>NC_000008.11:106964222-108214222 GCF_000001405.40 Homo sapiens | reverse complement strand
TTGGTAATCCTTTCCATTTAGTTTGTATGATTTAATTACATATTTGACTTCTCCTATAGTAAACTCCTATGGCATCTTAAAATGTTGAAAGATGGAAAAATTATAGTGAATTTTAGTTGTAATTTCCTGTTTTGTCAGAAAATATTGGGAAAAAATTGTGAAATGTACATAACCTATTAGAAATAAATTGTACACATTACAGTTTGAAAAATGACTAGTGCCCTTTGGGCACAGAGGAAGTCAAACAAATGTTTAAAAACCTACTGCTTTAGTGTTTGCTTCTGAGGAATTGTGCATAAAACAAATTCTTTTTCTTTAATGCCATTTGTTTTTGCTTATCCATACTTCGCTTGCCTAATTTTAGTGGGCCGTCCGTTGAAGTGGTTGTCCAGAGTTAGAAGGATAGTATAATCATGGGATTTTTCCTATGGGAATTGAATCCTTGCCTTCACAGTTTTATTAGCACTTTACTGTAGCTTGCAGACAGAATTTTTTAAACCTGATTCTCTTACAAATTACATGAAAATTCCTAATAATGTAATTGGTTATGAAATAAAGAGGTAGGTACATCATATGTGGGGCTCCGGTGGATAGTAGTAACTGAATTCTTGCATTGTTCTTTGTTTTTAAGGTTTGTAATTAGGGCTTGTGAAAGAGGGATGTTAGTATTTTGGTTTCCCTTGTAGAATTTTCTCCATTTCTCATTAGAATGTGGTCATTTGGGTGCTTTTTGGTCCAGAACTGACTTAGCTACTACCGCTGTTGTGGGCCTTTTGAAAGCTGACCCTTTTTTTTGCATCTTTAGCACCTAACATACTAACTTTGTAGCACCTAATATGCTTTGTACAGTATAGTGTGAGTATACAATATAAATATTTGTTAAGTAAATTTCTTCTGTTATTAGTGAACTTGGCATTTTTGTCCATGATAATGCTTGTCTGCTTTGGTGTTTGCTTCCGAGGTACTATCAATAAGATTTGTTGTAGCTCTTTTCCTTTAACTCTGCAGCCATGTATTCATTATTTTCTTTCTTGGGATTTGGTTTATTATCTTTTAAGAGGAACATAGATTAAGTATGTGTTCTCCTTACTGAAGGGAGATGTGCAGCTCAAAGAAGTTAATAGAGTGGGAATGTTTCTATATACCTTTATGTGACACTACCTAAGAATTTTTCAGACTTTTCTCCGTGTAGATTTTTATTACTTCCTTGATCTCTGTAGTTTTCTGCTAGACAAAAATCTACAAAGCATTTTCAGACTAAAGTCCTAGTGGCTTTCCAGAGTCTAAAAATATTTTTTTTTCTAGTAGTAGCATTTTCTTTCACTTCAGTTCTTCAATTTTTTTTTCAATGTTTTACTAAGATGATTAAGAGTACATAGATCAATAATGTATGTTTTTCTTTTTCTTTCTTTTTTTGGGGGGAGACACAGTCCTGCACTGTTGCCTAGGCTTGGGTATAGTGGTGCGATCTCTGCTCACTGCAACCTCTGCCTCTCGCGTTCAAGAGATTCTCGTGCCTCAGCCTCCCAAGTAGCTGAGATTACAGGCATGTGCCACCACGCCCAGCTAATTTTTGTGCTTTTAGTAGAGATGGGGTTTCACCATGTTGGCCAGGCTTGTCTTGAACTCCTGGCCTCAAGTGATCTCCCTGCCTTGTTCTCCCAAAGTGCTGGGATTACAGGCGTGAGCCACTTGCGCCCAGCGTTTTTTCAAGTACTATGGTAGAATTTTCAATCTGAAAGAAATCTTAGGGATCTTCTGATCCAACAACACAGTTACTTTTCAGGTGAAGGACTTCTCAGTAGAATTTTCTGTAGTGATAGAAATGTTTTATATCTGAAAATGTGTTTCTATGTGTTCAGTACAGTATACTTCATAGATGGCTCACATTTCAAGATCTTGAAGTATGGTTTCCAAATCTCTGTGTGACAGTGGGACTTATTTTCAAATGTAATATCATATATATGAATATATGTATTTATATATGTGTATAAGCAGATCAAAGCAGAGCCCATTCACCGTGCCTATCTTACAGTTCTGTTCAGCTTCTCTCCTGACTACTAAGACACCTCTTTGGAACACAGTTTTACAAAACACTGACTCAGAACAACTGCATTGTTTTGTAGCCAGGAAATTTAAAGCTCAAGGACATTAAGCTAGGTCTTGATAGAGCCTGTACTAAAGGTATCTGACATTCATTGTACTGTACCTCACTGTAAGTTCTTTTATATTGTGAACAATTTATATTTTTAGAAATGTCAGGTTTAGATTAATTTGTCATTTAGTTTATCAGTTGAGCCAGAGGATAAAGATGAAAACCCTAAGTCACTTTAACTCTGTGTTTCAGAATCTTTGTAGAGTTTGTTTTATAAACTCCCTATAGCCACCCTAAACCATTGAATCAGATTTATTGAGTAGGCTATGCTATGATTTGCAGCAGGGCTGCTGTGCTGTATCTTGAGGGTGGTTATTCCGAAGCACAGCCAGAATCCAAAACCACTGCATTAGGTAACCAGTTTTTTAGGCGTGTAATTACAGCCTGCTAAAGTAATGGAGTGAAAAATCAGTAATTTAATACCTTTATTATATAATGAATTAAGAAGATAAGCTTCTTCGTGTTTCTAAGGATGCTTTAGTGGGTTAGAAAGACAAAAGAAACTACCATCAGAGTGAACAGACAACCTACAGAATAGGAGAAAATTTTTAGCATCTACCCATCTGACAAAGGGCTAATATCCAGAATCTACAAAGTACCTAAACAAATTTACAAGAAAAAAACAACCCCATCAAAAAGTGGGCAAAGGATATGAACAGATACTTCTGAAAAGAAGACATTTATGCAGCCAACAGACATATGAAAAAATGCTCATCATCACTGGCCATCAGAGAAATGCAAATCAAAACCACAATGAGATACCATCTCACACCAGTTAGAATGGCGATCATTAAAAAGTCAGGAAACAACAGGTGCTGGAGAGGATGTGGAGAAATAGGAACACTTTTACACTGTTGGTGGGACTGTAAACTAGTTCAACCATTGTGGAAGACAGTGTGGTGATTCCTCAAGGATCTAGAACTAGAAATACCATTTGACCCAGCCATCCCATTACTGGACATATACCCAAAGGATAATAAATCATGCTGCTATAAAGACACGTGCACACATATGTTTATTGAGGCACTATTCACAATAGCAAAGACTTGGAACCGACCCAAATGTTCATCAATGATAGACTGGATTAAGAAAATGTGACACATATACACCATGGAATACTATGCAGCCATAAAAAATGATGAGTTCATGTCCTTTGTAGGGACATGGATGAAGCTAGAAACCATCATTCTGAGCAAACTATCACAAGGACAGAAAACCAAACACCGCATGTTCTCACTCATAGGTGGGAATTGAACAATGAGAACACTTGGACACAGGGTGGGGAACATCACACACCGGGGCCTGTCGTGGGGTGGGGGGAGTGGGGAGGGATAGCATTAGGAGATATACCTAATGTAAATGACGAGTTAATGGGTGCAGCACACCAACATGGCACATGTGTGCATATGTAACAAACCTGCACGTTGTACAAATGTACCCTAGAACTTAAACTATAATAATAGAAAAAAGACAGTGGCTGGAAATAATACGTATTTATGTTGGGATTTTATAAATACAGCTAACATTTTAATTTGGACTCCAAGAATTTGTAATCCGTGATAATGACCAACAGAGCTAAAAATTACCTTTAAACATTACACGGGAAAAAAAGTACTTGTTCTTTAAGCCAGAGGTTTTAAACCTAGTTGTACATTGAAATCATCTGGAGAAGTAAAATAACAAGAATTTAGCTTAAAAATAATAGATTTCCTGGTTTTATCCCAGGCCTTCTGAATCAAAATCTCTGTGATGCAGGCTTGAGAATCTGGGATTAAAGCTTCTCAGGTGATTCTTTTGCAGTCAGCCTTGGGGAATCATTGCTGTAAATTAGTGACTTTATAGTACTGACAACACATTAGAATCAAATGGGAAACTCTAAAAAGTAATAAACAGAAATACTATATGACTGAGCCTAACCTTTAAAAAACAAAAACATTCTCTGGAGGGAGACCCCATAGACTGTGTTTTAAAAAAAGGTCCTCTAAGTGATTTTGATGCAAGATCTGGCTTAAAAAAAAAAAAAAAGTTAAACTGTTTATTTTGAGATGATTATGTATCAGTTGTAAGAAATGATAAAAAGACCCCCTATGTCCTTTACTCAGTTTCTCCCATTAGTAACATCTTGCAAAACCACAGTAAAATATAGCAGCCAGGATGTTGATGTTGATACATTCAAGATACAGAACATTTCTATCACAAGGATCCTTCAAGCTGCTCTTTTATAGTGGTACCCTCTTCCCTGCCACCCTGTCCTTAATTTCTGGCAACTACTCATTTGTTCTCCATTCCTATATTTTTATTACTTTGAGAATATGCAAAACATTTTCTAAAAGTTAGTGTTCAGCTTCCTAAACGGCAAATATGCTATGTATCATGATTATGGTATAATTAATTACTAGCAACCTAACTAGTAGTACAGCTCTCCAAAGAAAACATTACAGATGTTAATGAGTGCCTCTTTTGGCCAAACACGGGGTAGAAAGTAGTGAGTACACTTTCAAAGAACTTAAAATCCAGAGGAAGAAGCGGATATTAAATAAGTGGACAAATAAATATAAAGTTACAAATTATTGAAAATATTTGTAATTTTGGGAAATTTCAAAATTTCATATTTGAAGTTACACATTATTAAAAATAGGTCCATATCATTCTCTCTAGTCACTCTGCATTGGGGAACAATGAGAAGAAAATTAGGTAGGGTCAGTGAATCCTGATAACTCTCCAAATGAAATATCTTTAAGCCCCAAAATAGACTTTTTTCCACTGAATACTAACTATGGCATATTATTCCATTCACTAGTTTATGCTGGCTTATTTTTGCCTTTAATTAGTTTAAAGCTATCTGATGTTCTGTCTTTTGAGGGGGAAGGGAAAGGATATATCTCAGCTTCTTTTTCTCCCACCAAAGGACACATTTCAAATGCTGAAAATAGTATTATAAAACCCATAATTGTTTATTAAATAACTCTATTTGTAATTTGGAACATTCTCTGTTAATAGATTTCCTGACTAAATGCCTGTAAGCACATGTGATAGTCAGCTTTATAAAAATGCATATTAAGAATGTTTTATATGTTTTTATACAACCTTATTGATATGTAGGATAAGTTACAAATCTGTTTACCATAAAGTTTGCAACATCTGTCAAAAAAGATTACTGTGTTGGGGTTTAATTTAGTATAGCTGAATCATTTTATCAGCTATGGTATGTGTCTGAAATTTAAAAGCTGTTCTAAAATAATTCTTGGACGAGTTTTCAATTGTAGATGAAAACAAATTATGGAAGTAATATTTTGGATGTGTATGATAAACATGTTGGAGCATACATTAGTATAATTTCCCAATGGGGGTTACTTAAGTTTTGAAGTTATTCTACTTTGCTTATTTTATTAAGTTATATTTTAGTTCTTAATATTTTTCTTAAAGTTCTTATTACCACATAACAATTTACATTTAGAATGTAAATGTATGGAGACAAACAGTTTCAAAGGCCATTATCATTGCATTTCTGCATTATCAATAAGGTTCAGTTATTTATAAGATTATAAAGAGATAATTTTCAGTTTTCACATAAGGATTTAGCATTTCTCAATTTTCTCCTCTTTTCTTTGTCCTGTTTCCTCCCAATCATACAGTTAAACATAGTTTACACTTAACACTGATTCTTTAATTAGTTGTCTTAAACTAATTAGAAAAGACTTGGAGTACTTTTCTTTGGATATGCTGAATAGTTGGCCAGTAGTCTTCAGTGAAAACTAGACCAGAGGTTTCTATATCCAAATGGTTAAATCAGCAGTATTTTGAAATAAATTGTGCCTATCAGATAAAATTTGGAAAGCCAGGTTATTCAAAGAGGTAATTAATAAGACAGGTGAAATATCAGATCCCCAGGCCTTATTTTTCCAAGTGTTTGTTAAGATGAGAGGTTGGGGGAAGATGGTGGCTATGGGAGGGTTTAGAAAAGTAAGACCATTTGAAAGATTAGGCACTCAAAACCTGATAGAAAATCTAGAGTTGATACAACCCTTATCAGTTCCCTAAATTAAGACTTATATATCTTCTGTCCTTAAGTGGGATCTCTGGTATTTTTTACTTCCTGGAAACAAAAAAATATTTCCCTAAATCAAGACTTAAATTTATCTTGTGTCCTTAAGTGGGATCTCTGTTATTTTTTACTTCCTGGAAACAAAGTATTTCATTTTGTGCTAGAAGCATGAACATGTTTAATTAAATTGAACTGAGGATGAAAGATTTGTTTTTGCTTTGTCTTTTGAAATAGCACTTAAGAATTCTGTGCATATCTTATTTAACATATTCGATGTTGTGTTTTGTGTGTGTGTCAGTTGAGCAGCAGAGCTAGTTAGGTTAAAGATATTTATAAAGGATTTACAGAACATATTTAAGTATCTACCTTAAGCTGCCTACAGACAAGGTTGAGATTTTTAGTGTAATCTAAATAATCTAGAAATTTGGGTGTTTAAAATCTGGATTGGACTAGATATTTTTCTCAGAAATTCTGCATTTTGATGGATTTTGTCTTTTAGTTTATTAATAAATTGAATTATTTTCAGTAACATGAGGCAAGCATGTTCTGGGATAGGTTACGCCAACTTTTTGTCTTTTTAAAATTGGTTTTATTTCTCCCTAGCCACTAGACCACCAGGGACAGCCTTTTAAGCTTTGATAGGATATTACACTTTTATTTTAATATCTGTAGACTTTGATGATTTCTATTAGTCCTTTTTTTTCCTTTGCGTTTTGTAGAGACAGGGTCTTGCTGTGTTGCCCAGGCTGGTCTGAAATTCCTGGGCTCAAGCAGTCCTCCTGCCTCGGCCTCCCAAAGTGCTGAGATTACAGGCCTATTAATCATTTGGTTTCTTTTACTGAGTGTATTTTCATGTTACTGAAACCAGATTATTTCTACATTCTTTAATTCAGTCAGAGTGATAATCAGCAGCTTAGATAAACTGAGATGCCATCAATTATTTACTAGTATTCCTTGGGCCTTATTTCAGGTTTTTCTTTGACCTGATTCACTTCGAAAAGTAAAGATCAACAAATAAAAGATCAACAAGCACAGTGCAAACAAAGATCCACAAAGTAAGATATGGCTCAGAGCGTGCAGGCATTTATGGATCTTGATGCTTGTTGCAAAATTACACCAGCTATGTTGGAATGAGTCTTAGAATATGGATGTAAAGAAAGAGAGAGGGATAGAGAATTCTAGTTAGAGTTATTACATAAGATGGAATTTTTTTTTATAAAGACACAGGATCTTGTTCTGTCACCCAAGCTGGAGTACAGTGGCGCAATCATAGCTTACTGCAGTCTGAAACTGCTGGGCTCAAATGATACTCACACCTTAGCCTCTCGAGTATCTGGGACTATAGGTGCAGGCCACTGTACGTGCGTGCGTGTGTATGTGTGTGTGTGTCTGTGCGACCATGCCAGTGTGTGTGTGTGTGTGTGTGTGTGCACATGTGCACAGAATCTTGCTGTGTTGCTCAGACTGGTCTCAGACTTCTGGCCTCAGCCTCCCAAAGTGTTGGAATTATAGGTATGAGCCACCACATCCAGCCTAGAATGGAATTTTCACTCTATGGTCTTAAAAATCTAAGATTAAATATCATTTCCTTAGGTAAGCTGTTCCCAAATCTCCAGATTAGAACTGGTAGACCTTTTTGCATTTCACATACATAGGTCCTTCCACTTTTTCTTTTTTCTTTCTTTTTCTTTTTTTTTGACATGGGGGTCTCACTTTGTTGCCCATGCTGGAATGCAGTGATGCCATCTCAGCTCACTGTAACCTCTGCCTCCCAAGATCAAGCGATGTTTAAGTCAAGACCCCCTTGACTTAAACTCTGTAAAGGCTGGCAACAGAGGATGTTTTGCCAGTAGCATCTAACACGGTTGGTATTTTGTTGAGTAAATGTCAACAAAGTAAAAGGATTGGTTTGGTTTGGCTGGCATGTTATATTTATGAAGGAGAATGATGGGAACTTGGAAAGTTAAAAGTGTTGAAAGGAATTTGGAAATAAACTGGGTATAGTAGTCTCCCCTTACCCAAGGGGATATGTTCCAAAACCCCCAGAGGATGCTTGAAACTGCAGGTAGTACCAAACCCAATACAGACTAGGTTTTTCCCTGTGCACACATAACTATGATAAAGTTTAATTTATAAGTTGAGCACAGTAGAAGATTAACAACAACAATAATAAATAGAACAATTATAACAATATGCCAGCATCACTACTCTTGTACTTTGGGGCCATTACTAAGTAAAAAATGGTTCCTTGAACATAAGCTCTGTGATATCAAGACACTTGATAGCTGGAATAGCTACTATGTAACTGATGGGCGGGTAGCGTATACAGTGTCGATATGCTGGACAAAGGGATGATTCAAGTCCTAGGTGAGACAGTAGGACAATACAAGATGTCATCATGCTAGCCAGAACAGTTTACAATTTAAAGCTTATCAATTGTTTATTTCTGGAGTTTTCTATTTAATATTTTCAGACTGGGATTGACTGCTGATAACAGAAACCACAGAAAGTGGAACTACGGATAAGTGGGAACTACTGTAGTTGGGTTGTAGAACTAACCTGGCAGATGTGTAAGATAGATTGTAGAGACTCAAGAGGTAAAGTAGTTAGAAAACTAAGAAATAGTAATGGAGCCTGGACTAGGGTAGTGACTAGAATAAGAATCAATCAGACAGTAAATATTTATCGTCTCCTGTGTATGAGGAGTCATGCTGCTAATTGCTGGACATAACGGCAGTGAATGAGGAAGATACGGTGCGTGCACTTTGGTTACATGTATACGGTCTACCTTGGAAGCAGATATTCAGTAAAACAACTATAGCAAAAATAGGTGCTATGAAAGCACCTAACTGATGTATCACAGATGGGAGAGGTGTCTTAGAAGGCTTATGAGGGTCTTATTTTAGCTGAGACCTGATAGCTTCCATGAAGATAAAAGACAGTATATAAACACACATACATACATGCATGTATACTACATACTCTTAAATATTTTACATGCATATGTAGGTACTCTTCCATCAGCGGAACTGACTTAACCTATTTACTAAGACTGGTGTGTTTTTAATTCTGATAAATTAAGCTCTGCAATGGCCCTCTTCAACCTGATCATAAAATTGGAAAAATACAAAATGCAGATTGGTTGATATCAAAGAGTATTTTAGATCAAGATCTTCATGGTCTGGTCTGCTCCCTCTGTCTCTTTTATCTGAAATTCAGTCTCTCTCTCTCTCTCTCTCTGTCTCTCTCTCTCTCTCTCTCTCTCTCTCTCTCTCTATATATATATATATACATACATACTATATATAGTATATAGCTCCAGGGAGTGCCCCCACAGTTTATAGCACAAATATACACAATGCCCGTCAGTTTTATTTATGTTTTCCTGAGATTATACTTATTACTGATGCTCTTTATAGTAGGCTTACTTTTTTAAAAATTTTATTTCAGTAGCTTTTGGAGTACACGTGGTGTTTCGTTACATGGATGAATAATATAGTGGTGAATTCTGGGATTTTAGCTCATAGCTTAGCTCCCACTTATAAAGGAGAACATAAGGTTTTTGGTTTTCCACTCCTGCATTACTTCACCTAGAATAATGGCCTCCAGTTTCATCCAAATTGCTGCAGAAGACATTATTTTCTTCCTTTTCATGGCTGAGTAGTATTCCATGGTTTATATATACCAGATTTACTTTATCCACTCATTAGTTGATGGGCACGTAGGTTGGTTCCTAAGTGAATTGTGAATTGTGCTGCTGTAAATATATCTGTACAAGTGTCTTTTTCATATGTCTTCTTTATCCAAAGAAACCTTTATACAAAGGTTTACTTTGTATAACCATTATATAGTTGTCCCTTGATATCCTTGGGGGACTGGTTCTAGGACCCTCCTGGATGCCAAAATTCATAGATTCCCAAGTGTCTTAAATAAAATGGGGTGATATTTTCATATAACCTATGCATGTTATCTCATATACTTTTAATCATCTCTGGGTTACTTTTAAAAATGTAAATGCTATGTAAATAGGTGTTATACTGTATTGGTTTTTCATTTGTATTATTTTTGTATTCTTTTTTATTGTTTGTTTGCTTTTTCCCAAATATTTTCTATCTATGGTTTGTTGAATCTGAGGATGTGGAACCTGTGGATATGGAGGGCTGACTTATATAGAGGGAACATCATAAAACCTTTTTCTCCCTTAGATCATTACTTCTTGAGCACCTGGCAAATGTAAAGTACTGTTCTAGAAGCTGAAGGATTTCCGTAAATGCAGAATATGTTACCCTACCCTCAAGGATTTTACAGTCCAGTTGGTGAATGGAATAGGTCGTGCATAGTACAAGTCAATAGGCACAAGCACATGAACAAATCAGACAGTAGGGGTCATGGTATATAAGAGAAGGGTGATCCAGAAATACCAAAAAGTATCTATGCAGAGTGTGAGTCAACACTGTGTACATAAAACTAAGTTTTTAGGCCCAGTTAATTAACATTGCTGTTTTTACTTTTTCATTAGCATGTTGGCAGATAAATTGAACATGACTCCAGAAGAAGCTGAAAGGTGGATTGTAAATTTGATTAGAAATGCAAGACTGGATGCCAAGATTGATTCTAAATTAGTGAGTATTATGTTAGCTATGCTACATACTATCAGTTCCTGATTATACTTTTGGGAATTCTTAACTAGGACATTTTATTACCTCCTTTAATAATTTATTTTGTTTTAATGTAAAACAGTTCTTTGAAGGCAACAGAAGCCTCCTATTTTTTTTCTTCCTTGGTAAATATTGTCATCTCTATACAGTGCATTAAAATATGCGCAAAGGTATGTCATGCTTTTTACTTACCTGAGAAACTCAGTCATTAACATTATAGGATCAATTTCCCTGTGTTTCCTTTTAGGGTCATGTGGTTATGGGTAACAATGCAGTCTCACCCTATCAGCAAGTGATTGAAAAGACCAAAAGCCTTTCCTTTAGAAGCCAGATGTTGGCCATGAATATTGAGAAGAAACTTAATCAGAATAGCAGGTCAGAGGTAAGAACCACACATCTTCTATTCTGTCTGGGGTTTAGCAACCATGTAATTGTTACATGAAGTTTCAAAGTGTATTGATGAGTTGTAGCTGATTTTGTTTTTCTCTTTAAAGATATGAACATTTTTAAGAAATTACTAAACAGAAAATTTTTTCTTAGATGTATTATATGCATTAAACATAGAAACTGAAAAAGAAATTGTGTTCCTAGTTTATTATAACTATTTTTCTTTTGCTTTGACTCTTCCTGTGTGACTTCATTAACTCATTTCCTCAGGGTTTTCAACACATCATTTTGATACTGGCAGATGATAACTTACATGTGTAGCCCTCTTTCAAGTGTTCGAAATGTGTATTCTTTCTAAATCTAAAGAAATAATTCTGTAAAAATGTTGATCTTATTATATGTATTAGTGCTGATCTTATACAAATTTCATTATCTTTCATCTGATATTCATATCAAAAATTAATCTCCCATTTTGATAGAGATCCTGCATGTTAGAGATTGAAGAAACTTGAATGGCCTTATAATTTTGGAATCCTAAACTGTGTTGTTTAGACATTATGATTATGTGTAACTGGAGGGTAGGAAGTCATTAGGAAGCAGTTGTGGGATATGCAGAGACCCCATTTGATTGAAATTTTAGGAACAAATTTGTGTCCGCAGAATAATCCTTTAGTTCAAATGAGAAGGATGCATTAGAATTCAAGTTGCATATTTTAGCCAAGTTTAGAATAACTGAGCCTAGAAAGTAACTTTCATATGATGTTTTTTTCTGTATGCTTTAGGATTAATTTGTATCATTTATTGTTCCAGTATTAATGATACTGTTATTGCTATATATTTTAATTGGCCAAAAGCTATACCAGATAATAATTTTGGTGTTTGTTTTGTCCTGAGTGGGACATCTGACATCTAGTAATTGCAGGAGTTAAGATCTTAGAATGGTTTGGCAAGAGACTATAGTGCTGAAGTAAATGCTGTGTTACTTTCTTCTATGTTAGTTTTTTTCCGAAAGTATTTTCTTTTCACGGTGTTGATTTCTTTTTGCATATTTTAGGCTCCTAACTGGGCAACTCAAGATTCTGGCTTCTACTGAAGAACCATAAAGAAAAGATGAAAAAAAAAACTATCAAAGAAAGATGAAATAATAAAACTATTATATAAAGGGTGACTTACATTTTGGAAACAACATATTACGTATAAATTTTGAAGAATTGGAATAAAATTGATTCATTTTATCTTGCTGTCAGTTTTCTTGCATGTGCAAGTTTGTGTTTTTTTAACTTTCTTTTTTGGAATAATTATATTCAGAGGAATTTGCAAAAATAGTACAGAGAAGTCCCTGTAGGCTGAACCCTGTTTCCCTCAATTTTTTCACTTTGTCTTACTATGGTACAGTATCAAAACCAGGATGTTGACATTGGTACAATGTGTGTACAAATAGCTCCCTACCATTTTATCACGTGTAGATTTGTGTAACCATCACTGCAGCCAAGATAGAGAACTATCATCATGATCTCCCTCATGCTACCTTTTTGTAGCCATACCTACTCCCAACCAACTCTAACCCTAGGAACCACTAATCTGTTCCTCATCGCTATATTTTGTCATTATGAGAATGTTATATAAATGGAATTACATAATACACAACCTTTGAGATTAGCTTTTTTCATTCATCACAATGCTCTTGAGAGCCATCCAAGTTGAGAGATAGATATATATATATATATGATCAGTAGTTAATTCCTTTTTTATTGCCAAATAGTATTCCATGGTATTGATGTGCCACGTGGTTTAACTGGTATTGATGTGCCATGTGGTTTAACCATGTACCTATTGAAGGATATTTTAGTTGTTTCCAGTTTGGTACTATTACAAATAAAACTGTTGTTCCTTAATTTCTTAAAAGTGGCTCCTCAGTCACTCACTGTATAGTTACGGAGACTAGGCATATAAGTTGAATTTTATAAGTGTCAAATGTTAAATACAGACATACTGTTTACTGGATACTGGAGGTATTTAAGAGCTACAGAGCCCTCACTGGGTCCCTTTTTTACATAGAAGTGGCTTGATTTTTCACTTTGGTTGAACTGACAGCCAGTCAGATAACAGAAACTTGTTGCTGCTCTCAAGGAGGAGGTTCAAAGATAAAAAGGTACATACTGTTCTTTTATTTGACATCTGATCAGGCCACCTTCCATACTCAGTTTAGAGACTACGGTAGTTAGGTTGCATCTGCCATTCAAAGAGCATGGAGACCTCCCAATACTAAACAGCATGGGGGTCTACAAACTTTTTTTTGTAAAAGGTCAGATATTAAATCTTAGGCTTTGCAGGCAGTATGTTCTCTGTTTTAGGTATTCAACTCTGTCATGTAGCACAAAAGCAGCCTTTGTATGTAAATGGATGCTTATGGCTGTGTTCCAGTAAAACTATTTACAAAAACAGGCCAAGGCCAGATTTGTTTCACCTGCTGTGGTTTCCAACCCTTGGCTTGGGGTATTGGTACTTCTAAGCTTTAGTCTAAGGGTGCTGAAACTAGGAAGATTATTGGTTAGGATAAGCCAAGTACTATTTTTTTATTTATCTGTAACCAGTATTGTGAAAATGCCAGGTATAGGGCAGGAAAAAATACATAAAGAAATAAAAGAGGATTCTTGGTAGTACAAAATGGTCAAGGGTCATGGAGAAAGTACCAAAGTGTTGAAACAGTAACAAGGTAGGACAGTAACAAGACAGACTCTTTATATATGTAGCAGCTAATTCCATGAATTAAAAGTTCTTATCTTTATCAAATAGAGCCATAGTTATATAGAACCATATAAAATGGCATATATTACTCAGGCTATGTAGAATTGAGAAAGATGTTCTCGGCTGAGAAGGAAGGAAACAAGACTTCATGTTTCCTTCACCAGTAACCAAAGGGCCAAAAGTTCCTACATGGAGACATCATTAATCACCGTTTAAGACTGTAGCTCAACCAAGCCACATTAATAGCTAACGAAGATTTCTGGATGATTACATAGCTCAGCAGCTAAAAACAATTATTAAATATGCCCTAGTGGACTAGTAAAAGCCCCAGATAGGAAAAATAGGAAGCCAATAATAAGTATTTACCATGTGTCATAGGAAGCCAGTAGTAAGTATTTACCATGTGTCAGGCATTTTTATGTCCTCTGTTTCTCTAAATAAACTAACCTAAGGAGAAAGAAGGGAATCTTAACATTTGAATGCCTTGCTTAAGCCTGGAAATACTAAAATTTAGGTGGTATTATTTATATGTTATTGATGAGGAAGCATACTCACATGGTTGCCTAAGGCAGGAGTCCGCAGCCCCTGGGCTGTGGACTGGTACCAGTCTGTGGCAGCATTCGATTCTTATAGGACTGTGAACCCTAGTGTGAACTAAGCATGAGAGGGATCTAGGTTGCGCACTCCTTAAGAGAATCTAATGTGGCCTACCCCCCATCCGTGGAAAACTTGTCTTCCACGAAACCGGTGCCTGGTGCCAAAACGATTGGGGACTGCTGGCTTAAGGTAATACCTAATACAAGTTAAAGTAAGGAAAAGACTCTTAAGTTATGTCACACTAACCTTCCTTACATCATTCATTGTTGCCTTATAATTAGAAATTGCAAAGAGTTAAGGGATACATATTTAGTAGGTTGTGCGAACAGGTCTTGATCACCAAACTAGGTTTCTCAGCACCATTATCTTCCAATAAGAGCAAAGGGTACTCTATTTTTCTACGGGTATAATCATTGGATACAAGTGGCCCCTTACACACAAAACCTGTTGGAACATAGAAAACTCTGAAGAACATCTCTTTGATTTTTCTTTTTTCTATTTATGCTCTGCTCCTTCAAGACTATCTGCTATATGAATAATTAATGCTCACTTCTACCACTTTTTTTCTTTTCACATATTGTCATCTTTTGAACTTGAAAGATGATGCCACTATGGATTACTAGTATCAATTAGAAAGAAAAAAACTATATACAACTAATGGCCATTTTTGCACATTACCAATACTTGTTTGTCATTAAAACCCATTTTTGAAGTTTGCATAATAAAAGTTACTTGATTTGGGGCTTAACCTTAAGTTTTGATAACAGGTAGGCTGTTCCAGTAAAGTATTGAGCACCAAATAAGTAGTTACTAATTTTCTTGTGCTCTTTTTTTTTTCTTTTTTTCCCATTCAGTAGATAGTACATCCTCCTATGTGTTAGCAGCTTTTATAAACACATCGAAGAAGAGCATTCATGAAACTTATGTTAAAAAAAAGTTGCTTTGAGTCCTTTAAAATTTTTTCTGTGCACTCATAAGCATATGTGTTTATGCCTTTTTAATATGAACTATACAAAAGTATACGTAAACGTCCAGTTTACAGAAGAAAAAAAATGCATTTACCCAATACCAATACTTCCTACATGCTACTGAGCTGAAGAAATAGAATGGTCCTAGTAATTGGCCCCTCAGTAATTGTATTTTCTTCTTTGCCCCTAAAAAGTAAACACTACCATAACTTTTGTGTTAATTTCTTTGTTTTTATTGTTTTATCACACACACACATACACACATATATACCATATATACCCACAGTTGACCCTTGAACAACATGGGTTAGGGACACCTATTCACCAGTAACCCGAAAGTAAAAAATCATTACATGGAGACACATAGAGTCAAAAGTCCATGTATAACTTACAACTCCCCCAAAACTACTAATAGCTTACTGATAAATGATTGATTAATAAATATTTAGTATGTTATATACTGTATTTTTATAATTAAGCTATAGAAAATGTTATGAGGAAATAAGAGAAAATATACTTAACATTTATTAGGTAGAAATGGGTCATATTATAAAGGTCTTCATCCTTCTCTTCACATTGAGTAGGCTGAGGAGGGGGTTGGTCTTGCAGTCTCATGGGTAGCAGAGGAGGAAGTGGAGGAGGTGGAAGGGGAGGCATGAAGCAGGCACACCTGCAACTTTAAAGAAACACTGTAATTCAACTTTTTTGCTTTTTCATTTTTTAAAAAATATTTGTATATGATACTCATCCTTTTTTCTCCATTTGTGTAGTTTTCAGTGCCTGTATCAGAAGGGTCTGTGCCATGAAGGAAGTCAAAAGCAATCTTGAATAATCGGAACCCTTCTGTCGGATGTCTAACATCAATTTGTGTTCTGGCACTGTTGCTTCTGCATTGTCTTATCATCTGGCACTGGTTCAGAAACATCTCCATCAAGTCGTGTTTTGTTAATTCCTGTGGTATGGTGTCTGTTAGCTCTTGAATTTCTCCAAGATCTGTATCTTGAAACCCTGCACCCCCCACCTTTTTTGCCATGTCCATAACCTCTTTCATGATTTCCTTGATTGGTTCTGTTGTAAATCCTGTGAAGTTTTGCACAACATCTGGACACAGTTTTCTGCAGCAGGAATTTATTGTTTTGGGCATGAGGGCTTTCACGGCTTTTTTTTTTTTTTTTTTTTTTTGTAACAACAATGTATCTTTAAGTGGTGTAATTCTTCCAGACTTTCATGATGTTCTCTCCATCTGGGTTGTCTTCCACAGCATTGACAATTCTTTCCATAGAGTACCATGGGCATTGAGGCTTAAAGGTCCTTATTAACTCCTAATTGAGAGGCTCAATTAAATGTAATGTGTTTGCGGGCAAGTAGACCACTTGAACACCTTTAGTGTTGAACTTACAGACTTCTGGTTGGCCAGGGGATTGTCCAGTATCAGAAAAACCTAAAAGGCAGTCTCTTACTGGCCAGGTACTTGCTGAATTCAGGAAAAAAGCACTGATGGAACCAATCCAGAAAAAGGGTTAAAGTTGTCCAGTCTTTTTTGTACAACCAAAAGACTGGCAACTGGTGTTTATCCTTTCCCTTCAAGCTCGGGGGTTAGCAGGTTTATTGATAAGGGCAGTCCTGATCATGACTTCTTGTGCATAAGGCAGTAGAGTTAGCCTATTTCTTACTGCCTTAAATCCTGGTGCTCTCTTCTCTTTCTTACAAATAAGTGTACTTTTTCCCAGAATAGGGCAGTTTTGTCTGCAATTAAAAACTTGTTCATGCAGACATCCGTTCTCTTCAGTGATTTTCTTAATGTCTGGGAACTCATCTGCTACCTCTTACAGCAGAAGCTGCTTCTCCTATCTTGACACTTTTTAAGCCCATCCTCTTTAAAATTATCAAGCCATCCTTTGCTGGCACTAAATTCTCCAGCTTTAGACCTTCACCTTCCTTTGGCTTTTAGTTGTCATATAATGACCACTATGTCTTGAACCATATTAGAGTCTATAGCTATGCCTTTCTTATAACAATCCTGCACTCACATAAAAAGTGCATTTTCAATATGAGATAAAAATGTATTTCACAAAAAGTACAAGATTTCTGTACCTGCTGGCATAGCTGCAGCAATAGCTTTATACATTTCCTTTTTTTTTTTTTTTTACAATAGTTCCTACGCTAGATTCATTTATCTTGAAATGGCAGGCAATCCAGATGCACACCTCAATTTACAGCACATATCAAGCAATTCAGCTTTTTCTTGTAACGTCATGACTTCTCTCTGCTTCTTGGGACCACTTCCAGGACCACTAGTGGCATTTTTTATGGGCTCCATGGTGTTATGGTATGGCACTAAACGAAAAATACATGAGAACCATGAAAGATCACTTTTTACTGCAATATGCAATTTATTGGAGAGATGAACTGCTCACACAGAGATGGTAGCATCACATGGCATTTGAAGTGGTTATTCACCAGAACTCACTGCAATAGCAACAAGAGGTGGCTATGAAAGTATTACAGTGATACAGTATGAACTACAGTTAATTTTATGCATGAGTGGTTTAATACTGCATCTTTACATTTGTTTACATTTCTCTCGACTGGGAATGGGACCATGTCTGTAAGTGTTTGTGTAAGTTTTGAAAATTTTTAACTTTTTATAATAGATTTGTGTGTATTTTATGGTAGTAAATGATAAAATAGATGGGTAGCTACATATTTTTATACATTCATGACAACTTTATTTTAATTTCGTCAATATTTCTCAGCTACATTGTTGTCTGTGAGTTTTTTCAAACTGTGATGTGTTCAAGGGTCAATTGTAGTTGGTCAATGCCTGTCCTAGACTGTCATTTTCATTTATTTATGTATGATATCTATCTGGTTCACTACTGAATCCCTAATGTCTGGCTCTTATTAGGCCCTCAATAAATTATTGAATGAATGAATCAATGAATGTTCAGAATGGCATAATGGAAAAAATTGGACTTGAAGGTAAAAGGTTAAAAAATGTATCTTTTGGAAAACTTTAGTTTTCTTTTATTATCAGGTGATCATGACCAAAATCATGTATTTCTTATTCTCCAATTTCCTAATGCGTCAAATGGCAGTATTGACTGCTTTGTGTGCCTGGCTATTTGGGATTAAGTACCAATAAATAAATTTTAAAAACCACAAAACCCAGAAACATCATAGCCCTTCTCTACATGAGTTCACAGTTTACGTCTGGGACAGACACATGAACATAAGATAAAATGATAAGTACTACTGTATGTGAAAACACTTAGACTTATGAAGTGCTTCTGTAAGATACATTTCTTAAAATGGTTAAAGTCAGTTGAAGACCTGTTAAAAATCATCAGGATATTGCAGTGTATGAAAAGTTTTATAAAAGTTATCTTTTTCTTGGTCTTGACCCCGTCTTGGTAATAGTGGAAGTAAAAATGGAGAGAGGCAGATACACTGTCTCAGATGTTTTTCTTCCTCTCAACTTCCCAGTTGTCAAACAAAAAGCTGGACAGCATACAAAACTATTGGACTTATAAACTCACAATACAATACTGACCTCGTGTTGTTTGCCAGCCTATGATTGATCACCGCATATGACCACTGTTTTGCTTTCTAGCTGGTGGCTTTGTGAACAAAGCATAGCGGTACAGATATCCTCAAATACCCTCATGTACCTTGAAGAGGTCACTTGGGTAGTAAACCCTTTTGGTTCCCGTGCCACTAACACAGGAGCAATTGAGAGCCTAAACTGGGTTTGCCTCAGCAATAGAGGCCAGTAGTAAAAATTCAGCCGTAAAGACCAGCAGTAAGAAAAGTAGTCAAGGTCAGGGGCAAACTATCTGCTGGAGTGAAATGTTTAAAGCTTCCAATGAGGCTTTAATTAGATTCAAAAAACATCCCGCTGTTAAACTGTTTTGTGTTTCCCATGCATAATTTACTCCCATGCATTTTAATTCTCAGTGATCAAACGTCCTCTGGAAAAGCGCTAACTTCCTGGAGAGGTAACACAAACACTGTTATGTTTTGATAATTTTTCATCTCATGTATTTAATAAACAGTTTGACTGTTAGAATCTGCAAGAAATAACATTAATCTAAGGCATCTCCTATTTTGGTTCTAAAACCATGACTCTTGTGCTGACTTCCATTTAGTCTGATGAGATTGGGAGAACAATGCCAGATTGATTCATTTTGTTTTTAATTGTCGTAAAGACCATTGAGGGGTGAGGAGAATGTTGTTTGAATTTGACATTTTGAACTGGGAAACAGCTTGGAAATGTAGGCACAATTCCAGGTAAATAAACTAAATATACTTATGTGTGTATGTATATGTAAGTCTAATTGCTTAAAGGTATACCTCTAAGATTCCAAATTGATTGATGCTAGAAGGCAGCTGTTTGAGGACCAGAGGCATGGCTTATATGCAAAATGATATGGAAAAAAAATAATTGGATCACAGAAAGACAGTATTATTTAATCAGAATTTGAAATCTGGCAGCTCTCCTAGGAGAATAAAATACTATTGGATTGCATTTATTTGTCAACATTTTTTATCTTGCCTCTACATTGCTCCTTAGGCACTGTAACTCTCCAAACAGAAGGGATAATAATAGATACTTGGTAGATACCTACTTGTTCACTGTCCATTCATGCATGCAGGTAGACAGGTGATGTTTGGAAAGTATCACAGCTGCAGTCTGGCAGAAAGAACATGATTGATTCCCTCTGCTTTCCTCTGCTGAGGGAGTATGCAGCTTTTCATTTCATTTTAGAGACAAATGGTCTGCACGGGAAGGAAGCACATGGGTAGCTGTGTCTTTGTTCATTTCGCTAACAAGGCCAGAGCTGTGGGTCCATCTCTGCATAAGCCAGTTAGTGTTTCTCTGCTCCTAACCACAGATTTGCACTTGAACCTTTGCCAGCTGTTTCCCAAGTGCATGCCATTGGATGTGAGGGAGACCTGAAATGAGTGCAGATAGATTAGCTTAAAATCATCACAACTTTTTCAAACAAAACAAAGCATAAAGCATGAAGCCCTTAATGGCAGATCAGAAGTTTTATCTTTGTGTATTCAAAGGTCAAAACCTTTATACCACATGTGCTGCTGTCAGAGTATATGCTATATGATAGGAACAAAACTTAAGAAGCTGTGACCAACTTGAATATTGAAACTTTTGTTATCATTTTTATCTAAAAAAATTAAATTTTTGGTGGCAAGTTAGTGTAACCAGTCCTAGAAAATAGTGGTTGGAATGAGGATGATCTCATTGATTCAGAAATCATCAAGAGGTCTACAAAACCAGTATGCCTCCTGTTTTAATAGAGGACATAACTAGAGAAATGTTCTTAGTTGTCTAGCTCCCTTGCCCTGGGATTTGTGCCTAGTTCTTTGAGGATTTGTAGGACTCAGATTTCTCTAACAATCAATAATCCTTTTTATTTTCTTTATATTTTCACTTTTAGATAACATCCATCTATGATCATTTATATGATTTTAAGTGAGTTTGAGAACAACCTTGTAATGTAAATAAGGTATTAGTCTTGAAGTTTACCTGGTTGGTTATTTGGCAATAACCATTTTTATCTGACCATTAGTGACTTAAACAACTCTGAGAAGAATAATTGACAATAAAGTGGAAAAAAAAAGCATAGTCCTATACTAACAAAATTAATTCTAAGACACTGCATTCTGTTATCAGAAAACAATGTGAAAGTTTAGATATCATTCATCAAAGTTTATTTTTCTTAAGTTATAAACTTTTTTTTCCCTTTTACAGTATCTGAGGAAAAAAAGTAAAATAACTCTCTTTGGGATCTCTGGACAGTTGAATAGACAAGGAAGAACTGTAGTCTTTTTTTTTTTTTTTTTTTTTTCAGCTAAATTATCCTAAGAACACTCTGCTCCAACATAGGAATGCCATGGAACAAGAGATGGTAACACAAGATACACCAGGAGACTCGAGGTTTTGTGTGTTTGAAACTTATATTCTACTATAATTAGACTAAATTGTAGAGAAGCAAAACTAATGTGTGTGTTGTTTTTTTAAAATTTACCCAATGTTTTTTTGGTTCTGTCTTCTAGGAGTGAACAAACTCCTTTTGTTTTTTGTTTGTTTGTTTGCTTGTTGTTAAATGTTCACTCTTAAATTTTATAAAACAAAATTTTAAAGTTACATTAAAACTTTCCATTTTTTTGATTATATTTATTCATTCAAAATAGAAATGCCAAAGACATATAAAGGTAAAAAGTGGTATGCAGTGTTTTTATGTCCTACATAACTGATTTAAATTAGTAGGACTATTTTTATCTTTCAACTTTTAATTTTCTTATAAAAGTCAAGTAAATACAATGATTGTTATTAGCTGAATAGCAGATGAGATCTCAGTATTTAAAAGAACAGATTTCTTCTTATAAACTTGCTTTTGATTTTAATTCAAGAATAATTATGCTGGGTTCTTATGTATGACTGGACAAAAAAACATGCGGTTGTGTGTTTTGGCATGTGTTCTTCCAGATTTTTCAGTGATGCTCATGACAACCAACAAGGGAAATTTAGATTGTAAGGCCTTTTTCTATACCAGATACTAATCATTGCTCTAAGAAAAATTTCATCACCTATTGCTTACTTTTGCTTGAAGACTTTATGTGTATACATGTTGATTGATGACTTTTGGTGGTGGAAAATAAGGATACGAAATTCAGAAGAATAAACTTTTGGAACACAATCAAATAATACCTGCACAACACTTTGGGAGGCCGAGGCAGGCGGATCACGAGGTCAGGAGATCGAAACCATCCTGGCTAACACGGTGAAACCCCGTCTCTACTAAAAATACAAAAAAAATTAGCCCGGGCATGGTGGCGGGCGCCTGTAGTCCCAGCTGCTCGGGAGGCTGAGGCAGGAGAATGGCGTGAACCTGGGAGGCAGAGCTTGCAGTGAGCCGAGATCGCGCCACTGCACTCCAGCCTGGGCTGGAGACTCCGTCTCAAAACAAAACAAAACAAAACAAAACAAAATAAAATAAAATAAAATAAAATAAAATAAAATAAAATAAAATAAAACCTGCACAATACTATGCTTCTTTCTAGCCCTATTGCTGTTGCTTGAAAAAGATGTGGGTAATTATAAACTGATTAAAAGTATAACTTTTTTATAACAGACTTTTTCCCCCATCATTCATGTTTATAGCTCTCTCCTGAGAGCAGAATTAAAATGATAAAACGTGGTTTTCAAATATATCACTACTTATAGTATGATATAAGGATAAGAATGGGTGTTCATGAGTACATACCCCCCCAACACTTGTAAAAAAGTCTAGATTTTACTATCAAACAGAGATGTGGGTGTTGTGCAATCAACAAAGCACTGTTGTGCAATAATTAAAGAATTTTTAAACTGAAGATTAAATTGGAATGTTGTTATAAACATAAAGGAAATGGCCAACATTTTTCTTTGTATCAAAAGAAAACTCATTTCTAAAAATAAGCACTCTCTTACTGATGACCCTTTAAAATAGTTTTAAGTGATTCCATCCACAGATGAGCTTTTGGCTCTGCAGCACTTTGCCATAAGTGGTTTGCTCTTTGATCCTGTAGCCTTTAATCAGGTGTGTATCTGAAAAAGCATTGGCATGGCGGTATCGCCAGCCAGCCTTGGAGTCCCTCTGAAAGTGAACATGGCATGACTGAAACATGCTGCTGAGTCCTGAGAGGTCTCCTTTGGTGAGTGAATTTAAGGAATGATGCTTAATTTCCCACTTCTAAATTTTATTTTATCAAATTGAGACAAACGTGGACCTTCTGAAGTTACCAAATATAAAAAATCTCCATGGTGAAAAAAAGAAAAGGAAAAGGAATGTGTTTTTGTTATCTTTTGTTTTTCATTTAACTTTCTTAGAAATCAGAATTAAGTGAAAGGAAGGATTGAGAATGTTATCTAGTCTGTTAAGTGGTTGTTACTGACCTTTAGCATTCAATTTCTTTGTAATGAGAAATTGGTTTAGAGTAACCTACATGTCCCAATTTTATTTTACTTAGAATGTTATGAATATTGTCTTTTTTTAACCCCAAAAGAAGCCTTTTAGATATCGTCTTAAGAAGTACAAACACCAAAGAATTATTCCTTTACTCTT
Source organism: Homo sapiens (assembly GCF_000001405.40). Classification (NCBI taxonomy): domain Eukaryota; kingdom Metazoa; phylum Chordata; class Mammalia; order Primates; family Hominidae; genus Homo; species Homo sapiens. The sequence goes on along the minus strand of NC_000008.11, from coordinate 108,190,535 downwards.
TTGACTCCACCTTCCACCCCGACTTGATCCCTATTTCTTATCACTACTGATTCTGTCCTCTATAAAGACGCCAGGCCTGGCTCTTTTCTTCCCTGTTCTTTTGCTCCCCCTATCTAAACAGTCATAAGCACTGTCTGGGGATTTTTTCCACCCAGCAATAACTTGGTGATCAAGGACTAGGCTTGAATCCTTCTTTGCCACTTATAAATTGGCTTTGGAGAAGTTACTTAACCTTCTTACAGAATGCTTCCAGTACCTACTTTGTAGGGCTGTGGGATTAAATGAAAAAATTCATGTAAAGCATTAACACAGTGTCTGCCTTCCTCTTCCTTTTAGAGTGAATGCTTGACACAGGGTAAACACTCAGTAAAGTGGTAGTTTTCATTGTTGTTATAAAACCACCGCCTTCTCTCCAATAATCAAGCCCTCATCATTTCTCCCCTAGAATATTCAAGTTAGCTAATTGTGTCACATGCCCTTTGTCCTTCACAGTAAAGATCTGTATCCACTGACTTGAATTAGTAAAAGTACAGTTTGTATATCAACTCATGCATTTAGGATTCAGAAATGAAATATTGCAAAAAATGACTGTTCGTAACTATTATCCTTTTACTTGCAGATGTAGGTGCTATCATCTACTATATCTAGGTACAGTCATCATAAATAGATTTATTTTGAAATAGATATGTAAATAACTTTGAGAATGTATATAAATGTTTTCACTTAAGATTATCAAGACTTTACTGTGTGTCAGACACTGTGACTTAAGTGCTTTCCTTACGTTATCCTATTTAATTCTCAATGAGATAGTTAACTGTTATCACTACTCAGTTTATTGAGAAGGAAGCAGGCACAGTGAATCAGCTCAAGGTCATAAAGCTAGTGAACAGTAGAAAAGGATTTGAATCCAAATAGTCTCATTCCAGAGCCCATGCCCTTTAATACTAATCTATATTGCTTCCAGGAATAAAATAATTTAGTAAAGTTTATCCCTAAACTACAATTTTCTGAGTATTGGAAGAACAGTTCTTAGAGATTCACTTTTCAGAATGAGTAAGGCCTACTATTTGATAGCACAACAGGGTTGTGCTATAGTATTATTATTTACTATTATGTAGTAAATAATAACTTAATTATACATTTTAAAATAACTAAATGAGTATAATTGGATTGTTTATAACAGAAAGGATAAATGCTTGAGAGGATGGATACCCCATTCTCCATGATGTGGTTATTACTCATTGTATGCCTGTAACAAAACATCTCATGTATCCCATAAATATATACACCTACTATGTACCCACAAAAACTAAAAATTATTTTTTTAATTCACCTTTCAATATAAAAAAAACACACCCAACTCTTTTCTAATAAATAGTACTGAGTCTGAGAATAAATGTTATCATTGGCTTTTCTTCTTTTTTTGGATAATCAATAAGGTTTTCTCATTCACTGATTCTCTGAAAAAAGAGAGGGTGTCTGAAAGATAGCACCTGAGTTGAGGAGACTCGAAATCATGACCTATGAGAAATAGTTGAAAAATCTGGAGATATGTAGCCTTGAGACACCCTAGGGGAAATATAAACTTTTCAAACAGTTAAAGAGTTTAAATGTGAAGGGGAGATTAAATATGCTCTATGTGGCCCAAGAGGACAGCATTGAAACCATTTGTTGGAAACAATTAGATGAGAACTTTCTAACAATTGGGGCTATAACACCTTGGAAAATCCTGTTCTGATAAATAATGGCAAGACCTTTACTAATCAGGGTTGAAACTATTTCTACTGATCTTCCAGCTCAAAGATCTCACATTGTCAAGGAAAGGAAAGGTAGCTAGCTCATTTTTGGTGAGAATGTTGGAGATTTTTAAGTGTGTTCACTTTGCCTGAGATGAGGATATAATGTGAAAAGTACAATTTTTATAAAAAGTAAGATTATAAACTTAATAAATAAAAAAAATTGGGATTCCATAAAACCAGAAACCTGCCTATAATCCAGTGACAAATATTTAGTATATTAATAGCATCTATTTCTTATGATTAAAAAACTAATATTGTAGAACACTTATGGAAATTTATAAAGAAAAACAAACATAAGAAAATTAAGACCAAAGTAAAAAAAATCCTTAATTCCCTACATTATCATATATTTTAATGTATTTTTTCTTACAGCCCTTTATTTTATTATCTTAATGTTTAATTTATAATTTTTAATGAAACATACTTTACATATTTTTATAGGTCATTCTTTTGACATAGAATTATAGACATTACCTCGTTATTTTAGTATTTCACATATATACATTTTTATGGAGACTTATGACTCCATTTTATGAATGTTTCTTGATATATTTAATCAATTTCTTATTCACAAATAATTATGTATACAATGGTTTATTAGCATAGGTACTACTGCATTGAATCTCTTTGCATATTGTTAATTATCCAAATGCTAATTGTGTTCCTAGATTAGATTTCTAGAAGTGGAATTCATAATTCCCCCCAAAGTTCTTGGTATGTCTGGCCAAATTGACCTCTGAAAACCACATATCAATTTACTTTCTCACTATCACTATATGAGCTTAGATCTTGTTTTTTAACAGTCTGGTAAATTAAAGTTGGTAGATTATGTAGGCAATTTAAAATTTTAATTTGTTTTTCTTTAAATAAAATTGGATTTCATATTGATTTAATATGTTGAATGGCTAATTACAATTTTTCTGTGGCACCTCTTTACATTTCCCCCATTTTTTAAAAATCTGTATTGTTAGTTTTAAAGAATTCATTCATAGGAATACAGGAGTTCTTTATATATTAAGGATGTTATACCTTTATCTATCACACATGTTAAGAACTTTTGGTTTTGTTTTTTGCCTTTCCATGTATTAATGTATTTTTAACATTCAGAAATTTTAATTAGTATGTAGTCATACTTCTCAGTTTTTGTGATTTCTTCCATTGCTGTTATTTCTTTTAAAAAATCCTTCATACCAGTTCTTTCTTAGACACCTTGTATCAGACATGGTTCAATCAGAGAAGCAGAATTAGTAGGAGACACAGAAACCACACACACACTCGCATTTGATCTTATGCCATTGTGGGAGCTGGTTCAGCAATCTCTGTGTGGCCACTGCCTTCATGTCTGATGCTGGAGCTTGCGGTCCAGAAGGCAGGTGGTCAGAAGGGAAGATGGAAATAAAGTGGGAAGACCAAAGACCAGGTGGAATCACAGCACTAGCTGGAGCCCGCTCAGGGACAGAAGGAAACCCAGGCTGGTTCTTGTTGCCTCTATCCTTAGGGGTGTTAGGTGCCTGCTTTTGGTCATGAGGTTAAACACACACATTGGGCCAGGAGTCAGAGCAGAAGAAAGAGGATCCAGGGGAAAGCGAAGCTTTGTAGGCCTGGCCACTCCCTCACACCATAAGATGAGTCGGCGGACCAATGACTGTGTAAAATCTACAATATAGCTGTGGTTTCACTTCTGCCCTCCAAATCCCCCTTCAGAATCTCTCTAGTTCATTCTAACAAAAAACAAAGAAAAGTTGACATATTCCAAAGCTGCCACGCATCTATATTTTTTCTAGTTTTATTACATTAATTTGGGAAAAAATGATACCTTTTTATAATTAGCCTGTCTATTCAGGAGCATGGTACTTCTGCATTCAAATCTGATTTTATAGAAGAAAAGTACTATAATTTTGTATGAACCTTATATAATTTCTATTAGAATTATTTTATTTTTTTCTTGTTTCTAAAGCAAATGAAATCATTCCTCCCAATTATTTTTTTAGCCAATTGAAAGGAAAGCTATTATTTTTAGCACATTCATCTAGATTTTGCTACTTTGCTGAAACCCTGGTAATTTTAGAACTTTGTAAAGTTGCTTTTCATTTGTTTTCTAAGCATATCATTTTATTATTCACAAACAACATTTAATTCTTCTAACTCTATTTTCACCCACTTTTATTGTTCTGCAATCTCTGATTGATGCAATGTTAACCAATAGTGAGGCTAGTGGGCGTCCTTTTAATTTCCTTATTTTACCATTATGTATTTTTTATCTTGAAAAGCTACTTCTATTTCTTTTTTTTTGAAAATCAGGAATCTTGTATGGAATGTCACTTGACATCTACTGACATATGGGGTGGAATATGTTAATAAATTTCCCAAAATTGAACCATCTTTATTTCTGGAATAAATCCTGAATTGTGCTAGTAAAAGATTTTTTTTAAATGTACAGTTGAAATGTATTGCTAATAATTTACTATGTAAAAATTTTAATTTCTAAGTGAAATTGGTCCAGTTCTTTATCTGTCTCAGTTTCAGAGTTATGCTAATTTCATAAAATGAGTTTAATCGCTTTACTTACAAACCCTGTGGCAGTTTGTATAGCCTGAGAAATATCTGCTCTTTGAAAATGTGAAAGATCTTACCAGTAAAATTAGTGCCAAGCATTTTTGTGGGGCTCTTTTTTTTTTTGAGACGGAGTCTCGCTCTGCCGCCATCTCAGCTCACTGCAACCTCCGCCTCCTGGGTTCAGGTGATTCTCCTACCTCAGCCTCCTGAGTAGCTGTTATTACAGGTGTGCACCACCACACCTTGCTAATTTTTGTATTTTTAGTAGAGATGGGGTTTTGCCATGTTGGCCAGGCTGGTCTCGAACTCCTGACCTTAAGTGACCTGCTCACCTCTTTTGTGGTAGTTCTTAAAAATTTACTTTTTATTTGAGGTAAAACATACACATGGTAAAGTGTGCAAACCTAATATGTATATAAATAACACCATGAAATTGTATATATTTACACACACATACAGACATAAACACACATTTGTGTAACAACTACCCAAATCAAGATATAGATCATTTACAACAGGGGTCCCCAATCCCTGGGCTGAGGACCACTACCAGTTGGTGGCCTGTTAGGAACTGGACTGCATAGCAGGAGGTGAGTGGAGGATGAGGGAGCGTTACCGCCTGAGCTCTGTCTGCCTCCTCCTTAGTGCGTTAGAGGCAGCATTAGATTCTCATAGGAGCGCAGACCCTATTGTGAATTGTGCATGTGAGGGATCTAGGTTGTATGCTCCTTATGAAAATCTAACTAATGCTTGATCATCTGAGGTGGAACAGTTTCATCCTGAAACAATACCATCCCCACCGCCATCTGTGAAACAGTCCCTGGTACCAAAAAGGTTGGGGACCACTGATTTACAACATCCCAGCCAAATCTCTCCAGAAGTAATCACTATTCTGATTTATCTATTTGATAATGTATTTGATTTGATAAAAAATTATTTGACTAATAATTTTTATGATATTACCTTTTAATTTTCTCTAGTGAGTAGTTTCAGTGAACACTTGTCCTTTTTGGATGCTGCGTTAGTTTGCCAGGGCTGCCATAACAAAATGCCACGGATTGGGTGACTTAAACGACAGAAATTTGTTTTTTCACAATTGAACAACATTAAGGTGTTGGTAGATTTGGTTCTTTCTGAGGTCTCTCTCCTTGGCATGCAGATGGCCACCTTCGTGCTGTGTCCTCACATGGCTTTTTTCCCTGTGCACACACATCCCTGGTGTCTTCTCATATGTACAAATTTCTTCTTCTTGTAGGGACACACAGGCAGATTGGAATGTAGCCCACCCTAACAGCCTTGTTTTCACTTAATCATCTCTTTAAAGGCCCTATCTTCAAATACAGTTACATTCTGAGGTACTGAGGTTTAGGGCTTTGACATAGGAATTTTGGAGGGACACGATTCAGCCCTTAACAGCCACCCAAAAATTTTGAACACCTTTCCTGTATTTTGGGGAGTTTCCCACTTCAGGAGTGCATACTTTGAGATGGTAGAATCCAGAAACTGACATTTTGAGCATATGCCAGGACCCTGCAAACTCCTATGCTTGTTGTGTGCAACCTCAGAAGATGGCTTGCACATAAACCACAATGAGAAGGATTCCTTGCAGGGTTTTTCTGTGTTCAGCTTGTCCAGCATATGACATAGACCCATTGTTTTCCATCATTTTGAAACTACTGTCACAAAGCAGGTATTGCAGCTGGGCTCACTGGGCAGTGGACAGGGTCACTCAAGTTTCTGTCTCTGGAAGTTGCACAGTCCTGCTCCCAACAGCACTGAAATGGATTTCTGCTTTGTGACAGTAGTTTCAAATGGATTGGTAGATTTAAATGCTATCTTACTGTGATTTTAATTTGCATTCCCTGATTTGTCAATTAGATTTAGCATCTTTTGTTATATGTGTATTTTGTTTCTGCTCCAGTGAAATTCATTTTTTTCTATTTTCTTATTAGGTTGTCTTTTGAAAAATAAATCACAATATTCTTTTTAATATAATTTCAACTTTTACTTAGATTCAGGGGCACATTGTATAGGTTTGTTACATACGTATATTATGGGACACTGAGGTTTGAGGTATGAATGATCCCATCACCCAGGTAGGGAGCATAATAACTAATAGGTAGTTTTTCAGCCTTACCCCTCTTTTCTCTCTCTCCCCTCTTTTCTCTCTCTCCCCTCTTTTCTCTCTCTCCCCTCTAGCAGTTCCCAGTGTCTATTGTTCCCATCTTTGTGTCCATATGTACCTAGTGTTTAGCTCTAACTTATAAGTGGAAACATGCAGCATTTGGTTTTCTGTTCCTGTTTTGATTTGCTTAGGGCAATGGCTTACAGCTGCATCCATGTTGCTGCAAAGGACATGATTTTATTCCTTATTATGGCTGTGTAGTATTACATGGTATATATATACCACATTTTCCTTATCCTATTCACTGTTAATAGGCATCTAGGTTGATTCCGTGTCTTTGCTATTGTGAATAGTGCTGCGATGAACATACAAGTTCATGTGTCTTTTTGGTAGAACAATTTATTTTCCTTTGGATGCATACCCAGTGATGGTATTGCTTGATCAAATGGTAGTTCCATAATATTCTTTATACATTATTGATTCTTCATTGGTTATATATTTTGCTAATGTCTATCTTTCACTTTCTTTATGGAGACTTTTGATAAATACAAGTTCTTAATTTTAGCAGTCATATTTATTAATCTGTTCCTTTGATATGTACTTTCTGTGTTTTATTTAAGAAATTTTTTCCTGCATGAGGCCATAAAAATATTCTCTTATCTTGATTTCTAAAAGTTTTACAGTTTGCCTTTCATATGTGGCTGTGAAATACACCTGGAATTGACTTTGCATATAAAGTGAGGTAGGGGTGCTTTGCAACCCTATCTCTGTCACATAACAAATGACCATTGAAAGATATCTGTTTCTAGGTTCTTTATTTCCTTATCATCCTCGTATTGATTTTTGACTTCATTGCATTGTAGTCAGAGAATAAGGTCTGTGATTCCAATCTTTTTAAGTTGGTTGAGAATTACTGTATGTGTGTGGTCAGTTTTGATAAATGCTTCATGTCTGTCTGATAAAAAAGTATATTCTGTAATTGTAGGTGCATTTTCTAGACTAACATTAGATAAGCCTATGAATTGTGTTATTCAAATGGCCTGTATCTTCGTTATTTTTTTCCTGCTAAATCTGCCAATTGTGGAGAGAATTCTGTTAAAATATTCCACTATTGTGGCAGATTTATCTGTCTCTCCTAAAAGTCTATTAATTGTTGCTTTACATGTTGTGAGGCCATGTTATTAGGGGTATACAAGTCTAGAACTGTTAACTTCCAGTTCGTTAGTATGTAGTGAGCCTTTATATTTTAATGCTTTTTGTCATAAAATCTAATATGTACAATATTAATATAGTGACTTCAGTTTTCTTTTAATTAGTATTTCCTGGTATTTTTTCTAACATATGTTTTGAATGTAGATTTTTTTTTCTTAAATGTGTTCTGATGATCTTTTCCTTTTAATGGGAACTTTTAGTTCATTAAGATTTAATTACTACGTGGTATATAGATATAATTGCTATTAATATCTATGTATATAAATACATGATATATAAATACATAAATATATTTTAAATATTAGTGTTTGTTTATACAATATATTTTTATTACTATATACCATATTTGGATATTTTTTCTAACATTTATTTTGTGCTTCCTCTTTGTTTTATCTTTTTTATGTTTCTTTTTCTTTGTTCTCTTCTAAGTGATTAGTTTTTTCTACTATTCTGAATCTTTTTTTTTTTTTTGAGGCAGGGTCTTGCTCTATCTCCCAGGCTGGAATGCAGTGACACATCATTTTTTTTTTTTTTTTTGAGGCAGGGTCTCGCTCTGTCGCCCAGGCTGGAGTGCAGTGGCACGATCACAGCTCGCTGTAGCCTCGACCTCCTGGGCTCAAGCGATCCTCTCCTCTCACCTCAGTCTCCCAAATAACTGGGACTACAAGAATGCACCACCATGCTTGGCTAATTTTTTAAAAATTAATTTTTTTTTTTGTAGAGACAGGGTCTCACTATGTTTTTCAGGCTGGTCTCAAACTCCTGGGCTCAAGTGATCAAGCTGCCTTGGCCTCCCAGCGGGCCGGGATTACATATATGAGCCATTGTATCCAGCCTGGATCATTCTTATCAGTAACTGCCTAGATCAGGCCCAGCATGGTGGCTCATGCCTGTAGTCCCAGTACTTTGGGAAGCAGAGGCAGGCAGATTGCTTGAGCCCAGGAGTTCAAGATCAGTCTGGGCAACATGGCAAAACCCCTTCTCTACAAAAAACTACAAAAATTAATCAGGTGTGGTGGCTTGCATCTGTAGTCCCAGCTATTGGGGAGGCTGAGGTAGGAGGATTGCTTGAGTCCAGGAGGTTGAAGCTGCAGTGAGCAGTGATCATCCCACTGCACTCTGGCCAGGGTGACTGAGTGAAACCCTGACTCAAAAAGAAAAAGAAAAAACAAAAAAACCTCTATCTAGATCATAATAAAACAGATATTATTCCAGGGACTTTTTTAGAAATATCAACTTGCATGTTAAGTAATCAAGATGTGGTTTAATTAAAATCTTTACCCATCTCTTAAACAATACATGAATCTTAGCATGGTTGATTCCAGCCACCTGGAAATCAACCTATACCTTATAAATGTATTTTAATAATAACTTATTATTTTTATTTGAATCTACAAAGACATTAATCTTGCTGTTTTATACCATCAATATTTGTTTGAATTTATCCATATAACCTTTTCCTTCTTATACTTGAAACTTTCTGTGAGAGACCATGTTCCATGTGACCGAAGCATATATTTTGGAATTTCTTTTAGTGATAGTTTGTTGGTAGCAAAGTCACTACGTTTTTGCTTCACTGAGGACATTTTTATTTCACCTTCGTTTTTAATAACTTTTTATAGACTTTCTGGGTATAAGATTCTGGCCGACAGTTACTTTCTCACAGCAAAATTGAACTCATTTCATAGACACCTGAGTTCATTGTTGTTATAGAAAATTCTGCTGTCAGTCTAACTTTGATTCTTTGGAGATCATTTATCTTATTTTTTAGATTTCTCTGAAGATCTTCTCTTCATCATTGATGTTCTGCAGTTTCATTGTGACATGGCCATCTTTGTAAAGCACTACCTGTCACAAATAATTGCTTTTTTTTTTTTTTTTTGACAGAGTCTTGCTCTGTCACCCATGCTAGAGTGCAGTGGCGTGATCACAGCTCACTGCAGCCTCAACCTCTGGGGCTCAAGTGATCCTCCTATCTCAGCCTCCTGAGTAGCTGGGACTACAGGCCTGCCCCTCCAAGCTTGGCTATGTTTTTTTCTTTTGTTTTAGAGAAAGGGTCTTACTATGTTGCCCAGGTTGGTCTCGAGCTCCTGGACTGAAGTGATCCTCTTGTCTTGACCTCCCAAAGTGCCAAGATTACTGGCATGAACCACCATGCTCGGCCTCATTTTTTTTTTCATGAAAAGATTTTGGATCTTCCATTCTTCTGCTCTAATCTGTACAGATTGTTCTCTGGGCCTCCTGAGCAGCTCTTGTCATGGATTTTCCTTCATTATTTTTCTGCATTGGATCTCCAGTTTCCTTGTCCCAATGGTTTCTTTTTTTTTTTTTTTTTTCTAAATTTCTCTTCGATTTTCCTAGAATTTGTCCTCCATTGTCATCCATGGAAAGTTTGCATAAGGTAAAGTTTTTGGTTCTCGTATGCCTGAAAATACTTTTATCAACCTACACACATGAATTTTTCCTGAGAAATATCAGATTCCTATTCCTTTGTACATGAACTGATTTTTCTCTTTAGAAGATTTATGATTGATTTTCTTCTCTGTGGGCTTCTGAAAGTTCATAATGATGCCTTTATGTGGTGGATTCTATCATACTGGGGATTTACATCCTTCAGTTATGTAAAAAAAAAATTGTATTGTTACTTTGAAACTTTCTTGTGTTTCATTCTCTCTAGTTCTTATTGTTACTCCTGTTAGTCAGATGTTGGATTTCCCAGACCGACCTATACTTTGTCTTGTCTTTCCTTCCTGTCGTCTTTTTTTCTTTCTTTTTCCTCTACTTTTTGATGGATTCCTGTGACTTTGTCTTTTGACACATCTTATCTCATTGATTCTTGTGTTTTGGTTATTCCCCGTCTATTGGTGAGCTCATTAAAGGCATTCTTTATTTCTGTTACACAGCTTTTTATTTCTAACATTTCCTTTTGATTCTTTCTTAGAGTTTCCATCTCCTGGCTTACACTATGTATCTGGCCTTGCAAGTTGTCCACTTTAAAAAAAAATTAGAGCCCTAAGCATATTAACCATTGTCATTTTTAATTCTCAGTCTGCTAATTACAAAATTTCTGCTATATCTGTGTCTATCTCTGATGTTTATTTCTTCTGTTCAGATTGCTTTTTGTTCCCTTGTCTTTTAGACTGACTTGTAATTTTCTGTTGAAAGCTGTACATGAGCTATCTCAGAATAGGAACTGAGGTAGATAGGCCTTTAGTTTGAGGTTTTATGTTTATCCGTCTAGAAGTTGGGTTGTATCTACTGTTTGCTGTAGTTGTACATGTCAGAGGCTTCAATATTTTACAATGATTTTGTTTTGTCTCCCTTGTTGTCTTTGAACTTCCCTAGAAACTCTTTCTTAAGTAAAGACTGAGTTTTGCAATTCTTTTGGCAGTAATTTAGTGTCGTTATACAGGAGTCAAGTTGATTTGATAATAAGTGCAGAGAGTGCAAACATTCTATAATCTTATGAAGTCTCAGTTTTTTAGTGGGCCTGTGTCCTTGGGCTGTGACTTTCACAAATGCTTCTCAACCTTTCTCCCCATTATGTGAGATAGGAAGGCTAGAAGGGGCTGGAGTTGAGTAATTTCCCTTTCCTCAAGTTAGGTTCATCTCTGATGAAGTATTTTCCCTTGCTTGATATGCCTTTTTGGTGGAGAAAGCTCTGAGCCTATTTCAAATGGTTACTTTCCCCACAAACCTGGACGAACACAAGTGGATTTTATCTCTGATCTTTACCTGGTGGGACTCTTGGAAGTACAACCTACAGAAGTGTAGAGGTGCCCCCATAGACTTGTCCCCCAGGAGTTTTTAACGCTCGAGCTTGTCAACAGTAAGCCTTTAGTCATTTATCAAAATTACTGTTTAACTGTTCCTACCAGTTCCTGTCTCCAGTGACATCTGCTTTGGGTAAACTGATCTGTATTCCATATATTTTCTTGTCTCTCCAGTTTTTTAGGATGGTGGCTTGTCCTATGACTTCAATTCTTTGAGGGATCGAAGAAAAGTCATTGATTTTCAGTTTGTTCAGCTCTTCTCTGGTGAAGATAGGCGAGATGACCTCCAATGTCAGAGAAGAAACTGAAAGTCTCAACTTTGCCTTTTGACCTTTTGTTTGAAATTTTCATTGTATCTTTTATTTTTGCTTTAAATTTTAAGTGTTTTTTCATATTTTTCTTTATCATTTTTAATAGCATACTCTCATAACTGCAGTAGCTTTTCTTATCCTTTTCCCTCTGAGAAAGTTGTTTGTAGGGTTTTTTTTTTGTTTAAGTTTTCTTCTGTTTTTTGCTTTCTCTCTTTTTAGGAGGGTGGTTTCCATTCTTCTGTTTTGTTGTTTTTGTTGTCTGTTTGCTTTTACTTTTTTTTTTAAATTATTTCACTTGCCAAATAAATGGTAAGTGAAACTGGAAGGATGAGTGGATGAAATTGCCTAGCAACAGACTGAGAAGAGAGTCTAGCCCTGAGAAACATTTAATAGTTTGATAGTGAAGAAAACAGCTTATTTTTATGGCTTCTTGAATTGAATATTAGTTCATTTACTTTTATTGATCTTTTAAAAAATAATAAAGATTATGAATTTGTCCCTTTGGATAACTGACTATATTCCATAAACTTTGATCTAATAAGAGAAGCACTCTTAATTTTGAAGCTGTTGAGGTTTTCTGTTTACATTTCTATTATTAATTTGTAAATTCATTGCTTTTAATTTGGAAATTATCCTGATATATCTTACTTTTGTGGAGTACATTTAAATTTTCTTTTTGGTCTGCTGGAGATCAGAATATCAGTTTTGCTTGGATGCTTTAAAAAATGGTATGAAGCCTTTACGATGTGGATAGATACTTTAATTTTTTTTTGAGTTTTTTCTTTGAGGCATAATTGATGAAAAAGTATACATTTACAGATATATATATACACACATGTTTGTATATTGTGTATATATACACACATTGTGAAATGATTACCACAATCAAGCTAATTAACATATCTATCACCCAATATAGTTTTTAAATTTGTGTTGAGAACATTATCTATCATCATCATGTACTACAGATCCTATAACTTATCATGTCTAACTGAAACTTTGTATACTTTGACCAATACTATTTCATATCCCCCACATCCCCAGCCCCTGGTAATCACCATTCTGCTCTCTTTTATGAATTTGACTCTTTTAGATACACATATAAGTGAGATCGTAGAGGAAATTTAATTATTAATTAATTATTCACATTTCTATGTTATTTGCTTTTTGTATTTGATATGACATAGAATTTATAGTGGCATGTCAAAATTTTCTATATAAAATTTATTCCTATGTACTCCTCATATATTTTAATAATCTTTGCTTTCTATATTTTGGTGCTGTGTAATTTGATACACAGACCTTTATAATTGTTACTGCTTTTTATAATGTATTATGCCCCCTACTCACACATACGTGTGTGTGTGTATCTCTTTTCCCCATTTAGTGCTTTCTTCCTTGAATTCTCTTTTTTATTAATGTCTTGACATTTATTTTGTTTGCCTAATATGTTTCAAACCATCTGTTAACTTTAAACTAGTATGTTATTTTTTATTTGCACCTCATACCTGAAGAATTAGTCTTTTATTTTTATCTAATCTGAAAATCTGATTTTTAAAAGGTTGAGAAAGTTTATGTGCTATTTCTACATAGGTTCGTGTTTTAAAACTTTTTTTATTTTTTGTTATTTTTTTTACATAGGTTTTTATATAGTTGAATGACTACTATATAATTTGTATTCAATGCTTCCAGTTTTGCAATGTAACAAAACAATTTTCCTTGTAAAGACTTCTCATAATTATAGTGAATGACATTGATGTACTATATAATTTTACTATAATTTTTCTATTGTTAGACATTAGGTTATTCCTGTTGTAATTATTTCAAGAAATTCAATTAATTTCTTTGGATTTTGATTTAGAATAGATTCTCAGAAGTGGAATTAATGAGTCAACCTACAAAAACATTTATAATAAGGCTTTTGATTTATAATTCCTCTTTTTATTAAATTTAGTCTTCTGCCATCAGTGACTGAAACTGAATTTAAACAAATACACTAGAGTTTATGTATCCCAAAGTACATCCTCCTTGAAGTGTTCTTTCTGCACAGATAATTGTTTATATAACATGCTCCAAATACTGAAAATCTCCTTTATGAATTGCCTTCAAAGCCTAAAACATAACCTGTAGCTATTTTCATTGGTGGTAATCTTAAATTTTTAGAATAGATTTGATTTTCAGAAATAGAAGTCTTTTGAATTCATTTCTTATGACTTAGAATAAACTGGATAAATTGCCTTTAATGAAAGTCTTAGTACATATCTACCTGGATGAAGCAGGATTTTGACCCACATCTGTCTGACTTCCAAGCCCATGTACTTAACCACTAGGCTTACAGTCAGCAGGCAAATATTTATGTAGTACCCACTATATTCTAAGCACTGTGGTAGGTACCAAGCATAGAGTAAGGGCCAAAAGAGGCATGCTTTTGGTTCTTATACCTCTAAGAGACTAGCTTGTAAGAAACTTTCTTCTTTCAGTTATACTTTTTGTAAGTAATGCAACTTAAAAAAGTTTCATCTTGTTAGTTTACAGTATTTATATACGTTAGCTTGTGGTAGTGTTATTTTCTTAAAAGCAGAAGGCATTAATTCTTTTTATCTCTCAACTGCTATGCATTTAGTTTTGCTTAGTTAGTACTTGTTCTAATGAATGTTTGATTTTATATTGATCGCTTTGGTTGAAACTCATTTTAAACAGAGTGGCATTCTAAGTTACCATCTAAACTGGAATATGTAATTGCCCTAACTTTAGGCAGTGTATCAGAGAAGGGGTTTTGACAGCCAGTATACAGGTATTTTGACGATATTTAAATGGTAATAAGATGATTGAAAAATTAATCTAATTTTAGAGGACCTCAAGGTAAATTTTTATTTGTGGAAAAAAATCTTCATTAAAATAAAAAGTGGAAGTTTAATAAATATTTCTTAGGACTTCTTTTGTTCTACCACATCGGAATTGGATACTATAAGTATCCAAAAAGTATCCAAAAAGATTAAAATACAGATCAATCTTTTTTGAATCCCATACAGTAGTAGCATTGCTTTAAACATTATGGAAACTGCAGAAATTGGTCCTAGACTTACAGAAATAACTTAGTTATAAATTTGGAATCTCCAGAAAGGGATGGGCATTGGGCATTTTCCAACTCATTTCTCTTGGCATTTATCATACTAGGGTCCATAGACAATTTAATTTTAATAGCTTAGATGCCTTGAATCATTTTTGAGCCCTATTTTATTTTTCTCAAGTCAATGTGAGTGTGTGAATAAATCACTAATTTTAAAGGACATCTAGAAAACATTTGATACCATCTCCTGAAATTTCCATAATTTTATTTATTTATTTTTTAAATATTATTTTGCCTTTGAGTGAAGTTGTTGTGTCTGGGTCATAATTTTATTTTGAATTCAGGATCACATTAATCATAGTAACTTCTTTTGATTAAGGAAAATTAATAATTAAGATATTTACAATATATTACTCTGAAAAATGTTTGCAACTATTTGAAATGTAAACAAAGATTTAGAAAGGTATATTTGGAGAAGATGAAAACCCACCATTTACTCATTTGAAGAGGCTGCTGAGCTTCCCAAACAGCCAAACTGTTTTCTAATGCTCAAATGACTTTTTTTATTGTATTTTTTTGAGATAGAGTCTCGCTCTGTTGCTCAGGCTGGAGTGCAGTGGCACAATGTCAGCTCACTGTAACCTCTGCTTCCTGGGTTCAAGTGATTCTCCTGGCTCAGCCTCCTGAGTAGCTGGTAACCCGCCACCATGCCCAGCTAATTTTTGTATTTATAGTAGAAACAGGGTTTCACCATGTTGGCCTGGCTGGTCTCCAAATCTTGACCTCAAGTAATCCGCCCACCTCAGCCTCCCAAAGTGCTGGGATTACAGGTGTGAGCCACTGCACCCAGCCTGATTTTTAAGTTAACATATTAAAATGATATCATAGGTGATGAAACCAGTTTGAGTTAGGCAAATTATAAGAGCCTTATTCAAACCTAATCTTATTTTGGATTTGCTGCCTCCTAATGATGGTGAGTGCCTTGTATGTTACAAGTTGGGGTCTCCTAAAAATCCACTTGGAACTATCAATATAAGAATTTTTGGGGATTCTTGTTTAAAATGCATTGTTTGAAAACATCATTCTGATTGATAAATCTTTAGCGAGACTAAGAAAAAAAAAGAGAAAGAAAACCCAAATTGCTAATACCAGGAATTAAAGGGGAATATTTCTACAGGCCTTAAATAAATTAAAAGAATAGTAATACTGTAAACATCTCTACACTTATAAATTCTGCAACTTAAATTGACAGTTTCCTTGAGAGACGCAAATTACCAAAACTCATTCAGAAAAAAAATAGACAACATGAATTGCCCTATATCTGCTAAAGAAATTGAATCTATAGTCAAAGGCCTTCCAAAAAAGAAAACTATGGTTCTATTGACAAATTACAAAACATTTAAGGAAGAAGTAACATAAATTTTATACACACTGGCCCAGAAAATAAAAGAGAAAGATGCACTTTCCAAACTCTTTTTATGAGGTCAGCATTACTTTGATTCCAAAGCCAGACAAAAACAATACAAGGGAACACAACAGACCAGTATTTCTTATGAACCTTATCTCAAAAATCCTCAACAGTATATTAACAAATCCAGCAACATACAGAAAGATAATATATGACCAAGTAGGGTTTATTCCAGGAATGTAAGGCCAGTTCAACATGCAATAATCAATCAATATAATTCACAGAGTAAAAAAGGAAAACCATATGATCTTCTTGGTAGTTATACAGAGAGCACTTGCAACATTCAATAACCATTCATGATAAAAATTCACAACGAACTAGGAATAGAAGGAAACTTCCTTAACTTGACAAATGGCTTATACTAAAACTACAGCTAACATAATAATGGCAAACAACTGAATGCTTTTCCTCTAAGGCTGGGAACAAATAACAATGTCTGCTGTCATAAACCTTATTCAAGATTTTTCTGGAAGTCTTTGTCAATGCAATAAGACAAGAAAAAGAAATAAAATGTATACAGGCTGGAAAGGAAGAAATCTATTTATTTAAATGAGTTTATCAAGGTTGCAAGATACAAGGTCAACACATAAAAATCCCTTTTACTTCTATATACTAGCAATGAAAAATTGGAAATTAAAAAAAATTTAAATGTATTATTTACAATAACACTGAAAACAAAACCAAAAATGCTTAGGTATACGTCTAGCAAAATATATGCAGCATCTGGATGCTGAAAATCATGAATTATTTGTGAAAGAATTCAAAGAAGGCCTAAATAAATAAAGATATATACTGTGTTTATGGATTAACAAATTTAATATTATTAAGATGTTGATGCTTTCCAAATTGATTTATAGATTCAGTGCAATTTCAGTGTAAATTCTATCAGGATATTTTGCAGATCTTGACAAACTGATTTTAAAATGTATATGGAGCTGGGCATGGTGGCTCATGCCTGTAATCCCAGCACTTTGGGAGGCTGAGGCGGGTGGGTCATGAGGTCAGGAGATCGAGACCATCCTGGCTAACACGGTAAAACCCCGTCTCTACTAAAAATACAAAAAATTAACCGGGCGTGGTGGCGGGCGCCTGTAGTCCCAGCTACTCAGGAGGCAGAGGCAGGAGAATGTCATGAACTCAGGAAGCGGAGCTTGCAGTGAGCCAAGATTGCACCATTTGCACTCCAGCCTGGGCGACAGAGGGAGACTCCATCTCAAAAAAATAAAATGAAATAAAATAAAATAAATAAAATGTAAATGGAAAGGCAAAGGATCTAGAATAGACAATTTTTTAAAAGAACTTTGGAGGACTAACACTACCTGATTTCAGAGCTTACTTTAAAGCTGCAGTAATCAAGACAGTGTGGTATTTGGGAAAGAATGTGTAAATATATAAGTGGAAATGAAGAGAGTCTAAAAATAGACCCATGCATATATGGTAAAATGATTTTTGCCAAAGATGTGAAGGTGAAAAAATAATCTTTTTTTTCCTTGAGCTGGATGAGGTCTGAAAAATAATCTTTTCAGCAAGTCTGTTCTAACACTTGAACATCTATATGCAAAAATAATTCACCTTGACCTATATCTGATGCTTGATATCAATTTTACCTTAAATTGTACCATAGACATAAATGTAAAAGGTAAAGTTATTAACATTTTGGGAGAAAACATAGCAGAAAATTGTTGTGACCTAATTTTAAATTAGGGCAAAAATTCCAGATACAATACAAAAAATATCAGTTCATAAAGAAAACTGACAAACTGAACTTCACCAATATTAAATATTATTATAGTGTAAATGACACTTTTTTTTATTATTATTATTCTTTAAGTTTTAGGGTACATGTGCACAATGTGCAGGTTAGTTACATATGGATACATGTGCCATCCTGGTGTGCTGCACCCATTAACTTGTCATTTAGCTTTAGGTATATCTCCTAATGCTATCCCTCCCCCATCCCCCCACCCCACAACAGTCCCCAGAGTGTGATGTTCCCCTTCCTGTGTCCATGTGTGCTCATTGTTCAATTCCCATCTATGAGTGAGAATATGCGGTGTTTGGTTTTTTGTCCTTGCGATAGTTTACTGAGAATGATGATTTCCAATTTCATCCATGTCCCTACAAAGGACATGAACTCATCATCATTTTTTATGGCTGCATAGTATTCCATGGTGTATATGTGCCACATTTTCTTAATCCAGTCTATCATTGTTGGACATTTGGGTTGGTTCCAAGTCTTTGGTATTGTGAATATTGCCGCAATAAACATACGTGTGCATGTGTCTTTATAGCAGCATGATTGATAGTCCTTTGGGTATATCCCCAGTAATGGGATGGCTGGGTCAAATGGTATTTCTAGTTCTAGATCCCTGAGGAATCGCCACACTGACTTCCACAATGGCTGAACTAGTTTACAGTCCCACCAACAGTGTAAAAGTGTTCCTATTTCTCCACATCCTCTCCAGCACCTGTTGTTTCCTGACTTTTTAATGATTGCCATTCTAACTGGTGTGAGATGGTATCTCATTGTGGTTTTGATTTGCATTTCTCTGATGGCCAGTGATGGTGAGAATTTTTTCATGCGTTTTTTGGCTGCATAAATGTCTTCTTTTGAGAAATGTCTGTTCATATCCTTTGCCCACTTTTTGATGGGGTTGTTTGTTTTTTTCTTGTAAATTTGTTTGAGTTCATTGTAGATTCTGGATATTAGCCCTTTGTCAGATGAGTAGGTTGCAAAAATTTTCTCCCATTTTGTAGGTTGCCTGTTCACTCTGATGGTAGTTTCTTTTGCTGTGCAGAAGCTCTTGAGTTTAATTAGATCCCATTTGTCAATTTTGTCTTTTGTTGCCATTGCTTTTGGTGTTTTAGACATGAAGTCCTTGCCCATGCCTATGTCCTAAATGGTAATGCCTAGGTTTTCTTCTAGGGTTTTTATGGTTTTAGGTCTAACGTTTAAGTCTTTAATCCACCTTGAATTGATTTTTGTATAAGGTGTAAGGAAGGGATCCAGTTTCAGCTTTCTACATATGGCTAGCCAGTTTTCCCAGCACCATTTATTAAATAGGGAATCCTTTCCCCATTTCTTGTTTTTCTCAGGTTTGTCAAAGATCAGATAGTTGTAGATATGTGGCGTTATTTCTGAGGGCTCTGTTCTGTTCCATTGATCTGTATCTCTGTTTTGGTACCAGTACCATGCTGTTTTGGTTACTGTAGACTTGTAGTATAGTTTGAAGTCAGGTAGCGTGATGCCTCCAGCTTTGTTCTTTTGGCTTAGGATTGACTTGGCGATGCAGGCTCTTTTTTGGTTCCATATGAACTTTAAAGTAGTTTTTTTCCAATTCTGTGAAGAAAGTCATTGGTAGCTTGATGGGGATGGTATTGAATCTATAAATTACCTTGGGCAGTATGGCCATTTTCACAATATTGATTCTTCCTATCTGTGAGCATGGAATGTTCTTCCATTTCTTTGTATCCTCTTTTATTTCATTGAGCAGTGGTTTGTAGTTCTCCTTGAAGAGGTCCTTCACATCCCTTGTAAGTTGGATTTCTAGGTATTTTATTCTCTTTGAGGCTATTGTGAATGGGAATTCACTCATGATTTGGCTCTCTGTTTGTCTGTTATTGGTGTATAAGAATGCTTGTGATTTTTGTACATTGATTTTGTATCCTGAGACTTTGCTGAAGTTGCTTATCAGCTTAAGGAGACTTTGGGCTGAGACAATGGGGTTTTCTTGATATACAATCATGTCATCTGCAAACAGGGACAATTTGACTTCCTCTTTTCCTAATTGAATACCCTTTATTTCCTTCTCCTGCCTAATTGCCCTGGCCAGAACTTACAACACTATGTTGAATAGGAGCAGTGAGAGAGGGCATCCCTGTCTTGTGCCAGTTTTCAAAGGGAATGCTTCCAGTTTTTGCCCATTCAGTATGATATTGGCTGTGGGTTTGTCATAGATAGCTCTTATTATTTTGAGATACATCCCATCAATACCTAATTTATTGAGAGTTTTTAGCATGAAGGTTGTTGAATTTTGTCAAAGGGCTTTTCTGCATCTATTGAGATAATGATGTGGTTTGTGTCTTTGGTTCTGTTTATATGCTGGATTACATTTATTGATTTGTGTGTATTGAACCAGACTTGTATCTCAGGGATGAAGCCCACTTGATCATGGTGGATAAGCTTTTTGATGTGCTGCTGGATTCAGTTTGCCAGTATTTTATTGAGGATTTTTGCATCAATGTTCATCAAGGATATTGGTCTAAAATTCTCTTTTTTGGTTGTGTCTCTGCCAGGCTTTGGTATCAGGATGATGCTGGCCTCATAAAATGAGTTAGGGAGGATTCCCTCTTTTTCTATTGATTGGAATAGTTTCAGAAGGAATGGTACCAGCTCCTCCTTGTACCTCTGGTAGAATTTGGCTGTGAATCCATCTGGTCCTGGACTTTTTTTGGTTGGTAAGCTATTGATTCTTGCCACAATTTCAGAGCCTGTTATTGGTCTATTCAGAGATTCAACTTCTTCCTGGTTTAGTCTTGGGAGGGTGTATGTGTCAAGGAATTTATCCATTTCTTCTAGATTTTCTAGTTTATTTGCATAGAGGTGTTTGTAGTATTCTCTGATGGTAGTTTGTATTTCTGTGGGATTGGTGGTGATATCCCCTTTATCATTTTTTATTGCGTCTATTTGATTCTTCTCTCTTTTCTTCTTTATTAGTCTTCATAATGGTATACCAATTTTGTTGATCCTTTCAAAAAACCAGCTCCTGGTTTCATTAATTTTTTGAAGGGTTTTTTGTGTCTCGATTTCCTTCAGTTCTGCTCTGATTTTAGTTATTTCTTGCCTTCTGCTAGCTTTTGAATGTGTTTGCTCTTGCTTTTCTAGTTCTTTTAATTGTGATGTTAGGGTGTCAATTTTGGATCTTTCCTGCTTTCTCTTGTGGGCATTTAGTGCTATAAATTTCCCTCTACACACTGCTTTGAATGTGTCCCAGAGATTCTGGTATGTTGTGTCTTAGTTCTCGTTGGTTTCAAAGAACATCTTTATTTCTGCCTTCATTTCGTTATGTACCCAGTAGTCATTCAGGAGCAGATTGTTCAGTTTCCATGTAGTTGAGCAATTTTGAGTGAGTTTCTTAATCCTGAGTTCTAGTTTGATTGCACTGTGGTCTGAGAGACAGTTTGTTATAATTTCTGTTCTTTTAATTTGCTGAGGAGAGCTTTACTTCCAACTGTGTGGTCAATTTTGGAATAGGTGTGGTGTGGTGCTGAAAAAAATGTATGTTCTGTTGATTTGGGGCGGAGAGTTTTGTAGATGTCTATTAGGTCCGCTTGGTGCAGAGCTGAGTTCAATTCCTGGATATCCTTGTTAACTTTCTGTCTCGTTGATCTGTCTAATGTTGACAGTGGGGTGTTAAAGTCTCCCATTATTATTGTGTGGGAGTCTGAGTCTCTTTGTAGGTCACTAAGGACTTCCTTTATGAATCTGGGTGCTCCTGTATTGGGTGCATATATATTTAGGATAGTTAGCTCTTCTTGTTGAATTGATCCCTTTACCATTATGTAATGGCCTTCTTTGTCTCTTTTGATATTTGTTGGTTTAAGGTCTGTTTTATCAGAGACTAGGATTGCAACCCCTGTCTTTTTTTGTTTTCCATTTGCTTGGTAGATCTTCCTCCATCCTTTTATTTTGAGCCTATGTGTGTCTCTGCACATGAGATGGGTTTCCTGAATACAGTACACTGATGGGTCTTGACTCTTTTATCCAATTTGCCAGTCTGTGTCTTTTAATTGGAGCATTTAGTCCATTTACATTTAAAGCTAATATTGTGATGTGTGAATCTGATCCTGTCATTATGATGTTAGCTGGTTATTTTGCTTGTTAGTTGATGCGGTTTCTTCCTAGTCTCGATGGTCTTTACATTTTGGCATGATTTTGCAGTGGCTGGTACCGGTTGTTCCTTTCCATGTTTAGTGCTTCCTTCAGGAGCTCTTTTAGGGCAGGCCTGGTGGTGACAAAATCTCTCAGCATTTGCTTGTCTGTAAAGTATTTTATTTCTCCTTCACTTATGAAGCTTAGTTTGCCTGGATATGAAATTCTGGGTTGAAAATTCTTTTCTTTAAGAATGTTGAATATGGCCCCCACTCTCTTCTGTCTTGTAGAGTTTCTGCCGAGAGATCTGCTCTTAGTCTGATGGGCTTCCCTTTGTGGGTAACCCGACCTTTCTCTCTGGTTGCCCTTAACATTTTTTCCTTCATTTCAACTTTGGTGAATCTGACAATTATGTGTCTTGGTGTTGCTCTTCTCAAGGAGTATCTTTGTGGCGTTCTCTGTATTTCCTGAATCTGAATGTTGGCCTGCCTTGCTGGATGGGGGAAGTTCTCCTGGATAATATCCTGCAGAGTGTTTTCCAACTTGGTTCCATTCTCCCCATCACTTTCAGGTACACCAATCAGATGTAGATTTGGTCTTTTCACATAGTCCCATATTTCTTGGAGGCTTTGTTCATTTCTTTTTATTCTTTTTTCTCTAAACTTCTCTTCTCGCTTCATTTCATTCATTTCATCTTCCATCACTGATACCCTTTCTTCCAGTTGATCACGTTGGCTCCTGAGGCTTCTGCATTCTTCACATAGTTCTCAAGCCTTGGCTTTCAGCTCCATCAGCTCCTTTAAGCACTTCTCTGTATTGGTTATTCTAGTTATACATTTGTCTAAATTTTTTTCAAAGTTTTTAACTTCTTTGCCTTTGGTTTGAATTTCCTCCTGTAGCTTGGAGTAGTTTGATCATCTGAAGACTTCTTCTCTCATCTCGTCAAAGTCATTCTCTGTCCAGCTTTGTTCCATTGCTGGTGAGGAACTGCGTTCCTTTGGAGGAGGAGAGGCGCTCTGCTTTTTAGAGTTTCCAGTTTTTCTGCTCTGTTTTTTCCCCATCTTTGTGGTTTTATCTACTTTTGGTCTTTTATGATGGTGATTTACAGATGGGTTTTTGGTGTGGATGTCCTTTCTGTTTGTTAGTTTTCCTTCTAACAGAGAGGACCCTCAGCTGCAGGTCTGTTGGAGTTTGCTAGAGGTCCACTCCAGACCCTGTTTTCCTGGGTATCAGCAGCGGTGACTGCAGAACAGCGGATTTTCATGAACCGCGAATGCTGCTGTCTGATCGTTCCTCTAGAAGTTTTGTCTCAGAGGAGTACCTGGCCGTGTGAGGTGTCAGTCTGCCCCTACTGGGGGGTGCCTCCCAGTTAGGCTGCTCGGGGGTCAGGGGTCAGGGACCCACTTGAGGAGGCAGTCTGCCCGTTCTCAGATCTCCAGCTGCGTGCTGGGAGAACCACTGCTCTCTTCAAAGCTGTCAGACAGGGACATTTAAGTCTGCAGAGGTTACTGCTGTCTTTTCATTTGTGTGTGCCCTGCCCCCAGAGGTAAATGACACTGTTAAGAAAATGAAAACACAAGCCATAGACATGGAGAAATTGCTTGAAAATCTCATATCTGACAAAGACGTTGGATCTAGAATATATATGAACTCTTAAAACTCAAAAATGAGAAAATGAAGAATCTAATTTTAAAATGGGCAAAAGATTTGAACAAATGGTTCATCAAAGAAGGTATACAGATGACAAATAAACACATGAAAATATGTTCAACACCATTGATCATTAGGGCTATGAAAATTAGAACTGCAATATGGCATCACCACTCATAGATCAGAATGGCTGAAATCAAAGACTGGCCATTCCATGTGCACAGGAAGGTGTGGAGCAACTGGACCTCTTACAGATGGCTAGTGAGAATGCAAACTAGTATCCTGGGAAAACAGTTTAGCAGTTATTTATAAAATTAAACATACATACATTTATACATTAAAATCCATCATCCCACTCAGTCATTTAACTAAGTGACATAAACACCTATGTTTACATAAAAAGCTGTTTGTGAATATCTTAGCAACTTTATTCCTACTCACCAAAAACTGCAAGTAATGCAAATGTCCCTCACCTGGAGAATGGATAAACAAGCTATGGTACATCCCATACAATGTAGCATATACCAATTTTTCTCATCAATAAAGATTAACTACTGATACACACATCAACATGAATTAATCTCAAATTCATCATGTTGAGATTAAGCCAGATTCAAAACATGGTATTTCATGCAATTCCATCTATATGATATTCTGGAGAAGCGAAATTATAGGAAATGAGAACAGACCAGTGGCAGCCAGGAGCCCAGAAGTGTAACTCAAGGGATTTGGGGTGAGGGTGGGGTTGATGAAACCATTTCGTATATTGTTCATGCTGGTGGTGAAACAACCCCATGCTTTTGTCAAAACCCATAGAACTGTCCACCAAAAAGAGTAATTTTTACTGTTTAGAAATTAAATAGAAAAAAAATCCATCTACGTCTCTGGATTTTTAAACTTGTACCATCCTCTGTTCATTTTTGTGTAGACTTTTTTTTTCATATTAACTTTTAAACTTCTCCACAGATGATTCATAAAGGAGCTTGTCAAATGGCACTTCTATTCTCTCAGTTTACAAATTATTTTGCGTAATATAAGCAACAAAACAAAAACCAAGTGCCATTTTGGGGGCTAAGATTTAGCTGCATTTGATAATTCTTACTAAAAGTATAAGATTTTAATTATTAATTAATTATAAACTATAAAATAATATTGATTTGTGATTGTAATTGTACTTACTACACAATGGTTCTAAAAGTATTGTTTCACTTTCACTACTTACAGCAATGGATGTAGCAGAGAGAACAGAGATCTAATTGGTAACTTCTATTCTCAGGAAACAAGGAAGAAGTGAGTCATCTGAAGGACTGATGGGAGAAGAGAATGTCTTGATATTTGCCAGTGAGTTTTTCTCAATAGGGCTGTTAGCCACATTCTATTTTTCTTCCTATACTACATCCAGTCACTTATGGTGACACAGAGAGCAGAATAGTATGGATACAAAATTCCCATGGCTCATCCAGTACCGTCACTTCAACCAGCGATGACCTTTCTTTTCTGAACATCATTGCAAGTTGGAAAATCGGACTTCTTAACTTTCATTTCCCATCACATCCTGTAATGAAAAGTAATAAAGAAAAGAAAAGAAATTAGGATTTAACAAGGAAAAGTGCCAACATCACAGGGCTGGTGAAATCTACAGAGAGGCAGCATGGTATTACAGCAGGGCACAGATGTTAGGATCAGAGATACAGTATTTAGGTTCAAATCCCAGCATGTCACTTACCAGCTATTTAGGAAAATTTCTCAACCTCAATGATCCTCATTTTCCTCACTTTTAAATTGGAAAAATAACACCCATCATAATAAATTGTGGTGAGAATTAAGAAGATCACATAATAGACTGAATTCAGTATTTGGCCTAGTGAGAATACAGAACAAGAAATACTTGTTAGTATTGGCTGTTATTATTTATAATTATACCTTTCTAAATCACTGTGGAATAATGAAGTTGACCATATTTAAGTTTCTATCATCCCTTCCATTTTAGCATTTACTAGCTGTATAACTTTGAGCATATTATATAATTTCTCTGGCCTTAGTTTTCTTATCTGTAAACTGAGAATAAGTGTAGTAGTACCTATTTCATAATATCTTTGTGAGGATTAAATAAATTAATACTTCTAAAGCTCTAGATAGTGCCTGGCATGTAGCTAAGTACTCAATAAGTGTTAGCTATTACTGCTACTATTATTATTATCATTGTTGTTATTGTTATTATTCTCAACCAAAGATTAACAAGTACTAATTGAGCACTATTATACTGACAGTGTTGGTAAAAGAAAAGATTTGTGAGCTATACTGAATATTAAACTATGTAGTATTGAGTCTAAATTTGTAGTACTAAATACTCAAAGTATTTGACTGATTAATCAATGTATGCATTAGTAATTCAGAAAATGGACTGTGAACTAGTCAGGAATAATCAGGAAGAACAATAGTCAATACTTTGGGAGAACTGAATACTTGGGGGAAATAAGGGAAAGTTTCCTAGACTGGGACAAGTGGAGCAAAGTGCATATGGAGAAAAACGTATTCACCGGCAGTAAGATAGACACAAAAAATTGCAAGATTGTAAAGTAATATAATGTATCACTATATAGCAGAGAAAATTAACTAATTGTACCTACATATCAATGTGAAAAATCTCATAAACAGAATATGGAGTGAAATGCACAAATCACAAGAGAAAACTGATATTCCATTTCTATAAAATTCTAAGGCAAAATTAAACTACATTGTTAAGGAATAACATATGTAAATGATAAAACTATTAACAATGATTATCACAAAAGTTAGGACAGTGGTTACATCTGGGGAAGAGAAGGGAAGAGAAGGGCAAAGAATGAGTTTCTAAGATACTAACAATGTTCTATCATTTCATAGTGTGTGTGTGTGTGTGTGTGTGTGTCTGCCTGTGTGTGAACTTGAGCATTTGCTTTACAACTGTTATTTTAACAAGTAAAAATCACTTAAAAGTAAGTGTGAATGAGGTCCAGAAAGTCAGCAAACCCAACCAGAGGGTACAGTATGTTGTGGAGTAGCAGGCATTAAAACAAATAAGGTGATCCTCAATCCATTTCTTTTTTAGCGCTGAGCAGCATCCAATTGGTTGCTCCCTCCATCACCCCCACTAAGCTTAAGAATCTCACCTTCCTCAAAATCCAGAGATAAGTAATGAAAGTCATCAAACAGAGTCAAGGGGTCACCACGGAGGGTATTGAATCCTCCGAGAGGAATGTTACCTCTGACACCTAGCTAGCCGGGCGGGGGTGTCCGGTGCAGGGTAAGAGTGAGGCGTTGATAGCCGGAGGTTGTCTATCGATATTAAGGGCTTCCCCCTTACAATTGAGGCCCTTATTTCAGTTGACAAATGACACCTCACTGAAAAGGACGATGGAATTCATTTCGCTATCGAGGCTATGGCTGAAGTAGAGTCTGATCAGTCCTCAGTGGGGAAATGGAAGAAGAGATTGAGTGAGGATAAAACAAAGGAATGTACTTTTACTATGAAGATCAGAACGAGACCACAGGCTGATATATGTGCAAATTTAGACACTTGGAGTTTATCTCCTGTGTCCAAAAATCTGCCCCAGACATTCCATTTCTCATTGCTGTCTTTCTTTTAAACTTGTTGTCAAGGAAATAAGATGCAAGCTGAGCAGGTGGGAACTAGAAGCAAAAAGTTTAATATTGTATGTGAATGCTTTTACAATCTAATGAGCAATAAAAAGATTCATTCTGAGCTCTTTATTATGTTTTAATGGCCAACCATGTAAAAGCTGGATATTTGAAAGTATTTTTGTGTTATTTGGGTTCAATTAAAACCTGTCTCTCTCTCTCTCTAATAATTATTCTGGGAACAAGGTAAATGTCCAAGATTAAATAAAAGGAACATCAGAATACCATAGCAGATAAGTCTTGCCTTGTTGTGATACTTATTTTGTTGTTGTTGTTGTTGTAGTATGTAAAGTGCTAGATACTTTACATAACCCCTCAACCATCTTTCAAAATTGTTAGTTTTTAGATAAGAAAGCGGAGGCTTTGTGAGGTTAAATAACTTGACCAAGAACACATAGTGAAGCTAGGAGGCCAACTCAGTTCTGTCTGAACTAAAAGCAAAAATGAGAGGTAATAGCTACTTTCTTAAGAAAAGAAAGGAGAGGACTTTACAGGGAGCTTTATCCAAGCTGGTCAGAGAGGTGGAAGGCCAGATCCCAGAGGGATTGCTATATTTAGGGAAAGTCTTTCTTAACTAGTGAAAGACTGGAAGGTGAGGCTGTTTACTGGGAAGAACAAAGGTATGACAGCTTCCTAAGGGAAAAAGAGATACAACCCTTGAAAGAACTGGAAGAAAGTGGTAGTGGATCCCCAGACTGGAAAGACTCAACACAGTGTATTTGGTTATAGTCATCTGAGGCATTGATTATGGTCCCATTTTTGCCACTAAATTGTTATTGAACTTTGTGCAATCATTTCACCAACTTGACAAATGTAAACTGCAATATATCATAATGTACTGAAGTTGAAGAAGTTAGTGAGGATACCTAGATCTGTATCAGCCTGGCACATGGAAGGAGTAAAGAAATCACATCAAGCTAAATATTAAATGTTTATAAATCTTAATTTATTTCTTTTTATCAGGTAAAAATAAACATAAAAAGAAGTGCTAACATTTTCTTCCTGCACTTCATTGAATTGTTTTACCACCCCATGGCTTTCAGGTACATGGGCTGAATGAAATATAGGATAAGGCTTAGAGAATGGCACTTCCAACTGGAGGCCTCTACATTGACAAAAGATCAGCCAGGTCAATTATGTTGAGAAAAGTATTTGACTTTAGAAACACTATGAGGGGGGTGGTTAGGAGACAGAGATGCCACAAGGGTTCTGAACTATAGCTCTTCTGCAAAAATGCCCTGTAATTTTGAAATGTAGAGACCATTGTTTTGGCCAGGCATGGTGGCTGACACCTGTAATCTGGGCACTTTGGAAGGCTGAGGTGGGAGGATTACTTGAGCCCAGGAATTTGAGACCAACCTGGGCAATATAGTGAGACCCTGGCACTACAAAAAAAAAATTACCCGGATTTGGTGGTTCACACCTGGTCCCACCTACTTGGGAGGCTGAGGTGAGAGGATCGCTTCAGCCTTGGAGGCTGAGGCTTCAGTGAGCTGTGACAGCGCCACTGCACTCCAGCCTGGGCAACACAGTGAGACCTGTCTCTAAAAATATATATATATATATATGTATATATATATATATATATATATAGAGAGAGAGAGAGAGAGAGAGAGAGAGACAGAGAGAACCTATGATGGACATTACCAAGTCAAATTCCTAAAGTGACCTCAATGAGTAAAATGGGTTGAATGAAAATGGCCACCCAGTCCTCTTGTTTTCTCATTTTGATAGGAAGTGTTTCTACTATAAGTCACAGCATGCATGCATGAAAACATGTGGCTTGTAACACTGCGTCTCAGTGCAGGACAAGAGTTGAGAGTGATGTGGATGATGTGAACTAGAAAACGGGTCAGCAGCTACTCATGTCTTGTTGATGGTTGTAATCCAGTTGTAATCCACTGGATGTTGATCCAGTCTTGCTAAATTTCTTATTTTTCCAAAGAGGCCAGAAATCCAACTATTAGGTAAAAATATCTTGATTAAAAAAAAGACTACCTTGGAACTAGGTTTTTGTAAAACATTGTAGGAACCACACAAAGCAGGCCGACAGCCTGATCTTCTCTGTAGTCAACTGGTTTGCAGCCCCTGACTTACTCCAATGCCAGAAACCTGGGCTTGCAAGTGGTTTTCATTTTATCCTCCAGGGGACTGACTAGCTGTGACTTCCTCAGGGAAGCCTTCCCTGGCCAGATTGGCTACCCCATTGGTATTTTCTCTAGTCTTCTGTATATCCCCATCCTTCCTTTCTACACACTTTTTTTGTAATTACATGTTTGATGCTTTTTGTTCCTGCTAGACTGTAAGTTAATTGAAGGAGGAAACTATTTCTGTGTTGGTCATTGTCATTAGGTTTCCTGGAATCAGACTGTAGTGGACTGGGAGTTGTGTGAAGGAGGTTTAGTGGGCAGTGCTCTTGGGAACACTAGGTGGGTGAGGGAACAGGATTGGGCTGGCAGAGAAATGGGGTGAACAATTTTTTAGAGATACAACCTGGGACACAGCCATAAATAATATAGAATAAAGAATTTGTGTGTTATGACTTCAACATAAAAGTATTTAAAATGGGCATATCCTTGAAATTGTATTAAATTCTGTATTATTTACTTTTCTGTTATATAAATACTATCATCTAAGCCAAAACAACATAAATAATTAACAATGGCAATTAGTAGTAATTAATAGTAGGACTAATTTAAAAAATCATGTGTGAGGAAGATTTAACAATATTTTGATAATATTTCTTTATCTGGAAAAATGATTTATTTTAACTCTTGTCATCTCTTTATTTGATAGTGATTGATTTCAGGCTATATTGGTGTGTACTTTATGATCCATAATTAAACAGATATTACCTGTATTTAATAAAAAAACAGTAATAAGATGTTTCTTTCTGTATCGCGATACAGGAGGATATTTTTTCCTCTTTCAATTACCTTTTTCAATAATACTCAGAACTGCCTACAACCTTTACTTTGGGGCAAGCTTTTATTCTTTTTTCTTTTTATTTTTTAATTGGTGGACTGTTTATTTAGGTCTTTAATTTTATATATATATATTTTTTATTATACTTTAAGTTCTAGGGTACATGTGCACAATGTGCAGGTTTTTACATATGTATACATGTACCATGTTGGTGTGCTGCACCCATTAACTCGTCATTTACATTAGGTATATCTCCTAATGCTATCCCTCCCCCCTCCCCCTACCCAACAATAGGCCCCAGTGTGTGATGTTCCCCTTCCTGTGTCCATGTGTTCTCATTGTTCAATTCCCACCTATGAGTGAGAACATGCGGTGTTTGGTTTTTTGTCCTTGTGATAGTTTGCTGAGAACGATGGTTTCCGGCTTCATCCATGTCCCTACAAAGGACATGAACTCATCATTTTTTATAGCTGCATAGTATTCCATGGTGTATATGTGCCACATTTTCTTAATCCAGTCTATCATTGTTGGACATTTGGGTTGGTTCCAAGTCTTTGCTATTGTGAATAGTGCCGCAATAAACATACATGTGCTTGTGTCTTTATAACAGCATGATTTATAATCCTTTGGGTATATACCCAGTAATGGGATGGCTGGTTCAAATGGTATTTTCAGTTCTAGATCCCTGAGGAATCGCCACACAGACTTCCACAATGGTTGAACTAGTTTACAATCCCACCAACAGTGTATAAGTGTTCCTATTTCTCCACATCCTCTCCAGCACCTGTTGTTTCCTGACTTTTTAATGATCGCCATTCTAACTGGTGTGAGATGGTATCTCATTGTGGTTTTGATTTGCATTTCTCTGATGGCCAGTGATGATGAGTATTTTTTCATGTGTCTATTGGCTGCATAAATGTCTTCTTTTGAGAAGTGTCTGTTCATATCCTTTGCCCACTTGTTGATGGGGTTGTTTTTTTCTTATAAATTTGTTTGAGTTCTTTGTAGATTCTGGATATTAGCTCTTTGTCATATGAGTAGATTGCAAAAATTTTCTCCCATTCTGTAGGTTGCCTATTCACTCTGATGGTAGTTTCTTTTACCGTGCAGAAGCTCTTTCATTTAATTAGTCGTTTGAAAAGATCAAAAAAATTGATAGACCGCTAGCAAGATTAATAAAGAAGAAAGGAGAGAAGAATTGAATAGATGCAATAAAAAATGATAAAGGGGATATCACCACCCATCCCACAGAAATACAAACTACCATCAGAGAATACTATAAACACCTCTACGCAAATAAACTAGAACATCTAGAAGAAATGGATAAATTCCTTGACATATACACCCTCCCAAGACTAAACTAGGAAGAAGTTGAATCTCTGAATAGACCAATAACAAGCTCTGAAATTGAGGCAATAATTAATAGCTTACCAACCAAAAAAATGACCAGATGGATTCACAGCCAAATTCTACCAGAGGTACAAGAAGGAGCTGGTACCATTCCTTCTGAAACTATTCCAATCAATAGAAAAAGAGGGAATCCTTGTACCTCATTTTATGAGGCCAGCATCATCCTGATACCAAAGCCTGGCAGAGACACAACAAAAAAAGAGAATTTTAGACCAATATCCCTGATGAACATCAATGCAAAAATCCTCAATAAAATACTGGCAAACCGAATCTAGCAGCACATCAAAAAGCTTATCCACCATGATCAAGTGGGCTTCATCCCTGGGATGCAAGGCTGGTCCAACATATGCAAATCAATAAATGTAATCCAGCATATAAACAGAACCAAAGACACAAACCACATCATTATCCCAATAGATTCAGAAAAGGCCTTTGACAAAATTCAACAGCCCTTCATGCTAAAAACTCTCAATTAGGTATTGATGGGACATATCTCAAAATAATAAGAGCTATTTATGACAAACCCACAGCCCATATCATACTGAATGGGCAAAAACTGGAAGCATTCCCTTTGAAAACTGGCACAAGACAGGGATGCCCTCTCTCACCACTCCTATCCAACATAGTGTTGGAAGTTCTGGCCAGGGCAATTAGGCAGGAGAAGGAAATAAAGGGTATTCAGTTAGGAAAAGAGGAAGTCAAATTGTCCCTGTTTGCAGACGACATGATTGTATATCTAGAAAACCCCATCTTCTCAGCCCAAAATCTCCTTAAGCTGATAAGCAACTTCAGCAAAGTCTCAGGATACAAAATCAATGTGCAAAAATCACAAGCATTCTTATACACCAGTAACAGACAAACAGAGAGCCAAATCATGAGTGAACTCCCATTCACTATTGCTTCAAAGAGAATAAAATACCTAGGAATCCAACTTGCAAGGGATATGAAGGACCTCTTCAAGGAGAACTACAAACCACTGCTCAACAAAATAAAAGAGGACACAAACAAATGGAAGAATATTCCATGCTCACAGATAGGAAGAATCAATATCGTGAAAATGGCCATACTGCCCAAGGTAATTTATAGATTCAATTCCATCCCATCAAGCTACCAATGACTTTCTTCACAGAATTGGAGAAAACCACTTTAAAGTTCATATGGAACCAAAAAAGAGCCCGCATTGCCAAGTCAATCCTAAGCCGAAAGAAGAAAGCTGGAGGCATCACGCTGCCTGAATTCAAACTATACCACAAGGCTACAGTAACCAAAACAGCATGGTACTGGTACCAAAACAGATATATGGACCAATGGAACAGAACAGACACCTCAGAAATAATACCACACATCTACAACCATCTGATCTTTAACAAACCTGAGAAAAACAAGCAATGGGGAAAGGATTCCCTATTTAATAAATGGTGCTGGGAAAACTGGCTAGCCGTATATAGAAAGCTGAAACTGGATCCCTTCCTTACACCTTATACAAAAATTAATTCAAGATGGATTAAAGACTTAAATGTTAGACCTAAAACCATAAACACCCTAGAAGAAAACCTAGACAATACCATTCAGGACATAGGCATGGGCAACGACTTCATGTCTAAAACACCAAAAGCAATGGCAACAAAAGCCAGAATTGACAAGTGGGATCTAATTAAACTAATTAAGCTTTTATTCTTTTATGTAGTGGTAAGAGTGAATAACAGTCAAATGCAAAATTCGCTTTGCCTTGCACCTCTGCCCTTATCAAGCCCACATTATACTGATTTGTGGTGTCAAGCTACTGTGATGACATTGATCTAAATATCTTCTCAACAAAATAATTTTAGCATTGAATACCTTGGGATTTCACTCACTACCAACAACAGGTTTTTAGACTTTTCAGCTTTGTCTATTCATTTTGTGTCTACAGACTTGTTTTGGTAGAACAGCTGCTTATCAGTCAGTTTTTTTGCATCTAGAAGTTAATTATGTAGGTCATCCATGTCTAAATTATCCATCAATTTTAAATATTCTTAAGCACATTGGACATCATCATAAGTTAAACCTCTTTTATTGGGAAAAAATGATTTTTAAAGAATAGAGGTAATTTTAACTTGTGAAATTGAAGATGGATTCCAAATAAGGTATAGTTTTAGTAAAGAAATGAGAAAGCTCTGTTTAACTTGGATGCCGTTTTCTGAGTTCTAAAGAAATCTTATTTTTGAAAAAAGGAGTCACTTTTTTTTTCACCGTATGAAAAAAAATATGGTGTTGTTGCAATCTCAACAACATTAAGCAATAATGGCAGTCAGTTCATCCTTTGCTATCACCTCTTCGAAGGTCATTGGTTTTGAAGAATTTTCTGTTTTAATGTAAATCTTTTTCTCTATCCTCACCCTTAATGCATTTTCAAATCAGAGAAGGACATTCTTCTTGTCCCACACTTTGAAAATATAATTTATGGTAGGCTAATATTTTAACATCTTTTTATGGCTGGCAACAATAATATACATCTTGTAGGCACCTGTCTAAAAAGGCAACCTCCCTTTCCTTTCTCTAAAGGAAAAAATCTTATCAGATGTTTTTGCACATTTTGGGGAAATTGAAAAATATCAAGGTTTTTATGATAAGAACCTCAACATTACAGGTAAGTATACCACTCCTCCTCCCCCTTCTCAATAATGTTGTGTACAAGGTATGTAGGACATTTAGCAGGTGGGACCTTATTGTTTTCTTTGATAATAAATTTAGACAGTGGAATTTTCCAAAACTTACATTTGCATAGTGCTGAATT
The DNA here is from genome assembly GCF_000001405.40 of Homo sapiens. Lineage (NCBI taxonomy): Eukaryota > Metazoa > Chordata > Mammalia > Primates > Hominidae > Homo > Homo sapiens. The sequence continues at coordinate 108,155,907 of NC_000008.11, read as the reverse complement.
TGCAAATAGATGAGCAAAACCGGGTTTTATTTGGACAAGATAACAATCTTTTGTGTTTTCTGTAGTCTCACTGAAATCTTCATAGAAATCAAGACAATGATTTGAAACTCCATTTTTCAAATCAAAATTCCTAAGAGCCAGAGGAAACATTTCTTTTCTTGCCATTATTCAACTAATCACATATACTATAGAAAGCATGATCATTAGTAAGATCGGACAGAATCAGCTCTACTAAAGAGCCAACACATCTGTTATGAAAATTCCCCCTTTTGTTTGCCCACACAACATTTCAGTTGGAACCTCTGAATTAGGACATGTAACTTGACTCAACTTCATAGAGCAATTAAGGGAATGACATAATATGTGTGTTCTGGAGTATGCCCAAGCTAATTCAATGCCACTGTTTTATTTTTTTTAATCAAATTAACTTTAATTTTAAGTTCCAGGGAACACATGCAGGGCATGCAGGTTTGTTACACAGGTAAATGTGTGCCATGGTGGTTAGCTGCACCTATCAACCCATCACCTAGGTATTAAGCCCTGAATGCATTAGCTATTTATCCTGATACTCTCCCTCCCACTGCCCCCATTGCCTGACAAGCCCCACTGTGTGTTGTTCCCATTCCTGTGTCCATGTGTTCTCATTGTTCAGCTCCCACTTATAAGTAAGAACACGCAGTGTTTGATTTTCTGTTACTGTACTCATTTGCTGACAATAATGGCTTCCAGCTCCATCCATATCCTTGCAAAGGACATAATCTAATTCCTTTTTATGGCTGTATAGTATTCCATGGTATATGTGTACCATATTTTCTTTATCCAGTCTATAACTGATGGGCATTTAGGTTGATTCCATGTCTTTGCTATTGTGAATAGTGCTGCAATGAACATACACATGCATGTGTCTATAAATAAAATGATTTATATTCCTTTGGGTATATATCCAGTAATGAGACTGCTGGGGCAATTGGTATTTCTGGTTCTAGGTCTTACAGGAATCACCACACTGTCTTCCACAATGGTTGAATTAATTTACATTCCCACCAACAGTGTAAAAGTGTTACAATTTCTCCACATCCTTGCCAGCATCTGTTGTTTCTTGACTTTTTAATAATAGCTATTCTGACTGGTGTGAGGTGGTATCTCATTGTGGGTTTGATTTGCATTTCTCCAATGGTCAGTGATGTTGAGCTTTTTTTCATATGTTTGTTGGCCACATAAATGTCTTGTCTTCTTTTGAGAAATGTTTGTTTATGTCCTTTGTCCACTTTTTAATGGGGTTGTTTGGTTTCTTTCTTGTAAATTTGTTTAAGTTCCTTGTAGATTCTGGGTATTAGACCTTTGTTAGATGGATAGGTTGTAAAAATTTTCTCCCATTCTGTCTGTTCACTCTGATGATAATTTCTTGGTGCGATCTTGGCTCACTGCAACCTCCACCACCTGGGTTCAGGCGATTCTCCTGCCTCAGCCTCCCAAGTAGCTGGAATTACAGGCACCCGCCACCATGCCCAGCTAATTTTTGTATTTTTAGTAGAGACGGGGTTTCACCATGTCAGCCAGGCGGGTCTCAAATTCCTGACATCAGGTGATCCACCCTCCTTGGCCTCCCAAAGTGCTGGGCATACAGGCGTGAGCCACTGCACCCAGCCAATGATAGTTTCTTTTGCTGGGCAGAAGCTCTTTTGTTTAATTAGATCAATCACACTTGTCAATTTTTGCTTTCATTACAATTGCTTTTGACATTTTCATCATGAAATCTTTGCCTGTGTCTATGTCCTAAATGGTATTGTCTATATTTTCCTCTAGGGTTTTTTATAGTTTTGGGTTTTATATTTAAGTCTTTAAAATCCACCTTGAGTTAATTTTTGTATAAGGTATAAGGAAGGGGTCCAGTTTCAATTTTCTGCATATGGCTAGACAGTTTTCCCAACACCATTTATTAAATAGGGAGTCCTTTCTCCATTACTTGTTTCTGTCAGGTTTGTCAAAGATCAGACAAGTGTAGATGTGCAGTCTTATTTCTAAGATCTCTATTCTTTCCATTGGTCTATGTGTCTGTTTTTGTACCAGTAACATGCTGTTTTGGTTACTATAGCCTGGTAGTATAGTTTGAAGTTGAGTAGCATGATGCCTCCAGATTTGTTCTATTTGCTTAGGATTGTCTTAGCTATATGGGCTCGTTTTTGGTTCCATATGAATTTTAATGTCTTTTTTTTTCTAATTTTGTGAAGAATGTCAATGGTAGTTTAATGGGAATTGCATTGATCTATAAATTACTTTGGGTAGTATGGCCATTTTCCTCATATTGTGTCTTCCTACCCATGAGCACGGAATGTTTTTCCATTTGTTTATGTCCTCTTTTATTTCCTTGGAAAGTAGTTTGTAGTTCTCCTTGAAGAGGTCCTTCACATCCCTTGTAATTTGTATTCCTAGGTATTTTATTCTCTTGTAGCTCCCATTGTAATGGGAGTTCATTCATGATTTGGCTGTCTGCTTGTTGGCATATAGGAATGCTTGTGATTTTTGCATGTTGACTTTTGAATCCTGAGACTTTGCTGAAGTTGCTTATCAGCTTAAGAAGCTTTTGGGCTGAGACAATGAGGTTTTCTAGATATAGGATCATGTCATCTGCAAACAGAGACAGTCTAACTTCCTGTCTTTCTATTTGAATACCATTTATTTATTTCTCTTGCCTGATTGCCCTGTCCAGAACTTCTACTACTATGTTGAATAGGAGTGGTGAGAGAGGGCATCCTTGTCTTGTGCCAATTTTCAAGGGGAATGCTTCCAGCTTTCGCCCATTCAGTATGATATTGGCTGTGGGTTTGTCATAAATGGCTCTTATTATTTTGAGGTATGTTCCATCAATACCTAGTTTATTGAGAGTTTTTAACATGAAGGGATGTTGAATTTTATCAAAGGCCTTTTCTGTGTCTATTGAGATAAGCATGTGGTTTTTGTGTGTAATTCTGTTTATGTGATGAATTACATTTATTGATTTGTATATGTGGAACCAGCCTTGCATCCCAGGGATGAAGCTGACTTAATCGTAGTGGATAAACTTTTTGATGTGCTGCTGGATTTGGTTTGCCAATATTTTAGTAAGGACTTTTGCATCGATGTTCATCAGTGATATTGGCCTGAAGTTTTTTTGTTGTTGTATGTCTGCTAGGTTTTGGTATCAGGATGATTCTGGTGAGGGAGAAAATGAGTTAGGGGGAAGTTCCTCCTTTTCAATTGCTTGGAATGGTTTCAGAAGAAATGGTACCAACTCTTCTTTGTACCTCTGGCAGAATTCAGATGTAAATCTGTCTTGTCCTAGGCTTTTTTTGGTTGGTCTGCTAGTTATTGCTGCCTCAATTTCAGAACTTGTTATTGGTCTACTCAGGGATTCAACTTCTTCCTAGTTCAGTCTTGGGAGGGTGTATTTGTCCAGGAATTTATCCATTTCTTCTAGATTTTTTTGTTTATTTGCATAGAGGTGTTTATCATATTCTCTGGTGGTTGTTTGCATTTCTGTGGGGTCAATGGTGATATCCTCTTTATCATTTTTATCAAATCATTTATCTATTTGATTCTTATCTCTTTTCTTCTTTATTAGTCTAGCTAGCTGTGTATTTGATTATTTTTCTTTCCAAAAAACAGCTCCTGGATTTACTGATTTTTTTTTTTGAAGGGGTTTTCATGTCTCTATCTCATTCAGTTCCACTCTGATCTTGGTTATTTCTTGTCTTCTGCTAGCTTTGAGGTTTGGTTGCTCTTGGTGCCCTAGTTCTTTTAGTTTGTGATATGAGGGTGTTTATTTGAGATCTTTCTAGCTTTTTGACGTGGGCAATTAGTGCTATAAATTTCCCTTTTAACACTACTTTAGCTGTGCCCCAGAGATTCTGGTACATTTTGTCTTTGTTCTCATTGGTTTCAAAGAACTAATTGATTTCTTCCTTAATTTTATTACTAACCCAGGCATCATTAAGGAACAAGTTGTTCAATTTCCATATAGTGGTGTGGTTTTGAGTGAGTTTCTTACTCCTGAGTTCTAATTGGATTGCACTGTGGTCTGAAAAACTGTTTGTTATGATTTCTGTTGTTTTGCATTTGCTGAGGAGTGTTTTACTTCCAATTATGTGGTTGATTTTAGAGTAAGTGCCAAGTAGCACCAAGAAGAATGTATATTCTGTTGTTTTTGGGTGGAGAGTTCTGTAGATATCTATCAGGTCCACTTGATCCAGAGCTGAGTTCAAGTCCTGGATATCCTTGTTAATTTTCTGTCTGATACTGACACTAGGCTGTTAAAGTCTCCCACTATTATTGTGTGGGAGTCTAAGTTTCTTTGTAGGTCTCTAAGAACTTGTTTTATGAATCTGGGTGCTCCTGTATTGGGTGCATATATATTTAGGATAGTTAGCTCTTGTTGAATTGATCCCTTTACCATTATGTAATGCCCTTCTTTGTGTTTTATGACCTTTGTTGATTTAAAGTCTTTTTCATTGGAAACTAGGATTGTTACCCTGCTTTTTTTCTGCTTTCTATTTGCTTGGTAAATTTTCCTCCATCCCTTTATTTTAAGCCTATGTCTCTTTGCACGTGAGATGGGTCTCTTGAATACAGCACACCAATGGGCCTTGACTCTTTATCCATCTTGCCATTCTGTGTCTTTTAATTGGGACATTTAGCCCATTTACATTTAAGGTTAATGTAGTTATGTGTGAATTTGCTCCTGTCATCATGGTGCTGGTGGGTTATTTTGCAGACTTGTTGATGTGGTTGCTTCATGGTGTCATTGTTCTTTATACTTCAGTGTGTTTTTGCAGTGGCTGGTAACAGTTTTTCCTTTCCATAGTTAGTGCTTCCTTCAGGAGCTCTTGCAAGGCAGGACTGGTGGTGACAAATTCCCTCAGCATTTGTTTGAAAAGGATTTTGTTTCTCCTTTGGTTATGAAACTTAGTTTGGCCAGATATGAAATTCTGGGTTGGAAATTCTTTAAGAATGTTGAATATTGGCCCTCTGTCTCTTCTGGCTTATAGAGTTTCATCTGAGAGGTCCGCTGTTAGTCTGATGGGCTTCCCTTTGTAGGTGACCTGGCCTTTCTTTCTGGCTGCCCTTAACATTTTTTCCTTCATTTCAACCTTGGAGAATCTGATAATTATGTGTCTTTGAGTTGATCTTCTCATGGAGTATCTTACTAGGGTTCTCTAGATTTCCTGAATTTGAATGTTGGCCTGTCTTGTTAGGTTGAGGAAGGTCTCCTGGATGATATTCTGAAGTTTGTTTTTCAACTTGGTTCTGTTCTCCCCATCTCTTTCTGTTACCCCAATCAGTTGTAGGTTCAGTCTTTTTACATAATCCCATAGTTCTTGGAGGTTTTGTTCATTCCTTTTCATTCTCTTTCCTCTAATCTTGTCTGCCTGTCTTATTTCAGCAAGATAGTCTTCAAGCTCCGAAATTCTTTCCTCTGCTTGGTCTATTTGGTTACTGATACTTGTGGTTGCATTGTGAAGTTCTTGTGTTCTGTTTTTCAGCTCCATCAGGTCATTTATATTCCTCTCTAAACTGGTTATTCTGGTTAACAGCTCCTGTAATGTTTTATCATGGTTCTTAGCTTCTTTGGATTGGGTTAGAACATGATCCTTTAGCTTAACGAAGTTTGTTATTGCTCACCTTCTGAAGCCTACGTCTGTCAATTCATCAATTTCAGCCTCCACCTAGTTCTTTGCCCTTGCTGGAGAGGTGTTGAAACCATTTGGAGGAGAAGAGGCACTCTTGCTTTTTGAGTTTTCAGTGTTTTTTTGCTGATTCTTTCTCATTTTTTTGAGTTTGTCTAGCTTCGATCTTTGAGGCTGCTGACGTTTGGTTGGGTTTTTTGTGGGGACATTTTTGTTGGTGCTGTTGTTGTTGCTTTCTGTTTGCTTGTTTTTCTTTTAACAGTCAAGCCCCTCTTCTGTAGGAATGCTGTGGTTTTCTGGGGGTCCACTCCAGACCCTATTCGCCTGGGTCGCTCCCACACCTGGAGGTTTCACCAGTGGAGGCTGCAGAACAGCAAACGTAGCTGCCTGCTCCTTCCTCTGGGATCTTTGTCCCAGAGGAGCACTGACCTGATGCCAGCAGGAATGCTCCTGCATAAGGTGTCTGGCAACCCCTGTTAGGGGGTCTTACCCAGTCAGGAGGCATGAGATCTGGAACCTGCTTAATGAAATACTGGCTGCCCTTGGCGGAGGGGGTGCACTGTGCTGGGAGGAATCCCACTCATCTGGACTGGCCAAATTCCTCAGAGCCAGTAAGGGGAAAGACTAAGTCTGCTGATCTATAGAGACCATGGCTGCTCCTCCCGCCAGGGGCTCAGTACCAATAGCCACTGTTTTCCACTGAGTATTGGTGTCTTTGGGGAGATGAAAAAACTTTTAATTGATTTAGAGGTACTTGGCTGTTTCTTTCTGGACTTGTGAGATTTAGCCTCCATATGTGCTTTCACTTCTCTTTCTCTACCATATCCAGTCTCAAATCCTTTTCTGCATGTTATACTGATACTGTACCAACAGTATGCTGTTTTGGTTATTTACCTCCCCAAACCACTTGCCTGTATGCTTTCATCTGTCATTTAAATAACATAGTCACTTAGCCTTATTTTTTTCAGTGATGTCTGGATTATGCTGGAGATAATGTAATCAATCTCATTTCCACTATCTGACCTCTTGTTACAGTAGGTAGCTAGTCAGGCATGAGCAGAGCAGGAGAGGGCTCTCTGACACCCCACCAGGAAAGTCAGATAACCATCAGCTGATAGTCAGGCAGATGTTAAATGTCTCTCTAAAATAGTAATAGGTCATAGCCAGCACCAGGGAAAGGCAGTTTCTCAATAGGTACAAACACCTGAAACTGCTAATCAGCAGCTTCCCAAGAAGATCTCAGGAACTGGGTGAGTGGGCTTGAGCATGCACATTAAGAGGCAAAATTGTGGGGTTTAACTGGTATATGACCTTCTGGGGGCATTCCACCAGGACAGGGAAGTACACCTCAGGTGAGCATACAGACAACTCCAGTAACACTGAGCATGCTCACCTCCCAGGTGCTAGCAGGCCACTGTGCATGCAGGCGGCTCACCCTAAGGGAATAATCAAGGGAAACTGGATTCAAGATGCTGGAAGCAGGCCCACATATAAAACCCTAAGTCTAAGGTCAAATGGACCTTGAACAAGATGTCCACTTGTTCCTCTCCCAAGTATACTTTACTTTCTTTGCCTTCCTACTCTAAAGCTTTTTAATAAACTTTCACTCCTGCTCTAAAACTTGCCTCGGTCTCATCTTCTGCCTTATGACCCTCAGCCGAATTCTTTCTTGTGAGGAAACAAGAATTGAGGTTGCTGCAGACCCATATGGATTTTCTGCAACACTCTTAGAAAATATAGTCACAGTATTCACAAAGTTAAAAATTAAATTAGCACTATCTTGATACAAAGCACAACAGTTAATCCACAAAGTTGAAGAAATAGTGTTATCACTCATGATTACAACCCACTTAGGTCCCATACTTAAGTAGCACCTCTTGGAGTGATATGTCTATAGATTATCTGAGAACCTCAAATTATGATTGCCAACATCAGTGGTTGGGGGAGAGAATGCTGACAGTGATTAAGGAAGATAAATAATCTCTACTGTCTGCATTTGGCGCTAAAAGCAGTGTTGCTTTCAGACCCTAGTTTTTGGGCTGCTGTATGAATTTTGTACTTTCCCCTCAACTGTCTTGCTCCTTTGTCACTGATGTACTCTAGGGGACTTCAGTAAGATGGTTTTCCAGGTTGTATTTCTCCCCATGAAGGTTTAGGCCCTTGTGCTGAAACTGTGTTTCTTACTGCCCTCCAGAGGTACTCCATTTGTGACCCTTAGTCAGAGACACCCAGGACCGGCACTTCCTACCTTTGTATCTTTGGTGCTGATGTTGGCATGTTGGTTCCTTCCCTCCCAGAAAGTTCTGGGTTCTTTGTGACCATTGGTGCCTACTAGTTAGCAAGGAGCTCTGCCTCTTAATGGACAACGTAAAGAATCTCTACCTTGGCAACCACAGTACTCTCCATTGCCCTTGGATTAGGGCAATGGCTTCTTCCCAGATCTATATTTTTATAATTAAGTCATTATACTCAAATGATTCTTCAGTTTAAAAAAAAATCTGGGGCCAGGCACAGTGGTGCATGCCTGTAATCCCAGCACTTTGGGAGGCCAAGGTGGGTGGATCACTTGAAGCCAGGAGTTTGAGACCAGCTTGGCCAACATGGAAAAGCTCAAATCTCTACTATAAATACAAAAATTAACTGGACATGATGGTGCATGCCTGTAGTCCCAGCTACTCAGGAGGCTGAAGCATGAGAATCACTTGAACCTGGGAGTTGGAGATTGCACCACTGAGATTGAGGTTGGCACTGAGATCGTGCCATTGCACTCTGGCCTGGGTGACAGAGTGAGCATCTGTCTCAAAACAAACAAACAAATAAACAGAAAAACAAATCTGCTGTGTGGTGATTCGGTGGTTCTTGCATTTATGGATCTTTATCTGGCAGTTTCCCTAAAACCAATTTAATTTCTATCTACTATAAGTTAGGGTCCTTGAGGACATGCATGATATTCTTTTATCTTTGTATTTCTATCACCTAATCATATAATAGAAGCTTATGAATATTTATTCAATAAGTGAAGTTTGTGTAGTCTACAGATGCTTTCGTATGGATTGTAAAACAATATAAAAGTATTTGAAATGTTAGTACAGAGGAAAAGAAAATATTTATTAATTTATTTGTTAACTGAAAACCTAAATTTTATTCTACTCTTGATACTTCCAAAAGTGCCTGAAGAAAGGAACTATACTGAATAATACTATAAATTCAGACTCTGCAGAACAATGGAAAGTTTAGTCCACTGTTACAGATGACTAGACAGTAACTGTGTATACCATGTACATTTTTAAGGGAGGTAAGACTACTTGTTACCTGTAGGGAGAAAGCACACATTAGGTAAATAACAGAGTTCAGCTGAATTCTAGAAGAGCAAGACACATAAAATGTAATGATGAACAAATACATTTGATGGGTTGGGAGAAGAAGGAAAGACAGGAAGGCACATGGGGTCATCTGGACAGTGAGATATGGGAGTGCAAGGGGTAAGAGGAAGGCAGCCAGACAGGACAAGGTAGGAAAGGACACTTACCTTCTTGTTACATGTACAGTCAGTTTCCAGCATGCAAACCGCAGGTAAAACCCTCCAGCATTTAAACCCATGCATCAGACTCTAAACCACTGAGGTCATATAGTAAAACACAGTGCTCTGTAACCCTGGCACTCTGCATGGTTCTGAGCACCAACTAGCACCTTGACGAGTTTGCTGGCACATTGAATGGGGACTCTGCTTTCCTCCTTGCAGGAAACTCTCCCTAGAGCCCCTTCCTTTTGCTCTGAGGAATTGTCCCCTAGGACCAAATAGTACACATCAGTACCTAGGAAGTCCATAAAGTACTTCCGATGATATTAAAACCCAAGCCTTGAGCTGTATTTCATACCTGGAGACTCTAACTCAACATTTCATCTTCAATTGCTTGATGGAGTACATTGTAATTTTTAGAAAACCGTTCAATTTTCCTGCATGCCACAGGATGAATAGGAAGCTCTCCTACAAGGGAGGTCCTAAGTGGGAATTGCAGTGAGTCCTGGAGTCACTTAATACAAAACAATGGAAATAAAAGTCATCTCCCTTCTATTGTGCCATTTCTCCTTTTGCATGAGCAAATGGGAATCATCTTTAGGGCATTATGTATTCATTGAGGGGCTGTGACCTTAATCCATAAAGCCCTATACAGTTTATGCTTTGATTACCTTAAAGCCTGCCTCCCGCTATACTTGTCCCAGACAATCAAAATCGCCCCACAATGTGCCTGCTAACAGTTCAGTTGCAGTGGGCCCAAGATCGAGCCATCTGGTAAATAGCGTTTGGCACAGGGCTTCTTTCCTTAAGGTGATCTGACCACACCACATCTTTTGCCTGGAAATCTTCTCTCTTCTTGCCATAATGCTGGGCCAGTTTTCAGAACTCATATTATTGGATAATACAATAATTAACAAAAATAAACTGTAATAATTAATCCGATGAAACAAAATCTCCATGAGGAAGTTACACATGCTTCTAAATGATGAAGATGAAATTTATAAGTTTTTTGTTACCATAAGCTGGTGAAAAAAGTATAAATTCAACCAGGGGTAGAAGGCAAAGAACAAATATTTTTGGAGAACTTACTACCTGTCAGAAAGTTGTTATGTTTTCTTATCTGACTCACAACTCAATGATGCAGATGTCATTATTCTTATTTTATAAATGAGGAAACTGAGAAAGGTTAAGTAACACTTCTAAAGGCACATGAGTAGTAAGTCATAAACTTGAGATTCAAATCCAAGTGTGCTGGCTCCAGATACCAGGTCTTTATACTTTGTAACCTAAAAAATCTTTTTCTGAACTTTCTGTTTTTCTTTATCTTCTTTACCTTGCCATTTTATATCATCTGCCATCTTTTCATATTTCTTCATCATTTTTCCTTTTGAGAATCTCTTTAATTACTCTTTAAAATAACTATATTTCTGATTTCCTTCCTGGTCTCTAATAGCTTAAGCCATTGTCGTCTTTTCTTTACCAGTGTATTAACCCATAATTGGCCTCATATTTATTCTTTGTTCTCCCCCCATGATCATTGTTAAGGAAATAAATTATGCTACTCTCTTGCTCAAAATCCTGCAATAGGCTTACGTCACAACTTAGAGTAAAATTCCCTCTTTTGATGGCCAAGAGGGTCCTGCATGATCTGGCCCTCACTTTTCTCTCTCCTCTTGTCTCCTGCCACTGCCCTGCAGGTTCACCTCACTGCAGCCACACTGGTCCTCCTGCAGGATCTTGGACACCAAGTTCATTCCTGCTTTTGCACTTGCTTCTCCCTTGTCTTCCCTCTGATCTTTCCTTGGTTCACTCTCTTACTTCATTCAGACCTCTGATCACTATTCCCTCTTAAGAGAGGGCTCCCTTGATTCTCTATTTCTCAAATAACTGTCAGCTAGTCCCACTCTAATCCCTTACCCCACTTCATTCTACTTCATAGAACGTATGACAAACTACCTGAAATTATAGTAGTCTTAACATGAACTTAGTCTCTTTTTGTCTGTCTTCTGCTACTTAAATATAGGCTCCATAGACAGAGGGATCTTTTCTGTCTTGTCTGTCACTGTATCTCAGGGTCTAGAACAGTGCCTGGTTGGAGTAGGCACTCAGGAGACATTTGTCAAATGAATAAAGATATACTTTCACAAATGCTTCAGTAGTGTTCAGGGTGATCTTAGCAAATTGCTCATTTGGTCTTTGAATTATTCCTTCTCATTTGTCTACTGCATTTTTTAGTTATATCCTTACTCTAGCAGTTGGTCACATACTGTCTCATGATATATATTTATATTACTTAAATAACTTTTATACAATATTGTTATCATTTGTGTGTTTCTGTTTTTTATCTCATTGACAAGCATCACAGTAACTTAAGCATGATCTGTACTACTCTTAGTATTTCCCATAGCAACACAGTTCTTGTGATACCCCATAGCAGAAATCTATAGCCACTTTGATATTTGATGATTAAACTAATGACATATTATTAAATACCTACTATGTGCAAGACAGTATTCTAAGTGCTGTTTTGATATTATTTCTCTTATCCTTTTAACAGCAATCTGAAGTAGGAATTCTCATTTTCATTTTGTGGACAAGAAAACTATGGTTGAGCAAGGAGTGACTTGCTTAATTAGGGTTGTACACGCAAGTAAAGGTAAAATGGGTCTTAAACCTAGATACTGACTGGAAAACAAATGCTCTTTCTACTAGACACCATAGCTTTGCCATACATCTCTGTTAACATATAGATTCACTTATAAAGCTCAATGACTCCCAAACCACACTGAGCTGACTTGTATACTGTGGGGGAAAAAGAACGTGCTTAGTGGAGTATGTTGCTTTTGATGATTACCTTTGTGTCCTGTGCTTGGTGTAAAGAAGGACTGGAAAGGGAACTGACTGCATTGAGAAGGTACTTAAAAATGCGAAGCAAGGGGTCACAAAAGGTAAAGAAGGATTTTGATTCATTTTCATTGCGTTCCCAATTACTTGAGACCAAAGGCACACCATGTTTTTTGCTAAGATCACCCTGAACACTACATGAGGCAGTATGTGATCAATTGCTAGAGTAAGGATATAACTAAAAAATGCAATAGACAAATGAGAAGGAATAATTCAAAGCAATTATTTGCTGAGATCACCCTGAACACTACTGATGCTTTTCTCCTCCTCCTCATGACCATTGTCCCCGGTCAGGCCTTAAACCTAGGAAAGTATAGCTCTGATTAGAATTGAGAAACTCAAGGTGGAGCCTAAGAAGAAAGAGAATCAATCACTAAGTAACCACATTTCAAATCTCCACCGTCATCCAAACCACACTATATCCTTGATTTCTTTCCAAGCATGGTGTCCTATAGGCACCAAGGATACAGAATCCATGCTTAAGAGGTACATAAGGTGGGCGGCAGCACGAAGGAGGTATTTTGTGACTTGCTGAAGCTTGTTTCATGAGATTTTTACATTTGCTATACTTTCTTATTCAAGCTGATTTTTCTCTTTCTTTTCTTTCTTTCTTTTTTTGCAGACAGGCTGTCACTCCATCACCCAGGCTGGAGTGTGGTGGTGTGATCACAGCTCACTGTAGCCTTGAACTCCTGAGCTAAAGGGATCCTCCTGCTTCAGCCTCCAGAGTAGCTGGGACTACAGGTACACCACCATGCTTAGCTAATCTGTGTGTGTGTGTGTGTGTGTGTGTGTGTGTGTGTGTGTGTGTGTGTGTGTGTAGATGGGGTCTCGCTATGTTGCCAGGTTAATCTTTACATTCTGGCTTCAAGCAATCCTCCCGCCTCAGCCTCCCAAAACGCTGCGATTATAGGAGGGATCCACTGCTCCCAGCCTCAAGAATCTTATCGGAATGCCATTATAAATCAGTGGCTCCCAAGTTTCATGTATTTAAGAATCACCAAGGCATCCTACATGCAAAAGCAGACTCTAGGGTCCTCATTGCCTTAGGTAGACTTTGAGAACCTGAGTCTTAAGTATCTCCAGTTGATGCTGATAACACATGATCCATGGAGAAATATCAGTCTGAATAACCTTTTCCCCCTCAGATATTTTAACTCTGGAATTGTGTTTTAAACCTATGAATAATATATTATTTCTCATGAGCACAGAAGAAAATCGAATATGCTATTGTGTTAATATTAAATCCAATATCAAATCCAAAGCAACAATCAGCCAAGATATTCCTTTTGCAATGGTTTAAATCTTTTTTTTTTTAAAGCCTGCTAGGGCTTTTAATGCACAGTCAATCTTTTAAATTAGACATCAGCCAAGCGTTAGCTCACAATCTATATTGTTAAGTACTAAAAGCTGGCCCAGCATTCTGGCAAGAAAGATGAGCTGTGAAGAGTGAGTCTTGACAACCAAAATGGTGTGAAGTGCTTAGATCACCTTTGGGGGAATCTTGGCACTAATGCTAATCTCTGTTTCCCAGAAGGTTCCTTTAGTGTCACACAGTGGGGAAACCATTAGCAGACACACTGCGAGAAGATTTTGATTGCTGCAATGCATACATGCTACATTTCCTGGGGATTTTTTTTAAACTGCCTTAATTGCACTAAATTCTCTAAATAATTACTGAAAAACTATATTAGACTCAAAAAAGATACATAACATGGTCCTTACTCAATGTACCTTATAAGGGGTAGCTAGAAGTAGACTGGTATGATATTTATTATGATAGAATATGAAAGGCACCAAACAACCGTATGAACACAGTGCTCAGAGCTCGGAGGTTGTGAAGAACACAGAAAGGATGATATTTGAGCTAAGCCTTAGTGTGTAAGTAGCCTTTCACCAGGCAGAGAATGCAGCAAAGGCCTTTCTATAAAGAGGTGCCACCTTCATATAAAATAATAATAGCAACTGACATTTATTGAGAACTTATTTGCTAGGCATTGTTATAAGCACCTGTTATGTTTTATCTCATTTAATTCTCGCTCTAAAAAACTCTGTGTAATGGGTGCTGTTATAATCCTCAGTACATAGATGAAGAAACCCAGCTGCGTGCACGTGTGTGGAATACTCTTGGGTAGCATGAGCAGGTCAGGCAATGGCAAATGGCATGATGTGACCTCGAGTCAACATCGGAGGCATCAAAGGTAGGTTGGATCCAGGTGATGAAGTGCCCTCATCACTTAGCCAGGTGGTAAGTGCTTTTATTACATGGAAGGCTTTGTTTTTGTTTTTTAAATTAGTGTTTCTTATTACGAAAGTAGCACCTATGTGTGATTTTAAAATCTACAAAGAGCATACAATAAAAAAGCCATGCCAGATATTCAGTTCCATAGCTTCCCTCCCAGGAAACACCCACCATCATTAACTACTTATGTATCTTTGCGGAAATAGTGTAGGTATAAGCATCTTCTTTATTTATCCTTTGTTGCATGCAAAGGAGGATACTATACAAATCTTGCTTTGTATCTTGAGGTTGGTCCATATCAGCACATTTAGATCTATCTTATTCTTTTTGACAGCTCCATGTTTTCAAATTATGTAGTTGAACCATGTCTTATTTAACCAGTTAACTAATGATAGACATTAAATATGTTATAGTGAATAAACAATGCTGATTTGAATATTTTTGTCTTCAAAACATGTAGATATTACAGGAGATCCTTCCCCAAGTGGATTTTTTGTGCCTTTAGGAAATAATTGAAAGAGAGGAAAGGCATGAACAAGCTGGCCTTTTAGAGCTATGAATCTGGCAGCTGTGTGAATAACGGAGCGGAGGAAGGAGCAATTAGAAGCAAGAGACTGGTCAAGAGTCTCTTGATTTATTCAGGAGAGAGACAGTGAGAGCTGCTGAAAGTACCAGCAATGTGCACTGGGAGCAGAAGACAGAGTAGAAGAAGAGTTTACAAATATAATCAACTGAGAAAGGATTTGCACAGCCTTTCTGGCTGCTCTTGTTTCTTCTCCCATGCCTTTCTGTTTTCCACTATGCTGTTTTTGGGAGATACCTAGAGCCTATGATCAGAAAAGATGTGTGCTGACATCATGACCACCTTTATCTTTCAGGGTTAGAATGTGTTTTTAATATTTTGAAATTAGTAACCACAGAAAAGTTAAGGAACCAATAAGCAGTGGGAATATGTGCAGAGAAAACCCTTTTTTCTTATAAAAACAGTTCCCAAAGTGAGCAGTGGGTTATATTAATGGTCAGGTGTGCTCCCAATTCTACCAGGTGTTAGTGTGGATGAAGCCTTATATATATATATATGTATCTTTTATCGCCATCTCTTTTTTCCTTTTCCTTTTCTCATACCAATAAAAGCAAGCTTGTTATCCTTTCCATTCTAGGGTAACTACAGTACCCTCATTAAGCCGCATGATTTCTTTCATTCATTGTCTAGTCATAATCTTAATTACCCCTGCTTTAAAAAGCTTAACCTACTTAAAGGAGAAATAACAAACTAATCCTAGTTTGACAACACATGTGCTTTGCATCTGGCATTAGGAGGAACAGGGTCTATGGAGCATCTTTCACTGCATGGCCTCTGAGGGAAAATGGCAGAGAAGAGGAGAAAGCTTACAGTTGCTGTCCTCTTTTCTCCCCTCCTCATGCATAAAGGCAGCTTTGGGAATAGCTCTACTCACTCCAAGCCTGGGCTCCAGAGAACTCCACAGCCCATATGCCCTCAGGCCGTCCAATCTTATGTAATACAGAAATGAAGCAAAACTCCTCCCAGTGCTGCTGCAAGTCAATTAGAAATTGAGAAATATAAAACTGAAAGCCAGAGAGGGCAGGCTGCCAGTCACACAATGTGCCCTTCTGCCAGGGCACGCCTGCCCCCAGTGATATGTGTGTTAATGTTTATTCTTTCTGGCAAAAAAAAAAAAAAAAAAAAAAAAAAGCCCCAAGTCGGGGCAGCTCCCGCCGCTTTGGCTCAGAGGGAAACCCAGCGCCTTCACACGCCTGCGCTGCTCATCCAGCAGGCAGGTTTTGATGACGGCATGGCAGGACAGTAGTTGCTGCTCATTCACGGGGGAAAAAAGTGGGTTCTGCAGCTTGGAAGTCTTTTAGGCAAATGGTGTTTGCGATATGCCCAGGGCCTCTTCATGCTTCCATTTTAATTACTATCATTCTGCTTTCCTGGAGGAATAAGAAAGGAGAAGGAGACTTGAAATGGGAATCTTTCAGGTGGCAGAGCATATTTGTTTGTTTTTAGTGAAACTGACTTTATTCAATATATTTCTTCTTATTCCTGGGTACAGTGAAATGCAGAGCAAGTGAAAGAGCAGAGAAATGGGAGAGGTGAGAAGGGGATGATGGGGTAGGTTCTCAACTCACTTCTTGCTTTCATGCCTGGAACATTTCTCTAAGCCAGAACTTTCTGAACAAAGTGGATTTCAGGTGTGCCAAAATACTGATCTTTCAGCTCACAGGTCAGGGTCAAAAAGAGCCTCGAGGTGCCTTTTCTATGTAGCCCAAGTCACCTTCAAATGTAATGCTTTTCTATGTATACCAAGATGTACAATTTTTGGAGGCAATAAAAAATACTGTCTTAGAATCCAGGAGTCCCAAATTTTGGGGTAAAAACTTCTAGTTTTCTAGGATGTATGTGCATATGTGTATCTACATATATATGTGTGTATGTAGTTGTGTGTATAGAGAGAGTTAATCTAGCCTAGCAGTTAATAGTATTTACTTTGGATTCCTGCAGATTTTGTTTGAGACTCAGTTTTACCACTTTCTCACTATGTGACCTTGAGCAGTTGACTTAGCCCCTCTGAACCTTAGTTTCCTGGGGGATAAATAGCCACTTTTCATATTCATGACCTTGGGCAAGTCACTTAACTCTTTGTTCTTCAGTTTCTATTCTGTAAAATAGGATAATAGTACCAACTTCATAGTTTTGCAGTAAGGATTAATATGTTAATTCATATATTGACATATAAGTTAACCTGTCTGTCTGTTGATCACTTAGAACATTGCTGGTTCATGGTAAACTATAAAAGTGTGAATTATCATCACCATCCTGTAAAGTGTTGTGCACAGGGTCATATACATGATAGCTATCATCACAGGCATCATTATTATTTTTATAGTTAGCTGTGGGGAAGAGAAGTGTTTTTGTCACCACCACGGAAAACCAAAATGTGTGGAGCTCTGACAATGTGGTAGTAACTGCTGAGAACACAGGAGATAAGACTCTCATCTGCATGAGTCTAAAACACACAATCTAGACCACCCAGCAGCACAGGGGATGAGCTCCCTGTGGACTTCTTATTTGATCAGGAGTTTCTCCTCTTCACCCCTTTCTTCTCAGCCTCCCTTCATCATATTCCTGTTTTTGTTAATGCACTTATCCACCACTTCTGCCAAAAAGAAAAATGGGAATATTTGTGTTCTTTGGAGATTCTGCCAAGGAAGCCGTGGCCCTGGGGCTTCCTGGTGTCCCTGTAGCTTCTCTCCACGCTGGCAGCTGAAGGAAGCCATACTCACGGGGAGGCGTGTGAAGAGTCATCAAATGCTAAGCCTGGATGAAGCGTTATTAGAAACAGAGGAATTACTAACGAGTTGAGTTTTCTGACAGGAAAATAAAGCAATCAAGATCGGTCTAGGTGGGTACCCTGTGGATCCAGGGGCCCTGGGGTAGATATATGGTGGTGGAGGGTGTGGCAAGATGCCCGTCTATGGGCTTCTCTTTGCTATTCATCAACCCATAGAAAAGATCCATTTGCCCCATTTCTAGGAATAGAGCGAAGCCACTCCCAAGAGAGGAATAAAGTAGGAATCACCTCCCCACTTTCCCTTCCTTTCCCCTTATGCAATAGCGTGACTGGCAAATAGCTTGGAAGGAGGACACAAGTCAAAGCTTGAACCCTCCATCCAGAGGCCATTCCAAAGCTCCCATTACAGCAGCCTTGCACAGGAGGCAGGGATGGCTAAGTTGGAGTCAGATAGACCTTAGTTGAAATTCCAGCTCTTCTTTTTTTTGCAACTAAATGACCATGCTCAATCTATTAACCTTCCTGCTTCTTGAGGCCCTCATCTGAGAGATGGAGTTAAAAGGATTGAATACATGGTATTGTGCCTGAGTTAATAGATGGGGAAAACTTGCCACAGCGGGGCATGGCAGGTGCTTGGTCAATGGTAGCTATTTTTATTCTACTCTTGTTATTATAAACGTTAAAGTCACATGCATACTACTATTCAGTGGGTCCCACTGCCACTGCTAATACTAAATCATTCCTTTTTCGCTCATATCTGTTGGCAGCAACCTGCTGACCTTTCTTGACTCCACTCACTCTTGAATGCTGCAAACAATTTCACTTCTAACCTAGATTTTACTTGTAACCAAGTGCTCACTTTTTTACATATACGTTCCCTGAACTCTGTGCTCTCTTTGAGCCACCCTCCCTAATCAGGAGTAAAGGTGGCAGAGAAATCACAGTCTCAGATCCTTGTCACCCAGACACCCCAGATCCTGCCAAAGTCTTGTTCTGTCACATCCAATCTGACTGAGGAATCTTATAAACTGCAGATACATTCATTGGCCACTTGCTTGGGGCAGGAAAGGAGAACTGATCCCTCCACATTGAATGATCTCTGGGAGGGAAGGTGAAATGGAGGCTAGGTTACACAACAGGAAAAATGCAAGAAATCTTGCCATCGATGCTCCTATTGGCAGTTTATTTTGGTTTCTGGTTTTGAAACTGCTGTGTGAAGTCAGCTACTGGAAGTTTTTGTTGCTGTTTTCTGATGCAGGAGGATTATAAATCCAACCAAGTTTCCCTCAAACTTCTTCTCTGGGATTATTTCAAAGAAAAAAAAAGAGAGAGAGAAAATGTTGCTTGTACCTTCTCCCTCTGAAGCTATGGTAGCTTCCCCAACGATCATTCTGGAGAGAGTTCTGACTCAAGATTCCATAAGAAAACCCAAATGAAGATATAAAAATAATCTTCTGTGGGCCAACAGAAGGAATGACATAGATGCTACAAACTGAATGCTGACTCAAAGGAATTGAAGCTTTGGTTTGAGCAGTACCTCTTTGACGATTATAGACACAGGATCTTCTCTGGTCAGAATAAGAAAAATGTGGTTTATCCTCTTAAAAAGCATGTGAAGAAGGCATCAGGTACCTAAAGAATGACTCTGCAATTGAGGATCCTAAGCCATAAAAAGCTGGCAGACATCTTTGGTAGAAAATTTTGCTAGCTTCAAAAAGAAATAAAGAGGAAAAGCTTTAACTCTGGGTGAGGACTCAAGTTTGAAGGCTGATTAAATGAATGCCTGGGTAATACTCTAAGTCTGTGTGTTTCCGATACCTCCCTCTTTTTGCTCCTAAAGAGTTTCAAGCAATGTTATCTGGGAGTGTATTAAAATGGCTCAGGATATAATTATACTTGTCTTCTTGGTCCCACCTGAGTGATTCACTATCTCTTCCTACATCTAAAGAATTTTTGTCACTAAATTCAATTCCTGGAATTATCTGGTGGTTAAGAAGTCTATAAAGTTCACTGTGCTCTAGACACATCTAGTTAAAGAATCATAACTACGTTCATATTTGCTGGGTTGCAGAGCGGCACTAAGGCTTTCATCCTCTGACTCAAAGGCATAAAATAATGCAAGCAAAAAGATCAAAGAATTCTATCCTTCCAAAGACAATTTCTATTCAATGTAAGCACATTTACTTTGATGGCTAAGCTTGGGACAATCTGTTTTTTTTCTTGTCCTTCCCACTATCAGAGGAATTATTCATTAATTCAACAAGTGTTAATTGAGCACCTACTATGTGCTGGAAACTCTTCCACGTGCTGAGGATATAGTAGTAAAAAAAACAAATTTGTGCTCTCATGGAATTAAATTATACTATCATGCAGTAGATCAATAGCCCACTATATTGTATAGTGCCAGTGAAATAAGTACTATGAAGAAATATAAAACAGGCTATCTAGTAGAAGACTTGTTTGGAAAGCAAACTACTCCTTGGGTAGAGAGAAAGTAAAGCATTAAAATGTCAGGTAACATTCATTCCATATAGTTTTTCCCTAATTGCCTCAGGACTTTCAAATGATGTCAATGTGTGTTCAGTAAAAATAAACACATTGGCGCAGACATAGAGACATAGGTATATGTCATAAAAAAAAGAACCATGACCCACTTTTAGTTTTTACTAAGAACTGACTGTCTCATGCAGACCAGCAGTCACCTGAGGTGGGAGTGAACAGAAATAAGTTTATGGTGTTGAGCTTGACACACCTGATGTAGTTATTTTTGGCTTTAAATTTTTAAATTAAAAAAATTTTAAATTGTGGTTAAAAACACATACCATAGATTTACTTACTTAACAGTTTTTATGTGTATATTACGGAATTGTTAAGTATATGCCCATTGTGATACAGCAGAGCTCAAGAACTTTTTCCCCTTGCATGACACAACTCTTGCCCATTGAATAACAATTTTCTCTTTTCCCCTACCCCCAGCCCCTGGAAACCACCATTCTACTCACTGTTTGTATGAGTTTGATTACTTTAGCAACCTCATATGAGCGGAATCAAGCAGTATTTGTCATTTTGTGATTGGCTTAGCACAATGTCGTCAAGGTTCATAATGCTGTAGCAAATGACAGGATTTCCTTCTTTCTTAAAGCTGAATAATGTCCCATTATATGTATATACCATATTTTGTGTACCCATTTATCTTTGGATGGATACATTGTGGTTATTGTGAACAATGTTGCAATGAACATGGGTGTGCAAGTATCTCTTTGAGATCCTGTTTTCAAATCTTTTGGATACCAGTTTCATTACTTTTGAACCATTACATGATGTGTTGCCCTGAATGAAATGCCAAACTCATTCTCCTTGTAATTTGCAGTGGTTCCCTGGTTTCTCCAACCCCTCTGTATCAAACACCTGGTATCTCCCAGAACCTGAAGACTCAAAGAAGAGTTAAATAAATAAATAAAAGCTAACACTTCTATGGTGACTACTATGTGCTGGGCACACTTCTAAGTTAACTTTGGGAGGTAGGTACTGTTATTCTCACTCCTGGTTTGAGGGAGAATGCTGAGGCACACAGTTAACTGGCAAAAGAAGGATGGGATGTGGTCCCAGGCAGTCTGGCTTCAGAATTCTGTACCTAAACCCTCACACCAAACAATCTCTCCTTTACCTTCCAAGTGTTGAGGGTATGGCAGGAAGGGACTGACAGACAAGGAGATGACTACATTCAACATTCCAGGAATTGCTGCAGTGAAGATGCTCAAACAATTTGCTTTGAGAACATGGACCAAGACACACTGAACTTTACAAAGTTGGGAAAAATTTTTCTGGGGTCAAAGAGACTTGGGTTGAATCCTGATGGTTCAGTAAGAGGGTCAAATGAACAAGAGGGAATTATCAAAAGAAGTAATGGCATTTAAGGCACCTTCCTGGTAAAATAAAATCTGTGTTTTTGCATACCTGCTATGCACATACCTGCATTTGATACCTGCTATGCAAGTGCTTGGTGCATGTTAGACCTTATTGTAAGTGTTTTATGTATTCTCTTATTAATCCCTAACAAGGCACCAAAGGGCAGATATAACGATCCTCATTTTACAGATGAGGAAACTGAGGTTCGGAGACGTTAAGCATGTTATCCAAGAATGCACAGCGGAAGTCCAAGCCTGGTTTGTTGGTCTCCCAAGGCAGTGCTCCTGACATTCTGCAAAGCGTAAAGGAAGAATGGATGATGGAGAAGCCAGGTGCTCTCCACCCTTGAAAAGCCCTGAGGGTAAAACAGCCTGTTGTGGCAACAGCAAAGTTGTGGCAGGAGCTGGTCCACTTTGGCTCACTGACTGATAAGCCTGAGTAGAGTATATGGCAGAAAAGGGAAGGTTAAAAACAGGGGCAAAGTAGCAAGATCTTTCTTTAAAAAGAAGAAAGCTGGGCTTCCTCCTCTCCCAGCCTGGCAGTGCAGCACCGTGGTGGCGGGGGTGTTTGGTTGCCTCGAAGCCACTGTGCGCCCAGTTCTAAGGTTGCAGCACAAGGCTCTGTTCACCTGACACCTTAGAAAAGCAGAGCAAGTGAAACAGTGGCTTATCACAAGGCACCTGAGGTCTCTGTTTCTGGCTGGGCTCTACGGTGGACTTGGCATTCTGAAAGCACTTGTAGATAGACTGCCAAAATGCCAACTTGAAAAAAAATCCAAGGTAGGGTCAAATTTTCTCTCCATCTACCATCCTCTCCCTCCCACAGGGTAGTAATCACATCACAGAGAAACCTGAGTGCACTTATTTTTTGCTGCTTGATCCTATTCGCCTGAAAAATATAAATTTTGCTGGAGAAGATTCAGGGAGGAGGTTCTGCATCCTGATTTATTGCTCTTTCCCTAAGAAGTTTTAGCTTCTGAGAATTCTATTGTGTCACAACTGGGGTGGGATTTAGCTCTTGCTCTGAAGGGATTGAGTCTTGTTGACAAAATTAATAAAAGGCATGATCTGGCACCTCAAAGCACTGTGATGTGGCAACTTATGAAGAATAGAGAAGGGACAGTTTGTTCAGTTGCTTTACTTTTCTTGTGGCCTTTTAGCACTCTCCTGATGCACAATGATGGATAAGCTCACAGGTCCCCGCTAGACTCTGTGTCATGCCTACACTCCCCTAACTCCTCACACATAAAACAGCAGATGCCCTGGATAAGGGGAACAGAAGATGAATAAGTGTATTTTCCCTTCAGTGACAAACATTCTTACTGATGTAGGTGCCCAGTGAATGCATGTTAAATGGATGATCTGGGATTTGGGGAAACAGTGGAAATGGGGGCAAAGGGCTGGGAGAGAGCGAGGAAAAGAATGGTGATCCACACGTGGGAAGACAAAGCTGGTGTCATAACCTGCTCTGCTGTCTCCACCTGCCAAATCCTTTGAGATCCTGGCTTGAACAATCAGAATATGTTCAACATGTCCACATGGAGAACAGCCTTTCTCTGTGCTAAAATGGTTGGGGAGTAGTTTTGGGAGAGTTTCAATCTGTGTTTATTTTGGTGTTCCAAGAGGAACCCAAACCCAATGACATCTTCTATTTTCGTGACACAGTCATGTGAATCAGCACTGGTCAGCAATGGTCCCTGGACAGGTTTCGTCTCAGAATTATCCCCAAGGGTGTGAAGAGAAACCTCTTATTTCTTGGGCCCAGAAACTATATTTCAGTAGACAAGAAGAAAAGAACATTTTTGAGAAATATATGAGATGATGAAAGAGGATTGCCTTCATTTTATTTTATTTTTTTCCTAGTTGTAGCTCCACCTGCCTTGATTTTAATTATGAAAAATAATACAATTGCTTTTAAATGACAAAATACACAATTATAGTTAGGATCATGATTTCTGAATGTGTGGCGTGCTTACGTACATTCTTACTGGAGCTGTGCTTGAACTCTTGAATTCTAATTTAGCTGTTGTAAAGTCATTTTTCAAGCTTTTTACTAAGTCGGGCGTCAGAATAATTTTATAAACAGTTGTGGTTAATACTTCCAGAGTGAGAAAAAATGATGAAAATGCTGCCAGTTCTTTTTGTTTTGTTTTGTTTTTTAAGGCAGATTTCCGTCGTTTGTGGTGGCTGGGAGAGCGGCTGTGCCTCGGGCCTCAGCTCTCCTCCTGCTTTCCCTCCAAGGATGGCCCAGAAGGAGAACAGTTATCCCTGGCCCTATGGCAAGCAGACGGCTCCAGCCGGCCTGAGTACCCTGCTCCCGCGAGTCCTCCCGAGGATCCCCACCGAAGCTGCGCGTGAGCTCCCGAGCTGCGCAGACCCACAGCCCGCAGCGGCCCCTGGCCATGAGGTGGTAGAGAACAGTTGTGGGAAGCGCAGCATCTTAACGCGGCCCTTCCTGGTCGACGACCTTGAGACTGGGCGTCCCCTGGGCAAAGACAAGTTTGTACATGTGTACTTGGCTCGAAAGAAGACAAGCCATTTCATCGTGGCCCTCAAGGCCTTCAAGTCTCAGATAGAGGAGGGCGTGGGGAGCACCAGATGCGCAGGCAGATGGAAATCCAGGCCCCCTTTCAGCATCCCAACATATTGAGTCTCTACAACTATTTTTATGACCTGAGAAAAATCTACTGGATTCTAGAGTACGCCCCCGCCACCCCTACCCCCGAGGAGCTGTACCAGGAGCTGCGAAAGAGCCGCACCTTTGACAAGAAGCCAACAGCCACCATCACGGGGGAGGTGGCAGATGCTCTGATGTACTGCCACGGGAAGAAGGTGACTCCCAGACATGAAGCCAGATAATCTACTCTCAGGGCTTGAGGGCGAGCTGAAAGTTGCCGACTTCGGCTGCCCTGTGCACGCCCCCTCACTGAGGAGGAAGACAAATGTGTGGCACCCTGGACTACCTGTCCCCAGAGACAATTGAGGGGCGCGCGCACACCGAGAAGGTGGATTTGTGGTACATCGGAGCACTCGGCTATGAGCCGCTGGTGGGGAACCCCACACACAATGAGGCCTATGGGCGAATCGTCAAGGTGGCCCTAAAATTCCCCCTTCTGTGCCCATGAGAGCCCCAGGACCTCATCTCCAAGCTGCTTAGGCATAACCCCTCAGAACGGCTGCCCCTGGCCCAGGTCTCAGCCCACCCTGGGATCCTGGCCCATTCTCGGAGGGTTTTGCCTCCCTCTGCCCATCAGTCTGTCCCCTGGTGGTCCCTGACATTCACTCGGGGGCGTCTGTGTTTGTAAGTCTGCATATGTGTAGGGGAAAGGAGCGGTCCTGACCTGTTCCCTTAGCTGTCTTCTACTTCCTTTGTTTAATAAAGACTGAAGCTTTTTTTTTTTCTTTTTTTGGTAAATAAGTGTAAAAAAGGAGAATTTTGAAAAGACCAAATCAATTATGAAGCCTTGGTCTACATTGCTCATTGTAATGCTTGGGTTGGAAAAGGTGGCTTCAGCTTTAATATGTTGAGAATTAGAGGAACATAAAGTGGATTCAGAATCCTAGTGGACTTCTCTAGACAGCAAAGCATGCTTGGAAGATTTCCTGGGGGATTCTGAGACACTGCCAGATTTGAGCTCAAAGGCGGAGTGAGCTGTTCATAGCTCTTGTTCATAGCTCTATCCATGACGATTATCGAAGACTTGCTACCCAGTGAGGACTCAGTAAATAACTGTTGAATAAACCCAGTAAAATAAAATGGGAAAAGTCAGTCTGAGACCTGTACTGGGTTAGACACTGATGATTTAGCAATGAATAAAACAAAATCCCTGCTTTAGGGCAGTGCTTCCATTCTCATGGTGTAGTGCTAGTGTGGAGAATTTCATCCTAATTATTCCACAGCAATGCATTTTTTGCTGAAAAAATATTTTTTTTTCTGGAGTGAATTGCATCAAATCAATTTAATTTCTGATCACTTTTCTGCAGAGTACGTTGAAACCACTTCTAATATTTCCATTTTCATTCTTATTTTCTTACTTTTGTTGAGATCTTTTTTCCTGTGAAAATTTTGTAATGAAAGTTGATTCATCAGTTAGTTCTTTTTTCCACATCTAGTATTGCCAAATATGGCTTCTTTCATTTCTATGTTTTTAACCCCCTTTGGACCCATATTTTTACTAAGTCTAATGCTCACAGGTAAAATTGAAGATCTCACACTTTAACTGTTGCCAATTTTATTTTAGGTTGACTGATTCTACCATATGTTATAAGGGGACAAAGGACGGTAGCTTGTATTTATGTCCTAGCTAATTCTTGACACCCTGCAGGATGGCACTGCATCAGGAGTGAGTCTCCTACATTGCTAAGGCAGCTCTTTGGATCCCTTTGGGTGCTCTGTTCAGAGCGTCAACATGTCCTCTTTCATCTCTAACTTTATCACTTCCCAGGACACTTTAGACGTTGTATGTTCCAGCCAAATAGACTGCCTATTGAATGTTGCTTTCCCACCTTGAGGTCTTTCTTTTTCTTTCTTTCTTTCTTTCTTTCTTTCTTTCTTTCTTTCTTTCTTTCTTTCTTTCTTTCTTTCTTTCTTTCTTTCTTTCTGTTTACTTCCTTCCTTCCTCTTTCTTCTTTCCTTCCTTCCTTTGCTTGCTTTCTTTCTTCCTTTGCTTTCTTTCTTTCTTTCTTTCTTTCTTTCTTTCTTTCTTTCTTTCTTTCTTTCTTTCTCTCTCTCTCTCTTTCTCTCTCTCTCTTCTCTCTCTCTTTTTCTGTTTTTTTGATGGAGTCTCACTGTCACCCAGGCTGGAGTGCAGTGGCATGATCTCGGCTCACTGAAGCCTCCATTTCCAGGTTCAAGCGATTCTCCCGCCTCATCCTTCTAAGTAGCAGGGATCGCAGGCACGCGCCACCACGCCTGGCTATTTTTTTTTTTATTTTTTATTTTTAGTAAAGACAGAGTTTCACCATTTTAGCCAGGCTGGTCTCGAACTCCTGACTTCAGGTTATCCACCTGCCTTGGCCTCCCAAAGTGCTGGGATTGCAGGCATGAGACACCACACCCAGCCTTTTCTTTCTTATGTTTTTTTTGTTTGTTTGTTTTTCAGAAGGAGTCTCACTGTCGCCCAAGCTGGAGTGCGGTGGCTCACTGCAACCTCTGCCTCCTTAGTTCAAGCGATTCTCCTGCCTCAGCCTCCTGAGTAGCTGGTACTACAGGTGTGTGCCACCATATCTGGCTAACTTTTGTATTTTTAGTATAGATGGGGTTTCACTATTCTTTCCTATGTTTTATCAGTTTTTTTTCAGTTCTCTATGAGGATGTTATTGATCCTTCCAATCAGAGGTAATTTTTTTTACATCTTTAATGACACAGATATTATGTTGTTATGCTATGCTATGTTATGTTATTATATATTTATTTATTTGAGACAGGGTCCCACTCTGTCACCCAGGCTGGAGTGCAGTGGCACTATTACAGCTCACTGCAGCCTCGACCTCCTGGGCTCGGGTAATACTGCTGCCTTACCATCCCAAAGTGTTAGGATTACAGGTGTGTACCACCATGTCTGGCGTACTTATTTATAACGTATTAATGACCTTGTCTTATTTTCCATATTGATCTTAAAATTCCTCAAAGGCAGAGTTCATATTTTATTTATATTGATGTCTTATAAAATTATTTTATTATTATTATTATTTTTTGAGATGGAGTCTCGCTCTGTCACCCAGGCTGGAGTGCAGTGGCACAATCTCGGCTCACTTCAAGCTCTGCCTCCCAGGTTCACACCATTCTCCTGCCTCAGCCTCCTGAGTAGCTGGGACTACAGGCACCTGCCACCATGCCTGGCTAATTTTTTAGTTTTTAATTTTTTCACCATGTTAGCTAGGATGGTCTCAATCTCCTGACCTCGTGATCCTCCCACCTCGGCCTCCCAAAGTGCTGGGATTACAGGCGTGAGCCACCACGCCCGGCCTATAAAATTATTTTTTAAAAATTAAGTTGAGGCCATCTTTGAACCCCAACTGCAGTAGGCTAGAAGGATGATCAGTCTGATTCCTATGCTCACCTCCCATCCACTCACTGCCATGACAATCTTGTTCTAGCTGGACTGGCCCTTTCCATTTCTGAAGCTGTGTCCAGTCTGTACCACTCTGGAAGTGTGGGAAGTTTGGGCACGGGGGGTTTCTGGGCCTAGGCTTCTTAGTATCCCATACAGCTACCCACTCTGGTCTTATGAACTCCCAGGGAGACTGACCTGAGATGAGTTTACTTTCCATGGACTTCTTTTCTTTTCTTTTCTTTCCTTTTTTCTTTTCTTTTCTCTTCTCTTCTCCTTCCTTTTCTTTTCTTTTCCTTTCCTTTCTGTTACTTTCCCTTTTCTTTTTCATCCAATTATCTTTTTTCTTCCCTTCCTTCCTTCCTTCCTTCCTTCCTTCCTTCCTTCCTTCCTTCCTTCCTTCCTTCCTTCCTTCCTTTCTTCCCTCCCTCCCTCCCTTCCTCCTTCTTTTTTGTTTTCTTGAGACAGAGTCTTACTCTGTTGCCCAGGCTGGAGTGCAGTGACACAATTATGGCTCACTGCAGCCTTGAATTCCCCAGCTCAAGCAATCTTTGCACCTCAAACTTCCAAGTAGCTGGGATACAGGCATGCGCCACCACGCCTAGCTAATTTTTGTATTTTTTGTAGAAAGAGGGTTTCTCTATGTTGCCCAGAATGGCCTTGAATTTCTGGGCTCAAGTGATCCACACACCTTGGCCTCCCAAAGTGCTGTGATTACAGGTGGGAGCCACTGTGCCTGGCCTACATTTTTTTCTTTTCTTTTTTTTTTTTTTAATTATACTTTTAGTTCTGGGATACATGTGCAGAACATGCAGGTTTGTTACACAGGTATACACGTGCCATGGTAGTTTGCTGCACTCATCAAACTGTCATGTACGTTGGGTATTTCTGCTAATGCTATCCCTCCCTAGCCCCCCACACACTGACAAGCCCCAGTGTGTGATGTTCCCCTCCCTGTGTCCATGTGTTCTCATTGTTCAATTCCCACTTATGAGTGAGAACATGCAGTGTTTGGTTTTCTGTTCCTTTGTTAGTGTGCTGAGAGTGATGGTTTCCAGCATCATCCATGTCCCTGCAAAGAATGTGAACTCATCCTTTTTTATGGCTGCATAGTATTCCATGGTGTATATGTGCCACATTTTCTTTATCCAGTCTCTCATTGATGGGCATTTGGGTTGGTTCCAAGTCTTTGCTATCATGAACAGTGCCACAATAAACATATGTGTGCACGTGTCTTTATAGTAGAATAATTTATAATCCTTTGGGTATATACCCAGTAATGGGAATGCTGGGTCAAATGGTATTTCTGGTTCTAGATCCTTGAGGAATTGCCACACTTTCTTCCACAATGGTTGAACTAATTCACACTCCCACCAACAATGTAAAAGCCTTCCTATTTCACCACATTCTCTCCAGCATCTGTTGTTTCCTGACTTTTTAATGATCACCATTCTAACTGCTGTCAGATGTTAGCTCATAGTGGTTTCGATTTGCATTTCTCTAATGACCAATGATAATGAGATTTTTTTCATATGTTTGTTGACTGCCTCAATGTCTTCTTTTGAGAAGGGGCTGTTCATGTCTATTGACCACTTTCTGATGGGGTTGTTTGTTTTTTCTTGTAAATTTGTTTAAGTTCTTTGTAGACTCTGGATATTAGACCTATGTGAGATGGATAGATGCAAACATTTTCTCCCATTCTGTAGGCCTGTTCACTCAATGATAGTTTCTTTTGCTGTGCAGAAGCTCTTTAGTTTAATTAGATCCTATTTGTCAATTTTGGCTTTTGTTGCCATTGCTTTTGGTGTTTTACTTATGAAGTCTTTGCCCATGCCTATGTCCTGAATGATATTGCCTATGATTTCTTCTAGGGTATTTATGGTTTTAGGTCTTATGTTTAAGTCTTTAATCCATCTTGAGTTAATTTTTGTATAAGATGTAGGGAAGGGGTCCACTTTCAGTTTTCTGCATATAGCTATCCAGTTTTCCCAACACCACTTATTAAATAGGGAATCCTTTCCCCATTGCTTGTTTTTGTCATGTTTGTCAAAGATCAGATAGTTGGAGATGTGTGACCTTACTTCTGAGGCCTCTGTTCTTTTCCATTGGTCTATATATCTGTTTTGGTACCAGTACCATGCTGTTTTGGTTACTGTAGCCTTGTAGTATAGTTTGAAGTTAGGTGGCATGATGCCTTCAGCTTTGTTCTTTTTGCTTAGGATTGTCTTGGCTATACGGGCTCTTTTTGATTCCATATGAAATTTAAAGTAGTTTTTTCTAATTCTGTGAAGAAAGTCAATGGTAGCTTGACGGGGATAGCATTGAATCTATAAATTACTTTGGGCAGTATGGCCATTTTCATGATATTGATTCTTCCTATCCATGAGCATGTAAGTTTTTCCATTTGTTTGTGTCCTTTCTTATCTCCTTGAGTGGTGGTTTGTAGTTCACCTTGAAGAGGTACTTCACATCCCTTGTAAGTTGTATTCCTAGGTATTTTATTCTCTTTGTAGCAAGTGTGAATGGGAGTTCACTCATGATTTGGCTCTCTGTCTATTATTGGTATATAGGCATGCTTGTGATTTTTGCACATTTATTTTGTACCCTGAGACTTTGCTGAAGTTGCTTATCAGCTTAAGGAGATTTTGGGCTGAGACGATGGGGTTTTCTAAATATCCAATTATGTCATCTGCAAACAGCAACAATTTGACTTCTCTTCCTATTTGAATACCCTTTATTTCTTTCTTCTGCCTGGTTGCCCTGACCACATCTTCCAATATTATGATGAATAGGAGTGGTGAGAGAGGGCATCCTTGTCTTCTGCTAGTTTTCAAATGCAATGCTTCCAGCTTTTGCCCATTCAGTATGGTATTGGCTGTGAGTTCATCATAAATAGCTCTTATTATTTTGAGATACGTTCTATCAATACCTAGTTTATTGAGAGTTTTTAGCATGAAGGGGTGTTGAATTTTATTGAAGGCCTTTTCTGCATCTATTGAGATAATCATGTGGTTTTTGTCGTTGGTTCTGTTTATGTGATGGATTATGTTTATTCATTTGCATATGTTGAACCAGCCTTGCATCCCAGGGATGAAGCCAACTTGATTATGGAGGAGAAGCTTTTTGATATGCTGCTGGATTCAGTTTGCCAGTATTTTTTAAAGGATTTTTGCATCAATGTTCATCAGGGTTATTGGCCTGATTTTTCTTTTTTTGTTTGTCTCTGCCAGGTTTTGGTATCAGGGTGATGCTGGCCTCATAAAGTGAGTTAGGGAGGAGTCCCTCTTTTTCTATTGTTTGGAATAGTTTCAGAAGGAATGGTACCAGCTCCTCTTTGTACCTCTGGTAGAATTCAGCTGTGAATCTGTCTGGTCCTGGGCTTTTTTGGGTTGGTAAGCTATTAATTACTGCCTCAATTTCAGAACTTGTTATTGCTTCATTCTGAGATTTGACTTCTTCTTGGTTTAGTCTTGGGAGGGTGTGTGCGTCGAGGAATTTATCCATTTCTTCCAGGTTTTCTTGTTTATTTGCATAGAGGTGTTTATAGTATTCTCTGATGGTATTTTGTATTTCTGTGGGATCAGTGGTGATATCCTCTTTATCTTTTTTTATTGTGTCTATTTGATTCTTCTCTCTTTTCTTCTTTATTAGTCTGGATATCGGTCTATCTATTTTGTTAATCTTTTCAAAAAACCAGCTCCTGGATTCATTGATTTTTTGAAGGGTTTTTCGTGCCTCTATCTCCTTCAGTTCTGCTCTGATCTTAGTAATTTCTTGTCTTCTGCTAGGTTTTCAATTTGTTTGCTCTTGATTCTCTAGTTCTTTTAATTGTCATGTTAGGGTGTCGATTTTAGATCTTTCCTGCTTTCTCCTGTGGGCATTTAATGCTATAAATTTCCATCTAAACACTGTTTTAGCTGTGTCCCAGAGATTTTGGTACATTGTGTCTTTGTTCTCATTGGTTTCAAAGAACTTATTTATTTCTACCTTAATTTCATTGTTTACCCAGTAGTCATTCAGGAGCAGGTTGTTAGGTTTCCATGTAGTTGTGTGGTTTTGAGTGAGTTTCTTAATCCTGAGTTCCAGTTTAATTGCACTGTGGTCTAAGAGACTGTTTTTTATAATTTCTGTTCTTTTGCATTTGCTGAGGGTGTTTTACATCCAATTATGTGTTCAGTTTTAGAATAAGTGTCATGTAGTGCTGAGAAGAATATGTATTCTGTTGATTTGGGGTGGAGAGTTCTGTAGATGTCCATTAGGTCTGCTTGGTCCAGAGGTGAGTTCAAGTCCTGAATATCCTTGTTAATTTTCTGTCTCATTGGTCTGTCTAATACTTACAGTGGGGTGTTAAAGTCTCCCACTATTATTGTGTGGGAGTCTAAGTCTCTCTGTAGGTCTCTAAGAACTTCTTTATGAATCTGGGTGCTCCTGTATTGGGTGCATATATATTTAGGATAGTTAGGTCTTCTTGTTGCATTGATCTGTTTACCATTATGTGATGCCCTTCTTAGTCTTTTTTGATCTTTGTTGGTTTAAAGTCTGTTTTATCAGAGACTAGGATTTTAATCCCTGCTTTTTTTGCTTTCCATTTACTTCATAAATATTCTTTTATCCCTTTACTTTGAGCCTATGCGTGTCTTTGCACATGAGATGGGTCTCTTGTATGTAGCACCTGGATGGGTCCTGACTTTTTATCCAATTTGCCAGTCTGTGTCTTTTAATTGGGGAATTTAGCCCATTTACATTTAAGGTTAATATTGGTATGTGTGAATTTGATCCTGTCATTATGATGCTAGCTGGTTATTTTGCCCATTAGTTGATGCTGGCAAGGTGGCCTAATAGGAAAACTCTGGTCTTTAGCTCCCAGTGAGATCAACGCAGAAGGTGGGTGATTTTGCATTTCCACTGAGGTACCAGGCTTATCTCATTGGGACTGGTTAAACAGTGGGTGCAGCTCATGGAGGGAGAGCTGAAGCAGGGTGGGGCGTTGTTTCTCCTGGGAAGTGCAAGGGTTCAGGGAACTCCCTCCCCTAGCCAAGGGAAGCTGTGAAGGACTGTGCCATGAGGAACTGTGCATTCCACCCCAGTTCCTACACTTTTCCCAAGGTCTTCTCAACCCGCAGACCAGGAGATTCCCTTGGGTGCCTGTACCACCAGGGCCCTGGGTTTCAAGCACAAAACTGGGCGGCCATTTGGGCAGACACCGAGCTAGCTGCAGGAGTTTTTCTTCATACCCCAGTGGCTCCTGGAACACCAGCAAGATAGAACCATTCACTCCCCTACAAGGGGGGCTGAAGCCAGGGAGCCAAGTGGTGTAGCCCAGCGGATCCCACTGCCACAGAGCCCAGCAAGCTAAGATTGATTGGGTTGAAATTCTCACTGCCAGCACAGCAGTCTGAAGTTGACCTGGGACACTCGAGCTTGGTGGGGAGAGGGGAGTCCACCATCATTGAGGGTTTAGTAGGCGGTTTTCCCCTCATAGTGTAAACAAAGCTGCCTGGAAGTTCGAACTGAGTCAAGCCCACTGCAGCTCTGCAAAGCCACAGTAGCCAGACTGCCTCTCTAGATTCCTCCTCTCGGGGCAGGGCATCTCTGAAAGAAAGGCAGCTGCCCCAGTCAGGAGTTTATAGATAAAACTCCCATCTCCCTGGGACAGAGCACCTGGGGGAAGGGGCAGCTGTGGTTGCAGCTTCAGCAGACTTAAATATTCCTGCCTGCTGGCTCTGAGGACAGCAGTGGATCTCCCAGCACAGTTCTCGAGCTCTGCTAAGGGACAGACTGCCTCCTCAATTGGTCTCTGACCCCTGTGCCTCCTGACTAGGAGACACTCCCAGCTGGGGTCGACAGACACTTCATACAGGAGAGCTCTGGCTGGGATATGGCAGGTGCCCCTCTGGAATGAAGCTTCCAGAGGAAGGAACAGGCAGCAATCTTTGCTGTTCTGCAGCCACTGCGGGTGAGGCAAACAGCGTCTGGAGTGGACCTCCAGCAAATTCCACCAGACCTGCAGCAGAGGGGCCTGACTGTTAGAAGGAAAACTAACAAACAGAAAGGAATAGCATCAACATCAACAAAAAGGATGTCCACACAGAAACCGCATTCGAAGGTCACCAACATCAAAGACCAAAGGTAGATAAATCCATGAAGGTGTGGAAAACCAGCACAAAAAGGTTGAAAATTCCAAAAACCAGAATGCCTCTTCTCCTCCAAAGGATCACAACTCCTCGCCAGCAAGGGAACAAAACTGGATGGAGAATGAGTTTGACGAATTGACATAAGTAGGCGTCAGAAGGTGGGTAATAACAAACCCTTCTGAGCTAAAGGAGCATATTCTTACCCAATGCAAGGAAACTAAGAACCTGGAAAAAAGGATAGAGGAATTGCTAACTAGAATATCCAGTTTAGAGAAGAACATAAATGACGTGATGGAGCTGAAAAACACAGCATGAGAACTTTGTGATGCATATACAAGTATCAATAGCTGAACTGATCAAGTGGAAGAAAGGATATCAGAGGTTGAAGATCAACTTAATGAAATAAAGCATGAAGACACGATTAGAGAAAAAATCATGAAAAGGAAAGAACAAAGCCTCCAAGAAATATAGGACTATGTGAAAAGACCAAACCTAGTTTGAGTGGTGTACCTGAAAGTGATGGGGACAAACGAACCAAGTTGGAAAACACTCTTTAGGATGTTATACAGGAGAACTCCAACCTAGCAAAACAGGCCAACATTCAAATTCAGGAAATACAGAGAACACCACAAAGATATTCCTCAAGAAAAGCAACCTCAAGACACATATTCATCAGATTCACCAAGGTTGAAATGAAGGAAAAAATGTTAAGGGCAACCAGAGAGAAAGGTCAGGTTACCCACAAAGGGAAGCCCATCAGACTAACAGCAGGTCTCTCTGTGGAAATCCTACAAGCCAGAAGAGAGTGGGGGCCAATATTCAACATTCTTAAAGAAAAGAATATTCAACCCAGAATTTCATATCTAGCCAAACTAAGCTTCATAAATGAAGGAGAAATAAAATCCTTTACAGACAAGCAAATGCTGAGAGACTTTTACCACCACCAGGCCTGCCTTACAAGAGCTCCTGAAGGAAGCACTAAATATGGGATTGAAAACCAGTACCAGCCACTGCAAAAGCATACCAAATTGTAAAGACTATTGACACTATGAAGAAACTGCCTGGTCTACATTTCTTTCTTCTACCCATTTAAAATATTTAATATTAACTCTTCAGTAAGTTTTTCTAAAGCCACAAAAAAAATTCATCTTCATCAAGCAGTTTCTTTTCTGCCTTCTTCTCAGCAAAATTATCTGAGCCAAGGAAATAGTAAGGCCCTGGCTATCTGCTTGAAATGGGGAAGGGAAAATATAAGAAATAAAAATGTATTATTAGTTGGGTGGAAAATCCTTCCACAAATTAAAGGCTGATAGACTGACTCTGAGATGTAAACATTTATAAAAGTGAAGGGCAAGTCTGAATGTCTTGACTCAGGAGGCCAGACAACTCTAAGCAATACAAAATAGGAAATAAATACTGGCATCTGAGCTCCTGGGAATTTGATAACTAGAAATAGCTAGAAATGTCAAGAAGGTAGGAAGCATGAGGAAGAATTGCCAGAGGGTGGATGGATAGGACTCAGGGGTAGAACACTGGCTTCAGGATGACCAACAGCATTCAGATGAGAATCTGGATCTGGAAAAAGAGGACATTGAGTCACCCTCACAATAGGGTGTTCAAGAAGGAAAAACCTAATTACTGGAAAGAGATGCAAAGATTAACTCTGTGCAGAGGCAAGGCTGACTTCATGCTGTGTTGCTGAGTCACCGAGCTACTTGCTTATGGTTTCAGAATTCCTCCTCTTATAGAAGAAAGCAAGATTGGTCCCCAAGCTGGGGGTGGGGCTCAACTCCTGCAGCAGAAATTTGAGTTGCCCCAGGGATGGGGAGTGGAGGGATGGGGTAAGGAGTGGAGAGTGAGTCAGGCCATTAAACCAGACTCGATGCACAGTGTTTGAAAAGGACACTGGCATAAAAATTAGTCTTCACACACTTCTCCACACATGGATGCTGTCAACCCTTAACTTTAAACATGTTGACCAAAATAAAAATGGCCTACTTTTTAAAAATCGCCACTTATATTTGCTCCTCAAAAGCTCAATTGCAGCAATCCAATGTAGACTATATCTCATGTGTTGAAAAATATACTGACAATATTGTTCTGATAATGACTGTTAGTGAAGTCTCAAGAACGAATAATACATTTTCTGAGAGGATCAGAGAGCACGTCATGGACAACTGACAGTTTATGAATCATCAGTCAGGAAACACTGTGTTATAATAACTCTAAGACTTTGAGTTGGGCAACAACCATAATTGTTGCAGCAAAAGCACTTGAGTATTATTCAGTGACTTCATAGCTCCAGTTTCTTTCCATTTTAATCTATACCACATTCAGCAACCACAGCAAGCTTTGTTAAACTATGAGTTAAATACATTCTTCCCCTTGCTTCACACTTCCAACAGATTCCTCATGTACTCCATGTCAAGTACAAAAAGTCTTTCTGTCAAAGAGCACCATGATTTGAACTCTCCACCAATTCATTGCTCCTTGTAACTGTCTCCAATTTAATCTGTTCTCTAAATATGTCAGATTAATCATTCAAACTTACCTTTCACTTTTCTTTATGCTGTTCACACTGCTGGAAAAACTCCATCTTCTTCTGGGTATCTAAATGCTGCCATCTCTTAAGATCTACCTCTTGTTCCACTTCCTCCATGAAACCTTTTCCAGTAACACTTGCCAAGAATTTTCTCCCTTCTTCCAACTCTCAAGATTGCAGACAGAAATGATCATCCACCTAACGTCCTCTCTCCCTTTCTTTCTTCTTGTGGAATCCCAATTTTATTCTGGCCAGCTTTTCTTTTTTTCTTTTTTTGAGCAAGGGTGTTAATATTCTGGCAACTGAAACATAAATGAGTTTCTAGGAATTGTTCTCCCAATATAGACCTGGCACCACTTTTCCTCCTTGGTACTTCCTTTATATTCTTTCTAGCATCTAAACCTGAAGTTGCAGATGGAGCTGTCATTTTATGTTTGCAAAATAAACAAAGGAATGAAAGCTAAGTGCTAACCATGACAAAATGGAAAGAGGGAAGGAATCGGAGATGTTGATAACATCATGGAGCTACTGTCCCAGCCCTGTTCTGCTTATGTATAGCCATACGTTCCTTTTTATATAAGGAATATAAACCCCTGTTGGGTAATTCACGATAGGTCAGTGGATAATCTATACAGTTTAATACAATTTTTATCTAATACTGACATATATTCAGAGCCAAGATCATACCATAAATCAATTATTCTCTTTTTCTTTCATCTTTGTTAATTTTCTCTCTCCAACTAGATATTATTGCTTTGTAGATGGATGTGATTTTAAATGTCTTTATTTATATTTCATCACTATTCTTCTTAGACATTATTTGAGGAGTCTAATAAATAAATATCGTGCAAATGCTATTGAAATAAATTACATCAATCATCCAGTAACTCTATAATAATATGAACTATGTGTCCAGCATAGTAGGCATCATACCAGTTTGAGGGAGTTTGAGTTTTGGAATAGTTTCATTGTGACACTAGAAATCAGATCCCTGCATATGGATTTTAAAAATGTATTTGTTTTAAAATGGTTGCCAAGAGTGTTTTCAGTTACATCTTGGTACTTAATTTTATTATATTTTGCTATACTTGCAGGAATACTTGTACTTTCAGTAGTTAGTGTTAAAATAGAATAATTAGGTAAATGACGGAGTTGGGCAACCTTATAGGACATATATAAACTATATCTTAGTAGAGTAGTTATTATGGAATGAATAATATAATACTGTGAGGATAATCCTGTAACAAATTTCCAATACATATTTAAAGAAATATTCTTTCTTTAGCTGTGGAAGAAGCCACTTTGCAATTGAGGAAGTCTAGAACTTGAACTTTCAAGATTATGGATAAATTGTGTATATAAATTTAACTTTACCAAGAATGATGAGAATAAATACTGGAGATGAAAATGGTGAGCTCAGTACTAATGTGCTTCAGAATAAGAAAGACTAATCAAAAGGTAGATGGTAGCTGCAAGGAGGTTCAGTAAGGAATATTGCCAATGATTATGTGTTGGTATCCAGTATTGTTATTAAAAATATTATTTAATTATGTTTTAATTTTTACTGAAATATTTTTAAATGTCTAAATCAATGGATTTCTTTTATTTGTTCTTTAGTATTCTTTTTGAATTTTATAATATTTTGGCAATGTTACATGGTCTGTTTACATGCTCTGTAAAACTTATTCAAGATTTTTTTTGGTTGCTTGGTATATAGTCAGTTTTTGTCAGAGTTCCATTGTTGTTTGAAAAGAATGTATAGTCTCAGTTTTGGAGATCTGAAGTTTGATATGTAGCTCTTGAGTTCATCTTGTTAATTATATTATTCAAATGATGAGGAAATTAAGCCCATAGCTTAAATCATTTTGTGCTGAACTAAGAACAATATGTATATATGTTATATAACTAGTTTATAATGTTAAAGGGAATTTGAAATTTTAGAGAATTTGTAAGCTGAATCCTGTGATTCCAAGTTTAAAAAAGTAATTGATATTAAGTTTGTGACTTTAAGTTGAAAGTTAAGATAATTTGCCTAAATTTTAAAACACTATTGGAGTATTTGTATTAAGAACTTCAGATTAATTCATTCTTTCTTCCTACCCACACACATAAAAACACACACAATTTATTA
Source organism: Homo sapiens (assembly GCF_000001405.40). Taxonomy (NCBI): domain Eukaryota; kingdom Metazoa; phylum Chordata; class Mammalia; order Primates; family Hominidae; genus Homo; species Homo sapiens. Next base: position 108,117,496 of record NC_000008.11, on the reverse strand, counting down.
GACAAATGAGTTGTATAAGTTCTAGGAAGAATTTTCTTAGTAGTACTGTGTGCTTGCCTACCCAAGCATTTAAACTTCCTCAAAAGGAAATAAAATATACTAATCTAAAAAGTGGACTTTAAAATACTTAGAAAAATTAATTAAGTCCATAAATTGAACATTTATGTGGAATTTATTCTACTCTAGTTAGCCAAATATTAAGTAAAGATCCTCCTGAAAATTATTGTTCTTGTTTTCTATAAAATTTGCCACATTTACAGATAAAATAACTTTGTAAGGTGGACTTAAAGGCTTAAGGAAAATTTGTATTTTTAGTTGGGAAATTCATTACATAGAATATTTAAATCACATATAATTCTAAATAGTCTTTTCTGGGCACAAAAGACCTCGCTGAGCATCAGAAAACTCCCATGGATGAAAATTAGTATTTTAATCAAAATTCCAGAATGGGGGAAGTTGAGTATGGCATTCTAAATAAATAGACGTAGAAGTCTCAATGAAAGACTGGGAAAATGGAAGCATGAACACTGGTATGATAGAATCCTCCTACCCTCAACTAAAAAGAATAAAAGAATACAGAAATAGAGAAGTTGTACATGAAATTTGAAAGAAGGTCTTCCATATGCTATAAGCTTTAATAAATTTGCTAGATTAATTGCAGATGGGATCAAATTTAAAAAATTATTAAGGGATCTACAAACTTCCCTTTTAATAAAGTAGAGTAATTTCACAGAGTAAATGGACAAATATCCTAGAAAAAAAATATTATTGACATCCCCTAATTTTGAGGGGCCAGGGCTGGAATTAAAGAATGGGGCACCATGGAATGGATCAGGGGAATTTCATGGAGAATCTTTTTCACTAGCACAGATTCTTACAGTTTGGAAGCAGAATGTCTAACGGCAAATGTGGTCACACTAGGTAGGAAGCAGATTCTCCCATCAACTTGGGCCCCTTTAGAAAGGAAAACAGACAAAGGCTCATCATGTACCTGGATTTATCCTAAATAGTAAAAGTTAGTGAACACACATGTGGAGGGAGTGGTGAAATAACCTTGAATGGAAGGGTTTTCGGATCTGGAAAAAAGCTTGAGTTAGGGACTGGCTCAGAGCAGTAGGGAAAGTGGCATGAGGCTCTATTTTTGCCCTGATTTTTTTCCTCCCTAGACTATTTACACTAGAAATTAATGCTTAATATTTACTCTCCTAGTTCTTTCTGTGGTTGCAGAGGAGATGTCCAGGACCTACCTCATTAGAGTTCTAGATTACAGATTAATGAGATTGGGAGGTGGGTGGGTAAGAGGGAACCTGATTCACACTAGACCCTCTTCAGCCTTCTGGTTGACTGTAGAATCTATGTTCTTCAGGGTAGATTTGAGAATCTGAGAAGGTGGCTGATATGGTTTGGCTCTGTCCTCACCCAAATCTCATCTCAAATTGTAATCCCCACATATCAAGAGAGGGAGGTGGTTGGTTCATGGGGGCAGTTTCCCTCATGCTGTTCTCATGATAGTGAGTGAGTTCTCATAAGATCTGATGGGTTTTATAAGTGTTTGGAAGTTCCTCTTTCACACTTCTTCTCTTGCCTGCCGCCATGCAAGATGTGCCTGCTTCCCCTTCCACCATGATTGTAAGTTTCCTGAGGCCTCCCCAGCCATTGTGGAATTGTGTGTCAATTAAATTTCTTTTCTTTATAAATTACCCAGTCTTGGGCAGTTCTTTATAGCAGTGTGAAAGCAGACCAATACAGTGGCATATAATTGGCTTATTTGCATGCTCAATTTGATAAAGGAATGAAAATTACTGTGTGTAAAGCATACAACAGGCACACATAACTACTTCAGTATATGCATTTATTAATGCATACAATATATCTAATGGGTGAGGGTAAATAGGCAGCTAGGCCAAGAGGGACTTTAGGGAAACTGAACAGCACCGTTACATTGATGTTTGATGTTAATAGCAACCAATGACAATTTGTCTCTATGCATTGTAAAATGGCATATATTAAATTTATCTATCTTCAGTCTCAGTGAAGCCAATCCACTCCCAAAATAAATTACAAGAGAATAACCAATATTATCTTATGTTTGTACTTGTTACCACATCCTACTTATTACCAGGGAAGCCAATTCACAAGCATTTTACCTAGTGTATTTGCTACAACCATGGCTGAAATCAGATTGTGGCCTTGTTAAGATAATTGGACAGGTACAGCTGTATTTGAAATTGTTAAACTGTTCTCTGGCTTTCTTTTACTTCTTTGGCTTAAAGATCAAGTGGCAGCTAAGGGAATCTATAAACGTGAAATCATGACCAAGTGAACAAGGATATACTTCAGGGTAGCAGTGTGGTTTAGTGAGAGGAGCAAGGCCCAGGGTTAGACAAATCTGTATGTCTGCCCTGACACTGTCACTGACTAGTGTGCCCTTTTGCACAAGTTACTCTATTTACCCAGGTCTGTTTCTTTATCTGGAAAGTGGTAACACTACCTAGTAATTATAAATATTAAATTCAACAGTAAATCTAACATAGGGTCTAAAACATAGAAGATGCTCAATAAATAAAATCTATCCTTTTTAGCTTATAATTTATTCTAGAGGATGAAAATAGTTTCTATTCTATGAATAAAAAGAAATGTATGGGGACCCCCCCCAAACTCAGTTACACATTACAGCAGCCAATTGTATGATTCTAATTTGAATGATTCCAAAACTCTGAAAACCCTACTATTCTAACTCCCTTCCTCAGTCCAGTATATTTGGATACCTATTTACATTGTAGGGCTTAAGGTAGGAAGTCTCAAAGGCAAATGACATACTTTCATTTTTTTAAGAGAGATTAAATCTTATTCCATTATTTTCTGTTGGCTAAAAATCATGCCAGGTATTTTGCTATGTTCTACCTATACATAGAAATGAATATTAAGGTGAGGGGATTAGGAGGTTTAGGGGATAAGGGAGAAATTAAGATGAGAAAAGTTAAAACAAGGAACAGTCTTTATTTCTATTCCATCTTAAGTTATATATGTCCAGTCCCATATACAGAGTGTCTGAGAAGGTGGGCTGTGTAACTGGCTTCTTGGCATGCACAGTTTGGTAGAGTAATGAAGTTTAGTGAGTTATAAGTGTGAAACAGCCAGCAAATATTCCCAACTCCTTCAGTCTATACAATAATTAGCATATGTGACATGCAGATTAGGTGGGGAGAATTGTGCATGGGAGATTGGGGGAAGGGTAAGCAGAACTGTGGTTTTGACAACTGATTTTTAAATGACCCAAGTTTGTTTCTTTGCACTAAATAAATTCCTGTAATAAGCTGTTAATGCACATATTAATTTAATTTAGTTTAGTTTTTTTTTTTTGAGACAGAGTCTCACTCTGTTGCCCAGGCTAGAGTGCAGTGGCGCAGTCTTGGCTCACTGCAACCTCTATCTCCCCGGCTTAAGCAATCCTCCCACCTCCCAAGTAACTGGGCCCACAGGCCACATCACTAGGCCCAGCTAATTTTTTTTCTGTATTTTGTGATAGAAAAAGAGTTTCACCATGTTGCCCAGGATGGTCTCCAACTCCTGACCTCAAGTAATCCACCTGTCTCTCAGCCTCCCAAAGTGCTGGGATTACAGGCATGAGCCACTGTGCCTGGCCTAATTCAGTTTACAGGTCAGACCTCCTGGGTAGTTTATAAGCTCCTTAAAGACAAGTACAATGTCTTATTTCTCTCTACACACCCTTCCTCTAGCGTAGACACTCTGTAAATGTTTGGTGGATAAATGAGTAAATAGATGAATGATCACAAAATTAAGTGGCCTGCAGTTGCTGAGCTGAATGTGTCCTACAATTCTGAGAAGGTTGAGGTTATAACTTCAGTAAAATATTTTGAGGCTAATTTTATTCATTGATGTGTCTACAGAAATATCATTATAATACTATCATAAATTGGAGCACCACTGGCTTAATTGGTAAGCAGGGCATGTATGTGTGTATGTCTTTAACCTGATTTGATCATTACACATTGTATACATGTATAAAAATATCACATGTACCCGCAAAATGTGTACAGCTATCATATATCAATAACAAATACAAAAAAGCTGTTAGTTGGCTACATGTAGAAGTGGGAATATATCATAAAATTTGGATTTGCATAGTTCTCTTGATTGAATCTTGAATGATAGACGATTTCTCTTGAAAAATGGAAATATTTGGCTTCAGGAGTTCAAATACTTACGTGAAAAAAATTTGGGTAGAATAAAGTAGTGACTTCCCTCTATAAATAGGATACGCAATCTCTAATTCACCATAGTTCCCACCGACTCAATTTCCTCATTTATGTGACCTATCAAATCCCTAACGGTTGAGTTTGTGACCCCTGCACCAGACAATAACCTGGTTAAAACAAAAAAGAAGAGGGGGCATATGGGAAAGAAGGGGGATATCTTCTTCTCTTCCAAAAATACTGTGAGAAGTCTAATTGGACCTGATGTGGTTGTAGTTGGAAGGACCACACACCTGCAGCATGAGTGAATTTGGAGGCAAAGCTGATACAACTGTTTGTGCACTGAGAGATGAAGGGATGGAAGATTCCAAATTCCATTTCACTTTGCTGCGTAATGGTGCATCATTGTAAACAAAGACTAGCCTTTCCAAAGCCAGGGGTTTGCAGTTAGAGAACTTGGTTACTGAAGTGGAAGGAGTACAATGAGGGAGGACTGGGATTGTACCCCGTCCAAACTACCTCATACAGCTCTCTGGTTCTTAGAAGTCAGCCAATTCAATTTACTTACATTTGGCTTCCACTTTCAGAAACACACACATTGGATGACACAATCTGTTATATTAGATTTACTAATATTTCACAATGATGCAGCAAAGAACAGGCCAAGTACCTTTGACACATGAGATTTATAGCCAGTGATCAATCTTGTAAATATAACAAATTGCCACAAAAAAGGGGGAAAGAACAGATTCTTTCCCAAACAAGAAAGAAAATCTTAACCTACTCATTTGATGGATGAGTAGGTCTTTAAAAAGGAAAAACAACAACAAACAAATAGAAAACATTTGGAATCTAAAAAAAAAAATCTTTCTCTGTGCACCCAACAATCATCATCTTCTAACACCAACTCGGTGAGTACAGCTAGCAAACTGAGTTTTCCCTCTTACCTTAAGAATATTAGCAAATTGCAATGGTTATGCTCTGGAAGAAATATGATATTCTTGCACTAGGAGTTTCCAGCAGGAATACAGCTTCTACAGTTGGCAGGCTCTAACTGACACTCACAAACAGGTCCAGTTTGAAAAATGAGGATTCAGGATGCAGTGAGAAGCATATTTTTCTTATTATTTTTTATGCGTATTTAGATTTTTGGAGAAAAAAATAGAAAAACGTCCCTAGAACTGAAACTCAAATGAATTACAAACATCATCCCTTCATGTTTTCTCTAGTTCTCACTTTCTTCTATACTGTGATTTAGAAAGAAGGGGGCAAGGGGAAATTTACCTTCTCTTAGATTTAGGAGAAAAGTAATTTTGATTTTTGTAAAGTAGGAAAGCTGTGTAGCAGTTTGGCTGCATCTATATCTATACACATTCATCTACATTCATCTACTTACTGTATTGCTCGTGGTACTCCGACTTAATACAATTAACTTTTCAAATGAGAACCCCACCTTTTCTGAAATAATATTACTTTTTTTTATCTTTACGTAAAAATTCAGAGGAGTCTTGCTTCATTGGTTTTTCGTGAAAGAAAACATTTCCTTTGCAGCTTGGAATTAAAAAATGCAACCATTTGAGTTGTTTTCCTTTTCCTTCCTCTAAAACCAAGAAACATATTTTTCTTTCTGCACTGAGACCATAACTAAACTATCAGATGACCAGTTGGGTCCTGAAACCAAGATATTTATAGTCTGTAAATATTTTTATGGTGATAGTGGTAAAGAAAGGAGTGGTCTCCCCTATACACAGACTCCCTTATGATTTTTTAAAAATTATATGCATGTTCTCACTCATAGGTGGGAATTGAACAATGAGAACACATGGACACAGGAAGGAGAACATCACACTCTGGGGACTGTTGTGGGGTGGGGGGGATGGGGGAGGGATAGCATTAGGAGATATACCTAATGCTAAATGACGAGTTAATGGGTGCAGCACACCAGCATGGCACATGTATACATATGTAACTAACCTGCACGTTGTGCACATGTACCCTAAAACTTAAAGTATAATAATAATAAACAAAAAGGAAAAAAAATTATACCTTAAGTTCTGGGATAAATGTGCAGAATGTGCAGGTTTGTTACATAGGTATACATGGGCCACGCTGGTTTTTCACCCATCAACCTGTAATCTACATTAGGTATTTATTCTAATGCTATCCCTCCATTAACCCCCACCCGCTGACAGGCCCCTGTATGTGATGTTCCCCTCCTTATGTCCATGTGTTCTCATTGTTCAACTCCCACTTATAAGTGAGAACATGCGGTGTTTGGTTTTCTGTTCCTGTGTTAGTTTGCTGAGAATGATGGTTTCCAGCTTCATCCATGTCCCTACAAAGGACATGAACTCATCCTTTTTTATGGTTGCATAGTATTCCGTGGTGTATATGTGCCACATTTTCTTTATCCAGTCTCTCATTGATGGGCATTTGGGTTGGTTCCAAGTCTTTGCTATTGTGAACAGTGTCACAATAAGCATACAGGTGCATGTCTCTTTATAGCAGAATGATTTATAATTCTTTGGGTATAAACCCAGTAATGGGATTGCTGGGTCAAATGGTATTTCTGGTTCTAGATCCTTGAGGAATTGCCACACTTTCTTCCACAATGGTTGAACTAATTTACACTCCCAACAGTGTAAAAGCATTTCTATTTCTCCACATCCTCTCCAGAATCTGTTGTTTCCTGACTTTTTAATGATTGCCATTCTAACTGGCATGAGATGGTATCTCATTGTGGTTTTGATTTGCATTTCTCTAATGACCAGTGATGACGAGCTTTTTTCATGTTTATTTGCCACATAAATGTCTTCTTTTGAGAAGGTCTGTTCATATCCATTGTCCATTATTTGATGGGGTTGTTTGTTTTTTTCTTGTAAATTTGTTTACGTTTGTTGGAGATTCTGGATATTAGTCCTTTGTCAGATGCTTAGATTGCAAAAATTTTCTCCCATTCTGGAAAATTTTTGCAACCTACTCATCTGACAAAGGGCTAATATCCAGAATCTACAATGAACTCAAACAAATTTACAAGAAAAAAAGAAACAACCTCATCAAAAATTGGGCAAAGGATATGAACAGACACTTCTCAAAAGAAGACATTTATGCAGCCAAAAAACACATGAAAAAATGCTCATCATCACTGGCCATCAGAGAAATGCAAATCAAAAGCACAAATGAGATACCATCTCATACCAGTTAGAAAGGTGATCATTAAAAAGTCAGGAAACAACAGGTGCTGGAGAGGATGTGGAGAAATAGGAACACTTTTACACTGTTGGTGGGACTGTAAACTAGTTCAACCATTGTGGAAGTCGGTGTGGCGATTCCTCAGGGATCTAGAACTAGAAATACCATTTGACCCAGCCATCCCATTACTGGGTATATACCCAAAGATTATAAATCATGCTGCTATAAAGACACATGCACACGCATGTTTATTGTGGCACTATTCACAATAGCAAAGACTTGGAACCAATCCAAATGTCCAACAATGATAGACTGGATTAAGAAAATGTGGCACATATGCACCATGGAATACTATGCAGCCATAAAAAAGAATGAGTTCATGTCCTTTGTAGGGACATGGATGAAGCTGGAAACCATCATTCTCAGCAAACTATCGCAAGGCCAAAAAACCAAACACCGCATGTTCTCACTCATAGGTAGGAATTGAACAATGAGAACACATGGACACAGGAAGGGGAACATCACACACCAGGGACTGTTGTGGGGTGGGGGGAGGGTGGAGGGATAGCATTGGGAGATATACCTAATGCTAAATGACTAGTTGATGGGTGCAGCACACCAACATGGCACATGTATACATATGTAACAAACCCACACATTGTGCACACATACCCTAAAACTTAAAGAATAATAATTTAAAAAAAGGAAAAAAAAATCCTCCCATTCTGTCGGTTGCCTGATCATTTTGATGACAGTTTCTTTTGCTGTGCAGATGCTCTTTAGTTTAATTAGATCCCATTTGTCAATTTTGGCTTTTGTTGCCATTGCTTTTGGTGTTTTAGTCATGAAGTCTTTGCCCATGCCTATGTCCTGAATGGTATTGCCTAGGTTTTCTTCTCAGGTTTTTATGGTTTTAGGTCTTATGTTTAAGTCTTTAATCCATCTTGAGTTAATTTTTGTATAAGATGTAAAGAACGGGTCCAGTTCCAGTTTTCCGCCTATGGCTACCCAGTTTTCCCAACACCATTTATGAAATAGGGAATCCTTTCCCCATTGCTTGTTTTTGTCAGGTTTGTCAAAGATCAGATGTTTGGAGATGTGTGGCATTATTTCTGAGGCCACTGTTCCATTCCATTGGTCTATGTATCTGTTTTGGTACCAGTACCATGCTGTTTTGGTTACTGTAGCCTTGTAGTATAGTTTGAAGTTAGGTGGCATGATGCCTTCAGCTTTGTTCTTTTTGCTTAGGATTATCTTGGCTATATGGGCTCTTTTTGATTCCATATGAAATTTAAAGTAGTTTTTTCTAATTCTGTGAAGAAAGTCAATGGTAGCTTGATGGGGATAGCATTGAATCTATAAATTACTTTGGGCAGTATGGCCATTTTCACAATATTAATTCTTTCTATCCATGAGCATGGAATGTTTTTCCATGTGCTTGTGTCCTCTCTTATTTCCTTGAGCGGTGGTTTGTAGTCCTCCTTGAAGAGGTCCTGCACATCCCTTATAAGTTGTATTCCTTTTATTCTCTTTGTAGCAAGTGTGAATGGGAGTTCACTCATGATTTGGCTGTCTGTTTGTCTGTTATTGGTATATAGGAATGCTTGTGATTGTTGCACATTGATTTTGATCCTGAGATTTGCTGAAGTTGCTTATCAGCTTAAGGAGATTTTGGGCTGAGATAATGGGGTTTTCTAAATATCCAATTATGTCATCTGCAAACAGAGACAATATGACTTCCTCTCTTCCTATTTGAATACCCTTTATTTATTTCTCTTGCCTCATTACCCTAGCCAGAACTTCCAATGCTGTGTTGAATAGGAGTGGTGAGAGAGGGCATCCTTGTCTTCTGCCATTTTTCAAAGGGATTGCTTCCTGCTTTTGCCCAGTCAGTGTGATATTGTCTGTGAGTTTGTCATAAATAGCTCTTGTTATTTTGAGATATGTTCCATCAATACCTAGTTTATTGAGAGTTTTTAGCATGAAGTGGTGTTGAATTTTATTGAAGGCCTTTTCTATATCTATTGAGATAAACATGTGGTTTTTGTCATTGATTCTGTTTATGTGATGGATTATATTTATTGATTTGCATATGTTGAACCAGCCTTGCATCCCAGAGATGAAGCCAACTTGATCATGGTGGAGAAGCTTTTTGATATGCTGCTGGATTCAGTTTGCCAGTATTTTACTGAGAATTTTTGCATTGGTGTTCATCAGGGATATTGGTCTGAAATTTTTTGTTGTTGTGTCTCTGCCAGGTTTTGGTATCAGGATGATGTTGGCCTCAAAAAATGAGTTAGGGAGGAGTTCCTCTTTTTCTGTGGTTTGGAATAGTTTCAGAAGGAATGGTACCAGCTCCTCTTTGTACCTGTGGTAGAATTTGGCTGTGAATCTGTCTGGTCCTGGGCTTTTTTGGGTTGGTAGGCTATTAATTACTGCCTCAATTTCAGAACTTGTTATTGGTCTATTCAGGGATTCAACTTCTTCCTGGTTTAGTCTTGGGAGGGCGTGTATGTCCAGAAATTTATCCATTTCTTCTGGGTTTTCTTGTTTATTTGCATAGAGGTGTTTATAGTATTCTCTGATGGTACTTTGTATTTCTGTGGGATCAGTGGTGATACCCTCTTTATCTTTTTTTATTGTGTCTATTTGATTCTTCTCTCTTTTCTTCTTTATTAGTCTGGCTAACAGTCTATCTATTTTGTTAATCTTTTCAAAAAAACACCTCCTGGATTTGTTGATTTTTTGAAGTGTTTTTCGTGCCTCTGTCTCCTTCAGTTCTGCTCTGATCTTAGTAATTTCTTGTCTTCTTCTAGGTTTTCAATTTGTTTGCTCTTGATTCTCTAGTTCTTTTAATTGTCATGTTAGGGTGTCGATTTTAGATCTTTCCTGCTTTCTCCTGTGGGCATTTAATGCTATAAATTTCCATCTAAACACTGTTTTAGCTGTGTCCCAGAGGTTTTGGTACACTGTCTTTGTTTCCATTGGTTTCAAAGAACTTATTTATTTCTACCTTAATTTCATTGTTTACCCAGTAGTCATTCAGGAACAGGTTGTTAAGTTTCCATGTAGTTGTGTGGTTTTGAGTGAATTTCTTAATCCTGAGTCCCAATTTGATTGCACTGTGGTCTGAGAGACTGTTTGTTATGATTTCTGTTCTTTTGCATTTGCTGAGGGGTGTTTTACTTCCAATTATGTGGTCAATTTTAGAATAAGTGTCATGTAGTCCTGAGAAGAATGTGTATTCTGTTGATATGGGGTGGAGAGTTCTGTAGATGTCCATTAGGTCTGCTTGGTCCAGAGCTGCGTTCAAGTCCTGAATATCCTTGTTAATTTTGTCTCGTTGATCTGTCTAATATTGACAGTTGGGTGTTAAAGTCTCCCACTATTATTGTGTGAGAGCCTAAGTCTGCAGGTCTCTAAGAACTTGCTTTATGAATCTGGGTGCTCTTGTATTGGGTGCATATATATTTAGGATAGTTAGGTCTTCTTGTTGCATTGATCCGTTTACCATTATGTAATGCTCTTCTTCGTCTTTTTTGATTTTTCTTGGTTTAAAGTCTGTTTTATCAGAGACAGGGTTTGTAACCCTGGCTTTTTTTAAAATTTTTATTTTTTTTGCTTTTCACTTGCTTGATAAATCTTCCTCCATCCCTTTATTTTGAGCCGATGTGTGTCTTTGCACATGAGATGGGTCTCCCAAATACAGCACACCAATGGGTCTTGACTCTATCCAATTTGTCAGTCCGAGTCTTTTAAATGGGGCATTTAGTCTGTTTACATTTAAGATTCTATTGTTATGTGTGAATTTTATCCTGCCATTATGATGCTAGCTGGTTATTTTTCCTGTTAGTTGATGAGGTTTCTTCATAGTGTCGATGGTCTTTAAGATTTGGTATGTTTTTGCAGTGGCTGGTACTGGTTTTCTTTCCATATTTAGTGCTTCTTTCAGTAGCTCTTGTAAGGCAGGCCTGGTGGTGACAAAAATCTCTCAGCTATTGCTTGTTTGTAAAGGATTTTATTTCTACTTCGCTTATGAAGCTTAGTTTGGCTGGATATGAAATTCTGGGTTGAAAATTCTTTTCTTTAAGAATGTTGAATATTGGCCCCCACTCGCCTCTGGCTGTACAGTTTCTGCAGAGAGATCTGCTGTTAGTCTGATAGGCTTCCCTTTGTGGGTAACCCGATCTTTTTCTGTGGCTGACCTTAACATTTTTTTACTTCATTTCAACCTTGGCGAATCTGACCATTTTTGTCTTGGGGTTGCTCTTCTCGAGGAGTATCTTTGTGGTGTTCTACATATTTTCTGAATTTGACTGTTGGCCTGTCTTGCTATGTTGGGGAATTTCTCCTGGATAATATCCTGAAGTGTGTTTTCCAACTTGGTTCCATTCTCCCCATCACTTTCAGGTACACCAGTTAAACATAGGTTTGGTCTTTTCAAATAGTTCCATATTTTTTTCGAGGCTTTGTTCATTCCTTTTCATTCTTTTTTTCTGTAATATTGTCTTCATGCTTTTCTTCATTAAGTTGATCTTCAATCTCTGATATCCCTTCTTCTGCTTGATTGATTCAGCTTTTGATACTTGTGTATGCTTCCCAAAGTTCTCGTGCTGTGTTTTTCAGCTCCATCAGATCAATTATATTCCTTTCTAAACTGTTTATTCTAGTTAGCATTTCCTCCAACCTTTTTTCTTTTGTGTGTGTGTGTGTGTGTGTGTACGTGTATGTGTGTGTTTGCTTTTTTTGTTTTGTTTTTGCTTTTTAAGGGACAGAGTTTTGCTGTGTCACCCAGGCTGGAGTGCAGTGGTGTGATCTCGGCTCACTGCAACCTCTGCCTCCAAGGTTCAAGTAATTCTCCTGCCTCAGCCTCCCAATTAGCTGGGACTACAGATGCATGCCACCATGGCCCACTAATTTTTTTGTATTTTAGTAGAGACAGGGTTTCACCATGTTGCCCAGGCTGGTCTCAAACTCCTCAGCCTCCTGAAGTGCCAGGATTACAGGTCTCCCCTAACCTTTCTTCAAGATTCTTAGCTTCCTTGCATTGGGTTAGAGCATGCTCCTTTAGCTTGGAGGAGTTCGTTATTACCCACCTTCTGAAGCCTACTTATGTCAATTTGTCAAACTCATTCTCCATCCAGTTTTGTTCCCTTGCTGGCGATGAGTTGTGATCCTTTGGAGGAGAAGAGGCATTCTGGTTTTTGGAATTTTCAATCTTTTTATGCTGGTTTTCCTCATCTTCATGGATTTATCTACCTTTGGTCTTTGATGTTGGTGACCTTCGAATGCGGTTTCTGTGTGGGCATCCTTTTTGTTGATGTTGATGCTATTCCTTTCTGTTTGTTAGTTTTCCTTCTAACAGTCAGGCCCCTCTGTTGCAGGTCTGGTGGAGTTTGCTGGAGGTTGATTCCAGACCCTGTTTACATGGGCATCACCAGTGGAGGCTGCAAAACAGCAAAGATTGCTGCCTGTTCTTTCCTCTGGATGCTTCGTCCCAGAGGGGCACCCGCCAGATGCCAGCCAGAGCTCTCTTGTATGAGGTGTCTGTCAACCACTGCTGGAAGGTGTCTCCCAGTCAGGAGGCACAGGGATCAGGGACCCACTTGAGGAGGCAGTCTGTCCCTTAGCGGAGCTTGAGCGCTGTGCTGGGAGATCTGCTGTTGTCTTCAGAGCTGGCAGGCAGGAATGTTTAAGTCTGCTGAAGCTGCGCCCACAGCCACCCCAACAGCCACCCCCACAGCCGCCCCTTCCCCCAGGTAATTTGTCCCAGATAGATGGGAGCTTTATCTATAAGCTCCTGACTGGAGCTGCTGCCTTTCTTTCAGAGATGCCCTGCCCAGAGAGGAGGAATCTAGAGAGGCAATAAGGCTACAGTGGCTTTGCAGAGCTGTGGTGGGCTCTGCCCAGTTTGAACTTTGAGGCGGCTTTGTTTACACTGTGAGGGGAAAACTATCTACTCAAGCCTCAGTGATGGTGGATGCCCCTCCCCGCAGCAAGCTCTAGTGCCCCAGGTCGACTTCAGACTGCTGTGCTGGCAGCGAGAATTTCAACCCAGTCAATCTTAGCTTGCTGGGCTCCATCGGGATGGGATCTGCTGAGCTGGACCACTTGGCTCCCTGGCTTCAGCCCTCTTTCCAGGGCAGTGAATGGCTCTGTCTCGCTGGCATTCCAGGAGCCACTGGGGTAAGAAAAAAAAACTCTTGCAGCTGGCTTGGTGTCTTCCCAAATGGCCACCCAGTTTTTTGCTTGAAACTCAGGGCCCTGGTGATGTAGGCACCTGAGGGAATCTCCTGGTCTGAGGGTTGTGAAGACTGTGAAAAAAGCATAGTATCTGGGCCAGAATGCACAGTTCCTCTCAGCACAGTCCCTCATAGTTTTCCTTTGCTAGGGGAGGGAGTTCCCCAACCCCTCACACTTCCTGGGTGAGGCAAGGCCCCACCCTGCTTCTGCTCGCCCTCTGTGGGCTGCACCCACTGTTTAACCAGTCCCAGTGAGATGAGCCAGGTACCTCAGTTGGAAATGCAGAAATTGCCCACCTTCTGTGTTGATCTCGCTGGGAGCTGCAGACTGGAGTTGTTCCTATTCTGCTATCTTGCCCAGGTCCCCGGTCTCTTCTTTTCTTTTTTTTTTTTTTTTAACATTTATAAGTAAAGTCTATTTTTCCTGCATTGAGAGCAAAGCAATCTAAGTCTCTGCTTGGAGAAGTTATGGTGAATCTTTTTTTTTTTTTTAACATTCTCAGGCATTGTAGATCTGTGAATTGTGCACACGAATAATGGATTTTTGGCATTCTCTTTAATGTACAACATAGGTATTGAGAAATAAAAAAGTTTATATAGATAGACAAAATGATATTTCAAATATTGCATTTTTTTTCTGAATCAATTTAATTTCAGAGCATGTAGTCCTGGAAGGAAAGTAATTCAGGAGTTTACTTTAAAGAATATTGGTGTTCATGCCTCAAAGACAATTTAATGATATATGAGTCAGCTTTGCTGTTGTAACAAATGATTCCCCAGTCTCAATAACTTGGAACAACAAAGGTATCTGAGGTCCATCAGTGGCTCTGCTGTACATGTCCTCTTAATTCCAGGATCCAGGATAGAATAGCAACATGCCATTCTTACACCTAACGAAAAGGGCAAGAAAAACATTTTATGTTCTTAAAGCTTCTGCTTGGATGTGGCATGAGTCTCACATGCTGCTGACCAAAGCAAGTTGTATGGCCAAGACATACCAACGAGGCAGGAAACTATGTTTCTCCCATAAGAAGACACTGCTAAGTTCCATGGCAATGAATAAGATTAACAATCACTCTAAAGAAAATGGGGAGTAAATACTTAAGAACCACAGTACAATCTACCAGAATGATCAAGAACTTCTATAAGCCCATTACCAGTCAGTCTAGGGTGCTTCCAGCCTCCAGCTTCTTTTCATGATTTAAATCAGAACTTACCCACTATGAGGAACACATCCATAGTTCTCTCCTCCTGTTGTTTGATGTGTACTCAGAATATTTAAAAAATAAATCATTATTTGCATAAGCAGAAAAAAACTGGAAATGTCAGTATTCTAAAAGAAAGCATTGGCCGGGCGCAGTGGCTCAAGCCTGTAATCCCAGCACTTTGGGAGGCCGAGGCGGGCGGATCACGAGGTCAGGAGATCGAGACCATCCTGGCTAACACGGTGAAACCCCGTCTCTACTAAAAATACAAAAAAATTAGCCGGGCGTGGTGGCGGGTGCCTGTAATCCCAGCTACTCGGGAGGCTGAGGCAGGAGAATGGCGTGAACCTGGGAGGCAGAGCTTGCAGTGAGCCGAGATCATGCCGCTGCACTCCAGCCTGGGCAACAGAGCGAGACTCCATCTCCAAAAAAAAAAAAGAAAGAAAGAAAGCATTGTAATGTAGCCCCACAACTGGAGGCATTCACAATTCCCCAAATATTGCTTAAAGTTTTCAAATTTTTCCACCTTCTCTTATTCTTTTTCACTTTCTTTCTCTGCATTCCAACCTGTTCTTCTCCCTTCCCCAAAATGCAAAAATTTTCTTTACTGTATTTCTTACTTTTTCTCAATTTATTTTCTTTGTTATTTCCTTTTCTCTTTTCATTTCAGTAAATTCACTCCTTTATTCAATCGATGTTACCTCCTGGATACATCTAGGATATCAAGACAAAATTGACATGGTCCCTACCTCAGTTTATGAAATTAGAAGTCCTACTAAGTGTGTTCAAGGTACTTTATAACTCTGAATCCATATGATTATTTGCTCCCAAAGGCATGTAGATTTGTAGCATAGACAAAGATATAGAAAGTAAGCTACAATACAAAATAAACATTTTTATTCGATTTTGTGGAGACAGGGTCTCACTATATTATCCAGTCTGGTCTCAAACTCTTGGCCTTAAACAATCTTCCCATCTCAGCCTCCCAAAGCACTGGGATTACAAGACAGGAGCCACTGTGTCTGGCCTACAAAGTAAACTGTTTTAAGGGACAAGAAAGGGTAATTCGTAAGGTGCTATGAAAATTCAGAAGAAGGAGATTATTTTAGGATAGGTTGGCAATATATCAGTCTCATTATTTAAATTTTCTAATCATTTCCTCTTTTTAAATTTTCTTTCTACTTCATTGACAAACTCTCTCTTTTTCAGATATTTCACCCGTGGTGCCTAGCCATGGGCTCTGAATATAATTCTTCTATACCAGGACTATTTTGTTTGCAATTTACAGGGACTCAATTCAAGCTGGTTTAAGTAAGAGAAGGAAATGTACTGGTCATAAAATGGAAATGTGTCAGGCATTTAGACATAGAGTCTAGAAAGGATGTCATCAGGAATCTGTTTTTCTTTTTCAACTTTTCTTTTTCTGGTTTTGGTGTTCACAGGTGATATGGTTAGTCTTTGTGTTCCCATGCAAATCTCATCTTCAATTGTAAACCCCAGGTGTGGAGGGAGAGACCTGGTGGGAGGTGATTGGATCATGGGGGCAGTTTCCCCCATGCTGTTCTCATGATAGTGACTGAGATCTCACTAGAGCTGATGGTTTAATAAGGGGCTCTTCCCCCTTTCCTTCTCTCTCTCTCTCTCTCTCTCCCTCCTGTCACCTTGTGAAGAAGATGACCACTTCCCCTTCTGCCATGATTGTAAGTTTCCTGAGGCCATCCCAGCCATGCAGAACTGTGAGTCAAGTAAACCTCTTTCTTTTATAAATTACCCAGTTGTGGAAATTTCTTTATAGCAGTGTGAAAATAAGCTAATACAACAGGCAAGCTCTTTCCTCATGGCTTCAAGATAGCCACCAGACTCACAACCTACCAGTTTAGTAACCTAAACTGGAAGAGCAGTTCCAGTTCTCTCAGGTGTTCCATCAACAGTTCTACTTTCATTGGTTTGTCTTGGGAAACAGTCTCACTCCTGAATCAATCACAGTGACAATGAAAATGGAATGTTTTAATTGGTCAGGCTGGGGTCATGTTACCACTCTTGTGGTCTACAGAAAGGTAAGCCTTACTTATAAATGGATGGGGTTGGATGAGTAACTTTAAGGAAAATAAGATTGCTTTTTTAGAGGAAGGGGAAATGGAAAGTAGACATGCAAAAGCAACAGGTATCTGCTACATAGCAGGGGCTTACTAGTGCATTTTGATTAGAATGTTATTATTGCTTTTATTCATTATATAGGCATGTATGGATGCAAAGAAAATCCTTTCTTCTCTTCCCAAAATCTTATTGTTCTTAGCCTTTTCTTTCTATCTTATTTGCTGCCAAATCTATGCCCTGTAGATATCATCAAGCTTCATTTTTACTTCTTTAAATACATTAAAGCATGACTGTTTTATAGTATGTCTGATTACACCAACATTTGGGATCTTCATGGATCTTTTTAGTTTGTTTGTTGTTTCTTACCCACAGTGCTTTTTGTGTGTATGTATCTGATTATCCTTTATTTTATGCTAGTCATTGTGTTTGAAAAATTATTTGCAGGAATAATGGAGTCCAAGATGAAATTACTTTATTCCCAGACAGGTTTTGAATTTGCTTCTGCCAGCACCTGTGGACACTATCAGTCTAGGATCACC
Source organism: Homo sapiens (assembly GCF_000001405.40). NCBI lineage: Eukaryota > Metazoa > Chordata > Mammalia > Primates > Hominidae > Homo > Homo sapiens. The sequence goes on along the minus strand of NC_000008.11, from coordinate 108,100,004 downwards.
TTAATTTAAATTCAATGCTTCAGGGTCCCTAAACCACCCAAATGATGTAAATGTGGGATGCAAGATGTGATGAGGACTGATTTACTACTGAGCTACCTTGACGCTGAGGGTATAACTATTGTACCAGTTTATTATGAGAGAGGTCTTCTAGTTTATTCCTCAATTGGTGTGTGCTTCTATTTCTCTTGCCACAATGGACTTTCTTCGTCTTGAGAAAATTAAAATTCAAAATTCGTAAGTTGGGCAAATACCCTCAGGATGAAAGTAGCTTTTGTTCTTACTTACCTTCCTAGGGTCTTGTTTGGCCTGTAATTTCCTTATTATATTAATGCTTCCTTGGCTGTTTATTAATATTATGTTCATCATTTTTAGTTGTTTTCAGCAGGTGGGTTGGTTCAAATAGTCTAGCTTACCATTTCTGGGATCTAAAAGTCTTCTTTCTGGAAGTTCTGGCCTACTCTTCATCATGCCTGATCTTCTCTTTCTGTTGTATTCTTTCCCAGTTTTCTGCCCCTATTCTCTCATCATACTCTGCTTGTGGATAGGCCCTGCTAGGATGAGATACTCAAACCTCTGTTTCTTAATGTGGCTTCATGAATCAACTTTTCATGATCTTTGATGTGTATCTTTCTTTCTCTGTCTTTGGATTGATAGTAACAGGTTGCTTCTGATTTCCCCAATACACTATTGCACTGGTCCATTTGAACTCTGGTATGCTTTGGGAATACCTACCTTTCTAATCTTAAATCATTTCTACCATCTGGAAGCATGATAAAAATTAGTGTGACACAGGCAAAGATACAAATAATGTTACATATTTAGAATTGTATTACATACATGTTTGCATGTAAAATATTTCCTTTACTTTCTGTCCTTCTTAGAAAATATTGGCCAGCCTTCTTTACTTGTTATTGTCCTTTTATGTTCTTTAGATTTGAGTTATTTCCTCTCAATTTTCTCCTTGGCTTATTCACTGCTTCTCTTCCTGTAGGTCCCTTACATTTAATTGTTTTTTCAAGGTTTTCTCTTTGGATTTTGCCTCCATACCAAGACAACCTCTTCCATTTTCACAGCCTCATTGTATTATATGTGCACTTCATAATTAAATTTTATATCTCTAGTTATGGCTTCTGCAAGGTGCTTCAGTTCCACATTATTCCCAAATGATTTCTTGCTATTTCTATGAGGATGCTGTTCATGTTCCAAAATTCTACGTTTCCAAAATTGTATTCTTTCTTTCTCCTAAGACCCCTAAGACACTCCTAATCTTCTTTAGGATTGTGTTTTTTTGGTAATAACATCAACATTTACCCAGTCTTCCAAAATAGAAACTTCAGCATCATCTTTGTTTTCTACCTCTCCTACTCCCATATTGAACCGGTCATCTTCCTTCCTTTTCATTTCCACTAACATTGCACTGGTTTAGTTTCATATGTATGTATGTATTTCTGTATATACAGTTGATACTCATTATTCAGATTCCATATTTGCAAATTTGCCTTCTCACTTGGAACAGCAAAGGTATCTGAGGTCCATTAATGGCTCTGCTGTACAGGTCCTCTGTACATGTAACCCCAAAATTAATATTTGTGGCACTTTCACAGGGAGTCATGGACATTCACAGAGTGTTGAAAAATTTGAGACTTTCAGTGTGCACATTTCCAGTGTGTTGATAAGATGCTGTTCTGCCTTCTCGTTTCAGCTTTCATACTGCAAACAAGTGTCCTTTTTGCAATCTATTTAGCGCCAGCCTTTTTACATTTGTGTGCTTTTGTTGATGGCTTCTCCCTTTCTTTCTTTCTTTCTTTCTTTCTTTCTTTCTTTCTTTCTTTCTTTCTTTCCTTCCTTCCTTCCTTCTTTCTTTCTTTCCTTCCTTCCTTCCTTCTTTCTTTCTTTCTTTCCTTTCTTTCTTTCTTTCTTTCTTTCTCTCTCTCTCTTTCTTTTCTTTCTTTCTTTCTTTCTTTCTTTCTTTCTTTCTTTCGTTCCTTCCTTCCTTCCTTCCTTCCTTCCTTCTTTCTTTCTTTCTTTCCTTTCTCTTTCTTTCTTTCTCTCTCTCTCTTTCCTTTCTTTCTTTCCTTCCTTCCTTCCTTCCTTCCTTCCTTCCTTCCTTCCTTCCTTTCTTTCTTTCTTTCTTTCTTTCTTTCTTTCTTTCTTTCTTTCTTTCTTTCTTTCTTTCTTTCTTTCTTTCTTTCTTTCTTTCTTTCTTTCTTTTGGATGGAGTTTCACTTTTGTTGCCCAGGCTGGAGTGTAATGGCACAATTTCGGCTCACCACAACCTCCACCTCCCAGGTTCAAGTGATTCTCCTGCCTCAGCCTCCTGAGTAGCTAGGATTACAGGCATGCACCACCATGCCTGGCTAATTTTGTATTTTTAGTAGAGACAGGGTTTCTCCATGTTGGTCAGGCTGGTCTCAAACTCCCGACCTAAGGTTATCTGCCCACCTTGGCCTCCCAAAGTGCTGGTATTATAGGCATTAGCTGCCGTGCCTGACCGATGGTTTCATTCTTTAAAATCATTCCCAGCTGAGGTGTAAAAGTACTGTCTAGTATTCCTAAGTGCAAGAAGAATGTGATGTGCCTTATGGAAGAAAATACATGTGTTAAATAAGCTTCCCACAGGCATGAGAAATAGTACTGTTGCCATGAGTTTGGTGTTAATGTATTAACAATATATATTAAATAAAGTGTCTTTAAACAGAAGCATACGTAAAACAAGATTATGTAATGATTAGTTGATGAAAATGTTGTGATCAAAGGCTTGTAGGAACCTAAGGCTGTATTTCTCATAGGAATAATGTTCCAGTGTTCACTGATTCAGTGTTCATAGTGATTTTATAGAACCTATCCATCATAAGTAATAAGAATCAACTGTAATGTATGTGCATACATATAATATATAATATGGTCATATAATATATAATGAATCATATTATTATATATGTGTGTGTACATATAGTTTTTTGTAACCAACCTCTTAACTGGTTTTCTTTCAAGGCATTCTCAGTATTGCCAAAGTAATTATCTTTTTAATGTAGAATCGAATATGTTACAAGTCCTACTTAAAATTGAAAATCTTCAATGCATTGAATATAAAATTTATATTTGTTTGCATGGAAGTCCAGTTCACTTATCTACTTTGCCAATCTAAACTTTCATCTTCCCTCCTTCACTCTGTGCCACACCCAAATAGCACATTGGTCGGTTAGACAACTATTTGACTTTATAGCTCTCTGTTTTCCCTCTTCTATCACTTTTGACTTAAATGCCCTTTCTAACTTCTCTGATAAAATCCTACTCAGCCTTCAAGACCAAGCTCATATATCATCCTGCAATGCTTTTCTTGACACTTACACAAAAGAAGTAATGGCTCTTTATATTTATTTCCAGTTCACATTTGTCACTGTTGCAGAGGTAGTTACAAATATGGGAAGCGGAAAGGCTAGAATAAGCTTAGTGTTGGATTGGAATAGGAGAGTACATAAAGAATTCATGTTTTTAACTCTGACACTGAAAAGAGCTAGAAGCTATGACACTACAGCAGCAATGTATACACTCAGCATCCAGCTTTTCATTTCATAATATAATTCTCCACTAAAAGAAGCCAAGACTGCCTGGAGAAAAGATGCATTCCAAGGCTTGAAGAAGGAAAATACAAGATGAGTCTGGAAGTTATGGTTGTAAAAAAAGTAAAAATGAATTCGAAATATGTTGAGAACATATCAGAAGGACACAGAACCTAGTTTAAAATTTCCTCACAGACCAAATCTGGGACAAATCAAACATCAAAATAAATATAATAACACAATATAACTTATTAAACAAAATAAGAATCCATGGATCCAGACTGATACCAATCAATCATTCCTGGAAAAGAGAAAGCTTCCTTCCTTCCTTCCTTCCTTCCTTCCTTCCTTCCTCCCTCCCTCCCTCCCTTCCTCCCTCCCTCCTTCCCTCCCTCCCTCCTTCTCTCCCTCCCTCCTTCCCTCCCTCCCTGATCATAGCTCACTGCAACCGCCAACTCCTGGGCTTAGGTGATCCTCCCACTTCAGCCTCCCAAGTACCTAGAACTACAGACACACACCATCATGCCCGGCTATTTTTTAAAATTTATTTTATTTTATTTTATTTTATTTTTTGATGGAGACAGGGTCTCACTATATTGCCAAGGCTGGTCTCAAATTCTTGGCCACAAGTGATCATCCTTCCTTGGCCTCCAAAAGTGGTGGGATTGCAAGAATGAGCCACTGGGCCCAACTGAAAAGGCTCTTTCTTACAGTAAAATGACAACTAAGAATTGTGGAAAAAATAATATAGTCAGAAAGTTACAATTTGGCAAACATCAGAGTAATAATTGATCAGACAAAAATTACTAATAGATACCAAAATTAGTGGGTGAAATTTTAATGAGAACGAGAACATTTACATAGTTCCAAAGTGTTTTCCATATATTAATTATTAACGTCAAAAGGAAAAATAGTGACTTTACCATGTAAAATCCTGACAGAAAACATCTTAACCAAGTACTGGGTAATGGAACAGATCAACGTTCTCTTCTTCTTGACGTGATGGGACAGACCAACATCATGTTCCTTTTGATGTGATGTCCTACGGCAAATACCACAACAATTCTACAGCATTTCTCCTAAAGAAAGCATAACCTCAATCTAGTTATGAAGAAACATCAGAAGCCAAACTAAAGGACACGGGACAAAATGAACTGTGCTTTTGAAAACATCAAGGACATGAATGACAAAGTAAGCCTGAGGAACAGTTCTAGGCTAAAGGGGACAAACAAGCATGACAACTGGTATAGTATATAATTCTTATATAATTCTTGACTCAATCCTGGTTTGGAGAACATGTTTGTAACTTATTGGACATATTGGACAGCTCAGAATGTTTGAATATAGACTTTGGATTAGATAATAATGTTACATCAATATTAAGTTTTCTAATTTTCGTAATATTGAGGTTATATAAGTAGGTGTTACTGTCTCAGGAAGTATACACTGAAGTATTTAAGAGTAACAGACCATGTTTAAAGTTTACTCATCAATGGTTTATATTTTTCAAATGCAAAGCTATAAAGTAAATGATAAAGGAAATGAAGTAAATTTTAAGTAACTGGTGATACTTGGTAAAGGCTATTTGGGAGTTTTAAATATGGTATCAGAATAAAAAGTACTAAAATAAAATAAAAACCTTGGAAGTCAAAGACAATCTATTGTTTATTTATTTACTTTTTATTTTTTAACTCTTCTCAGTTGGGATGTAAGTTTCATAAGGGGAAAGATCTTGTCTTCCTTTCTCACTGCTGTATCCTTAGCACCCTAACAATGTCAATATAAAGGACATCATTAAATATTTGTTGAATGAATAAAGGCAAAACACATGAAGAAAAACAACAATAGAACAGACTTGCATGCTTCTACTTTTGCTCTTTCTAGAAACTCCATTAAATCTTCAGCAAAATACTTTTTTTTTTTTCAAAAGGGGAAGAGTCTACAAGGAAAAGAAGAATAAAAGAGAAAACAATCACTATCCACCCCCAACCCTCCCTGTTCCTCCAGAAGTTACCCTTTTGGAAGAATCCTGGCAAACTTTTCTCTGGGAAATCTGACCAACCAGTGAAAACAATTAAATAAATTATATTTGGATTCCCCTAATAAATTTCTCAGTCAGTTGACTTATGGTCCATTTTTACCATATGGTAAAGCTCAAGTTGAAAAGCATCACCCAAGTGTGATGAGTTATTAATCAGCCTTTTATCTCACTTTTAAATATAAGCAAATATCTAAGGATTACCACATATCAAGAAAATCCTCAAATCCTTAAAGATGAAAGGTAAAGACACAGAGAAAAGCAGCTTGGAAGAAACAGACTAATATACAGGAAAGAAATTTGTATAAAGAAAAGGAGACCTCTTGCATTTTAACAAAATGAGAAAAGCAATGAAAAATGCATTAGAAGAATTGGAGGATAAAATTGAGAGAATATTCCAAAAAGTAGAGAAAAAGAGACAAAGAGATGAAAAATAGGAGAGAAAGTGTAGAAAAATTAGAGGACCATTCTATACAGTCCAATATTTGAATAATAGTTATTCAAAAAAAAAGAGGCAAGAAAATGAAGGGGAGAAAAATCCACAAAACATCTCAAGAATATTTCAAGACTGGAAGGACATAAAGTTGCAGATGTAAAAGGTCATCAAACTTCCAGCAAAGTCAATGAAAATAGATCCACACTTAAGTACTTTTAGTGAAATTTCAGGCCTGTAAGCTTCTGGGACAAGGAACATAAAAAAGAATCAGTAATTAGAGTGGTTTTTGCCTTCTGCCAAGCAATATTGGAAGGTAAAAAGCCATGAAGAAATGCCTTCAAAATACTAAAGGAGAATGATTTCAATCTAGAATTTTATACAGTCAAACAATCAGTTGTGAGGGTAGAATAGGGACATATTTTGAATGTGCAAAATTTCAAAATATTTATCCCTATGCAAAATTTTAAGGAAACTCTTGGAGAATATTCTTCACCACAAAAAAGGATTAGGAAAAAGGAAGATATGAGACACAGGAAACAAAGTCCACCAGAGGTGAGAGAGAAAGGGAATCCTTAGGAAGATGGTGAGGGGACATCCCAGAATGAAAACTGTGTATCAGGCACAAACGTGAACTAGTCTAGCTGAAGCATGCCAGAGCTTTCAAAAGGGATGTTAAGAAGATGAAATTGATGGCCTACGTGGTATGAATGAAGGTATTAAGAGGTAATTAAAATGACCTGAAGAAAGTTTGGGTTGAATTCCTGGTAAAAAAAAAAAAACTCTGCAAAGGAGAAAACAAGGTGATGATAATTCCAGAGAAAACAAAAAGTTGCCAGAAAAGTAACTGTAGTCACAGTTTCCTACATGACTCAGCTCTGAATAACATATTTAGTCATAATAATAGAACCACATAATATTGATCTAACCATATTTGAAGAATGGGAGGAGGGTGGATAGGGAAGAAGTGGGAGAAAAACAAGTTTTCATTTTTTTGTAGTGGAAAATCAATATATAATATTTGTGTCCATCATGATTCAGTCAGGGGAACAGAGTCACTGGGTGTTATAAATAATGGATTTACGATAGGAACGAGATCTTACAGCTGAGGAAGTAAAGTTCCGAAAAGGGAACGGGAGGATCAGAGGAGCCACTAACATGTCTGAGAAGCCAAGCATGCCCAGCCACCATAGTGTGGTGGCGACAGAGAAATTTTTGGAGAGGTCTTTGGAAAGATATTGACTCTATAACTAGATGGTGGTGGGCCTGGGCTCTCTCTGAGGGTCCCCAGGGACATTAGTCAGGAGGAAGAGCTAGACATCATGCAGAGAATGAGTTACAAGCTGCTACTGGCTGTAGACCTCTGCTGTGTCCCTCATTATCTTACTGTGAAAAGACTTTCTGAAAGTCTTAACAAATTTTATTTTTGCATCTCTACCCCACCAAACTTCATATAATTCCTCTTCTATCCAACTCTAACACAAAATCGTTATACAGCAGAGGCTTTGGGAAATACAGTTCCCAACTGACCCCAGGGAACACACTGTAAATCACAACAGTCCATCCCTTGACAGTCTGGCACCCAACCCATGCCTCTTTTAACCACATTTAATTCCCAAATTTGTGCTTCCACATAACATGTCACACTTATGCACACAAAAACATACTGACTTTCTTCCCAAAAGGAAATATACAAAGTCCCACATGCCCATTTATTCATCCTGGGGTAATATTCATTCTTTTATCTGAGTCACACTTGCTATTTCATATTCTATAGTCTAAATACTGAGATATAAGGTTAACTACAGTTAACACATCTTATGTTAGATAATAGAGGAATATGAGATAAAAATATTGATATTTGATATTCATTTTAAATCAAGGAGGAAATACTTATAACTGCTATAGTCTGTGTTTTGCAACTAGTCATATGATTGTAGCTGGTATTTATTTATTTATTTTGAGGCAGAGTCTTGCTTTGTCGCCCAGGCTGGAGTGCAGTGGCGCGATCTTGGCTCACTGCAACCTCTGCCTCCCGGGTTCAAGCAATTCTCCAGCCTCAGCCTTCCAAGTATCTGGGACTACAGGCACATACCACCACACCTGGCTAATTTTTGTATTTTTAGTAGAGACTGGATTTCACTATGCTGGCCAGGCTGGTCTCAAACTCCTGGCCTCAGGTGATCCACCCGCCTCAGCCTCCGAAAGTGCTGGGATTACAGGCATGAGCCACTGCACTCAGCCTGTAGCTGGTATTTATAACTTATTTTTTCTCTAGGACTGAAATAGGTGAGCAGCTTACTAATGCCTTTCTTGATTTGTATAGCAGAAGTATTTCCTTTCTGACTAACAGAGGTACCACTCGAGTCACTGCAACAGAGAGCCACAGCTCCTTAACCAGTTCCGGACTTGAGCCAGTTCATAGCCCCAGAGCTCATTGAATGAAGAGGTCAAATCTCTGGAACCAGCATCCTCACTGTAAATCTTTTTCCTGGTCTTCCACAATAGGACCTCAGTCCATTTACTCAGATGACTGTGTTTCTGGGAACAGGAACTAATTGGACCTTTGGGGATGACTGGACATTAATTCTAAACTGACCTTAGTTTCTTGATGCCCAAAATGTCATTGTGATTCACCACATTAGAGAGGCTTATGAAGACTGGATGATTTCTGGGGTATTGGCTTGAGCCTATGCCCTAGTGGGCTTAGTTGATCCCCAAACCTACCCCATGTTTATTTCTTCACTTCTGGAGTGAATAGTTAGAATAGACATGTTTAGCAACTAGAAGAATTCCCACATTTGTTCTCTGACCTGTGTATATGTTTTTTATTTTATATCTGTAACAAAATTTTTCCATACTGTTCCAAGGTTAAAAGGGCTTCTACAGATGCACGTGATACTGCAAAGTAGCAAAGTAAAATATATTGCAAATAGCTGAGGAAAATGTGGGAAAGGGAAAATAAGGCTAGAAACTTAAAATGGAGCAAGAAATAAAACTAGTACATAAAATGTGTGACATAAACTTTTGTACATTTGCTGAGGGTGGCTGACAAATTTGTTCTTGAGCAGTAACACAATTCATTACAACTATAAGTTAAAGACAAATGGAATGATTAGGGGAGGCGTATCTATTTTGGATACCAGTACAGAAAAAAGTTCAGAGGAGGATATTTCCTGCCTTTAGGAATTACCTGTTCTATTGTTTACTTCTATTATAGCAAGCTGAGTGTCCACAAATAAAGTAAAACCAGACCTTCTATTCATTTAATGAAAACAACCTAATTTTTAAGAAAACTGAGAATCTCTTGTTACTTGTGTGGAGTAATAGTTCCTTCTAGCAACAACATTCACACCACAAGGAATGGAAATGACACATATTACTTTAGTTCAAAAGAGTTCAGGGCACACAAAATTAAATAAGGGAAATTATTTGAAAACTTTGGGTCAGATCTTGAGTTTTCTCTTTTGAGCTGGTCTGTGTTGGACTTCCTTTGAAGTCAACAAAGCTGCCTCCTGGATTTCTTCCATGGGGATGAAGCACAAAATGAGAAATAGGCTTCATCACATCAGTCCACAGATGAGTACTCAAGTGGCAGAAGGCAGTATTAACATTCGGAGGAGTCAAATATTTACACATTTTTTAAACATTAAATAAGTGATTGTGATGTGGCTTTTTAAAACAACAAATCAGCCTAGATAAGGACTGGTCAGTGACCTTGTTGAAGACCTTTCATATTAATATAATTACTTCACACAAAATATAATAAATGAACATGGGCTATCACATGCAACTGGCAAAACAGACGTGCTTATATTTAACAGGAAAAAACTATCAATAGTAGCACAATGGCAAAAATGCTATAATTTGTTCCAAAGCAATTAAAGGATAAATTCTACACTGGAAGAGTGCATACAATCAATATCAACAATGATTAAAAAGATTGTGAGAAATTTTAAATCTGAGAATGAATAACAGATAACATAAAAGATAACTCTAAATCAATTAGCTAATGAAAACAAGAATCAGTGCCAAAGTCAACCAAATCTATAAGCATAAATGCTTATGAAAGATTCAGAAAACTTTAAATCTATTCTACTGTAGCCCACACTGTACAGTCATAAAATCACTAGCATCCTATGGGTGTTAACATTGAAAAAATATATTGGAAAATTCCTAAATGAAAATCTAAAAATAATGGCACAAGGAAGAGCTTTTTCTTTCTCTTTTTAAAAAGTATACTTTAAGTTCTGGGATACATATGCAGAATGTGTAGGTTTGTTACATAGGTATACATGTGCCATGGTGGTTTGCTGCACCCATCAACCCATCATCTACATTAGGTATTTCTCCTAATGCTATCTCTCCCCTAGCCCCCAACCCCCTGACAGGCCCTGGTGTGTGATGTTCCCCTCCCTGTGTCCATGCCTTCTCATTGTTCAACTCCCACTTATAAGTGAGAACATGCAGTGTTTGGTTTTGGTTTTCTGTTCTTGTGTTAGTTTGCTGAGAATGATGGTTTCCAGCTTCAACCATGTCCCTGCAAAGGACATGAACTCTTCCTTTTTTATGGCTGCATAGTATTCCATGGTGTATATGTGCCACATTTTCTTTATCCAGTCTATCACTGATGGGCATTTGGGTTGGTTCCAAGTCTTTCCTGTTGTGAATAGTGCCACAATAAACATATGTGTGCATGTGTCTGTATAGTGGAATGATTTATAATTCTTTGGGTATATACCCAGTAATGAGATTGGTGAGTCAAATGGTATTTCTGGTTCTAGACCCTTGAGGAATTGCCACATTGTCTTCCACAATGGTTGAACTAATTTACACTCACACCAACAACGTAAAAGTGTTCTTATTTCTCCACATCCTCTCCAGCATCTGTTGTTTCCTGTCTTTTTAATGAACACCATTCTAACTGGCATGAGACGGTATCTCATTGTGGTTTTGATTTGCATTTCTCTAATGACCAGTGATAATGAGCTTTTTTTCATATGTTTGTTGGCTGCATAAATGTCTTCTCTTGAGAAGGGTCTGTTCATATCCTTTGCCCACTTTTTGATGGGGTTGTTTTTTTCTTGTAAATTTGTTTAAGTTCTTTGTAGATTCTGGATATTTGCCCTTAGTTAGATGGATAGATTGCAAAAATTTTCTCTCATTCTGTAGGTTGCCTGTTCACTTTGATGATAGTTTCTTTTGTTGTGCAGAAGCTTTTTAGTTTAATTGGATCCCATTTGTCAATTTTGGCTTTTGTTGCCATTGCTTTTGGTGTTTTAGTCATGAATTCTTTGCCCATGCCTATGTCCTGAATGGTATTGCCTAGGTTTTCTTCTAGGGTTTTTATAGTTTTAGGTCTTACGTTTAAGTCTTTAATTCATGTTGAGTTAATTTTTGTATAAGGTGTAAGAAAGGGGTCCAGTTTCAGTTTTCTGCCTATGGCTACCCAGTTTTCCAACACAATTTATTAAATAGGGAATCCTTTCCCCACTGCTTTTGTCAGGTTTGTCAAAGATCATATGGTTGTAGATGTGTGGCCTTATTTCTGAGGCCTCTGTTCTGTTCCATTGGTCTATATATCTGTTTTGATACCAGTACCATGCTGTTTTGGTTACTGTAGCCTTGTAGTATAGTCTGAAGTCAGGTAGCATGATGCCTCCAACTTTGTTCTTTTTGCTTAGGATTGTCTTGGCCATATGGGCTCTTTTTTTTGGTTCCATATGAAATTTAAAGTAGTTTTTTCTAATTCTGTGAAGAAAGTCAATGGTAGCTTGATGGGGATAGCATTGAATCTATAAATTACTTTGGGCACTATGGCCATTATCATGGTATTGATTCTTCCTATCCATCAGCATGGAATGTTTTTTCCATTTCTTTGTGTCCTCTCTGATTTCCTTGAGCAGTGATTTGTAGTTCTCCTTGAAGAGGTCCTTCACATCCCTTGTAAGTTGTATTCCTAGGTATTTTATTCTCTTTGTAGCAATTGTGAATGGGAGTTCTCTCATGATTTGGCTCTCTGTTTGCCTATTGTTGTATAGGAATGCTTGTGATTTTTGCACATTTATTTTGTATCCTGAGATTTTGCTGAAGTTGCTTATCAGCTTAAGGAGATTTTGGGCTGAGACAATGGGATTTTCTAAATATAGGATCATGTCATCTGGAAAGAGAGACAATTTGACTTCCTCTCTTCCTATTTGAATACCCTTTATTTATTGCCTGATTGCCCTGGCCAGAATTTCCAATACTATGTTGAATAGGAGTGGTGAGAGAGGGCATCCTTGTCTTGTGCTGGTTTTCAAAGGCAATGCTTCCAGCTTTTGCCCATTCAGTATGGTATTGGTTGTGGGTTTGTCATAAATAGCGAGGAAGAGCTTTTTCAAGTATGACACAGAGAAGCTATAAAAGATAAGACTGGCAAACTGCACTATGTAAAAGTATTTAAAATTTTTTTACATATTAATATACATCAAAAACAAAGTCAAAAGGTAAATAAGAAACTTGGAAAAATATGCAACTCAAATCACAAAAGACATTATATCAATACATGCAAATTCTACAAACAAAAACAAATGACCAAGAACACAATAGAAAAATAGGCAAATTATATCTTCAGAGAGTTCATGGAAAAGAAAATACAAATGGATGGAGCATACTAAAGACACACAAAATTTCATTTAAAAGAAAATAAATACAAATTAACACTTTACTGAGATACGACTTTTTGCCTACAAGTGTCAAAAGTCAAAAAGTGTTGGTCAGCATCTAGAGATAGGCATTTTCACACGGTGTAATATGAAAGAACCTTTGTGAAAGGCAATTTGCAGAACACACACACATATATCCAACTGTTTGATTCAACTTTTCTACTTTTAAGAATTTATAATGGAAAGGTAAAATGACACATGAAAAAGTTAATTGAAGCATTGCTTAAGATACAAAAAGTATGAAAACAATCTAAATGTATATTGATAGGGAGGCTGGCTAAATACAGCCATACGATGAAATAATATGTGACTATATAAAAAGAACAGGACAGTTCTCTATGAACTGATGCCATGGTGGCTCACGCCTGTAATCTCAGCACTTTGGGAGGCCGAGGCAGGCGGATCACGAAGTCCGGAGATCAAGACCATCCTGGCTAAAACGGTGAAACCCTGTCTCTGCTAAAAATACAAAAAGTAGCTGGGTGTGGTCGCATGTGCCTGTAATCCCAGCTATTCGTGAGGCTGAGGCAGGAGAATCGCTTGAACCAGGGAGTCGGAGGTTCCAGTGAGCCCGGATCGTACCACTGCACTCCAGCCTGGCGACAGAACAAGACTCCATCTCAAAAAAAAAAAAAAAAAACAACCCCTCAAGGTACAGATTAGTGAATACAGTATTCTACTAATTGCATAAAAGAGAGGAAGAATATATTATAAAACAGAGAAGGAAGAATGTATTATATATATGTATACGCACATATTATATGTATGCCTATATATGTGCATGTACATATATATAATACATTCTTCCTTCTTTCCTTGCTTGATAAGCAAAAAGATTATCAAGTTACTTGTTTGATAAGCACCAAACATCTTCTGAAGTATACCAAAAACCGTGAACACTTGTAAAAGAATAACTGATTGACTCTAAGGAGAACTGGATGCCTGAGAGAAGGAGGTAGGAGAGACTTTGCCCTGTTATGGTGTTTTGTAAGGATTGAATTTTGAGCTGTATGAACGAATTACAAGTCAAAAAATAAAATACAGAAGTTATCTCCTCTCTATAACATCATCCCCCACTTCTGCCCTCAGTTAACTTTCCCTATCACCAATGAGTGGTATAGAGTCAACCTCCTCAGTATATCAGTATACTTCTCTGTAAACAGAACCCAGGCACAAGTCTATTTACAAAGCCAGTTTAATGAAACCACTATATAAACTCAGTTTGAAGAAAAAGTCCATTGAGTCTCCAAGATGGAGAAACTGTGAGCTGTGAGCCTCAACAACACCACATTCTGAGTTTAGAAATGAAAGGAAGCAGAGATATGGGATTAAAGTTAATGATAGTCTAGGATCCATTAGGGTTGTATTTTTTAGTAGCAAGAACATTCCTGGGATTTTGAAGTCAGGAAAAATATTCAGTGAATGTAAAAAAAAAAAATTCTGCATTATCAACAAATTAGCCCCAAAGTGATTAAGTGTGAGACTCCAAGTACCCCAAGAACTAAGTCTGACAGAGTTTTAAGGTTCACTGGTGTCTTTTAAGAGGCAGAGATAGACCAGGAGGGAGCAAAAGAAGGAATTAAGAATTTTCCTTTCTTCCAGAGCCTATTCTTTTCTTACTAAACACATTAACCAATTTTCTACAGAAGTGGTACTGTCAAAATTCTTCCTCATGAACTGAATCTGGGGGTTCACTAAACTGAAAAGCATCTCTGGCTAAAAATGCACCAACTGTACAACACAAAAGATTAAAATTAAAATTATGGAAAGTTGTCTTTGAAGGGATAAGGGTGAAGTGGTCTGTAAATTTAACTAAGGAAGGCAGTGGCTAACCCTCTTCTTTCTACACAAAGAACCCATCACTGATGAGTTTGCCCTTACACTGGTTAGATACCATAGCAAACTTCCTAGTACAAATAGAAAATTGATTGTAAACCAGAACATGTAGAAGTGAAAGAGACCTTGGACAGACTTCCTAAAAATACTGCCAAGGAAACTGAGACCAAGAAAATTGCCCAAAGTGACGCAGGTGATTAATGGTAGCGCTACCTCTGCTTGGTCTTGTGTTTACTTTTGCCTTTAAATATTTTAAAAGACACTGATGACCACTGATCTTGAATGGATCTCAAAGCTTTGCAAGGAGGCAGGGGGGCTTACTTAGGGAAGACTTCCTTTCTCCCATAGATTTAACTCCTTTATAAGTATAATTCATTTGTTGTGTGCATATATGACTATATTTGGAAAGAAGTAGTATTTATGGTGCTGAAGAGATATTCAGCATCATATCAAGATGATCAAGAAATATCAAGTTATGCCAAACACTGGGGCCACTCCCTACACTGAAATGTTTCCAAATTCTGTGATAAAAATCAAAGGCTCAAAAGTCAAGAAACAGATCCACTGTTTCTGCAATGTGTTTTGTGAACTCTATTTGTGCCCTGTGGGCCAGTCTCAGTGATGGATTTTCTTATCTATGAAATGGGACCAATGACCTCAACTCAGATTTACTTGGGTGTTCTCAGGCATGCATCAAAGGCATACTGCTGAAATTCTTAGCACATAAATACCACTATGTAATAGTGAGTCTGTAAAATAGTTATGAATAGGCAATAATGGAATAGTTAATAAATATGAGTATTGCAATATTCTTTTTATATGATTGTCTTTTAAGTCATCAAATTTCTGAACATCTTCTGAAACTGAAGGAATAGAAAAGGGAATTTAAATAGTATAAAATGCTATCATAATAATATGGTAACTGCGGGCATATCTATAGACATTCATACTGCCACGGTTAGTGGCATAAATTCTTATCTTTTGCTTAAGGAATAAATACATTTTTTCCTACAGTAGTGAATGCAGGACAGATTTCACCAGAATGAAATTGGATGGCATCAAGTCTATTTAATGTAACACTTTGTTAAACAGAATATTTTCCCCAAACCCAAAGCACCTAAAAGTTTAATTCAGGAGACTTTGGAAATGAGAGGAGGATTAAGAATGAAAAATACTTTAGTGGGAAGTGAACTTTTTAAAATTATTTTTAAAGAATCAAGGCCCCAACTTCTTCAGCACTTCAGGCAACGGATCACAGGTTTTTGTTTTATTGGAGAAGAAACAAAGTAAATAACAGTTCTGAGGATGAACAAAAGCTGTTGGGAATACCCATTTCACTCCTCAAAGTGGGGGCGCGTTTTATGAATAATTTCAGCCGGCTAACATACCTTCCTGCAAAACACAGACAAGATGTAAATTAAAAAGTGGCAGAGTTGTGGCATATTGCAAAAGTTTAAAGGGAGTCATCAGTCCTTCAGTCAGATCTCCCTGCAGAAAGGTTGGCGCTGAGGTTGGAACTGACCCTAGAGGGCTGGAGAGGACCCCTTGGGGGTGAGCAGCCGGGTTCTGGGACCCAGCAAGGTCAGGGGGCGTCTCCCCAGCTACTCTTTATCTATCCCCCGCACTCTGGAAAGCCCGAAGAGGATTCGCTCCAAGTTAGGCGCGCTGTTGGCTGTCAACGTTCTTTAGGACCTCAGGGAAACCGGGACGTTTCTGGCTTTAGGACCCAGGAACTCCGAGGCAGCCTAGACTTAGATGCCTTGGACCACAGCACCACCTACTTATAGAAGCATCCCAAGCCTCAGCCGGTCTGCATCTCCATCGGAAAGTGCGCTTGCCACATCCCTTCGGATCACTTCGTCCTCCCGAGAGCGTTCTGCCTTCTACAGCTCGGAAAGAAAGAAATCTTAGCTGTGAAGTGACCGTGGAGAAAGCGCAGGAAGCGACACAATTGGTTAGGGAGGCAGAGAGTGTGAGCGGGCGCACCCCTTGCCTGGGGACCGCGCTCGCGGGCGGGGACGGAGCATCCCAGTGGCTGCACCCGCCGCTCCGCGCTCCTGCCTGGCGTCGCCAACCCCGCGGCGGCCGCTGGAATTCCAGAGCTGCCAGGCGCTCCCAGCCGGTCTCGGCAAACTTTTCCCCAGCCCACGTGCTAACCAAGCGGCTCGCTTCCCGAGCCCGGGATGGAGCACCGCGCCTAGGGAGGCCGCGCCGCCCGAGACGTGCGCACGGTAGGCAACCCACACCAAGGCAGCCGCAGCTGCGGCGCTTGGGTACACCGCCGTGGACTCCAAATGGCCTAAGAGCGTTCTTTTAGCCCTGCGCTCTCAGTGCCTTTAGAGTTCTTTCCTTTCCCCGGAGCGCCGGCACAACGCATTATGCCGCTGGGTCGGAGCTTAGGGCTCGGCAGAGGTTGCTAATTCACTGATTATAATCACCTTCCTCTCCAACTCGTCCGCAGCTGCCCGCTCTGGATTAAGCCGCTCCGCGGCTCGTGCTAGGCAGTGGGTTCGCTTCCTCCTTCCCTCTCTTCTTTAAATTGGGACGTGCGAAGGCGCAGCTGCCTCCCCGGGGCTCTCTCCATCCCCCACACACCCTGTTTTCGCTTCTTGTCTCTCAGGTTCGTGGCGGAGAGATGCTGATCGCGCTGAACTGACCGGTGCGGCCCGGGGGTGAGTGGCGAGTCTCCCTCTGAGTCCTCCCCAGCAGCGCGGCCGGCGCCGGCTCTTTGGGCGAACCCTCCAGTTCCTAGACTTTGAGAGGCGTCTCTCCCCCGCCCGACCGCCCAGATGCAGTTTCGCCTTTTCTCCTTTGCCCTCATCATTCTGAACTGCATGGATTACAGCCACTGCCAAGGCAACCGATGGAGACGCAGTAAGCGAGGTGGGTCCCTCTCTGCCAAAGGTGCGTGGTGGGCTTCAGGGGTGGCGTGTGGAGGCGCTCACTCACGCCCTGGCTCCGGGGGCTCAGATGGTCAGGGCTGTGCTCTCCACCCCAGCTTTTGCGGGTCCCCAGTCCCCACCTTTAGGACCCTGGAGCTCTACAAAACACTCTGTTTTCTGTACCCTGGAGGCGCGGGGAGCCGGAGCGAGACGCGCTGGGAGCTCGGCGAGCCGGGCGCCAATCGGGCGCTCAGGGCTAAGTCGTGCGGTCCGCACTCATGTTCGCCGCCCCACCTCCTCATCTAAACTTGTCTCTTTAGGACGTATTTCTTATCTGACATGCATTTTTTTTTTGTCGTCGTTGTTCTTCTCTCTGTCCTCCTAACCATCTTCCCTGTAGCTCATTTGTTTTATCTTCCCCATCCACGTGCGCCCCAAACCCGGCCTCAGATCTCTTCGGACTTGACCTAGCATAGTGTGTGTGTGGTGTGTGGGTGTACCCAAGCGTGTGTCTGTATTCCGGAGCTTGGGAGGGGTACCAAGTCGAGGGGGAGGACCTCCCTTTCCAGAAAAAGGCCAACATAGATCTCTTTTTTCTGGAAACTGCGACGAGATGGGAACTTTCTGAATTAAGCAGCAATTCCCGCGCTGGTTTTCTGGGGAGTCCTCGCCTCCAGAGGTTTGTTTTTAAAACAGGCCCCACTTCGCTCTCTCCATTTGCTTTGCAAAAGCAGCCACACCGGTGGAGGCTTCTGTTCTCAATGAAATTCACTTGCGGCTTTTTAACTGCTCCCTCCCTCTCCATCACTTGTGCGTAGCGGAGAAGGCGGGTGGAAGCCTCCAGAAAGGTTTCGGGGAACTCGCTTTCCTGCAGATTTAGTGCGTATTTCTGTCTCGGAGTCCGCTGGAGATGCAACTAATCCAACTGCATTTTAGAAGAAGGGCGGCTAGACACGATTCAATTTTCTGGGTGGATTTAAACATAAACCACTCACCACACGCACATCGAATTACCCGCGCAGGAAGGGCGCGCAGCAGCCCCTTCCCAGGGACCTGGTGAGAGCTGTCTATTTCATTCGGCACTTTGGACTTTTGCGCAATTAGAATTTGTCGCCGGGTTCATGAATGTTGACTTTTTCTCCAAGATGTAAACATCTCACTCGATCTGTGATGTGATTTGTTTATAACTCATTGTGTGTAATCTCCGCTCCTGCATCCAGATTTTGAGGAGGACTTTCCGAACCTTATTTTTTTGATGGCTTTTTAGGACATTGTTAAGCTGTTCTCACCTAGGGGCAGAGCTAGAGATTGGCCCACCTGAGCGCAGAGCTCCAAATAACTGATGGTGTGCGACTTCTGTAGTCCCTGCGCTTCAATTGTCTCTGTATCTGCGGCTTGTAAGAATAAACCTTCTCCAACTTCTCTCCCTCCCTCTCCCCCGATTTCTGACTTTTGGAAATTGTTTATTTTCAGAAATTATTTTACTTAAAAATACTAGAGAGAAATTTCTTCCCAAAGGCCATGAGAGTTTGATATTGATACTTGTCTTGAAAAAGTCCCTTTTTATCTCCTCTCTCCTCCCCTCCTGATTCCTTTCTCAATCCCAGTACTTTCTTTCGAGTATTCGGCAGAGCCAGCAATTTTTGATTACATTATGGTCAAAAGTGTTTGGAGAGGCTTTTCCTCTTTTTATAAGTCAAAGCTGCAGTCTACTTAGAAAAACTAAAGTGCTTGAAGTCTGCAAAATATAGAAATGTCTAAAATCCTTTGCCAGATCCTTATTAGATGACTTGCTAATTCAGTGATGGCTTTCTGATCCACCCTGCCTGTCCCATTGTGGTTGAGTGGGGAAGAACCAAGCATATTGTTTTAGTAGAACTTAATGCAGAGATGCTGTTTGGTGGAAAAGGACATTACAGCACTCCTGCGGCCAGAAGGGATACTGCATGCCTTCTCTGCAGTGCCATCTCTAAGAATCTGCCTATGCCTTCTTAGGTATCTGAAGCAGAACCTATTTATTTCAAAGCTTACTTTTAGCAAAATCTCTTGTAACGATTACCATCCACATCCCAAAGCACTGACAGTCTAACTCTAAATTGTGCAATAGTAACTTATGCCAAATCAACCTTTCGATTTAATAAAATTCAAATGCTTTCAAGAACGTGTAAATTGGTAAGGGTGTAAAAAAAAAATCAAACTTTTTTTCTTCTTCTCAACAGATATCCCTTTACAAATCCCAAGTTTCTGGCTAAAATAACTGTCGTCCTTAAAAGTGACCACACTATCTGTACCAACAAAGGGTGTACTGTGTTTTTAATTAAAAGTGGAACTACTTAAAGGGCTGGCCAGACAGTGTAGGGTGATAGTAGCTTTTCTACTTTGCAGGGAAGCTTAAGGATTGCATTGTGAGAGTATTGAAATGAATAGAGATCTAACTCAAGTTGTGTGAATTGTCCCTCTTCACAAACTTAAGCTGGTTTTAATTGATCTCATGTCCACTGATTGATCCTACACCAATTGTTGTGCATACCAAACAATTGGCTTTCCCCAAAAAGATTGATTTCAATTAGTTCCTCAGTGAATGCTTGACTACTGGCCAAATCATGTCAGCAGTGACAGTTGACATGTTAGGGCCTATGTGATACCAACATTTCCCTTTTTCCCCTTTGTTTTGGATAGTGTCAGTTAAATATTATTTTCCAAGAAGAAAAGTAATTGGTATTTTTTATAAAAGGTGTTGTAGTTTGGAAGATTAGTTATTTTCTTGGCTTTGTGCTACAAGTAGGTGGCAGTGGTACCAGGATTGGTTAGGCTTACCCCTGGGACCTGATTCTTTTTTTTTTTTTTCCATATTCCATCTGCGAATAATCAAACCTTCACTGTGGAGCATTCTCCGAACTCCTTTGGCATTATGTTTAGTCTGCTCTATGATCTCACATGCTCCATAATATCATTTTCTTAATGAAATAAAATTCTTGGCAGAGATTAGATAATTTAGTCAGTTAAAATCAATTGCATCCAGTTTGGAATGGAGAGCAAATATATCATTTAACGGTATATTTTATTTCAAAATATAGCCAGACGATTGAGAAAATAGTATTTTGACCGTCTCTACTTTTGGACAAAACTTCAAATGGGGGAGATCATCACGAACAATAAGACTACCTACCTACCATATTTTCTTCCCCTTATTTTGAAAAATTATAAAAATGCATTTGATAGTCACTAATGGGGCCTGGTTGCAATAATTTTAAAAAATTAATTAGGCACAAACACAATACAATACTGACAATGAATATCTTTTAGAGGGGAGACACATGCCAACATTTTGAAAAGCTGATTAATAACTCTTATTTTTCTCTCCATGTAGCATATTAAGATTTGTCTCCCTGACTCCCCCTTCAAAATAGTCATGATTGGCTATTGTTAACCCCTACTATCTGTCTTGGTCTTGAAACCACTTATGATTGATTTATATGTTAAGTGGAGTTCTTTGATTACTTTCATTTTTTGGAATGGTTGTAAGCCACATTTCAGACTGGATTACTGAAAGGTGGATAGACAAATCATAACTTTATTGTGGTCTCCTGGAATTTCTGGAGCATGGCATGTAATGACTTAATCTTATATCTCCCTCATTCTATTTTTATACCTTGTGGTATTTTAACCAGGGATTTATGAAAACTTCTTGATATAATTCTCAATGCAGCAAGGTTTCCAAATGTATAATTCATGTTTCTGGTGGTCCGATGGCAGGGGGCGTGCTATGACTAGTGTTTCTTTCCGTAGCCTTTTCCGTACTGAATCCTCAGCTTCTCCTTCCTCTAATAACTCCTTGTTTCACAAAATTAGATATAGTTTCTTCCATAAAAAGGAAGGGTTTGTCACAAATATTGTGGCATGTTTCTGGTAACTGAGGCCAGAGAAAGCAAACATTTTCTCTTAAACCTTATAGAGATAAATTAATTTGTGTTTGTGTTCTTAAAAATTTAATGAAAAGATTCGAATTTTTTTTTTACAAATACTTTCTAAATAGTTTACTTCTCCTGATATTCTTTCAAAATACAAAATGACACATGGAACATACTAACCTACAGTTAAATGAAAAAGTTTCAAAACACATTTTGTACACTTGCTTACTTTAAGTTCCAAAGTATTTCAGAAAAGCTGATGTGATGTTTAACTTTGCAACATAAACATGTTCTGTTCTTTTCTCTTTTTTGATTGGCTGCTTTCTCTTCCAACATAACGGCATAATTTTTTAAGGCAGGGTCTTACCAGTACAGAGAGGTCAGAAAGTTGCTGTGCTCAAACTAACATCTTATTTTGCCACAGAAATTTGGAAGTGATTCAGAATAGGTGACATTCCCCTAGGCCCTGGGCTTTCTTTATTTGCTTTTAAAATCCAGCTTGGCTAGAATCCAATATTCACAGAAATCACAAGTTGGAAATGACACTTCTAGTTCCCTAATGCAAAACCACCTCTTATTTAGAGACAAACTGGCCAGTTTGTGGAATATCCAGGGTACTTCTTTCCTTCCAACTGACTGCCTTTAAACTATTTCTTTTGGAAATACGTATCCTTATCCATCCCAAGTCCAGGAAGTAGGGGACAGACAGATTTTATTTGATATAAGCTTGATAACTACTCTGCTAAAAGGAGGTGATAAACTCTGGGATGACAAAGTTTTAAAATTTCTGTATTTAAGATGACATGAAGCTTATTTTTTCTCCATTAACTGCAGCAATCAAGGGCTGATCAGGTGAAGACAGTGTTGCGTATCTATATTTATACATTTTCATATGTTCATCCAGAATAAATAGAAAACATGCTAATTAATACTAAAGTGTATACATAATGTATATTTATATATATTAGGGAAGGTATATATGCATACGTGTATACATGGGTGTGTGTGTAGGGAAAGCGATGAGTATAGTATAATTATGGAGGATCGGGATTTCAGAACTAAAAGATTTTCACTCATTTTTTTCTAGTCCTTTTCATCTTTCTCTTCGACAAGATGAAAAGATGGGAGTGGGTGGGAAAGGGGGTGGCAGGGAGAGAATGAGAATAAGATTGGGTAGGGATAGTGTTTTTACTCTTTCCAAAGCCCACCTTCCACCTGTTCTTCTCTCCTCTAGGACCCTTCTGGATCAGTCACCCTTATTTCAAGCATGCTGCTGTTCCTCTAATCCCAAAATTGCTGATTCCCTCCTTCTTCACACTGCTTTCCAATCTCTTCTGCTTTCCTTCACTTCTTCCCTTCCCTCCTCTGGCTTGATAATCCTGTTTCATTCACTCTTCAATCTGTTACTATTTGGCTTCTACCTTCACCCTTTTAATAAAAAGATTTTCTTTTCTTTAAAGAAATTAACAAACAAGAAAAATATTAAAAGTTTATAAATGTTAGACTTATTTTTTAGAGCGCTTTTAGGTTCACAGCGAAATTGAGTGGAAGGTACAGAGATTTTTAGAAAGGGGTTTCTTAATGGCCAGTCATACTCCCCTCATTGCCAAGTCCAGCATCGGTACAGTTCTCTGGGACTTGTTCCTATGGTGATATCTTATCACCTCTTTCCTTTGGCTAGTGACACTGCACTGGTTTTACCTCCTATTTTCTGTCCATTCTCTTCTTTGGTTCCCTCACTGAGAATGTAGACTAGTGTTTCTTCACCTTTATTCATTTCCTTGGGGAATTTTACCCGTCCCTGTTTCTCGAACTGTCATTTCTACATAAAGTCCTTTAATTCTAGGCTCAATTTTTCTTTTCTTCTTTTTTTTTCTTTCAGCTTCAGATTATCCTACACTCAGATCTCCCAATTACTGCCAATATGGATAGATATTCCATGCATACTCAAACCTGACAATTCGCTTTCTTTTCTGTGCCCCCTCCCAAATGTGTTCCTCTGCTTATATTCTTTTTTTATCCATGGAGTTCTGGGTGCCAAGGCTGGGAGCCTCGCTATAGTCTTTGACTTTTCTGTTGCCTCGTATCAGTTTGTTCTTGCCTAAACTATATCGGATTAGTGAGTTTATATCCATCTCATTCTTTCCATTCCCAAAGATATTTCCTAGCTCAGGCTCTCATAGACTCCTCATCCTCCAGCATCTACTTCAATCCACTTATGATGCTCCATCCCTTACAGTGCTGCCACATTCCATTTTTCTCCACCACAGATCTGATCATATTACTTCTCTGCTAATAAACCCTAAACCTCCCAGGCCTCCATATTGACTGCCGAATAAACACCAGCCTTTTCTATAGCAGTCAGCGTTCCCCACCATCTGACCACAGCCTGCTTTCAACCTTCTACCACCTTGAAAGCACACTTGGCTTAAGCTATCCCAGATAACTTCATTTCTGGGCATGCCATGTGTTTTCAAGCTCTTGCGCTGTTGAGCATGTGTGTGGTGCCCACCTAAAATGCCACTGCTTCTGTGAAGCCTTCCTGGAATTTTCTGCCTTCCTTTCTAAAGCCAAAATCAATTATTCCCTCATAGTTTCTTAGATTTCTGGGCTATTCTTAAAGGACTCTTATTTTTCCTTTTTTTCTGGTTATCTTGCCTTATGTATCATCATATTTTAAGCTTCTCTTAGGCAGAACTACGGTACATTTATCTTTGTACTCCTCAAACTAGACCTTTTAGAGTGCTTTCTCCACAAAATGTAGTGGAACAAAAAGTCATTGTATATAACATTTTTGTTGTTTTCCCTTAAAATTATTTTGGTGACTTAATGAGAAATGCTGTTTTTTTAAAAATTGAAGTTCTTTGCACATAGTTGATGTTTGAATGATTAAATATTATGGGTATTCTCATTATTTATAATTCTTTATAGTTTAAAGAAAAATTAAAAAAAAAAACAGGTATAAAAGCATTCCCAGCCCAGTACTCATTCTGAAGTCTCTTCTGATTATTTCAGAATTTCTCCGAGTACACTAGTGTCTGTGTATCTGTATACTTGTTTGTTATTTGAATGATTGAGTATTCCAAGTGACAGGTGATTTGTGGGTATGGTAGGGAAAACTGGTGGTAGTGGGGTAACCCTTTTTTTTTTTTTTGAGATGGAATTTCGCTCTTGTTGCCCAGCCTGGAGTGCAATGGTGTGATCTTGACTCACTGAACCTCCACCTCCTGGGTCCAAGTGATTCTTCTGCCTCAGCTTCCCAAGTAGCTGGGATTATAGATGCCCAATACCATGCCCAGCTAATTTTTGTATTTTTAGTAGAGATGGGGTTTTGCCATGTTGGCCAGGCTGGTCTTGAACTCCTGACCTCAGGTGATCCTCCCGCCTTGGCCTCCCAAAATGCTGGGATTACAGGCGTGAGCCACCGTGCCCGGCTGGTAACCCATATTTTAAAAAATACTTATTTTATAGAAAAGGGCAATAAAGGATTTTTATCCCCAAACACTTTGACCATATGAATGAATAATAATTTAGGATAAAATAAAAGAAAGTGGTATTTGCCTTCTATATACTCATATTAATAATATAAGTACAGGAAAAAATTTAATCCTAGTTATTATATTTATGATTTTAGTATAATAAATGTAGCTATGTGGACATACCCATGAGAGATACAGATGTGTGTGTATTTTAGAACAAGTTCTGTAAGTATGAAGAGACCACACAGTTCTGTGTAGTGCCTTCCAGGAGAACACTGACATTTCACTGTCCTTTGAATGAAGTGGGACCTGTTTGACGTATACAGAAGGTGAGCTGCTTATAGAAACGTGTGGTTTTAAAACTAACAGTTAAGAGGAAGAGAACAGAGCTAGGATCCAACTTTCCTGAATTCACTAGGTTTTCCTGTACACGGTATGTTTCAACATAAACATTAATTCAAAGAAAAGAAATTCCCTTTGACCCCATTCAAAATTCTTCAGACCACAGACCCTTATTGATCCCCAGAACTTCCTACAACTCATAATTATGCTAATAAAGTAATGAATATTAAATAACTGAAGGCTGAGGGGTGGAGTAATTGAGGGGCAGGACCATAAGTATGTTTTAGTAAAAATTTGCATACTTGCATTGGTAATTTTTAAAATTATTTTTGAATATGAATTATAGAAACATTTCTAGTATAGCCAGAACAAATGTGTGTGTGCATGTGTGTACTTGCCTGTACATGTGTTCATGTATGTGTGTATGGGTGTCTATGTGTATTTTGTGTTTAACACATGTTAGAATAATAAGGGTCAGAGCAAAGGTATTAAATATCTCTTATTTTTTACTCTAAAATGTAGAGAAAGTGATTATAGGTAGCTTTTCTCATCTAGTCATTTGGAGAAAACCTTTTACAATTTACTTAAAACTTTTTCAATTTTCATCTCTTGCTGAAAGATACTAAGAGCACTTATAAAATAGAAGTTACCCAGTTTAGCACATTTGTTTTCAGAAGGGTTTCTTAACTTGGGGTCCAGAGGTAGGGCTAGGGTTTTTGTAAGCTTCCTGAAATTAGAAGCAAAAACATTTTCTGTTGCTTTTTGTGGTGTAGAGGGACGATATAGAGCTTTCACTAAAGTCTCAAAGAGGTCCAAGTTTCATCTCTTTCCTTCAATAGGTTAAGGAGCATTGGCTTAAAAAATAGGAGGTGGACCTTCCAAATTAGCATGATGCCAAATGACTGCTTCAAAGTGATACACATAATTGTTTTCTAAAAGTTTATTTTCCTTGTGTGAGTTTTCAGCCATTTGCTATGTTTATATTTAACAATATGAAGCCACACTGGAAGCACTGTCTCAAGATTTATTTCAGTAAATAATTACTTGGCAAGTAATTCCTTACTCAAAGACAATAGTTGTTAAATTCTCTCAATCCCACTAAAGAGTTTATAAAAGTACAACACAAATATACAGTATAGGGGTTTTGTTAAAACTTCTCATGTGATCTAACTTTTATCTCATTAAGAAAACAGTTAATATATAGTTTTAGAAATAGCTGTTGTAGCTTTCCAGCTGGTGACATGTGGTGCTGGCATTGATCTGACTTGAGGCATCATGCTGCCAGTTCACAGAATGGCCAGAACTGGGGCTTAGCACTCTTCAATTCTGGCCAAGTGGGCTCCTGCTAGATCTTTGTTTCTGTGTCAGCACATTTTAGAATTTTTGTAACATGAAGGCCTTAGTCCCTCCCCTGTTGCTGGATACAATTGCCAACTAATCACCTCAGCAATGAAAACACATGGACCAATAGAGGGCACACTTTGCATTCTTTTCCCTGTGCTTTGTTCTCTGAAATTTTGTGGGATTTGTGCTTCCTTTGCTTTGCCCTATTGGTTCAGGGGCGAAACCTGCTCTGCTCCCCCCATGGACACTGTGGTCATCTTGATGTCATCACAGAGAGAACAAAGGAACAAATAAAAAGAACTTTCAGTCTTACTGAGCATTTCTTGTTTTGATCGCTAATCTCCTTTTGACAAGACCTCACCAAGAGGCAAACTGAACCAACCTCACTGTTTTAGTATCTGTGAGACACAGATGTGAAAGCTACAGATTTAATTAACATGCAGGTAGATTCCAGCTTCTACAGCCACTTTGAAAAACATCAGTGGGTTTTATTTTATTTTTTAAATTCAGATGTTTTACATAAGATGAATGCCCTAAAATGTAAGCAACTGGTGAAATTTGGAGTTGCCCAAATGACTGCAAATTAATACTTCCCAATTAATTGTTTTTCGAATTCTTTAATCTTTATAGAGGGACCTATTTATTTCGATGCTTCTCTCATACTTTGGCCCTTTGAGAATTGTAAAAATTGTCTAATATTTTGAAAATCCAAAGTTGTTGTTGTTATTTTTTTGAGACTGAGTCTCGCTCTGTCCCAGCCAAAGTATTTTTAAGTTCTTATTCCCCCTTGTGTAATAAAGTATGACTTGGGGCTGAAAAATTCTCTGGCATCGGCCGGGCGCGGTGGCTTATGCCTGTAATCCCAGCACTTTGGGAGGCCGAGGCGGGCGGATCACGAGGTCAGGAGATCGAGACTATCCTGGCTAACATGGTGAAACCCCGTCTCTACTAAAAATACAAAAAAAAAAAAAAAAAAATTAGCCGGGCTTGGTGGCGGGTGCCTGTAGTTCCAGCTACTCAGGAGGCTGAGGCAGGAGAATGGCGTGAACCCGGGAGGCGGAGTTTGCAGTGGGCCGAGATCGCACCACTGCACTCCAGCCTGGGTGACAGAGCGAGACTCTGTCTCAAAAAAAAAAAAAAAAAAAAAAAAGTTCTCTGCCATCTCATTGTTTTTCACCTCACATGCTATGTTCTCATGCCTCTTCCTGGTAGTCAAAAGCAGGCTTTTAATGTTGAATGATCTGCGCTGTGTCATCATTAAACTTCATGTTTAGTTATTCACTCTTTTTCTCCTCCAAGATTTTGAAGACTTACTTTACCCTGTTGATTCAGCTGGCAGACCTCCTCTGCAATCCCCATGAAGTTTAACCGAATCATAGGAGATTAATATCCTATGACCAAATGACATATCATCTGCTCACCCCCAAAAATATAACTCTTTGGGGGTAACTATGGTATCTGTCATTCCCTGCTCTTTTACTGTCATAGATGGTCTTTAAAAACTCTGCCCTGGATGAGACACCTTGCTGGTCTAGTGTATTGGGAAGAGTTGTTCCTGCAGCTCCCATGTTACCATACCTAAACAGACATTAAAAGAAGGGAATCCTGGTCTTTGACTTGTCATGTCTTCTGGGTAGTTCTAGTAGGTGGAAGAACGTCTACAAGAACTTATGTTTATTTTGATACTTGCTTCTTGATGACGTTCTAGAGGTTCACTTTCTTCAGATGTGTGTGTGTTTAAGGGAATTTTGAGAAACTCTTGCTTGTTAGTTCTGGGCTCTTCTAAGGAGATATGAGGAAGTGGGGGAGAATAGCTGTAGGTTGGGTAACTGGAATGAAGAAACTAGCTTAATATTTTTTACTTATCCAAGGACTTCAGAAAAATCAGAGCTGTCCTATCCATAGCATTCCTTCCACTGATGAAAGATATCTTGTGGCCGCCCTCCTTCACCCAGCATAGTGCAATTGAGAAACTTTGTTAGGGTCAAGAAACTACGTAATTTGAAAAACCACTGGTGTCTGATAAATGTACAGCAGTCGTTCCCAGAAGCACTATTAGTGGGTTGAGGTTAGTTTGTTGTGGTGATAGAGAAGCCATTTGCACCACTCCTGGTGGTCAGTAAGTTACATCAGCAGTGGCTGATATGATTCTTGACTGAATCCTGTCAATTATGAAAGTTCTTTTTTCCCCTCATTTAAATAATATTACCCTGAAAATTGATCTAGAGCTTTGGAAACTACCCCTTGAAAACTGATTCCCCAAATCATAAGTTTAGTGTAATTTAATTGTTCTCTATGCAGAGGGGAATTAGTTCTTTGCAGCTACTATGGGTGATCTCAACATGATTTTTATTTGAAAGTGACTCAGATGAATAACTGTTCAGGAGGCTTGGCAAGCTTCTGCATATCAAGCAGTCGTTTTTTGTTGTTGTTGAATTCAGAGAGAAAAGTTTAAGAAATGTGACAGGCTGGACCTAGGGAAAGGAAAGAGCAGGAACAAGACCATTTCCTCAAACTTGAGGTCGATCATGTGAAAAACGAATGTGATTTATTTTTGAAATTAAAGAAAAAAGTATTTTATGAAGAGGAAGATTAAAGTTTATATTTAGAAAATTATCCACTAATGGAAGAGACCCTTCTTTGGAATTTTGACTTTGGAAGCTGCCTCTTTCCAACAGCAGAGAGCATCTCGTGAGAGTGTTTTAAAGCTGGTGACTTGACAACACTCTCAAGAGTGAACTCTAAGGACCTTTCACACTGTAAGAGCCACCCCACAGCCATCTGTAATGCATGTGGTATCTAATAGGTAGTTAAATATAAAGTCTTGTTGACAGCTGCTTGAACTCAAAATACAAGACTCTTGCCTTCCTGAAGAGAGGACACTAAACAAAACTACTTTAAGAGATGGGGTCTTCTTTGGGAGGCCGAGGCGGGTGGATCATGAGGTCAGGAGATCGAGACCATCCTGGCTAACAAGGTGAAACCCCGTCTCTACTAAAAATACAAAAAATTAGCCGGGCGCGGTGGCGGGCACCTGTAGTCCCAGCTACTCGGGAGGCTGAGGCAGGAGAATGGCGTGAACCCGGGAAGCGGAGCTTGCAGTGAGCCGAGATTGCACCACTGCAGTCCGCAGTCCGGCCTGGGCGACAGAGCGAGACTCTGTCTCAAAAAAAAAAAAAAAAAAAAAAAAAGAGATGGGGTCTTGCTGTGTTGCCCAGGCTGGGCTCAAGCGATCCTCCCACCTTAGCTTCCTGAGTAGCTGAGATGACAGGCATGTGCCACGACTCTCAGCTAAAATTGCTTCTTGAGATTCCGCACCATATGCTTCTGCATCATTGTTGTAAACTTCAGTAATATGCTAGATATTGACATTCAATATGAATTTCTAAAAGAAGGTGTATACCTCAATTCTTACATGACCATGATGCTAATTTGTAGGATGTTTCATTATAAGAAACTTTGAGATTTCAATATGACTATAATCAGCATGGGTTATACCATACAGATATTTTGCTTTCTTTAATGGGTTGCTAGACTGGAAGACAAGTATTAGACAAAATTTTATTAATACTATCTGGCACACCTATGAGGGCATAATAGGCTTAAAAACCCGTTCAGACAAGGTAGAGAAATGCAAGTATATCATCTTAAGTTACTTTCGTGAGTTACATTTGGTAGAGAGTGGTGAGTAATGGATTGATGTCTACTCTGTGGGAATCCTGGGTATACAGAAGGAACCTGTCTTCAGCCTTGTCTGAAACAATATTTTCTTAATGATTTCATTGAAGACAGGTGGTAGGCTAACCACACTTTTGCATAATATGAAGTTGAACAGGACATTTAGGATGTGGGATGACTGGTTACAAAAAGATCTCAATGGCTAGGAATGACAGGATGAATTTACAAATGAAATCTTAATCAGAAACATGTAGAGTTTACTCTTTAAAATGAAAGAACTTGCCGGGCGTAGTGGCTCACACCTGTAATCCCAGCACTGTGGGAGGCCGAGGCGGGCAGATCACAAAGTCAAGAGATTGCGACCATCCTGGCCAACATGGTGAAACCCTGTCTCTGCTAAAAATACAAAAATTAGCTGGGTGGGGTGGTGCATGCCTGTAGTCCTAGCTACTCGGGAGGCTGAGGCAGGAGAATCACTTGAACCCGGGAGGCGGAGGATGAAGCAAGCTGAGATTGTGCCACTGCACTCCAGCCTGGGCAACAGAGCGAGACTCTGTGAGTGTGTGTGTGTGTGTGTGTGTGTGTGTGTGTTCACACATACATGCACCAACAATGGAAGAATAGGATGTCGGACACAAGGTTTTCTCATTGATTTTTGACTTACTCTGAGGTTATAATGTAATGTAATTGCAAAAAGAATTGGTTGCATTAAGAGAAATATTTACCTAGATTCAAGAATAAACCAGATGAAGGCTCTTAGCCTATCTTATATTCTTTTCTAGAGTCATTACTTTAAGAAATGCATTGGCAGCACACATTATTATACAGTATTAATTTCCTAGGACTGCTGTGACAAAGTACTACAAACTGGATGGTGTGAAACAGCAGAAATATCTTTTCTCACCATCTGGAGGCTAAAAGTCCAAAATCAAGATGCAAGGAGGTTCATGCTCTCTCTGAGACTCTAGGGGAGGAGACTTCCTTGTTTCTTCCAGCCTCTGGTAGCCTCAGGTGTTCCTTGACTTGTAACAGTAGAATTCCAATCTCTGCTTCTATGTTCACATGGCTGTCTTACCTCTGGGTTTATTTCTTTTGTCAGAAAACCAGTTCTATTAGATTAGGGCTCACCTTAATAACCTAATGTTAACTTGATTACATCTGCAAAAACCCTATTTGCAAATAAGGCCACATTCACAGGCACTGAGAATTAGGACTTCAACATATCTTCTTTGAGTACACAATGCAACCCATAACAAATACCCTTTGCATCATACCCGGTAGTCTTTTAAATCCTTATTTTCATAACAACCCTGTGGAATATTGTTAATTATACCATAATATTATTAGTATAACAAGTAGTGGTTATAGAAGTGGAATACTTAGTAGAGGTAGGATCACTGCATATAGCTACAGAGTGTATATTGGACATAAAGCAAGAATATTAATGGCACCCCCTGGACTTGTGCATACCATGGCCCTGAGGGTGGGAATGCTTTAGACATGGTTTATAAGTGTACGGTGTTTGGAGTATGTAACCTCAAGTTCCTTTCTTCCTCTAAAGTTGTGTGAAACTACACAAACTCAGAGTCACCTCTTTATTACTTATTACAACATCTTTATTACTTTTTCAAACAAATCTGTACATCAACTTGGCTTCTTGCTGTTCATCTCTATCAGCTGAAGCTGAACATTCAGTTTAGCTGTTTTTTTTTTGTTTGTTTTTGAGACGGAGTCTCACTCTGTCACCCAGGCTGCAGTGCAATGGCGTGGTCTCAGCTCACTGCAACCTCTGCCTCCCAGGTTCAAGTGATTCTCCCGCCTCAGCCTCCTGAGTAGCTGGGACTACAGGTATGTGCCACCACACCTGGCTAATTTTTGTATTTTTAGTAGAGACAGGGCTGGTCTCAAACTCCTGACCTTTGTGATCTGCCTGCCTCGGCCTCCCAAAATGCTGGGATTACAGGTGTGAGCCACCGTGCCTGGCCTTAGCTGTTTTTATTGAAGAAGTTAGCTGTCCTCTAAGAGCTGCTAGTGCTCTTTATGGAGCATTAGTGAAATCTCAATATTGCCTACTATACATGGCTTCTGGTGGTAGAGTGTCTTAAACTAGTCTTCTCTGATTTTGAATAGTGTCAAATGCTGGCACTGCCAAGGGGCTTGATCTATTCATGCTTGTGTGTTGCATATAAAGGGCTAGTAAGAACATTCTTTTAAAGCTATTGTGAAATTTTTGAAACATAAAAAAGTAATGTGATGAATCCCTACATATGCCTCACCCAGGCTGAACAAATATTGACATTTTGCCACACTGACTTTATTTATTCTTTATTTTCTGTTTTACTTTGTATTGGCTGAAATGTTGTAAAGAAAATCGCAGATATTACATCATTTCACCCTACATATTTCTGAGTGTATTTCTTACAAATAGAGATTTTCTTTCCAAAATTCAATGTCATTAATCTACCTGACAAAATTCGTTATTTCTTGATAGCACCTCTTAATAATCGGTATGTAATGGATTTCCCCAATTGCCTCAAAAATGTCTTTATACAGTGGCTATGCTTGAATCAGCATTGAAATAACACCCACTCATTGCACTTGGTGGGTATGTACCTAAAGTTTCTTTGATTCTAGGGTATTACTTCCTTCCCACTCAGTTTTCAATGCCATTGACTTATTGAAAAAGAAAAGTCAATTTTCTGCAGAATATCTCACATCTTTCCATGTGTTCTCCTCTTGGGGTTGTTTAACTTGTTCCTCAATCTTCCACAATTTCTGTGAACTAGAAGTTCTCCTTGAAGGTTGGATTAGATTCAGGTTCAACTTTTTTGGCTGGAACACTGTGTAGGTGATACTGAGTGCTTCATATTACATCACACCAGGAGGCACACAATGTCTCGTTGTGCCATTCTTAGTCATGCTGAGATTAACCAGTGGGTTCATGTGGTACCAGCCCAATCACCCTCCATTTTAATATTTGTCTGAATTAACAGTTTCATTAGGGGTTGCAAAATAGTGATTTTTTTTTCTAATTCTTACCACATTTATTAGCTGAAAATTTTCTATTAAAAACTGTTCCTTTTTCAGCTATAGATATTTTTGTACTATGAAACACAATTCTTCCAGGTAAAGCAGATGATAAGCTTATTTTCTTCCATTTTAATTGCAGGTTCTTAGAAAAGAGAGTTGATACGTGTTTAGCTGGGACAGTGGGTGAGCTTCATGTAAGTGAATAAAGTGCTTTGATTTGTGTCAAGCCATTCCTTGTCAGATGGAGGAGAAGTCTTCCAACAGTTTCTGCTTACTGCAACAGCAGTAGTAAAATGACATTAAAAAAAAAAGACTTGTTGGTTTTTGCTAACAGGAATGAAATGCAAACCTTCTGGAAACCTGAATTCAATTAGACATCTTCTGATAATGTTTTCTGTTAATAGCTTTCAGAGAAGCTACTGAGTTGAACATACAGTAGCTTCAGTATGGTGTAATCTGAGGCTCATTGGATGGAAAAACAGTACTTTCTGCTACTTTAAACACTCTCTGGAAGGCTTAGAGAGGAGAGGAAGGAAAATATTTGAGGAGATCAACTGGATGTTGTAGAATACAAGTAATGTCACCTGAGAAGGATTAAGTTTTCTCAAAGCTTGTCTTGAATGGCAGCTAGCCACTTAGATTTGGCCCTTGTAACCCATCAGGCTTGTCTGTTTCTGTGCACTCTTGTCTTTTCTTTTTCTTTTTCTTTTTTTCTTTTTTTTGAGATGGAGTTTTGCTCTTTGTAGCCCAGGCTGAAGTGCAATGGCACGATCTCTGCTCACTGTAACCTCTGCCTCCTGGGTTCAAGTGATTCTCCTGCCTCAGCCTCCCAAGAAGCTGGGATTACAGGCACCCACCACCATGCCCAGCTAATTTTTGTATTTTTAGTAGAGATGGGGTTTCACCATGTTGGCCAGGCTGGTCTGGAACTACTGATCTCAGGTGATCCGCCCACCTTGGCCTCCCAAAGTGCTGGGATTACAGACGTGAGCTACCACGCCCAGCCTGCTGTGCAGTCTTTAACTTAACATATAAAGAAGGGGCCTAGAGATTACATGTCTTCTGTGGGCAGGGGACAGTAAAGTTTTTTTTTTTTTTTTTTATTCCTTCTGCTTATTAGGTGCAGCTGGCTCTTTCTAATTACAGAAACCTTTCCTTTATTCATTTAAAAACTTAGCTCATTGCTTTGAATCATTACTATTGGCATAGTTTTTGTATGACCTGTTGAAAGATACCCATAATATGTACATTTAACAGTTTTACTATCCAGTGAAGTCAAAAATTTAATTCACACGAATGCCTATTGAGAGGATTAAAGGGCTCATTATACATTTTGGCCATAAGTATTATGAATATACAATATTTAATACGTGGCTCGTAAAACTCTTGCTGGAGTAAGACAACACTGGAGGTGTGTGCTTTTCTTACTAGTAAAGTGCCTTCGTAGTACTCTTCTTTTTTTTTTTTTTTTTCAATTTCTGAGATACATGTGCAGAATGTACAGGTTTGTTACATAGGTATACATGTGCCACGTGGTTTGCTGCACCTATTAACACGTCATCTAGGTGTTGTAGTACTCTTTTTTTTTTAACTTATACTTTAAATTCTAGGGTACATGTGCACAATGCGCAGGTTCGTTACATATGTATACATAGGCCATGTTGGTGTGCTGCACCCATTAACTCATCATTTACATTAGGTATATATCCTAATGCTATCCCTCCCCCTTCTCCCCACCCCACAACAGGCCCCGGTGTGTGATGTTCCCCATCCTGTGTCCAAGTGTTCTAATTGTTCAGTTCCCAACTATGAGTGAGAACATGGGGTGTTCGGCTTTGTCCCTGTGATAGTTTGTTGAGAATGATGGTTTCCAGCTTCATCCATGTCCCTACAAAGGACATGTACTCATCCTTGTTTATGGCTGCATAGTATTCCATGGTGTATATGTGCCACATTTTCTTAATCCAGTCTATCATTGTTGGACATTTGGGTTGGTTCCAAGTATTTGCTATTGTGAATAGTGCCCCAATAAACATACGTGTGCATGTGTCTTTATAGCAGCATGATTTATAATCCTTTGGGTATATACCCAGTAATGAGATGGCTGGGTCAAATGGTATTTCTAGTTCTAGATCCTTGAGGAATCACCACACTGACTTCCACAATGGTTGAACTAGTTTACAGTCCCACCAACAGTGTATAAGTGTTCCTATTTCTCCACATCCTCTCCAGCACCTGTTGTTTCCTGACTTTTTAATGATTGCCATTCTAAATGGTGTGAGATGGTATCTCATTGTGGTTTTGATTTGCATTTCTCTGATGGCCAGTGATGATGACCATTTTTTCATGTGCCTGTTGGCTACAAAAATGTCTTCTTTTGAGAAGTATCTGTTCATATCCTTTGCCCACTTTTGGATGGGGTTGTTTTTTTCTTGTAAATTTGTTTTTTTTGTAGATTCTGGATATTAGCCCTTTGTCAGAGGAGTAGATTGCAAAAATTTTCTCCCATTCTGTAGGTTGCCTGTTTCACTCTGATGGTAGTTTCTTTTGCTGTGCAGAAGCTCTTTAGTTTAATTAGATCCGATTTGTCAATTTTGGCTTTTGTTGCCATTGGTTTTGGTGTTTTAGACATGAAGTCCTTGCCCATGCCTATGTCCTGAATGGTATTGCCTAGGTTTTCTTCTAGGGTTTTTATGGTTTTAGGTCTAACGTTTAAGTCTTTAATCCATCTTGAATTAATTTTTGTATAAGGGGTAAGGAAGGGATCCAGCTTCAGCTTTCTACATATGGCTAGCCAGTTTTCCCAGCACCATTTATTAAATAGGGAATCCTTTCCCCATTGCTTGTTTTTCTCAGGTTTATCAAAGATCAGATGGTTGCAGATGTGTGGCATTATTTCTGAGGGCTCTGTTCTGTTCCATTGGTCTATATCTCTGTTTTGATACCAGTACCATGCTGTTTTGGTTACTGTAGCCTTGTAGTATAGTTTGAAGTCAGGTAGCGTGATGCCTCCAGCTTTGTTCTTTTGGCTTAGGATTGACTTGGCAATGCGGGCTCTTTTTGGTTCCATATGAACTTTAAAGTAGTTTTTCCAATTCTGTGAAGAAAGTCATTGGTAGCTTGATGGGATGGCATTGAATCTATAAATTACCTTGGGCAGTATGGCCATTTTCATGATATTGATTCTTCCTGTCCATGAGCATGGAATATTCTTCCATTTGTTTGTGTCCTCTTTTATTTCATTGAGCAGTGGTTTGTAGTTCTCCTTGAAGAGGTCCTTCATGTCCCTTGTAAGTTGGATTCCTAGGCATTTTATTCTCTTTGAAGCAATTGTGAATGGGAGTTCACTCATGATTTGGCTCTCTTTTTGTCTGTTATTGGTGTATAAGAATGCTTGTGATTTTTGCCGGTTGATTTTATATCCTGAGACTTTGCTGAAGTTGCCTATCAGCTTCAGGAGATTTTGGGCTGAGAAGATGGCGTTTTCTAGATATACAATCATGTCATCTTCAAACGGGGACAATTGACTTCCTCTTTTCCTAGTTGAATGCCCTTTATTTCCTTCTCCTGCCTGATTGCCCTGGCCAGAACTTCCAACACTATTTTGAATAGGAGTGGTGAGAGAGGGCATCCCTGTCTTGTGCCAGTTTTCAAAGGGAATGCTTCCAGTTTTTGCCCATTCAGTATGATATTGGCTGTGGGTTTGTCATAAATAGCTCTTATTATTTTGAGATACTTCCTATCAATACCTAATTTATTGAGAGTTTTTAGCATGAAGGGCAGTTGAATTTTGTCAAAGTCCTTTTCTGCATCTATTGAGATAATGATGTGGTTTTTGTCTTTGGGTCTGTTTATATGCTGGATTACATTTATTGATTTGCGTATGTTGAACCAGCTTTGCATTCCAGGGATGAAGCCCACTTGATCATGGTGGATAAGCTTTTTGATGTGCTGCTGGATTCAGTTTGCCAGTATTTTATTGAGGATTTTTGCATCAATGTTCATTAGGGATATTGGTCTAAAATTCTTTTTCCATTGTGTCTCTGCCAGACTTTGATATCAGGATGATTCTGGCCTCATAAAATGAGTTAGGGAGGATTCCGTCTTTTTCTGTTGATTGGAATAGTTTCAGAAGGAATGGTACCAACTCCTCCTTGTACCTCTGGTAGAATTCGGCTGTGAATCCAACTGGTCCTGGACTTTTTTTGGTTGGTAGGCTATTATTGCCTCAATTTCAGAGCCTGTTATTGGTCTATTCAGGGATTTAACTTCTTCCTGGTTTAGTCTTGGGAGGGTGTATGTGTCCAGGAGTTTATCCATTTCTTCTAGATTTCCTAGTTTATTTGTGTAGAGGTGTTTATAGTATTCTCTGATGGTAGTCTGTATTTCTGTGGGATCGGTGGTGATATCCCCTTTGTCATATTTTATTGCATCTATTTGATTCTTCTCTCTTTTCTTCTTTGTTAGTCTTGCTAGCAGGCTATCAATTTTGTTGATCTTTTCAAAAAACCAGTTCCTGGATTCATTGATTTTTTTGAAGGGTTTTTTATGTCTCTATCTCCTTCAGTTCTGCTCTGATCTTAGTTATTTCTTGCCTTCTGCTAGCTTTTGAATGTGTTTGCTTCTGCTTCTCTAGTTCTTTTAATTGTGATGTTAGGGTGTCAATTTTAGATCTTTCCTGCTTTCTCTTGTGGGCATTTAGTGCTATAAGTTTCCCTCTACACACTGCTTTAAATGTGTCCCAGAGATTCTGGTATGTTGTGTCTTTGTTCTCATTGGTTTCAAAGAACATCTTTATTTCTGCCTTCATTTCGTTATGTACCCAGTAGTCATTCAGGAGCAGGTTGTTGAGTTTCCATGTAGTTGAGCGGTTTTGAGTGAGTTTCTTAATCCTGAGTTGTAGTTTGATTGCACTGTGGTCTGAGAGACAGTTTGTTATAATTTCTGTTCTTTTACATTTGCTGAGGAGTGCTTTACCTGCAACTATGTGGTCAATTTTGGAATATGTGTGATATGGTGCTGAGAAGAATGTATATTCTGTTGATTTGGGGTGGCGAGTTCTGTAGATGTCTGTTAGGTCCGCTTGGTGCAGAGCTGAGTTCAATTCCTGGATATCCTTGTTAACTTTCTGTCTCGTTGATCTGTCTAATGTTGACAGTGGGGTGTTAAAGTCTCCCATTATTATTGTGTGGGAGTCTAAGTCTCTTTGTAGGTCTCTAAGGATTTGCTTTATGAATCTGGGTGCTCCCGTATTGGGTGCATATATATTTAGGATAGTTAGCTCTTCTTGTTGAATTGATCCCTTTACCATGATGTAATGGCCTTCTTTGTCTCTTTTGATCTTTGTTGGTTTAAAGTCTGTTTTATCAGAGACTAGGATTGCAACCCCTTCCTTTTTTTGTTTTCCATTTGCTTGGTAGATCTTCCTCCATCCCTTTATTTTGAGCCCATGTGTGTCTCTGCACATGAGATGGGTCTCCTGAATACAGGACACTGATGGGTCTTGACTCTTTATCCAGTTTGCCAGTCTGTGTCTTTTAATTGGAGCATATAGCCCATTTACATTTAAGGTTAATATTGTTATGTGTGAATTTGATCCTGTCATTATGATGTTAGCTGGTTATTTTGCTTGTTAGTTGATGCAGTTTCTTCCTAGCCTCAATGGTCTTTACAATTTGGCATCCTTTTGCAGTGGCTGGTACTGGTTATTCCTTTCCATGTTTAGTGCTTCCTTCAGGAGCTCTTTTAGGGCAGGCCTGGTGGTGACAGAATCTCTCAGCATTTGCTTGTCTGTAAAGGATTTTATTTCTCCTTCACTTATGAAGCTTAGTTTGGCTGGATATGAAATTCTGGGTTGAAAATTCTTTTCTTTAAGAATGTTGAATATTGGCCCCCACTGTCTTCTGGCTTGTAGAGGTTCTTTTGAGAGATCTGCTGTTAGTCTGATGGGCTTCCCTTTGAGGGTAACCCGACCTTTCTCTCTGGCTGCCCTTAACATTTTTTCCTTCATTTCAACTTTGGTGAATCTGACAATTACGTGTCTTGGAGTTGCTCTCCTCGAGGGGTATCTTTGTGGCGTTCTCTGTATTTCCTGAATTTGAATGTTGGCCTGCCTTGCTAGATTGGGGAAGTTCTCCTGGATAATATCCTGCAGAGTGTTTTCCAACTTGGTTCCATTCTCCCCATCACTTTCAGGTACACCAATCGGACGTAGATTTGGTCTTTTCACATAGTCCCATATTTCTTGGAGGCTTTGTTTGTTTCTTTTCACTCTTTTTTTCTCTAAACTTCTCTTCTCGCTTCATTTCATTCATTTCATCTTCAATCACTGATACCCTTTTTCCAGTTGATCGAATTGGCTACTGAAGCTTTTGCATTCATCATGTAGTTCTCCTGACATGTTTTTCAGCTCCATCAGGTCATTTAAGGACTTCTCTATGTTGATTATTCTAGTTTTCCATTCGTCTAATCTTTTTTCAAGGTTTTTAGCTTCTTTGTGATGGGTTCGAACTTCCTCCTTTAGCTTGGAGAAGTTTGATCGTCTGAAGCCTTCTTCTCTCAACTAGTCAAAGTCATTCTCCATCCAGCTTTGTTCCATTGCTGGCGAGGAGCTGTGTTCCTCAGTTGGAAATGCAGAAATCACCCATCTTCTGCTCCGACCATGCTGGGAGCTGTAGACTGGAGCTGTTCCTATTTGGCCATCTTGGAACCACCCCCTGGTATTGTAGTACTCTTTTTTTTTAATTTTATTTTATTAGTATTATACTTTAAGTTTTAGGGTACATGTGCACAATGTGCAGGTTTGTTACATATGTATACATGTGCCATGCTGGTGTGCTGCACCCATTAACTTGTCATTTAGCATTAGGTATATCTCCTAAAGCTATCCCTCCCCCCTCCCCCCACCCCACAACAGTCCCCAGAGTGTGATGTTCCCCTTCCTGTGTCCATGTGTTCTCATTGTTCAATTCCCACCTATGAATGAGAATGTGTGGTGTTTGGTTTTTTGTTCTTGTGATAGTTTACTGAGAATGATGATTTCCAGTTTCATCCATGTCCCTACAAAGGACATGAACTCATCTTTTTTTATGGCTGCATAGTATTCCATGGTGTATATGTGCCACATTTTCTTAATCCAGTCTATCATTGTTGGACATTTGGGTTGGTTCCAAGTCTTTGCTATTGTGAATAGTGCCGCAATAAACATACGTGTGCATGTGTCTTTATAGCAGCGTGATTTATAGTCCTTTGCGTATATACCCAGTAATGGGATGGCTGGGTCAAATGGTATTTCTAGTTCTAGATCCCTGAGGAATCGCCACACTGACTTCCACAATGGTTGAACTAGTTTACAGTCCCACCAACAGTGTAAAATTGTCCCTATTTCTCCACATCCTCTCCAGCACCTGTTGTTTCCTGACTTTTTAATGATTGCCATTCTAAATGGTATGAGATGGTATCTCATTGTGGTTTTGATTTGCATTTCTCTGATGGCCAGTGATGGTGAGCATTTTTTTCATGTTTTTTTTTGGCTGCATAAATGTCTTCTTTTGAGAAGTGTCTGTTCATGTCCTTCGCCCACTTTTTGATGGGGTTGTTTATTTTTTTCTTGTAAATTTGTTTGAGTTCATTGTAGATTCTGGATATTAGCCCTTTGTCAGATGAGTAGGTTGCAAAAATTTTCTCCCATTTTGTAGGTTGCCTGTTTCACTCTGATGGTAATTTCTTTTGCTGTGCAGAAGCTCTTGAGTTTAATTAGATCCCATTTGTCAATTTTGTCTTTTGTTGCCATTGCTTTTGGTGTTTTAGACATGAAGTCCTTGCCCATGCCTATGTCCTGAATGGTAATGCCTAGGTTTTCTTCTAGGGTTTTTATGGTTTTAGGTCTAATGTTTAAGTACTTAATCCATCTTGAATTAATTTTTATATAAGGTGTAACGAAGGGATCCGGTTTCAGCTTTCTACATATAGCTAGCCAGTTTTCCCAGCACCATTTATTAAATAGGGAATCCTTTCCCCATTGCTTGTTTTTCTCAGGTTTGTGAAAGATCAGATAGTTGTAAATATGTGGCATTATTTCTG
Source organism: Homo sapiens (assembly GCF_000001405.40). Taxonomy (NCBI): domain Eukaryota; kingdom Metazoa; phylum Chordata; class Mammalia; order Primates; family Hominidae; genus Homo; species Homo sapiens. The sequence continues at coordinate 108,058,679 of NC_000008.11, read as the reverse complement.
AGGGCTCTGTTCTGTTCCATTGATCTATATCTCTGTTTTGGTACCAGTACCATGCTGTTTTGGTTACTGTAGCCTTGTAGTATGGTTTGAAGTCAGGTAGTGTGATGCCTCCAGCTTTGTTCTTTTGGCTTAGGATTGACTTGGCGATGCAGGCTCTTTTTTGGTTCCATATGAACTTTAAAGTAGTTTTTTCCAATTCTGTGAAGAAAGTCATTGGTAGCTTGATGGGATAGCATTGAATCTATAAATTACCTTGGGCAGTATGGCCATTTTCATGATATTGATTCTTCCTACCCATGAGTATGGAATGTTCTTCCATTTGTTTGTATCCTCTTTTATTTCATTGAGCAGTGGTTTGTAGTTCTCCTTGAAGAGGTCCTTCATGTCCCTTGTAAATTGGATTCCTAGGTATTTTATTTTCTTTGAAGCAATTGTGAATGGGAGTTCACTCATGATTTGGCTCTGTTTGTCTGTTATTGGTGTATAAGAATGCTTGTGATTTTTGCTAAAAGCTCTCAATATATTAGGTATTGATGGGATGTATCTCAATAAGAGCTATCTATGACACACCCACAGCCAATATCATACTGAATGGGCAAAAACTGGAAGCATTCCCTTTGAAAACTGGCACAAGACAGGGATGCCCTCTCTCACCACTCCTATTCAACATAGTGTTGGAAGTTCTGGCCAGGGCAATTAGGCAGGAGAAGGAAATAAAGGGTTTTCAATTAGGAAAAGAGGAAGTCAAATTGTCCCTGTTTGCAGATGACATGATTGTATATCTAGAAAACCCCATTGTCTCAGTCCAAAATCTCCTTAAGCTGATAAGCAACTTCAGCAAAACTCAGGATACAAAATCAATGTAGTACTCTTAAAAGAACAAACAGTATTGCAAACTGAAGAAACTGGTTATATTGCAAGTCAGGGAATAGAACTAGGAATACACATAGCTTTTACAAATGAAAAGATTCTTGGGATTTTTTTTCTCTTCTACCTGTTTAGTGTTTTTAAGTAAGAAAATAAATGATCTGTATCCACTATTTGGGGTCAGCCATTGATGTCATTTATATGCCTCCTGCTTTTTAAAATTTGAATTTTGAATGTTATTTTGGTAATAACCCCCTGCATAGTTGAGACATTTAGGTGTTTGTCTTGGAAGCAGGTAGTAAAGACTTTACACTGTCCTTGTATAAATAGTTGATTTTTTTTATAGCCACTTACTGTAGTTCTTTAAAAATGAATATAAGCCCAAAATCTATTCATTGTTGGCAATTTGAAAAATAGAGAACAACACTATGAAGAAAATACAACTACCAATAACCTTTCTACTCAGTGGCTGCTGTTAACATTTTGCATTTTATCCTTCCAGATGTTTTTCCCTTCTACATAAATATAAAGTTTTGAAAGTGCCTGTGTCATAAGTATATATTCTTACTGATTTTGATGACATTTAGAATGTCTGCATCATAATTGTTCAACATCAAATTTTAAAATCAGTTTCCTTATTGTTGGGCAGTTAACCATTTCAGTATTAAAAAGTTTTCAAGATTATTAATATGCTATCAATAACCTTATATTTTATACGTCTTTTTTTTTTTTTTTTTTTTTTTTTTTTTTTTTTTTTGAGACAGAGTCTCACTCTGTTGCCAGGCTGGAGTGCAGTGGTGTGATCTCGACTCACTGAAACCTCCACCTCCCAGGTTCAAGAGATTCTCCTGCCTCAGCCTCCTGAGTAGCTGGGATTACGGGCATGTGCCACCATGCCCGGCTAATTTTTGTATTTTTTGGTAGAGATGGGGTTTCACCATGTTGGCCAGGTTGGTCTCAAACTCCTGACCTCAAGTGATCCACCCCCCTTGGCCTCCCAAAGTGCTAGGATTACAGGCTTGAGCCACCATGCCTGGCCCACATCTTTTTTATCTTAGGAATCATTTATGGAACTAGAAATACCAGTTAATACACTATAATCACTTATTGAGCATTTACTATGTGCCAGGCATAGTGTTGGTTTTCTTTTTTCTTTTTCTTTTCTTTTCTTTTTTTTTTTTTTTTTTTTGAGACGGGTCTGGCTCTGTGTCACCCAGGCTGGAGTGCAGTGGTGCCATCTTGGTTCACTGCAGCCTTGACCTCTTGGGCTCAAGTGATCCTCTCACCTCAGCCTCCCAAGTAGCCGGGACCACAGATGTGTACCACCAGGCCTGCCTATTTTTTTTTGTATATTTTTATAGAGATGGGGTTTTGCCATGTTGCCCAGGCTGGTGTCAAACTCCTGAGCTCAAGCGATCTGCCTGCTTTGGCCTCCCAAAGTGCTGGGATTACAGGTGTGAGTCACTATGCTTACAAGATTGGGCCCAAGCGTAGGTTTTGTTGTTGTTGTTGTTGCCTTTTTAAAGAACACACATACTTATTAGCTTACAGCATCTGTGGAGCATAAGACTCCGGGCATAGCCTAAGGTAACTTCTCTGCTGCAGGATCTCATTTGATTATAAATGTCCAATAATACAAATTTCATGTTTCAGTGGTGAGACTGTAGTCAAGAAAAAACCAATTCCCCTATAATACATAATCTCTGCAGGCAAGCATAGTTTTTAAGGTTACATATTATTTAATCCTCAAATGACCTTGTGAGGTAGACCTATTTTTCTCTCCATCTTAAAGATGAATCTGAGGGACCAGAGGGTGAATGGTTTGTCTAAGTTCAGAGCTAATAAGTGATGGAACTAGAATTCTATCTAGGCATTCTGACCCAGCCATGCTCTTAACCACGAGATGGAAATGTGAAGCTGTCAATCTCACTGCCAGTTGTTCTCCAGGATATTGTACTAATTATAATTCTGTAGGTGGGAGATGTTGGGCATATTGCCTTGAGCCATTGATAATTTTTTTTTTAACGTCTTGTTGGCCTGTTCCTGTTGTGGATAAAAATAAACATCTCCCTTATCCCCAAGAAATTTAGTATTTAAATAGGGAAACAATGCATTCTTTCCCACATTTCCTGGCTCCAAATAACATTAATATCTACTTAGTTGCTTAAATAGTCCTTGTTTTCTCCTCAACACCCATTATTTTTACACCCTCTTTTCAGTATGTTTTGAACTCCTTTTCTTCTAAGTCGGCTGCCATTTTGTAGGCCAGGATGTCACCATCTTCCGAACCTGTCCATGGCCTTCCCACTGATCTTTCTGTGATCCATTCTCCTTAGGACAGCCAAGAATTGCTTATAAAATGAAAATCAGCAATTCTCCCCCCCATTTAAATGCTTCAGTGGATTTCTATTACACCTCAAATAAAACAAACTCCTCGCCTAGCCTGGAAGCCTCTCTGTGACCTGTCTGCCTCTGCCTCCTCCAACTCTCCTTTCATTATCTCAGTCCTATTGGGCTTCTTTCTGTCTCTCATACACTCTTGACTTCCTCCTGTCTCATTACCTTTGCATTTGCTGTTCACTCTGTCTAGAAAGCTCTTTACTCGTGTTTTTCACAACTAGCTTGATCCTTTCACAGTAACTGTATCTAAAGCAGCACATTTTTATTTTCTGTTTTCTTTTCTTTTTCTTTTGATACAAGGTCTTGCTCTGTCACCCAGGCTGGAGTGCAGTGGTGCGATCTCAGCTCACTGTAGCCTCGACCTCCTGGGCTCAAGCGATCCTCCCACCTCAGCCCCCTGAGTAGCTGGGACTACAGGCACGCACCACCACACCCGGCTAATCGTTGTTTTGTTTTGTTTTGTTAGAGACAGGGTTTTGCTTTGTTGCCCAGGCTTGTCTTGAACTCCTGAGCTCAAGCGATCTGCCCACCCCAGGCTTCCAAAGTGCTGGGATTAGAGGCATGAGCCACCCTGCCCAGCCCTTTTCCGTTTTCTGTAGTAAACTATGAGGACCAGGACTAGGGTGCGGCAAGAGGGGGCCTTAGGGCACAAAATGGAAGGCGTATGCTTGCCAGCCTGAGAACCAGTGCCTCCTTGCATTTTACATGCTAGGCGCCTCACTTATTGTGCCCTACATCTAGCTCTGCTCTGTTGTATCCACTGCTTATTTCTTAAACACTCTAGAATTTTCTTTGTTCCTGTGGCAGAGAACACTGTCTATCAAAATCCTTTTCTTTTGCCTCTTGGGGCTGTCGCTAGACTATGTTTCCCAACCCCTCGTGGAGTTAGGGGTGGCTGTGGGCCTGAGTTTTGACTCATGGAATGTGGGTGGAAGTGATATATTTACTACTTCCAGGCCTGGCCCCAGTAAACCTCCTGTAGAAGAGTCTCTCACTCTTTGTGTGTCTGCCACCTTGGTGCAGGGGATCTAGCCCTTTCTCTGAGCCTCTGTAGGATGATGGGGCCACCAGTGAAAAGAGCTTGGGTACCTAAATGAGTTTGTCAAAGTCTTCCTGCTGCAAATCTCCACTGGACCCTGCTTGAGCAAGAAAGGAAGTTTTGTGTCAAGTCACTGAGACATTGAGGTTTGTCCCTCTAAGAAGCTAGCACTGTGTGCCCTCACCAGTACAGGCTCTCTTATCTCCACCAGAGTTTCTGAACATAAGATCCAAAAGGGTGAGAGCCTTGTTTACATTGTATCACCAGTGCCCAGGAGAGTGTCTGTTGCAGGTATCCAATAAATAATTTTTTCAACAAATGCATCATATAAATACTAACATAAAAACAACTCGAGAGAGTGCTGAAATAATGATATACATAGGAAATACATTCGGGGTTCAAAGGGGAAGGAGCACTGTGGATTTCAAGAAAATGGGGACTTGAGTTAGCTTATTTTAAATTTTCTTTGGTAGAGACAGGATCTCGCTCTGCTGCCCAGGCTGGGGTGCTAACTCTTAAGTATATGGTATTCACTGTATATAAAGTGGTTCTTACGTTTCTTAGCCAGTAATGTTTTGAAAACATATTCCAAAGGCATAGGGCAGTGATTTCACACCAAAAGTATAGAATTGTAATAACTTGTAGATTTTTTAGGCTTTTAATAGGATTTTAATCACATATTAAGTCATGTCAAATCATTTTTATAGTTACATGCCTATAACTAGAAAATATTAAATTTCTTCCCTTTATTTCTTACTATGTCCAGTATATTTGAACTCTTATTTTAAAAATGTCTTAATTGATGTAACAGAGAAGTAATGTCTGCTTTTATTATATAGTGTAAATCATTGGCTTTTTCAAGATTCACTAGATTGCTTTGCTTGCCTAGTTATAGAAACGTTAGATGGGGCTTGGTTGCATTCCTTCTAGGAATATCTGTGGGCTCTAAGGAGAGGGCATTGTTTGACATTGAACTGTTGATGGGAAGGATTTTTGGTCAAGAGGAAGGATTTCCAACTCTTTTAAGAAGAGAATCTGTTTTTAATTTCTTGGAAGCCTTGAGATTCTAGGTATGGAGGAAGACAGGCCAGAGGAGATGAACACTTCTGCTGATGAAGTTTCTGGGTGGATGGGAATATGGAGTGCATCACTGCTAACTGTGGGTGCCTTTTCCCCAAGAAGCTCTCCTGCAAGCCATGTGAGGACAGATTGTGGAGTGGCAGCAGGTAACCGAGGTTGTACTATCTAGCAGATCAAGATACACTCAGTCCCCCAGTTGAGACCTAGAATACGTAAAATCCAAGACCTTTATTCCTACTCATATCCTGAAGTCACTGGTAAAATAATACCCTACCTAGGTTAGCACTAACAACTCTTGACTAGCTCTGCCACAAACTGTATATATATATGTGTAAGAGAGATAACTTAAAGGCACCTTTTTACCATGTTTCCTGCCTATTTAAAATAAAAGTTTGGACTATATGATCCCAAGAGCCGTTCTACCAATAAAATTCATATTTCTATTAGTCATTTGGTCCAGATGTTCACACTGATTTAAAAATCTTCCATCTCTTAATTGTTGTGTAATGTTGATCCGATTATTTCATATCTCTATACCTCAGTTTTCCTGCTTTTAAAATGGGAATAATAGTAGTTATCTAGTTTATAATTTTGTCGTGAGAATTAATTGGATGGTGTGTGCCGAGCCCTTGGAACATGGCAAGTGTGCGGTGACCATTAGCTGCTGCTAGTTGAATTTCCCAGTTGCTTACTCTGTGGACATTTTCTTGCTTATATTTGCTTCCCATAACAGGTTATTAATAAATTCTCCATGCTTTGGAAAGATTCCCTGAAACACTTTAAAATTCATTCTAATTCCAGTGAATTACTAAAGTAATACTTCTAAAATATATAGGAATTTGAGAAAAGGTACAATTTTATCAACATTGATAAACAATATATTAAGTATTAATAAAGCATATATTGATCATGATTCTGGGGAATACATCCCTGTTGGAAGTCTGTGTCAAAATCATAGGTAAGTTTGAGTTTCTCACAAGAACGAGCTTTTACTTTTAAACTGGCTGCTTCTGGTGAAGAATAGAAAATGTGCGTGTACACAGAGGCCAAATTTTGCTAGCTAAGGTACAAAATATACTTATAAAAAGTAATCAGTTCATAGAAACATGCAAATCTAGATCTCTAAGTCTGCATATATTTAATTTCCTGGCTTTCTATATGATCCAGTTTCTGTATGATCTAGCTTGATATAAGTAGGTTTGTTTCACTGGGAGAATGAGTCATTTTAGAGATACTCCACCAGCTGAAAAAGCTAAATGTTTTCATAGTTATTATCATAGCATTTTCACTACTTAAATATACATACAAACCAATATAACACGTGCATTGCTCAGTTTGGTGCAAGTTACCAATGAACTAGGATGGAAATGCCCCTGCCTCCACCACCCTCCAACCCATGCCAAACCCCTTAAGAAACAAATTTACTTAACCCTGGTTGTGCATGTGATTTGAGTTCTTTGGTGATAGTTTAATTGAAAGTGCAGACTTCAGAGACCAGTCTTGAGCTGGAGTCCCAGATGGGAGTCAGCTCTCATCATGACTATAGTCTTGGAATATTTCTGGGCCTCATGTTGAAGGAATGGATCTGAGTATTGGATTTATACTACCTCTCCTGTTTCTGAATATTCACTGTCTGTGTTTATTTACTGGAATGGTATTCAGTACCATTTAGATGCTCCACTTGTCCTTTCACAATGTCTTATATCCCAGTTCTGATAAGACCCTGAGTCTTCTGCCCTGCTCTCAAACCATTCACGCATTGCTATTTTTATTGCTTAGGCCTTTAGGTAATTGGTAGTGTTCTTAACATTTCTTTTAGATGATTTGACTTCCAGTCTACACATCTTCTGACACTGCAGAAAGCAGCCAGTTCCAAAGAAAACATTTTTTGTAGCCGTTTTTTCCCCCTGCTGGTGGAACTGCAAAACCTCAAACCTTCACTATGCCAAATTTGGAGTCTTGGTTGCTACCCCTTCCTCTCCCCTCCAGCTACCTTTGTCATGTTCAGTCTCAACTTGGTGACTGCCAGTGGCACACATTCTAGATTATTTTATAGTAATAAGCATCCTATATTAACATTTAGATGAGCTTTTAAAAAGTCAACTACTTTTATTCCCTCCCTTACAATTTCAATTAGTTTTTCTCTTTCTTCACCAAATTTATTAATTTTGAAGTTAAAGGGTACAGTGGGGCTAGAGAAGATTTTGCTCATTGCTTAAAGCCCTGCAGTGTTCTTCAGCTCTTGCATACATCCTTACACATGGTTTTGATTTTATGGTATAAGAGGGTTTTTCACTTCTTGACTCATTTGTGGCATGTTGCTGTAGCCATCACTGTAATTAATCTCCTAGGAAGAAATCTGAAGGTTCAAGTCAATTAAAAAAAGTGAACCCAGGAACAAGTAGCTTAGCAACATTTCCCCCCAACCCAGAGGATTCTTTTGTCCTTGGAGTTGGAGGTAGTCTTTCTCTCTGATCTTGAAGAGCATATTCGGCCACTTCTTTCCCTGCCTCACCCTCCCCACTACCAACGTGGAGGGTGGTGAGAGGGAGCCAGAGTTCAGGTCCTGTTCAACATTTGCTAGATAGTGGCAGCCGTTTTCCCTGCAGACTGTTTCAGTTATCCATGCTTGCAACTTATTTCTTTGCTTTGTTCATTCCAAATGGGATTTTATTAATGCCACCTTGCCTCCTTTTGTTACTTCAAAATTAAAAGTGAGGTTTTCTTTTTTTTAAACTGGAAATAACCAGGAACATAGAATAGTAAAATAAAAATCTACATACTTATGGTCTAGAATAAAAAAATTAATATATTTCCATATTTACTTTATCAATCTATATATACATACCTTTATTACTTATTTTTAACAGGTAAACTATAGATATTTAGAATGATCCTATGAAAGAAACAGGAGATTATTCAAAATCATAAATCTCACTCTTGCACAAACTCTTCTAAAATTAAGCATTGTTATAATTAACCGATCCATACCTCAAATCCAAAATCTTATGAAAACCAATATTCCAGCAACTTACTTTCACTGGGAGGCTTTTTCTAGGACTGTGGAAAATCTGAAAATGCAATAGGTATAAAACAAATAGATCTTAGAAACAAAAGTGGTTTGAAGGATACTGAAGGTTTCCTAATGTTGACTTAATTATAGTAGAAAAAGTACAACAGTGAGTGATCTGTGATTCCCCCCAACCCCTCCTGCATGAGATTATGGAATTATATACATAATAGAGAGAATTTAAGTTTTATAATTCCAAGCTTAGGGTACAAAAGAAACAGGATGGAAATAGTTTTGGGGGGTTCTTTCTAAATGTTAGGATTTTAAAGGTACAGTAAAGCCTAAGATATATGTAACTCTATAGAATGTGTCATTTGCCCAAAGGATTATAAATCATTCTGTAAAGACACATGCAGTTGTATGTTTATTGCAGCACTGTTTACAATAGCAAAGACTTGGAACCAAACCACATGCCCATTAATGACAGACTGGATAAAGAAAATGTGGCACATATACACCATGGAATACTATGTAGCCATAAAAAAGAATGAGTTCATGTCCTTTGCAGGGACATGGATGAACCTGGAAACCATCATTCTCAGCAAATTAACACAGGAACAGAAAACCAAACACCGCATGTTCTCACCCATAAGTGGGAGTTGAATAATGAGAACACATGGACACAGGAAGGGGGGAACATCACATACTGGGGCCTGTCAGTGTGGGGGCAAGGGGAGGGAGAGCATGAGGACAAATACCTAATGCCTGCGGGGCTTAAAACCTAGATAATGGGTTAATAGGTGCAGCAAACCACCATGGCACATGTAGACCTATGTAACAAACCTGCATGTTCTGCACATGTATCCCAGAATCTAAAGTAATTTTTTTTTAAAAAAGATGCATGTATTCTTTAAAAAAAGAAAAAAAAGTCCCAGCCAAAAAACAAGGGTCATTTTGGAAAGCTAAGATTCCAGGTAGATGAAAATGAATATATCGTGTGGTTGGGCTGATGTTATTTTATTTATTTTATTCTTTTATTATACTTTAAGTTCTAGGGTACATGTGCAGAACGTGCAGGTTTGATACATAGGTATACGTGTGCCATGTTGGTTTGCTGCACCCATCAACTCATCATTTACATTAGGTATTTCTCCTAATGCTATCCGTCCCCCAGTTCCCCACCCTCCGACAGGCCTCAGAAGTAAAGTACTTCTCAGCAAATGTAAAAGAACAGAAATCACAACAAACTGTCTCTCAGACCACAGTGCAATCAAATTAGAACTCAGGATTAAGAAATTCACTCAAAACCACACAACTACACGGAAACTGAACAACTTGCTCCTGAATGACTACTGGCTAAACAACGAAATGAAGGCAGAAATAAAGATGTTCTTTGAAACCAATGGGAACAAAGACACAATGTACCAGAATCTCTGGGACACATTTAAAGCAGTGAGTAGAGGGAAATTTGTAGCACTAAATACCCACAAGAGAAAGCAGGAAAGATCTAAAATTGACACCCTAACATCACAATTAAAAGAACTAGAGAAGCAAGAGCAAACACATTCAAAAGCTAGCAGAAGGCAAGAAATAACTAAGATCAGAGCAGAACTGAAGGAGATAGAGACACAAAAAACCCTTCAAAAAATCAGTGAATCCAGGAGCGGGTTTTTTGAAAAGATCAACAAAATTGATAGACCGCTAACAAGACTAAAAAGAAAAGAGAGAAGAATCAAATAGACACAATAAAAAATGATAAAGGAGATATCGCCACCAATCCCACAGAAAATGAATATTTTAAGTGTTGGAACTTTAAGAAACACATCAATTTTCTTAACATTACTGAAGTGCTATGGTTTTAATACATGAGGGTAAGAATCACGAGATTACTTTGTGACTTTGTTCTATCTAGTTGCAGCTATAATGCTATTGTGCAACTCAGTGAGGGATGCAAAGGGCAGTAGAGGTTGACAGCTTAGCTCCACTCCCCCTTGTCAGTGTTCTGGAGTTGGCTTTCTTAAAAGTCCCCCATGACTTTCTTACAAGCTGATGTGAAACACATAATGAGAGGCAAGGTGCTTATTGGATAGCATCCTAGGTCACAGCTGTGTGTCTTTAGGAAGTTGCTCAACCTCTCTTGGCCTTAATTTTCCAACCTGCTAAATGAAGGCGAGTAGTATCTACCTCCTTAGGATAATTGTGAGGATTCAATAGCAATACCTAAGAAGCACGCGGCATAGTACTTAGCACATAATAAAGGCAAAAAGTTCTGTTAATTATCTTCTGCAGGATTATTTAACATAATTTGTTCTCTAAAGAATAGAGAAAAATTATTTGTGTCAATCTCTTAACCTGCCCCATTACCTCGAATGAATATTATAGACACAGTAGGATCACAGGCTGCTGCTGCTGCTTTTTTTTTTTTTTCTCCCTGAGCCGGAGTCTTGCTCTCTCACCCATGCTGGAGTGCAGTGGCATGATCTTGGTTCACTGCAACCTCTGCCTCCCGGGTTCAAGCAATTCTCCTGCCTCAGCCTCCCAAATAGCTGGGACTACAGGTATGTGCCACCATGTCTGGCTAATGTTTTTGATATTTTTAATAGAGACGGGGTTTCACTATGTTGGTCAGGGTGGTCTCGAACTCCTGACCTCAAATGGTCCACCTGCCTTGGCCTCCAAAAGTGCTGGGATTACAGGCATGAGCCACCATGCCTGACCACAGGCTTCCAAAAGGCATCCACTTCAATTGAATGAATAGAAGCACTGCTCAGCAGCCTTTCAAGAATTTTCCTGAGCATCTCTTTCTACAACTTTAATTTTGTTAAAAAATAATTTTCCTAAGGTATTTTGAAGAGCATATATGGTCAAGTGTGCCAATTCTTCATCATTATCACAAGATAGCACTTCTTTCAAGACATGAAGTCACAAAATCCCCAGAGTCTCCTTGCATATACTAGGCATGGCCTCTGACATATGAAGGATTAAGAATTGCTTAAATATGTGTAACAGGATTGAAAGCTTTGAGTAATGTCTTCTGTTACATGATTAAATGTTGCATTCACTAATAATACTTCATATCCTGGATAATACTGATAACAAGTATTATAATGAAGAGCAGGAAGGTGATAAAAATATTACCAATTGCTCGTCCTGCATCTTTGGAGTGACCACTGGCAAGGAAATGGCTTTCTGGCAGCTCAGCCCTGCTTACCACTCATGCCTCTACGTGCTACTTTCTGCTTCTGACTCATGGAGCTTCTAGGCTCATTTTTATGATTTTCTCCTTTCTCTCTCTTTAACCTTTCTTGACTTTTTCCCACTTCAGATACTTGGAATCAACTATTGTCCTTGGGAATGATTACTATATATATTTATTTTTTCAGTTATATCTTCTGACTGGGTAAAAGGTGTTTTGCCTGCACAACTGAATGGTTTATTTTATTTGTAGAAAACCTGTACTGTGAATTGCCCTTAACAATTGTGTTGGGAGGGGGAATTAATAGGGTGAATATTTAAATTCTTGTTTATTTCATGTGTAACTTGGCAAAATTGCATACCCTGATATGACTTGAATTATAGACTTGAAGCATGCACTGTTTCAAACCACGGGTGTGCCTGTGTAGTTAATAGAGCAGTTTTTTTTGTTTGTTTGTTTGCAAATGATGCTTTTGTTTCAAGGTGCCCAATTTCAGGCCAAGAAAAAAGTTTGCATAGCCTGATATGTTACAAGATTATTCTTTCCCTAAACGAATGGTTTAAGAAAATGGTCAGTGACCATTTTCTTTGCTAGTCTTAGTTCTCTTTATTTTTCCCCTTTATATCATATCATATTCACATCTTAATGGTTTAGTCTACCACTGAATACATAATTTTCTTTCTAATCTTTTGAATAGTCTAAAAGAAGTACTTGTTAAATGTTTCATGGTGTATGTGGTGTGAGAAAAATCTATAATTGTTCTTGATTTGGACATTTCACAAGGCAATCAAACCCCAGATATTATAAGCCAAGATAAATGATAGCACATTTTATCTTTGCATTTGTGAAATCTTATTACACTGTTCTGCAAATGTATAAACGTTTTCTTTTCATAAAGCCGTAGGCCTAAATTATAGCTGCTCATTAACAAATGGTTTCCATACTCGGAAATGTGTGCGGGCAAGCCTTATTCAAGCAGCAGCAGCTATCATTTGCATTGTCTGGAGTAGTACTGGGTCATTTAGCATTTAACAATACCTGTCTTGGCTTTTTGGCTCTCTAAGAGGTGTCTCATGTTTTATTGAATATTTACTTATGTATGCCTGAGATGTAGAGATTCTCCAATTCAGTGAATAAAGTTGACAAGGTAAAAAGGAAAAGACCTAAAAAGTAGCTATGTTTTATATTACACAGTTTAATTCCAACCATATAGGTGGTTGGAGATATATTCCGGAGTGTCGACTCTGTGGCAGGCTGAATGCAGTAAACAGTTAGCAAATTGTTCACATGTTTTCCCCTGCAACACACTAATGTAAGTCTTTTCAGATGTATGTATCAGTATAACATATACAGACAAGATGGCTATCTTTTAATGTCCAGAAAAGGTGAACATTACTCAGTTAACCTTGTGTTGCAGCTACATATGGCTCAGACATATCTGCCCTCCCAACAAAAATGTTGTAATATTTGTGAGTTTCAGTATTTGTGGATAGTGAATGAAACATACTTCTTTATACTCCTGAATGTATCATATTATATAATAAACAGAGAAAGGAACTAATGTTCTCCGAATGTTTGAATTTTGAGCCCAAGTGTCTAATACATGGACTAATGTATTTTAATAAAAATGGTCTAATAAAAACATTAATGTTATTTCTTGACCTATACAGGAATTTTGACTTTTGGGTCATAGCCATTCTGACTGATGTGAGATGGTATCTCTTTGTGGTTTTAATTTATATTTCTCTGATGATGAGTGATAGGGAGCATTTTTTCATGTTGGCCGCTTATGTCTTCTTTTGAGAAGTGTCTGTTCATATCCTTTGCCCATTTTTTAATGGAGTTATTTGTTTTTTCTTGTTAAATTGTTTAAGTTCCTCATAGATTCTAGATATTAGGCCTTTGTCAGATATGTTGTTTGTGAGTATTTTCTCCCATTCTGTAGGCTGTGTGTTTACTCTGTTGATAGTGTCTTTTTCTCTGCAGAGGCTGTTTAGTTTAATTAGGTCCTACTGGTCAATTTTTGTTTTTATTACAATTGCTTTTGAGGCCTTAGTCATAAATTCTTTGCCAAGGCTGATGTCCAGAACAGTATTTCCTAGGTTCTTCGAGGATTCTTACAGTTTAAGGTCTTACATTTAAAGCTTTAATCTATCTTGAGTTAACTTTTGTATACGGTGAAAGGTAGGGGGTCCAGTTTCATCCTTCTGCATATAGCTAACCAGCTATCCAGCATCATTTATTTAGTAGGGAACGCTTCTACACTGATGGGAGTGTAAATTAGTTTAGCCACTGTGGAAAGCAGTTTGGAGATTTCTCAAATAGCTTAAAACAGAACTATCATTTGACCCAACAATATCATTACCACGTATATACCCAAAGAAAAATAACTACAAAAAAGACACATGCACATGTATGTTCATTGCAGCACTGCTCACAATAGCAAAGACATGGAATCAATCTAGATGCCCATCAATGGTGAATTGAATAAAGAAAATATGGTACATATATACCAGGTAATACTACACAGCCATAAAAAGGAATAAAATAATGTCCTTTGCAGGAATATGGACGCAGCTTTAGGCTGTTATCCTATGCGAGTTAATGCAGAGACAGAAAACCAAATACTGCATGTTCTTACTTAAAAGTGAGAATATTGGGTACACATGGAAATGAAGATGGGACTCTGAGAGTGCACAGAGAGGGGGGTAATTGAAAAATTACCTGTTGGGTACTATGCTCACTACCTGTGTGATGGGATTATTTGTACCCCAAACATCAGCATCATACAATATATGCATATAACAAACCTGCGTGTGTATCCCCTGAACATAAAATAATTACAAAAAAACACAAAACCTCTCCCCAGAAAAGACTTCTTCCCATCCTGATCACTTCCTAAATAAATGCACTTAGCTTTTCTTTTTTTTTTTTCAGACAACAGAATCAGTGATATTTTGACTGTAAACCCACTTTAGGTAGGATAGTGGCATAACCATTGGGACCTAATAAGCTTTTCATGGAGCTTGGATTCATAGAACAAAAAATCTATTAAGACCCTACTGGGTATCAGGCATTGTGCTAGAAGTGATTAGTATTACTATTATTATTTATAAGCCAGTAAAAACATTGCTTTTGTATTGACTTTTTTTTTAAAAGTAGAAAACTGAGGTTTTTAAAAACTTATTTCTAAAGCTGAGTTTGATAATAATTCCTGGTCATTAAGACAATGTTTTGCACAAGTAACTCTTTCATTTCACTGTTCTTGCCTCCCAGAGACTTCTTTCCTTTCCTCATCCCTGCTCGGACAGCCAGAACCAGCCTGCAGAACTTTTACATTCCTTTGCTTCTTGCCTGGCTATCACAGTTGTAAAGTTCAGCCAAGTTGCCATGGGTATCTCTTTAATTTTCTTTCAAATTAAACATGGAATGAGAGAATGTTGGCATGCCTCAGGACGAGAGGTGCTAAGACTATCTTTTTTTTTTTTCCAAGATACTTTTTTCCCCCAAAGTATATGAGTAAAAAAATAGAACCAAATTAACCATTCTGTAGCAACTTAGCAAAAGAGTAGACACAATTTTAAAAATAATTTCTCTTTTGTTCCTTAGTATGAACCAAGTATGACTTCTTTGACACTGTTAGAGAAATAAAACAGATGAAATGTAATCCTTTACCTTGCCAGACCCAGAAAGACCACAATGGAGGTCTCTATATGGGCAGACCAGTGCCTCTCACTGAGTTGTTGTTCCTGCTTTTATCTCTCTGAGGCTTGTACTAAAAAACATGCAGGATTTTAAAGTGACAAAACATTAACATTCTATGTAAACAGAGCAAGTATTTTAATCAAAACAAACTTCCCGCTACAAATTGAGTACACTTACCCTTAAGGTTTAAAAGCCCCATTTATCAAGGCACTTGCTGTTCCATAATTGCTCTTATCTTCCACTCTTCCTCACTCACAAACTGCCTGAGGCTGTTTGCAGTTTCACAGCCTTTATCTGAGGCTATTTAATGCCTCTTCCCCATCCAATAGTAATACAACTGTTTATTTTTGTTGTTTTTTTTGTATACTCAGGATGTTTTAGCCGTGTCCTTTATAAGTGTTTATTTCATTTGCTCCTTGCAACAGCAGTATGTGGTTGATATGGAGTATGAAGCTCATAGGCAAGGGGTTAAAGGAGCAAAGATGTGAGGTGAGAAGCTCTTACAGCTATCATGTGAAGGAAGGAGGGTCTAAAGCTGGGCCTGACTCCAAACAAAGCCTTTGATTCCCAGTTTCCCAGTTTTGTGCTGCTTGCTCATCTGCCAGTTTCATGCATCCTTCATCTGTGACCCTTCATTGTTGGGCCATTGTTGCCCCAGCCGTAAAGCCATACTGCACTTACCATTAGTGAATCCTCCTGAAGCACTCATTGGCTCCTTACTTCTCCAAGCTCCCCACTTTGTCATTTGGGTTCCCTAGCTGTCAGCTATGTTAATCACAAAGTTGCTTCAATTCTTTTTTTTACAGCTAGTTCATCCATCTTATTGCCATTCTAATTAACTTGGCAGTTAATGAGCACGGCACGGGTATTGAGCTGTAATGAGACTTGGGTTGCAGGTAATCATGACTCTTTTCTGGAATCTTCCTCTTGTGAAGACTGCTCGTCTCATATCTCCGGATTTCCTTGAAGGGAAGGGCTGCTTCTCATTACTCTGTAGCCCTGCTTAGTTGTTATTTCCTACTGTCATTATTGGACAGTCTCCTTTGTAGTCTACTGCATTCATTCATGCTGTCTTCCCCCACGTTATCACCAGTCCACAGACCTTTGGGGTCTTCCTTCATGATCCTCCTTTAACTTCCTCACCCTTAGCTCAATAGGGTTTCTTTAAACTCAGCACCAGTAGGTACCATGTGGGTGACTCAGGAGAGCTTGTCCTTGATTTTCTTTTCTTCTCAATTACCTGACGAAGTGACCTTGAGACCCTTCAATCTCTCAATTCTGAAATTTGTGTCTCCTCTTGAATACAATTTACATTGCTGAACTGTTCCTTACCATCACTTAGATGCACTTGTTCTTTGGCCTTGTTGTAACTACAGGTCCTTGAATTTCATTCTGGTTATTTATTATTTTTACTATTTTTTTAAACACTGTTAGATATTGGTAGACCCAGGATTCTAAATGGACCCATGGTCATCTTCCAGGCTGCCATCTTTATTATCCTACTCCCTTCCCCTTTGACCTGTTGTGATGCCAACCCCCTGCTGCCTAGGGAGGTTTAATGTGCTTTTTGGTCTCAGTTGGGATTTACTCTCCTTGGAGCCTCTTTTTCCATCATTGGTTTTGGACTCTTTATTGCATTTCCCCAATAGTGACTCTTCCAAATGGTTTTCTGTAGTATTGATCTTTATTCTATGGTGTCTTTTATCACTCTGATAACAACCCTGTCACTTAATTTACTAATAAGATTAAAGATGTTCACTGAAAGCCCACTAATCTTTTCTCTCATTCCCACCACACTTGCAATTTGCTGTTGGCATAACCCACTGTCTTCTTAAAAGCTGCTTTATTCATCAATTCTTCTAAATTTATTTTTTTCTTCCTATTTCAGATGAAGGTGGGGCCTGTTGCTTTTGCTGTTGGTCTCAATTTCTCTTCTAAACCTTGTTCTTGGATATGATCTCTTCCATGTGTATCTTCTCTCATTCCCCAGCACCATCTGCTTTTTTGTTTTCAAAGAGTTTTAGGTATTCTTAATGTCATACATTAAATAAAAATGTCCTTTGACTCTACAGCCCTTAAAACGCAGCATATTTGCTCTTACCATTCTTTTCTTTGTCCAATTACTTAAGGGAGAAATTATTATCATCATAGGGCTCTTCTTTTTTTTTTTTTTTTTTTTGCCACTTTTTGTTTTAGCTCTTTCTAAAATGTTGTGAGGAGAAAAAACCTGATTTTTGTTCACATTTCAGGGATCTCCTTCTCAATTGCTTAACTTTCAAATCTCTCTAGACAAGCCCCGCATTTTCCTTTGATGCTGGAAAGCTCAATGTACTTGGCCAACTAGTCCTAAATTGATTTCTTTTCTGTACACCCTGCCCCAGACAAAACTAAACAAATGTAAAAACCCATGTCTCCAAATTACTGTTTTGCTCAACATTTGAATTTGCTGTTGATTTGAGTGATACCTCAGTTCTTTTCTACAGGTTGGCAATTTGACATCTTCAAATATTCTGTTTTAGACCTCCACACCCCATCTGTTACCAACACCTGCTATGTTTTGGTTCATGAGGAATCAAATCCACCCTTTGCCAAATTTCACATTATCAGCACTCCTGCCCAGATCAATATTTTAGCCATGATTATTGCAAAAGTCTCGTAACTAATTTTCCTCTGTATTTGTCAGCCCCCTTCCTCCATTAGTTTTACACCTCAAACCACATTAGTCATCATCTGATTACTCTTTGGTCATGTTGTTCTCTTGCTCAGATTTTGGATCTTTTCAGTGCCTGGAAGATAGTTCTCATTTTCAGTGTGATATTTCATGTTCTGCCTGGTCTGGACCCAATCTACAACTTTTTTTCTGAGACCATCGGGGATTTACTCTGGGCATTGGCTGAACAGCAGCACTTACTATTCCGAAGCCTGCCTTGGGTTTTTTCCCCCTGTACCTTTTGCGTTCATGTTTTTTTTCTTGTCTAAAGTGTCTTTCTTTCTCTTCATCTCCCTTCTGATTTTGAAGTCTAGCCTGTAAGACCCAGTCTAGATGCCTTCAGTGGAGAAGTTCATGGATTAAAAAAGGGATTTTCAATATTTATAACACACTGTCTGTTAATGTAGCTATTTTAATGCCTGTTTATACAACCTTCTGGTTGGTTGCTTTTCGAGGACTTCAACCTTATCTATTTTCCTATTTCTCAGAGCCTTCTAGAAATGGGTGTTTAGTATTATTTTTCTTGATTAACCCCTTGATTATACTATTTATTATTTGACAGTGAGAAAGGATGTCTTTATTCAGGCTACTATAACAAAGTACCATAGACTAGGTGGCTTGTAAGCAGCAGAAACTTATTTCTTACAATTCTGGAGGCACAGGAGTCCAAAATTGGGGTGCCAGCATGGTCATTCTCTGGTGAGGGACATCTTGGTTTGTAGACTGCCAACTTCTCATTGTATCCTCACATGGCAGAAAGACCACTAACTAACTCTCTGGCCTCTTCTTCTAAGGGCACTAATCCCATTCATGAGAGATCTACCTTCATGACCTGATTTACCTACCTTCAGATACCATCACATTCGGGGTTAGGTCTTAAGAATGTGAACTTAGGGGACACAAGCATCTGGTCTATAACAAAGCATACATGTGCTTGACAGCTCAGTTGTCACTGGGATGCTCCTAAGGTTGATGGGAAGAGACAGAGTTGAGGCCAGCCTAGAGTGGAGGCTGGATGGGTGGGGGCCTGTTCATTATCTGGCTTTGTTTTCCCTTTTGAAAGGTACCTTAAGACAAACCACCTTTCAAATATTGTTTTCCTTTTTTAAATTCATATATATATTTATGAAAATACACTTTAAGCATTCTTTTATTCTAAGCACTAAAGCCAGATTGCCTGGGTTGGAATCCTGGATTTACTACTTAGTAGCTGGGTGACGTTGGGTAAGATATGGAATTCTCTGTGCTTCATTTTCACCCCCTGTATAATTGAACTCATAAGATGGTTATGAATACTAAATGAGTTAATACCTCTAAAACAAGCATTTTAAACAGTATGGCATGTAGTATATTCTCAATTACTGGGAATTAATATTACTATTAAGTAGTGAGGAATTGCTGCAAGTAAAAGGGGGAGGTATTAGAACTTGTAATTTCTAATTAGTTTTCCAGATTATTAAAGTGTTGTGGTAATATATGAAGATGAGAATCACTGATCTAGGAACCTGTAAAATACAGAGCATAGTGAAAGAGAGAATAAATGGAAATGTCAGGAAAAATGATTCAATCTAGCCTTGTGTTTGTTTTGTTGTCATATACACTAGAAGACTGATCTACTGATTTAATTATTTAAGCCGTTCAAAATGTGGATACTAATTTGTGATGTCTACTAGACACTTAGCAAAGCATTTATCAAATAACTTCCTAGGTACTGATAATATAAATACAGGCATACTTCAGAGATAATGTGGGTTGTGTTTCAGACCACCACAGTAAAGTGAGTCACACAAATTTTTGGTTTCTTCGTGCATATGTTTACACTGTGCTGTAGTCTATTAAGTAGCCAATAGCCTTATGTCGAAATAAACAATGTACATTCTTTAATTAAAAAGTACTTTATTGCTAAAAAAAAAAACCCACTAACAATCATCTGAGCCTTCACTGAATCATAATCTGTTTGCTGGTAGAGGGTCTTGCTTTGATGTTGATGGCAGCTGACTGATCAGTGTGGTGGTTGCTGAAGGTTGGGGTGCTGGTGGCAGTTTTTTTAAAAGAAGACAACAATGTTTGCCACATTGATGGACTCTTCCTTTAATGAAATGTTTATCTGTAGCATTGTGTTGCTGTTTGATAATGTCTTATCCATAGTAGCATTTCTTTTAGAATCGGAGTCAATCCTGTCAAACCTTGCCACTGCTTTAATTAATCAACTACATTTATGTAATATTCTAAATCATCTGTTGTTGTTTCCGTGATGTTTATAGCATTCTCACCAGGAGTAGATTCCATCTCAAGAAACACTTTCTTTGCTTATCCATAAGAAGCAACTCCTCATCCATTCAAGTTTTATCATGAAATTGTAGCAATTCAGTCACATCTTCAGGCTTCACTTCTCCATCTAGTTCTCTTGCCATTTCTACCATGTCTGCAATTACTCACTCCACTGAAGTTTTGAACCCCTGAAGTTATACATGAGGGCTGGAATCTACTTAACTCCTGATAATGTTGATATTTTGACCTTCTCCCATGAATCACTAATGTTTTTAATGGCGTCTAGAAGGGTGAACCCTTTCCTGGAGGTTTTCAATTTACTTTTCCCAGATTCATTAGAGGAATCACTATATATGGCAGCTGTAGCCTTATGAAATATTTATTAAATAATAAGACTTGAAAGTTGAAATTACTCCTTGATCCACTGGCTACATAATGGATCTTGTGTTAGCAGGCATGAAAACATTAATCTCCTTGTACATCTCCATCAGAGCTCTTGGTTGACCCAGGTGCATTGTCAATGAGTAGTAGGTCTCAACAGCGGGCTTAAAACCTTCAGTAAACCATGCTGTAAACAGGTGTGCTGTCATGGAGGTTTTGTTATTCCACTTATAGAGCACAGGCAGAGTAGAGCTAGTATAATTTTTAAGGGCCATAAGATTTTCAAGGTGTAAATGAGCATTGGCCTCCACTTCAAATCACTGGCTGCATTAGCCCCTAACAAGAGAGTCAGCCTGTTCTTTGAAGTTAGACATTCACATCTCTCTAGCTATGAAAATCCTGGGTGGCATCTTCTCCCAGTAGCAGGCTTTTTAATCTACATTTAAAAATCTGTTTTTTAGTGTAGCCACCTTCATTTCTTCATTAAATCTTCTAGACAACTTGCTGTAGCTTCTACATCAATACTTACTGTTTCACTTTGCACTTTCATGTTATGGAGATGACTTCTTTCCTTAAACCTCATGAACCAACCTCTGCTAGCTTCAAATTTAACTTCTGCAGCTTCCTCATCTCTCTCAGTCTTTGTAGAGTTAAAGAGAGTTAGGATCTTGCTCTGGATTAGGCTTTGGCTTAAAGGAATGTTCTGGCTGGTTTATTCTTCTATCCAGACTTCTAAAACTTTCTCCACATCGGTAATATGGCTGTTTCACCTATCTGTGTTTTCACTAGAATAGCACTTTTAATGTTCTTCAAGAACTTTTCCTTTGCATTCACAACTTGAGGGGCCTAGCTTTTGACCTATCTTGGCTTTTAACATGCCCTGCTCACTAAGCTTAATCACGTCTAGTTTTTTATTTAAAGTGAGAGATATAGGACTCCTCCTCTTGAATACTTAGAGGCCACTGTAGGGTTACTAATTGTCTTAATTTCAATATTGTTGTACCACAGGGCATAGGGAGGCCTGAGGAGAGAGTGAGAGAGATGGCAACAGTTAGTGGAGCAGTCAGAACACACAACATTGATTGGTCAAGTTTGCCATCTTATGTGGGTGCAGTTTTTGGTGCCCCAAAACAATTACAAAAGTAACATCAAAGATCACTGAACACAGATCACCATAACAGATTAATAATAATGAAAAATTTTAAATATTGCAAGCATTACCAAAATGTGACAGAAGAAGGGAGCTCATGCTGTTGGAAGAATGGTGCCAATAGACTTGACGTAAGGTTGCCAGAAACCTTCAATATATAAAACAACAACCTTCCTCCCACCTCACCCCCAGCAAGAATTCTGCAATATCTGTGAAGCACAATAAAGTGAAATGCAAGAAAATGAGATATTTTTGTAACACGTGGTCTTTGTTTTGGGAATGTTCAAACTTGTGGGACAAATGGGTAAAGGTATAGCTACAGCCTAACATTGAAAAGCGCCATGGCCACAGGCATCACACAGGTCTTTATGATGTGCCACAGGCTTCCTTGCCTGAATGACAGTTCAGGTCTTGACAGAAATGGTTGTCATAGGTGCAGAAACTTGAAAGATGGTCAGTTTTGCAGAGGGGGCAGAGAGGATCTTTTGCTATATATGTTAGCATATTTTCAGTAAACCATGCTGTAAACAGATGTGCTGTTATCCAGGCTTTGCTGCTCCATTTATAGCACACAGGCGGAATAGATTTAGCATAATTCTTAAGGGATCTAGGATTTTTGGAATGGTAAATAAGCATTGGTTTCATTTAAAGTCACCAGCTGCATTCCTAATGAGGGTCAGCCTGAAGTGGGGTGTTTTTTAGGTTTTGGGTTTTATTTGCTTAATATCTCTAAGGATAGCAAATCACCTGTATTAGTTTACCTGGCATGAAGGAAATGCCCATTGCTAATTCTACCAAATTTTCAAAAAAATACTTTGGATTTTAGAACAAACTGAAAAGTTGCTGTCTAATACTTGGAGGACAGTATGCCTAGATTCATAAGATGCCTCTGGGTCTCTATCTTTGTAATATATTTACCAAAATCATGAAAAATGTTTTTATTAGCCAGCATATAGATAGACTTGGTGGTTCCCAAACCTGAAAATGGTGAAAGTAACCCAGGGAGCATTTGGTGACTCAAGAGCCCAGTTCCCAATCCAGCGAAACTGAAACAGTCTCTTCTGGGGCAATCTCAGATTCTATGTCTAGGAATCAAAAATTTAAGAACTGGTGAGGAATTGCCTGTAATCCCAGCACTTTGGGAGGCCGAGGCAGGCAGATCATGAGGTCAGGAGATCGAAACCATCCTGGCTAACACGGTGAAACCCCATCTCTACTAAAAATACAAAAAAATTAGCCGGGCATGGTGGCGGGTGCCTGTAGTCCCAGCTACTCGGGAGGCTGAGGCAGGAGAATGGTGTGAACCCAGGAGGTGGAGCTTGCAGTGAGCCAAGATCGCGCCACTGCACTCCAGCCTGCGCAACAGAGCGAGACTCCGTCTCAAAACAAAAACAAAAACAAAAACAAACAAACAAAACAAAAAAACAAAACAAAAAAAAGAACTGGTGAGGAATCAACAGTCACTATAAATTTGTGCTACCGATGTGGTAACTACTAATTGTGTCTGTGTTACTATGAATTCATACCCAAAGGTGAGACTAAACACAGTAAGAAAACCCCCCAAAAAAAGAGTTGACGCACAGTAGGAAGTCTCACCAAATTGTTGACTTGTTCTTACCTGGTGGCTTACTTATACTAAGAAGGAGTTTTAAGAGACAGTAATTCAAAGATAATAGTACAATTCAGAAAAGCATTCTAAAGCTCTATTGCTACTTCTAGATACTCAGGTAATCTTTTGGTCTTTCTGTTATATTGTTTCCTTGGAAAAGGATTCAATCTCTCTGTTCCCCAGCTCTTTTTTCTCTTCCTACT
Source organism: Homo sapiens (assembly GCF_000001405.40). Lineage (NCBI taxonomy): Eukaryota > Metazoa > Chordata > Mammalia > Primates > Hominidae > Homo > Homo sapiens. The sequence goes on along the minus strand of NC_000008.11, from coordinate 108,035,058 downwards.
AAATAAGCAAAGGTCAAAACTTGGAAGATGTATTTCCCTGGAAAGAACATTCAATCGATTTTATTAGTTAATATAAAACATTTATGTGTTATGATAGGATGGAAAGCAAAACAGTATTTAGGGAAAACAGTTGGTAATATTGCTCAAATCATGAAGATAATAAAGCTTAGCTTCTGTGTAGGAGTGCGACTGGTCACAGGTTATCACAAGATTAAGTGTTCTGTGCGTGCACACCCATCTTTTCTTGATATTTAGTGCACTTCACAGACTGGCCATTTCACAATTTGATTATCACGTAGCTTTGACCATAACCAGGGCACAGCAAAATCTCCTATTTTGATGCTACTGTGGACTCACAACTTCTTGGCTGGGCCTCTGTAATTGTTATTCTGAGTCTTAAATAGAAGGGCCAAAACAGGAATTGAGAATTTTATTATGAAATATTTCAGTCAAACCACAAATAGGAGATACCTCCTACACCCATAACTCAGATTCAATGTTTTAAAATGTTTTTCTGTATATGCTTCATCTGTCCTCTCCCTTTTGTCTCAGGCAAAGCGTTTTAAAGCAAATCTCTGATATCATGTACTTTATCCTAACATACTTCCTTCTTTATGTATAAAATCTTCTTTTACAACCACGATGCCATCATAACACTTACTATAAAAATTAACAGTAATTCCTCAGGGTCACTGAATACCCACCGTAACCAAATTTCTCAGACTATTCCAAATATGTGTGTGTGTGTTTAAAATAGTTTATTTGAATCAGAATCTTAGGTGGGGAAAAGGATATTTTAAAGACATATTTAAAGAACACTTTATTCCTTATGTAATTAGAACAAGTAAGGAGGGGAAAAAAAACCCCCAGAACCTCATGGGATTTCTTAAATATTTTGTAGAAGGAACTAATACTTTCTTTCAATTTTCTGTCCTTAGGAGCATTATGATCTATCCCCTGAGAATGAGCGATCCGATGCACTTTTTAAACAATGTAAACCACAGTTTCTGGTTTAATGAGAGATTACTTTTCACATTGCATTCCATGTCAGCACAGATGCCATGATTTCATGTTCTAAAGTTAGTCCTGCAATTACTGTTTTGATTGCTCTTAGAAAAATGCACACAAAGAATACAGTGACTCAGCGAAGGGTGTTGCCAGTGGGTTGTAGTTTTTAGTTTTCAGATATGATGGAATTGCACAAAGAATGTACAACTTGGTGTTGCATTTTTTCTACTCCCCATGCCTTTCTTTCCACACATGGCCACCAGCACCAAGCATGCCCAGCCTCCTTTCCAAGACATTGAAAAGAGTCTGGAAAACACAGTATACAAGTAAATTGTAAAAACTCCATAGCAAGAGCTGCTTTTTAATAAGAAGCTCTCAGTTCTCTTGTCATCACAAAGACTTGTAAGGCTATACTTAAAAAATATAATTCAGTGACTCCAAAGAGGTCTACTTTTGAAAATAAATTGATGCCCATATGGCACCTCAGTCTCTGGGGTAATTGAATATTTTTATTCAAAATATGTGAGAGGACACTCTGACTTGAAAAAGACATGGCACCTGCCTCTCAGGCATGCTTATCTTACACGGAGGGATGAACACAGGTTATGGAGAAGATCAGTGGCTTAGAGGGGAGGAAGGTAGAATCTGAGAGGCCAGCTAGATATTCTTACAGTGATTCAGGCACAAGTTAATTAGCAGCTGGACTGGGGTCATGGCATTGGGCACCAAGAAGAGATGCTAGAAAGCTTTAGAAATATCCGCTCACATTGATGACATACTGGACCTTGGAGATGAAAGAAGGTGGTGGTGATCAATAATTTTTTGCTGCAGTATACAATAAGAAATGCTAGACTGGGCACGGTGGCTTACACTTGTAATATCCACACTTTGAGTGGCTGAGGTGGGTGAATTGCTTGAGGCCAGAAGTTCGAGACCAGCTTGGGTAACATAGCGAGACCCCGTATCTACAAATTTTTTTTTTTTTTTTTTTTTTTTTTTTTGAGACAGAGTCTTGCTCTGTCACCCAGGCTAGAGTGCAGTGGTGCGATCTTGGCTCACTGCAAGCTTCGCCTCCCGGGTTCATGCCATTCTCCTGCCTTAGCCTCCCAAGTAGCTGGGACTACAGGTGCCTGCCACCACACCCGGCTAATTTTTAGTAGAGATGGGGTTTCACCATGTTAGCCAGGATGGTCTCGATCTCCTGACCTTGTGATCCGCCTGCCTCGGCCTCCCAAAGTAAAAAATTTTTAAAATTAGCTAGACATAGTGGTATAATCCTGTAGACGTAGCTACTCAGGAGGCTGAGGCAGGAGGACTGCTTGAGCCCAGGAGTTTGAGGCTGCAGTGAGCTATGATGACACTACTGTACTTCAGCCTGGGTGACAGAGTGAGGCCCTACCTCTTAAAAAAGGAAAAAGAAAAAACAAAAACCCTGCTTATTATGCTTCTGAAAAGAGACAGTAGGTTGGTAGGGGGAGGTTGATTTTCATTTATTTTAATATCTTAATTTTGAAGTAATAGACAAGGGGAAATAATATGTATCTAGGGTATGTGACTAGGACACAAAATAGAAACTGGAATTATTGATTTGGAAGATAAGTAAAGCCATTTATCCATTTATTCATTTATATAACTACATTAATGTACCAGAAACTGTATTAAGGTGACAGAAAAATTTAAGAGTGTTTGCTCTCAAGGAGTTCATCATTTAGTGAGAACAAAGACAAATGAATGGATCCTTGGATAGACAATCTGGGAACTATATGTGTTATTAAATGTTTATGTATAGTGATTTGTAAATTTGGTAGACTCAATAGATGTTTTTTCTGAAACTTCCTTTCCTCTTCTCTGCTTTCCTTTTCTATTCTTGTTTTCCTATTATTTTTCTTTTTTAAAAATCTTAACTTTATAGTAGAACAAGTGTGCAAGATGTTATACTGAAGTTGTTGAATTTAAGAGGCAGGATAGGGTCAGAGCTTGTATTTGGTCTATATGCCTGTGGTCCAGCCATAGCTGTAGCTGTAGCTACAATCTGTACCAACTGTGTGATGATGTATTGGGTGACTACCTTCCTTTCCCTCTGCCCCCTACTGTTCTCTGCCAATCTAAGTCACCATTGTAGCTGGTGGGACAACTAATTGTGTTACAGGTAAGGTGTGGGGCATCAATCCTATTCTATTCCTTTTCTTTTTTTTTTCCTCTTCTTTTCTGCTTGTGCTAGAAATGGAGAAAGCTAGTCACTATATCCAAAAGATTGCAAATAACCTCTGCAGATTGATGCATCTCCTGTTCAAGGTCATTTTTTCCCTCCTTCACTTACAGAGAGAAACAAATCAGAAACAAAGTTCACTAACCAAAATTTCAAACTTTAACATTCCCAGTGTCAGTAAACATTGTTTTTAATCTATTCATTTTTGGTTGATATTAAATGTTCAGTGTATGAAGTTACGGCCTTTTACCGTTTTGTTTTTTATGTAATCTCACCCAGGTGATACTTGATGCTTACGTTTATCTTATCTTGAAAGAGCTTTTGCAAACGTAAAGTTTTAGTCTTTTAAAAAATGAATTGACAGTCTACTTTGTGAGTTTTTCAAAGTGCATGGGATGTATAGTATTTTTAATGATTGGTAATAACCATTACAATTTTTTAAAAAGTTGGTAGCATAATAAGGCCATTTAGTTACACTACAAGAAAGGAAAACTCATAATGGACTCCATGTGTTTACTCTTACAACTTCCTGAGTCACGTTTTCTGCACCGTGTAATGGTGATCCATTAGAGATGCAAAATCTTTGCAATCTTTTAAGTACCCTCTTTATAGCCACTATTTGAAGGAAGATTAATCTGGTGGTAGGTTCAAGCCTATAACACCATGATTTATAAATAGACTGGTTCAAATTATGCTTGTTCCAGTTTAGAAATGTAACTTAGATGCATATCCTGTGAGACACAAGAATAATTTAAAAATGGAATTGATGGAACCTGAACAAAATCAATCAATGGGAGAAACTTTCTCTCCCTGCTTGTATAAAGTAGTCATCTTGATCCTTAAAGAATATTAATCCAGTAGTATAATCATCAGTGGCAAAATATTCGCCATTTTTTTCAGGGACCTCGGACAGCCTTCAGTGATTTCAATGAATGTGAAATATGCTTGATAAAATGTATCCTATTGTAATACTATACCTTCTGAAGGAAGCAAACTCAGTCATTAACAGAAATATAAGAAAAGGAACAATTTCATAAAATGGAATGGCTTTTCTTATGAGTTTTAATTGGGCTTTCTTAGAGTTCTGATTTTCTTCAACTGGCTGGATTAGGAGTCCCTCCCTCCACCCCTGGACCCACTGACTTCCCACAGATGCTTGGATACACCTTTATCATAGCACTTACCCAGCATTTTGGTTTTATTTTCATAGGAATCCTAAGTGAGTAAGGCGTATTTAAGCCAGCAGATGGATGATTAAAGGATGGTGTGTGTTCTATCTCTAGTTAATTTCCCCAGTAATTTCTGGGCATCACATGCAGTCACCACATGGTAGTCATTATGGCTTTCCTCCCTTGCCTGGGCATCCACTAGTCAATGTCTGTGGCCCATGAAGTCATTTAGGGGAGCCCCATCATGGCCACTGCTTATACATTACAGATACCAGGCAGGCAAGACCAGAGTCTAGCTTCTGAAATGTCCCAAGTTGCTACTGTCAGGGCCATGCTGGCTTCCAGATAGAGTCAGAGACACTGGCACCCTTCGAAACTTGAAGCTGTAGTTTGGTCACATGAATGAATACTGCTTGGGTTTCTCCAGCAGAGTGTGTCCTCAACCAGCTCATCCAGCTGCAGTTTCTCATCCTCCTAGATTGGAACTGAAATCAAATCCAGAGGGCCTGGCTAACATCATATGCCTAGCTTTTTTTTTTTTTTTTTTTTTTTTCCTATCTATCCCAGGACCCTACTTTCAAAACTTCTCTCTACAACCCAGGTACCAAACAAAATTGACATGGAGCTGAGACAAAAGGAGAGGGTCATTTCTGTTATTTAAAAAAAATGTTTGAACTCTGGCTGTTAGAAATTAGATAACAGTTTTAAACACATACTTGTGTTCCTCACTAGATTCTGAACTTTACAAGGACAAGGACTATCTTTATCTTTGATCCCTGGCACTTAAGACAATGTTAAAAGAGTCAAAATTAATTGAAGGAAGAATTATTGCAATGTCTCAGTCAGACTTAAGAGTTTTCACAACTCATTTCAAGCTGTAATAACTCCTGTCGATACCCTCTTCTCATCCACTAAGGAATATTAAATATGTAAATATTGCTCAAGTTCTATTTCAGGACTCCTTTTAGTGGAAAAAATGTTTGGTGCATCTTTTATTTCCCTTGAGTCATCATTGTTCTTCTTGGGAATGCTGTGATAAATGTTGTCTTGCAGATTCTTTGCAGTGTAAGAGCTTTGTGGTAGGTGATGCTTCCTGGGCCTCCAAATTTGTAGCAAATTAAAAATGATTTTTGTGGGCTTTCTCCCCCACTCTTCTAGGTGTGGAATATATGAGTAGAGCACATCTTAGCTGTTGATTTTGTATGCCTACAGGAATTTACTTTCAAAAATATTAATTTGCATTTTGCTATGGTATTTAAATTGATAACAGCCACTTATGTGCTAGGTGTTAGCAATAAACAGCATCTATCCATAATCCTTGCAGCAATCCTTAGAAGGGGGTTGGATCACTTTGTAAAGGGCCAGAGAGGAAATATTTTAGGCTTTGAAGATCATATGATCTCTGTGGCAACTCCTCAATTCTGCCATTGTAGTGCAAAAGCAGACACAAACAATATGTAAAGGAATAAGTATGGCTGTATTCAGATAACAACATTTTACTTAAAAACATGTGGTGGGCTGGATTTGGCTGGTTGGTTGTAGTTTGCTAATCCCTGATGCAGAGGATTTCCTTTTTAGGCAAAAAAAAAAAAAAAAAAAAAAAAAAAAAAAAAAAAAAGACTCATGTTAACAGTTACCCAAGTTTACCCTGCTCTAGTAAGTACCAGCACTAGAATTTGAACTGACTTCACGTCATGATTCAAAAAAAAAAAATTAGATATTTATATTTGTTCACTCAGTTATGAATGTTTGGTACCTGCAAGGCCCTGTACAATGTGCTATGAAAGTGATAGAGGCCAAGTTTACAGCTTCCTATAGTTTACAGGGAGAGGTAGTCAATGAACATCATTCCTCTCACTTGCCCAAGTTATGAAGGATGACAAGGCATCATGATTTCCGGATGACAAATGAACACTTTTCTTACCTGTAAAGTTGGCAATAGAGAACATACTACAACATATGAGATAGGCTGTTCCAGTTAGGCACAGACAGTGTAGACAACCACAGGACTCCACATGGAGGCCAGCTTCTGTAACACTTCAGAAATGGCAAGCAAATTCCTAAGAAGGATGGAGAGAGCTGCTGGTCTACCATGCACAGTTCCTTGTTCCAAAGTTCCCACACAGAGAACTCTCCTCTCCTTTGGAAACATCAGTGAGAGGGAGGAGAATGTGAATAATGTGTGAACAGGTGTCCACTCCCCATTAAGGAAAGATCAGGAGTGAAGAGAAAGTGTCCTGCCTCCTCCTGTGCGATGTAGAGCAAGCAGTAGAAGGGAGAGAATAACTAAGTTGCTTTGGGATTTACAGTAAAGAGAAATTACTTCCAGGATTGGAGAAAAGGAAGCAATTGACAGAGAAGGTGGCATTTGGACACGTTCTTGAACAATCTTCACTTGGATATGTGAGGTGAGGGGGTAAGATAAGCCAGAGAAAGGAAATATCAGAAGCACAGAGCAGTTTAGGGGGGTCAAGAAGGTCAATTGCTAGGTCAGAGTTAAGGTGACCAAATGTCCTGATTTGCCTAAGACTCTGGGTATCAGTAGTGAAGATCTCACATCCTGGGAACCGCCCAGTCCTGGGTGAAACAGATGGTTGGTCTCTTGAGCGTCAGCCTAAGAACTTGGAACTCCCATTCGTTGAGTGGTAGAATATGTAGAATGGCTTCATGTAGGGCTGGTCAAAGTTACCACACCCTGAACTTCTTGATATGGTTACTTCCTGAGGTGAGTCACTAGGCTGGGAATGAAAGGTGAGAGGCCAAAAGCTGCTAATAGACATTGGGAACTACTGAAGGTTTTTGAAAGGTATGAAGGTTACATTGACTCTTAGAGTAGGAAATGTATAGAAAGAAGCTCGGGGACTGTTTAATATAAAACCAGTGGAGAACATATTAGGGGTGAAATAAAATATTGAGATGTATTTTCTTTTTGAGAAAGATGAAATATTAATTAATTATCAGTCCCTTTTTATTTTCCCATCAGGCTCTGAAAAAGAGTTATTTAGAATTCAATCCCCAAAACTATCCTAGTATGTTCATTCTAATGGATACTGTTGGCTTGGAATGAATAGTTCTATAATTGAACTTTTTTAAAAAAAATATAAATACTTTGCTCTTGTATTTTCCCAAATAAAAATGCTTTGGTAATAAAGAATGCATTTCTAGTAAGTTTCTTGAAATTTTTACTTAAGGATTGTTTTCATTATCATTATTGTATGTTACTCCTGAATCTGGTCATTGTACCAGATAGATACTTCATTTGGAAAAGCCCACTGGGTAAATCTTATATGGTGGCTTGTTATTGGCACTGAACTAAGAGACGGAATGAACCAGATGTAGATGTATTCAGTTTAAGCATCTAGACAATGTCTTTCATTCAATAACTACTTGTTAATGAGTTAATCAGTTGGATAAATCTAACTACTGAGAATCCCAAGAGGAAAATGTGACATGTTTGAGCATGTTTGTCTTTTAAATGATGAGCTTTATTATTTAAGAAATATCAGAAGTTGAACTTAGGTAATCAGAAGTTTTATGTAATATAGAAGTGATGTAGAAATCTGATGATTTGAAAAAACCAGGTGAAGTTTCACAAAACTACTTCATATTAATTGCTATAGATTCTTAAAGGAAATTCTGTCAATTATTTTGATATGGATTGGTTGGTTATTGCTTTTCCCGCCTATACTTGGATTGACTATATTTTTTACTTTGAAATAACTTCAGACTTTACAGAGAAGTTAAATTATGCACATAATTCTTGTATGCCATTTATCCAGATTCCTTAATTGTTAGTATTTTTTTTTTGAGATGGAGTCTCGCTCTGTCACACAGGCTGGAGTGCAGTGGCATGATCTCGGCTCACTGCAACCTCTGTCTCCCGGGTTCAAGCGATTCTCCTGCCTCAGTCTCCCAAGTAGCTGGGACTACAGGCATCTGCCACCATGCCTGGCTAATTTTTTATTTTTAGTAGACATGGGGTTTCAACATATTGGCCAGGCTGTTCTCAAACTCCTGACCTCAAGTGATCCACCTGCCTCGGCCTCCCAAAGTGCTGGGATTAAAAGCATGAGCCACCGCTCCTGGCCTTGTTAGTATTTTACTATACTTCATACTTGCTATATTATATATTTCTCTATTTTTTCTGAAATTTTATAAGTTGGAGACATGATTCTCAATATCAGTGCACATTTCCTAAAAACAAAAAGGACCTCATTTATAATCGCAATGAATTTATTAAAATAAGGAAACTAGCACTGATATAATACTGTTATCTAGTCTAGATAACATTCAAATTTTGCCAATTGCACCTCTGCTTTTTGTAGTTAAAGAAAAAATTGTTTTAGATCTAATTCCAGGTCATATATTGCATTTAGTGGTCATACTTTATTCTTCTTTAATTTGGACCAATTCTTCAGCCATTCTTTGTCTTTTATGACCTTGACATTTGAAGAATCCTGGCCAGTTATTCTGTACAATATTCCTCAACTTGGATTTGTCTGCTGTTTCTTCATGATTTGATTGAAGTTCTGTGTTTTTGCCAGGGATACAACAAACATGCTATTGTGTTCTTTTCAGTGCCTCATAGCAGGAAGCACATTCTAGGGACATTAACTTTGATCACTATGTTAAGGTTTCTTGTTTGTAAAGTTACTAGATTTCCCAGCGGAATAAGTATCTTGTGGGAGATACTTTGATATGATATAAAATCTTGTTTCTCATTGTATATTTACTCAATGGTTTTAGCCAGTGCCTGAAATAATTATTACTGTAATGATTGCCAAGTGGTGGTCTTCTAATTTCTCATTAATTTTATATTCATTAACTGGAATTCTGCAAAGAAGAGTTTTTGGCCAGGTGTAGTGGCTCACATCTGTAACTCCACCACCTTGGGAGGCTGAAGTGGAAAGATTGCTTGAGCTCAGGAGTTTGAGACCAGCCTGGGCAACATAGTAAGATCCTCTTTCTTTAAAAAAAAAATCAGCCAAGTGTGGTGGGGTGCATCCATAGTCTCAGCTATGTGGGAGGCTGAGGTGGGAGGATTGCTAGAGCCTAGGAGGTTGAGGCTGCAGTGAGCTTGTGATTATGCCACTGTACTCCAGCCACAGGGACAGAATGAGATATATCTCAAAGAATAAAAAAATCAGGAAGACCTTTTCCTTGTCCTTGTTTACTTATTTATAGCAGTATAGATTCATGGTTTATTTTATTCAATTTATTATAATCTCTTACTGCCATTTATTCTGTTGCACACATTGTCCCAGGATGGACATGGAACACTGGGACCTCCTTTAAACTTCTCTGTTTGACATGTTCCATCATTCTTTGAACACTTCGGTTCTCTCTGGCACAATGTGTTTTAGGTGGATTTTTACATTCTCTTCCCTAGCCTTGGAATAAGCATTTCTCCAAGGAGCTCCTTTTAGTTGAGAATGGTATTTAGAAAACAAAATCTGGTTGCTGGATATGCTCATTACTGTTGGGGTGTTATTATTTCTATGCCTTCTCAGCAAACAGAGCTAGGAAGTATAAGTGTATATATGTATGTTTGCTTGTGTGTGTGTGTGTATACACATTTATACATATATACACTTATAAATTTGTTTCTGCTTTTATTCCATTTTTGAGTTGCTTCTTCCCTATCCTTGCTTTTTTGAGACAGGGTCTTTCTTGTCACCCAGACTGGAGTACAGTGGCATGATCTCGGCTCGCTGCCCCTCTGCCTCCTGGGCTCAAGCAGTCCTCCTACCTCAGCCTCCCAAGTAGCTAGAACTACAGGTGTGTGCCACCACACCTGGCTAATTTTTGTGTTTCTAGTAGAGATTGTGTTTTTCCATGTCACGCAAGCTGGTCTCAAACTTTCAGACTCAAGTAATCCACCCACCTTGGCCTCCCAAAGTGCTGGGATTACAGGCGTGAGCCACCATGCCCAGCCTATCCTTGTTGTGTTTATTATCTGTTGAGTACGTAAAATATTAACATGATTCTAAAGATCAGAACAATAGAAAGAGGTGTGTGTGTACTTTTCATACCCCATCCCTTCTACCCTTTTCACATTTGCCTGTCACTCTGTTTCCACCTGTCCACTGTAGGTAACCAATTTCTTTTGTTTCTCATTTATTCATCTTAGATATCTTTTTGTACAAATTAATAGATGTGTATATTTTATTTCCCTTTTGTTCTGCTATCAAAGGTAACATACATTAGATACTCATTTGCACTGAGCTTTTTTTTTTTACTTAACAGTATATGTTGGAAATAACTCCATATCAGTTTGTAGATTTTCCTCATTATTTTTTAGTGGCTTTGGTTGCAGTGTACTATACTGCATGGAAGTACCACAACTTATCCAATTACTCTCCTGTGTGTGGGCATTTAGGTTGCTTCCAGTAGTCTGTAGGTGCAGACCGCAAAGAATAACTTTGTGCCAAGTATATTTTCAGGTTAATATTTTTATTTCATTGAAGCAACTCAACTTTTTTTTAAGTTGTCGTTGGAGAGAATTGGAGTTATATATATGTCACTTGTTTTTTTATTTCTTTGTAAGTACCCTCTTTTATTTCTTTTGAATACCTTTGCAACAAAATTGTCAAATTCCCCTACTTTTAAATACAGGGACACACCGTATTTGGACAACACACCATGAAATTTTAGTAATTTAATTCATGTTTAATGTGTGGTCAAAAGAGCCCTTATGCTTCCTGGGTTTTTATTATCTTAGGTAATCTGAGTGGCTTCTAACTAGAGGTTCTAAAAGAATTTGGGTAACTGGTTTTATAGCTGTAATTGAGACACAACTCTGCATAACTCTTTCCATCCACCACTTCCTCCTCCCCATACAGGATACAGACCTTAAAGAACACAAGCCTGGCCATCTACTTCTCCAAATTAATACTTGCTCTTTTATTGTCAGTAGCCTTAGAGACAATGTATTTCCCAAACACTTGTTTGTCTAATATCTATTACCTGTGGCCATAACAGAGTGTCCTATTTATGAGTAGAGCCATATATATTATGGATTTGCAAATAAGGATATTTGCAGAGCTGCTCTGCAACACCGTCAGTAACCCCACTTTTCTGTTCAACTCTCACTACCTAAGAGGAAGCCAATCTTAATTTTATTTTTACATCCTTTCTCTTGTATTCACATTCTGCTGGCTTCTTAACTCTGAATCGAAAATCAAAGCGTATCATTTTAGTTCAGATGCCATGTGTTGTGTTTTATCTGATCCTCATGCACTTGAACTCGGGTTTCCTTGACAAAGACTCTCTTGTTCCTGGGTGGATTGACTTTAACCAGAAGCTGGTGCTTTCTAAGCTCTGTATTTGAATGGGTTCTGGGGGTAATGTGGCATGCTCCCCAGGGATGCTTAAATACTGGGACATTTTTCTCAATGTGGAATTTCCTGAATTTGCTTAAAGTGATATAATTTTATTCCCTTAAATAACTATGAAGAGAGATTGTTCTTAGTATTTCTGAAGAGTAAACCAATAGCAGTATGAATGCTAAAGGAGTTTAATTTGAAAACTTGATTGAGTCATTTTATTATAAGAAATCAATCAATGAATCTCCCTCTATCGCTTCCTCTCTCTTCATTCTTATTTTAGTTACACTTGTAATACATAAATATATCCTCAGGTGTGTGGGGCAGGGAGAATAAAAAGCATCTCTCTTGGGTCTCCTTTATTTCCCTTCTCCAGATGCAACTACTGTGAGTGTGTGTGTGGTTTTTTTTTTTGTTTTTTTTTTTGACAGTTTTGTTCTTGTTGTCCAGGCTGGAGTGCAATGGTGCAATCTCAGCTCACAGCAACCTCTGCCTCATGGGTTCAAATGATTCTCCTGCCTCAGCCTCCTGAGTAGCTGAGATTACAGGCATGCGCCACCACGCCCGGCTAATTTTGTATTTTTAGTAGAGATGGCGTTTCTCCATGTTGGTCAGGCTGGTCTGGAACTCCCAACCTCAGGTGATCCGCCCACCTCGGCCTCCCAAAGTGCTGAGATTACAGGCATGAGCCACCATGCCCAGCACAACTACTGTGTTTTTAAACTTATTGTTTGTATTTAAGATGTTCAACATGTTTTGATATGTAAATACAGAGCAAAATGATTACTCAAGCAGATTTACATAGCCATCACTTTCCATAGTTATGTGTGTTAAGAGCAATGAGAATATAAATTTCTGGTATTTTCTTGTGTTTATACCTATACACACATATAAACTCTCATACGTGTTTGGGGACTTGGGGATTAAGGGGAAATGTTTTTCTTCTCCAGAGGCCAGGTTGATGACTTTAAGAAAATTACTCCTAAATTTTGGTGCTACTATTAGAAAGGGGAGAATAGCCATTCCTTCTGTTGTTGGAGACCTGCTTAGACATTTTAACTGTTGCTCTCTCTCTCTGCTATTTGAAAAAGAGAAAGACGTTATGAGATATGGGGACTGCCTCTGAAAGGTACTAAAGATGGAGCGTGGCTGTTTGCCTACAGGGTGGGTGAGATTGGGAATTATGGTCTTGATAGGACTTTTGTAGCATGGTGTGGGGAGGTGACCACCTAAAGCACATACTGGAGGGATAAAGTGTCAGTACTGCCAGCTGTGTGTTAGCTAGAAGATGTGGTGGGAGTTTTGTTAATGGTTAGCCAAGGCCTATGGAAGTCATCATGGATGGCAGTTCCTCTCTCCTTTTTGATGATAGAAGTGATGAAGCCATCATTTTTTCTTTCTTTTTTTTATATTTTAAGTTCTGGGATACATGGGCAGAATGTGTACGTTTGTTACATAGGTATACATGTGCCATGGTGATTTGCTGCACCCATCAACCCATCATCTAGGTTTTAAGCCCCACATGCATTAGGTATTTCTCCTAATGCTGTCCCTCCCCTTGTCCCCAACCCCTGCCCCCGACAGGCCCCGGTGTGTGATGTTCCCCTCCCTGTGTCCATGTGTTCTTATTGTTCAACTCCCACTTATGACATCATTTTTTCTTTCTTAGCCCATTGGCAATGAGACCATTAGGGCCACCAAGGAGAGGGTTAAGTCCTCACCTTTTAGGTGGAAGATATGCCCCCTTTTTCTCCCTAGCACACTGGAGGGTATTAGCACATCCCTTCAATCCCCATGTTCCCCAAGCTGTTTGGAATTAGATGTTTCCCACCTGTGTTGTGAAGAGGAGAGGTTTGGCATTCAGTTTACATTGATGCTTTAAACTGAAAAGGAATGGGCCTTAAGTATGGAGGAAGGACTACTATACTAAATTCCTACTTGCTTTCATTCATAGAATCTGCTCATTCTACTTAGGTCACTGATACCCATCTGGGAAGTGGGGGCTCAGGGTAGCAAAAGGGGAAAGGTTTTGAGAAAAAAGTTCATTTATTTACATATCCCAGTGAGTCAGACTGTCTCAGTAAATTAGTTAATGGTTTGTTTGGCAGAGAAGTACAATTGATTTGCCTTTCAAGTCAATGATTTATATAACATAAAATTGTTCAAAATGGTTGAGACCAAGCCTTAGGGATTTTTCTCTTTATTAATGTTGCACTAAATTGGGGATATTCTGCATAAATATCTTGTTAAGTTAGACTGTATGTTCCTGGAGACCAGGAACCTTATTTTATTTTCTAAGGAGCCAAGTAAAAGTATGTGCTAAAACTTGCTAACTGAAAGGAACTTTATTTTAGCAATATGTTTCTTGCACAGTAGCAAATGTCTATATTTGACACCAAGTACTGAAGTGGACTCTGGGCACATGAAAATGTATAGGAGGTGATATCTTACTGTCTACTGGGGAAGACATACATATAGCTAGGTAATTTTATAATGTAACAAATATAGAAATAGAAGACTCCAGCGTGCCTCAGAGTGATACTATAGTGGCCCTTAGCCCTTATAAGTGATTAGAGTATCAGGGAAGTCTTCCTGGAGGAGATTGCATGTTCCTTTATAGGTTAGGGAATTGTATATCATTTTTATACTTATTATTGTGTTCCTAATGTGTAGGACATAGCAAGTAATCATAAATGTTTGTAAATGAATAAACAGATGTATGAAAAAGAGTTCAAATGAGTCTTAAATTATGAGGAAAAACTAAAAAAATAAGAACATTGCAGGTAAAGGTATTCTAGGCATGGGTAGTGATGAGCAGAAACAAACTCGAGTTTGAGACTGCTGTTATGTGCACAGATGAGACATAGCTCAGACTTGAGACTAGACTTTGTTCTTTAGGTAGTAGGGAATACGGTGGATTTTTAAACAGCCGAAGTGATAGGATTTTATTTAATTTTTTAAAGAAATCCTGGTGATTGTATAGTGGAGAATGAATTAGATGGATGTGAGAGTTGGGAGCATGAAAGGCGTGTACGTTGGTAGAGTTGCCCAAGTTCTGGAGTGAGAAATGTGTTGATAAAAATGCAGAAGAGAGAACAGAGTGAAAGATACTTTGGAGAATGAAGAGTGATAAGAGCTGCTGACTGTGGTGAGGGGGTGAGACTCTGAGATGGGACAAAAAGTTTTTGTTCCCTGAGAGGTAAGAAGGCATCTCCTGGAGAGGGCTTCTGGAAAAGCTACTGTTTCTTCTTCCTCTTTTTTTTTTTTTTTGTAATTTTTATGAACAAAATAGATCAACTGGCATACACCACATTCCTGTCTAGGGTGCTCTGCAACAAATGCCTCCTAACTGCCAGAAGGTCTGGGAAAACAGTATTTTTTCTGTCAGGCATGTTGCTGCCCTGAAGAGAATTAGTCCTGAAGGAAGAGCAGCCACTAGTAATGTCTGACACCAAGTTACCTGTTAGTCTTACTACTGCTAGTAGCACTAAACCAGAGCACAAAGTCTACCCTTTTAAAGAACATTTGGAAAAAACCATCATATCCCCATAAGGGACTACTATATTTGTCAGAAAAATGTCACTATTATTTCTTTGAAAAGCACTCAATCAGCAGGTGCTTTGGCAGTTTCTAAGACTGACTAGTGTTCTTGTCACACAGGTTAACAAACGAAAAAAATAAAAAGAGAAGGGAGGCAATTGTGGTCTTTCTCACCCAGCTTGATTTGAGGGCAAAGTTTTTTAAAAAAACAAAACCATTAAAGGAAAGTTTAAAAGCAGCATGTAAACATGTGACTGAGAATTGGCTCAGACCGAAAGGCTGAGAAGACCGAAAGGCTGAGAGAAACCCTCAAAGTGGAACGCCTACCTTGGAGAATGGGTCAGCTTTGCAGAAGATCAGATAAACATAGAAATGGGAAAGGGTTTTATGGGTTGTGTGTGTGTGTGTATGTGTGAATTTTATTTTTTTTACCTTAATTTATTATTATTTTTTTGAGTTGGAGTCTTGGTCTGTCACCCAGGCTGGAGTACAGTGGTGTAATCTCCGCTCGCTGCAACCTCCATCTCCTGAGTTCAAGCAATTCTCGTGTCTCAGCCTCCTGAGTAGCTGGAATTAGAGACATGCACCACCACAGCCGGATAATTTTTGTATTAAAGTAGAGATGGGGTTTCGCCATGTTGGCCAGGCCGTGTTTTTTTAAAAAAATAAGAATCAGTGTTGGGTAGTTCAGAGTTTTGAGTAGAATTCATTTTACTAAACTTGGATATATTCGAGACTATGTGATTCATGGATCAGAAATAAAATAATCTTCTACCAAGTTTGCTTCTATGTACATCTTTTTAGTATTTATTTTTAGAATGATCTATGTTGTGTTAGCTACACATACATATAGTGCTACAAGTCAGGTTTTAAAACTCTATCAAGCATCTATGCAATAACATACATGCAGTTCTTAGGCTGGCATGAACGTTGTTTTCTTAAAATATGAATCATTAAATATAAAGGCCAAATTCACTAAAAGATCTTGAAGATATGAAATTCGGAGTACTGGCACTTTTAACTATGGGTGTTTACAGAAAATATATCTTAGCATTTGGAAATATTTGGAAGTATTTAGCTTACTTCCACTGTGCATTTATTTTTAATATTTATCCAGATTTTCTATCATGTGCCTCCTGCTTTTCTGTTCCTATTTAAGACATTTGGCAAAGGGGAACAAAGAAATTTAATTCTTACTGAATATGAAACTCCTTAGGCCTGGATAATGTCTGTATTTTTTCTAAGTCTGGAAAGATGTACATTTTAGCCAATGCTGGAATAGCTTAAACTATTAAAATCATACATGTATTGTTTTGTCTCTTATGTAGGAAAGTACTCATCTGTGGCCTGGTTTTACTTGATGTGGTCTCAGTTAAGCTGGTTGGCTGCTTGAGGTCTCCTGTGTTGACCTAAGGAAGGTTTGGGAAATATTGGTTAATATACTACAGTGTGAGAAGGATTTATTACAAGTGCCATGTGTCATTACTATAGGCATTCTTCCCCTTGTAAACCAATACTTTATATAAGAATGTGTCATGATAACTAGGATTAATTTTCTTATTTTTCCTGGGTAAAATGAGACTCCCCAAAAGGGCTCACCTTAGAATGAGGTGAATTTTTCTGTCTTAACTCTGATTCTTGTTTTCTGCCAGATTTAAGTGAAGTCCCCTTTTAGCAAGAAAGTATAAATATGAAATGAGGGTATAATTTTATCTGCCATTAAGTAAATAAAAATATTATGCAAAATAATTTATTTTCTTTCTACATCAAACAAGTTAAGTTTTTCTGAATTGCTGAATGATGCAAGATTCTGTAGACTGAGCCTTCAAATTTTAGGAAAGCTTTTATTTTGGTAGCAATTAGGAAAACAAATCTAGGAACTTAAAGATTGTAATGTTAAGTGCTGACAGCCCACAGACTACTAACATTCAGCTGTATGTTTTCCTCCCTTTGATTTTTGGAGGTTCCATGTAATTGAATCTTTAGTTAGAAATTTCTTTATTTCCATAAGGTTGAAATTTTCCCTAGATTGACAAATCGTTCATTACTAATATTAAAATGAAATAACCATATTCTTTGTTTTAAAATTTTGTTTTTATCAAAGTTGTACACACACATTGTTTGGAGACAGATGGTTCTGTCAGACCTGTAATGAAAAACTGTTCCTTTCCAATGCCTTCTTGTTACTTCCCCATCCCCCCTTGACTACTTTCAGAACCTTTGGGTATTTATGTTTATAACTTTCCATAACATGCTTTTATTGCTCCTTCTCTGCTTTTTAATTTGGGGCATTATCTACTGAATTGCTGCTATGGAAGAGAAGTATTTAGCTTACTTCCACTGTTTCTCTTCCTCACTACACAAGAGCCCACTTCTTTTCCCCATCCTCCTAGTAGAGTTATATTGTCATTTTGCAGGGATGAATAGTTGGCATTTATATTCTTATAACCATTGTATTAGGCCATTCTTGCACTGCTGTAAAGAAATATCTGGCCAGGTGCAGTGGCTCAAGCCTGTAATCCCAGCACTTTGAGAGGCCGAGGCAGGCAGATCACGAGGTCATGAGATCGAGACCATCTTGGCTAACACGGTGAAACCCCGTCTCTACTAAAAATACAAAAAAATTAGCTGGGTGTGGTGGTGGGCGCCTGTAGTCCCAGCTACTCGGGAGGCTGAGGCAGGAGAATGGTGTGAACCTGGGAGGCGGAGCTTGCAGAGAGCCGAGATCGCGCCACTGCACTCCAGCCTGGGCGACAGAGTGAAACTCTGTCTCAAAAAAAAAGAAAAAAAAAAGAAAAAGAAAGAAATATCTGAGACTGGGTAATTTATTTTTTTTTAAAGGAGGTTTAATTGGCTCGTGGTTTTGTAGGATTTATGGGAAGCATGGTGCTGGCATCTGCTCAGCTTCTGGGGAGGCCTTAGGAAGATTTTATTCATGGTGGAAGGTGAAGTGGGAGCAGGTACATCACATGGCCAGAGCAGGAGCGCGAGAGAGAGTTGGGAAGAGGTGCCACACGCTTTTAACAACCACATCTTATGAGAACTTATTGCCAGGACAGCTCCAAGCCATGAAGAATCTGTACCGCCCACTAGGCCCCACCTCCAACAACACATTTAAATGTGAGATTTGGTGGAGACACACATCCAAACCGTATCAACCTTGCGAAGATTATCCAAAGCTGAGCCACATAGTGTGTGTATATGTTAAATATTGGTTACATTTCCTATCCTATATAGTTATTGTTTTCTCTGAAGGTGGTTTTTTTTCTCTGTGTGTGCTTCTCAAATTCAACTGTAAATGCTCTTCAGTTTGCTAAATCCCTTCCTAGTATGTTTGAATATATTAGCTATCTTATTTTATCCTTTTGGAGAGACACCTTTCAGCATTGCTGGTCTTGCAGCAGTCTAGTCTGGCTGCTTTATAGCCTGCTTCACAGACGTTTACTTGGGATTTCCCATCAGCATAATCTTGGGGAATTCCTTCTGCCTCTAACTTGTGTTGAATACTCTGTTGCCTGGATTCTTTTACTGTTTTTGTGTACTTCCGTTTTTGTGGAGCATATATCCTTTAATAGCTTACCAAGAAAGGATACCTGGGATATATATATTTGAGACCCTATATGCCAGAAAATGTCTTTATTCTGCTTTGCAGTTGACTATTTTGGATGGTCCTGGATTCTTACTAGAGATTTTCTGTAGCCATATCCTCTTTCCCAGCTTTCAACCTCAGGACGTGCACTCCTCTAGCATTTGTTACATCTGACTCCTAATTTCCTCCCCATTCTTCTCCAGCACCCGAGTGGGTGGTGGAAGTTAGGGGCTTGTGCCTCCGCTGGAATAGTATCTTTCCTTTCTCTGCATTCTCTCTTCCTCACCTTCAAAAGTTATCATAGGTGCCGATAGTTGGCGTCTTATTTTTCTTGGTGACTGTCAAAGAATACCAGAGCCAGAGAGTAGTGAAAGTGATTAAAAACAGATTTTATCCAGAAATTATTGCAATAGGAGGAAAGATACCTCAGTATAGAACTGGGCTGGATTTCAAATACACAACGAAAAGTGGAGATTTATACACAAGGAGTGGGGCTGGTGGGGCGGTGTTTGGATGGAAAATTACTAAGAGGAGACATTAAGGGTAGGGGGATTCTTGCTAATCTGACTTAAGATCAGATATCAAGGGTTGGGGGTGAGGCATTTGATCAGATATCAAGAGTGGTCAGAAATCCAGGATGGGGGATTCTGGCTAACTTAGCGGGATTCTTGCTAGGTAGGCCCAACAAGGACAGGGGTCACAGTTGAGGCCTAGTCCAGAGCAGAGGGCTCAGAGGAACCCGACTACTGTTTGCTCAAGGAGAGAGTCTTTGCCATGGTTCAAGTGACCATACCACATGTGTTCAGGTGTTAGCAAAAATTCTCAAGATAGGGTTTGTGACACTTTTCATACTAGTGTTATTTGTGTGTGTGTGCATGACATATGATTAGAACGTGAGATAAATGGTAGTACTATTGACATTTACATAACCTGCTCAGGAGAATGGTGATATGGGTTATTTTTTCCCCTAAGGCTAGTTATGCCCAGCCATTAACCAGATTAAATAATCTCAATATGTATATACATCACAAGAATGTGATATAACTTTATGTCTAAAATACTTTATCACCACAGAATTAGAGGATATACTTATGCTGCTTCTATTATGGCCAAGAAACCAACGTATGAATCACAGGTATAATATGGGGTACTTTTCTACAAAGAAAATATGTAGCAAGTGAAGCATTTCTTTTTAATCAAGAAGTGGGCTATATTATGCTTTAATTCTTATATGGCCCTTAGTTTTTCCAGGAGCTTATTATTTATTTGTTTCACATTTGCATGCTTTTCTGCAGTGTTCTTTTTTCCCCCCGAATGCTCCATCATCCCTAACTTATTCCAATCTACCGAATTTTTTTTCTTTTTTTTTTTTTTATTATACTTTAAGTTCTGGGACACATGGGCAGAACATGCAGGTTTGTTACATAGGTATACATGTGCCATGGTGGTTTGCTGCGCTCATCAACCCGTCATCTACATTAGGTATTTCTCCTAATGCTATCCCTCCCCTAGCCCCCCCACCACCTGACAGGCCCCAGTGTGTGATGTTCCCCTCCCTGTGTCCATGTGTTCTCATTGTTCAACTCCCACTTATGAATGAGAACATGCGGTGTTTAGTTTTCTGTTCCTGTGTTAATTTGCTGAGAATGATGGTTTCCAGCTTCATCCATGTCCCTGCAAAGGACATGAACTCATCCTTTTTTATGGCTGCATAGTATTCCATGGTGTGTATGTGCCACATTTTCTTTATCCAGTCTATCATTGATGGGCATTTAGGTTGGTCCCAAGTCTTTGCTATTGTGAACAGTACTGCAATAAGCATATGTGTGCATGTGTCTTTATGGTAGAATGAGTTATAGTCCTTTGGGTATATACCTGGTAAATGGGATTGCTGGGTCAAATGGTATTTCTGGTTCTAGATCCTTGAGGAATCGCCACACTCTCTTCAACAATGGTTGAACTAATTTACACTCCCACCAGCAGTGTAAAAGTGTTCCTCTTTCTCCACATCCTCTCCAGCATCTGTTGTTTCTTGACTTTTTAATGATCACCATTCTAACTGGCGTGAGATGGTGTATCTTATTGTGGTTTTGATTTGCATTTCTCTAATGACCAGTGATGATGAGGTTTTTTCATATGTTTCTTGGCTGCATAAATGTCTTCTTTTGAGAATGTCTGTTCCTATTCTTCATCCACTTTTTGATGGGGTTGTTTTTTTCTTGTAAATTTAAGTTCTTTGTAGATTCTGGATATTAGCCCTTTGTCAGATGGATAGATTGCAAACATTTTCTCCTATTCTGTAGATTGCCTGTTCACTCTGATGGTAGTTTCTCTTGCTGTGCAGAAGCTCTTTAGTTTTATTAGATCCCATTTGTCAATTTGGCTTTTGTTGCCGTTGTTTTTGGTGTTTTAGTTATGAAGTCATTGCACATACCTATGTCCTGAATGGTATTGCCTAGGTTTTCTTCTAGGGCTTTTATGGTCTTGGGTTTTACATTTAAGTCTTTAATCTATCTTGAGTTAATTTTTATATAAGGTGTAAGGAAGGGGTCCAATTTCAGTTTTCTGCCTATGGCTACCCAGTTTTCCCAACACCATTTATGAAATAGGGAATCCTTTCCCCATTGCTTGTTTTTGTCAGGTTTGTCAAAGATCAGATTGTTGTAGATGTGTGGTGTTATTTCTGAGGCCTCTGTTCTGTTCCTTTGGCCTATATATCTGTTTTGATAATGATTAGTGTAGTCTTAAGTCAGTTTACTACTTTGAAAGAGTATGCAGCAGGCTTTGCTTTTGGCTACTAATACTAATCTCTACTGAATGGTAGAAGCCCCATCCAATGGGGAGAAATTTTAGGGCAAGCCTTTGAGCTTGCTTGAGTGTAAAGAAACAGAAACAGGCTGATGAATTTATTAACAGTGGTGGAAAAGTATAAGGGTGAGTACAAAAACCAACCAAAAATAGAAAAAGAAAGAGCAAATCTATAAACATGAGAAGTTAAGTTTCTAGTTTAAGTTACTAGTATTGATCAAGGGTTACAGCATCCCTGAGGAAGTAGGGGTGGAAAATACAAATAATCTCAAAAATGATTTAACTAAATTTGTAGATGCCAGATCCATAATGGGTTATTGTAGGGAACTAGGATGTTTTGGGTTCACTCCTAACCTTTGGGGTTGACATCAAAGAACAGCCATTCTTTCCACAGCATATCCCTTGGTGTCATCATCAGAAACCTGGACAGGAAGAATTGGGAGCCTGATCCAATGTAGCAAGACCCATTAGGCTCTGATCTGTGCCAGGTTTGTGTGGGTTGTAAATTTAGAGTAAATTCCAACATGAGGGTTGTAAATGTCAATGAATGAAAACTTGAAAACCTTAACTTTTATATTTTCTAATCTTTGTTAATTCTCATTTATGTAGTGTGCTCTTAAAGCTTTAACTTTCTTGGAAGATCTTTTTATTATATATCCTGTACTTGACTATAGTGATACTTCTTGAACTAGTAGTTTCTCATACTATAGGTTGAATAGGATCAATTAATTACCATAGGAATAGAGCCCCTACTTTTGGAATTTCTCTTACATATCACTCCATTTTCAATTTGCAGTTTGAGATTATAAAAGAAGTTTCTACTTCAGTTATGATTCTTGACTTTTCTAATAGAAAGATATTTGAAATTCCCATTTGAATGGATTTTCATCTATATGTAGGAAAACACACATGTAATTTTAGGGTTTTTGGGTGCAGATTATCCGTTTTCCTTACTATTTTGAGGGAGAAGGGCTGAATTCAAAACTTTGATCTGAATGCCTTACAGCAATGTGTAGGAATCAACTGAGAATCTTGTTCAAAAGCAGATTTGGATTCACCAGTAGAGTGAGGCCCGTGATTCTGCAATACACAAGGTGTGGGATGAGGAAAGTCTGAGATTCAGCTTCTAGGTGATGCTGATGCTGCAGGTTTGAGGACCATGTTTTGTATAGCAAGACTTTAAAGCATTGCTTGCCAACTTAGTGCTGTAGTTTAAAAAACCAGTCTTGGTTTCAGCTTTTCCACTAACTATGTTTTTGGAAAGGTAAAGGAATAATGAAAACAAATTATTTATATGAGCAGGATCCAAATACTATAGTTATTTGGATGTTGAATTCGTCTAGAAATATTTTCTTTCCACCTATTCTGTATTCTTCCCAGCTCTTTCTCTTTTTCTTATTTCCATTCTGTATTGAAAACTGGAGGCTTAAATGACACAAATCTTTCTTGATTCTATTAAACACACATACTCTTTCAGCTCTGTGTACTTTGCCTAATTACTGGCAGTAAAACTCAGTAAAGGGATTTAAGGCTTATGAATGTTCTACTTGGAGGAAATTGTAATTAAGGTTATTAAGGCCTTTGGGTTCTTGTATTTTAAGCAAATTAAGACTTTATGTGTTTTTTAAAGAGACAGTAACTCTTCCCTGCCCAATTATTTCCTCTGCACGGATAACCTTGTACATTCCATGCATGTGGTTCAAACGGCACACATTCTACTTTGTTCTTTTAGGTAAGTCATGGATTTAAGCTGAGAACTTTTTTCTTTTCTCAATTGCCATATATGAAACACTGGACAACTTTTAAAGCAAAAACTAAGAAATAATCCATGTACTTTGGTACCAAAATTATTTTAAAAGCCAAATTATTCTTCTTTAAAACATTTGAAGAGAGAATAATAGTCATTTACCTTTTATTGCAAAATCACTCTGTTCTCTATTAAAGCAATATGAGTTCATTGCAAGACGTTTATGAAGTGCCAAACACAATAAAGAAAACTGATTCATACTACCTTGTAGTAATCACTGTTAATATTTTTTGTCTTTTTTGCAAGATTTTTTAAAATATAAATATAATTTACGATTTTTTGTGTGTATGTAAAAGGTTAGAAATGTCCTAAGACCATACCTATGGGCACAACCAAGTCACTTTACTTTCTTTCCTTTCCTTTCCTTTTCCTTTCCCTTTTCCTTTTCCTTTCCTTTCCTTTTCCTTTTCCCTTTCCTTTTCCTTTTTCTTTTTCTTTTCTTTCTTTCTTTCTTTTTTTTTTTTTTTTTCTGGGACGGAGTCTCACTATGTCACCCAGGCTGGAGTGCAATGGCGCGATCTCGGTTTACTGCAACCTCTGCCTCCTGGGCTCAAGGGATCCTCCCACTTCATCCTCCTGAGTAGCTGGGACTATAGATGTGCACTACCATGCCCCACTAATTTAAAATTTTTTTGTATGTGGAGACAAGGTCACACTATATTGCTCAGGCTGGCACTTTACATTCTACACTTGAATTAGTTTCTATCTTGGTCTTTCTTTCTCTTAGTCATGGAAAATGAATTCTGGTAAATTAATCTTGTGTCTTGTTAATGAATGTTTTCTCATTTTTATTTCTGGGTGTGCTCTTCCTTCCTTCCCTGCCTTTTCACCAAGGCTTGCATCAAGGTTTGCCAGGGGAGGGAAAGCGATGGAGACCTCATATCATCCTGATGCTCCTGTCCCCTGCGTGTGCTGACCTTACTGATCTTCACTCTTCTGCATCTGCTCCCACGTCAACCCCTGCATATCACACATTCATGAGGGCTCTGTTCATGTGTCCAGGCTCTCTGCATCTCTGTCCTGACTGTGAAGTTGTCTTCTTGCTCGCTCTCTAAGACACTTCTGAACTCTTCTTGGAGTGTAAGATATTTTGGATGGCTTACTATACTGCTTCGGGCTCAAGAGGACATCTCAGGCCCTCTTTGCCCTGAACATCTTACTACCATGTCTCGCGTCCTGCTCACATAAGTGTCTGGGATGAAGGAGCACCCCTGGATGCTGCTGCTTCCTTGGGCTTTGCAGCTATCTTCTTGTGTTTCCCACATTTGTCAGGGCAAGATATGCATTATCTTTTGTTCCATTTCCCGAAGGTTATAGCACATGTACCTTTGTAGACACCCACTCAACCAAAACTCAGTGTTTTCTTCTCTCCCCACTCTGCTGCTGACTCATGGGGTCTTTATTTGTCTAAGCAGATAATTGGCTCTGAAAGATTACTTAGCCCTTTATGCTTATGAAAAACTTTTGCTCTGAGTCTTTTTTTGTCTCTGGTTTTTGATACTCATAATTCAGTATCTCTTTTAATTCTTAATTTTTTTTTTTATTTTTATTTTCTGAGACAGGGCCTTATTCTGTTGCCCAGGCTGGAGTGCAGTGGCACAATCTTAGCTCACTGCAACATCCGCCTCCCAAGCTCAAGTGATCCTCCTGCCTCAGCCTCGCAAGTAGCTGGGACTACAAGCGTGTGCCACCACACTTGACTAATTTTGGTATTTTTGTAGAGATGGAGTTTTGCCATGTCATCCAGGCTTGTCTTGAACTCCTGGAATCAAGTGATCTGCCCACCTTAACCTCCCAAAGTGCTGGAATTACAGGTGTGAGCCACCGCAACCAGCCTATTCAGTGTCTTATAATGTGATAAAGGAAAGGGAAGATTTTTGTCTCTTCCAAGAATTTTAAAATTCTGTTTGGAAACTCAAAATTTGAGCATTTGTACTTCTTTTTCTTGAGAAACTTTGCTTTGAGCCAGTGAATTCCACTTGAGCATTTGAATGAAGAAAAAGCTAAGAGCTAAAAATAAATTTTAAAATTATCAGTTAATATTCAAATATTATTTAATCACATGTAATGTGTGTGACTTTTTAAAATAGGATTCTACACTGTTTTTATAATCTACCCCCCATTCTATATAGAGCCTTGTCTATATATTAACTAACACTGCTGTGCATAATCAGTGGTTCTTTGTAGTCAATATTTTATACCTAATGTAAGTTATTCAGTATTTTATTCATGGACATTTAGGCTGTTTACTGTCCTTTCACTATTAAAGCAAATGCTGTGATATAAATTGTATGTATTTCTGCATTTATCCAATTCTTTCAGCTAGATTCCTAGAAGTAATATTATGAAATTCACATGAAATTTCTATGAAATTCATATTTCATAGAAGTAATATTACAAAGGAAAAGTTCAATAATTCCAATTCTAGGAGATTTATACCAATTTACATTACCACCAGCAGCATATAAGATGTTAATTTCCTGAATGCTTACCAATTGTTAAAATCATCAGTCCCTTAAACGTTAATTTTATGTAGGGGTGACTCTTTATTTTGATTTGCATTTTGTCAATAATGAGATTGGATATATTGTACATCTTTTCATGTCTAATTAATTTCTACCTTTTTCAATAGCTTATTATATTTTTACTTCCTTTTCTGAAAGGACTTTTCTTCATTTTGATTTGCCAATATTCTTTATACAAAAAAAATTTACCATTATTGTATGTTTCAATGACCTTTTCTAGTTTATGTACTTTCTTGCAAAGAAGTTTATTGTTTCAGTCAAATTTACCTTTTTCTTTATTTTTTTTTTTTTGCAGTTTATGACCTTTTTAGATAGCCTTTCAGGAGACTCTTTAATTACCCTGTGAACATAGACTTACATTGAGCAAACCATTGTACAAAGTATATTTGATATATTATGAAATTAGGGTACATTTTAAATGTGTTTATAATAGCTTAATATGTATTAATACATATAATTTAAGCATGTTACTTATATGATGACATCAATATTTTTATGCCATTTCATGATTAATAATTCACAGTGAGGAGATTGCAGTGGTTTGTAAGAGGATTGCAACCTCTCCATGAGTTGAGTGAGCTGGATGTTAGTAAGAAGTTGTCTGTGATAATATGAGCTCTGGTGTCTTCTGCCCTTTGTGGAGCTGAATCCTCAGAGGCCAGGCAGTCAGTTACTTCTGTGAGTAAGGAAGGCCACAGGCTACCCAACAGTGATGAACTCTGTGTTAAATAGATGGATTTTAATGCAGGCGGCTGCTACTCGGCTCTGGTTAATGATTATCAAGCAGGAATGTGGACCATGCCATCTGATTATTAGAAAAAAAGCAAGAAATTTGGGTTTTCACATTAAAATTTTTCTAGAGGGAAAAAATTGGTGCAGATAAAACAAAATTGAGCTCTGTAGTGCGTAAACATATATGGTGGCCCTAGAAATGTTTATATACCAAGGCGATGAACTGATCTTTCTAGAGAATAGCTAATTTCTCCTTTTACTCCACTCCCTTGGGTGTATGTGTGTGCAGGCATGTGTGTACTGCATACGTGAATGCCTATGTGTATGAACCTAGTGATTAGCTCTGTTTTTTTCTTTTTTTGAGTCAGGCAAGGTGTATTTTTAATTTTTTTCATAGATACGGGGTCTCAAAATGTTGCTCAGTCTGGAGTGCAGTGGCTATTCACAGGCCTAATTATGGTGCGCTGCAGCCTCAAACTCTTGGGCTCACGTGACCCTCCTGCCTCAGCCTCTGGAGTAGCTGAGACTACAGGCATGTGCACAGCTTGATTAGCTCTGAGGTTGAGCTAAACTCAGGCTCTTCACAGTCTTTATTTACTGGCTATTTTCTCCTTCTGCCACATTCTTTATTTGAAATACATTGTTCTTGGGGGTACTATGAATAAAAATGAAGAGTTTTTAAAGAGGAAGAAATGGGGTTTCTACAGTATCAAGTTCTGTTTGCCTGAAGATGAAATTGGAGACTTAGTGATTATGAAGTAACTGCAAGAATGTGTCTTTGACAAGACTTTTCTGCAGACGTGTACTCTCTGTTGCATCACATCAGCAGGCGTGTAAGGCAGTTTGTCCCATTATTGGTGATTCTAGTTTTGATCACTTGGTTAATGTAAGTTTGGCCAAATCTCTCCATTATAAAGGCAACTTTTCTCATTTGTGATTAATACATAATCTCTTGGGTGGTATATTTTTTCCCAATAAACTTTCACCAAATGGTATTTGGATGGTGATGATCTCTGTCTGAATTAAGTTATTACATTAGTGATGGCAAAATGGTGAATCTGTGTGGCCGCAATCATTCAAATGTGGATTGTAGAATATTTTACAAGACAACTAGCCTGGAGTCTAAAAATCTCAGTGTCAACAGAGGCAAAAAATAGTGGAGGAACTGCTCTAAATTAAACAAGACTAAACCGAATGCAATGTATGACCCTTGATAGGTTTCTAAAGATAGGTGGGAAAAAAGCAATATTTTTGGGGAGAAATGAAGAAATAGGAATATAGACAACATATTTGTAATACTTTAAGTCCATGTTAAATGTCTGAGATCTGGCAATGGTATTGTGGTTATGTAAAACAGTGTTCTTATTTTTAGAAGGTACATGCTGAAGAATATAGGGTGGTGTACTGCGATGTCTGCAATTTACTTTCAAACAGTTCACCAAAACAATTATGTGTGTGCCTTTTCATCTCTACCTTTAGATCTGTGTGTATATAGATATAGACAAATATAAATGTTGACATACACAGAGGGAGAGAATGCAAGGGAAATTATTTTTTAAATAATGATAGTTTTGATATGACTTCGTGACTTACACCAGGTAAGGTGTTTATACAGTGTTTACAATCCCGGTGTCCTACAATCTTTTTCAGAATTTGGAGTTTGTAAAGTTGACTTTTCCCAACATATTGAAAATCAGACATTTATCCTTCTTTCTTCTTGAATTCCTCTTTTTTTTTTCAGAATCAGTTTGCCAGTATTAAAAAAAATCTATAAAAATGTAAATAATTAGAGCCTTCTTGTCTGTCTTATATTTTAATATCTTCTCCTTAAGCTATGCTTGATCTTTTCCTTTTCACTTTGAAGGTCCCTATTTTTAACAGACCAAAAAACCCCATAGTCTTCCTATCCCTTTCATCTAATATTACATTATAACTTAGTAAGTGAGCTTAATTTTTTAAAATTAAACTTGCTTTAAAAATAATTTTTCATAAATATTAGGAAACTTTAACCTTCACATTTCTTTTGATATTATTTTTTCCCCTGAATATATCCTTTTGTACATGTTGTTTAAAATGTTTGAATTCATCAGAGAACTTCCTATGCAATTGTGTTGAATTCTCTAGAATATCACTCTTCTTTTCCCCTTTGGGATTATGTAAAGATGTTCTTATTTTGTAAATGTCCTTCTAATTTATATTCTAATTTAGAAACTTTGGCCGCAAACACAAACGTGTTTCTTCTGAACTTTTAAAATTATGTTCTTAAAGTATAGGATTATACTTCTAGGATCACAGTTTCTGTATGCTATTCTAAAAAGGCCCATAATAACATTTGATTTCTGTATTAACAGTTCTTCCTTGTATTCAAGTATTGAGTGACTCCTTTCGTTTTTGCTATTTATGTGAAAGATAAATGGCCAATACAATCAGCCAAGGTGTATCAGACATAGTAAACTTTTTATCCTTGCATTCCCCAATCCTGTGCATACATCTGTATGTTTATGTACATGCTGTACCTTGGACTTGGAAATCTTGTTCCATCAGGCAAACTCCTGTATTCTCTTCAAGACCCAAGTAGTGTTACTCCCTATTTCTTAGCTCTTCCAGGATAAATTGCATCTCCTCCTTCTCTACCCCAAAGCACTTGATAGTATGCACATAAAATACAACTTAAAAACTACAATATTTTGGAGAGCTCTTACTGAACAAATCTAGAATAATCTGAGTATTAAACAAAGACAGTAACAGCCTATAGCCCATTGAATAACATTCACGAGTACCTTTCTGTCTGCTTGTTTGACGTAACAAACAAGCAGACAGACAAATGAGGGAGAAGGGAAAGGCCTCCCCAAAACTAGCATGCCCACTAATAAATGGAGAGGAAATGACGGAGTTAAAGAATCACCTTCGACAACCTGACAGTAATAGTTTATTTAGGCAAAAATCATCAATTCTTGGATGCCAAAACCAGTGTGTGAAAATTTGAACAGCAGGATATTTATACAGTTTTACTATGTCACCTCTCAAAATACTTACCAATTACAGAAGAAAAAAATAGCAACTTTATAGTATAGAAACCTAGCAGACACCACCTTAACCAAGTGATCAAAGTTAGCATCACCAGTAATGGGACCAAAATGCATCGTGTGCCTCTTAAGATGATGCACAGAAAAAAACATCACTTCATACATTATCCCCCAAATATATGACCAGTCATGAGGGAACATCAGACAAGCCCAGACAGACATGTTGTAAATCACTGACCTGTTCTCTTAAAAACTGTTAAGCTCATGAAAGAACTCCAGATTAAAGGAGACTTGGAGATATGATTTTCAAACCCATCATATTGGGTTAGATTTCAAACATAATATGATACATTAGCTTAAAAGGGATTCTAATCTAGGAAAAAAATAAAGAACTATAAAGGACATTGTTGGCATAATTATAGAGTGAGGATTAAAAAATAATATATCAAATATGGTTGATGTAAAGCAATGTCTTTGTTTTTGGAAATACATACTGATTACTGAAAAATTTTAGAGGTAAGAGGGCAGAATATCTGTAAATTATACTTAAATGACTCAGAAAATCATATGTATACATTTGTATACACACATATATTACATATGTATAAACCTACATGTCTATATACATATCTGGCTACATATACATACACATATAGTTTTGCCACTTTTTGAGAATGATCAAGTACCATTTACAGTTTTCCATGAATGTAGATGCAGGTTGCTTTTGGCTTCCAAGAATTGGAGAAGATGGAGGAGACTCATGGTCAATAAGCAGTGACAAATTCCTCTCCAAAACTGTTCATTTCATTCCTCTGGCTTTCATGCATTTGTAAAGTCTAGTTTTGATCATTTGAGTGGTATACTCAGGCTTTCTAATTACATAGGTATGCTTGCTGTGTTACTTCAAAGGCCCCTTAGCCAGGGCAGGATCTATCTTCAAAGACAGTGAGGAGAGTGGCCCATTTGCAGGAAATTGCATGGTTTGGGGGTGATTTTTGTTTTCTTTGAACTTGTCAAGTGGAGATCCCTCTGTAAAAAGTGCTGGCCTTTTGCTGAATGCCCAAACAGTAAAAGACTTTCCATTTATAATTCTGAAGATTTCTCTTTAACCTCTGCCAGAGGAAACTTGTAACTCAGTTTCCCCCATTATCCTTTTTGATGGATCAGCAGTTTTACTCTGAAGTGTTTTTGTGGGTGATATCTTAATTTTGTTGGTTTATAGTTCTAGTTGTGTTAGGAAAAATTAGCATAGTATTTTTAGTGACTAATCATCAAAAGGAACTTTGATTATTTTGTTGTAGCTAAAAACGGAGGAAAGGAGCAGCGAACGAATTATGAGGGTATGGCCTAATTTGAAAGAAAGTTCTTGCAATTTAAATTATGGTATAATGCATTTCTTCCCCTAGGTGCTGTACATATATTGTTTAACAGGAAATAAACAGCCAGGATTTTGAAGTTAAAGGTCAGAACTGCATTCAAATTTGTCACAAACTATGATCTTGGAAAGATTTTTTAAAACTCTCTGATCTGTTTATTCACTTTGATAAATGAAAATTATACATCAGAAGCATTACTTTCAAAAAGTGTGAAAACCTGTAGCCTGCAATCTGTCCTGTAGCATGTTCCCCGGGGTTAATTTTTTTTCTTTTTAACCCTTATTTTGACTTTGCTGTTTTTTAATTTCTTCTTATTCATAATAGACAGAACCTTGTTAGAGTAAGGATAGTTAAGCAATTAGATTTCAAATTGGGTCGGTCTAAGGTATGGATTGCTGTGAAGTTAGCAAATCAACAAAGCATGTCAAAATAACCTGCTTATAAATGTTAAATGCAGACCAGTGGTTAGGCCGGGCACGGTGGCTCACACCTGTAATCCCAGCACTTTGGGAGGCTGAGGCCAGAGGATCACCAGAGGTCGGCGGATTACCCAAGGCCAGGAGTTTGAGACCAGCCTGACCAACATGGAGAAACCCCGTCTCTACTTAAAAAAAAAAAAAAAAAAAAAAAAAATATATATATATATATATATATATATATATATATACACACACACACACACACACACACACATACATACATACATATATACACACACATACAAAATTAGCCAGGTGTGATGGTGCATGCCTGTAATCCCAGCTACTTGGGAGGCTGAGGCAGGAGAATTACTTGAACCTGAGAGGCAGAGGTTGTGGTGAGCCGAGATCACACCACTGCACTCCAGCCTGGGCAACAAGAATGAAACTCTGTCTCAAAAAAAAAAAAAAAAATTATTGAGGTCTAAATTCTGTGCAAGTCTGGAGATTCAGTAATCATTCTGATTTTTGTTAACATTTGACTTTTACCAACAGTGAACTACATTGTAGAAAACTGACTTTTTTTGCATGATAGTATAGTATTCCATAATAACATTTGTCAACTTTAGGTGTCTGTTAATATGCTTTTTATTAAGGCAATTAAAAAAATTATCTTTGTTTAAAGAAACCTTTCTCTAAATAGTGTAGTTAACAAGAGTGGCCATTCTCAATTTTAAAACACAGTGGTAAAACCCATGGAAGTTTCCACATTTAAAACACATGGAGTCTTTGATCTGGTTAGTTATGACACTGATTCTTCTTGAGGGCTGTGTTTATGACACCAAATAAGTCATCTAGTTTGTTTCCATTTATTGTTTTTAATATTAAGACAGTGATGTAAGCAGGAGTGACCAACTAGTTTCTATTCTAGGAAGCAGGTGATATATGAGGGATAATTGAATAACTTAAACACGGTGAGAATTATACATTAAATAGAGTCCATCCTACCCCTCTTTTTAAAAAAGCAATTTAATTTTGGATAGGCAGGAGGGGAAGATTTTCCTACAGGCAGTTGGATAGGTCAGACACTATGGCACTTACATTCCATTTCTTAGGAAGTATGCAAAACTGTTTTTAAATTGTGTTAGTATAAGAAGTATTTAAGTACTTTATGGAACAAAAATCTGGCTCTGTTTGTGAGCAGTTTGTTTTCTTCTATTTAAATAATTGGATTATCTCCCTGTATAAACATGGAACCATGTGAGGGTGGTGGTTTTGCAATCTTCATAAATGTATATATTTAGATCTGCTCATGCTGGGGTTACCATTAGCACCAGCAGTCTGTCAACATTTCCACAGGGTCTTTTAAGTATGTTGTGAAAGCTCCAGCCAACACTTGGCATAAGTAATCTGTACAACACAGCAGTTTCAAGCTAAGGCTTATAGGATAGCACGCATGCTAACTTTTTTTTATTATACTTTAAATTCTGGGATACATGTGCAGAATGTGCATGTTTGTTACATAGGTATATATGTGCCATGTTGGTTTGCTGCACCCATCAATCCGTCTTCTAGGTTTTAAGCCCGGCATGCGTTAGGTATTTCTCCTAATGCTATCCCTCTCCTTGCCCCCACCCCCTGCCAGACAGGCCCTGGTGTGTGATGTTCCCCTCTCTGTGTCCATGTGTTTTCCTTGTTCAACACACACATGCTAACTTTAAGCATACTTTTCTTTTGGTGTTGGAAGAAATTTATGGAGTACAATTTTTTTTTTCCCTCACTGATTCAAGCAGGTGGCTTATTTTCTAGAACTTAGGATGTGATTCTTCCCTTGTTTCAAAAACATCATCTCTTTCTGGAAAAATGAGCAACACCCAACCATCCTATGTTTTACTTCTGATTCAACTAATTAATGTTATTGGTGTTAGCAGTTGTACAAATTGAGGAGCTCGTGATTCTGGTAGCATATTTTCCCACTTAAATAGTTCAGTTTTCCGATGCATGTGTTGTGATCCTTAATTGTACACTTTTTTTCATTACCTGTGAGAATTAACGTCTAGTGTAGGGATATGCATTAAGATTTTTGTGTCAAAAGAGTTTCTAGGGGGAAAAAGGGGAGTAATTCTTATAGGGCTTGGTTTCCCAAAGTGTTAATTATGGGAAGGGCTTCATCATTTGGGGAATTGTTTATGCTAAATTGAGGTCTCACGATTTTAATTTCTTATTGGGGCCTATAGATAACTACTTTTTTCTTGTGTTTTGTCTTTTTACTTGATTTGGGGTATTCATGACTGTTTTTGGAAATGTTCCCTGGAGAATTTCTTTCCTTTTTTTGAGACGGAGTCTCGCTCTGTCGCCCAGGCTGGAGTGCAGGGGCGCGATCTTGGCTCACTGCAAGCTCCACCTCCTGGGTTCACGCCATTCTCCTGCCTCAGCCTCCTGAGTAGCTGGGACTACAGGCGCCCGCCACCACGCCTGGCTAATTTTTTTTATTATTTTATTTTTATTTATTTTTATTTTTTTAAGACAGAGTGTCGCTCTTGTCACCCAGGCTGGAGTGCAGTGGTGAGATCTCTGCTCACTGCAAGCTCCACCTCCCTGGTTCAAGCCATTCTCCTGCCTCAGCCTCCTGAGTAGCTGGGACTACAGGCGCCCACCACCACACCTGGTTAATTTTTTTGTATTTTTAGTAGAGACAGGGTTTCACTGTGTTAGCCAGGATCATCTCAATCTCCTAACCTGGTGATCTGCCCACCTTGGCCTCCCAAAGTGCTGGGATTACAGGCATGAGCCACCGTGCCCGGGAGTTCCCTGGAGAATTTCTAAGTCCCACTTATTTCAGTTGAATCCTGTTCTACTTGAGCTTCTCACTCTGACTGGTTCTCAGTTGGCTAGGGCATAGAACTGGCTTGGCAAAGTGCTAAATTTAGCTTTCCTTGAGCCTCTCTCTGTGGTGCTAAGCCTATGATTTAAAAAAACTCAAAAAAAAAACACAAAACTCTCAAAAGTATCTTGCCTTGCTATTGATGTGTCCCCCACAAAAATATTTCTCAAAAGTACCTTTCATTGCCATTGATACACATCAGCAGCTCCTTTGGAATATCTCTGACTCCCCCACCAGATGCACAAGCCACATGTGCTGCTTATGTTTTGGGTGGGAAATGTTGAAGGGACACTGCTTTGTTTCAAGGTAAAATGTATTGAACCAAAGTTATTTTTCTTCTGATGACCACCGTGATTATTTGCTTTGGTCTGTATCCTTTAAATCTCCTCCAGTTTGACAGATTATCTCGAATGTTAATGATGTGTGTAAATTGTTAGAATGAGAATGTGTTTATCATGTTCTGTGCAGGTCCATTGTGCCCTCAAGCAGAACCACCTAAGACTCCACATTTATTTTGCAACCATACCTCAGTTCATCGTCTTTCCTTGAACCGTAGTTATTAAGTATTCTGAGCTGCCCTGTGACGTCTTAATTAAATCAGACTTTGAAGCATTCATGACACATACCTCATAGATCATTCCTGTTTCTTTTGTGCTGTGTTAAATACATATATTTTTCCAGTGACCCATGCTATGGCCATAGTTAATCCAGGTTGTGAATGTCCTTCAGAGGTGCCAATGTATGAGGATTACAACTGGAATGGTGCTGGCACTGGAGAGTATTTAAGGGCTAATAGTTCTGGTAATTTTCTTCATTTTTTTTTTTTGGAAGATATTAGCACTTCATGTGTTAAAAATAGATCTGTGACTCTAACTTTCTCCCCCAATATTTAAAAACTCCTAGGTTTGGTTGGGCACGGTGGCTCATGCCTGTAATTTCAGCACTTTGGGAGGCTGAGGCAGGCGGATCACTTGAGGCCAGAAGTTCGAGACCAGCCTGGCCAACATGACAAAATTTTGTCTCTACTAAAAATACAAAAATTAGCTGGGTGTGGTGGCACAAGCCTGTAGTCCCAACTACTCGGGAGGCTGAGGCACGAGAATCACTTGAACCTTGGAGGTGGAGGTTGCAGTGAGCCAACATAGTGCCACTGCGCTCCAACCTGGGCGACACAGTAAGACTTTGTCTCAAAACAAACAAAAACTCCTAGTTTCTCCTAGCTTTGAGTTTTTGTACAGTGAAATACATATTTTAATAGGAGAAGCCAAATGATCTAAGACCTTTAATCCTGATGTCATTAAAAATATTCATTTGTAGAGATGATTTCCATATTTGAGGGGCTTACAAATGTTTAGAAATACCATTTTCCCAAGGAAATACTCCTAGACAATTATATGTCCAATCTTTTATTCCTAATTGATATGATTTATTAATATTTAAATAATATTGTTAGATAAATTAATATGAGTTTCTCAAAGTTAATGCTTCTCGGGAGGTTAAAGCTTTGTAAACCTTGTACCTAAAAATATCATTCTCTATTAAAGAACTCAAGAAAAGATAAAAAGATTCTGAGAAAATATGGGTTATTTTTATTTTTATGTTTTTGGAGATGGAGTCTTACTGACTGGAGTACAGTGGCGCACGATCCCAACTCACTGCAACTTCTGCTTCCTGGGCGCAAGCAATTCTGTCTCAGCCTCCTGAGTAGCTGGGATTACAGGCATGCGGCACCATGCCCAGCTAATTTTGTATTTTTAGTAGAGACAGGGTTTCACCATGTTAGCCAGGCTGGTCTTGAACACCTGACCTCTAGGTGATCGGCCTGCCTCAGCCTTCCAAAGTGCTGGGATTACAGACGTGAGCCACCATTGCCTGGCCATAAATACAGTTTAATTCTAGGAGTTCTAGAATTTTGAAATTTTTGATACAAGCTTTGATCTTGATTATCAATTTTTTTCTAGATTAAATTTATGTTAATATAGCCCTTCTAAATATTAAAGGAAATTTAGAAATTTACCTTTAAGCTTTATTAACATTTTTAATCATGGTATTTATTTTCTATCCAAGGCATGATGCTTATAATGGTGATGGTCTAGCATTAAAATTTGTTGTCTTTACATTCACAATCGGACTACTGGGTTTGATATTTAAATATTTATAATTTTATATAAAACTAAGCAAAGTATCTTAAGATAGGCATTTTCCATTTTGGTCAAATCTTGTGTGGCACATTAATTCATTACGTTGATTGCTTAATTGAGTTTGAGCTTGGTAGTATACATGATTACAGGATTTTTATACCACTGCTGCCAAGATCTAGTGGGGAGAATGTATCCAACTTGATTTCTATAGCATCCGACATGCAAGTTCCCTGTTATTGGTGCCAGAGTTGGGTTTCCCCCCTACCTCTCTCAATCCTGCTCCTTCTATGGGTTTTTTTTTTTCTTCCTTAAATACATATCTTGAACTTGAGGTTAAGAAGAGGCATACATTAGCAATTTTGTGATATTAATTGATGAAGTTAATATTAATTGTTCATTTAAAAATTTGTTGAACTTGCAACATTATTTGACCAGCAAATACAGAGTGAGGCTAAGATGCCAACAGCCCACTGTTCAGTCTTATTATTTTCAGAATTAGAAATCTGTACCTTTGTCAGGATGGATGCCTTCACCTAGAAGGAATTCAGATTTCTTCTTGCTTGGCAAGGGCTAACTGCAGAAACAACGGAACACATTTTTTTAAAAGTCAGGAGTATATTAGAAACACATGGGCATTCAACACCTACATAAAATACTCTATGAGATAAATGTGAATAACTGGATTTAACAAAGGGCCAGACTTTAGAATACCAGAATTCATAAAAAGGCTAAACTTACTTTATAATTTAAGGGGAACACAAATCAACTAATTAGAATTAATAATAAAGAGTAATACCTATGCTGCTTTTTTCTCTCTTGATATAACTGTTTGTGATTTAGGTAGTGTTACCTTGTTTCAGTCTCATGGTTTTTCTTGTTTGCTAAATCCCTATAATATTCCTTTTCCCATCAAGGGGATATGTGTGGGTTTGTGCTAGAATCACTGTTTATGACTATTTTCAGGATTTTCCATGTTTTATGAGATATATTTCATCTTTAGAATTTTGGGTGGGTCTAGATTTAGAAAACTGTTTTGGTTGGAATGATAAGGCTCTGGATCTCAGCGGGCTTTAGGGTTGGAAAAGTTGAAGCTCACAGAGAGCAAATAAACATGGTCATCAAAGCTGAGAATTAAGATCTGTTTATCCACCTGCACACTTGAATTAAATCTCAGAGCAATGGGCAGAGCCATTCAACTTATGAAGATCCTGACAAAATAAATTACTCTATTCATGTTTAAACGTCTATTTTTTGCCTGTGTTTAGACACAGAGGTTGGTGTAGTGACCATGTGGTAGATGGAGAAGTTCTTGTGGAATTACTAAGCTATTGATTTACAACAGGGAGAATGCCACTAAAATAGTGGACAATGGTGAATTAAATGGAAAAGTCTGTTTGAGGTTTGGGGCAAGAAGCTTCAAATTGTAAAAATCACATGGGCTCTTGTCCTTCAGCACTGAGCAGCATCATGATTGAAGATTGGAGAAAGTGGGGAGAGAGTACTCAGGTTAGGTGTGGTTCACATCACTTTTGCTTTAAGGGAATTCCTCGTGTGTAGGGTTATAAAGATAACCTAAGATATGGACTTGGGTAAGTATTCCCTAATTCATTTTCATTGTTTAAGTCTGTTGAGGTTCAAGTAAATAAAACAATGCTTTTAATAATACCTTTTTTAAAAAATGCAGGGCACAGTTTGTTGACTCTGAGATCTTTGTGGTCAAGATGAAAGTTGGCTCCTGATACATAAAAACAAAACAAAAAGCCTTTAATTTGTGTTGATTCTCTTGGTTCTGTAATTCTCTTTTCTCTATACTTCTTACTGTGGAGCATGATTTATGGTGATAAAGAGCTTTGGTTTAACTTTTGAACTGAAAGTATAGCTTCAACTTTAGCATGTGATGACTGTAGGACAGTGAACCTCCTCCTTAAACCATTCTGCTGTGTACTTGTAAACCTTCCAGAATCTCCTTTTATTTATAAAGCTAGATTTGGGTTGGATATTTCCTTGGGTAATTGCTTGATCTTGGTTTTTCAAATCTGCATATAAATTCTAGAGCAGAAGTTCGTCAGTATGTTTCAGAGGGCTTTGTAGTGTGGGGCTACTTCTGATGTAGCTTCAGCCAGCAACCCTTGCCCTTGCCTTAGTCTCTCAGTTGTTCATGTTAAAGGGGTGGCTTTTTCGTGAAAGAGTCATAAATTGTTTCTCTAAATATCATTCCATAGGGTCTTCATGCTTAAGGTGGGTTACAATCTTGGACAACCCTGAAAATGAACAAGAGTTGGATTCTCTCTAGCTACCTTTTCCTCCACCATAGCCATTTCCTCACACAGCCTGTCAGTATTCCCAGTTTCATTGCTCTTCTCCAGCTTTTCCCATCTCCCTCAATTTTTTACCCTTTCTGGCACAGAGAAGTTAAACGATATCCTAATTTTTTTGAACCTCACTCACTTACACCCTACTCAGGATACTAAGAATGATACCAGAATAAAACCTCTTCAGAAGGCAGCTGGAAAAATTGTAGATAGTATAAGCTTATTTTTGGTCAGCTATGCAAAAATGATTTTCAAATCATAATTATCTGGCAATATTAAGGTGTAACAAAATACCATAGTGAGTATAAAAGCAGGAAAATTGAGCAATAGAATGTAGAGTGAAGTAGGGAGAGGTAGGTCTAGGGTTGGGACTTCATAACTATTCAAATGAGAAGTGATAAAGGCCTGAATTATGAGAAGATTCATGGAAATGACAAAGGTGAGGGTCAGAATCAAATCTGTAGGAGAAGATATTATCATAGAAGCTAGAGGAGGAAGAAAACCTTCAGCAACCTAGGCTATTGGAATTGTGAGGATCAGAAATTGAGAATGAGATCTTGAATGAGGGATGAGAAAACTGGTTGTGGTCTTCATAAAAGCAGTTTTAGAGATAATTCAGCAGAGGATGGTGATAAGTAGAGGCAACAGGTTTAACTGACACTTTGAAGAAATGTGACGGTGACATTGGTTTGGTTCATTGTTATGGAAAGATGCTAACAACTTAGCTGAAATTGAACAAGTTATGACCCAACAGGTACAGTATGATGTGTATGAAAAACACAAATTATATAATGTATACATGCATATATATATAAAGGAGCATTTGGAAAGTCGCTTACCCAGAATTTTATTGGTAACTGTATCTGAGGTGATGATTTTTCATCAGAATTGGTTCCCTAGCTCTGCCCCCCAACAATTGCAGATTTAGGGAAATAAAGTATTAAATGAGAATTATTTGGAAAGCATAGATAGGTTTTCAAGTGAGAGAATGTCCATGAAATAGATTCAACATGCAAATAAAAGAGAACAGTTGATAGAAAAGAGTCCTAGAATAGATGTGAAGAGTAGATCTTTCTGGCCAATTCAAGATGTTATATTGGCCTTGATTCCTGATCCTGAAGGGCCTTGTTTCTTGTTTGGTCCCTTTGGTAGAATAAGCCCTGGTTTTGGGACTTCCTGGATGAGAGGCTGTGGGAAGCTTTGGGGAAGAAGGAAGACTCTCTTGTGGATCTAAAATCTGTGTAGATTTGCTGCAAGTTGCTATAAATATAATGGCCATTAAATTGTTATAATAAAGGAATGACATGGTATACAATGTACTCTGTATAGCTGCCAGTCTGACCACTTATTGCTTGATATTAGTTTTATACACAAGACTGATTATATGGAGGGTAAACAACATGTAGTCTCAAAGCTAAAAGTTTCAATAATTGATGAGTTTTCTATTTCTTCTCTCCTAATTCTTTCTTGGGTTAACTCGATAAAATGAAGTCATTGTGGCCTCATGTATTCTGTTGTATTTATGACCTTGCTTGGCGTAGTGAAAACTAAAAGTTACATGAATTTTTAATATTTTAGAAATTATAATATTTCAGATTGTATCATTTCTACATTTTATACCAGCTATAGGAAAGAGTATTTTGTGTCTTTTCTTTTAAGGTACGATTGTCCCCATCAGATGCAGTGAACTTCATATGGTTCAGGTATTAACTTATCTTAGATGCTATTTCGACATTTGCTTAGTACTGTCTTCTCCCACCATGTCCCATCAGTAGGATATTTCTGTTTGGAAAAAAAAAGTAAATAATATCTTACTGGTGAGTAATATAATTTATGGAATCTTCAAAAGAGGTGTAATTGTAAGTAAGTACATTGTACTGAAATTAGCACATAGCCTTTATATGCTTTACTTTTTCTAATGAGATATAATTTACTTGTAAATTATGCATATTAATTGTAAAAATGTACAAATATACTTAGATAAATGCATAGTTTTGGGTTTTGCAAATGTATACATTTGTGTAACCAAAATCCAGGCAAGATATAGCACATTTCCATCAACCCCTTTAGCGAATTGACTAGTGCACAGGGTAAACTTGTGTCATGGGGGTTTTCTGTTTTATTTTCTCCAATATTCACCCCATGACCCCAACTCATATCCTCCTGGAAACTTAGAAGGTGACCTTTTTTGGAAACAGGGTCTTTGCAGATGCAACGAAGATGATGAAGATGAGATTCTATGGGATTATGGGATAAAGATGGGCCTTAAATCCAATTAGAGTGTCAATGTAAGAGACAGAAAAAGACACAGAGATACAAGAGAAGAAGGCATAAGACAATGGAGGCAGGGATTGACTTCATGTAACTATGAGCCAAAGAATGCCTTGGGCTACCAAAGACTGAAAGAAGCAAGAAAGGATTTGCCAGAGTCCTTGAGAGGAAGCACGCCCTGCTGATACGATATTGGGATTTCAGACTTCTAGTCTCTAGAATTGTGATAATAAATTCCTGTTGTTTAAGCCACCAAATTGTGGTCATTTGTTACAGCAGCCCAAGGAAACTAATATACCTCCTCCATCCCCCGCAAATTCTATTATGCCCCTTTCCAGTCAGTCCTCAATCCTCAAAGGCATGTAGTAGTCTTATTTCTATCACCACAGATTAGCCGTGCCTGCCTTTGACCCTAATATAAATGAAATTATCTAGAGCATGCTCTTTTTTGTATCTGTTTGGATTCTTTTGACCAGCATAATGTATGTGAATTTCATTCATGTCATGTGTATCTGTATTATCCTTTTTATTACTGAGTAAAACTCAAATAGTTTGAATATACCGTAATTTGTCTATTCTGTTCATAGATATTCGGATTGTTTCTTCCTACCCATATTTTATACATATATTACATCTTTTGTAGCTGTCACTGGTTTAGAAGTTATAGATTCTGTTATTGTTTTTGTAGTTAGGAACTTAAAGTTATAGTAATTACATTTTAATTTACATTAGTCTTCCTCACTGATAATGCGGAAACTCTGAATGCTTTAAGTTTGGCTTCCTTCTCAAGTCTTCTGTGTTATTTTTGTGAATATAAGATATTTAGTTTCAAAACTTGAAAATCATTATATGTTTTTTACATGCTATGCTTTTGTATAGAGACATGAACATGTTTTTCAATTGGTGTGATCACTATAGCTTGTTGCATTCTACTTCCTCTGGGTTCTGTTTTATTTTCTCCAATATTCAGAGTTTAATCTTTTAGTTAATGCTTTAAAAAAAATTAAGATATTTGCCTTTACTTTGGCTAAAATATCTTCATTTTGCTCACCTGGTTAAACTATAACTGCTTATAGAATTATAGTTTGATAATTTTTCCTCAACATGTTGAAGATAGTATCTCGGCTATCTAATCTTTATTTTTTTCTAAGTCTGCTGTCAGTCAAAGTTTTATCCTTATCTAGATAATCTGCTATTCCTCTCTGGCTTGACTTTATTCTCATGGCATGTAA
The DNA here is from genome assembly GCF_000001405.40 of Homo sapiens. Lineage (NCBI taxonomy): Eukaryota > Metazoa > Chordata > Mammalia > Primates > Hominidae > Homo > Homo sapiens. Next base: position 107,992,685 of record NC_000008.11, on the reverse strand, counting down.
ATGTACTGCATTTAGATGTAGACTTGTTTGGTCTCTTAATTTTTAATCTAAGAACTCATGTCTTTATCTGGAAATTAATCAGCCATTATCTCTTTGAACAGTGTGTTTTATTCCTTTTTTAACATATACTTTTAAGTTCACGGGTACAAGTGCAGGTTTGTTACATAGGTAAACTTGTGTCATGGGGGTTTTCTGTACAGATAATTTCATCACCCAGGTATTAAGGCTAGTACCCATTAGTTATTTTTCCTCATCCTCATCTTCCTCCCATCCTCTGCCCTCCAATAGGCACCAGGGTCTGTTGTTTCCCTCTATGTGTCCATGTGTTCTCATCATTAAGCTCCCACTTATAAGTGAAAACACGGGGTATTTTGTTTTCTGTTTCTGTGTTAGTTTGCTAAGGATAATGGCCTCCAGCTCCATCCATGTCCCTGCAAAGGACATGATCTCATTCTTTTTTATGGCTGTATAGTATTCCATGGTGTGTGTGTGTGTGTGTGTGTGTGTGTGTATCACATTTTCTTTATCCAGTCAGTTGTTGATGGGTACCTAAGTTGATTCCATGTCTTTGCTATTGAGAATAGTGCTGCAATGAACATATGTGTGTATGTGTCTTTATAATAGAAGGATTTATATTCCTCTGGGTATATACCCCGTAATGGGATTACTGGGTTGAATGGTTTTTCCATCTTTAGGTTTTTGTGGAATTGCCACACTGTCTTCCATAATGGTTGAACTAATGTACACTATCACAAACAGTATATAAGCGTTTCTTTTTCTCCACAACCTCTCAGCATCTGTTATTTTTTGACTTTTTAATAATAGCTATTCTGACTGGTGGGAGATGGTATCTCATTGTGATTTCTTATTTGCATTTCTTTAATATTCAGTGATGTTGAGTTTTTTCATATGATTGTTGGCCACGTGTGTGTCTTCCTTTGAGAAGTGTCTGTTCATGTCCTTTGCCTGCTTGTTAATGATTTTTTTCCTTGTGAATTTAAGATCTTTATAGATGCTAAATATTAGACCTTTGTCAGATGCATAGTTTGCAAATATTTTCTCCCATTCTGTAGGTTGCCTGTTCAGTCTGATGATATTTTCTTTTGCTGTACAGAAGCTCTTTAATTAGATCCCACTTATCAATTTTTGCTTTTGTTGCAATTGCTTTTGGCATCTTTATCATGAAATCTTTGCCTGTGCCTATGTCCTAAATGGTATTACCTAGGTTTTCTTCCAGGGTTTTTATAGTTCTGGGTTTTACCTTTAAGTCTTTGATGCATCTTGAGTTAATTTTTATATATAGCATAAGGAAGGGGTCCAGTTTCAATCTTTTGCATATAGCTAGCCAGTTATCCCAGCATCATTTATTGAATAGTGAATCTTTTCCCCATTGCGTGTGTGTGTGTGTGTGTGTGTGTGTGTGTGTGTGTGTGTGTTTGAGATGGAGTTTCACTCCTGTTGCCCAGGCTGGAGTGCAATGGCACAATCTTGGTTCACCACAACCTCTGCCTTCCAGGTTCAGGCAGTTCTCCTGGCTTAGACTCCCAAGTAGCTGGGATTATAGGCATTCGCTACCATGCCCAGCTAATTTTGTGTTTTGTTTATTTATTTATTTTTTGTAGAGATAGGGTTTCTCCGTGTTGGTCAGGCTGATCCCAAACTCCCGACCTCAGGTTATCTGCCTGCCTCGGCCTCCCAAAGTGCTGGGATTACAGGCGTGAGCCACCGCACCCAGCCCCTCATTGCTTGTTTTGGTCAGGTTTGTCAAAGATCAGACAGTTGTAGATGTGTGGTCTTATTTCTGGATACTCTATTCTGTTCCATTAGCCTGTCTGTTCTTGTATCAGTACCATGCTGTTTTGGCTACTGTAGCTCTGTAGTATAGTTTGAAGTCAGGTAGCATGATGCCTCCAGCTTTGTTATTTTTGCTTATTATTGCCTTGGCTATTTGGGCTTTTTTTTGGTTCCATGTGAATTTTAACATAGTTTTTTCCAGTTCTGTGAAAAATGTCAATGGTAGTTTAATGGAAATAGCATTGAATCGATAAATTGCTTTGGGCAGTATGGCTATTTTAATAATATTGATTCTTCTATCCATGAGCATGGAAGGTTTTTCCATTTGTTTGTGTTATCTCTGATTTCTTGGGTAGTGTTTTGTTGTTCTCCTTATAGAGATCTTTCATCTCCTTAGTTACCTGTATTCCTAGGTATTTTATTATTTTTGCAGCAATTGTGAATGAGAGTTTGTTTGTGATTTGACTCTTGGCTTGACTGCTGTTGGTGTGTAGGAGTGCTAGTGAGTTTTGCATGTTGATTTTGTATCCTGAGACTTTGCTGAAGTTGCGTCTCATTTTAAGGTGTGTTTTATTCATTCTCTTTACTCTTTCCTTCTGTAGTAACTACTAATCATGTATTGGAACGTTTCTGTTTTTTTCTTACATGCTTAGTACCTTTTTATCTTGTTTTGTGCTACAGTTATTTAAAAGTGTTTTTGGTTATGTCATTCTCTTCTACCATTCAATTTGTCCATAGAATTTTTTGTTAAGTTTTAGAATTTTCATTTCATTGTAATGTGCACATTCTTGCTTTTTCCCATGTGATTTCTAGTTATCCCTTTATCTCTTCAGATATTCTGTAGATATTCATTTTAAAGACTCCTTTAGAATGTCCTTATTTCTGGTTTTTTAGGTGTGAAGTTTTCTTGTTACTGATATTGTTGACTGTTCCTCATGAAGGTTTACTTGCTCATATGATTTGTTCATCTTGATGTTAAGGTAGCATTTCATGAAAGTCTAGGTCTCAGGATTGTAGAAAATATCTAGAGAGTAATTCTATATTTATTTATTTTTTCTTTCTGGGTTTTCCTGGATCTGGACAAATTCTTATTTTAACTTGTCAACATCATATAGCCCCCATGCTACAATGATAATTTTGATTTGGATCCCAGCCTTGTGGACTTGGTGTTCTGATGTCTCATGAATTATATTTTCTCTTGTGCTTACCTGCTGTGTGCTCCCAAGCTAGGGTCAGAATCCCCTGCTCTAGCCAGTTAGGGCAGGGGGTCATGGACAAACAGCCCCATTTACTCCATCTACATAAAGGGAGCTAAGTGCTAGATCTTCACATAAATATTTCTTGGCCTGGGTTGAGGACCTTGCCCTAAGTTCTACCTCTGTCTGGTCTGACATCCCCATGAGCCATTCAGCTTTAGCTTCTGGCCTCAACTCTGCCTCTGAGTTTCCTCTTTGTTTCTAAGTTTGGTTGTGTATTAACAACTTTTTGGGTGGAGGAGGTAGAGGGAAGAAGGGGAGGGATATTTTATTTAGTATTTCTATGTGAGTATAGCAGAAAGAAAAGAAACATTTGTCTTTTCAGCAGGTGTATTTACCAAAAATCTGATTATACTGATAATTAAACACAATTTTTGTTTTTCTTTTACAGCTAGTTATGTATCAAATCCCATTTGCAAGGGTTGTTTGTCTTGTTCAAAGGACAATGGGTGTAGCCGATGTCAACAGAAGTTGTTCTTCTTCCTTCGAAGAGAAGGGATGCGCCAGTATGGAGAGTGCCTGCATTCCTGCCCATCCGGGTACTATGGACACCGAGCCCCAGATATGAACAGATGTGCAAGTGAGCATTTGGTTTTGTCTATCCTGTATTGCTGGATATGCAACTTAGGAGAGGAGCTAAGTTGAAGATTTTGAATGATTTTTTTAAAAAAAATGTGTTTGTAATAGGTGATAGAAATAGTTTAAGCTTGCTGGGTGTGGTGGGTCATGCCTGTAATCCCAGCACTTTGGGAGGCCAAGGTAGGTGGATCACTTGAGGCCAGGAGTTGGAGACCAGTCTGGCCAACATGAGGAAACCCCATCTCTACTAAAAATACAAAAATTAGCCAGGCATGGTGGTGCACACCTGTAATCCCAGCTACTGGGATAGCTGAGGCACCAGAATCACTTGAACCTGGGAGGCGGAGGTTGCAGTGAGCTGAGATAGCACCGCTGTGCTCTAGCCTGGGCAACACAGTGAGATGTCATCTCAAAAAAAAAGAGTCTAAGCTCAAACTTGGAAAAAATGAGTATGGTAGGATAAGAGCACTTTTACTTTATATTTTGTATAGAGCTGTAAGACACAATTCCACATACACACTTTATTTTAGATTATGTAAGTAGTTTTTTAATCACAACGATCTCAAGTACAATCTTGTTTGACAGATTTTTGTAACGAGTACCTACTCAGTGCTTATAAAAAAAAAAAAACCACAAAGGAATTTAAGTACTTTATGCTGAGAACAATCTCTCTGGTTTACCAATTTCTATAGCTTCTTTTTCTCTTTTTATCTGAGTTGGTAATCCTTCATTAGTCTAACCTGCAATTAAATATATGGTAAAGGTGTTTTTTTTTAAGTACCATTACTAATATAACTAAAATGTTTAGGTTATTTTAAAGTAATCTGAATTATAAGTTTAACAACTATTTAAAAACGTTTAAGGAATGGCATTTTGTACATAGTAATGAGGGTGCAATTTTTCATCTTTTAATCCAAAAATCACTTACAGAATGAGTCTCGTCTTCTAGGTCAGCCATAGAAATTGTGGTTTAAAAAAATAGATACCAAAGGAACATCCCTTTCTTTAAGGAACTCAAATTTTAGGGGATAGAAAGGATAAGAAAAAGGGGACCACAGAATAAAATGACAAAAGGTAAGCAGGTTATTCATAATTTAATATATTAAGGGCTGTGTCAGTAATCATTAAATCACTCATATATATATGAGATAATTAAATCTCATATTTATGAGAGTGATTTAATGATCTCCCATTAACACACTGTGTATGTGTCTATTCAGGCAAGACAGTCTTTAGATGAGAAGAGTTTGAATTACATCAACCAAGGACAATATTATTTTGGAAGGTGGCAGAACTAGTGGGGGCTGGTTAAATAAATTCTAGAAAGAAGGAACCACATATATGTAAAAATAATGTATTTGGGGAACAAGAACTCTCACCTGGAGTGTTATTTGGCATTTTGGCAATGCAGTTCTCTGTTTCATGGGACCTGTCCTACATTGCTGGACATTTAGTGTCCTTGGTCCCTGCCCATTAAATGTCCTTTGTGTCTTCACTACTGTTATAAGCAAACATGTCCCCAAACATTTTTAAACACTTCGTGGAAGAGCAGTACAGTAGCTGGATGAAAACCATTGAAGAGCATGTGCCTAGTGGGAGGTGTGGTTGGAATTGAGGAAGGAAAGGGAGGCTGCAGTGCAACTGATAAAGGTGTTTCCTGCTAGGCTAAGAAGTCTTGGTATTATCTAAGGGTACTGAGTAGGCAGTGAACTAAAGAGATTGCTTTAAGATAATTCTAGCAGAAGTGAGGGAGATGAATTGGAGAGGAACAAAAAGTAAAGGAAGGCTATTATAATGATTGCAGATTAGAAAACTTGTTCTGATGATTTTTTTTGTGGGTAATAAATTGCGGAGGCTTTAAAAATAGAACCAGTGGGGCCTGGTAACTAACTGGACAGAGCTAAGAGAAAGAATCAAACTTGATCCTAAGGTCTTCTAGCTAAAGTACTGGATGATGTTACGTCGTTAGCAGAGTTAGAAATATTTAGGCTTAGAGGAAACTTGGATCTACCTTCATTTCATGGAATTGTTTGGATTAATATTTAAAGGAAACAACTCCCCACCAGTTGTAGACTGGCTTGCAAATATGTTTGCAAATATGAATTTTGTTCTTAAGGCATATGATTTAGGCTACTTGATAATTTATTTCTCATAGTTTATAAACTTCCAGAGGAAGATATGTTCCACCTTGGAAAGGATTCCTGTTCAGATTTCTTTAGACTACCTATGGCGGGGGTGGTGGTTTGAGTCCACAGTTTTATGTGTTTCATTCCAGACTATTAGCGCACAAGGAAGACAAGGCAAGAGTGTAGATGGATAGAAACATTTATTCCAAGTTCTAGGGCTAGCATTGTATGTACTTATATGGACAATAGGGTGGCCGTATAATGTATTACTCAATGTGGGACACTGGGAAATGAGAGGGGCTGCCATTAACAACTATGCAGGGATATTGGATGTAAACCAGGACCATCCTATGCAAACTGGTATGAATGGTCACCTGAGCAATACTTTGTAGTATATCAATGGAGTCTTCCTTAGATACTCTCAGGCAGGAGTTAATAGCACATTTTGGCTTAGTTTTCTCAGAAATGGAAAGGAGAGCAGTGACTGTAAATCAGCCTTAGAAAGAAAATCTGCATATGAGAAAGGGTTTGCTATGGATAGACTTCTTGTAAGTGAATACAATCAATGTTGGAGTTTACTGACCTAGAGAAAATCATTACCTGGTACAAGCAGGAAGTGCTATTAACAAGACCCCATTAGAGCAAAGTGAAAAATGGAAAATTATTTCTTAACAGTATACGACTTTGGATAATCATGTTTCTTTCATGCCAATTATTTGCTCTTTTTCATGACTAGTTTGCATATATTGCATTGATATTTGTATTTTATTCAGGGGATGAGAAAGATTTAAATTGGAAAAGCTGTCACAGACTTAGAATTTGAAATGATATCCACTTTTCTCTTCCTTAAAAGATTATCGCTCAATAGTAGAGAAGAAAATTATACTTTTAGCAATAGTAGCCTAAAAAATCTTGTAAGTGAAACTTGAAACTTGCTCATCTGTTTCCTAATCACTAGAGTATGATTTCCAATGTAAAGCAATATCCTTCTTTTGAAGGAAGATTTGCTCTCTGAAAAGTTGTCTGAGGTTGGCTTCTTGGTGCAGACAGTATGAAGCTTATGCAGTTCAACCATACTTATGGAAACCAATCCAACAACTATCTGAGTAATTCTGTGATACATGTACTAACAGACACTAGAAGCTGCCATTGTCCCTGATACTATGTTAGATGTTAATTCACTCATATTTTTTCTCATTCATTAATGAAATCATTTACATAAAACTTTATTCTTTAAATTGTTCTAAATAGTCCTTGTAGAAAACTTAGAAAAGTACACAGGCCTAAAAAAAGCAAAAGCAAACACTTCTCTCAAAGATAACAACAGTTAAAAGATAACAAAAACCATTTTGTCTTCTGTTCTTGACATTTTTGTTTCTATGAGTATTTGTCGTTATCCTCACCTTACAAATGTGTCATTGTGTTTTGTAACTTGTTTAATGAATTATGAACATATTTTCATGCCATTAAATACGGTTGCAAATATTCTACTGAATGGTTATACTATAGTTAATTGCCTATTGAAATTCACTTTTAGTTTTTCATGATTATAAGCAGTTCTATGAAAAATATCCTTATATATAAATTCTTGCTCTCTCATACACATATTTTTACACACTTGCATGGTTTATTTTTATAAGATAAATGTTTAAACATAATACATGTTTTAAAGATATATATTGCCAAATGGATTTCTAGAAAAGTTTTATCAGTTTACATCTTCACTAACAGTGGTCATTTTCACTTGCATCTCTCTGGCTATTAATAACAAGTATAAAACTTCATTTTTGTCTTAATATGCTTTTTCTTTGACACAAATGAAGCTGAACACATATTTGTCACTTGAATATTGGCATTATAGGATGTTTACCAGAGTCACTGCTCCCCTTTTTTCTATTTGCACAACTGTCATGTTTTTAGTAATTAAAAAATAAACTTTTTGAAGTATCATGCAGAATTCTAAATTCACAAATAATAAATGGAGTGTTTAATGAACTATTACAAAGTAGATACATTTAACTCCCACTGATGTCAAGAAAGAATGTTAGTACTACCCACTCACTAACTTCCCATTCACTACTGTCTTCTCCTTTGGCATAACTACCATCCTGACTTGTAAACAAAACACATATAAAACATTATTCATGGCAACACTATTTTTTTAAAAACATAATTACTTTATTGATTTCTTACAATCAAATACCACCAACTAGCATTACTTCCACTCTTGCATCATTAAAAACAAAGGGTATTTCCTCCTTGGTATTTTCAAATGATGCATTATACAATAAACAAAGTTAGAACTTGAAACGCACCCTGATTAATTATGTAAACTGGTAATTTGTTTAAAAAAGCATAATAATTTGGTTCCTTTCTTCATAAAATGGAAATTTAAATATTTCTTCTGATAGTCTTGAGGTTATCATTATGAGTAGTGCAAAGTGTGGCACATATAGTTTCATCTAGAAGGGTGTGGATCTTACCTTAAACAAACAAAATGTGCATTAACAAAGTGCATACAGTTAATGCATGATAGAAAGCATGTTTCAAATATAAAGCAGCCCCTCCGGCCACCATATTATTTAGGTTTTGCATTATCATTTATGGCATTATAGATTAATTACACATAACTTTTATACATTTTAAACCTGAAGATAAGAAAAATAACTGTTGCTTGGAAGAAATTATTCCAGGTAGCCATTTGGTTTGGATCAGGAGAAACTGAACCTCCATGAGTTTAGCGTCTGCCAAGTCAGAATCATTAGCTCAAGTGAGTGAATGAGATATGCTGCGCATTTCACAGTGACTGTTTCCCAAGTCCTGGCAATGCCTCTGCTCCCACAGTCCACCAGATGAAGCATTTCCGGGATGACCCTTCTATGTGGTTTTCCCTTTTCTTTTTGCTGGATTAACGATTACTGTATTATTTCCTCTTTTCCCCTTTTGGTGGCCTTCTATTTCAATTATTCATAAATCCTTTCAGAATATCCTCAGAGAGCTCCATAAGAGGAAGTTCTGTAGATGGAAAATCCAAGGGCGGAAGACAGGAATGTCCTTGGCTTTCCCAGTATTTGCTGCAAACTTCTGCCAGGTTGAGGAGGCTGTAGCAGTTTCTGAATGTGGTGGCAAGCTCCATAACTCTGATGTTTCTACAAAATCAGCATCTACATCCAGCTCCTTTTCTATTGGACCTTTTAGAAGTCTGGCCTTTTCAGCCTTTAGTTGTTATTTTCTTCCCTTAATCTTTAATTCTCTGCCACAAGGAATTCCACATGCCTCTTCAAATCTGCAATTTTGGTTGCCTGCTCCTCTATAATTGTTTTATCGTCTTTTGGGGCTTTACTTCCAATACATGGCTCTGCTGGCTCACTCTTTTGCTGAAGTAAATATAGTAGTGTGTCTGGATCCCTGTCAAAGATCCCCTGAATCTCAGGCAGACATTTCTCTGTGGAAGGGCTGTACTTCTGAGAAAGGGGACTCTGGCCCTCTGCATCCTCTACAGAGGGTTTGTGAGATGCCTGAAGATGGGCAGCTACATCCTTGTCTGTGTTCTGCTGGGCTTTCAATCTTGCTTCACCCTGGGCCCTTTTCCATCTCTCTTGGATGAGGAGGAGCTGTTTCATATGGCTATCCCTTTGCAATTCCAGTGAAAGATGAGCCTGCTCAGACTGTGTCAGCTTCATAGCTTCAGAAAGATACGCTGCAGCCTTTTTGTGACAAGAAATAGCCTCTTCGTATTTGCCTACAGCTAATAAACGGTCTGCTCATCTGCTCTGTTGATGAGCCAGGTTGAGGGGTCCTTCATTACTTCCATAGACCCTGGGGTAAGCGGCGGCCTTAGGAAGGGGAGTAGTGGTGCCAGGGAACATGGAGGGGACTGCAGGGGAGCGTGACACAGCCGCAGAGACTGTGGCCCCTCTCTGCACCCCAGGAGCCAGTCGTAGGCGCTGAGGGAGCCAACACTATTTATACTAATTACAAGTTGGAAACAACTCAAATGTCCAAACAATACAATACCTAAAAAATATAGTATATTAATATTGACATTTAACAGAAAGCAAGGAAAAGCCAGTGGAGGAGGCTGTGACTAAGTCACTAGGAAAGCAGAGAGGATGATGTCCCAGAAGCAGAATGGGAAGGCTTGCGGAGAAGTAAGTGGTCAATGTCAGCGTTGCACTGTTTAAACAATAGAGTTGTTGACCTTCATATGAGCCATTTCATTGTTTTTGTTGGGTCGCTATTCTGATTGCTATGGTTTTGGGGAGTACATGGAGTCATAGGAAAGCAGCCAGTGATTATATACACTCATTCTCTTCTTCCTCTAAGTGTATTTAAAAAGAGAATCTGATAACTGGAAGGCTCACACAGATGGGGAAGTTGGGGTGTGTGTGTCTGTGAGTGACAGGAGACATAACTAGGAAAGAGCCAGCTGAGGAGGAAAGACAAAAAATAATGAAGAAACAAGATCACTGAAGGGACAGAAGAGGATAGAGTCCAAAACATAGGTGGGAAAATTAGCCTTGGACAAACATTTATTCAGCAATTTATGAAGTATCTACCTCATGTCAATCAAGGTTAAGGATTCTTTTTTGTCATGTACCAGGAAGGTATCAGAAATATGCTGAAATTAAGGAAAAAGGAGGAGTAAACTTTTTTAACCTCCAAATTTATGTATAAGAAAACAATATACTTTGCCAGAAATAGTACTTTGGAAAATCATCTGTAAACAAATACAGAAATGAGATATTTTATAATTTTAGATCCATGAATTTGCTACATTTTAACTATTTCTGCTACATTTTATGATTCTACCCTTGTTTTGACATTTTGTGAAATATGTATTTAGGCTAGGAGAACACTACATTTTGTTTCCTTTTTTTTCTTCTTTCTTTCCTTCCTTTTTTTTTTTTTTTTTTTTTTTGTTGTTGTTGTTGTTGCACAGTCATAGCTCAATGAAGCCTCAATCCCTTCTGTGCTGAAGGGATCCTCCCACTACAGCCTCCCCAGTAGCTGGGACTACAGTCGTGTGCCACTATAGCCAGCTAATTTTTTAAAAAATGTATTATTAGAGATGCCTGGCTGTTATTTATTTATTTAAATATTTTTAGAGATGAAGTCTTGCCATGTTGGCTGGTTTCTAACTCCTGGCCTGAAACAATCCTCCCACTTCAGCCTCGCAAGTAGTTGAGATTATGGGTGTGAGCTGCTACATTTTGCTTTTCAAATGAAATGACACAGGTTTTAAAAACTAGTAATTTTTAACATATAAGAAAATCCAAAGTTAAATATCATCTTTTAATTTGTGAACTCCAAGATCACTATTTAGGTGTTTTTAAAGAATTACTACATGTCATCAAGTTTGAATGCCTTTAGAAACACCTGTTTTCTTGTCTTTCTTTCTTTCTTTTTTCTGAGACAGCCTCACTTTGTCTCCCAGGCTGGAGTGCAGTGGTTTGGTCTCAGCTCACTGTAACCTCCGCTTCCTGGGTTCAAGTAATTCTCGTGCCTCAGTGCACCAAGTAGCTGGGACTACAGGCGCACGCCACGATGCCTGGCTAAGTTTTTTGTATTTTTAATGGAGATGAAGTTTTGCCATGTTGCCCAGGCCAGTCTCGAACTCCTAAGCTCAGGAAATCCCCCCATCTTGGCCTCCCAAAGTGCTAAGATTACAGTCATGAGCCACTGAGCCCAGCCTGTCATTCTTGAATAATGTAATTTAATGATGCATTTGGGGAAAAAAAAAGTCTAGGTATTTAAAATTAACATAAATATGTTTGAAATGTCCAAATCTGGACAACTGTGGACACACATATAATTATTCTAAGTACCATAAATTCTATATAATGTGTTTGAAGATCTATAAAGATACAGACTTCCAAATATATTGATGTAACCCCAGTATGTTTGGGATTACTGAGAAATAAAATTAAAAATAACAAATGTCTTCGTTTGGAGGATACTTAGACCATTAGGTTGGAGACCATCAGGTTGCATATGAAACTGATACAGAATTAGACAACAGTATTAGATAGCATCATTACATAAAGTGGTGCTGAACCCCAGTGGGCCAATGGGGTTAGTATTTTGCACAGTTATAGAAGGGATCACAGAAGGGACAAGTTAGTGGTTAGGTTAGAACAGTCATGAAAAATTGCAGGGCTCAGGTGTATCCTTCCCTTCCTTCACCATCTAACCTGGGTGGCGAGGCTGTTAAGAGTTAGGGGCATTCTAGGTTTAGAGGAAATGCATGAGCATGAGGGGTGAAAGGACCAGTGACAAGACCTGATAGAAGACCTGGAGATAAGTGATTGATGTTGACCAACTAAAGGTAATAGGATTCAAATTCAGGGACTGTATTCTGATTACACTTAAACCAGAAATGCTCTAAATCATGTATTAGAGTTATTTTACTTTAGGTTTAATCTTTATCAAACCAGCACATGAATAAGGGCTACATTTTAGAAGCCTATAATATTCTTTAATTTTGGAATACAGGCAGTGCTGGAATTAAGAAAGCCTGGTGAAAACAGCCACTTGCATGGTTTTCCCAACAGTATTAGTAGGTATTTATCTGATAAGGAAAGAGAGGGGAAGACTGTAATTTAGGGGATGGCTTAGCCTGCTTAATACAGCTTACACATTTAGCAAACATTTACTGCTGATATACTAGGCAGGGCCAATGTGTGTTTTTATTAAAAAAAAAATGGAATGGAATTGAATGTGCTAAGAACTGTGAGGGTGACACACTGGCTGCTCAGGGAACCCATGGGGCATCAGCTGACTTGCCCTTGGAGATGGGTGAGTCTTCAGATTTTCCGAAGAGTGTGTTATAAAACTATCTTGAAAGAGGAGTAGGGTGAGTAAGAGTAAGAGGGTAAAGGGTACTCATAGCAGAGAGTCACTTGAGCATTGGAATGCAAAATGTGAGAAATGAAATCTTGGAAGCTGAGGATGGAGGATTCATAAGCTGGGAAGACATATAATGCTCTTGTTGTAGAATGTCATCTGATGTCACCAGGGGAAATAGGTTGAGCAGAGAGCCAGAGAGGAGGCACAGAGACCAATTAGGAAGCTGTTGCTGTAATCCCAGGCCAGAAACCGGGACTTCAGCTAAGGCAGTGGTACTTGAGGTGGGGAGGAAGAGACAGATTCAAGAGATTAGAAGATAGAACCAGCAGAAGGTGGTTCATTGGACACAAGGGTAAGAGAGGGAAGAGACCTCAATGACTCACAGATTTCTGCCTTTTTTTTTTTAATTATTATTTAAGTTTTAGGGTACATGTGCACAACGTGCAGGTTTGTTACATATGTATACATGTGCCATGTTGTGCTGCACCCATTAACTTGTCATTTAGCATTAGTATCTCCTAATGCTATCCCTCCCCCTTCCCGCTACCCCACAACAGTCCCCAGTGTGTGATGTTCCCCTTCCTGTGTCCAGGTGTTCTCATTGTTCAATTCCCACCTATGAGTGAGAACACACGGTGTTTGGTTTTTGGTCCTTGTGATAGTTTGCTGAGAATGATGGTTTCCAGCTTCATCCATGTCCCTACAAAGGACATGAACTCATCCTTTTTTATGGCTGCATAGTATTCCATGGTGTATATGTGCCACATTTTCTTAATCCAGTCTATCATTGTTGGACATTTGGGTTGTTTCCAAGTCTTTGCTACTGTGAATAGTGCCTCAATAAACATACGTGTGCACGTGTCTTTATAGCAGCATGATTTATAATCCTTTGGGTATATACCCAGTAATGAGATGGCTAGGTCAAATGGTATTTCTAGTTCTAGATCCCTGAGGAATCACCACACTGACTTCCACAATGGTTGAACTAGTTTACAGTCCCACCAACAATGTAAAAGTGTTCCTATTTCTCCACATCCTCTCCAGCACCTGTTGTTTCCTGACTTTTTAATGATTGCCATTCTAACTGGTGTGAGATGGTATCTCATTGTGGTTTTGATTTGCATTTCTCTGACGGCCAGTGATGATGAGCATTTTTTCATGTGTTTTTTGGCTGCATAAATGTCTTCTTTTGAGAAGTGTCTGTTCATATCCTTTGCCCACTTTTTGATGGGGTTGTTTGTTTTTTTCTGGTAAATTTGTTTGAGTTCATTGTAGATTGTGGATATTAGCCCTTTGTCAGATGAGTAGGTTGCAAAAATTTTCTCCCATTTTTTAGGTTGCCTGTTCACTCTGATGGTGGTTTCTTTTGCTGTGCAGAAGCTCTTTAGTTTAATTAGATTCCATTTGTCAATTTTGGCTTTTGTTGCCATTGCTTTTGGTGTTTTAGACATGAAGTCCTTGCCCTTGCCTATGTCCTGAGTGGTATTGCCTAGGTTTTCTTCTAGGGTTTTTATGGTTTTAGGTCTAACATGTAAGTCTTTAATCCATCTTGAATTAATTTTTGTATAAGGTGTAAGGAAGGGATCCAGTTTCAGCTTTCTGCATATGGCTAGCCAGTTTTCCCAGCAACCATTTATTAAATAGGGAATCCTTTCCCCATTTCTTCTTTTTTTGTTGCCCAGGCTAGAGTGCAATGGCATGATCTTGGCTCACTGCAATCTCTGCCTCCTGGGTTCAATCAATTCTCCTGCCTCGGCCTCCCAAGTAGCTGGGATTACAGATGCCAACCACCATGCCCGGCTAATTTTTGTGTTTTTATTAGAGACGGTTTTCACCATGTTGGCCAGGCTGGTCTCAAACTCCTGACCTGGGGTGATCTGCCCGCCTCGGCTTCCCAAAGTGCTGGGATTACAGGCATGTGCTACCATGCCCAGCCAGGTTTCTGCTTTTAAGAATTGTATAAATACTGGTTTATTGGATATTATTATTGATTTATTGGGATTATTGGATATTATTATTGATTTTGGTTTTGATTGATAGATAGCAAAAGGAGTTCAGGTTTAGAAATGTTGACTTGAGATGACACAGTTGCATAGAGATGTGCATTGGAGAGTCGGATACCTGAGTCTGTTTTAGATAAAAGCCAGTTAGGATCTAGTATCTCCTTGCTCTCCTGTCACATCTGACGATCCTATTAATACTGATCAAAAATACTGATCACAGGTACAGATGTTACCAGGAATATTTATTATGCTTAAATGCTTACCAGGATGCTAATATATGGTTAAACCTGAATCTGGTGGGAGTGAAACTGCTACATCATCTACCTGTGGCAAAGATATGTGATACCTCCAGTAGTCCTTCAAACAGAGGGCCATATATTGGGAAAATTATTTTCCTCTACAGTGAATGGCAAACAGGACCACCCCACACAAATTTGTATAGTTTTTTTACGTAGGTGTCTGTCTCTCTCAGACCCACTCCCCCAAACTTTAGCTATGTTTTTTATTGGTCATGACCCTTTCTCTTCTACTGACTGTGTATTTTAATCATTATCCCATCTCCATCATTCCCAAAGATGGGAGTTGTTCATTGTTGACACATACTGCTTTGAAACCTCTTCATATTAGAATGAAGTGGTTCTCAAAGTGTGCATCAGAACCACCTGTTAAAACACAGATTGCAAGATTGCACCGCCAGAGTTTCTGATTCAGTAGATCTGAGATGGAGCCCGAGAATTTGCATTTTTAACAAGTTCACAGGTGTGGCTGACCCGACTGGCTCAAAGACTACACTTTAAGAATCACTGCTACCGTGTAATAATTATGTCACTAGTTATGGAATAGAAGACTTCATATTTAATGGAAGACGAGTTTCAGTACCTTCTAAGCATATGAGGATATTATGAGGAAATGTATATTTCTCCCCACTTCTCTCATTCACACATACCTGTTTATGGGCTGTACTGATCATGAGCTGATCATGATAGAATGTGTTAGAATATGCTGGCTTTTGGGACAGCCTTTCACTATACTTGTCTCTCCCCTTCCCTAACTTTTTTCTCTGCCTCCCACACTTTCTCATACCATGTTTCTTCCTTCTCTAAGATTTTCACTACTTTATGTGTTCTGGCACATGCATTTTAATTTGTAATTGTGTCTTGTATCTTAGAACTAATTTATTCTATTGATTTTTGTTGATAAAGTTCTGATTGAACTATAGCTTCTACATGAATAGAATCATTTTAAAGCTTTATTTTGTGCAATAGTTTAAAAGAAAGGAAGAGGAGGGGAGTGTTTGTAGACAGGAGAACAGGGATCATGGTGGACTGTGCAGCCAGACTCCCTTCTTGCTCAGTCCACAACTGGCTTCCAGGTTAGAGGTTGGACAGGTGCCTTAAATTACTCTTTAACAATGAGTGAACTACATAATCTGAGCCCCAGTGTCCTCATGTCTAAAAATTAGCAGAGACTGTGAGATCATTGCTCTAACATTCTGTGGTTCTGTGAATGCTTCCAGAAGTTACTGCCTTTTGACATTCCAGACCAGCCTGTCTCCTCAAACTGCAGATAGAAATGGCCATTCTAATACTCTCCTAAGAATCCTATGATATAGTTAAACATTACATTCTACTCTATAGTATTTGTAAACATTTACATTGCACATTTGCACTCTGACAAGCTCAGAGAGGTTTACAAACCTACCCAAAGGACACACAGTATGGAGAGCTAAGAACAGGATCTAGGATTCTCTCTAACTCTAATGCCCATGTTTCTTTAATTAAACCATGCAGCTTCTCTTGGAGAAAACAAAGTAAAAATGCATCATTTGGTCCAGTTCAACTGCCCATCATAAAAAAGAAATACATCATTGGATAGGGTTAGGATTTTTTCCCCTTTGGCAGAGGGTGAGGCAGGTAGGTCTTCACTTTGAAGTGGTACACTTTCAGCATTCTTTTGTGCTGGTTTCTTTTCCAAATTGAAAAGGGACCTTTCCTACAGCCCAGTCTGCAGAAGGCACTTCATGGGTTAACAGGCTCCTGCCAGCTGGAGAAAGCTCATTGCCCTGAAGTGGCTTTACATCACTATGCAGGAGTGGCTACCAGCTGGTTAATACCCTGGCCGTCACTTGATGGGGTGGACACCCTACTATCCACTTATTAGAAGACAGCTGGATACTATTACATGCCAAATCTCTCAGTTCTTTTATGCTTTCTCCTGAAGAAAACCCATCTTTGCAAGACAGCTGGCTATATTTGGATGTACCTATGACTGGGATAAAACCGTATATCTAGAAAATCTCACAATTGTCAATTGATTTTAGTTTTGGGAGATTATATAAAAAATGTGACCTCACCAGGGCCACAGTTTAGTTGAGGCCAGCCAGTCAAGGCCTTGGCATCTCATAAGTTCTCAGTACATATTAATTGAATGATTAAAATGTCCCAGGTGGCATGGGGTCCCTAAGAGTAGGAGCAAGGGCTCACTATATTAGTTGCTCTTTTGTGCCAGATACTATGTCGTGGCTTACTACTTATAAACACTTATTTAGCACTTTGGGGGCTAAGTCCTTTCAATGAGTTATTCAGTAGATACATGACTACCAGAGGCAAGTGAACTGAGGCGTAGAGAAGTTAAATAGTTCAATGAAAGTCAATTAGTATGTAGCGGAGATAATACTAGAGTGTGTGTGTGGCTGATGACATCCTATGTTTGTTGTTACTGAACTGTAAGTTTCCTGGAATGCTTTTCAGTTTTGTTCCACAGATCACTATAAATTTGTGGAAGAGAAAAACTGTAAATTGAAACTATTTTTACATTTAATGAAGGCATTCCTATTTATTAACTACTTTTAGCATTTAAAGTCATGTAAAGATAAATGAATCTCTTGATCACAAGATACTAAATATGAATTATCTAGGAAGGTGGTGGTACAGTGGAACAACCTGATAGGCCACTATTTATCATGGGACAGCCCTTTTCAATGTCTTTGTTATTGTTTCAGTGAGCTAGTGTGGACAGTGATAATCAGGTGGTTCTTTTATTTAATAGGAAATAATTGACAATGTACCAAATCTCTGCATTCTGTAGATTGAATTCAGATGAAGATAAGCAGTAACTTACTGCATCGGTTAAAGAAAAGAACAGTACACTTCAAATAATTCTTAAAGGAGAGTATGTCTTGTTCAATTAACAAACACTTTCACTGATTAACCTGTGTGTGTGTGTGTGTGTATGTGTATGTGTGTGTTCACAATCCTGCATGACCTTTGTCAGGTAGATGTTCCTTTAAACTAATTAAAAATTATATACATAGATCTGGAAGAGACTTAATTATATTTTCTTCTTCTTCCCCCCTCCCTGCTTTTTCCTCTCCCCTCTCTCCCTGTCTCTCTCCCTCCCACCTCTCTTCCCTCAACAAATGTGGATACTGAACATTACAAAGGTAGTATTTCTCCAAAGTCACATAATTACTCAGTAGCAGAGTGGCCTTGACATCTAAGAATACTGATATTGCACTGGTGTCAAAGTCTTTCTCTCTTTCTCTGTCTCTTTCTTTCTTTTGGTTAAGACAAGGTCTCACTCTGTTGCCCAGACTGGAGTGCAGTGGCACAATTTCAGCTCACTGTAGCCTCGACCTCTCAGGCTCAACCCATCCTCCTATCTCTCAGCCTCCCGAGTAACTGGCACTACAGGTGCGTGCCACCATGCCCAGCTAATTTTTCTTTTCTTTTTCTTTTTTTCTTTTTTTTTTTTTTGTAGAGATGAAGTATCGTCACATAGCCCAGGCTGGTCTCAAACTCCTGGGCTAATGTGACCCTCCTGCCTCGGCCTCCCAAAGTGTTGGAATTACTGGCATAAGCCGCTGCACCTGACCAGAATGCTCTTTTCATTGTATAGTCCTTGCTCCTTGGTATGTGCAGAGGATCAGTTCTGGGACCACCCTGGAACAGTTAGACCTGCGGAATTCAAATATGAAGTTGGCACCCCTGTAGGCAGGTTACCCATTCAGCAAATACAGTATTTTCAATGCATGTTTGTTTGAGGATGTGGAATGAGCCAATACAGAGGGCTTACAGTATTTATTGAAAAATCTTCATATGAGTTGTAAACCAAACAGTGACTGAGGCAGGTCTCAATCGATTTAGAGGTTTATTTTGCCAAGATTGAGGACGCATTTAGGAAAGGAAAACACAAGTTACAGTAGAATCTGCGGCTTATGCTTTTTCCAAAGAGGGTTTTGAGGACTTCAATATTTAAAGAGTAAAGAGCAAACAGGAAGGGAAGAAGATGGGGGGAAAAAAGGAAGGGATGGGCAGTAAGGCAAGTAGTTATATTCTTGCAAGGCTTTGAATAGTGCTCAGTGAATCTATACCTTTCAGGGGCTGGAGAAAAAGTCAAGTATGCATTTGTTTCACTCTCAGTAAATCTGCATTTTACATCAGATAAAGTCAGCATGTGAAATTATGGCTGTTTTAGAACAACGGGAGGCAGTTTTCTTTTTTTTGTTTGCTTGTTCTGTGTGTGTGTGTGTGTGTGTGTGTGTGTGAGTGTGTGTCTGTGTGTGTCTGTGTGTGTATCACTCAGTTCCCAAGCTTTACTTTCCCTTTGGCATAGTGAGTTTGGAGTTCTGAGATTCTTTTTTCTTTCATAAAGCAGACCGATATAGGTCAAACCTGCATTGTGCAAGGGTCAACTGTACCTTAAACCATGTAATACAGACAAAACTGACAAAACCGTTATGCAGTTATAAATGCAAATATTAGAAAAATCTGAATTTCCTTGGCTAGTTCCCCCCCCATTTTTTTTTTTGAGATGGAGTCTCGCTGTGTTGCTGAGGCTGGAGTGCAGTGGCGTGATCTCGGCTCACTGCAAACTCTGCCTCCCGGGTTCACGCCATACTCCTGGCTCAGCCTCCTGGGTAGCTGAGACTACAGGTGCCTGCCACCATGCCCAGCTAATTTTTTGTATTTTTAGTAGAGATGAGGTTTCACCGTGTTAGCCAGGATGGTCTCGATCTCCTGACCTTGTGATCCACTTGCCTCAGCCTCCCAAAGTGCTGGGATTACAGGCGTGAGCCACCGCACTCGGCCGCCAGCTTTTTCTTAAACAAATGGTCAGTTTAAGTGTTTCAAATCCCATTAAAAATATCAAAACATTCAATTTTATCTTCTGAAAGGATTATGGTAAATCCTATCTCTAAAAGAACACTGGATTGGAAGAAATGGTGGGCTCTGATTTGAGCTCTGACAGTAACTAGCTTTGTAAGCTTAGACAAATGATGTAACACACTCTGGAATAATAGCATCCTAGTAACTTGGGTCTATGAAAACATCTCAGTAAAAGAGTAATATCTGATGTTGGCAGTTTCTTTTTACAGTATTGATCACCTTATGACTTTCTGTGTATTCTAAGTCTAGTTTAATGTTCAGTCTCTCCCTCCCACCCTTATTTCTGCTTGGTTTATGGTTAAGGACTGTGCATACCTTTTGTTTCTTAAAGGCAAAACATGAGACATAAAAGCTTTAACATGATATTTAGTAATTTGGTGCCTAATTTGAAAATGTAGCTCTGCATAATCTGAAGTATTTTTGTTTGTTACAGAATTATGCTATTACACTAAAATATACAAAATGGGCTGGGCACAGTGGCTCACATATATAATCCCAGCACTTTGGGAGGCCAAGGAGGGTGGATCACTGGAGGTCAGGAGTTCGAGACCTGCCTGGCCAATGTGATGAAACGCCATCTCTACAAAAAGGACAAAAATTATCCAGACATGGTGGCAGGCACCTGTAATCCCAGCTACTTGGGAGGCTGAGGCATGAGAATCACTTGAACCTGGGAGGCAGAGGTTGCAGTGAGCTGAGATTGCACTACTGCACTCCATCCCGGGTGACAGAGTGAGACTCTGTCTCAAAAAAAAAAAAGACTGTGTTTATTCTAAACTGATAGAAACTTAGCATTAAATTTG
Organism: Homo sapiens; assembly: GCF_000001405.40. Lineage (NCBI taxonomy): Eukaryota > Metazoa > Chordata > Mammalia > Primates > Hominidae > Homo > Homo sapiens. The sequence continues at coordinate 107,972,107 of NC_000008.11, read as the reverse complement.
TTAATTCAGCAGATACATCTATCATCATCTGTCATGTCAGGCCCCCATGCTGAGATCTAAGAATACAGACTAGCATAAGACAGGCTCTGTTTTCTACATTTAATAGGAGGATTATGATGGACAGAGTGGTAAAACCATGAGGGAAGAACTATCATAGGTATCTGGGTGTTGGGAGGGCAGAGGATGTTTTCAAGAAACTTCACACATATAACTGAGCATGACTAAGGTGAAAGGTACATGTGGAGTTGAGGCTAAGAAGGTAGATAGACATGCCTAGCAAGAAAGATCTTGTATTTTAAAATCAAGGGTTTGTACTTGATTCTGCAAGTGAAGGTGAGCCATTGAAGCATTTTAAAGTAGGGAAATGACGTGAAAAATGTGTGTTTTTGAAAGATCACAGTGTTCTCTTGTAGCTGCAATAAAGCAATCTTAATTTTGTCATTGTGATCTGTAGCACCTGTATGGATACACCATCAAAGATTTCAGTAGGCCAGATCAGGGATGATATTAACAACTTCAGTAATGGTTATTCACCTGCACAGTGCACTGTTTAATGTACTGGTCCACAGTTGCAATGCAGTAGCTGCCTGTTGTGAGACGTAAACCCTGTTTTAATTCTATTCCATTACCCTTTATGGAAAACTCAAAGGGCATTCTTTCTCCTAATTTGTCCTGGAAGATAGATTATATCAAACTGATACTCTAAAAGCTAGAATAAACATTTTTCTCTCTGTGAGAAAGTTGGCTATATGATTTTTGATACTCTTTACAAAACATTTTACTTTTATTTTTAGTAATGGTACTAATGGTTGGAAAATAAAAGTCGTGACTTTCCGTTTAATAGAGGTAATTGTATTTTTCAAGCTTACATTTGTTTCTTGTGGATTTGGTAGTTCTTGTAAGTGAGCCTATTATTTCAACATAGGCCCAAGTTAGGCAACATCGTTCTATTATTATATTTCCAGGGCAGAAGCCACCTTGTGCTGTTTTTATGTAAATAAAACATACACCTAGTGCTTTAGTTTTTAAAATACTTTCACCTGCATCTTCTTAACCGCATCTGGAAATCCTGCGAGGCAGTTAATATCCTCATTTACAAAGCAGGTAACATGCATTCTGATAAGTCCACTGACTGGCCCGAAGGTTGCCTGCCACTGCGTGGTACAACCAAGACTGTATCTACTTTTATCATCAAACTAGATGGGCATACATGACAAAGCCACCCTCACAAACAGAGCAATTAAAAATATCAAACTACAGGACTGGACATAAATGTCAAGCTAGTTTCAGCCCAAACATATGGCTTCGTAAAATTCTTCTCTCTTCCTTCCTTTCCAACCAGCAACTTCGTTCAAAAGTCAGTGCCACAGCAAGCAAGAAATTAAAAACTTATTAAAATAGAATGGAATATTGACCCACAGACAACTGATCAGGAGTTGTCATTCTTGATTTATCAATACAGTGTGAATAAAGTTAAAAATATTGAAATGAAAGTATTCCCATGTCAACTGAATTCCAGCATCCTCATGCTTATCTGATATTTGTCTTATGCCCACAGCCAGATGGTATATGGAAGACATCACTATGCCTCCCCAAGCTTCAATGCTACCATTTGGTGTTTTCAAAATAAAACTCTTTATTTTCTTTTCCTTTTTTCTATCAAGGTACCCCAGGGATTTCAGTAATTCTCTAGCCTAGGGGTCAGCAAACTATGACCCAAGGGCAAAATTTGGACTGCTATCTTTTTGTTAGGGCCCTTAAGCTAAGAATAGCTTGCAGATTTTTAAGTCATTGAGATTTTAAGACAAAAAAATGAAAGAACAATATTTTGTGACACACGAAAATGATATTAACTTTTAAATGTCAATGTTCATAAAGTTTTTTTGGAAAACATCCATGTTGAATCATTTACATATTGTCTGTGGCTGCATTTTGTGTTATGACAGACATGAGTTGTTTAGACAGATACCGTATGGTCTGCAAAGCCTAAAATATTTATTATCTGGCTCATTATAGGAAAAGTTTGCTCTAGCCTATTTGGAGTATAAAGAGATTAAGGTATTCTTCTTGTTTTCCTTGGATGGGGGTTGAGTGGAGGGCACCACATATATTAGCTTACATATGCTTTTCCATTTAGTTGGGTGGAGAGATCTGCATTTTCCAACATTTGGAAAAATCCAACTAAGATGCAGGTCTGAAGCTGATTAAACCGCTCTACTTCTACTGTAATATAAAAGGGTGACAAGTTACCAAAAAAGGAAAAGCACAAGAAGTAACCAAGATGAGAGTTCTAATAATGGCAGGAATTTAAAATCTGATATGAGATACTAATTTGGTTTACAATTTTTGAAACTTTTCATTACTATCACATTCCTTTGCTATTTTATTTTGAGGTAGTTGTCCTTCTCCCACTGTTTCACACCTTCACCATGGGAAAAAAATTCTCTTTAAGCATTTAACGTTCTTAGCAAATGTGTTCATTTTAATTTCATTTGTTTTGAGAATGATTTCAAATATGCATCACTTGAATATATGAGAAATAAAGCCAGTATTTTCAGAGTTCCTCGTTATTTGACCACATAATTTTACACAAGCCTCCACGTTTCTTCATATTTTTTCTATGTGGGTGGGCAAGATATAACATTTAAACATTCAAATATCACAGTGAAGCTACTAGCAGCATATTGCAAAAGTTTGAATTTGGAGTTTTTAAAAAGTGAACTGTTGTGACACTTCAAGTTAAATACTTTTCCCTGATACATTTTTTGACAGCATATATGTCCTCGGCAGTTAAAATAAAAGATACTATGGCATGTAAGATAGAACTCTATAGCTATCTGAAAAACAGTATGTAAATTTCTAGATAGAAATTTATTCTGCCTAATTGGAACTTGAGGATTTAAATCACAGCCTACGTCAGGATTTTATTGTATGATATAGGTAAGTCAGGTATTTCCCCCTTTTTATCTGATGGTTAAGGGAGTAGGGCACAAAGAGAATGTGATTTCTACCATCTGTCCCCACACCCCAGGTCAAAATTGCCTTTAGATCTTGGTTTCCTAACTCCTGGTTCCTAATGTTCAAAGCAGATGATTTTCCATGTAGGTACCCAACAAATGATTGTGATCAGTTTGTTAAGCTGTGTGACCTAAACAAGGGTGAAGCCACTAAGTGTACTCTAGACAGTGGGTAATGCCCTTTATTGGGTAATGCCCTTTGAGTAGTGCATATGTATATATTTATTTATTAAAACTACATATATACAGTTTATTAAAATTATATCTATTTTTTCCATGTGGAGTATCCTATTTGAGCTTCCTTCCATTCACCATCTTGGGCTGCAATCCTTTTGTCCTAGTTGTTAGATTAAAATGTATTTTATTATTTATATTTAATAGTTGTATGTATTTTTAGGAGTACATGTGATATTTTGATATCTGTATACCATGTGAAATGAATAAATCAGAGTAATTAGGATATCCGTCACCTCAAACATTTATTTTTTTTGTGTTGGGAACATTACAATTCTTCTATTTTGAAATATATAATAAATGATTACTAACTATAGTTTTTCCTACTGTACTATTGAATACTAGAACTTATTCCTTCCATCTAACTATATGATTGTAGCCCTTCACTAACTTCTCTTCATCCCCTTCCGTTCTCAGTCTCTGGTAACCACCATTCTACTCTCTATCTCCATGAGATCTACTTTTTTAGCTCCCACAGGTGAATGAAAATATTTGATATTTGTCTTTCTGTGCCTGGCTTATTTCACTTAACATAATGTCCCCCAGTTCCATCCATGCACTGGAAATGACAGGATTTCATTCTAGTTTTATAGCTGAATAACATTCTATTGTGTGTATATACATAAAATATTTTCTTTATCCTTTCATCCATTGGTGGGCACTCAGGTTAATTCCATATCTTGGCTATTATAAATAGTGCTGCAATAAACATGAAAGTGAAGATATCTCTTTGATATATTGATTTCCCCTCTTTTGGATATATACTCAGCAGTGGGATTGCTGGATCACATTGGTAGTAAATTTTTATACTTATAAAAGCTCACTTTTAATAACTAATTACACAGCAGGTACTGTGCTGAGATCTTTGCACTGATTAAGCCTCTGAATCCTCTCAAAAAGCCTGTAAGATAGAGACTGATAATACCTTTAAAAAAATACATGAGGACATTAAGACAAAGAGAGCTTCACTGACTTGACCACAGTCACACAATAGTAAGTGGTCCAAGATTCTAACCTCAGATCTGCTAACCACTGTACTATTTGAGTGGCCACTATATTCTCCACATAGTTCTTATTTCCTGCCCCTTGCTCTTATTCTAAGTGTCCTGTTCTGCATTTGACATAGTTGAATTTTATCCTATACCAACTATCTGAACTAATTAAGGCAATCTTGATTTAAACTCATTCTACTGGGTTATAAACAGACTTTAACCCTGTATCTTCTGTTAATTTAGTAATGCTGGTTCTCTGTGTCATCATTCAAAGAGTTTAATTGTAAATATAAAACATTGAGTCCTGAAACTTCTGGATTCATCTTTTATTTAGGTTGAAATATAATGAAGTTCTAATGAGCTGTGTGTTACTTGACTGTATTACAAAAAAATGTAATTTTAGCTTTTAGGTATAATAATTTTTATCAATACATAGTCTAGTGGAATTACTGTAATGGTACATATTAGAAATGCATGATTTTGATAACATAAAGCTTAAAACTTGGGATATTTATAACCCCATTGCAAGTTTTGAGAGGAAATGTTAAATAGTACTTGAAATTGTTAGATAAGCCTAAAACTAATTTTTAAAAACCTTATATTAAGTTCCATAGTCTAGTGCTTTCCATGTGAAAATTTGCTGAAAGTCTAATTTTGAATGTTTTGGGAACAAACTGTGCCTTTAATTTCTATTCATATTTTAGCACGCAGTGGGCAGAGAAATCTCTAGAGGTTTCTAGAGGTTGGCTTGATGTTCTTTGATCCTTTCATCTACTATGTGGGGACTAAATAAATGCCCTGTTTTTGTCATTGACTGCCACATTCTGAACAGAGATGCTAGTTTAAAATAAGAGCAGTTGGAGCAACAAGCAATTGGATTTTCATGGTGTGCTAAGGCAGTCTGAAGTCCACAGCCCTGATGGGCATGAAGAAATAAGAGAACATAGATTCCCAGGGGTGTTTGAGGTTCCTTCTACTTTATTGACTTCTTCCCTTTCTCCAATAATTGATTGTAATATATATAATTACATTTTGACAGCTAGATTTAACAAAGGTTGATGTTTCTCTGCTTTTAAGGATTTACTTTTCTCATTTATCTGATTGACCATGCTGAGATATTCAATTAAGAGATGATTCTTGTCATCTTAATTTAGCTGGGAAGAGAAACAAAAGGAACTCTGTCCATTTGCCAAGTGCCCTGAAAGCACTGTTGAGACCAAAGGAAGAGAGGATAGTTGCATGATCTTTGGCTTCTCTCAGTTTTCCATCTTCTCTTCCACTTGGTTTGTCACTTTTATGGATTCATTATAACTCCACTCCCCGGATTGTTGAGCCTACCAATGGTTTTCCTGACCTCTACTGTCTTCTGCTTTCAGGAAGGTTAACTTTCTGAAAACGTTCACTCTCCAGCTCGCTGTGTCTTTACGTCAAGCTTAGAGTAGTCATTTATTCCCTAATTGCCTCTCTGTAGAGCTTTCCCCTCAGTGGACTGAAGATCCTGAGGTGTAAGGACCTTGTTTTCTCATCTGTGCTTCTATGTACCTGTCAGGATGGTTGGCCCATAGGGACTGTTACCTGTCTCAATGAGGAAACATGGTGATGTTATGCTCATGGCCAGAATCTACAGGGACTACTCACTGCTAGTCAGACCAAACCCCTAATCTTGAACTGAGCTTCATTTTTATTAATACTAATTATTACTTAAATACTTAAAGCCACTCAAAGTATGAATAATTTATAATCCCCACCCAAAGCTTCTAAACCCAAGTAACCATCCCATAGCCTAACCTCCTTTTCCTCCAAGCCACTCCTCACTGGACCCGTCACTTGCCATATGGATTTTCTCTATTGCCTCATGATGAGGGCAGCCACCCTTGCCAGGACTCTGCTTCTTCTTGTCTCCCTAAAACTTGCTCATTTGAAGTTCCAACTTATAGCACACATCACCCGCCTTCCTTTGATAGTTACATTCTCCAGTATAATTGTTTTCAGGTGTTTAACTGTTGGTTCTTCCATATGATTTGCAGTTCTTTACAACAAGTATGGCTTTTTAATATTAGAAATACAGTGCATGTGCAATCAGTCTCTCACTAAGCATGCAAATATTACAGAAATTGAATTTTTGAATGGCATTCATGTTCATTTACTTAGCAAGCATTAAAACTCCACCATGTTTCCAATACTGTGTTAGGAATGGGGAATTCACAGATTGGAAAAAAAAAAAACTTGAATGGCAGGACAGAAATTGGTCCCTTTTCTGTCTCTAATGTACCCAAGACATGCCTCTAATATCTCCTGTTACATTGTGATGCTCTGTTAGTGCCACGTGGACCCCTCTGGCTTAGCACCTCCAGGATAGGGAATGGGTTTAGGTTCTTAGGGTCTGGCATATACTAGGTTCCTGGAGAATGTTGAGAATGAACTGTTGAGCTGGACTACAGTGTGATTTGAAAAATGTTATATTAGAGCCCGTACGGGGTACTGTAAGAGGATAGGAGAGAGGGTGCTCAGCCTATTTTTCTGTTTCTTGGCCAAGGTTAAGCCCTTCTTGCCAAATGACAGCCCCATCAGACTGTATTTGGATGCAGTTTCACTTGGACAGTAATTTTACTTAAACCAATATTGGCAGTCCTCATTCGGTGGGTTACATTTTTGAGGAGGCACTGTAATTTAGAAGCATGTAAGTTGGCTGAACTAGGGTCTTTTATTTGAACGAGGACTTAAAACCCATATTTTTATAGAAAAGTCCTATGTTTAGTAAATTTTAATATACCTATTATGTAGCATACAGTTTTCTAAGGTTTAACAATCTATTGTGTGATCCTACTGGTGTTTTAATGGTGACTAACTCATTTATAAGATTTACATAGAGGTTTTCTAAAGTGTATGGAAGAAACTGTTAACACAGTGGCTATTTCTGGGGAGTAGGCCTAATGTGCCATTCAGGTGAGAAAAAGGATTTCTATTTTTTCCTGTAAAACTTCTGTACTGCTTTGAGTTTTTACTTATAATGAGAATGTTTTACTTTTATATAAAAATGAGTTAATAGAGTTGATATGAATCCCAGTGAAGGGTAAAATGCTTAAGTAGTTTTTGGAAAATGGCTACAAGCTGGGGGAGAAAATATAGGACTATGAGACTGCACAGGAGTTCCCCCCACCCCCTGCAAAGCAGAAGAGTTACCTCCTGGAGAAATGGCTGAACAGAGCAGGGGGTTGTAGTTGGATCTGGAGCTGCTGAGGAAAGGTCATCAAGGGCTGTGAAGCACATCAAGTAGGAGACCTCCTGGATTAGGTGGCTTGTGGTGCTGCTTGCTTTCAAAAATATTGGGTTTGGCCAGGCATGGTGGCTCACACACTTTGGGAGGCTGAGGCGGGTGGATCACCTGAGGTCGGGACTTTGAGACCAGCCTGACCAACATGGTGAAACCCCGTCTCTACTAAAAATACAAAATTAGCTGGGCATGGTGGCGCATGATGCCTGTAATCTCAGCTACTGGGACGCTGAGGCAGGAGAATCACTTGAACCCGGGAGGCAGAGGTCGCAGTGAGCCGAGATTGTGCCATTGCACTCCTGCCTGGGCAACAAGAGCGAAATTCTGTCTCTAAATGAATGAATGAATGAATGAACGAATGAATGCATAAAAAATATTGGGTTTGTAGGTGTTTGTGAGCAGATGAGCTCTGTCAGTGCAGGCTGCTGAATGCATGGGCCACCTGCACTGGTTTTATGCAGTGGCAAAGAGCAAATGAGGCCAAGATGGTCAGCATAGCTTCAGGTGCTAGGACTTGGCACTGATCAAAGCTTTTAAAACAATGCTTTATTACACAGACAATATTTTATTTAGTTTTTTCCCCTTACAATTTGAGTGAAGGAAAAGCAACACTATTGAACATGTGAAAACAAAGGATACGGAGATGGCTAAATGAAGGTGTATGTTGAAGGTTATAGCAGGTTCAACATTATTAAATCAGGGGTATAATTCATGCACTCAAATATGAAAAAGTTTTAGATTGGATAGATGCCTTTATTCTTGCCTGTTAAAATCAAAAGAGCTTAATTTTACAATGTTAATGAAGTGGCACTTTTTTGAGTAAACTTAAGTAGGTCACAAATACATATTGTAATAACCTTTTCTATGATACTTTAATTACATAAATGTAATTATAAAGGATATGATTCAGAAAAATAACATATTTCAAAATTCTACTATCCCCTCCCCAAATTAACTTCCGTAAGCTACTTCATACCCATGAACACACGCACACATACGTAGTTTTATTGTGTCATACTATATATATCTTGCAACCTGCCTTTTTTTTTTTTTTTTTTTTTTTTTTTTGAGACAGGTCTCACTTCATTGCCTAAGCTAGAGTGCAGTGGTGCAAACACAGCTCACTGCAGCCTTGACTTTCTGGGCTCAAGTGATCCTCCTGCTTCAGCCCCCAGGTAGCTGGGACCAACAGGCACATACCACCATGCCCAGCTAATTTCTTAGAGATGGGGTTTTACCATGTTGCCTAGGCTGAACTTGAACTCCTGAGCTCAAGTGATGCATTGCCTTGGCCTCCCAAAGTGTTGGAATTACAGATGTGAGCTACCATGCCCAGCCAACTTGTCTTTTTTTTTTTTTAACTTAACAATGGGTTTTTCAGGTCATTACTTATACTTCACCTTGTACTTTTAAATGGTTATAGTTTTCTACAATTTGAACATATCATATTTATATTCTACTTGAATTTGAGAACAAATAATTAAGCTTTCATCCAACATGATTTATACCTGAAGAAGTCCTCAGGGACTTTACAGAGCATGATAGGTATTTCAGCAATTCCATATTCTATGAACTGGTATTGGGAGCATGGAATGAAATGAGGAAAGGGAGCTACAAGTAACAATAAAGATCAGCAAAGGGCCTGGTAAAATTAATTCCAAATGCTTATTGCTATAACTTTTTGGCCAAAAAGCTTATTGGTGTGGCTTTATTTTAAAGAGAAGTCAGACCTCATAGATGATAGCTGATTTATGAAGTGTAAAGTCCTCTTTTTCTCTTTAAGTAGAAGAGCTTTTTTTTTTCATCTTCACCCTTTAGTTCTGTTTTATCCTTTGGAATGCTCATTACTATTTCTTGGAAAATAACTACGGCAGGAAGGGCTGCTTGTTTTTTAAAAAAATATAGCAAGAAAACTAACAATTTGTGGACATAATGGTCATGTAGTTTGACCATGATTAAGAGGTTATTGACCAGCTATGGACCATGGTTTTATTAAAATATAGGTTACAGCATGTAAGACTACAAATGAACCTTTTATGGGGTGATAAACTGTTCTGTGCTTACCATTTCCCTCCCCACCAAAGGAGCAGTAGTGTAGATTTGTATGTGGACTTTGACCCACACATATTTGGTGTTCTGTTTATAAATTTGGTAACATTTTAGAAGTTGCATTAGCTGCTTCATAGTGGTCATTTAATACAAAGAAGCCTGTTTAGACTCAAAATTGAAAGGCAAAGAGTTGGCATTTTTAATAGGTCTAGACACAGTTATTTCTTATGTGATCTATTTTAATGAAATTTGTTTTTAGCCTTTAAATTTAGCCTTTAAATCACTGAAATCTTCAGTGATTTAACATTTTGGCTACATTTTTTTTTTACCCCTTTATCGCTTTGCTTATAGGAACTATATGTCTTAAAGCTTTTCTGAATCCTTAAAGCATGAAGTATAGTTCTGGAGCCTTGTAAAATGAATACATGTGATGTCACAGAGTTTTCATAGCACTTTACGTGCTGTCAATTGCGTCGGTTAAAACTGTTACAAGTAATAATGTACCACAATCTGTTGAAAACTTGACCTTGGAATTTACCGGTCCTGCGAACTTCTCTCCTTTACTTTCCTTGAAGAGTAGTTAAGAGTGTATTTATTTTCACCTGTGCATGCCAAGGATTTCTGGCCCAGATGTTCTGGCCTACCAGGGAATGTGATCTAGAATACAAGCTTATAAATTATTGCTTCTTTTTATACCTTATTGTAATGTATGTGGTTTAGTGGAAAAATACATGTTTCTAATTCACTGTGGCTTCTATCTGCAGACTACCTATTATGAGCCTATCAATTTACATATATTATTACAAAACCTTACAATAGTTTTGTAAGGTCAGTGATGCCCCTGTTTAATACAGGAGGCAATAGAGGCTCAGAGAGGCATATAGTTGTCTAAAGTTACAGAGCTGGTAAGGGCAGAGCTTGGTATTCACACCCAGATGTAACAGACCTGAAAGCACATCTGTTTCACAAACTCCTAGTGGACTGCAGTGAGCGAGTTATAGAGAGAAAGAGAATGGATTTAAAAGGCAGATGGTTTTGGTGGCTTTCAGAACCAATTCAGCTGTTACTCTGTTAGTCCCAGGTTTCTTATTTGCAAAATGGAGTTTCTACTGCCCAGCTGTAGGATTATTGTGAAGATTCAGTGGAAATATATGTAAAGCCTTTGATACATTGTAGGTTTTCAACAAAATGACCTAAACTTCCACCCCCATGCCCCACCCAGGTCACCCTCTGATGAATGTAGGTGCTAGCATTGACCAGTGCCCTGTAAAATAGACCATGCATTTTAAAACATTTTAAAAATTAAAATTCTTAACTCATTTACTATACACAAACACTTATTACAGTGTTCCCATTGTAGGCCTTTTGAGGGCAGGACAGATTTCAATACTGGCAGCAAGTAATTTGTAGAGGGAGTGTTTTCTTTGTCTTTTGAATTTTTTGTTTTAATCCCATCTGGAGATTACCAACATGTCCAAAAGTTCTCATGGTGCCTGGGACCCTGGGCTGGCATTCTCTCTTGGATTCTTGATGTAGTAAGCTGTTGAAAGAGACAGGGATGACTTAGAATGAGATGGCGCTAGGAAACAAATGAGTTAAACAATATTTCTCTGATGATGAGAATTTCAAATGGGCTAACTTGTGAGTTTACAAAAATTTTATTTGTAAAACAAGTAAATTTCTTTGACTGAAATTTTCTTTTTTCTCTTTAAAATTGTTTTTAGGATGCAGAATAGAAAACTGTGATTCTTGCTTTAGCAAAGACTTTTGTACCAAGTGCAAAGTAGGCTTTTATTTGCATAGAGGCCGTTGCTTTGATGAATGTCCAGATGGTTTTGCACCATTAGAAGAAACCATGGAATGTGTGGGTGAGTAGTTTTTAATGTAACTCTCAATCTGCAACTTTTATTTTAGCACTTGTTTCTTAAAAATATGCATGCTGGATATATTTAAACTAAGAAACAAATTGGTTCTCTTGTTCAGTAGAACTGAAAATTAAGTTCTTTGCTGATTTTAAGCATCATGACAATTGGATAGTCTCATATCTTGCTGTAAAATTTGCTAGTTGTGCATTTGCTAGGTTAATCTACTTAAGTGCTAACAAGGTTTTTTTTTAATCATCCGTGTAATACATCAATTTCTTAATAGATTATTAGTAACTGTTAGAGAAAAACATTTTGTTCAGAAGAGAAGTTTTAAGCACTACCACATCAGCTAGCTACTCTATTGCTCCTGCTATGTGTGGATATTACAGAACTGCTTGCTTAGCTGTTTGTTTAAAAAAAAAAACTTGAAAAGAAATTCTTTGTGCCATATTTTGTTGATTATATGTTACAAATGCATTAAAACAATTACTAAATTTATATACCTGGAATGCATAATTTGATATATATACTATTTGTGAAAATAGTAACACATTTTATAAATTTTATATCTTCTGAGAGTTGGTAAAATACCTTGGCATTCTTATATCACCATTTGAAAGGTAAAGATCTGTCAGTGGCTACATTATGATGAATCTCTTAATCTAATCATGGATGTATTGTCATGCCCCCTCCCCAGAATTTCATTTGATGTTATATATCTGATATGATATACAACACAGCTATGTATTAGACTTTACTTCCCTTAAAATGGAGACTTAGAAGAAAAGTTGACATTTTTCTATGAAAATATTGCTGAAGTAGTCTGTAATTGTGTATTTGAGAGCTTGCAAAGAAGACATTTAAACAAGTGGTTTTTGAAGAAATGTGTGCATTTATGTTTCTACTTATGTGTGAGTTAATACATTTTATAGGCACCACTATTAAAATAAGAAAGTCACTAGAAGAACATATTCAGAATGTTGAATTTGCTTTTGAGAGGCAGGACACACACATTACACATGTTTAGTGGAAACGCTGAAATCCTTAACTATAAGCATATTATAAATAGAGTCTTATGCATTCCCTGAATAAAAAATCTTAAATGTCTTTGAAAAGTCTAAGAAGCAGCTGTGATACCCACTGATGTCTAGAAGATGGAAATATTAATTGTATGCAGACTCTGGACCTGAGCCCTCATCCACTAGCATGAAGAGGAGTTTTAACGGTGAAGTTGATGAGGAGGTTTAGCTTTGTATACCCTTATCCTTTTACTTCCTCCTCTCCCTCCCCTGGGAGTTGGGGGGTAGCCTATTTTCCACTATGTGGACTTAACATAGGAGATGCTAAAGTTTTTACGTATGTAGTAAAAACATACATTTTCAAATGACTGATCACATTTGTTTACTTTTCAAACTGTAGTAATGTACAACGCCAATGTGGGGAATAAGAACTGTGGTCTCCAGAAACCTGTTGAAAGAACAGAAAAAATCAGAAAATGCAAAGCAAGCTCCCCATCTTTTTCACCAAGTGCTTCCCAACTAAAACACATTTGTGGGTTTGGTGGAGGCAAATTTAGAACTAGCCTGTAAAATTTTGTCTTCTGTCATGACAGGAAATAGTGTCTTCTACTTTAGGTTTTAGCTGTTGACTCTTTTAAAAATTACACATTTTAGTGTCATTAGAACTATTCATAATAGCAAAGACATGGGATCAATCTAAATGTTCATCACTGATAGACTGCATAAAGAAAATGTGGTACATATATACCATCAAATCCTATGCAGCCATAAAAAAGAACGAGATCAAGTCCCCTGCAGGGACATGGATGGAACTGGAAGCCATTATGCTCAGCAAACTAGTGCAGGAACAGAAAGCCAAACACCGCACGTTCTCACTTATAAGTGGGAGCTGAATGATGGGAACACATGGGCACATGGCGGGAAACAACACACACTAGGTCCTGTAAGAATGGGGGCGATGCGGGGAGGGAGAGCATCAGGAAGAATAGATAATGGATGCTGGGCTTAATACCTGGGTGATGGGTTGATCTGTGCAGCAAACCACCATGGCACATGTTTACCTATGTAACAAACCTGCACATCCTGCACATGTATTCCTGAACTTAAAAGTTGAAGGAAAAAACAGAACTGACCAATAGCATCCTTCAAAAACTGAACTAAGACAAATGGAAAGTAACAGCTTTTTTTTGATAGAAATATCTTATGGTTCAAAAAATTAAAGTTCCCAAAAGGTGAGTATAGGTCTTCAAGGCTGTACCACTTAATTTTTGGTATCTGAAGGTGGGGTTAGTGAAGGAACACTGCTCTGTAAATTTGATGACAGTGAAGCAAATGGATACTAACTTATGTGCTTGTGTTTTTTTTTCTTTTTCTAAAAATCTTTACTAGAAGGATGTGAAGTTGGTCATTGGAGCGAATGGGGAACTTGTAGCAGAAATAATCGCACATGTGGATTTAAATGGGGTCTGGAAACCAGAACACGGCAAATTGTTAAAAAGCCAGTGAAAGACACAATACTGTGTCCAACCATTGCTGAATCCAGGAGATGCAAGATGACAATGAGGCATTGTCCAGGAGGTAGGTGTGGATATAATCACTACTGTGTGCTGTGTGCTTCCTGAATTCTCCCGCTTCCTAACCACCTTCCCTTCCAAAAATAAGTATTTATCTTTGAAGGAAACCCAATAATATTGGTGAGGGGATAAAGTTTTGTTGTACTTATTTAAAAACAAATGCTTCAGTTGTGAAAAATATGAAGTGCATATTTTATTACTTTCATAATATCTTAAACATAACTTAGGAGAGTACCTTAGTAATGAGCTTTCTAAAATGAGATTTCTAAATGTGTTTTGGTGGCTTTTTCTGCAAATGTACCATAAAAGCGGGTTCTTACGAAATCAGGCCTTCGCAGATGTTGCTCTGAGGGAAGCGGCCAACTTTCAGTTGAGAAGAGTTTAGATTAGAAAGGTTTATGGAGTCTGTAAAATCATCTGTATCATTACTAGTTGAAGATGACAACTTAAAATAAACTTGCCCAAACACTGAGAGGAATAAACATTGTCTTAATGTTACCACAATTAGCCGTTTCTCTTTGTTTTGATAATAATTTGTAGAAAACAGCTACTGGTATGTGTGTGTTTATTCAAATCTTTGTAGTAATTGTGCTGATTTGCAGTAATTATTCTGTAATAACAGGATTAGGCCCATTTAGAAATTGGAAGAGCACATAGCTGAGGTGACTGGCCGATGCAGAATCAGTAAGTTGAAATGTGGGTCTGAGCCCTGTCACTGTGCTGTCCCTAAAGCAGTAATCACTGGGTTACATTTATTTTATCACTAGCGGATGCTACAATGTCATTCGCTCAAAATAGAAGAGCAAAAAAGAAAGTTGTGTTTGGAAAACTGCTCTGTAAAAGAATCATAACTTTTGTTTGCCTTCATTCTTTCTGTGGGTGCATAGCTTTTCAGCTTTATGACCATAGCCCAGAAAGAGAATATATAACTGCTTAAAACAGGTTTATATCCGTGTTATGCTGCCTCATAGAGAATGTCTATGATCCATGGAGAAAGACAATACTTTTAAGACTCGAAGACTCCAGTCGGCCTTTGAGAACTATTAGATCCAGATTCAGAAGCTACTATTAGGAAAGCAGCTTTTCCTCTTGAATTAGTTTTGCTTTTCCTTACTGGATCTTTGAAACAAAGTTTTTTTAGGTCTGCTTTTCACTAACAAGGATGGTTTTGTTCACTTAAACTAGGTATTTTTCAGTCAAAATATAAGAAAATGTTTTCTTACAAAACTAATAAGCCACTTCTTGGATAGCTGAGAGCATTTAACCTGCAACCTTCTCCCTAAAAACAAACTTGATGTATTCAGGTATTGGAAATAAAGACTTTCTTTGTTGTATATTGTTTACATAACTAGCCCCTCCCCCATTCCTCTTCCAGCAATGTGGTCCCCCAATTGTGGTTTACATTAATAGAAAAAATTAAACTGAAAATGCTCCTATAACAAACATGCTCATGTGTAACAAGAGGCAACACATTTCCCTCCCCTCCAAAACTCTTTATTTTGACCTAGCCACAGTCTGGCTTGAGAATTTTCTAGATTACAGCTAGATTGTTAACCATAATATTTATTGCATTTGTATTTTTATGTTATCAACAACAACATACTGTCTTAGTTGAATACAACTTGATACTGTCAGCAATTTAAGTTACGCCAAAACAAATGCTTATGTATCATCTGCTAATATTCTCTTTTTGACAAGCCAGTAACAGACTGATTTAATTCTTACTGAAGTTTTACCAAGTTTTACTTATTAGGAAAGACTAGCTATAGCTCTAATTCTTGTGTCTACATTTTCAGTTTAATAAAATCAATTTTATATAACCTTTAAATAGGTTTTCAAAGTTATATCATTTTTTACTATTTTATTGAAAGGAAACTAAATATAATTGTTGAGAGAAATGGCAAATTATTCTGTAATAAGGTTACTTATATTTAAAAATGTAGGAAATGAAAACTACAAAATTAGCTTTGTAACTTGAGCACCGATTGATAAAAATTGGCGTAACTTCCAGGGGAGTATCCTACCTTGCCTCAGGTGAGAGAGAGAAAAGTTCCTTTCTTCAATAGGTCATGGCGACTAGTGGAAGAATGGAGAAGAAAGCCACTTTATCCCTTTTTACATCTTGATTTGATTTCAGTGATCTGCTTTGACAAACCATGCAAAAATGTAAGTCGTAATCAGGTTGGGAATACAGGCATTTTTAAGATCTTTGCAACATATGTATGGATTTTTCTCCTGTTGAAGCCAATCTTAACCTGATTGCACACAAACGCAGCCTTAAGCTCCTTCACACTAAAGCAGCAGCACATTAAAATCAGCTGCTTCTGATTACTGAAAGGCATAAGTTAGAGGTCAGTGTAATGCTATAGTCATCACTATGCATATAAGATATTACACTGAAAACTATTAAATATGAAAACATAAATGGCTTTAAGAGTTTTTTTTAAAAAACAGTGTAATGCTTAGCCTAGTTTTTCCTTAACTGTTATATGCTTATTTGCTTTCTTTTTTTAAAAAAAATCAAATAATATCTGGAAATATCTTTAGTAGATCAAATTACACTTGAAATACTCAGTCTTCATTCCCAAACTTTTCCTTTAGATCAGTTGTCTTGTTTTTTCATTTTTGATAGCATAACCTGTAAGGTTTCTTGGGCTTTTCCAACAATCATTCTTCAGGGTCCTGGTCTGGAGTTATCTGGGTCCCTACATCGTGTCAACTTGTTAATTCAGTGAGCCCTGACAAGTCACTTAACCTCTCTTGGCCTCCATTTCCTCATGTGTAAAATTGAGGATTTAGGGGGGGATAGGTGATCTCTGAGGTCCTGTTCTGTTCTAAAATCTGATGATTCTAGGATTAATTGCCAAAAGTTGCAGGCAAGTTCTGTGGCTGTCATATGAAGGTGAGGAAGAGACTTGGAAGGCCAGGAGTGTAGTTTCACAATGAAGGATCTGAACACTTTCCCAGTAGCTGCCCCCTGCATTTGCCAAGCCTTCCACATCCAGCAGCTTTCAGCTTCCTACTTCAGGGAGGACTCTGCTTGGTCCTTCAAAGACTAACCAAGATTCTTTTTAAATCTGTACATGACCTGTGACTTAGCTACCAATATAGCAGACTGATTTATGGCGAATGACAGAAGAGAAAAGGGTGCATAAAAGACCATGGAAAAAAGAGAGGCCAGGCGCAATGGCTCACGCCTGTAATCCCAGCATTTTGGGAGGCCAAGACAGGCAGATCAAGAGGTCAATAAATCGAGACCATCCTGGCCAACATGGTGAAACCCCGCCTCTACTAAAAATACAAAAATTAGCTGGGCATGGTGGTGGGTGCCTGTAGTCCCAGCTACTCAGGAGGCTGAGGCAGGAGAGTGGCTTGAACCCCGGAGGTGGAAGTTGCATTGAGCCAAGATCGTGCCACTGCACTCCAGCCTGGTGACAGAGCAGGACTCCGTCTCAAAATAAATAAATAAATAAATAAAATAAATAAATAAATAAAAGATGGACAATGAAAGGAAAAAATATTGAACACTGAGTATAGGAAACAAGTGGAAAAAAAGAGTGAATGACTTGAAAATGAAAGCTGTACCCATGGCAGATATAACTGTCTCCACTCCCTTTGCCCTCTCCCTGAGTATACTAATTAAGAAAATCATGTTGGGACCAATTTATGAATATATAACCTGAAGCTTTAAGTGGAAAGAATTTCAAGTCTGGGCCATGTTGTACATTAGGGAATATCTTAATACAAAAGTATAAACATGCTTTTTGTCATATATTTAAATGACACATGGAAGAACAAATTTGTGATTGCTAAGGTATTATGTTGGAGGATGTTCATGTACAAGACAAAATGTCATCTGTAGGTGGCTGTGGTCTTCTATTCTTTCACAGGAGGATTGACCAACATCATGATCTCAATCTGAAATATTCTGTCCTATCTGTGTGGGACTCCCTGCTTTCTTTGTCAAGCCCCATCACAACTCATTTTGTTAATTTATTTCATCAGATACTTGTTGAGCACTGCTATGTGCCAATCATAAGTCTAGGCATGGGATTGCTCAAAGAGTCCTTAGAGAGCTTTTTCTAGCAGGAATAGCTGCAATAAAGAAGTGGGTGATGGTACATAATCTCATGTGAAGACAAGGGCTGTGGAGACAAGTAGGACAGGGAGCTAGTGAATGGGTCAGGGTATACTATGTTATGTAGAGTGATCAGGAAAATTGAGGAAGTTACATTTGATCAGAGATCTAAATGAGGGATATACTTTGAAGCTTTAAGGGAAATTTTTTTTGGAGCATCCTTGATTCTCCTGCCATATTTTAGGGAAGAGGAAAGAACTGAGCTCCATGGAGGCTCTGACTGGTCCAAAGTGATACCTAACAAGTTACTAGTGGTAGAACCGAGAGTAGGACCATCATCCTGCTGCTTAGGAAACCTGTTTTCCTGTGCTTTTTCCTTGGTCTTTATGATAAAGACCAAAGATAAAGCCATGGTTGTCCAACATTAAACTTCCCAACTTTTAACCATTTCTCCCTCTATGCAGAAATATCATTTTACTTTTGCTCTACAAATGCTTTTAAACAACCCTGCCATCGCCATCCCTTCCAATTTGGAATCACTGGTGAAACATATCCCAATGGTCATTGCATAAGGGCCAAAGTGTTGAGCCACTGGCCTTGTTTTGATTCAGCTTTCCCTGTGAAGGCCCTACTCTCCTTTAGAGTCATTGGTCCTTGGTTGGTAGTGGGGGGAAATGTGGCTTCAAGATTGTAGTTGCCATCCCTAATCTTTCAAAGCCAGCCCTCTAGAGGAGACTGCCTTGTGTGGAGCCACATCCAACATTCATCTTTGACCATTGCTCCTTGGCCTACACAGAAGCCCTGGGTAACCTGATCCCCATCTCCACATCAGAAGGCTCTGTGCCTGGCATGTTTTTTTCCTTCTGACACATTTCAACTATCGGACTCTTAAAGTAATTAAGGTGATGCTTTGTCATATACTGGGATAGCTTTCTGCCTCTTTTGCTCACAGCTGCCTCAACTCACGATAGTGCAGTTTTTAGTAACCACACAGCAATTCTTTAAACTCCAGTCACATTTTCTTAGTACTGTGCTAAATTTAAGTATGAAATCTGCTACTGTATACTATTTTAATTTTAGGGTATTCTTTCTTTCTTCAAAAGTGGTTCTTGGTAGGAAACAAAAGAAAGTATTAGCTACTTAGAACCTTGATCTCTGCAAAAATCTACTTTTAAAAAGGTAGTAGTAGTAAGACTTCTCCAAACCTATGTTTTTTCGTGTGTGTATAAACTGACAGCAACATGTGGACTACGTATTAGGTAATATGACTAAAGATGGTTGTAGATTGTGATAGATTAACCCCAGAGCAGGAAATAAGCATATTTTTCAATGGGACAGGGTCAAGAAAATATGCGATGGACATATGTTCTTTATTTCTCTACATTTTGTTTACATTTGAGTCACAATTTATGTGGTCTGCTTTATACATGTCACCCTAAAGAGTAGTTTGGAAGAGAGGAGATAAGAGAGAACCTCTTTTCTTTTAGAGTTTGTCAAGAATGTCGATATTAAAATTTTTATGTGAAGAAGAGAGCATCTAAAAGGAAATTCTTATTGTCTTTCTGTTTGCTATGATAAAAGTGTTATAATGTCTGTCTGAGAAATCAATGATTTGTGTTAGTCATTTTAAATTAAGCAAGTTATACTATTTTCCAGGTACTCCGGCTACATGGAAGCTAATCATAATATGTGTGTGTGTGTGTGTGTGTGTGTGTGCATGTGTGTGTGTGTTTTAAGTGATTATAAACTGGGAGGGTAACCCATAAGTAGCCACTTTGAAAATGTTAGTGTATAATTATTAAGTTGGTGTTAAACAAAGATCCACTTGCCTCCAAACATTCCTTTAAGGAGCTAAAGTGTCTGAAATTCCTGCGTCAGGGGTCTGAACAGAATCTTAAGAGGAATCCCCTTCCTCTCCCCAGCCCACCCTCACTTTTTAAAATATTTTTACTTGTTTCCTGAAAGTAGGCAGAGGATAACCACTGGCACCTGGTGATGGTGGTGGTAGTTTTTCTTTTCAAGGAACGATTTCTTTCAGACTGACTAATTTTCACATATTGGAGGGTAAGGGTCTGAGGAAATGAGGGGGGCAGAAAAGGGGTCTCCAAATTAGATTCAGTCTTGGGCATAGACATGGACATAGACATAAATATAAAGGGGTGCAAAACACTCAGAACGTGGAGGATGAGGGGGTGGACATGAGACAACTTCTTTTCTCGGTTTCATTTTGAGACAATCCGAATGCCAGCCTTGCTTGCCTTGGGGGCCGGGAGTGAGTGAACTCTAGTGGAGGAAGACACACCTTTGTGCTGTTCTCTACAGCTTCCCATCTGGAATCTCTGCCAGCCCCATTTCAATGTAGTCTGGGGCAGCACGTACTAGTCTCTTTTATGGGTACTTGTAAAAAGAATTTCTCAACTACATATGCCACTGAAGACCCAAAGTTCTATGCAGTAAGCTACTCTTATGGTAATATAAAATATATAAAACATTTTTTATGACACTCCAAAATAAAAACAACTTTAATAGGACACACATGGTGTCAGTGGTAGATATTTTTCCCCCTCCGTGCAGGAGACTCGTTTTTCCCTTTTATAAGATAGGAATGTCTTAAGTATAAATGTCCTAATCATTTTTTAGAACAACTTATTCTCAGTTGGGCCTGGTGGCTCACACCTGTAATCCCAGCATTACGGGAGCACAAGGCAGGAAGATCCTGAGGTCAAAAGTTTGAGACCAGCCTGGCCAACATGTGGTGAAACTCTGTACTAAAAATACAAAAATTATCTGGGTGTGGTGGTACATGCCTGTGATCCCAGCTACTTGGGAGGCTGAGGCAGAAGAATCTCTTGAACCCAGGAGGTGGAGCTGAAATCGTGCCACTGCACTCAGCCTGGGGGACAGAGCAAGACTCCTTCTCAAAAACAACAACAACAACAACAACAACAACAACAAAAAAAAACTTATTCTCCCTATCGCCTCATCACATACTTCTCTGGGATCTTTAAATGGTGTTGATAAAAAGAGCAGTCAATTTGCTCATCTAGATTTCCTGTAATACTTCTCTAGCTACTAGATTAACCTAGAGCTGTATGTGTAGATATCCTTCACTATCAGAAGACAAACATTTTAGTGAAAAGAAAAACAGAATTTTACTAAAATCTCAGCATGATTCATGTCATCATACAGAAGTAGTTAAGATGATAAAATTACTTTGTGTAACAGAGGTGTCAAATTTTTTTTTTTTTTTTTTACCATTAATTAACCTAAAAATGTAAAGGCAGTAGTTTTTGCTTTACAACTGACCTGTTGATATGATACTCAGACCTAATGTTACTTTGTGTTAATACTATCATCTTGTGTTTGAGGACTTTGGAAACTAGGAGCAAAATAGTTGAGCTTGTCAAGAGACGTTTAATAACTGATGCTGTGTCCATATATCCTGCCCATTACTCAAAGGATTTAGTAAGAACTTAATGTACAAAGACATAAGATAACATGGTAAAAAAAAAACACCCCAAAATGTAACCTATTAAAACTAGGAATAATTTAAATTAGAATAAGAGCTCAGGCCCGAATAAAAGAAAAAATAAGCTATTTAGATCTGTGTTGGTTGAAGTAATTGAGCCAAAAATTTGACTTTAGGTTTGCTACCAGGCAAAGGGAAAAAGTAGACATGGTTCTAGGTTGATTTAAAATAAGTGCTTGATTTTAAAATATCAATTTAATAGCAGCTTTTAGAGGGGAAAATCACATATGTATGTATCTGTTTATACACAATAAACACACATGTATGGTACATGTACACACATGCACATATATACAAATACTTATTCCAATTTCAGACACATTAAAGTGTGCATGTGTTCAGGGAGGTAGTAGGACTTATGGAATTGAGGAAATTCTCACAGAAAAAAGCTCAGTAGGGAGGCAAAAGCTAAACACATTTCTGCAGTATTAGACTTCTCAAGTGGGGAATCACATGGTGGACGATGTCGTCACACCACCCATGTCACATACATGCTTCCAAAAGGTAGAAAGCAGCTTGGCGTTTATCCTTGGATGAAGGCTGAAGGTGTGACTATGAACTTGACTCAATAGTGGCATGAGTAATACTGATTCAGGACTTTAAAAAAATCATATAAATTTAAAGGGTACAAGTGCAGGTTGGTTGGTGTATTGCATAATGGTGAAGGTTAGGCTTTTAGTGTAACCATCGCCCAAATAATGTACATTGTATTCATTAAGTAATTTCCTATTCCTTAGCCTCCTCTCAACTTCCCAAATTCTGAGTCTCCAGTTTCTATTATTCCATACTCTAAGTCCATGTCTACCTCTTATTTCTCTCCTACTTACAAGTGAGAACATAAGAGTTTTCTGTTTCTGAGATATTTCACTTAGGATAATGGCCTCCAGTTCCATGGAATCAAAATGTTTTGACTTATCAGTTGTTTTTTGCTGTAATCACCCAGTAGGCTATTTTGGTGAATATTGAATGCCTTTGGAACTTCATGGTATCTAGTGAATGCAGGAAATATGTAGATCTACGTTTATAGCAGTACAATTCGAAATTGTAAAAATATGGAACCAACCTAGATACCCATCAAAGAGTGGATAAAGAAAATGTGGATATACACCATGGAATACCACTCCGCCACAAAAAAGGAATGAAATAATGGCATTTGCAGCAACCTGGGTGGAGTTAGAGACCATTATTCCAAGTGAAGTAACTCAGAAACAAAAAACCAGATATTGTGTGTTCTCACTTATAAGTAGGAGCTAAGCTCTGGGGACACAAAGGCATACAAATGAAATAATGAACTTTGGGGACTTGGGGGGAAGGGGGTGAGGGATAAAAGACTACACATTGAGTACAGTGTACACTTCTTGGGTGACAGGTGCCCCAAAATCTCAGAAATCACCACTAAATAACTTATTTCATGTAACCAAAAACCACCTGTTCCCCAAAAACTATTAGGGGGAAAAACCTCCCCAGGTGTTTCTAATATGCAATAAAATTTGAACCAAAAAAAAAAAAAAAGGTGCAGACCTATTATATTGCAGGGGGCAGTTACTCTTCAAACTTGTCAATAAATATGTATTTTCTAAATAGATTTTTATTTATTTATTTATTTATTTTTTTTTTGAGATGGAGTCTTGCTCTGTTGCCCAGGCTAGAGCACAGTGGTGTGATATTGGCTCACTGCAAGCTCTGCCTCCCAGGTTCATGCCATTCTCCTGCCTCAGCCTCCTGAGTAGCTGGGACCACAGGCACCCGCCACCACGCCCAGCTAATTTTTTTGTATTTTCAGTAGAGATAGGGTTTCACCGTGTTAGCCAGGATGGTCTTGATCTCCTGACCTTGTGATCTGCCTGCCTCGGCCTTAAGATATTCTTAAATAAGGTCAGGAGTTGCATATTTAGGTGCAGAGTTATTTCTGGTGATTATCTCAAGGCCTGCACTCATATTTTTAGATAACCTTTTGCAATTTTTTGTTGTTTCCTCTCCAAGGCTGGCCTTTGATTATCTTAATCTGTGTCAAAGCTATTTGTTATGAGAGAACCAAGGAGATTTTGAGTAAATGTTTACCGAATTGCATTGACTTTTAAAAAATATGTTACAGGATGCCTTCCAATTTCTCTTTCAACCTACTTCCCCAAGATAATCCAGTGTTGGAGCTGGGATTTAAGCAATCTGTCATTTTTCTATTGCCGTGTCTTTAGGTCCATTGAATCAATTAAGCATCCATTACTTCCTATGTTCTAAAGAAATGGGAAGATTGGGAGGAGAGAGTGATACAAACAAGAGAGTTTATAGCCAGGTTACGGAATAAGAAAATGCACATTAAAGATAAAAGGCAAAGCTTAATTTTTAAATTATTGAGTGTCAGGTAAAGATGACATTGTTACAGGCTCTGATACTATAGAACAAAAGGTATTGTTTTTAGCTGCCATTGCCAGGGAATAGGAATAGTTCCTGAAGAGGATAACTTATATTAGGAGGAGTGGGTAGAAACCATGTTTAAAAAGGGAGATCATTTTAGACAGAACACTGTGAGGAAAGATACACCAGAATGTGCCTCATGCACCCAAGGGAGGTGAAGCAAATGAACCTGGCCGAAACGCAGAATTTGTGAATGGCAGTCACAGAAGCTCACAGAAAAAAATATAAGTTGCAGCCTGACTGAAGTGTGTCCATGGAGAAGACAAGGAGTTTGAATTTTACCTTGTGTACTGTGGAGAGCTATGAGACATTTGAGTGTGAAGGTGTTTCAGTAGAAAGCTGACTGAAGATGGAAGTGACTGAAATGGTGTTGCTAAAGTGTTAGGAAGAGGATCAACTGTACATCCCTGATTTAGGGCAGAGCATTAAACAGAGTCTGAGTCTGATGAGAGAATTAGCAGAGAATACTTACGGGTTCTGATGTTTACGTGTTTTCCTGTTGTTTGCTTTTCTAAAGAGTGGAGGATTTTGCCTTGGCTTGTGGTCCACTGTGGCCCCTGTATCTCTTTTTGCCAACTTTCTAAGCCAGGCCATTCTCTAGTTTGTATTTGTACAGTTTTTTCTTTTTCTTTTTTTGAAATCTAGGCACAATTTGCTTTCACCCTAAGTGAACTATATTTGTTTCTAACTACTACTTTCATCTGCCATTTACCAAGATCCTTGGATGTAGTATTTCCTATTTTCTAGCTTGCCATGTTAACCTTATAATGAGTTTCCTGTACTAGCCAGCTTGGAGTACTCTGAAAATTTAAAGTACACAAATCAAATATTCAGGTCAAGGATGAAAATGTTCCTACAAAGTTCAATTTCAATTGTATAATCTAACATGGTTTTATCTAACATGCCGCTGACTAGCAAAAGCAGTGTCCTGGAACATTGGGTTGAAAAGGATTCTGAGTTAAATGCTGTGTTCAGGAGAAAACCATGTAGCTAATCAGTTTGCAGTTTGTGGCATGAAGTGAGAAGCAATGTATTTTGTATTCATTCCTCTGAATTCTAATCCCTTGACCGGTTCTGCTTACAGCTCTTCCTGCTGCCTTCTCTCCAACCTTACCTACAGCACACACTTGGACATCTTTGACAAATAATCATCTAGCTTTTATTTTTTACCTTCAGTGATGGTGGATGTCTTTGTATGTTGGAAAAAACAGAATCGGGAAATTTAAATGGGGTTTTAAATTTGGTATATGGCCGGTCTTGACTACTTACGGGTTGAATGACAAGTTATTTTATTTCCCAAAGCTTAGTCATGTATGACATGTAATCTCAATAAGATTGTTGAGAGTAGTAAAGGGACATGCATACAAACAGGTGAGTTGTTACTATTCTGTTACATTTTGTTGTAATCCTGTTGTTAATTATACAATATTTTTCACATTTTTCATCTTTCTTATAGCTGGCCTGTTTTTGCCTCTTCATTCTCCTTTAATTTCGGCCTACCTTGTGGCTTCAACTATGATTCAGACATGCACCTTCCTTCTGTGCCCCAGTCCCACAGGTTTGTCCGTTCGTGGGCACCTCTCCCTAGGTGTCCTGCCAGCATGTGCAACTAAGCACAGCTAAACTGTAACTGTCTTTGCAAAACCTCATTTCTCCTGGGACAGCCCCCCTTTCCAAAGGCATCACTAGTCTTCTAGTTACTCAGGCTTGCAGTCCTATCTTTGAATCTTTTCCTCACATTCAGACAGATTGGAAGTCGAAGATTTGCCCAACCACCTAAAATGTATGAACCAGACAAGTTTACTTAATCTCTCTGAACTTCAGTGTCAGCATCTATGTTACGGGGATAACAGATGCTTGCTTCACAGGGCTGTTATGAGGATTAAAGGACATCATTCATACTTTGCCTAGCACAGAGTGAAGGATCACAAAGTGTGAGTTCTTTAAATAATGACCCACCCAGTCTTACATCTCAGTGCTCCACACATCTTCATTTTTATTGTCTCTACTCAAAGACTTTTAATTCTCTTTACCTAGAATGTTGCTATAACTTTTGTTAGGCAGAGGGAGCAAATATTCATTTGCATTTCAGCAAACAGATGTGTCAACATATACAAAGGTGAACTCGTTTCACCTCATCGACAGTGTAATCTAGGTGGTAAAATTGAAACATTAAATTTTAAAAATGGCAGGAAGAGGCACTGAGCCTCCTGATTAGCATAGGGCTTAGAACAGAGGAAGCCTCAAATGTTGAAAGGAATGAGGGTTGCAGGATGAACAGGGCAGGCTAATGGTGGCTGAGGAGATGAGACTTCAGAATATAGACCTGGAGTATGGGACAATTGAATAAATGAAAAGGAGGGTGAAGGGAAAAGATAAACTGAGCTAAAATATGAACATTGGGATGTATACAGCCTAACATTTACTAAAATATAGAGAACCTGTTGAAACAATGCATGTGTTACGTAGCAAAAGAATAAAAATTGGGGCATACAATAGAAATAAGGAAAAAGAAGCCGAGCACGGTGGCTCATGCCTGTAATCCCAGCACTTTGGGAGGCCGAGGCAGGCAGATCACAAAGTCAGGAGATCTAGACCATCCTGGCTAACATGGTGAAACCCCGTCTCTACTAAAAATACAAAAAATTAGCCCGGCGTGGTGGCAGATGCCTGTAGTCTCAGCTACTCGGGAGGCTGAGGCAGGAGGATAGCATGAACCCGGGAGGCGGAGCTTGTAGTGAGCCGAGATCGCGCCACTGCACTCCAGCCTGGGTGACAGAGTGAGACTCTGTCTCAAAAAAAAAAAAAAAAAAAAAAAAAGGTAAAAGAATGAACTCAGGAGATAAATCAAAATCTGTAAGAATTGGTTACCAAATTGAATCTCATAGATTGGCCATTCCAGAAGAATTTGAGGTTTACAGAATTCACACAGGGAAGAAAAAGTCATTGCCCATTTGTGATGATTCATTTACAAAGATATTTTTCCTTTGGAAATTTAATTCCTTAAACCATTATATATTAGTAATTCAATCTTAAAGACAGCATGGGGCTTGTAGAAGAGAAGGAAACTCTAGGCCTAGAGTTTATCACTAGTTTATCTAGTGATAAAACTAGATTTTCTCAGGGTTTGGAGAGAGGCCTGGCAGGTAGATATCTGGACTCTCATCCTTGGTTAAATAAGGTAGTTCTGTTTTTTTGTTTTTCTCTTTGACATTTCAGGGATTTTGTATGCATGAGTAAAAAGAGCATGTCTTCCTATAAAAACAGAACTTCAAGATGCACTCATTTGCATCCCTTCCTTTACAGACTGGAAACTAAAGTGCTGAGAGGTGAAAGAGTGAATTCCCCATGATGATGATGGTAGATGATAAAGCAAAGCTTAATTCTTGCTTTGATGTTAAACCTAGAGCACTTTCTCCCATATGGCTTCTTTGTCTTTCAACCCATAATAATCCCTGAGAATTGCTCAGATGTAATGCAATTAAGATTTTTTTTGTGTTATGGTATAGAAGAACTGTGGTGATTAAGCTATTATTTTTGCAGTGTTTCCTCTCAAAAGACCAGTATGAAACTTGGCATGGACTGAATTCAGTAACATGTCTCCTATTTTTGGTGGACTCTGCAAGATTCTATGATATACCAATAAAAAGTTATCTTTAAGTGGCTTACAATCTTTCATTTAGATATACAAATTATATATACTTAAATATAGTATAAGGTGGATAAGCACATGATATGTACCTCAGCAAAACTTATTTTATCTTGAATTGCCCCTATAACATTTTATTCAGCAGTTATTATCTTTCCTTAGTCCTACGAGAAAATTTTCACAGATTTTCTGCTCACTTTTTGGTGATACAATCCTATTAGTCATTAATGCAATCTTAATTTAGTTATTAGAATGTCTATTCCAAGATAATAAACCAGAGACTTGAATTATAAGTTTGATTATTACCATAAACTTAGAAAATATACAAAAGACTTTGGCTTATTTGAAGAGTCTATTTTGCAAAATACTGAGTGCTTATACCTCTTTCTTGAAAACTCTAAAAGAAATGAACCTCTAAATAAATGGTAAAAGGAATTGAGTACTAATCCAGGTAAGATGTGTATTGTGTAAGCTCCCGTCCCCCTCTCCCTCTGTTCTTCTTTTCATCTTACGTCAAAACCTGTGGAAGAAAACCACATGCCTGTGTCTTGCATCTGTGCACAGATTCCTTGTAGTATTCTTGTCTTTTACATGGTGAGAGTGATATTGCTAACTTGAGTAATTTAAAGTAATTTTGGCCTCAAATGTCAAGTGTCTGTTGCATTTCAGATCTTCCTCTATTTGGTATAATTGTCAACTCTAAGTGTGCAGATTGACTTAATATAGTCATCAAATATGCTTTGAATTAAGAGTTATTTGGGTTGCTTCTGCAGCTGTGTTTGAAGCAGTGTACTCTGTGTTGCCATTACCAGTTTGCTTCTACTTTATCAGAAACATAAGACCTGGATATCCCAAGAACCGCTACGTGAAATTTCTCCACCAGGCGATGGCACGTGAGCATGTCTAGTTGCAAAACTATAACATCAGTAGTAGCCTAATTTGAACCGTTCCTTTTATAATACCTTGCATTTATTAAGAACTTGCTCAAAGGAGTTCAAGCAAGGGCGGTGACCTCTTAAACACCCATATTTCAAAGTTTTTTTTAACCATACAGTTCTCAAAATGCTGATATTTTATGTAACTTTCAGTACTTAGTAACATTATTCCACAATCAGTATTATGCAATGAACACATAAAGATTGAAAATTCAAAAATATGTGATCACTTATTGTGTGTGTGTCTGTGTGTGCGCGCGCACGCACGCATGTGTGCATGGTGTGGGGAGGAGAGGGAATAAGTATTTTCAGCACTGCATTTAAGGAAATGTTCAATGTTGGGCTCGGCATTTTGTTTGACAGTTGTCACATTGTTTTCATTGTCTCTCCACTTTTGTTTATTTCCCTGCTGCTTAAGCAGCCTGATGAAATCTCATCAGCTAACTGGGACTGAATTTTGATGAGTGTCAAGTTGCTTTGATGAAATCTACTGTAATCATCTTAAGCCCAACTTTATTTGGCTTTAATGCTGGCATTTTCCATATTGAGAAAATTAGTGCATTTGTCCGCTACTGGAGTTGGAAGCCCAGTAAGAAACAAAGATAGTCAAATAAAAACAGCAACTATAATTTAAGTTCATTTTATACCTTTGAATGCATGGACAAGCTAGCTATGAAACAACCTTTTTTTTAT
Organism: Homo sapiens; assembly: GCF_000001405.40. Lineage (NCBI taxonomy): Eukaryota > Metazoa > Chordata > Mammalia > Primates > Hominidae > Homo > Homo sapiens. The sequence continues at coordinate 107,942,784 of NC_000008.11, read as the reverse complement.
GTTTTAGCATCTGTTCCTTTTAACAACAATAACAATAAAATCAGGATTAGTTATTAGCCAAAAGTATTTTTACCCATGAACAACTAGAAAAAGCAAATGTGTAGTTCCTATTGACCAGAAAAAAAGCTTTGCTGTCCTGTTATCTGGATTTTCCTAAGAGGGGCAAACATGATTTTGTATTTTTATACTAAAATTCAAGATATTTAATTTTATGAACAAAGAAATTTAGTTTAAAATTTTTACTTTCTAGTGCTATTTCAGGCTACAAAGTCAGTGCTATAAGAGAATCAAAATATCCTAAACTTAGATCTTTATTTTAGATACTTAAGATGTAGAAGAAATTAAGCTTGCTGAAATTTTATATAATGAAACTATGTGATAACACTGTATCTCTTAGGAGATCATTGTGACAATTTCAAGAGGCGTGGGCATTAGATCATAGCACTGCAAATGGTTTTTAAAATGTTAACATGGGCTGAAATAAGATATTTAGGTGTTCAGCCAGTACATTTTACTCTCCTAATATAGGAAGTCAGCAACCTTCTCCTTTCCCCAGGGCTTCTAAATCAAATTTGTCCTGGGGCTGGAATTGGAAGAGACCCTACTTTTAGGGTAACCATGGGCAGTTTAGCCACCCTTGGAGGTTCTTGGGGAGACCAGGGCTGTTGTCTGAACACTTAGAGATTATTCTCTGCTTATCTCAGTTTTCTGGTTTCAGTTGATTCTCTTAAGTTACTATCGAATCTTGACCCTCAAAGGCTGGCACAGAACATCCCCCCTCTAAAACTCCTACAGATGGTGGCAGTTTATATGAAGGCAGATAATTGGTGGCAGTTCTGTGGTCATGGGAGAAAGTTATATAGATTTCTGCACAATCATGAGACTTTCTAGAACCTAATTCAAATCTTTCCCTTTTCATGTTTTTTTCCTTTGTCAGTTTTCAGTGGGCCTAACCTGATTTATGAATCACTAACTATAAAGAATTCACTTCATAGTTTTACTACATTGTTTATAGAGTGTTCAATCAAGAAGCACTTCAGAATTACACCATTACCAAGTCTGCTCACTGTGAAACCAAGCAGATTTCTGCGTGTGAACAGAACAGAATAAGCAACATGCTGACTCTCACTGATTAGATTTATTCATGGTCAGAGTGGTCTCTTATAGTGATACAAATTTCATTTTATTTTATATCTTAAGTAATTTATGATAGCTTTCATTTATGTTTAAGTAAATATCTAGCCGGGGGCTATCTTAATGGATTTTACAGAAGAAGCCCCAAAACACAAAAATGGTCTACATTTATTATGTATAGGGTGTAGAAATTGCCTTTACATAAATAACGTTAGAATTTACATTTTGCAGTGATCTATTTTTTGGCACCCATTTATTAGTCTGTTATCATTGCAATCTAGACAAAGCATCTAATGAGTCTATTGTAACACCCAAGTTCCTAGACCTTCTTGCAGTTTGATTTAGAGGAAGGCCACCATAGAGATAATTTCTAAATGAAGAATGTAGGAAAGTGATTTCTAACAGCTCTGTTCTGAGCCTCATTTCTGGATTCTGACTGATTGTGTCACAGCCCCAGATGAATCTCAAATAATTATTTCAGAGTCGGGATATGATTGGTATAAGGTCCACGCCAATCCACCAGCCTGAAAAAAAAATCAGTGAACTATACATTTTTTTGGGGGGTAAGATGTGTGGTTTTTCATTATAGCAAATATTTTAAAACCATGAGCTGTGATAATGAAGTGATTCAAGATTTGAAAAGGTATATAAACTGCTACAACAGAGATTAAAAAAAGAACCAAATGCTGATAGCAGGGAACTCAAACCGCTGATTCCAATTGTTTGAAGGTTCATAAAGGGGAAATATAATAAGCCTTTCTAAAACAAAAGAAAAAAACTGTATCAGAAGGGAGCTGTGATTGATGTTTTCATCAATGGCTAAAACGGTTCCATTTTTCCATTTTTTCCTTATTCATCTATTGGTTAAAATTTTGCAAATAGCTGTTTCCATTAAATGAATTTTCTTTCAAAATTGTGCTTGGAAGGGGTTCTTTAGCTTTCCAAGTTCTTTGGTTTTTGAGGACTTGAATCTACATTGCTTGCTAGACTCTACTTCAGGAAGGGGTTTTGTTGAGGCAGATGCTAAATGGCCTTGGGCCAAGAAGCTATGAGCCAAGCATTCACTGGGAGTTGAAGCTTTCCTTAGAGAAAAAGACCATCTGACTTTTTAATTAGAAAACTGCTCCAGTCCACACCTCAGTGTCATCTCTTGGGACTCCTAAACCAGAATCTAGGGTAGCTTTACTAGTGTTTTTCTTTTTTAAAACATGCAATAAAAATATAGAACCATAGCCAGGGGAGGGATGGAAGGGTAAGGGGGTATGTCTCAAGGGGTTGATAACAGGATTAGAACTTTGTAGAAATAATTTGCATTTCTGGCTAGTGTCTGTTAATAAAACACACATACTTAACTTGGCTGGAGTTACGAAACCTGGTGTTTTACATTTTGAGTTCCTTTAAGGCAAAATCCAACACTTTATCTGCTAAGCAGAAATGACCACCTCTGAGAAAATTTAAGAACTAGCCCTCAGCACAGGAAGAAGTAGACTAGTTTGAGAGGAAATCCACTTGAGATGAAGCCCTTAGCCAGTTCAGTGGCAAAGGCAGAACTTTCTTCAAGTTGTTGGTTGGTGAAATTGATGATGATAGTATAATAGCAAAATCAAAGGGATCTAGGGTGGCTGCAGTCTATAACTTTGAAGAAGCTATGTTCTGCTCTGCTGACTTATAGGGCATCAGTTCAGATCTGTTGGTATTAGATATTTCCTTGATGTTACCTCTGGTTCAAAGATGATATTAATATTAAGCAACTATAAATTTTTAGGAGCGATACTGTTTAAAATAAACCACACTTAGCTAAAATAGGCATTTTACTTGCCAGACAGTCCCAGAAAAATCAAGGATTTTTTTAAAATTACCAAGCTAGTAGCACACACTAGACTTTGAGATTCTAGATGTTTTTTTTCTTGTTATGTTGCCAGAATGCAGGCAAAACGCTTGGCATTTAACTTGCCATCTTCTGCCTGTGGTTCTATACAAGTTGAGAAGGTGCTTTATGGGGGTCAGTAATACAAATGTTACAACAAACTTCTGAACTGTTAGTACTTTACTCTCAGCAATTCGAGCTGTGCTCTTGCAAATATTCTTCATTTTTAAGTTATTGAACAGCAGAACCAGAGTCAAAAGCACAGTAGAGACAGCCTTAATGTTAAAAAAAAAAAAAAAAAAAAAGATAATTTAATTTATTTAAATTGTCGTTTGGTGTAACTGTCCCATAATAACTTTTTCATCATTGAGCCCTTTGGTCTAGTAACTTTTCTATATTTTTTCGCTTGTTCTCTCAGCTTGTGATAAATCAGCTATACCACTAGGCCATCAAATGTATTCAATTTTAGAAGAAAACACTTCACAATTGTTTAAAAATCCAGAGTATTCACATGGGGAAAGTGTGGGAGGTTTCAAGTTTCTGAAACATTCTGCAGAAAATGAAGTGATAACAGTTCCTGCCGGTGGCCATATGACTCAATAATAACTGGAAGGAAAAAAAAAATGTTTGTTTAGACTTGGCCGGAGTTAATAACAAGCAAGAATTATCTTATTTTTGCTCATAAACATGTTTCCTTTCTTCAGAATCCCTTTCCTCATCTTTTGTAGATACTTCAGGCTCTCCTGACACCTGGCTTCGCTCTTGGAGGGATGTTCAAAATGTATTTTGTGCTGATTCAAGGCTTTATTTTGATTCCTACTATTCATTAAAAATGCAATAACAGAAAAATCTCATTTTTCTTGCCTCAGTTAGCCTGCGCTATGGCAAAATGTGGGTAGCATTTGTAGTAGGCAGTCCAAGGTTGATGTCTGGAAGGTTTTCATTTTAATTCCAGGACTTAACTGCCTCAGTTCATCAAAATGCTTTACTGTTTATGGTTGCAGAACGCATTTGGCACCAACATGTGCTAACATGAGCTTTTGTTGTGTTTAAATTTCTTCCCAGCTTGGCTGGCCAGATCTTTATTTTATTTTGGTGCAAAGGCACATCTGTCACCTGTCTCCTCAGAGGTTATATGCCTCTTGGGAGGGACTCCTTTTTACTGAATCTGTGCTTTATGTTTAGCTTCCAAATACTTTACATGTTTCTATAGCCACCACCAGGTGAGCCACCCAATTTTTAATCGACTTGGTTGATGGGCTGGGGAATTACAGTCTGTTTTATTGTATTTATTTATTTTCACTAAGTGGGTGGGATATTACAGCTTTAATAAATGACCTTTTGTGTTGTGAGCAGAGAGAATGTATATTTTGACAAGAAAAGCTTTTATTTCAATATGTTAAGTAATTCTTGTAGGAATTCATAAATGAAAGATTTAAGATAACGTATTTGAAGGAGGGAGGCTGAAGCATTTGCCTGGGAAAAGGTGGATAGTTAGAACTATCACAAGGCTGAAATTACATGAGTATTTCTGGGTTAATTTTAATGTATTAATATTTTAAAAACTAAATTCACAAAGACTTTAAAAAGAGGCAAAATATTTGATAAACATACCAAGAAATGTAGCAAAACTAAAATTTTTAGCTTAATGTGGTGATAAGACTTCTAATTTTGTAGAATGTTTTATCCTAACTTGAAATTTAAACTCTAATGTCACTAAGTTTTTATGTTGTCGGAGTGTTATTTGATACAGCACTTTTATGCTGCAATTTCATTTCAAGGATATTATTGTGGACAGGTTTAGGATTTTCAGTAGACTAACAAGAAATATTTATATATACCCCATTTGTTCAGTGTGTGTATATGAGCAAATTGTGTATTTTCATAACTGGTCTGCTGAAAATATTGATGGGGAGCACTACCTGTATATGGATCAAATTCATTTGGTGAAGCATCCAGTTACTAAAAATTTTGGTGAGAGTAACTTTACAGAAAAGCCGTAATGTAGAATTGCAAATTTAGATATTTGGGGTAAGAATTATGGTGATTCTTTTGCGATCAGTTCCTTGATGACCTGGCATCTCTAGTTGATGCCAATCTGTTCCAATCTTGACACCACCTTGGGGCTCCACTTCTGGCCACCTTCTTCTGTTGCTCTTTTTTTTTTTCCTTCAAATGATGGAAGGTATAATAGCAAAGAAATAAAAAGAGCAAGGGCAGCAAAGCAGTGTACAGAGAGGAAAAAAAATGCCTTCAGATTTTCTTCCCAGGACTACCACTTAATAACTATGTGGACTTGGACACATCTCTGATACTGTGGAGACTGATTATGGAACTGATGTTGCAGGCTCGTGAGGTTTAACATTACCTGACTTCACAATATGTTACAAGTCCATGGTAATCCAAACAGCATGTATTGCTGTAAAAACAGACACATAGACCAATGGAACAAAATAGTCCAGAAATAAATCCACAGACTTACAGATAACTGATTTTTCAGTACAAGTGCTAACAACATACACTGGGGAGAGGAGAGCCTCTTCAATAAATGGTGCTGGGAAAATTGAGAATCCATACGCAGAAGGATGAAACTGGACCTTGTCTCTCCCCATATAAAAAAAAAAAAAAACAACTGAAGATGGATTAAAGACTTAAACTAAGGCCTGAAACCATAAAACTACTAGTAAAAAAATAGGGAAAACACTTTAAGACATTGGTCTAGGTAAATATTTCATGACTAAGACCTTGAAAGTACAGACAACTATAACAAAAATAGACAAACGGGACTACGTTAAACCAAAAAGCTTCTGCACAGCCAAGGAAACAACAAAGTGAAGAGACGATCTGTTGAAAGGGATAAAATATTTGCAAAGTATTTGACCAATAAGAGACGAATATCCAGAATATGCAAAGATCTCAAACAACAATAAACCCATTAGAAAATGGACAAAGAACATGAGTTGACATTTCTCAAAAGATGACAGAGAAATGCCCAACAGGTATATGAAAAAATACCAACATTACTCATCATCAGAAAAATACAAATCAGACCTGTACTTGTACCTCTGAATTTACAAGTTAAAAACATGTAAAAATAAAAAATCCAAAATGAGATATGATCTAACCCTAGTTAGAAAGGTTATTATTAAAAAGACAATAACAGATGCTGGTGAGGATGTGGAGAAAGGGAATGCTTCTATACCATTGGTGGAAATGTAAATTAATACAACCACTATAGAAAACGGTATGGAGAGTTCTCAAAAAACTGAAACTACCGTATGACCCAGTAATCCCACTGCTGGGTATTTATTCAAAGAAAAAACAGAATAACAATGGATTTCTGTGTGATTTTCTTCAGAAATCAACACTCATCTGTTTATTGCAGCACTATTCACAATAGCAAAGATATGGAATCAAACCAAGTGCCCAAGGATGGATGGATGGATGAAAGGATAAAGAAAATGTGGTATATAAACACAATGGAATACTATTTGGCTATAAAAAATGAAATCATCATTTTGCAATAACATGGTTAAAACTGGAGGTCATTATGTTAAATAAAATAAGCCAGGCACAGAAAGACAAATATCACATGTTCTCATATGTAGAAGCTAAAAAATTGATCTCATGAAGATAGAGAATAGAATGATGGGATACCAGAGGATTGGAAGGATGTGTGGGTAGGAAGGGAGGTACAGAGTTTGGTTGGTGGGTATAAAAATATACATAGGTAGAATAAATAAACTCTAATATTTGATAGCAGAGTAGGGTGGCTATAGTTAACAACGTGTATATTTCAAAGAAGCTAGAAGAGAGGGTTGAAGTGTTAGCAACGCATAGAAATGATAAATACTCAAGTTGTTGGATACCCCAAATACCCTGAATTGATCATTACACAGTCTATGCATGTAACAAATATTCAGATGTACCCATAGATAGGTAAAATATTTTGTTATCGATTTAAAAAAAATGGTGTCTGCACCATTTGCCAAATGCCTCCGGCTATTTAATTAGTGTGTGGCAACTCTTTCAGCTGACCCAGGGTGGCTTGCTAAGACACTAGAGCTCTTCAGTTTCCATAAAGTAGTATTGTTCCAGATTCCTAGCTCCTCAGTTAGACAAGTGAACCTAGGTCCTTTATTCATGAAGCATGAAGGGCACCATTTTACCATCCAGTAGAGCATGATTTTGTGGTAGAGCATGATTTTGTGGCTTTGGTGCATCCATCCTGAGCCTTCGTGTCTTCTTATTCTTCCTATCTGCTTGATTTACTGTCCCCACTGGCTTGGGCAGTTGTCTCTAATTTCTATTAGAGTTCTGGCCAAGGTTTCCCCAATACCTGACAATCCTCCCAGGAGGATAAGAATTTTTTACAGGACCCAGTAGGAAGCCATGAGGTTACAAAATTCTAAGGTAAATATTTAGATTATATCCATTTTATTCTTATCTCATAATGCATAACTATTGGGTTATTAATATATATCTTCTGAAAAAAGTTTAAAAATTAGCTTGAAGATTTACAGTAGTATGTAATTTTTATCTGCAACTGTATAAGACAGACACTCCCAGAGTGCAAGATCTCCCCATGGGAATGCATTCTCTTAGGGCTGTTCCTTGCTGAGAAAAAGAATTCAGCGATATTTCTCCTATTCACTTTTGTAAGAAGAGAAATACTATTCTGTTCTGTCCCGCCCCGCAGGCAGTCAGGTCCAATGGTTATCTCCCTTGTTCCCTGAAAATCGCAGCCATCCTGTTCCTTTTGGATGCCCAGATTTCATATTGTTCAAACACACATGCTCTACAAACAATTTGTGCAGATAACGCAATCATCACAGGGTTCTGAGGCAACATACATCCTCAGCTTATGAAGATGATGGGATTAAGAGATTAAAGACAGGCATAGGAAATTATGAGTATTGATTGGGGAAGTGATAAATGTCCATGAAATCTTCACAATTTATGTTCAGAGATTGCAGTAAAGACAGGCATAAGAAATTATAAAAGTATTAATTTGGGGAACTAATAAATGTCCATGAAATCTTCATAATTTATGTTCTTCTGCCATGGCTTCAGCTGGTCCCTCCGTTTGGGGTCTCTGACTTCCCGCAACAGGGCCAGGCATGGTGGCTCACACCTGTAATCCCAGCACTTTGGGAGGCTGAGGCAGGCAGATCACCTGAGGTCAGGAGTTCGAGACCAGCCTGACCAACATGAAGAAACCCTGTCTCTACTAAAAATACAAAATTAGCCAGGTGTGGTGGCACATGCCTGTAATCCCAGCTACTTGGGAGGCTGAGGCAGGAGAACGGCTTGAACCTGGGAGGCGGAGGTTGCAGTGAGCCGAGATCATGCCATTGCACTCCAGCCTGGGCAACAAGAGTGAAACTCTGTCTAATAAAAAAAAAAAAAAAAGGGAAATGAGAAGATGCTTTGTATGTAATGAGTCTGGTTTTTTTTAAGGCATACCTAAACTTTTTAAAGATTTTAGTACATTCTGTATTTTGGATTATTTTCTTACAATAGATTGAATAGTAGAATTACTGTATAAAAGGATGTGATTTTTTTTGCCAACATATTTATATTGCCAAATGGCTTTCCAAAAAGCTTGTGTTTGTTATTATGCTACCAGCATGAGTACTAGCCTTACGACATCTTGCCAGAACTTAATTTTGTATTGTAAAACATAATTTTATAAAACAATACTTGATCTGTTTTCAGTCATATTTATTTATTAATGAGGAGGATTCCTCCTTCATTTCTTTACAAGTTGCACTTCATTTTTTTGTGAATTGTCTTTGGAACTCTTGCCCACCATAGGCAAAGAACATGCATTCCTTAACAGGTTTAAAAAATATATTAAAAATGTGGTTATTTTATTTTTTAAGATGAGTGTCCAAGACTTCCACAATGACAAAGAACTTTGAATTTTTCAGAGCTGGACAACTTAAAACTAGATTATTGGGTCCAAGTACAAGGTCTTTAATTTTTAGATGGATTGAAATAAGTCCAAAGTTATACTAAAAATGCTGAATTTATAGACTGTTTTGTCGTACAATGATAGTTTTAGCTTCTGTTCTTGAGTTCTAAGCTTTCTAAGTCTTGAGTGTTGCCAGCTAAGGCAAATAGAATTGAGGACATGTCAACTTGTTTTTGAAAAATTGCTTTAAGAAAAAGAATTTTAAAATATTCCTGAGGTAAAACTTGGCATATGTGCTTCACCAGAAATCTGTTCATGGGTTTCATCAATTTTTAGCATTGTTAATGTGGTGGTACTTAAAACATTTTTTTACATAAACACACACACACATATAGAGAGAGGGTGATAAATTTATATATATAAATGGGTGATAAATTTAAGACCAACATTTTTATGAGCATAGAAGTAAATGAAAGAGAATGGATAATTTAAATATGTGTATATTTCGTATACAATCCTTTTGGCCAGTTACTTTTCAAAAGTTGACTATTTTTGTGTTCTTTTACTTTTATAGCAGGCTCAACATGTGCATGGACTAGGTTGTAATGCTAGAAAAATGATGCCATCTGATTTCTTATGCTGATAGTGACATGGTTAATTTAAACTCGCATCAGATTGGAGAGGTGTACCTATGTATAAGGAAAGACTCCATTAGGCAGTGTTGATGAGAAAGTTGCATCATGGCTGTTAGTCTTTTTATGATGGAATAACATAAACAGGCTAAGGAAGATAGGCTGGTGTTTTGGTGTTCTGTAGGGATAGAGAGAAGGCTCTCTAGGATCTGTCCTTTCAGCCACCCACATAAAGTAGACATGAAAAGCATACTAATTTCTCTATCTTCTTGCCACTTTCTTATCCCATCCCCTTCTAGTACATCAAAGTTTTCCAATGCAGATTTAGCATAAGGTTTCAGAAATTACAGACTGTGTGGATGAGTGTCCTTACAATTTCAGCTGATCCCTCAGGCCAGCTTAATGATCGGTTACCTTGCTCTCTCTCTCTCTCATTTGGCACAGTAGTTATTCCTAAACTTGACTGTTTCTTTTCAGTAGATGATGTTGTTTTCTCTTTATGACAGACAATTGGAAGTCAGCACCCTCACCTTTCTGCCCATCTGTATATCTTTAAACATTGTACCGACTTGTATTTTCTTGTGAAAGAGATAAACTTTTTTCTTTTAAGGCTACCCCAAGCATTCTTAGGCCTTAGCTCTTCTTTTCCAAGAGGATCTTATTTACCTGTTATGACCTGTTTATTATCTTTTCCTCCTTTTCTCTACCAGCTCTTTCTGCATGTCGTTATTACTCCAGCGCCTAATCTTCATATTTCCACCTGGTTATTCCACATGTATTTCAAATTCAAAATATCTAAAATGACATCTAATTCTCTGCTCAAATGGGCTCTTCAGCCTACTATGCCCTATTTTAGAAGGTGGTATTACCTCCCTACTCACTTTAGCCACAACCTAGAAGTCACCCGAAACTCCTCCGAGATTATCCTTATTTCCCATATACATTTGGTCACCAATTCCACTGGATTCTACCACCTTCACAACTTGTTGGCTTCTTCCTCTCTTAACCCAGCTCTACTCTTTCCTCTCTTTGCCTACCTTGACTACTTCAGTGGTCTCTTAAGTGATCTTTTCTCTAAGACCAACTCTAGGAGAATAGGTATTTATTATGCAAAATTATAATCTTTAACTTCTTCTGGGTATTACCTTGAAACAACCAATTACGCACCTATATTTATCATGTTGCCAAGATCTTAAGCATTAACTGTATTTTGGAGATAGTCTTTTAAAAAAAACATACATTGCATTTATTCTATTATGGTAGTCACTTGACTGTAAATTTTCAGGTAACTTGTTAATTTCTTGTTAATGAAGTAAACAAAAGTGGAGGTAGATGCACATGCCAATGTATAATATGGGGTTGTCTTTTGTCATTCTTAATCCCCTCTCCATTAAATATACCCCATACATACACAAGGAACAGCTTACCTTTGTGTGTACAATATCTTAGGAATGTCAGAACTGAACTTAAGATTTAATATCTGGCTATATGGAAGTTTCTCTGCTTGACAATGAAAATTAGATGAATGCACTTTTGACAACCTAGGATTTTCCTTGCTCTTATAGTACAGAACTACTATGTAGTGAGTGCCATTAAATACTCTGAAACTTACATCCGTTGGTTGTTTCATGTTACTTGTTACTAGTTTTGTGTAACTGGACGTCCACAGACTTTATTCTATTTTACTTGATTTTATTTTTCTATTTTTTAGTACAATAATTCTTCCTGTGCCTTGATACAAATGATTCAGTTAATTTCGTGAGCACTAAGTGTCCAAACATAAAGTAATATGTAGTGATAACAATCATGTGTTTTGATGGAAAGGAAAATAAAGGGGGCTTCTGTCAAATGTGTACTGCAGGTCTCAAATTACCAAGGGCTTTACTGGACTTTGGCTATCGTGGAGCCAAAAGTACTCCAAAGCTATTGATATGATTTGGAGGATACGGGGAGAATAAAGACACACTTTATATTAATACTTATTTTTACTAGGAAAGAAATAGCACTAATTTGAGGAGAGCTAGTTTACACAAAGTAACTCTTATCTGTTGTTGGTATCAATTTTTAGTGCAAGATTAATAAGAATTTACTAAGCAGTTTAAACCTTAAATTTTACATCTTGTAATTGGCTTAATTTCCTATCATATGTTTTTATAGCAGTAATCTATACTTCTTTCACTAGCAAAATATGTTATTTTTCCAGCCCGGGTAGAAAAACACTGGATTTTATGTATTCCCTGAAACAAATTAGCACAGTTTGGTTAAAACAGCTGCCTAAATGATGAGAAGCAAATTGGATTATAAAATCCTGCTTGATAGTTTAGCAAGTCAGTTAAGTAAGGATTCGAACCATATTATATGGTCATGGGATGAAAAATGACACACACTGGTTAAGCCAAGTGTCTGGTAATCGGGCAAACCTCAATGCCTGGCTCTGCTGTTGATCTGGTGGTGGTATGTGTGTGCCTTTCTGACAATAATCCAGTTTCTCCAAGTGTGAGATCATAGTTGTATATTTAATAAGGCTTTATGGAGTGTCCATCATGAGTTAGATGATTGATTTAGGGATGAAACAACATACTTTGAAATCATTGCAAAACCATGACTATATAATTTTATTGCACTGGTGTGTTATTCAACTTTGTGGTTCAGAATGTATCTGCATATCATGAAAAATGCTAGTGGCAATATGGTGTAACAAAGGTTAGATGAATGAGTAAACCTACAACATTCATCAGTTATTCAGCAGTTGAGGAAGCCTTGCAGCTTCAGAACTGGAGGTAGTGAACATTAGAGTGACAGAGATCTGATTAATAGAGCCTGTGAAATTTAATTTCTCTTTATCTTCAACCTTATTGCAAACCTAGTTCCCTATATTCCATTTCTACTTTATTGCTAACCCTTTCAGCTCTTATATAACCAAGGAAATACAACACATTGTTAAAGAGTGAAATCTTTGGGGTTCGTAAGCTTCTTTACTTAGTACCTCTGTGAACTTTGCGATTAAGTGACTTCACCAATCCTTTACAAACCCAAAAGTTTCCTCATTTGTAAAATAATACCTATGTCAAAACTTGTAATGAATACCAAGTAAGTCAATACATGTGAAATGCTTGATGTTGTACATGGGCGCATATTAATGGTAATTAGCAATGATGTTGATAATGTCAGTCCACTAAGGAATATAGATAAAATGATCTTAATGGTACTGATCTAGAGAAGTGGTTCTTAAACCAAGGAGAACATCAGAATCACCTGAAAATCTTAAACTAAGTAGGCAAATAGATGCATAGATTTTTTTCTATGAATACTAGAACTGAATTGGGGTGAGGTAATCCAGTCTGGCAGACATTGTGCCTTATACTGTTACTTCTTTAAAAATTAGAGTTAATAAATACAGACGGAATTGCTTTGCATTTTTCTTCATGGTAGAAAACCTATTTGGATAGGTGGAAGAAATAGAAGAAAAGCAGTTACTGAAAAACTAAAATCTCTAACTGTTCTAAGTTTCCTATAATATATACTAGATAGTTCTAAGGTGAGAGACAGACACTGACACTGTGTTTTAAAGTATCCTTCAGCAATTTTGAAGTCTTAATTGAATGTTTTCTTCCTCAGCAGAAACTGAACCCATTTATCTGTATAAGCTCTCCAAGCTTGTAGTTATTGAAAAAGTTCTCTGTCCTCCCTCTCTCTCTCTTCTTAGCCAAGAGCAGTGTGCATATTATTTGCTTGCTTGGGTGCTGTTATGCGAGTTCGTGTATTTAAAGCTTGTGAGAGAGCCAAGCCACAGGATCTGGCTGGCTTTCAGCTGCTAAACAGGGGGCATGTAACTTGCCATTGGTCCCCAACTGCGAGAATTGTGGATGTAATTTCTTTTTGGTAAACATCCATCCTGAAGTGAATTTATCTCCTCTACACATTTGTTTTCCTTTGGGTGTTTTCCTTTTGTTGTATGATCCTCACTTCGTTGGACATGAGTACTTCTGTAGTGTTACTTATCCTCTCAAAACAATGAAAAATTACTTTTGCAAAGCTGTTTAAGTCAGAGGATGTAAAATGGATCCCATCCAAAGCAGCCATTACCATCCATCAGAGGTAGGAAGAGAGACGTCTACTACCAGTCAGACAACTCACAGTCCATGGTGTGACTGAGCTGTGGCAGCAGCCGTGGCATTGGCCTTGCAACAGTGTCAGGGCATGCGGTCCAGCCTTTCTTGTGATTTGGCTCTGAGTTAGATTGATTTATATGGTTGGTTTAAGGAAGGCTAAGAAAATCTATTCTTGATCTTCTGGTCTCATTGACATTCTCTGTCACTGTCATTGTTATTATCACCACCAACTACCATCACCACCACCACTAACATGTACTGATGCTCACAATACGCCATGAACCGGACTAAACTTTTACTTAATTTCCTTATTTAATCATAACGCCAACTTTATCTCATAGGAACTACTATTTCTCACACTTCACAGATGAGAAACTGAAGCCCTAGAGAAGATACCCGCTATGAAGCTTTGGATAAGTTACAGTGGCAGAGCTGAGGCTGAAACCAAGGCTCAGTCTCCAAAGAGCATGTTCTAAACTTGTCTGTTATATTGCTCTCCTGAATTAAGATGATTGTTGGAAAGCATCCACTTTAGGAACTCACCACTTTTAAACATTCCATACATCAAAATTTGGAATGGCATTTCTCCTAGTTCTGTTACTTTTATGTAATCTAAGTGCCTTTACTAAAGGGAATCAAAAGGTTAGGCTTAGAAGCACAGTGTTGGAGAAGTCTTTACAGTGTAATCTGGAATACTTTGGCAAGATTAAATTTTTAGTCTTTTGTTTAAAATAAAAATGACATTTCAAAAGAAGAATAGGCAGTATGTGTTTATATAAAAAGCTAATTATTCAAACTTTGTCAGCTAAGCAGTACATCTGTTAACTATGTATTTTTTAAAAGGGTAAAGGATGATCTAATAAGGTTTAAGGAATGTAGAGATTATATGGAACCTGGTGGCTATTTTTCTCTCTCAGAAACTACTGAAGTAACGACAGAAGGGGGTTCAGAGTTCAAATAATCAAGAGATCCTTAGCACTTAAGGTTATTAAGAATACTTAAGTATTCTCATGGGTCTCTAAAATACTTTTTCCAGGATAAATGCAGGTATACATATTTTAAGGCATATATATAGAGCAGATGAGCCCTCTAGGTCTTTACCTGCACAGTGATTTTTTTGGTCTATATTTAATATTTCTGATTAGTTAGGAATTTTAGAATTTGCTAGTTACCATTGGTGTAAACAAAACAGAATTGGACATGTGAGTTGCTCTCCATTATATAAACCTTAGTTGCACATCTGTAATACAGAGTATTTGAACATAGGATTAATGATCACTGGCCTCTGATGAACATCGATACAAAAATCCTCAATAAAATACTGGAAAACCGAATCCAGCAGTACATCAAAAAGCTTATCCACCATGATCAAGTGGGATTCATCCCTGGGATGCAAGGCTGGTTCAACATATGCAAACCAATAAATGTAATCCAGCATATAAACGGAACCAAAGACAAAAACCACATGATTATCTCAATAGATGCAGAAAAGGCCTTTGACAAAATTCAGTAGCCCTTCATGCTAAAAACTCTCAATAAATTAGGTATTGATGGGACGTATCTCAAAATAATAAGAGCTATTTATGACAAACCCACAGCCAATATCATACTGAATGGGCAAAAACTGGAAGCATTCCCTTTGAAAACTGGCACAAGACAGGGATGCCCTCTCTCACCACTCCTATCCAACATAGTGTTGGAAGTTCTGGCCAGGGCAATCAGGCAGGAGAAAGAAATAAAGGGTATTCAATTAGGAAAAGAGGAAGTCAAATTGTCCCTGTTTGCAGATGACATGATTGTATATCTAGAAAACCCCATCTTCTCAGCCCAAAATCTCCTGAAGCTGATAAGCAACTTCAGCAAAGTCTCAGGATACAAAATCAATGTACAAAAATCACAAGCATTCTTATACACCAATAACAGACAAACACAGAGCAAAATCATGAGTGAACTCCCATTCACAATTGCTTCAAAGAGAATAAAATACCTAGGAATCCAACTTACAAGGGATGTGAAGGACCTCTTCAAGGAGAACTATAAACCACTGCTCAATGAAATAAAAGAGGACACAAACAAATGGAAGAACATTCCATGCTCATGGATAGGAAGAATCAATATCGTGAAAATGGCCATACTGCCCAAGGTAATTTATAGATTCAATGCCATCCCCATCAAGCTACCAATGACTTTCTTCACAGAATTGGAAAAAACTACTTTAAAGTTCATATGGAACCAAAAAAGAGCTCGCATTGCTAAGTCAATCCTAAGCCAAAAGAACAAAGCTGGAGGCATCATGCTACCTGACTTCAAACTATACTACAAGGCTACAGTAACCAAAACAGCATGGTACTGGTACCAAAATAGAGATATTGACCAATGGAACAGAACAGAGCCCTCAGAACTAATACCACGTATCTACAACTAACTGATCTTTGACAAACCTGAGAAAAACAAGCAATGGGGAAAGGATTCCCTATTTAATAAATGGTGATGGGAAAACTGGCTAGCCATATATAGAAAGCTGAAACTGGATCCCTTCTTACACCTTATATAAAAGTTAAGATGGATTAAAGACTTAAACGTTAGACCTAAAACCATAAAAACCCTAGAAGAAAACCTAGGCAATACTATTCTGGACATAGGCATGGGCAAGGACTTCATGTCTAAAACACCGAAAGCAATGGCAACAAAAGCCAAAATTGACAAATGGGATCTAATTAAACTAAAGAGCTTCTGCACAGCAAAAGAAACTACCATCAGAGTGAACAGGCAACCTACAGAATAGGAGAAAATTTTTGCAATCTACTCATATGACAAAGGGCTAATATCCAGAATCTACAAAGAACTCAAACAAATTTACAAGAAAAAAACAACCCCATCAAGAAGTGGGTGAATGATATGAACAGACACTTCTCAAAAGAAGACATTTATGCAGCCAAAAAACACATGAAAAAATGCTCACCATCACTGGCCATCAGAGAAATGCAAATCAAAACCACAATGAGATACCATCTCACACCATTTAGAATGGCAGTCATTAAAAAGTCAGGAAACAACAGGTGCTGGAGAGGATGTGGAGAAATAGGAACACTTTTACATTGTTGGTGGGACTGTAAACTAGTTCAACCATTGTGGAAGACAGTGTGGTGATTCCTCAGGGATCTAGAACTAGAAATACTATTTGACCCAGCCATCTCATTACTAGGTATATACCCAAAGGAATATAAATCATGCTGCTATAAAGACACATGCACACATATGTTTATTGTGGCACTACTCACAATAGCAAGGACTTGGAACCAACCCAGATGTCCAACAATGATAGACTGGATTAAGAAAATGTGGCACATATGCACCATGGAATACTATGCAGCCATAAGAAAGGATGAGTTCATGTCCTTTGCAGGGACATGGATGAAGCTGGAAACCATCATTCTCAGCAAACTATTGCAAGGACAAAAAACCAAACACCACATGTTCTCACTCATAGGTGGGAATTGAACAATGAGAACACATGGACACAGGAAGGGGAACATCACACACCGGGGCCTGATGTGGGGTGGGAGGAGGGGGGAGGGATAGCATTAGGAGAAATACCTAACGTAAATGATGAGTTAATGGGTGCAGCACACCAATATGGCCCATGTATACATATGTAACAAACCTGCACGTTGTGCACATGTACCCTAGAACTTAAAGTATAATAAAAAATATATATAAATATATATATAAAAGAAAAAAAACACAAATCCTTTGTCAGTTCTGTGTGTTTCAAATAACTTCTCACAGTTTGTTTTACACCTCTTTTAAAGTTGTTTCTTATTCCAATAGTTTTTGGGGTACAGGTGGTTTTTGGTTACATGGATGGGTTCTCGAGTGGTGATTTCTGAGATTTTAGTGCGCCTGTCACCTGAGCGGTGTACACTGTTCCCAATATGTAGTCTTTTACCCCTGACATCCCCTCTCAACCTTAACCCCCTGCCAAGCCTCTAAATCCATCATATCACTCTGAATTCATTCAAAAATGCATTCATAAAAGATAACTTTATAACTCAAGAATAAAAAAATCATATGTTATCACTTATAAATGGGAGATAGCTATGAGGTTTATCTGAGTGCAGGATAGTGATCTTATTGTAATTGTATATACTGATATTTTATGGAGATTTGAAGAATACTTCCCTACCTCTGTATTCTCCTGTATTTTGTGCTAAAAGCTTTCATTTTTTTTGCATGCATATTTAAACCATAAATCTACTTGAGAACTTATTTTGTGTGTGTGTGTGTGTGTGTGTGTGTGCATGTTAGGTGAGAGCTGGGAATACAATTTATTTGCTTTCCTTTTTGGAAAACCAGACATCCTAGCATGACTGATTTAAGATCCTATTCTTTTTCCACTGCTCTGGCGTATGAGGTTTCTATATATGTATGGGTATGGTCTCTTTTCTGTTCAGTTTGTCTGTTCATCAATCCCTTCATCAGTACCCTACTGCTCTTAATTACTATACATTAATAATAATAAATTTAAAATTTGGTAGAACAAGGTTCCTCACCTCACCTTGTTTTAATTCAGAGGAGTCTTGGCCATTTTGGCTTCTTGATCTTTTATAAAAATGTTGAAACCAACAGAGGTACACAAAAGCCTTGAGGAATTTTTATTGGAATTGCATCCATTTTCCAGACAATACACGGACTTTCAAAGAGTTTAATACTGATCCCCTCCTCTCTCTTTTCAAAGAATATGTTAATATTGTGCAGTACTAAGTTCCACCTTATGTTTAACCTCAAAATTAGACATTTTTTATTGTTTGATATATGCAATGCTTGTTTTGATTTATCCATATGTTCATGTCTCCCTCCCCCTCAGCATTCCTTTTTGTGTCTCAATTTATTTCTGTGGCCGATTTCCTACTTTCTGAAGCACATCTTCAGATGCTCCCTTTAGTGAGGGTTTGTTTGTAGTAACCTCAGTTTTTATATGTCTTAAAGTATCTTGGTTACATTCACTCTTTTTTGTCTTTTTTTTTTTAATTGTATGTTCAGGGGTACACGTGCAACTTTGTTATATGGGTAAACTTGTGTCAAGGGGGTTGTTTGTACAGATTATTTAATCACCCAGGCACTTAGCCTAGTACCCATTAGTTATTTTTCCTGACTCTCTCCCTCTTTCTACTCTCAACCCCCGATAGGCCCCAGAGTTTGCTGTTCCCCTCTATGTGTCCATGTGTGTTCATCATTTAGCTCCCACTTATAATTGAGAACATGGGGTATTTAGTTTTCTGTTCCTGCTGAGATTGGTAAGGATAATGGCCTCCAGCATCAACCATGTTCTTGCAAAGGACATGCTCTTGTTCTTGCAAAGGACATGCTCTTGTTCTTTTTTATGGCTGCATAGTATTCCATGGTATATATGTACTACATTTTCTTTATCCAGTCTATCATTGATGGGCATCTTGGGTGATTCCATGTCTTGGCTGTTGTGAATAGTGCTGCAACAAACATATGAGTGCATGTGTCTTTATGATGAAACAACTTATATTCTTTGGGTGTATATACCCAGTAATGGGATTGCTGGGTTGAATGGTAATTTTGTTTTTAGCTCTTTGAGGAATCGTTACACTGCTTTCCACAATGATTGAATTAATTTATACTCCCACCAACAGTGTATAAATGTTTCCTTTTCTCCACAACCTCACTAGCGTCTGATATTTTTTGACCTTTTAGTAAAAGCCATTCTGACTGGTGTGAGATGGTATCTCATTGTGGTTTTGATTTGCATTTGTTTAATCAGTGATGTTGAGCTTTTTCTCATGTTTCTTGGCCACATGTGTGTCATCTTTTGAAAAGCATCTGTTCATGTCCTTTGCCCACTTTTTAATGGGGTTGTTTTTTCCCTTACAAATTTAATTTCCTTATAGATGCTGGATATTAGACCTTTGTCAGATGCATGCTTGCAAATATTTTCTGCCATTCTGGAGGTTGTCTATTTTACTCTATTGATGGTTTCTTTTGCTGTGCAGAAGCTCGTAAGTTTCATTAGATCCCATTTGTCAATTTTTACTTTTGTTGTAATTGCTTTTCCTGTCTTCATGAAATCTTTGCCTGTTCCTATGTCCAGAATGGTATTGCCCAGGTTGTCTTCCAGGGTTTTTGCAGTTTGTAGTTTTACATTTAAGACTTTAATTTATCTTGAGTTGATTTTTTATATGCTGTAAGGAAGGAGTCCAGTTCCAATCTTCTGCATATGCTTAGCCAATTATCCTACTTATTGACTAGAGTTCTGTCTCCATTGCTTGTTTTTGTCAGCTTCATAAAAAATCAGATGGTTGTAGATGTACAGTATTATTTTGGGGCTCTCTGTTCCATTTTTCCATGTATGTTTTTGTACCAGTACCATGTTGTTTGCAGCCCCGTAGTATATAGTATGTAGTTTGAAGTCAGGTAGTGTGATGCCTCCAGCTTTGTTCTTTTTGCTTAGGATTGCCTTGTCTACTTGGGCTCAGTTTTTGGTTTCATATGAATTTTAAAATAGTTTTTTCTAGTTCTATGAAAAATGTCATTGGTAGTTTGATAGGAATAGCATTGAATCTATAAACTGATTTGGACAGTATGGCCATTTTAGTGATATTGATTATTCCTATCCATTCTACCCATGAACATGGAATATTTTTCTATTTGTTTCTGTCATATCTGACTTCTCTGAGCAGTGTTTTGTAGATCTTTCACCTCCCTGGTTAGCTGTATTCCTAGATATTTTATTCTTCTTGTGGCTATTGTAAATGAGATTGTATTCCTGATTGGGCACTCAGCTTGACTGTTGGTGTATAGGAATGCTAGTGACTTTTGTACATTGATTTTGTATCCTGAGACTTTTTCTAAAGTTGTTTATCAGGTGAAGGAGCTTTAGGGCTGAGGCTGTGGGGTTTTCTAGGTATAGAATCATGTCATCTGCAAATAGGGATAGTTTGACTTCCTCTGTTTTTATTTGGATGCCCTGTACTTCTTTTGTTTGCCTGGTTGTTCTGGCCAGGACTTCCAATACTATGTTGAATAAAAGTGGTGAGAGAGGACATCCTTGTCTCGTGCCAGTTTTCAGGGGGAATGCTTCCAGCTTTTGCCCATTCAGTATGACATTGGCTGTGGATTTGTCATAGATGGCTCTTATTATTTTCAGGTATGTTCCTTCAATGCCTACTTTATTGAGTTTTTATTGTGAAGGAATGAATTTTATTAAAAGCCTTTTCTGTATCTATTGAGGTAATCATGTGTTTTTTTGTATTTAGTTCCATTTATGTGATGAATCACTGGTATTGATTTGCATATGTTGAACCAACCTTGCATCCCAATGATAAAAGCTACTTGATCATGGTGGATAAGCTGTTTGATATGCTTTGGATTCAGTTTGCCAGTATTTTGTTGAGGATTTTTGCATCAATGTTCCTCAAGGATATTGGCTGGAAGTTTTCTCTTTTTTCTTGTCAGGTTTTGTTATCAGGATGGTGCTGGCCCCATAGAATTAGTTGGAGAGGAGTCAGTCCCTCCTCTTCAATTTTTTTGGAATAGTTTTAGTGGGAATGCTACCATCACTCCTAAAAGATAGTTTTCCTGTTATACAAATCTAAGTTGATAGTTACTTTCAGTACTTAGATTTTGTGGCCTCTGCTGTTGAAAATTCAGTAATCCATGTAAGAATAACTTTTATAAGTGATGTGACACAAATCTAGACAGTACAGAAACTTAAAAACTCACCACTGCCTCATATCTCACAATGGAAGAGTAAATTTTTTCTTCTCTTCTTTTTTTCTAAAGGGGAGTGTGTGTGTGTGTGTGTGTGTGTGTGTGTGTAAAATCTGCTAATCAAAACGATTTTCTATAGTCTTAGAAATTTTTCAAAACTTATTTTCTATCAGAAGTGTGTTTTCTAGTCATTAAAAAGTCACTACAGACAACATTAATAGCTGTATAATCTATTTTAGGGTATAATGTACCCACCAAAAAATTCCTTCAGTGTTTAACCTCTAGGTTGAGTCCATGTCTAATTATATACATAAATCTGCAGTAACTATCTGTGCTAACATCCTTTTCTGCCTTTCAAATATTTTTCTCATGTTAGTCCTCTAATTGCATTAAAAGAATCAAAAAGTACACACTTTTTGAAGAAGTTTAAAACAGCTGTCTATTGCATTCCAGACAGGTTGTACCATTTTACACTTAAACCAGATGTATACGTGAACACTTCATTATTTTTAATCTACTTTACGTTTTAACTTCTTGCACTTAATTTTGAATGTATAGATATACAGGTATGTACCAGTTGTAATTGATAATATAGAAAATTCCCATAGTGGCATTTGGGGAAGGAACTCTTTACCTGAATAACATTATGCATTCATATAATCCTTAATGGGAACGTATCTAATTTCTACTTCTAAAATAAAGTCTTTCTGGCACTGGGAAACACTCATGATTTTAGTGGAAGAACCACAGTATTTCAATCAATCAATGTACTCAAATTGTGAAATGCACCATTTATGCAGTTTTATGGAATAAATATGGAAGGGGATTTATGCTTGAATCCTACTTTTCTTTTTACTTTAATGACTTAAAGTGGCATATGATCCAAATATTGTCACATTTAATGTTTCCATTGCAGACTTCCCTAGAGGATCATGTTTTTAGAAGCTCCTTATGATTTAGTTTTTTTGGAGTTGGCATTATAGAAACCTTTTGGATAGGATCAATGACAAAGCGATCTTAATACCAATTTATAAGCTCTAACAAGTAGCTTCAAAAATCATATCCTGTCACGAATAAAATGTTTACCTGCCATATTTGTGATCTCAGTGAATTATTATTAAATGAGAAGGTTTTTATAAAATGATCCCCTAAGCCAATGTGTATTTAGGTGGTAGCCATAGTAATTAAAGTCTCATCCTTAAGAAAGAGAGAGAATCAACTCTTCACATCTGGCAGGCATCATTCTTCCCTCCTTCTTTCTCTTCCTCCTAATACATAACCTGCCTCATCCAGATTTTTGGTCATTTCCATATCTTGTTCATATATACAGGAACTTGGAGGGAGATAAGTCTTGCCCTGTCCCTAGCTAATAGACTTTATTTCACCTTATTTTGTGGCATAAAATACTGGACGCTTGAAGCTTTGCTGTTCAGTGAAAAATGTTCTTCATCAGAGCCAGAAAAGTAGCAGTGATTCGTTTTGACTCATAAACTTTTACTATAGCAATTTTGCAACTCTTATTATAATTTTTATTTCTTTAATTTTTGTAACTTTTTCTTTTCAGAGGAGTTTTATTATTACTCAAACCAGTCTCCCCGAGCATTCAGGGATCAGAGTTTTTAAGGACAACTTGGTGGGTGGAGGGAAGCCAGTGAGCCAGGAGTGCTGATTGGTCAGGTCAGAGATGAAATAATAGGGAGCTGAAGCTGTCATCTTGTGCTGAGTCAGTTCCTGGGTGGGGGCCACAAGGTCAGATGAGCCAGTTTATCAAACTGGCTGGTGCCAGCTAATCCGTCAAGTGCAGGATCTGCAAAATATCTCAAGCATTGATCTTAGGAGCAGGTTACAGAGGGTCAGAATCTTGTAGCTTCCAGCTGCATGACTCCTAAATCATAATTTCTAATCTTGTGGCTAATTTCTTGGTCTTACAAAGGCAGTCTAGTCCCCAGTCAAGAGGGAGGTTTGTTTTGTGAAAGGGCTATTATCGTCTTTGTTTTAAACTATAAACTAAGTTCATCCCAAAGTTAGTTCAGCCTAGGCCCAGGAATAAACAAAGACAGCTTGGAGGTTAAGTCAAATCTCTTTCACTATCTCAGTTATAATTTTGCAATGGTAGTTTCAATCCCTCCTTTTGGGTTTTATAACACCTTAAATCTTAATATGTTGGCTAAAGAAGGTGGAAAAAGGGTGACAACTGCTCTAACTTCTTCGTGCTGATCAGGGGAATAGTGGGGGTAGGTGTTGACCCCAAGGTAAGAGGAGTGAAACTGCTTTGCAACTGTCTGAGCATACCCATGCAGGCCTGGCTGGGGTTCCAAGGCTTATATGGCAAAGGTGTTAGTATTGTTATCTATAGTTTTAATACCGACTAGGGTAAGAAGTGCAATTCCCAGTTTTAAAAGTAAATATTTGAAAACATTAGTTTTGGGACTTGTAGCCCACAAAGAATTTAGGATTTACTCCAAACTGCAGAAAAAATTCAAGAACAGCTAACAACAGATATACTATAGTTTTTCTTTTGAAGTATATTTTTTTCTCTCTCCAGTCCCCATTTTCTATTAAAAACAAATCATGATAGAACTGATTTGTTTAAAAAATAAACTATAGTCTTATTGTACTTGGCCTGATTATGTGCATAAAGTGCAGCGAGAATAATTATTTTTTCACATAGGCTTTTAAAATTGGCTTTGATGGGACTCTGTTCCATAAGGAATCTCAGATAAGACTTTTTAAAAGCTGAGGCTAGCCATGGGTTTGTATCCTCGAATACTTAGGAGCTGGGTAAATTCTTCTCCTCTGGAGGTCCTAAGATCACTTGGGGCTCGTGGGTCTGTTAGAAAGTGATATTCTTTAGTTACCACAGGTCAGGAACCTTGTACAGGGACTGTACAGACAAGATATGAGGCCAGATTTCTCAAGAGGGTCTTAGTGACTCTGAGTCAACTTTGATTCTTTAAAGAAGGCATATCATTCCAGTCAAAGCCTTGGTAAAATAACCAGTTTCTCCAATGGTGTCCCATTACAAAGAAAACAGATTTTTATTACACTTATGCAAACAACTACACCGCCATAAATTGAGAATACTCACAAATAGTTTCCAAATTCTGGAAGAATCAGGTAGAGAAAAATAAATATGCTCAAAATTTTGTTCATAGGAGTATATTTTACTCAATTGTTAAAAATGCTGTACATAGCTCGGAAGACATTTTCTTGGCCCTGGAAAACAAAAAGGATCAACAACGTTTTAAGCAAAAAAGTTTTTAAAAAAGATTACTTGTCTATTAGTTCAGTCCATTCAATTAACTCCTGTTATGCTTGATATTTATGAAGATTTCAGCTTTCCATGAGAGTCCCAAAAGTCTTTTTCTCTATTCTAACGTCACATTCTCTAAAGTTATTAGAAACGTGCATTCAATAGCACCCATAAAAAGTCCTATAGCTGATTCTAAACCACCTTTTGAAGAGGAACAAAACAAGACAACAATTGTCTGTGGAGGACAAAACAGCCATTATTAAAGCCACAATTGACTAGGAATTTTGGTTACTTCTGTGGCATACAATTTTACATAACAATTATAACTATTAATGACATACACTAAGTCATCAGAATTATGGGAGTTCCACATAATTTTGGAACATACACCAGTAACGTATTTATACAAATATAGTCCAAAGAAAGCCAAACACCATTTCATATTTGACAATGCTTCCTGTATGACTTTCATACCAAATAAGCCAAACACATGATTTGAGACTTCAGGGGACCTCATGTCTAAAGGATTAGTTAGGCCAGAAAATGACATACTTAATAATTTGATTTTGGAAAGTTTGTCAAATATCAAAGGTTTAAAACACTGGATATCACAAAATAGGATCACAGATTATTCATTTATCTGAAATAGTAACTCAATTTTATTTTATTTTTTTGGCTGGAGTGCAATGGTGTGATCTTGGCTTACTGCAGCCTCCACCTCCTGGGTTCAAGTGATTCACCTGCCTCAGCCTCCCAAGTAGCTGGGATTACAGGCACCCACCACCATGCTCGGCTAATTTTTGTATTTTTAGTAGAGATGGGGTTTCACCATGTTGGCCAACCTGGTCTCAAACTCCTGACCTCAGCTGATCCGCCTGCCTTGGCCTCCCTAAGTGCTGGGATTACAGGCATGAGCCACCTGCCTGGCCTCAAAAAAATTTTAAAGGCAAAAACCTTTACTCTGATAGAAGAAACTTGGCTTTTCAAACAAGACCCAATGAAGATAGCATGAGGCCAGTGGAATCTGTCCCTTCTCTCTCCTCTTTCTTTCCCCTTGTTATTTACCCAAAAGGGCAAACAAACAAAAACCTTTCATTACGTTTTAATATTGCATAAAAATATTTCAAAAGAGAAAACAAAATGGCATTTTTGCATTAGTGCATCTTTAATGCTAAAGCTAGTTTTTAAATAAAATTTTACAAATCTATCCAGTTTTAATTCGTTTGACCATAAGGTAACATTTTCATAAACTTTTTAGGATGCTTTACAATTTTCTGTTACACAACAGATTAATTTTCTAAGAAAACCATGTTATTTGGGCACATGGACTGAGATTCTGGCCCCTCATTAGTGTGCTTTTATTTTAATATTTAACCTATGGAAAAACAATTAAATAATTCCCTTCAAATCTTAGCCAACTTGCTCATACCCACAGAACTTTCTTTACAAGACCAACCCTTTTCTCTTGCTTAAGTCTTCAGTTTTGTCCCATTACTCTGTTACTCTGTTTGTCTGAACTAGAAAAAATTACATTTCCTTTAACAAAAGCCATATTCCCATGCCTTCTTATAATCTTTTACCAAAAACTTATTCCTCTTTTCTTATGCACTTTGTATGTAAAACTGTTTCTCCAGTAGTCTCAATTACATGTTACAATGTTAACTGTTAGCAACCTTTATTTTCGGTGAAAACCTGACAAGTAAGTGATTTTAATTATGTACTAGGTGTGGAGTCTAGGCCATCAGGCAAATAAGGTCTGACTTTTCCCAGCATAGTAACTAGGTGGGGCATGGCTAACTCCACATGTCCTCAGGCCTCATCTAGAATCTAGTGCTCCAAAGTAGGTATATTGAACAATTTTTTAAATGTCAGAGGCAGTTTATGACAAAGCATTTAGCAAATGTGATATATGACCTTAATTTAGACCAAATGTCTACATTTTGAAGTCACATGAAGAAAAAGTCATTAAAGTTTGTTTCTCTGACAAAATACTTGATTTAAGAACTTATTTTTCTAAGCCAATTAATCAGAGCTCTTTTATATATAAACATCACATATACAACACATATAAATAGACAGAAGATATAGTAGTTGTACAGTTTTTCATTTGCCAGTTTCTTAGTTGGATTCCTGGCTTCAGGGTGAAGCTCTTGGAGAACAGGGCCAGGAAAGCATGCAGTTTCTAGGGCCTAATAAGTAGACACAGCTGTAGGGCAAAGCCAGATCCCCAAAGACAAACCCACCCTTTTCTGTTTTATGGAACCACAGGCAAAAGATTCTCCGTTTTGCAAGATGTTTCCCAATAGGCCGCAGGGGAACCAAATTAACATTTTTCATCCTAGCAAAATACACATAACAAAACAGACACTAGTCACCTGCGAAGAGTGGATAGTCGTCCCAAGACAGGCCTGTTGAACTCTCTTCAGGGCTCACCGAATGTGACCAGACAAATAAGGAGGGTTCTCTGAGTTAGACCTGCTGGACTTTCAGCAGTTCCTTCTGAGATCCACTCCACATATACACACACACACACACAAAGACGAGAAGGATAGAAGGCCTTCCAAATCAGATCCCTAACCAAGAACTCCAAGAGTATACCTTCCAAACTATCCTTCTATTCTCCATCTGAGAAATCTCCCTGAAATCTTCCTGTTTGAGAAGTCTCCCAAACCAAGATTCTTTCTACTAGTCAGGGAGAGTCAACTGAGACCTCCCAGAAGCCAAACCAAGACAGACACCCCACCACGGTGCTACAGAACCAGTCGGGAGAAGGAAGAAGGTGTTGGCAGACCCTAGGATACTCACCAACCCAGACACCCCAAAATAGAGCTACAGATTCCCTTTAATATGGCTACAGTTATGGGATGTCTCCAATAATTTTTAAATATCCAGATTTTTTGGTTTTACATTTAAGGATATTTGTAATTTGTTAGTCATAATCCTAAAAACACACATTTATGTAGAAGTAAACTGTCTTCTCACCAATATGCCCAGATGTGTTCTATGGAAAAGTATATTTTAGATTACACATGCACATATGAAGACACAAAAACATACACATCTTGGGGAAATTGTGCATAGTCTCCATAATTTTTCAGGTGGCCTACTTCATTGCACTGAAACTATCAGTGACCCCGAATTTAAGATTCAATGGTCATTAAAACAGCTGCAGTTGTCTTTCAAAGAAAGATATATGTTAGAACCAATCTGGCTATTAATAAAACATTTAGATGATGAGCCCTGGGCATTGTATTACTGGAATTTAATTTTTTTTCTACAGGAAGATTAGGAAAACACATAAAGGCACCTAAAATACACTTACATATTGATCTTCTTTACAATTTATTACCCACAAATTTTGTCTGTTTTGTATTAGAATCAAACTGATTGGAAGGAATTTCCAGAAGTGTCTTAATTCATTAATTCCTTCTGATTTCTAAGCTACTGTAATGAAAATAGGTAACTAATTTTTGAAAATTCTAAAGGAGGAAGGTTTTTTTACATCTGTTCTCAATAACTCAGTGTCTAGCTTTTCTAATACATAAAGACATTATTATAACTATGTTATAGCTTTGTAGTTGCAATTCTGTTTTTGATTAGTTACATAGTAAACAGTAGAAAACACTTCTATTTTTATAATAGAAATGTTAAAAGGTATTTTTTTTTTTTTACCTATTCTGTGAGCATTGACATCTTTTTAAATTTCTTGACAATGCATTCTCTGTAGTCTTCTCAAAGTACCTATGATTATTTTCATTTTTTGGAACTCTTATTTGGATCTGCTGCCTTAAATCATCAAAAGCCAAACAGAATGCAGTATTTGAGCACAGTAAATATTCAGTGGCCATCTTATGTTTACTGTTCCTGTTCACTGTTACTGGCATAGACTTCAACTCAAAGGCACTCACCAATTTAGCTCAAGTTTCAGTACAGGTCCTTGAACCTGCCCTGCTAAGATCATGGAAGGTTTGTTTTGTATTCATCATAAGTCACTGATACTCTTTATATGTCAATCTCCAGGTAATGTCTTTTACTAAAATTATGGTAGTTTGGACTGTGAATCTCTTCTTGGATACCTCTGATTCACTGGTGATTCATTTTAAATAATTTTCATTACATTTAAAATTTCTAAATGCTATTTTTAAACTGTTGGTTTCTCATGCTTTAACGCCTGAGTTAAGTAAAACTGACAAGAACATACTGATAGAAGCATGACAATAAGCAATACTTGGAAAACTTATTACAGATACTTGTTGCATTTATATGTGTGTGTATACATGTAGTAGCTTCCTTTGATTTTAGTTTATATTGTATGTTTAACAGTCTCTATACTTTTTCTGGAGAGTAGAATGCCATTTTCAGTTGAGGAGACATGAACTCATTTCATTAAATATGAGGCTGTTTGTAAAATATAATTAACTATGTTCTCGTGTTTTAATATTTGGTAGTTATAGACAAAGATATTTAGTATCAAGATAATCCAGCAAGGCTGTAGATTTCTTACAACCTTGGAAATGTGCTGTCTCTAATAATCGTGAGGTATGCCAAACATGTTAGAGTTCCTTCTCAAATATTTTTCCCCTAATTGAAATCCATTGCCTCTACTTGGGTAGTTGACAAAGATTCTGAAGTGACCAAAATATTTGTCTGGTCTTGTGGATAGAGACTATTTTGGCAAATGTTTGTTACTTTCTTTGTCCTGTAGGAATAACAAAATATACCATTGGTTATCCTCGTCTTGTATCAAACCAATAATGGCCCCAGGCTTCATTTTATGAATTTAAAGATTCAGCCACTTAAAGGAATGACCAGTTCATGGGGTTTGCAGGAATTTATGACAGAAGGGAAGAGAGTAACATTGGCCATTTCCTTCCTCTCCTCCCACTCAGGATTATATTTATGTAAGTCTTATAATGGACAAGAGGGTAAGCTTTGGGACCAGACTACATAAGTTCAAATCCCAACTCTACTACTTACTGCCTGTGGCATCTTAGGTTTACTTTACCTCTCTGATCCTCAGATTCTTCTGAAAATTTGGGATATCTTCACCTTAAATATTTATCCCAATTACCTTTCTTTGATTATATGAATGTTAAATTATCACATGTACCATGAAAATATGTGCAGCTCTTATGTATCAATAAGAAAACTTTACAAAATAAAAAAGGAATAAAGTATTTCATAGGGATATTTTAAATATGAAATGAGTTATGCTCAGCACTTGGTACTTGGCACACTACTTACATTTATTTGATTTTAATAATTTGGAAGAAACTCAGCATCTAAAAGAAAAATATTTCTTGCCTTTTTTCTGTAATCCAGCAAATATCTTGATACCACTGGTATTTGTGTCACCTGGACTGAGAGGTACTTTTCTCATCTTTTTAGTTTTTGAAGTGCCAACTCTGCATCCCTTAGTTAGGCAGAAGCCCCAAACTTGATTATCAATTTGATTTATTTTCAACTGCAATTTTCTTAGTCTCTTTAGAATTTTTGCAAATGAACTAGACAGCCTTTTAAAAAGAACCTGTTCATGAATAGAGATATTCTGTAGAGTAACTCCAGTTTCTGGAATATGTCCACAGGAGAGATGAATCTGCTATAGCACAAGTGACCTGCTCCACCTTGGCCAGAACATAAAGATAAGGGCCCTACCCCTGGGTGTGTACCCATGGGTGTGCCTCCCCACACTGGAAGCTTAATTTCTGCTTGCTTGCTTCTTGGGGGATTGCCTACAAATAGATCCCAGGGAAGGGAGTCCAGGCAGAAAGAGGTTTGCACACCCTTTCAGCAGTACTTTATGCTCTAGAATTGCATGCAGTTAACTTCGCACTAAGTCATCTATGAAGCTTACAAAATATTCTTGGCTTTCAGGAGTTGGTGCATGGCTAGGGAATCTTTTTTAAGTTCCCTGGAGGATTGTTTTACTTCTGGCCTGTGAGCTGGCTTTTGGAACCACAGGTTTAAACTTTTTCTGACTCAGCTGAAAAATAAGCATCCTGTATTTTTTGTTTTTTTCCTTGAGTTTTGCCATAAGCACACTGTTGATACTGAGTTGGAGCTGCTAAATGTGTTGCTTGACCCTGGGAAACTGAGGCTTTGAATGTCTTAACCCCAGGGAATAACTGATTTGAGGAATATGGGTTGTAGGCCAGGCCCATCAGGGATCTAATGGGACCCAAGGGAACCCTGATATTGTGTGGGATTGAGCAGGAAGGCTGATGCCCTTCTCCAGCCTAGTATTTACTTATTAATTTGTTTGTTCAGCAGCCATTTAAATGATTACGAGATCAAAGGCATTTTGCTGGGCATAAGGGATCCGAAGACTATAGTGGAAAAAGTACAGGTTTTAGAATCTGCCAGATGTTGGTTTGAATCACTGCTGAGCTATGTGATTTTGTGCTATTTACTTAACTTCTCGAAACCTATTTCCTCATCGGCAAAATAGAAATAATGCTTGCTTTGCGAGTTGCTGTAAGGATTAGAAATAATACAAGTAGGGCACCTTATATAGCGCTATCGTTTATTTAGTGTTTGTGTGCCAGGTATAATATGTGAAATTTTATACATATTCTCCTTCCTTATACAGATGCTGAAGCAGGCATCATTGTTACTACCAGTTTAGAATTGAGAAAACTAAGGTTTAGAAAAAGTGTCTAGTCCAAGATCTCTAGTTTCTAAGTGGCATAACTCTGCTTTGAATCTAGGGCTGTCTGACGCCCCAGACTCATGTTCTTAACCTTGTATTCTAGATGCCTGCCAAGGCTAGTATCATGTTGTACCCTGCTACTTCTCCAGGTTAGGCCTGGGAGTGATCCATCCAAGAGCTGTTCAGGCATCCATGGCTCTGTGGCGACTGAGGCATGTTGAATTCCTCTCTAGAGAATATGCAATTGAGACAAAAGAGGACAGAGGCTATTATAAGAGGGAGGTAAGCCAAAAAGTCACAGGGTTTATCAGGGATAGAGTGTAGCCTACATAGACCATGTACAAAGCTGAAGTTGAGGCCAGAAGCCGTGGGGGAGCCTAGGAAGAACAGGAGAGTTCATTTAACAGTAGATGACAAAGTATGGCTTTGGTTCCTGACCACTTTCAGTGTTTAGATGTAGCCCTTATATCTTTGCTCCAACTCTCAGTTGACATGAGTGTAATTGAATATCTGTAACTTGATTTTTGGGAAGACTCTAACCAGGATGCTATGGCACATTACATTGTAGCTATTTTAAAATTTTTTAAAAATAGAGATGGGATCTCCCTATGTTGTCC
Source organism: Homo sapiens (assembly GCF_000001405.40). NCBI lineage: Eukaryota > Metazoa > Chordata > Mammalia > Primates > Hominidae > Homo > Homo sapiens. The sequence continues at coordinate 107,910,866 of NC_000008.11, read as the reverse complement.
AGGCTGGTCTTGAACTCCTGGCCTCAAGTGATCCTCTCACCTCAGCCTCCCAAAGTGCTGGGATTACAGGTATGAGCCCCCATGCCCAACCTGTTTTTAATTATTTACAAACTAGTAACCATGATATACAGCCAAACAAAACTGCAATAGGAGGTGGTAAATATTACAATGAGGGAGGTTCAAAGTGCTGCAGGGCACAGAGTGGGGAATGTATTTATGATTCTTTGTGGAGCATACATCCCCTCATATTATCTTGTGTTAACTGTGTTCATGTAAGACCTGCCACTTAACTGAACTGTTGGCTTGGACCAATAACCTATACCCTTTTCTTTAAGAGACAGGGTATTGCTTTGTCACCCAGGCTGGAGTATGGTGGCATGATCATAGCTCACTGCAGCCTCAAAATCCTGGACTCAAGCAATCCTCCTGCCTTAGGCTTCTGAGTAGTTGGGACTACAGGCATGTACCATGCCCAGTCTCATTATCTTATATAGCTGCCATGTATAAACCATTACTTTCTTTTCACTTGTGTGTCAAGTTCCATAGAAATTGTGTTGAATCCAAATTAAGTAAATGCTGCCATATGACAATGGTCTTAAATGTCATTTCTTGGGCTACTACTTTTTGTTTTTCATTTAGTTAATGGTTATTGATTTAAGACCAAGAGGAAGGTATTACATCTTCTTGTTCTAATGGAATTATTTTAAAAGGTACCTTCCGTTATAGTATGAAGTCAGCTATGGAGGAACTTAATTCTTTTCTGGTTATCCCATACCTCCTAATCAAATGAAAACAGCTGAATCATTTTCTCTGCAAACCTGATGGTTTTTCTGACTTAATTTAGGAGTGCCAAATGAGCTTGATATTTATCTGCATTTATTTTGAGTTAATTTAGGGCAGGCACCTGTACAACATCCTGGCAGCACAGTTTGAGTCCTTACCTTTTCCCCCAAAACATTCAATTAAATGAAAATGGATATAAAGCACTTATAGGGCCTGGTACAAAGTAGGAGTGTTCACCATCTCACCTTACTTAGGAAACTTTATAGCCTGCATCTTGCTAAAATGTAAGAAAAAGAATAAGCAGTGAATCAATGCAGTATAAATTTACAGAAAATCTAAGTTACAGAGAAGTTGTTATTTATGCAGAATTTACCAGTTCATACAGGGTTTCAGAGTTAGGATGAGGTCAATGACTTTTTTTGTGGAACTCAGTCAGGGTAATATTGTCTTCAGTGCTTCTTTGCCTTCCTTGCAAAATGACTCAATAACTTGAAAAATGACTATCCGTATTTATTGACCTTTAAAGCTGGGAAAGTGGCCGGGCATGGTGGTTCATGCCTGTACTGTAATCCCAGCAGGAGGATCACGAGGTCAGGAGTTTGAGACCAGCCTGACCAACATGGTGAAAACCTGTCTCTACTAAAAATACAAAAAGTATCCAGGCATGGTGGCATGTGCCTGTAATCCCAGCTACTCAGGAGGCTGAGGCAGGAGAATCGCTTGAAGCCAGGAAGCGGAGGTTGCAGTGAACCAAGATCATGCCACTGCACTCCAGCCTGGGCGACAGAGCGAGACTCCATCTCAAAAAAAAAAAAAAAAAAAAACAACTGGGAAAGTATATGAGAGAATAACTGAACTAGGCTCAGAGCACAGGTTTCCCCTTCTAATTAGCTGTAGAAGCATGGGTAGGGGTCACTCTAGATCTTCTGTGCTTCAGTTGCTTCATATCTAAACCACCTTGCAGAAGTGGACTACAGCAGGGCCTAGCAAATTGCCTAGTATATTTGCTGTCTTTCCACCCTCACCAGTGCAGCCAACTCATTGTGGTGCTGGAAGGCCAACTTGTCAGGAATCACCACCAAACAGCTTTCACCCTTGATGTCAAATCTATGTGACTTTCTGCACCAGAAGTTAGTGAAGATCATTTGCAGTTTTACATCTCTATTCTTATAAATAAGGAATCCAAGATAAGAACCTGTTATTTGCAGGTAGTTTAACTTTCCCATAAGAAAGTGACAACAAGAATTTGTGAATAATGCTTTTTCTCTAAATCAGTATTTGAATAGCAGATTTTCCTTCTTAATTTTCTTTTCTTCTCTCATTAGCCCAAATATCTTTTTAACAGCAGTGCAATTATATTTTTACCTTGTGCAGTACTTGGGTCTTGTTAATCTTTAGTCCACTAAAGAGACTACCTATGGTTAGAAAGAAATAAAAAGCCTCCAATGGGGGTTCAACAAAAAGTATTTAAGAAATTAGAGCCCCAAAGTTGCCCTGTACATTGTTTTAAAAAACCATCTCTTAACCAGTACTCTTACTGTAAAAGTGAATTATTGCCCCCTTGTGGTAGAATTGTGCATTTATTTTTTCACACAAATAGTAGAGTCGTATTTTACTGTTTCTACTGCTCTGAAAACTTTGTCCTTTACAATTAACCTAAAGTATTTATGAAAATAATTTTAGATAGTTTTAAAACTATCTCTTCTTGTTTGTGCTTACCTATGTGAAACACCACAGAATCCTGTCTTCAAACTGTTTTGTGTTTCTCTTTGACGGACTACGGATTTAAGAAACAAGCCCAAATCTCATTCAGATTACCTTGTTGTAGTCCTTATTGCTTCAAGAAAGCTGAAAAAGGTTATGGAATATTCTTACTGCCCCTTTAAAAGCCATGTCATACACTCGAAGAACAGATTTTCTTCAGAGCTGTAAAATGAGGAATTTCTGAGAATTTTTGAAATACCGTGTGCAGGAAACCGTACTGGTAAATACAGTTCATTTATAAAGGTTCAGGTGATCTTCTTCAGGGTTAGCTTTTCTGAATACAGTTCATTTGTAAAGGTTCAGGTGATCTTCAGGGTTAGCTTTTTTTCCATTTCCATCATTTTGAACATGAAATAAAATTTTAAAACCAAATAGGACTTCCTGTCAACAAAGTGGGTAACAGATCTGACTCCTAATAAAATGTCTTCTATGAGAAAAATTGAAGTCTTAAAGAAGCCATTTCATAATTTCATACTATTTTAGATAAAAAAATATGGTAACTTTTTACAGATGAAAGAATAGTAACAGTCAGAGGCTTCCCATTTAAACTGGCTGATTGAAATAGCTTTTACAAATTAGTGTAAACCTGTGCAGGTAGTAAGTAGTCTGAATCCTGATATTCTGAATGATTGTCACATTTGTATGTTGAGAGAAGTAAATTTTGTCCGTTATTTATTTTGGACAGTTGTCACCCTCTATCAATAGTCCCTGCAAGAAGAACAACTCTTGTAAGTTATCTGTAGATCATGTGTAGATTTTAAAAGCACATGCTCTTTTATGACGATGAAATGACTAAGTGACCCTTTGAAAAATCTTCTAAGTTACTACTTGACATTCAAGTAAACTCTCAGCAGGTGGCTTGTTATTATTTTCAACACTTTAATGTTTATTGCTTTGTCTCTAGATTATTTTTTCTTAAGGAAAATGATAGCAAACCATTATTGAAGGATTAGATGTTGCCAGTCCTTTCAAAACACAGCTATCTGTAAAATCTTTTTAGTGAAAAGAAGAGGTGCATTTCTAGAAAACCAAATGATTGTTACTGAAAATGCCTTAAAAGGAACTGACAACACTTTGTGCTGTCAGTAAAGAGCCACAATTGATTCATTTCCTTTACTCTTTCCACCTTACCCTCACTTCTGACTCCACAGCCAGTGTAAATAAGTAACTCTTATTTTATTTACATTTTACATTATGTAAATAAGTAAAATAAAAATAATTAAAATATGCCCATTTACATTATGTGAATAAGTAAAATGTAAATTTATTTTTAATAAATTTTTAAATTTACATTTTAATACATAAGTAAAATGTATATGTGTTAAATATATATGTATTGGTTGTGCATTTTACTTATATAACTCTTATATTTGAAAATTGCAAAGAGTAGATTTAAAATGTTCTCACACAAGAAAAAAGCATATTAGGTGATGGATGTGTTAATTCGCTTGATTATTAGCTTGATTAACCATATCACATTATATACATACATCACAATATCATGTTATACACTACAATTTTTATTTGTCAACTAAAATAAATGTGTTATTCTGAACTATATGGACAGTAGGAAGATTTTTATCTTAGGCTACATAGGACATAGTGTGGTAGATCCCAGTCCTGCTCATCATATTTGCCCACTTGAACTGCTTTCTAGAAGGAAAAAAGCTTCAAGAACTAACAAACCTCCATTCTTAATGTCTGAAGTGTTTAGGCCAATAGTTTTTAAGCTTTTATATTTCAGATCTAATTACAAGTGATGACTCTGCAAAAGAATCTGCTTACTATCATTTCCATCATAGTAGGAATGCTTTTGTATTACAGGCTTTTTCTTAGATCCATTTATGATAAGTTTTAGTGATATCCAACAGTAGTATTCCTGGATATAAAGTTAATTGTTATTACTTAAAATATAAAATATAAAAATATAAAATGCTATTTCTAAAATAAAAATATAAAATATAAAATATAAAATACTTGCATTCATAAAGGGAAAACAAACTTTATTCCCTCAGTAATCACAAAAAGAAGAGGTCATGAAAAGTGTAGTCAGGACATTTAAGTACATTACAATTTTTTCAGTATTAAAGATCCCTGTGCATGAATCTTTGTCCAAGTTTAGATTATGTTCTGAGGGATAGAGTCCTAGATCTGAGTCAAAAGTTAAGAATATTTTTTATTACTTTTCTACACATTGGCAGATGGCTTTTCAGAAAGGCTGTATCAATTTTATATTCTCAATGCATCCTGTTGCCTGTCTCATGACATTCTTACAAGTGTTAGATATTTTTACTTTTAAGGATCTTTGTAGTGGCATCTCATCTTATTTGGAGGTTTTAATTGTGAGATTTGATTATTTAAATATATTTATTAGCTATTTTTATTTCCTTTATGAATTGTTTAGGTCTCGTCTATTTTTAAATGAACTTTAAAAAATATTTTAGAAACCAGTTGGTGTTTTCTAGACAATCACTAGTCTTAAATAAATACCTCTTGCTACTCATTCTTGGGCAAAATCAAGTTGCCCATATGGGAAAAAAAAAATGGTACAGTACTACTCATCATTTACAACTCAGTCCTTCTGACTTTAGATGTAAAAGGAGCATTTCATGTTCTGCTTCCAGAGTGTTCTCTGAAATATGACAATATCTGCCAGGTTGGTGGTTACACAGGTTTCTTGTCCCTAAGTTTTAGTGGCTTTGAAGAATGACTGAATCTCTCTGAGGTGATTTCGAAATCTCCATGATGAATTTTATAATTCAGTGAAGCCCAGGTTTCAAGTTAGAGCATTACAAACTTAAAAATCAGTAAAACTCAGTCCTAGTTTTGTCGCAGTTGTGGCTACAACAGTAAATTCCAGTTAATTATATTTGTCATAATTGTGGCTTACTTTCCACAGCTTGTGTGTTTATATATGTATGTAGGTATGTCCATGTATTACGTATACATATATATATAGAGAGAAGCTTTAATCTCTTTTATAGTCAAAGCTACTGAAATTTTTCTTTAGTTTTCTTCCATTAAAAGCCTTTCTTAAAACACACAGCATTATGGAAACTCTAGACAGCCTCGGTGCCTTACTCTGAGGGATGTACAAGAAACATTTTTCCAGTGATGGAAAGATTCTTACCTATACCCAGTGAGAGGAAAGAGAGCATTTGAAGACCTTTGACTTTGAGAGTTTATGAAAGAATGAAATCACTGTCTGACTGGCAGTGGAGCTGGCATTTGCACCGCTTCATGTAATTTGTGAGTCTGCCTATATCTTGGTTCAAAATAATCTACCCTGTTTCTGATTCTAATAGCAGCAATTCACAGCTGGATGGTAGCAGTATTTCCATAAGGAATTGTTCATATTTCTCTGCAGAAGAGTTGATAGGTTATGCTCTTGGACCATTTCCACATGTGAGCAAGTCAATGTAATTACATTAGTTAGAATGTGGCTTTGATAGTATCTTTCTAATTTTGTTCATTTTGAGGATAATCTTGTCTTGCCAGTGATATTCTACACATCTTCCTTTCATCCTAGGGCCACAACTTTTTCACAGTGTCTCATAACTTTCTAGTGAATGATGACTGTAGTATTTTCATTCTATAAACATAGAGACTAAGAGTCAGGCATATGCCTTACCAGACATCTCAGTTACAAGACTGTGCCTAGCCTACCAGGTTTTCTTATTCCCAGAAGTAGCCTTTCTCTAAACCACATTGCATTGCCTTCCTTAAAAACGGTAATAATTGGGACCAGTCATCTCCTTGCATCTGCATAACAGTGCTGAAAAGATCTGCCCTGTAGACCTGATTCTACCTGATTTTGAAGAGATTCCCTTAGTTATGATGTGTCAAGGCCACTGCATTCTCAAGACACTAGGGATAAAGATATGCAAAATTTGTCACTAGAATTGGATATGTTGGATGTTGACAATCCCCTCGTAAAACTCAAACTTCTTTTTTTTTTTTTCTAATGATCCTGGGCAGTATCTATTCCAAGTCTTCTCTTGTGAACTAAAAAGTAAAGTTAAATTCATGACTTGAATTATGCGTTGGGTGACTGCCATCATATTTGCCTTTAAATACTTCCCGTATAGCATATATGTGCTTGGGAATGTGCAGCAATTGAAGTCTAGAAGTCATTCTCCAAGTCTAATCCCGCATCCACAGAGGTAAAGAAATTAAGCAGAAACAGAAATTAGCACGTTTGTATGTCTATTATAACTTATTTTCAAATATATAGATAAAACGAGGATTTTTTTGTTAGCTTTAATCTTACCGATTTCTTTTCTCATGTTTGAAAATCTTAGAACGTGAAAAAAGCATTTGTATGAAAGACCCTTTCTGTATGTTACGTTGTATTTTAGTATTCTTTTACTACTTTTGCTACTTTGAGCTGGGCTTGAAGTCAGAACAACGTAGTATGGACCACAAAATATTTTCAGTTAATTTAGGCCTGTCTGTGGTCAAATCTTGGCTAACCATCTTAATTCCTCGGTATTTGCAATATGTCTTATGTGAGAAAAGGGACTGGCCAAAAGCAAAACCAACCAACCAAACAATAGCAAAGAGGTGTCATTCAAGAGAGACTTCTGAGGGAAATCTTTAGGGTTGTAATTAGGGCCCCCAAACATTGCTTGTTGGAATTGGTACCATATAGCTTATTGCCAACAGAGTAATTGTACAAGTTAAAAAATTATTTTACATAAATAAGCTTTCAGAAGCATTGCTGAATTTTTGGCCAGGATTACCAACTGTTTTATGCAAGTATTGAGTAACTTCCCTATGACACAATATCATATCAGCCAGTAAACCCAAAACCATTTAATATTGACAATTACTTCAGAATAATATATTGGGTAAATGAAACGAAATTGACCATCTTAAAATGAGCTTTTCCCATCATTTTGCATGGATTTGCTGTTAGTGAAAGTAGTACATATTTAACTCACAACTACATAATTTACACGAAGCTTTCTTGTGAATGTGAAAAGCTTTCTTTAACATATATTCTTTAACATATATTCAGTATTAAAATCTAGTAAGATAAGCTTTATTTTTCCATTCACTTAATTTCAATTTGCTTTTAAAAGAAACTCCAGGCTTTATATCAATTAAACATAAACCAAATGAATTTAAAATGTAGTCAGTAATGATTTTTTAAACTAAGGATTTTGTTGTTTAGAGAAAATACAGAACAAAAACTTCTTCATAACACTTTATAATTGAAGCTTTTAAAATATGCTATATTTTGTATTAAATATTTCATTTTTCTGCCCTCCTTTGGTGTGTCTCATCATTAGAGATAATGTTACTAAATAGTTGTAACTTTACAGCTGCTTTGATTAATGATGGCTTGAACTAAGGTTTCATGGGGTAGGATTAACTACGTTTCAAGATGGCAAACTGCCATTATAACATTAATGCCAGAATTTAATGAGAACCAGAAGTTAGCTTTAAGGACCTTTATAATTTAATATGGGGGCATGATCATGTTCTCATTGTTTTAATGCAATGTCCTATTAAACATAAGTTATTCTTTTAAATCTTTTTTTCTTGTGATAAAAAGATGTAAAAACATTTGCTCAGCAAATGTTTATTGACTATCGACTAAGTGCCAGTCACTGTGCTAGGGTCTTGAAGAGTAAGCCTGTTTTCCATCCTTAAAACAGATCCTTTCTGATCAGAAAGAACAGAAATAAGAAACATCTACCTTATTTAGAAATCTCATGGCCTTCCTTAACCTTGTATGACTCTGGTTTCCTAATTCATGTATCTCCCTAGACTCTGGTCTGTTTCCTTTTCATTTTTGACATCAGCCTCCTTCTCCATAGGCTAGATTGAAAAATTGGCCTGCTATATGCCTGGAATGAAAGGGTCTGGGTTATGTAATTTTACAGGTATGGGAAGGATGAAGAGCACAAAACTGAATGTCCTGTTCCCTATTCGTAGTACTGATTACTGTGCTGTCAAATAGCTACACCTTACAGGAAGAGAAAAGTTAAGCTTTATAGAATTACAAGATAAAATTTGAAGTAGGGAAAGTAAGAGAGGAAGAACAGCCAACAGGATTCTTTCTTGTTCATTGAGACAAAAGTCTTCCTGTACTGAAGGTGTGTAGGGGTGACTTACTTTCTGTAAAATGCAGGAGACCTTTAAAGCCCTTTTCTGTTCTAAAAATCCTCTGATTTCTGTGTGTTTAGAACTCAAAGAGGTGATGGACCTAAGACAGATGTCTCATGTTCTTTATTCTTTTTTCTCAAAATCTTATGTGTACAAAGGTTGAGACCTTATAAAGTAAGACTGTAAAACTATAACCACAGATGGAGGAAGTAAAATATAGCAGAGGCAAAGAAAAAAACAGCATTTAAAAAATTCCTGCTGGAGGAAAACCTCAACTAGTTAGCTTGTAGCCTGGGCTTCCTAGTGGCTAAGGCAAAGAAGAGAAATACTTGGTATGATCGTCTGGTAGTTAGACACATACCACCAGTTTATCAAAACAAATAAGCATTCTTCTTGCTCTCCATTAATAACAACAACTTGTCCAGGGGATTTGGATAAGAAGCCATAAGGTATATAATGAATGATGTCTCCATGAATTTTTATAGAAAATAAAGGATTGCACATATGTCATTTTATACATTGGTATTTGGAATATGGAGGAAATAATGTTAAAAGCAAGACTCTTTTTCCCCCATGGGGAAAGGGAGAGAGGAGTTTGAAACTTCTGGTATGTTTGCTATAGATAGATGCTTATTTTCTTTTGACCCACTGACACGTGGAGCAGTAGTAAGATGTAAAGATGTGTAGAAAAGGGTAGCATTGTTAGAAGTAGGAGGGAATAAATGGAATTTTTGTGGCAGGATGATATTTGAAAGACGGATCAGGCCACTGGGAGGTTTTTCAATATGCCAGTTCCCTGTAACAGGAAAATCAGTCTCTGTTTTAGACAGCATATCTAATTTAGTAAATTATTATTATTCTGTCAAAATTAATGTGAACAATTTTCTCTTTGAGGCTTTTTCCATAGGTGATGTTTTCCAGATGGGCTTTGTGCAAAACTCCCAATATTTTTGTGTTTTCTTTCCTAGAGAAAGAGCCATTTCTGACATCTCTTCTTTTCTTTCCTTCATTGCAGGGAAGAGAACACCAAAGGCGAAGGAGAAGAGGAACAAGAAAAAGAAAAGGAAGCTGATAGAAAGGGCCCAGGAGCAACACAGCGTCTTCCTAGCTACAGACAGAGCTAACCAATAAAACAAGAGATCCGGTAGATTTTTAGGGGTTTTTGTTTTTGCAAATGTGCACAAAGCTACTCTCCACTCCTGCACACTGGTGTGCAGCCTTTGTGCTGCTCTGCCCAGTATCTGTTCCCAGTAACATGGTGAAAGGAAGCACCACCAGCATGGCCCCTGTGTTATTTATGCTTTGATTTGAATCTGGAGACTGTGAAGGCAGGAGTAAGTGCACAGCCCGTGACTTGGCTCAGTGTGTGCTGAGAGAATCCGTCCCCGGCACCATGGACATGCTAGAGGTGTGAGGCTGCAGAACACCGCTGGAGGACGGACTTGTGCCTATTTATGTGAAAGAAGATGCTTGGCAGGCAATGCGCTACTCACTCGTGACCTTTATTTCTCACATTGTGCATTTTCAAGGATATGTTTGTGTGGATATCTGCTTAGTGTTACCACATGGTATTCTCAGCATGTTACCTTCACACTGTTGTGCGATGAAACTGCTTTTAGCTGAGGATATGCTCTGGAAATTCCTGCTCAGTTTCACTGCAGCCCTAATATGTACATATACTGCAGGAGCTACATATAAAGCTCTTATTTACTGTATATTTATGCTTTCTTGTGGGTAACAAGTCATACCTGATTAATATGATGCCACTTTGTTTCTAGTGGTTCCTAACCCATTGTCTGATAAATGACTTTTCTAGTTTGGGGAATTGACACTTGTTTTGTTGCCTCTTGAAACTTTTTTTTTTTCCCCTCATTGTGGGCTTATTTCTCATTGTAAGGGTAGGATAAACTAGTTTTTGTATATAGAGTCAAATGACCAGTGTCAAAGAGTTTGCATATTGGGTAGACCTTCTCCACTCCACATGTCCCACACATATAGATAAAGCAGCAGGCGGCATCTGGCAATCAGAAGCCCAAACTGCCTTTGAGTCTAAGATGTGATGACTTTGATGAAACACAACTGAAAACATGAGGGACTATATCCAGTCACTTGTAGCCAGTTTCACAGGCCAGCTACAGAATTGTCCAAACAAACATTATTTCTGACTGCAATTTTTTTCCCCCAAATTTAAAGCAATCCCTGGCTTTAAATGACAAGGCACCTACCAATGTTCTTGGGTCACTGAAGAAGCTACTACCATGAGCCTGGGCATAGAATTTTAGGAGATAAAAGGATGAATTTCTGTGACTGCCAGTCAGATCTTAACAGGTTTCTGTTGAGCCAGAATCTGTTTCAGATCCAAGATGGAGAGGAACACTATGGAAACTTCCCAGGTGACTTTCAGAGCAGTTGTTTCAAACACATCATTGTCCTTTTAGGGGAACCAGTTTTTAGAAGGTTGTGAATTGGCTTTTTCACAAAGCATGATTATCTTCCTGGCTGATCCAGGAGAAAATTAGAACAGAAAAATAATGGTTGTGGATTTTGAAACAAAGCAAGGTAAAGCCTTTTTTTTTTCACCTTGCATTGGCAAAACTACCTCTTCAGTGTTTTTAACTTTTGATTCAAAAGCATCTTACCAATAAGGATAAATATCATATACATCGTTATGAAAATATTGCTATGAGATAATAAGCCACATATGAATGTTGTATACAACTTTAGGGTTTACATTTAATCCTGAAGTGTTACCTCCTTTCATGTCTATTTACACTATTTTCCCATTTACTAAGTGGGGAGGGGGTCTCCTTATATAGTGCTTCATCGTTAATAAGTCAATACCTGTTGTTCCTGGGATGTTCTTTTTTGTGCATTAAAAACTTCAAAATTATTTTTTGTGGAGATTTCTTTTTTACTTTAGAGATACATTTAGAAATAACTCAGTACTTTGTTCTACCCCCAAAATAACAGCCCTTTAAAAAAGACAGGCAAATCTTTAAAAACCTATATTGGTAACTACATCTAGAACACTAACTAACTAGTTTATAGATAAACTAGATAACTGTAAACTAGAGTCCAAGTGCCCGAGTTCTAATCCAGACTGAGAGTGGCCTGTGAAAATTACTTAATCCCTCCACTCTCAGTTTCCTTATCTGTGAAATGGGGATCACATTATCATCTGCCTCTAGGGGCTGTGTTTTAAGGACCAAATGAAAATATATACAGGGAAATATATACAGGGTTGTACTTTAAGGATATAATTAGGTAAAATGTGTAAAGTATGGTCACCACGGCATTCTATATACTAAGTACTATACAAGTTGGTCACCTATTACATCTTTCAATGGCTATTTAGATTCTTTTAAAAAATATTGATTTCTCCTTATTAACAAAATAGAACATTTATGAAAAGTATCAATCTAATCTATTGCTTGGTGCCTGGGCATTATTTGCTAAAACATTTACATCTGCTTGATTTCTGACTCTCCCTGATATAAGCAGCATACACACACAGATACACACAAAACTGAATTCTTTCCTCTATCAATCAGTACGGGTGCAATCAAGGAAATAAACTAGTCGGGGTGTTTCAAATGGGGAATTTAACACCAGAAATTGGTTATACAGGTGATAAAGGAGACACGAAGCCAAAATATGTTGCCAAGATGACCCAGAGATTAGCAACAGCAGGAGGCACTATTTTACCCCTAATGCAAGAGGAATTACAAGAAGAGGTGGAGTTTCCAAAATCTAGAAGCCACAGGTGCCCAGCTAGACTTAGAACCATAGCTGAGGCTAGAGCTATAACCACAGAAGGAGCTGGAACTGAGGACAGAAAGCTTGTTTGGTAGGAGCTGAAATATTGTAGATGATCTTGTTGCTGTGAGAAATGCTGCTTGAGGCAAATTCATAGAGGAGGAAATAGCCTGGCTTCTCCCTATCTCCCAACCTCCAGTCTTCCACCAGTGCCCGCTATTGCCCAAAGCTGCCCAGAAGCCAGTAGGCAAGGGAGTCTGGGTAACACAGTTTTCTGTGGTTCAGAAGAGCCTGAGGGAAGGGCAGCGGGTAGATCTAAGAGCAACCAAATGATCGGCATAATCACTGATAACTGCCTTCAACTGTTCCCCTTCCTGCTTTTCCTATTGGACAGTTAATTATTTACCTAGTTGATTAAAGGCTCTTGTATTCGTCATTTACTTCCTTTGTTCCCTACATCTAGTCAGTTACTAATGAGTTTACCTTGGAAATATCTCTTGATTTTCTCCGTACCCCTTTACTTTCTTTGCCCAAGGCTGGTCCTCTTTGTCTCTTTTTCTGGACTGTTCCACTCTTCCTAGACATCATTCTTGCCCCCACCTTCACTCACTCCAATTATTCCTTTGTATTTCTATCACTTATTTTTCTATTAACAATTTTTTACTGCTTTTTAAAAAAATACTTTCCCATTCCCTATAGAATAAAATTTTGCAATTCTTCAGTGCCCTTTTAATGTCATCTTCACCCATGTATCTTACAGAGATCAACAAAAGACTGAATGGGGTGGAAGACTGTGGTAAAATCTTCAAGGGTTCCTTGATGGTAAACTTGGACATGCTCACTGTATTAGTTGATACCCCTTGAATCACAAAGACAGAAATGCAAGGGCAGACATGGCTTTAAAAGTAGATGATATTAGCATGTGTTGGTTTCTGATAAAAATGTAGGTGATAAACATTAAATCTTGAAATCTCCAATTCTTGTTTTACTTCTTATTAAAACAAAATGGATCTTTATTTTAGGCCCAAACCTAAAGTGAAATATTGAACATTCAAAAAGCAAATGTTTTTTCTACATACAGTTTCTCTTTCTAGGTTCATTTACATGGGTAGCACCACTACCTTCTAGCATTCCCTTGACTGAGAGGTTGAAGAAGCTGAAAAATGTGTGATGAATAAAGATTTTGATGGATTTCCATATTCATCTCTGATGAATCATTACAGCAAACTGCCATGTGCCATTTTCTCCTGCTCTAGCAGACATTGTTACTCACTGTCTCTCTACCTCTGAGCAAGACATGTAGATTCAGAATCCTTCCCAACAAAAGTGTTCCAAGAAAACATTACCAATATATTGGAATTGACAGGGGAGTTACAACTTTTTGCTTTCCGGGTTCAACTTAATGCCCTAGAGAGTGACTTCACCCAGACACCCTCTTTGGAGCACTCCATGACTTATTTTTCAAACATTTCCGCTAATACCCTTACAGGCAGAGAAGAACAAATTCATAACTCTGGAATTATAACCTGAAGCAGCCTCATTTTAATCCTGATTTTAAAATAATTCACGTGAATATTGCATTCTACTCAATAAAATGCCTATTTTTAAATGCAAAATTATTCCCCTATCCTTTGACATTCCCTCCGAAAACCTTGGAGCAAAATCACATTTCAGGAAGATGTTCTATGTTTATTCAGTCCTAGGTTTTACATACTCCTTGGCAAGTAGTTCCTTGTCCCTGGAAAAATACATATCTTCATTTAAGAATCTGAAGAGTAGTTCTTTGGTAGTGTTCACAAATGGCTTTACCAACTAACTCCTCCTTGGGTTTTATGACCTCAGGCTCCCCAGGTGCACATTCAACTTTAATTTGATTCTTTTTCTACTGGCTTCCTTTCTCCTCTTTTCTACTTTAGTTATGATTCAGCCACAAGCTGCCTTCCCTCTGTTTTTGAGAAAAGAGGTAGCAATCTTTTTCTGTAAAGGGCCAGAGAGTAAATATTTTAGGCTTTGTGGACCACACTATCTCAGTGGCAGCTACTCAGCTGTTATAGCAGAAAAGCAGCCATATTCAGTATGTAAATGAATGGGGATGACTATGTTGCAATACAACTTTATCTAAACTTAAATGTGAATTTCATAGTTCTCACATGTCATAATATATTCTTTTGTGTTGCAGGAAGTCAGGGACTCTGAACAGAGGGACTGGCTGAAGCCATGGCTGAAGAACATAAATTGTGAAGATTTCATGGACATTTATTAGTTCCCCAAATTAATACATTTATAATTTCTTATGCCTGTCTTTACTGCAATCTCTGAACACAAATTGTGAAGATTTCATGGACATTTATCACTTCCCCAATCAATACTCTTGTGATTTCCTATGCCTGTCTTTACTTTAATCTCTTAATCCCATCATCTTTGTAAGATGAGGATGTATGTCATCTCAGAACCCTGTGATGATTGCATTAACTGCACAAATTGTTTATAGAGCATGTGTGTTTGAACAATATGAAATATGGGCACCTTAAGAACAGGATAGGAGGGAGGAGCCAAGATGGCCGAATAGGAACAGCTCCGGTCTACAGCTCCCAGCGTGAGCAATGCAGAAGACAGGTGATTTCTGCATTTCCATCTGAGGTACCAGGTTCATCTCACTAGGGAGTGCCAGACAGTGGGCGCAGGTCAGTGGGTGTGCGCACTGGGCACGAGCTGAAGCAGGGTGAGGCATTGCCTCACTCGGGAAGCACAAGGGGTCAGGGAGTTCCCTCTCCCAGTCAAAGAAAGGGGAGACAGACGGCACCTGGAAAATTGGGTCACTCCCACCCTAATACTGCGCTTTTCCAACGGGCTTAAAAAACGGCGCACCTGGAGATTATATCCCGCACCTGGCTCAGAGGGTCCTACGCCCACGGAGTCTCGCTGATTGCTAGCACAGCAGTCTGAGATCAAACTGCAAGGCGGCAGCGAGGCTGGGGGAGGGGCGCCTGCCATTGCCCAGGCTTGCTTAGGTAAACAAAACAGCCGGGAAGCTCGAACTGGGTGGAGCCCACCACAGCTCAAGGAGGCCTGCCTGCCTCTGTAGGCTCCACCTCTGGGGGCAGGGCACAGACAAACAAAAAGACAGCAGTAACCTCTGCAGACTTAAATGTCCCTGTCTGACAGCTTTGAAGAGAGCAGTGGTTCTCCCAGCACACAGCTGGAGATCTGAGAATGAACGGGCAGACTGCCTCCTCAAGTCGGTCCCTGACCCCTGACCCCCGAGCAGCCTAACTGGGAGGCACTCCCCAGCAGGGGCAGACTGACACCTCACACTGCCGGGTACTCCAACAGACCTGCAGCTGAGGGTCCTGTCTGTTAGAAGGAAAACTAACAAACAGAAAGGACATCCACACCAAAAACCCATCTGTACATCACCATGATCAAAGACCAAAAGTAGATAAAACCACAAAGATGGGGAAAAAACAGAGCAGAAAAACTGGAATCTCTAAAAAGCAGAGCGCCTCTCCTCCAAAGGAATGCAGTTCCTCACCAGCAACGGAACAAATCTGGACGGAGAATGACTTTGACGAGCTGAGAGAAGAAGGCTTCAGACGATCAAATTACTCCGAGCTACGGGAGGACATTCAAACCAAAGGCAAAGAAGTTGAAAACTTTGAAAAAAATTTAGAAGAATGTATAACTAGAATAACCAATACAGAGAAGTGCTTAAAGGAGCTGATGGAGCTGAAAACCAAGGCTCCAGAACTACGTGAAGAATGCAGAAGCCTCAGGAGCCGATGCGATCAACTGGAAGAAAGGGTATCAGCTATGGAAGATGAAATGAATGAAATGAAGCGAGAAGGGAAGTTTAGAGAAAAAAGAATAAAAAGAAACGAGCAAAGCCTCCAAGAAATATGGGATTATGTGAAAAGACCAAATCTACGTCGGATTGGTGTACCTGAAAATGACAGGGAGAATGGAACCAAGTTGGAAAACACTCTGCAGGATATTATCCAGGAGAACTTCCCCAATCTAGCAAGGCAGGCCAACATTCAAATTCAGGAAATACAGAGAATGCCACAAAGATACTCCTCAAGAAGAGCAACTCCAAAACACATAATTGTCAGATTCACCAAAGTTGAAATGAAGGAAAAAATGTTAAGGGCAGCCAGAGAGAAAGGTCGGGTTACCCTCAAAGGGAAGCCCATCAGACTAACAGCAGATGTCTCGGCAGAAACCCTACAAGCCAGAAGACAGTGGGGGCCAATATTCAACATTCTTAAAGAAAAGAATTTTCAACCCAGAATTTCATATCCAGCCAAACTAAGCTTCATAAGTGAAGGAGGAATAAAATACTTTACAGACAAGCAAATGCTGAGAGATTCTGTCACCACCAGGCCTGCCCTAAAAGAGCTCCTGAAGGAAGCTCTAAACATGGAAAGGAACAACCGGTACCAGCTGCTGCAAAATCATGCCAAAATGTAAAGACCATCGAGACTAGGAAGAAACTACATGAACTAATGAGCAAAATAACCAGCTAACATCATAATGACAGGATCAAATTCACACATAACAATATTAACTTTAAATGTAAATGGACTAAATGCTCCAATTAAAAGACACAGACTGGCAAATTGGATAAAGAGTCAAAACCCATCAGTGTGCTGTATTCAGGAAACCCATCTCACGTGCAGAGACACACATAGGCTCAAAATAAAAGGATGGAGGAAGATCTACCAAGCAAATGGAAAACAAAAAAAGGCAGGGGTTGCAATCCTAGTCTCTGATAAAACAGACTTTAAACCAACAAAGATCAAAAGAGACAAAGAAGGCCATTACATAATGGTAAAGGGATCAATTCAACAAGAGCTAACTATCCTAAATATATATGCACCCAATACAGGAGCACCCAGATACATAAAGCAAGTCCTGAGTGACTTACAAAGAGACTTAGACTCCCACACATTAATAATGGGAGACTTTAACACCCCACTGTCAACATTAGACAGATCAATGAGACAGAAAGTCAACAAGGATATCCAGGAATTGAACTCAGCTCTGCACCAAGCGGACCTAATAGACATCTACAGAACTCTCCACCCCAAATCAACAGAATATACATTTTTTCAGCACCACACCACACCTATTCCAAAATTGACCACATACTTGGAAGTAAAGCTCTCCTCAGCAAATGTAAAAGAACAGAAATTATAACAAACTATCTCTCAGACCACAGTGCAATCAAACTAGAACTCAGGATTAAGAATCTCACTCAAAACTGCTCAACTACATGGAAACTGAACAACCTGCTCCTGAATGACTACTGGGTACATAACAAAATGAAGGCAGAAATAAAGATGTTCTTTGAAACCAACGAGAACAAAGACACAACATACCAGAATCTCTGGGACACATTCAAAACAGTGTGTAGAGGGAAATTTATAGCATTAAATGCCCACAAGAGAAAGCAGGAAATATCTAAAATTGACACCCTAACATCACAATTAAAAGAACTAGAAAAGCAAGAGCAAACACATTCAAAAGCTAGCAGAAGGCAACAAATAACTAAAATCAGAGCAGAACTGAAGGAAATAGAGACACAAAAAACCCTTCAAAAAATTAATGAATCCAGGAGCTGCTTTTTTGAAAGGATCAACAAAATTGATAAACCGCTAGCAAGACTAATAAAGAAAAAAAGAGAGAAGAATCAAATAGATGCAATAAAAAATGATAAAGGGGATATCACCACCAATCCCACAGAAATACAAACTACCATCAGAGAATACTACAAACACCTCTACGTAAATAAACTAGAAAATCTAGAAGAAAGGAATAAATTTCTCGACACATACACTCTCCCAAGACTAAACCAGGAAGAAGTTGAATCTCTGAATAGACCAATAACAGGCTCTGAAATTGTGGCAAGAATCAATAGCTTACCAACCAAAAAGAGTCCAGGACCAGATGGATTCACAGCCGAATTCTACCAGAGGTACCAGGAGGAACTGGTACTATTCCTTCTGAAACTATTCCAATCAATAGAAAAAGAGGGAATCCTCCCTAACTCATTTTATGAGGCCAGCATCATCCTGATACCAAAGCCGGGCAGAGACACACCAAAAAAGAGAATTTTAGACCAATATCCTTGATGAACATTGATGCAAAAATCCTCAATAAAATACTGGCAAACAGAATCCAGCAGCACATCAAAAAGCTTATCCACCATGATCAAGTGGGCTTCATCCCTGGGATGCAAGGCTGGTTCAATATACGCAAATCAATAAATGTAATCCAGCATATAAACAGAACCAAAGACAAAAATCACATGATTTTCTCAATAGATGGAGAAAAGGCCTTTGACAAAATTCAACAACTCTTCATGCTAAAAATTCTCAATAAATTAGGTATTGATGGGACATATTTCAAAATAATGAGAGCTATCTATGACAAACCCACAGCCAATATCATACTGAATGGGCAAAAACTGGAAGCATTCCCTTTGAAAACTGGCACAAGACAGGGATGCCCTCTCTCACCACTCCTATTCAACATAGTGTTGGAAGTTCTGGCCAGGGCAATTAGGCAGGAGAAGGAAATAGAGGGTATTCAATTAGGAAAAGAGGAAGTCAAATTGTCCCTGTTTGCAGACGACATGATTTTATATCTAGAAAACCCTATTGTCTCAGCCCAAAAATCTCCTTAAGCTGATAAGCAACTTCAGCAAAGTCTCAGGATACAAAATCAATGTACAAAAATCACAAGCATTATACACCAACAACAGACAAACAGAGAGCCAAATCATGAGTGAACTCCCATTCACAATTGCTTCAAAGAGAATAAAATACCTAGGAATCCAACTTACAAGTGATGTGAAGGACCTCTTCAAGGAGAACTACAAACCACTGCTCAAGGAAATAAAAGAGGATACAAACAAATGGAAGAACATTCCATGCTCATGGGTAGGAAGAATCAATATAGTGAAAATGGCCATACTGCCCAAGGTAATTTACAGATTCAATGCCATCCCCATCAAGCTACCAATGACTTTCTTCACAGAATTGGAAAAAACTACTTTAAAGTTCATATGGAACCAAAAAAGAGCCCGCATTGCCAAGTCAATCCTAAGCCAAAAGAACAAAGCTGGAGACATCACACTACCTGACTTCAAACTATACTACAAGGCTACAGTAACCAAAACAGCATGGTACTGGTACCAAAACAGAGATATAGATCAATGGAACAGAACAGAGCCCTCAGAAATAATGCCACATATCTACAACTATCTGATCTTTGACATACCTGAGAAAAACAAGCAATGGGGAAAGGATTCCCTATTTAATAAATGGTGCTGGGAAAACTGGCTAGCCATATGTAGAAAGCTGAAACTGGATCCCTTACTTACACCTTATACAAAAATCAATTCAAGATGGATTAAAGACTTAAACGTTAGACCTAAAACCATAAAAACCCTAGAAGAAAACCTAGGCATTACCATTCAGGACATAGGCATGGGCAAGGACTTCATGTCTAAAACACCAAAAGCAATGGCAACAAAAGCCAAAATTGACAAATGGGATCTAATTATACGAAAGAGCTTCTGCACAGCAAAAGAAACTACCATCAGAGTGAACAGGTAACCTACAAAATGGGAGAAAATTTTTGCAACCTACTCATCCGACAAAGGGCTAATATCCAGAATCTACAATGAACTCAAACAAATTTACAAGAAAAAAATAAACAACCCCATCAAAAAGTGGGCAAAGGACATGAACAGACACTTCTCAAGAGAAGATATTTATGCAGCCAAAAAACACATGAAAAAATGCTCACCATCACTGGCCATCAGAGAAATGCAAATCAAAACCACAATGAGATACCATCTCACACCATTTAGAATGGCAATCATTAAAAAGTCAGGAAACAACAGGTGCTGGAGAGGATGTGGAGAAATAGGAACAGTTTTACACTGTTGGTGGGACTGTAAACTAGTTCAACCATTGTGGA
This sequence comes from Homo sapiens, assembly GCF_000001405.40. Taxonomy (NCBI): domain Eukaryota; kingdom Metazoa; phylum Chordata; class Mammalia; order Primates; family Hominidae; genus Homo; species Homo sapiens. The sequence goes on along the minus strand of NC_000008.11, from coordinate 107,890,463 downwards.
AGTCAGTGTGGCGATTCCTCAGGGATCTAGAACTAGAAATACCATTTGACCCAGCCATCCCATTACGGGGTATATACCCAAAGGAATATAAATCATGCTGCTATAAAGACACATGCACACGTATGTTTATTGCGGCATTATTCACAATAGCAAAGACTTGGAACCAACCCAAATGTCCAACAATGATAGACTGGATTAAGAAAATGTGGCACATATACACCATGGAATAATATGCAGCCATAAAAAATGATGAGTTCATGTCCTTTGTAGGGACATGGATGAAATTGGAAATCATCATTCTCAGTAAACTATCGCAAGAACAAAAAACCAAACACCGCATATTCTCACTCATAGGTGGGAATTGAACAATGAGAACACATGGACACAGGAAGGGGAACATCACACTCTGGGGCCTGTTGTGGGTTGGGGCGAGGGGGGAGGGATAGCATTGGGAGATATACCTAATGCTAGATGACGAGTTAGTGGGTGCAGCGCACCAGCATGGCACATGTATACATATGTAACTAACCTGCACATTGTGCACATGTACCCTAAAACTTAAAGTATAATAATAAAAAATAAAAATAAAAAATATACAAATGAACTCCAAGTCAAAAAAAAAAAAAAAACAAAAAAGAACAGGATAACAGTGATTTTCAGGGAACAAGGGAGATAAGCTTGAAGTCTGGCTGCCTGTAGGCCGGGCAGGACAGAGCCATATTCTTATTACCGAAAATGGGTAAGAGAAATATCACTGAATTCTTTCCGCAGTAAGGAATATTAATAATTAATAGCCCTGGGAAAAGAATGCATTCCCAGGGCGGGGCCTCTAAAATGGCTGCCCTGGAAGTGTCTGCCTTATGCAGATGTAGATAGGGATGAAACACACCCTAGTCTCCTGCATCACCCCCAGGCTTGCTAGGATTAGGAAATTCCAGCCCGGCGAATTCTAGTCAGACCGGTTCTCTGCTCTTGAACCCTGTTAAGATATTTATCAATGACAATGCGTGCACAGAGGGACATGGAAGTTCATTAGTGATACTAGTTTTACCCTGAACTTGTGATCTTGCCCTGCCTCCATTTGCCTTGTAATATTTTATTACCTTGTGAAGCATGTGATCTCTGTGACCCACTATTTGTACACTCCCTCTCGTTTGAAAGTTGTTAATAAAAACTTGCTGGTTTTACGTCTCAGGGGGCATCACGGAACCTGCCAACATGTGATGTCTCCCCCAGATACCCAGCTTTAAAATTTCTCTCTTTTGTACTCTTTCCCTTTATTTCTCAGAGCGGCCGACACTTAGGGAAATAGAAAAGAAACTTTGTGAAATAACATTGAATTATTGGGGGTGGTTTCCTCTGATACTTTTGACTCTTGGCAACCACTTAAAAAGTGTAAAATTGTTAGCTCATCAGCCATGCAAAAATAGGTGGCCAGCCTGGATTTGGTCCACAGACTGGATTTGTTGACCCCTGGTATACAAGATAACTCGATGGCTCATGAAGTGTCTTTGAAAACTGTGAAAGCCTATCTCTAACTCTGTCTCAGCTACATACACTCTGCTTCTGGTAGAAGCCCAATAACTGTGTTGAATGCAGATGGCATTTTAACTACCCTGTGTATGGAAATAAATTCCAACTTTATAATGCCACTCTTGAAGTCTCTAGTTCTTATTTTGATTTTTCCTGGCCATAGGATATTATATTTGTTTTGAGCCCAAACCTTAAGTGAAATGTTAAAAATGTAAAAAGTGAATTTTTTTTTCTGCATAAGTTCTCTCCTAACTTCTTCATTGATATAAGTAGTACCACTGCCTTTTAGTGTACTCTACACCCCTGCGTTCTAATAAGAGAATAGCTTCTATCTCTTTTTCATCAAGACCACTCCATCCTTTCTGTAATATGTGTCAGTGGTGCAGTCTTCCCTTGCTCTCGTAGCCCAATTTACATGAATTAAGGTTATGGACGCACACACAGCCAAGAAAACTCTTTCAAAAAATAAGTATTTGAATGCCCTTTCTGGCTTCCTTACTTGCTCTGGAATCCATAATTCCTTACCTGTTTTTCCCATTATCTTATCTTTTCCTTATGAGAGTCTGGCCCCCATTTTATGCCTATCCTATGAAAATTGAGTACGCACTGAATGCCTTTTAAGAGTAAAACCTTGTAGACAATGGTAGCAGTACCCCCATTCTCTAGCTTGTTCATTTCATCTGCTAAGTAATTTTTAGGCCAATGTTTTGTGTCATCTTGAGCCCTTCTACTACAGAGACAGTAGAATAAGTGATGTGATAATGGAGGAGGCATCAAGGAAGGCATCTCTGGGGAAGTGTGATTTTGCATGAAATCTGAATAATGAATGTATAGAAGTCTAAGAACAGTCCAGACACTGGAAACAACCTGTGTGAAGGTCCCGAAGTGCAAACAGGGTCAGCAAGATCAAAGTACAGTCAAAAAGGAAGAGTTGCTAGAGTATAGTTAGGAGGAGAATGGAACCAACATGAGGTCAGAAGTAATCAAAACCAAGGTCATGAAGGGCCATGAAAGCTGTAGTGAAAACTTGGATTTGATCTACAGGCTTGGAGAAGTATGGGAGGATTTTAAGGAGGGGAGCAATGTGCTGATTCCCGTGCTGTGTTTACTTTGGCTGCTGTGTGGAAAGTGGATTTTCAGAGTGAAGGCAGAAAGACAAGTTGGCAGTTTATTGCAATAATCAGATGAGAATTAGTGTGACATGAGCTGGTAGATGGTGGTAAAGAAGGAAAGAAGTGGTTGGATTCAGGATATAGTTTGGCAGAAGAGCCCATGAGACTTGCTGATGAGCTAGATGTGGGGTAAAGAAAGACAAGGGACCAAAGAAGTTTCCTAGGCTTCTTGTCCTGAGCAACAGGGTATACAGGGGACACAGGGAAGACAGGATAATAAATAAATCCATTTTTCACATGCTAAGTTTGAGGTGCCTATTGGATATCTATGTGGAGATATCAAGAAGGCAGCTGGATATAAATCTGGAGTTTAGGGAAAAGATCAGGGCTACAGATACAACTTTGGGATATAGCAGTGTGTAGATAGCACTTAGAACCATGGAAGTTTATGGAATAACCCAGAGAGAGAATATTCGAAGGAGATACTTAGGGACAGTCAAAGCTTAGACATCAGCCAGCAAATGAGGCACTAGTAAAGAAATTGAAAAAGTGTCTAGAGAGGAAAACCAGGAGCCAGGAGTCAATAAGAGTGACTAAGAGCTGGGACTCAAGGCTTACATAGTTGCCTTCCCCTTTATTTTACAATGAAAATATCAGAAGATGTGAAAGACAATTAGAAAAAAATTATAATGACTTCAGGTTTTGGTCTTCTCAAATTCATTTCCTCATTGTACACTGCAGGAGTGAAACTTAACAATAGTTTATAATCTCCACGAAAACGGTTTTGAGGTAGAAAGAACATAAAATAATTCAATGTTCAAAAACTTTAGAAATGGCTTTTTGTATAAATGTGTTAATGATACTTAATTTAAGGTTACCATATCACCTACCAATGTCATCTACATTTATGATGAAATAATTATCTAATGACCCTACAAATTTTTTTCTTTCAAATTTAATAAAATATATCAAGTGAACAACAAAACAAGCATTCTGAGAATTATAGGTCCTTGGGTTTGTAATTTTCAACACAAGGACTTTTTTAAACTTGTAATTACTGAGGTACTTTGGTAGCAGCTCTCTGATGTGAGGGCATACATGTTTGAACAGTTAGGTATTGTACACACATGCAATCATGGTATTTAACTGGAAAGCAAGATCGTGGTAAAGTATCTTTCTCACTGTTAGCTGTTTAAAATAGGAAAACTAAAGCTTTAAGTACTTCCATTTCATTTTTAAATTAAATAAACATGTTCCTAATCTTTTTCCCCATCACACATGCTTCACCTGAGTTCCCTCTCTCCTATGTATACTGTCTGGGAAAACTAAATATGGCAGAGACTTCTTGTACTTGTTTACATTCACTTCTCTCCTCTCTGACCACGGAGCAACATCTCATTTCTCAATCCCTTTGCAACTAGATGGGTCTTTGTGACCGATTTTAACCAATGGGATTTGATGGGAAACCATGTGTGTCACTTCAGGGCTGGGACACTTAAGAGCAGGGACGTGATCTACATGATTTCTTTTCTTCTTTGGCTGTGACCACAAAGACAGAACCACAGGGTGAAAGCAGCTTGGATCTCTAAGTTACTGCAGGGAAAAATGTTGTCTTGAATGGCTGCCCAAGCCAAATAGACCTCTGAGCAAAAAAATAAATGCTTATCATTTTAAGCCACTGAAATTCTGGAGTAATTAGTTACCTTTGTAATTAATAACCCAATACAGGGCTTTGCATTCTCTGTATTACAGTTTTTCCATTTGCTTTTTCTTGGGATCAAGAAACTATATGACCTATTAGTTGAAATCTTATCAGTAGATATAGAAAAGCAGAAGAATCAAAGGATATTTCACCAGATAGTCAATGTGCATAAAAGAATTTGAACAAGGACGTTTATTTTTAATGAAGTATCTAATTTTGATGAAAGACACAAATATTCTGATAACGGTGATATAATAATCTGTTGTCAAACTTCTTTAAAGATTCATATATCATTAGATGACCAAGGGAACACATGATTTCTGTTTTTTCCATGTGCCTATTCTATGCAACAGGTGTAGGCAACCTACAAAATTGTATTAGTGATGGCTGATAATTATTCTGTTAATGAGGCTTATCTTTGTATTCTCTCATATCATATCACTGCCTGCCCTCCCTACAAAACATAGCCTCATCCAAATTCCATCTGTCATGGACCGATTTGTCTTCTTCACCCTCCAAAACCCATTGTTGAAGCCCTAACTCCCAGTGCAATTGTATTTGGAGATAGGACCTTTAAGGAAATGATTAAGGCTAAAGTAGGATGTAAGGATGGGGTCCTTTTCCAATAAGACTGTTGTTCTTATGAGAACAGGAAGAGACACCATGAGCATGGGTGCATGGAGAAAAGGCCTTGTGAGGACACAGTGAGTAGATGGTCATCCACAATCAGGGAGAGATGTCTCAGGAGAAACTAAACCTGCTGACAACTTGATCTTACAGCATTCGGAATTATGAGAAATAAATTTCTGTTGTTTGCACCACCCAGTCTGTGGTCTTCTGTTATGGAAACCTTAGCAAACTAATGCACCATCCTTCACAAGGTTCCCCAGAACCATCACCTCCTTCATGTGGCCTTACTGCCCTCACTTATCATCATCGATATCTTCCTCTGAATTTCTGCAGTGAATATAATTTGATACCTAGTAAAACTAACATGCTTCAACTTTTATATTCAATAATCTTATCTCACCATCCTGAGCTGTAAACCCCTTAAAGTGAGAGCTGTATGCTTTGTGTTCCATCTTTTTGTTCTTCAAAATCGCAAATATTGTAGCAATTCAGTAAAGGTTTGGTTATTGGTTAATTGAAAGGATATTAATGGTTCAATATTTTCTTCCAGATTTTTAAACAATTAATTTATTTTTTGGAGACTGAGTTTTGCTCTTTTCGCCCAGGCTAGAGTGTAGTGGCATGGTCTCAGCTCACTGCAACCTCTGCCTCCTGTGTTCAAGTGATTCTCCTGCCTCAGCTTCCAGAATAGCTGGGATTACAGGCGTGCTCCACTGCACTCAGCTAATTTTTGTATTATTAGTAGAGACGGGGTTTCACCATGTTGGCCAGGCTGTTCTCGAACTCCTGACCTCAGGTAATCCAGCTGCCTTGGCCTCCCAAAGTGCTGGAATTACAGGCATGAGCTACTGTGCCTGGCCTGATTTCTTTTCTTAAATCTATAGCACCTGCTATTTCCAGGCAGTCTACCATGCAAGTACTAATAGGCCTAACCCTGCCTAGCTTCTGAGAGCAGGTGAGATCAGGCACGTTCGGGGTGGTGTGGCTGTAGACCTTTCTTATTTTTATTATTTCTAAAATCTGAATAAGCCCAGAATCCCAAGAAGAAAGTTTTTTTGAGAGTCAGCAGAGACAATTTTTTTATATGATTTTTCAGTTATAATATTACATTTTTCTAAAAGATGTGACTACTACACAATGCATTGCTTCCCATTATTTTTATAACCTAAATGTACTTATCTGATTTTGCTCAATGTTTAAAAGGGATAGTAAAGAGGAACCAGGGCAATTTATCTGTATAAATTTACTTCATATTTATCGATGAGTTCTCAATTCAGTGTAGTTTGCAAGGTGACACATGGTCAGTTAACGTTTTAATTAGGGAAGTAGAACTTCTGTTTTAATTTTAAAAACACTTCAATTTTGTGATGAACTAAGTGACTTGGGATGAATCGACATAGGTTTCCTTCACAAGAAGGAAAAAAAGTGGGCTCACCCACATTTAATGATGAGCTGTACTCAGAATGATACTGAGCCACTCTGACCTCTTTCATACATGCATTCATTAAAATAAGTAAATGATCCTATGTGTATTCCTTTAACTCTGTGTTCGTGTCTTCATGTATCTCCTTCTGCCTTTCTCTTCTCCCTTCTCTGATTCCTTCCCTGCCCCTTTGGTCCTGCCATTCTGTGTCTGTTCCTGAAAACAGAAGCTGTTTTCTCCTGTATTTCTAGGCAAAATACTCTTGAAAGTTCTTAGTGTCCTCCAGTTTGTTCTGAAATTATATTATTAAGAGCTTACTGAACAAATCTCAACATTGATCAAATGGAAAAAGGAAGCACCACCAAGTTACAGCTCCAAGCAAAACCACTTTATGAGTGTGTGGCTGGGGTGCACGTTAATGACACCAGTGCCCAGGTGGCCAAATTTATGTCCACCCTCTTGATCTGATAATACAGAGCAGGAGGATGAATTGGTAATGAACCAGGCTGAAAACAGATGGTGACTCCATGTGTGTATGCTGCTGAAAACCTACAAAGGGAAAACATTAAATATGTGTCTTTAAATTTAAATTAGTGCATTTCAAAAACAGACAGTTGAGCTTTTGAAAATAGGCTGGCTGAATGTGTTTCATCTTATAGTTTTGAACTCTGATGTGTTTTGTGGGATAGCAACAGACAAAATGGATGGTATGTTAGTTACCCTTTCTTTACCTCCTCAGTATCAGTGGTGTTCCACTGTAATTAGGTGCTTGTGTGTAGTTCTTTGTCATTAAATTTGCTACACCCTAATTAGGAAATTTAGAAAATTCAAAAGACCACCATCTAAATATTGGCACCAATTATTAAATATATTTTCTCTGATTATATGATTTTTTTTTGCTCCACAATACTGATTGAGTTTAGTGCTGAAATGGTTTGTTTTAAAACATGTTCTTGATGTTAGAACAAACAATATTTTATCAAAGTGAACTAAAATATATAACATTCTACTGGCTATATATATATACTTGTGCTGTATTGGAGATATTTGGGTCTGAATCTATCCAGAAATTATTTCTTTGATTTATACTCAGTAACAAATAAAACTGGTACTCAAATGCCAATCTAAACACATCCCAGAATAATTTGGGGGAAAAGCTACCACAAACTCACCCTATGATTCTGTGAGGGCCTTAGATGATTTAATATGAAACTACATAAAAATGAGTATAGCTGAACATTGGGTAAAGTTTATAGCAAGTCCACAATTTGGTCTGGACTCCCCAGACAATGGAGCTACAGGAACTGGGGCCCAGAAAAAAGAAGGGCAGGAGTGATTCACTCTCTACCTCACATCCCACATCTACCCTGCATAAATCCCCAGGCTGTTATTACCTGAGCAATTTCTTCTGTGTTCTTCCAGGTAAAACTCAAATTGTCCAAGCTCAAGGCAGATTTAATTTACATCTTGGGCATGTTTGAGTTTACCCAGAGTGGCAGGATTTCTTAGCTGTGTCCATTCTATGCTACTGTGTGGACCTTTTAAATATAATCTCACCATTTCTTTTTGGTTGGTATTGATGCTGCTGCTGCTGATGATGATGATTTGGGGAGAGATTATTATTATAACTTTTATTCCCCTTTTGTACAAGGATACTGAAATCTTTAACAAATGTCCTCATCCAGGAAATAAACTGAGTGGTGAATATTGTTGCGGCCTAAGGAAAAAGGGGAAAGTGAGTTGCTAAAGGGGCCTTTTCATAGGGTCCTGGCTCTATTCTCTTTCCCTCCAAATGCTCTACTCCCTGCTTCTCTCCTTTTCTTTCTCTTTTTGCTTGCCCAGTGGCTGTTTCAACTTGAGAAATACAATTTAGGGAAAGTAAGACTCCATGATTTTCATTGGAAATGATGTTATTCACAGCAGAAGAAACTAAAAAGAACAATAAAAATCCTTGCCCCTTGTCACTGTGGTAAATGCGTGAAATAACCAAAATTAAATTTCTAAAGTGTTTGAAAGTCCCAGCAGCTAAAGGTGCAGGTGCATAAAGTCTACAACAGGATGGGAGCATTGGTAAATTCATTATGGTGGTACTTCTGCTCTGTGGTTCAAAAAACCATTGGTTGCTCCTTTTACTAGACTGAAGAATTCATACATAGATTATATGATAAATTCTCTGAAGACAAGGCTCTTTGGTTTAAATCACTGTTTTCCCAGATCACTTAATATAGTATTTTGCATATAATAAGCAGTATTTCTATAGTGATTTACAGTGTTTAATATATGTTTTTTGGTAACTCGGCCTCTATACAAATTGTGAGGTATAACAAGCAAGCAGTGCTATTACATTTTACACAACAGGCAATTGAGGTTGAGTGAGTGAATTTATCCTAGTTCTACAGTTTTCTTTATACAAGGCTATATATCAATTAGTGTTTGCTCAACAGTAACTGAACCTGAAATGTGTGGCCAAATGGTCTGTGAAAAGGTCTCACAATGTGTTTCCTCCAGGACTAAATTACTATCATAACTAAATGGAAGGCATGTTTCTATCATCTCATTCAACGTTTTGACACCAAAATGTGGTTCTGCTTAATTTTAATAATTTCATCAAAAACATTTATAAAACATATTCTACATTGAATGTCAAGCAATATGACCCTGATTAAGATAAATAAGACTTGACTTTGTACATTCCTTATTCATTTTCAAAACACTTTTGGTGTTTTACTGTATGCCAGGTATTACCATATATTGGGAGGAAAGACTCCAAAAAAAATACATAGTCCATGCCCTCAAGCAGCATCAAAGCAACTGAAACAGAGCTGCAAAGGCACACTTGGGCACTTGGAATACAAAATGCTAAAATAGAGCTATGAACAAAACATTCTGCTACCATTTCTATTGTATTTTATCAATTCAGTAGTCACAGTCTTACAAATGTACTTCTGCAGGATTTGCCACTCTCACGCCCTCCTTCTAGGGAAGATTTGTTGTTTTACTGCACCCCAAGGTGGTGCAATGTGATTTGCAGAGCTGAATCAATATTGTTTGCTCACAATATGGATTCCTGAGCTACATTTTTTGAAAGACTGCTGTAGTATAGGAAGCACATATCATGTTCAACATCATTGCTTTTGAAGATTCATGTATCATTACATCTCTTCTTGGAAATTTCAAATACAACTCAAGAGTTTTTATAGATTAAATGCAATCTTTGATATACATGCATGCAATCTGAGGTTAATATATTTATTAAAGGTGAAAGTGTTCTTAAAATTATCAAAAACTAATATTTTGACACTTTATTATTTTAAAATACAGAAATGCTAAAAAATGTATCTATACTCTCTTCTTCCAAAAGGTCATTACTTTTAATGTTTTGATGTGTTTATTTTTTAATTCATTTCATGCATTAAAAATAAGATTGAGCTCATACTGATTTAGATACGATTTATAATTATTTTAAAAACATATTGTATCAGACATTTACCAATGTTAACATGTAGATATTGTTTTAAAATAAATCATTCATTTCTTACATACTTAAACTGATTCCAATGTTTTTCTGTTAAATGGCCATGTAGCTTAATCACTCCATGCACCAAACTGGACCTGGAATAGAATTCCTTCCCTCAAATAACTCATCTCCAGTAGAGAAGATAAACATGTAAACAGGACCAACTATATGATTTGTGGAGCTCAGTACAAAGTAAAAATGCATAGCGAGCTCCTTCTTGAAAAATTAGGAAATTCAAGACAGCCATAGCATGCAATAAAACCAAGACTGGAGCCCTGTGAAGCATAGGTTCTGTGCAAATGCAAAAGTCACCAACCCAGGAAGCCAGTCCTGAACGTAAGCCTAATGTAAGTCAGTACAAGATGGTAAATGCCTTAATAGAAATGTGTATTAAATTATAATAGGAACACAGTGGAAGTGGTACTTCCATCTTGACAGTTCTAGCAGCTCTGCCAATTTGCATGATCAAGATAAATCTGACTTCTTTTAGCAAAAAAATGCAGACAATGAATTTAAAAAATTAACTTAATTGCAAAAAAATGAAATAGAGTTATTTGGGCCTACTGCACCCTCTAGCCAGGTAATAGGTAGCAAGTATTGTTTCAGAGACTGAATCCAACATTTGGAGGAGAGAAGAGAGTCATTTTCATATATGAAGAATAGTGAAGTGGACATAGGGGATGAACACCAAATGTTTGTAATTTTGTTCCCTGATCTATGGGAGCCAAGGAAATTCACATTGTACTTTTTTTCCCCTAACCCACACAAGACAATATAATTCTAAGAAAGCAAATGAAAAATATTCCAGCACAGGACATCAATCGTTTTTTACAATAAGAGTGAACAGACCAACAGACCTTTTGGCTTTTCTTATTTGGATTAACTTCAATGTCTAAAAGTTGCTAAGTAACACTTTTAATAATAAGAGATTTCAAGGCCAGGAAATTAATGGTCCATGACCCTATTTAAGAGAAATATTAGTGCATCGTAAGGCGAGATGGCTGAATACAGTAATGGGAACTTTGGGTAATACACTTAACCACTTTCATGTGCTACTTTTTCATTGCCGCTCACAGTCAATTTGGCAGACACGATTTTTTTTTATTAGAACATTTACTAAGATCATTTCATCATTATCTCAAGTTAGCTAATAATTACATTGGAAAATAATGATATAGAGAGAATAACCATTGTATAGTTGTGACTATTTTGAAACAAAGTTGTTTTTAGATCTGATAAATATAAATGTTTAGAACACACTAAATACAATTTAACTTTTTCAATATGCATCTCATGGGCTCATTTCAGCAAAACCAAACCAAATCAAACACACACACACACACACACACACGCGCGCACACACACGCACTTCCGCACGCACACATATACAACCCTCTCACAAACCTTTCCCTGTGCTGGAAGTACTTATCCACTCTTCCTTGGACTTGAGCAACTCAGTCCTCCCCATGGAATTTAAGCCTCAGGCTCAACCACTACACAAACAGGACATAACCTGGTGAGAGAACAATCTCCAAAGGTCTCCTGAAGACAAACTTGGCGAAAATTGTGTCAAGTCTGAGCAAAAGGAAACTTCAAAGGAGTAAACAGCTTCTGTGGATTAGTGGCCATAGCAGTTTTAAGGTTGAGTAAAACCCTTGACTGGAATAAAAAAAGTTGGCTTGGACTAATTTTGCTGAAAGCACAAAGAGTTTCAGGGGGAACGTATCACCTTTTAAAACAAATGCTTAATTTCTTTATAAAAGACATTGAGTTTTTCATGTGAGAAACTTCTTCAAGGGGCAGGGGCAATTTACCTTCAAGCACTGGGAGTTAGGCCATTTGAGGTTACATGAGACTACTCATGGCCTCTGAGAGTGGAGACCTTGGAAGAGCTGAGAATATTTTAGGAAGCTCTGGAAGAAAATCCTAGAGACAATTACTTTGGCTAACACATGAAAAGCTAGGATTCCAGACCTAGCTTTTTTTCTTTGTTTGTTTCTTGAGGAAATGAAAAGTGCTAGCTCACAATTTACCTAAATCTTGAGCTTTACTGTTTCTGTGATAAACACAGAGGGTTGCTATTTAAAAGTGACTTTTTCTCCCTACCAATATCCACAGGAGAATGGCTGAGGATGATGGCATGGGGGACTACGGCTATAAGTTATTCCCACAATGAACCTCAGGTTTCTCATCTGTGAAATTGGCTTAATAACCTGTCAGGAGTGTTGAGAAATGCAGTGAGTTAAAGTATAAAGTAATTTCTACATAGCAAACATTTAATAAATATAAATAAAGGAATAAATACTTTTACAATACAGTATATTGTGTATTATAATGTCAGAGAACCTTAAAGCAATGTCCAGCATTACACATGACTGACCAGGCTTCGTAAGACATTTCTAGTGGGAAGGTCCTGACTCCCTCATCTCTGTAAAGCTTGTGTTCAGGACCCCGTATGATGACAGACAGGTTCACCTCATAAGACCATGGCTCCTGAGACAGCTGTATGGAAGAACAGCCCTAGCCTGAGACATTCTATGACTGAAAACATCCATTCTCAATTTTCTCTGCAACCTCCCAGCATCAACTATATTTTTTTCTCTGCTCAAGGGAAACAAAAGCCTCTCGATTGGTTCTGATCTCTCTCTTCAAAAACTTCCACAAGACCCTAAATTTTACTCTTCCTATTATATACTCTTCCTCAATGCACAGCCATAATTAAAGAAAAACTACTCTATGAATTGCTCTCAGTTTTCAAATTTGAAGAAAAATTAATGACAAAGAGGAAAACAAGGTGTTTGGGAACAAGGGCAGTAAGAAAAGTTTTATTTAAGATTTCAAAAAAGCTCAAGTATATCCTATCAAAACTTTAATACATTTGAAATTGGAGAAGATAAAAAAGCGAGTTATTCTGATGTGAAAATGCTTTGAGGAAATGAGCAAAAATTATTCATACAAGAGGAAACCCAAGTGACCACTAAACATGTGAAAAGATGCTAAACTCCACTGGTAATAAGGAAAACATAAATTGAAACGATATTGAAGTACCATTTCACACCCTTTCATGTGAAAGCACTTTTATATATGATTATGCCAGGAATTAGTGAGAATGTGGAAGATAGGAATTTATATGCTGCTGGTGGAAATTTACATTGCTATAAAGTTTTTGGGGAACTATTTGGTGACATCTATAAAATGGAAGTTTTGCATATTTGATGATGCAATAATTCCATTTCCAAGTATACTCCTGAGAGCCCCTCACACATGTACATGTGACACTCTGTATAGGAATGTTTACAGTGGTGGTGTTGAAGCGTCATTGTTAAAAGTCTAACAACCACAGCAGAAATAAGTCATGGAATGCTCACATGATGGAAGAACATGAAAAGAGAAGTGACCAAACTTACTTTATACGTATCAACAAGGAAGAATCTTATATACTTGTAGGAAAATCTGGTTTCCAGAAACCTAAAGTATGACATCATTTACGTAAAGTTTAAAAACAAAAAGCAACATTGTATGCATATGTAGTATGTATTTGTGTGTGTGTGTGTGTGTGTGTGTATATATAACATATATATATACATAAATTAGAAAGAAATGCATGGGATTGATAGAAGCCAAAATCAAGATGGAATTTACTTCTTTGGGAAACGGATATGGCTAGGTGGGAGATGCAAGCATCAGATACACAGCATATGTCAACTGTTGTTGATAATGCTTCATTTCTGAAGCTGGGTTTATTGTTTTATTATTTACACTTTTTGTATCTAAAATATTTCATAATTTTTTCTAAGACTTTGAAGTATAAGATACAAGAGGGATTTGGCCAAGTCTAATTGGTTCCAAAGAACTAGACCCAGGATTCCAAAGAGAGGAGAAAAAGCTCCAGCTCCCAGAAAAAATTATGGAGGACACCCCATAATAGAGGTCCTGACAAGCTTTCCTTCTTCTGCTTTACATCGTAAGTTACTGCCTCTTGCAATTTCCTTTCTCATTCATTTTCGTGGTTGTCTATGACTAGTGGACAATAAGCTATTCAAGTATTCAAAGTCTATGTATGATTCATTGTCCTAGCCTCATGCTGTGGTCAGTATTCAGCACATAATGGGTGCTTAATACACACTGGGTGAGTGAATGAACAGATAATAACATAAATGGGGCAATATGATAATATAGAGATGACCTCATCATTCATTGCTATGACTGTATTGATTTCAACATGTAAAAATCAGCACAGACAAGAAAAGGTATATCAAAAACAGAATACTTGGGCTCAGCTGCAAAATGAAAGGGAGCTACATGTTCTATTACAGGGGTTAAGGTAATTCCCTTCAAAGTGGTAATTACGGGAGATGATTCTAATTTTAAACTGGTTTTCTAATGGGTGTTTGGCTTTTAAAAATCTCACAGGCCTTTAATTTATATATATTTTGCTTAACTCTTCATAGCTCACCCCAACCACCAACGAACCCCTCAAATTCTTTCTTAAGATCGAGGAGGTGAGTCACATAAGGTCCAAGAATTACCAGCTACTATTCAGATCATTACTTGTTATCCAAAATCTTAAAAAGATAAAATTATTAAAACATATGAAATAAAAGCATTAACATTATAAAAAGGTGTTTCTGCTAAAATATCACCTGCCAGGTCTTCCCTGACCATCCAATCTAAAATAGCAACCCTTCCCCCAATATTCCTGTCTATCTCATTTTTCTGCTTTACTCTTCCTGAAAATCACATAGAATCAATTTATCTCTGTGGTAAGCATGTCTTCCCCTCTCTCCATAAAATGTAATCTACGGACAGTTGTTGACTTCCTCATCTCTGTAAAGGATGAGAACTTCACCTGCATTGTTCACAGATACATTCGTAGGACATGTAATAGTGCCTAGATGATAAGTCCCAAATAAATATATGTTAAATAAATTAATGAATAATTAAGTCCATCTTACATATGTGGCAATAACCCTTAACCAGATTTTTAATTTAAAACATACAAGACTTCCTCTAAGACTATTAATTCACATGATTGGTGTATTCAAATACAGTGAACAGTAGGGGTTTTTTCCTCTTCCTGCCTTCCTTTCTCTTGCTTACTTTTTCTATGGCTATATTGAGGTATAGTTGACATACAAAGAACTGCACATATTTAAAATGTACTTTGATAAAGTTTAACATATGTAAACACACATAAAATCATTACTACAATCAAGATATTGAACATATCCATCACCTCCAAAAATTTCCTTGTAGCCCCTTTTAAACTTTCCTTGTAACCCTATCTGTCCTTAGGCAAACACTCATCTGCTTTCTGACACTACAAATTAGTTTCCATTTTCTAGAATTTTATATAAATGGAAAGATATGGTATATACTCTTTATATCTGTCTTCCTTCACTCAGCATAATTAAGACTTATCAATAGACAATAAAATACTAGCAAACAGAATCCAGCAGCAGATCAAAAATCTTATCCACCACAATCAAGTCGGCTTCATCCCTGGGATGTAAGGTTGGTTCAACATAAGTGAATCAATAAACATAATTCATCACATAAACAGAACCAATGACACAAACCACATGATTCATGATTATCTCAATAGATGCAGAAAAGGCCTCTGATAAAATTCAACATCCCTTCATGTTAAAAACTCTCAATAAACCAGGTATTAATGTAACATGTCTCAAAATAATAAGAACTATTTATGACAAACCTACAGTCAATATCATATTGAATGGACAAAGCTGGAAGCATTCCCTCTGAAAACTGGTACAAAACAAGGATGCCCTCTCTCACAACTCATATTCAACATAGTACTGGAAGTTCTGGCTTGGGCAATCAGGCAATAGAAAGAAAAGGTATTCAAATAGGAAGAGAGGAAGTCAAGTTGTCTCTGTTTGCAGATGACAAATAGAAAATCTAAATGATTTTATATTAGAAAACCCCATCATCTCAGCCTCAAAACTTTTGAACTGATAATCAACTTCAGCAAAGTCTCAGGATACAAAATCAGTGCAAAAATCACAAGCATTCCTTTACACCAACAATAGACAAGCAGAGAGCCAAATCATGAATAAACTCCCATTCATGATCACTACAATGAGAATAAAATACCTAGGAATACAGCTAACAAGGAATGTGAGGGACCTTTTCAAAGAGAGCTAAAAACCACGGCTCAGGGAAATAAGAGAGGAAACAAATAAATGGAAAAACATTCCATCCTCACAGATAGGAAGAACTAATATCATGAAAATGGCCATACTGCCCAAAGTAATTTATAGATTCAATGCTATTCTTATCAAATGACCACTGACATTCCTCACAGAATTAGAAAAATCTATCTTAAATTTCATATGGAACCAAAGAAGACCCTGTATAGCCAAGACAATCCTAAGCAAAAAGAACAAAGCTGGAGGCATCATGCTACCTGACTTCAAACTATACTATAAGGCTACAGTAACCAAAACAGCATGGTACTGGTACCAAGACAGACATGTGGAATAATGGAGCAGAACAGAGACCTCAGAAATAGTACTACATATCTACAACCATCTGGTCTTTGACAAACCTGACAAAAACAAGCAATGGGGGAAGGATCTCCTATTCAGTAAATGGTCCTGGAAACACTGGCTAGCCATATGAAGAAATTGAAACTGGACCTCTTCCTTGCACCTTATATAAAAATTAACTCAAGATGGATTAAAGGCTTTAATGTAAAACCCAAAACCATAAAACCCCTAGAAGAAAACCTAGGCAACATCATTCAGGACACAGGGATGGACAAACACTTCATGACAAAAACGCCAAAAGCAATTGCAACAAAAGACAAAACTGACAAATGGGATCTAATTAAACTAAAGAGCTTCGGCACAGCAAAAGAAACTATCAGAGTGAACAGGAAACATACATAATGGGAAACAATTTTTGCAATTTACCCATCTGACAAAGGGCTAATATCCAGAATCTACAAGAAACTTAAACATATTTGCAAGAAAAGGTCAACCCCATCAAAAAGTGGGCAAAGAATATGAACAGATATTTCCCAAAAGAAAACATTTACGTGGCCAATAAACATGTGAAAAAAAGCTCAACATCACTGATCATCAGAGAAATGCAAATCAAAATCACAACGTGATACCATCTCATGCCAGTCAGAATGGCAATTATAAAAAGTCAGGAAAAAATAGATGCTGGTGAGGCTGTGGAGTAATTGGAACGCTTTTACACTGTTGATGGGAATGTAAATTAGTTTAACCATTGTGGAAGACAGTATGGCGATTCCTCCAGGATCTAGAACCAAAAATGCCATTTGACCCAGAAATCCTATTACTGGGTATATACCCAAAGTAACAGAAATCATTCTACTATATACATACACATGTATGTTTATCGCAGCACTATTTACAATAGCAAAGACATGGGACCAACCCAAATGCCCATCAATGGTAAACAGGATAAATAAAACGTGGTACATATACATCATGGAATACTATGCAGCCACAAAAAGGAATGAGATCATGTCCTTTGCAGGGACATGGATGAACCTGGAAGCCATCATCCTCAGCAAACTGACACAGGAACAGAAAAACAAACACCACATGTTCTCACTCCTAAGTGGGAGTTGAACAATGAGAACACATGGACACAGGGAGGGGAACAACATGCACCAGGGCATATTGGGGGGTGGAGGGTGAGTGGAGGGAACTTAGTGGACAGGTCAATAGGTGCAGCAAACCACCATGGCACATGCACACCTATGTAACAAACCTGAACGTTTCGCACATGTATCCGTTTTTTAGAAAAAAAAAACCCACAAAATTTTTAAAAAATACTTATCTATGTTGTCATATGTATAATTACTTCATTACTTTTTATTGCTGTATAGTATTCCATATTTGAATATACCACAATTTGTTTATCTATTCACCAGTTTAGGGGCATTTGGGTCATTTCCAGTATTGGGCTTTTTTAAAAAGCTGCTATGAACATGTGTGTATAAGTCTTTGTGAGGACATATGCTTTCCTTTCTCTTGGGGAGATTCCTAGGAGTGGAAGGATTAAGTTGCATGGTAGATGTATGTTAAGGATTTTTACAAACTTACAAGCTATTTTCCAAAGTGATGGTACCATTTTACATCCATGTCAGAAAGATATGAGTTCCAGTTTATTCACATCCTCACTAACATGTGATACAGTCAGTCCTTTTAATTTTAGACATTCTAATATATATGTAGTGATATATGATCATGTTTTAATTTGTGTGCTGTTAGCATATTTTCATCTCTTATTTGCTATTATGTCACCTTTGGTGAAGTGTCTGTTCAAATATTTTGCCTATTTAAAAAACTGGATTGTTTGTTTTCTATTAGTTGTAATAGTTCTTTATGTAGTCTGGACACAATTGCTTAATAAGATATGTCATTTGCCACTCTTCTGTCCCCATCTGTGGCTTGTCTTTTCATTCTTTTAGCAATGCCTTCACAGAGCAAAAGATTAGGGTTTCTTTATTGAACAAATTTACTAAATGCAACATTCTGTGTCACGGGGGTTTGTTGTACAGATTATTTCATCAACCAGGTACTAACCCTAGTACCCAATAGTTATTTTTCTGATCCTCTACCTCCTCCCACCCTCCACCCTCAAGTAGGCTCCAGGGTTTGTTGTTTACCTTTTTGTATCCATGTGTTCTTATCATTAAGCTCCCACTTATAAGTAAGATCATGTGGTATTTGGTTTTCTGTTCCTGTGTTAGTTGCTAAGGATGATGGCCTGTAGCTCCATCCATGTTCCCACAAGGGAGATTATCTCATTCCTTTTTATGGCTGTATTGTATTCCATGGTATATGTGCCACTTTTTCTTTATTCAGTCTACCACTGATGAACATTTAGGTTGATTCCATGTCTTTGCTATTGTGAATAGCTCTGCAATGAACATAGATGTGCATGTGTCCTTATGACAAAACAATGTATATTCCTTTGGGTAAATATCCACTAATGGGATTGCTGGGCCAAATGGTACTTCTGTTTTCAGTTCTTTGAGAAATTGTCACATTGTTTTTCACAATGGTTGAATTTATTTACACTCCCACCAACAGTGTATAGGTGTTTCTTTTCCCCTGGAACCTTGCCAGCATCTGTTATTATTTGACTTTTTACTAATAGCCACTCTGACTGGTGTGAGATGGTATCTTATTATGGTTTTGATTTGCATTTCTCTAATGATCAGTGATACTGAGCTTTTTTTCATTTGCTTGATGGCTGCATTGTATGTCTTTTCTTGAAAAGCGTCTGTTCATGTTCTTTGCTCACTTTTTAAGGGGGTTGTTCTTTCTCACAAATTTGTTTAAGTTCCTTAAGAGGCTGGATATTTGACCTTTGTCAGGTGCATAGTTTGCAAATACTTTCTGCCATTCTGTAGGTTCTCTGTTAACTGTTGATAGTTTCTTTTGCTGTGCAGAAGCTCTTAAGTTTAATTAGATCCCATTTGTCAATTTTTGCTTTTGTTTCTATTGCTTTTGGAATCTTTGTATGAAATCCTTGACAGTTCCTATGTCCAGAATGATATTGCCTAGATTGTTTTCCAGGGTTTTTATAGTTTGGGGTTTTACGTTTAAGTCTTTTATCCATCTTGAGTTGATTTTTGTATATGGCATAAGGGAGAGGTCCAGTTTCAATCTTCTGCATATGGTTAGCCAGTTATCCCATTTGTTGAATAGGGACTCCTTTCCCCACTGCTTATTTTTGACAGCTTTGTCAAAGGGTCAGATGGTTATAGGGGTGTGGCCTTATTTCTGGGCTCTGTATAAGAGAGCATTAGAAATTTCGAGGCAACTGATTTGATGATTGACCAATTCTAAATGCTTGAGAGACATTGTGCATCAATGGATGCTACAAGATTTTGTGCCAAAATTACTGAGAGAATAAAATAGTACTACTGATAGAACTGCAGGTTTCAGGAATAATACTTAGTTTTAAGTTAAGGACAAGTTTGAGTAAATAATTTTGGGCAGGCAGCAGGATGTCCAAATGGAAATGACCAGTAGGTATGCTAAGTATGACTGGCTTGGAGTCATACTTAGGAGTCATTTGCTTATGAGTCATCATCATCAAAAATGTAAATCTGTGAGTAGATACATTTTTTAAAATATGTGGAAGAAATGCTGAGTAGAAAATAAATACTGGGAAAAGGACGTAGGATTGTCATTCCATAGAAGCACTGAGTTTAAGGTAACTAAATGATTTTAATCTCTTCTGCAATTGGAAAAAAGTAAAACTTTATATCTGTTGTGGCCATTAAGTATTTGGTTAACAAATGAAGTATTTGTATGTTTTCAAGGTAGCCTATTTCACTGTCTGAGAATTCAAACAATTGGGAAAAGCCTTTCTTGTACTGAGCCTCATATGAACAAACTATTATCTTTGACCTTGATTTCAGCTGCTGGCACAGAGTAGGCACTCAGGCAATGTTAGCTAGATGACCAGATGGCTCTTCCTGTGTTCTCAGCCAATTCTGTTAGTCTACTCTCTTCCATGTGTGAGCCAGATGGCTGAACTGTTACATAAATTTTTAGCTGTACAAACCAAAGTAACTTAAATCATTGTAATTATCTATTGTGCACCCCCTTGTCTTTTTATTTTACAAGGTAAATATTCTAGATTTACAAAGCAAATTCTCTAATGATATGATATTCAGACAGAGATATTTTGAAGAGGATAAATAAAGAAATATATCACATGGCTCAGTTCTCAGTAAAAGTAGGTGAAGTTATTTGTTCGGTGTGAAATTACTGAGGAGAGTGAAGGGTTGGTATAGTGTCTATGGAGGAGGGTACTTAAGCCAGCAAAAGATATATAAAAAGATTGTGGAATATCAGCTAAACTGTACGTATCATGGATTTCCAGGGGGCCAGTTAAGCAGACATTGTAGAGAGTATGTAAAAGATGTGAAACTGAACTGTTGAACCATGAAAGCTCTCCTTCCTCAGGTTTCTTCATACCAAAATCCCATTTCTTGTTCTTTTAACCTGTCGGTTCATTAATAGGTTATGCTAGCCATGAATGGATCACTGTACTGTGTAAAGCCAGGAACTGTATCCCTGGTAAGGAATGATTTAAATATTCCTGGGTTTATGTTTCTATAAAGCAGAAGATGTTTGATCACCAGAATCTTCCATCCTCATTTAGGAATGGCCACAAACAAACTATCTTCTTGGATAGTTTCTGCTACTTTGAAGTATTTCCTGTCTTGGGAAAGGAGATAGACAAAAAACATCATGGCTTACATTTACACTTTCCCTTCTGGCTAATTACTAATATGGCACAGTGATTAAGAGAATGGGCTTGGGAGTCAAAGACATCCATGTTTAAATTCTGGTTTTGCTGCTTACTAGTTTCTGTGAACAATACTAAATTACTTAACATCTCTGGTTACTCAATTTTCATCTAAAGTGAGAATGTAATATTTAATTTGTAAGGTTGTTGTAAGAATTAAATGAAATAATACATCTAAAGTGCTCAGGCTCATTGGCTAGGACAATGAATAAAAACCAAAACAATTGTTATTCGGTTTCTGGCCTGCCAGAATTCCTGATCTTCTTATTACATGGGAAATTTGTTTTCTCTCATTCTTGCTCTAAAGGATGTTCCTGATCTTGAGATTTATAAATTATATAAACAATTATTATTTAGAATGGCAAGACACTTTAGGTATTATAGATAACTATCATTTGAGGAGTCTTAAGTTTGTTCTTGGTTAGCCTGGAATGTGGCAGAGGTTTAAGAGAGAGAAATCAGGGAATAAAACAGAAATGGGTACATACAAACTAGTGATATTAAAGGAGAAGCTGAGTTTACCCAAAGTTGCAGACAAAAGCAGCTGCAAAATTGCAGACTTCCTCACCTTCACAACTACCTGCCCTTGCAAGTTCTGAGACTCTCTCTAAATTTCTACGGACAAGAGACCAGAGCAGAAAAGCATGTGTTTGGAGGAATGTACAGGTATGAAACTCCCTGAAAGACAGAAAGAGGACAGATGGAGCTGACATTCACATGCACAGTGCTCAGACATTCCTCAAGCTTTGGAGAGAAGTATGAATGAAGAATGGGTAAATAAATGGTAGAACATTTCTTCCCAATTCATCTGAGGAGATAGGAATTCTTGTTTTATTGGCCTATGCAGAAATGCAGATAATTTGAAGGGATGTCTACTCCTACACTCATATGATTAAATGAGGCTGACTCAGAAGGAGGGAGAGACCCTTTCATTTTCTGATTCTGTTCCTTGATCCTATCTGGAAAAGACATGGCCATGCCTGTTCATTTAAGTATTAATCGTGGTTGCTTTCAGATCACAACAGCAGCCATCGTGACAGAGAACATATGGCCTACAGAGCCACAAAACATTCCACTATCTGTCCTTTTATAAAAAAACAATTGCAGATACTTGATCTGGATCAATCACCCAGGCAGCAGTGGGATATCCTTTTCTTTCTATTTGTCAAGTAGCATAAGAAGCCCCAAATGGCAAGGGATCGGTCTCAGCTCCCAATTCAATGCAATGGTTGCTATGTCCCCTTGTGAAAGCAATTCTTTGGGTGCTAAATTCTCCAACCAGCAAAACACAGAATTTTGGAAACAGGAATGAATTTTTGCAAGTGGTTAATAAGGTATAATAATGGAAGATGTCACATCTATATCAACCCCTTGATTTCCAGACCCATGTGTTATAACAGTGGGAGAAGTAGCATCTCATATCAGTCCCTCGTCAGAGTTTATGCTGCGTCCCAACCTTGTAAGGTCGTAACCACTAGCTGGCACCATAATTATTTATTTGATAAATCTTGTTTTATGTGGGTAGTGAGCTACATGGTTAGAATAGTGAGCTCCACGAGGATCAGCCCACTGGCCCACTTCTTTTGCTGAAAGATGGGTGTCTTGCTCAAGGTATGTCATGCAGAAAACTCTAACAGGAGAAGTTATGCATGTTATATTCATCAGAAGTCTTGGGTGGTGAGGTGAGGCAAACCCAAATGCCTAAGTATCTATTTCATAAAGACAAATCATGGTTTCTTTCATGAAGGTAGGGTTGCAATATAATCAGCATTCTACCAGATAGCTAGCTGGACCTCCAGGGATTTGATGCTGGTTTCTACAGAATATTGACTACCCAGAAGAAGGAACAATCTGACCAGCCTTGGTGAGAGCAACTTATGTTGCATAAAATACATTTCTGCTTTTGTGACCACATTGTTCATGAATCTACTGATCAATCATTAGGGAGACTGGGAATAAGAATGACTTAATGTACATGGGATGAATCATCCTTTTCCTGTTACTGAGAGACTGTTCTACAGAGGGGAGCTTCAGTGAACATTCACACATATTATTCTTTCACCCTGGGCCTATTTTGAAGGGGCTATCCACATAAACCTTCCCCAAATCTCTAATATGCAAAAATCCTTCCTTCTGAGTCTCTGTGTGTCCAAATTGTGCCTAAGGATCACTACCAATCTATACCTTAGGTCATCTGTCCTCCAAGGCAAACTGGACAACCAATGTACCCACAGTCCTCATTTTGCACAGTGCTGAGATACATGGATTTCAATGATCATGTTTAATTAAATAATACCAGTGCCTTAACAACACAGTTCAAATTTTAGTAACCATGGTGTGTTAGCTGTGAAAGATTAAATGAAGCACAAACTTCACTGCAATCTTTTTAGTCCACAAATCACTTTGTAAACAACGAATGCAGATCCTGGGAACAGACGGTGGATAGGAGACAGGGCTAATGTGCAGCTAGCTCCCACTTGGATGGACAGATCAGTGTGTGGGGAGTCACACTGCAAACCTTTGCTCCAAGAACCAGCACAGGAACATACTGGGAAAACCAGAAGAATTCACAGATCCTTTGAAAGAAGCTGCATGCCACTGCAAATTCCATGAGACAAGTGAAAAACTGAGAGCTCCCAAAATGTGAGCGTGGGGAGAAGATGCCTCCGAACACACATCCCCACTGGGAAATCTGAAAATCCAGATCACAGCAGAATGTTTTAACCTTACCTGGAGCTGAAATGGATGAAATATAAAAGTAAGCAGCAGTGCTTATAGGCACTCCCATTCTCCAGCTGGAGCCCAGGGAAGCCATCCTGACTGTATCTCGCAGGGGCCCTTGGGGAAGGAAGGCAGTGGAATTAGGGAGGGGTCAGAGGGTATAAGAAACTTCAAACTAAATTTTACAATAATTTTCACTGGGCACTAGTTGGTGGGGGGGAGTGGGGGACGAAACAAGAACTGCTTCAGGTAGGGACTGGAGCCACAGCCAACACTGTGGGCAGATGGGGGAGAGGTGAGGCCTGAAAGCAGAGCTTGCTTGCCCAGCAGGGAAGCCCATAACCTGGGACAAGGCCTGAGTTCTGCCCGCCAGCCGTGCAGGCTACCTGGATCTCAATTCAGTGCTATGAGTGGGGCACTGTGGGAGTGAGACCGGCCTTACCAACTGAGTGGGAACTGGGTGAGATCTCTTGCTACCAGCTATCCCTCACTTCTCTGGTGAACTACATGGCACGGCAGAGGCAGACATAATCCTCTCTGGAACATAACCTCATTGGCATGAGAACTATTCCCCCATCCTCCACAGTGGCCATGGCAAGTCCAGCCCAAGGGGAGTCTGAGCTTAGACCTGTCTAACCCTGCCCCAACCTGATGGTATTTCTCTACCTGCCCTGGTAGCTGACACAAGAGTCATACACTCTTGAGAGCTTTATGGCTCTGCCCATCACCTGAGAAACCAGAATACCTTTCTTGGCCAACTTAGGGCAAGCTTATATCCCACTGCTAATACCACAGCTGGTGCTCTCTTGCAAGTGCCACCTTCTGGCTGTAGGCCCACCAACCCAGGCCATTACAGCAACTCATGACAGAATAGCCATGCCCCCAGGAAGGAGAAAACAGCAGCTAATACCACTGCCTGCAACATCCTTGCTAACCAGAGGTCCTGAGTCTGTCCATGTGACAACTTCACTGCTAGCATAAATAGCAGTTAAGAAAGCCAGCACCATAAACATATCTACCATCAAGGATTCTCACAGAATCTACTTCACTCCCCTCCCACCACCACCAGAGCAGGTGCTGGTATTTATGGTTGAAAGACCTGAAGATGGATTAGATCACATCACAGGACTCTTTGCAGACAATCCCCAACACCAGCCTGGAGCCTGGTAGCCCCGCTGGATGGCTATACCCAGAAAAGCAATAACAATCACTGCAGTCTGGCTCTCAGGAAGCCCCATCCATAGGGGAAGGGTGAGAGCACCACCTCAAGGGATCACCCTGTGGGACAAGAGAATCGGAACAGCAGGCCCTGGGTTCCAGATATTTCCACTGGTGGGTAGTTTCTAACAGCAGAGACACAATTGTAGTGCTGGAAGCAGTAGGGAAAGTCTGCACCTATACTCCAACAGGCAGGCAGCCTCTGTGATTGTGAAGGGCCTTGGAGAAGGGGTCCTTATTCTCCTCTGGCACTCCATGGCAGACACAGCTGGGGCCTTCTCCACAGGAATCCAGTGTGAAGGCACCTATAAACAAATATCCCCTCAGACCATAGTGGAATGAAACTGGAAATTAACTCCAAAAGCAACACTCAAAACTATACAAATATATGGAAATTAAATAATCTGCTCTTGAATGATCTTTGGGTCAACAATTAAATCAAGATGGAAATTTTAAAATCTCTTGAACTGAATAATAGTGACACAACTTACTGAAACCTCTGGGATATGGCAAACGTGGTGCTAAGAGGAAAGTTCAGAGCATTAAATGCCTACATCAAAAAATCTGAAAGAACACAAATAGACAATCTAAGGTCACACACTAAGGAACTAGAAAACCCATAACAAACCAAACCCAAACCCAGCAGAATAAAAGAAATAACAAGGATCAGAGCAGAACTAAATGAAATTGGGACAAACAAAAAAATACAAACAACAAATGAAACAAAAAGCTGGTTACGTTTTGGAGACCAACCAACTAGCAAATCATGACAAAATGCATGGACCATTAGTGAGATTAACCAAGAAAAGAAGAGAAGATCCATATAAGCTTGGTTAGAAATGAAATGGGAGATATTACAATTACAACTGTTACCACAGAAATACAAAAGATCATTCAAGGTGATATGATTTGGCTGTGTCCCCACCCAACTCTCATCTTGAATTGTATTTCCCAGAATTGACAGGTGATATGGGAGGGACCCGGTGGGAGGTAACTGGATCATGGGGGAAGTTACCTCCATGCTGTTCTTGTGATAGTGAGTGAGTTTTCATGAGATCTGGTGGCTTTATAAGAGGCTTCCCCCAACCTTCACTCTGCACTCCTTTTTGCTGCTGCTGTGTGAAGGAGGACATGATTGCTTCCCCTTCCACGAAGATTGTACGTTTCCTGAGGCCTTCCCAACCACACTGAACTGTAAGTCAATTAATCCTCTTTCCTTTATAAATTACCCAGTCTTGGATATGTCTTTATTAGCACACAATAACAGACTAATACACAAGGCTATTATTAACACCTTCATGCACACATACTAGGAAATCTAGAGGACATCAATAAATTCCTGAAAATATACAACCCTCCTAGATTAAATCAAGAAGAAATAGAAACTCTGAACAATAACAAGTAGCAAGATTGAACAGTAATAAGACAAATTGCCAACAAAAAAAAGTTCCGGACCACATGGATTAACAGCTGAATTCTATCAGACATTCAAAGAAGAACTGGTACCAATCCTGCTGAAACTATTCCAAAAGATAGAGAAAGAGGGAATTCTCCCTAAATCATTCTATGAAGCCAGCATCACCCTAATACCCAAACCAGGAAAGAACATAACAGAAAAGAAAACTACAAACCAATACCCCTGATGAACATAGATGCAAAAATCTTCAACAAAATACTAGCTAACCAAATCCAACAGCATATCAAAAAGATAATACAGCATGATCAAGTGGGTTTCATATCAAGGATGCAGGGATGGTTTAACCTATGCAAGTCAATAAATGTGATACATCACATAAACAGAATTAAAAACAAAAATCTCACAGTTACCTTAACAGATGCAAAAAAAAATTTGACAAAATCCAGCATCCCTTTATGATAAAAACCCCTCAGCAAAATTGGCATATAAGGGACATACATACCTCAAGGTAATAAAAGCTATCTATGACAAGCCCACAGCCAACATACTAAATGGGGATAAATTGAAAGCATTCCCTCTGAGAACTGAGCAAGACAAGGATGACCACTTTCACCACTTCTATTCAACATAGTACTGGAAATCATAGGCAGAGTGATCAGACAAGAGAAATAAATAAAAGGCATCCTAATCAGTAAAGGGTAAGTCAAACTATCACTGTTCACTGATGATATGATCATATACCTAGAAAACCCTAAAGATTTATCTAAAAAGCTCCTAGATTTGATAAATGAATTCAGTAAAGTTTCAGGATACAAAATCAATGTCCACAAATCAGTAGCACTGCTATACACCAACAACAACCAAGCTGAGAATCAAGTCAAGAACTCAATACCTTTCATAACAGCTGAAGGAAAAAAAAAAGTACTTAGGAGTATACCCAACCAAGAAGGTGGAAGATTTCTGCAAGAAAAACTATAAAACACTGCAGAAAGAAATCATAGGTGACAGAAACAAATGGAAACACATCCCATGCTCATGGATGGGTAGAATCAATATTGTGAAAATGACTATACTGTCAAAAGTAATATAAAAATTCAATGCAATTTGCATCAAAATACCATCATTATTATTCACATAACTAGTAAAAACAATTCCTAAAATTCACATGGAGCCAAAAATTAAAAAAAAAAATGCCCACAAAGCCAAAGCAAAATTAAACAAAAAGAACCAATCTGGAGACATCACATTGTCTGACTTTAAACTATACAACAAGGCTCTAGTTACCAAAACAGCATAGTGGTGGCATAAAAATGGGCATGTAGACCAATGGAACAGAATAGAGAACCCAGAAATAAAGCTAAATACTAACAGCCAACTGATCTCAGGCAAAGCAAACAAAAACAAAGTGGGAAAAGGATACCCTATTCAACAAATGGTTCTGGGATAATTGGCAAGCCACATGTAGAAAAATGAAACTGAATCCTCATTTTTCACCTTATACAAAAATCAACTAAAGATGGATCAAAGACTTAAATCTAAGACCTGAAACCCTAAAAACTCTAGAAGATAACATCAGAAAATCTCTTCTAGACAT
Organism: Homo sapiens; assembly: GCF_000001405.40. NCBI lineage: Eukaryota > Metazoa > Chordata > Mammalia > Primates > Hominidae > Homo > Homo sapiens. Next base: position 107,862,262 of record NC_000008.11, on the reverse strand, counting down.
TGGCTTAGGCAAAGACTTAATGACCAAGAACCCAAAAGCAAATGCAACAAAAACAAAAATAAATAGATGGAACCTAATTAAACTAAAAAGCCTCTGCACAACAAAAGAAATAATCAGCAGAGTAAGCAGATAAAATATTTGTAAACTATGCATCCAACAAGAGACTAATATCCAGAGTCTACAAGGAACTCAAATCAGCAAGAAGAAAACAATTCCATCAAAAAGTGGGCAAAGGACATGAATAGACAATTCTCAAAAGAAGATATACAAATGGCCAACAAACATGATAAAATGTTCAACATTACTAATTATCAGGGAAATGCAAATTAAAATTGCAATGAGATACCACCTCTTGCAGGCTACTCCAGCAAGAATGGCCAAAATTAAAAAATCAAAAAATAATAGATCTTAGCATGGATGTGGTGAAAAGGGAATACTTTTACGCTGCTGATGGGAATGTAAACTATTACAACCACTATGGAAAACAGTATAGAGATTCCTTAAAGAATTAAAAGTAGAGCTACCATTTGATTAAGGAATCCCACTTCTGGGTATCTACTCAGAGGAAAAGAAGTTATTATATGAAAAAGACACTTGCACTCGTGTGTTTATAGCAGCACAATTCTCAATTTTGCAAAAATATGGAACCAGCCTAAATGCCCATCAACCAATGAGTAGATAAGGAAAATGTGGTTATATATATTTACCACGGAATACTGCTCAGCCGTAAAGATGACCAAAATAATGGCATTCACAGAAATCTGGATGGAGTTGGAGACCATTATACTAAGTGAAGTAACTTAGGAATGGAAACTAGATATTGTATGTTCTCATTCATAAGTGGGAGCTAAGCTATGAGGACAAAAAGTGTAAGAATGATGTAATGGACTTTGGGGACGTGGGGGAAAGGGCGGTAGGGGTGAGGGCTAAAAGACTACACATTGGGTAGAGCGTACACTGCTCAGGTGATGGGTGCACCAAAATCTCAGAAATCACTACCAAAGAACTTACCCATGTAACCAAAAATCATCTATTCCCCAAAAACTATTGAAATAAAGTAAATTTAAAAAATGTATATAATGATCAGTGACCAATATATGTCACTTCTTCCAAAGTCTATCAGCGATTGATCATTACTCATCTGTTATTCACATACAGAAGGCAAAAGTGTCATTTTGTTGCCTTGTTGTCTCCCAGTGTTAAACCCATGTGACTTCTACAAAAATGAATAATTGTAAAAGAGAATTGGCTCACCAGGACAGAACTGCAGCAAAGAAACAAAAGTAACAATCCTGGAAGTGAGATTCAAATAAAATGTAAATAGAATTTTAAAAAAAACAGCTGACTTTGGGAATGTTGACACTTTTGACTCTAGATATGTAGCCAGAGAAATTTAATAAAGGCAAATTTATCTGCATAAATGAGGAAAGTGGTTGTAACAATAGATGAAGATATTCCAAAGAAAGTGATATTGACCAAAAAAAAATTGAAAGAATTCTCAAAGATATTTCATGATATTGAAAATGTAAGGGATAAAATGTTGGAACCAGATTCAAACTTAGAATGGGGCATGATGGTTCACCAAGGCATAGAAAAAAATGCTATTTATGTTTAAAATTACATAACAACAGGCCATCACTATTTAAACTATTCTTGATAAGTTATTTTTTCTTACAAAGAAATAAAAGTTTAATTCTCCATGTTTCTAATGTTTTAAATAGTAGTGTGCTTAATAAATTTACTATTTTTTATTTGCCCATGCACTTATAATTGATAGTAGGAGAGTTCTTAATGTTTGACAACAAATTTTAAAGATCACAGAACAATTACATATTTTCATCGATTAAGACTGCTTTTCAAAATTACAGCTTGCATGGTAATTTTTACAGTCCCAAACTACTGTGCAAAAAAAGAGAGAGATATTAAGAAGATTCTACTTACTAGGAGGAAATCTTTTTCCAAATCTCATCCAAGGTCATTTCTGCTAATTTCAAGCTAATTCCAGCATATTAAGAAGAACAATCTCTAAAACAGGCTCAAGTTTTTTTCCTCCTTGGTAATCTGTCATTAAAGATTTCCCATGAGGCCATATAGAGATAGCAATGTTGCAGGAGTTGTTTCAGTGGAAATGTAAGCTACCTGTTTAAACAATCATACTTTCAAAGCCCTCCCCAGTTATCCTTTCACTTAAAGATGAAAAGTTGTAGTCATGGACAACTTTATCTGTCGGTAATATAGATAACATCCTATTTTCTATAGACAGCTCAGTTTGCCTGGATATCTTATTTTTCACAGTTGGTCTCTACCAGAGGCCCAACTGGGAGCCAAGACCTGGTTCTCCAAAAAAGGAAGTAGTTATGGAAGAGTATAGTTGTTTTCCTTCAAAATCTCTACTGTGAACCTCTTATTGGAACTTTCCAGACACATCAAATAACTTCCTGCTCTTCTATAAATCTTTAATCACTTTTGGTTCCACTGGGCTTTGTTGGTCTATATCATGGACAAGCGAGGGAGACTCCCTCGCTTCAGGTTCTACTCAAAACTAGCCCTTTGGGTCATATGATAAATTTTTCAAAATAGTAAATTTTTCAAAATAGTAAACTCAAATATGTTATACATTACCTAAATATCCAAAGGAGTCTAACAAATGATGCCATTAGTTTTGATATATAGAGTGCTAGGTACAACTACTTATCTTTCACTTTGGAGAGAAGATCCCTGTATACTCCAGACTACTGGATCCCCAGAAACTAAACCAAGGTAGCAACTCCTTACATATTTTTGATATTTACTTTACACCTTATGTCCTATCAAGACATCAATAATTCCTAATTCCTGCTCTCTAGATCCTATAAAAATTGTGTCATAAATGTAATGGATAAATTAGATGTCCTGTAGGATGCTGTATAGTCAGGATTCTCCAGAGAAATAGAACCGATAAAAGACAATCAATCAATTAATCAATCATCTATCCATCCATCTATATCTATTTAGGAAGACATTTATTATAAGGTATTGGCTCCTAGATATATAAGGATGATATATAAGATGGCATAAGGCTTCCTAGAAAGATTCCAGGAAGATACCTGTTATCCTACCTAGATAGATACCAGGTATCTATCCAGGAAGAGATTCATTATAAAGTATTGAGGCTGAGAAGTTCAATGATTTGCTGTCTGCAAGCTGGAGATCCAGGAAAGGTATAGTTCATCCATAAAAGGTGTAGTTCAAACTGACACTATAGATTCCAGTCCAGATCTGAGGTCCTAAAAACAAGGAGTGCTGAGGGCAGGAGAAGATCAGTGTCCCAACTCCAGCAGAGTTAATTAAACTTTTCTCTACCTTTTTGTTCTATTTAGGCCCTCAACCTGAATAGATTAGATAACGCCGATCCATACTGAGAAGGATCATCTACTTAGTCCACTGATTTAAATGCTAATCTCTTTCAGAAACATTCTCACAAACACACCTAGGAATAATGTTTCTCCAGCTATCTGGGTATCTTATGGCCCAGTTAAATTGACACACAAAGTTAACCATCACAGATGCTAAGACAGTCAAATTTCCTGAAGATTCAATTATGGATCAAAGTTGGAGAGTTGATATAATTCTAGGCAAAATAGGGAAAGTTACTGTAATCCCTGCTAAGTGATAGCAAATTGCTTTTGGTATATTTGTTGAGCTGGGGAGAAAGCTTTTGCTATGTTCCATAGCAGATACCAGGGATGATGTTGATTTATACCAGCAGAAACATCTGAAAAATAGCTGCAATTGGACTTGCCTACTTTAATTATATCTTTCTAATATTTATTCCTTTTATTTGTTTGTCTTCCTTACTGGGCTCAGATGTCCACTACAATGTTGAATAGCAGAGGTGAGAGTGAATATCCTTGCTTTGTTCCTAATCTTAGAGAAAAAATGTTGAGTCTTTTTCCTTGTGTACAAGTCTGCAGTAGGATTTGTATGCTTACACTTAGAAGTTTGAGAAAATTTTCTTCTATTTCCAGTTTGCTAGTCTTCTTTAAAGTAGGAGTAGAATTTTATCAAATTCTTTTTCTGCATCTGTTGATATAATCATATGATTTTCTCCTTTTATTCCTGATAAGGTGGTAAGTTACCCCCATTGATTTGTTTTTTAAAGCAAACTCAACCTTGTGTATCTGGAATATATCTTCTGAGGTTGTGATGTATTATTCTTTTATGATTTTCTGAATTTGATATGTTAATACTTTGCTAAATATTTTTGCCTCTAGATTCATGAGGGATCTTGGTGTGTAATTCTCATTTCCTGTAATGTCCTTGCCTAACAGCCCTTTGTAAATATTTTTTCAATCAATGAATTCAGTACAAAATATAGAACACAAAAATATGATATACTACCATAGTTATAACTAAAATACACACAGGACACACATTCATTTGGAGAGAAGACTCAGTAAGACTTCCCCACTTTAGGATGTACCCTGCTACAGTCCATTCCCCATAGTGTTGACAACATAACCTTCTAAAATGTAAATGTTATTTCATAAATCTCTTCTTAAAAAATCTATCCATGGCTCCCTATAATCCTCAGAACAAAGTTTAAACTCCTTACCTTTTTAACTTCCCCATCTTTTGCATCTTCAAAGTACCAGCAGACAAAACTAATATTTAGCAATGTGCTTTTGTTGTTTCTAAGCTTTTGCAACTTGCCAGCCTCTCTGTTAGGAACCCTTTGTCTCCCCTCTTGTTTATATCTTCTCTCTTTCCTCTAGCCATTGCCAACACACACACACACACACACACACACACTCTCTCTCTCACACACACACACACACACACACACACTCTCTCTCTCTCTCTCTCTCTCTCTCCCTCTCTCTTTGTCATTTTGCTTTGGTAATTCCAAAACATTCCTGTGGTCTTCTCTTAAATATACTTTCCATCATTCCCACTAGGAAGATCTATATCAATGAGATATTCCTCATTATGCACCCATAGTGGGTGGGGAAAGAGATAAGATAAAGCAGGCTTTGTCAGCTTTCGTCTGGATTCAAATCTCAGCCCTGTCACTTATTATCTAGGGACATTGTACAAGTTATTCAACCTCTGGGCCTCATATACCTCAAAATGTACTTAAAATGGTTTATTATGAGGAATAAATAAAAAAGGATATATACTGTGTACTGCATATATGCAAAATACACGCTGCAAAATACACACAGGACACACATTCATTTGGAGAGAAGACTCAGTAAGACTTCCCCACTTTCAGATGCACCCGGATCAAATAGATACATATATTTGGCACAGTGCATGGGATACAGTAAATTATCAATAAATGGACATTATTGTTATTTTGTTATTTTTACTATCACAGAACTTAGCACCATACGTTATAGTTCACATATTTTTCCAACTCTTTTGAGATAGTAAGTTATTTAATGCTTTTTTCAGTATTGTGAATTTTAGTTTTTATCATAGTACTGAAAATATAATAGGTATTCACTAAATGTAAACTGTTGCTATTATTATAAAACCTAGAGCTAGATTTTTGTAGATGGTAGATGGGGTAGTCTTGAGGGTTCACCAGAAAAGGAAGTTTCATTTGAGTGGAAAGTAAATTGCTTGACACTTGAAGGCCAGAGGAGTAGCACGTGGGACCCTGCAGGTGACAGAACTCATATGAGCAGATCATATTAATATTCAGGGACTGGTATTGACTATAGCATTAAGCACCATGGCTTTGGGAGCCTAGTTGAAATTTCCAGAGGCCAGGTTTACCGTAAGAAAGTGTTTTCAAGTGAACCATAAGGATTTGTTCAATCAGAAATGGTAGAATAAAATTCACAGGTGTAGAGACTTCTTTTTACCAAGAACTACCCAGCACCCTTGGACAGCCATAGGAAGAGGCGGGGTCACAAAAAATGGACAGCAATTGGATTTCCTATGAGTTGTGCAGGTCTGAGCTAGATTTGGAAAAATTAAAACATCAGCATAAATAAATTATTGCAAATATCACACATTAGTGGGGTTGACAATTCACATAGGTGTATTCTGTGACTGGGGAGCCAGGAGGTAGACAGTGAGTTGAAAGAAGAGGATGTAAAGACAGGATGCTGAGGGGCAGACTTCATGCTATAGCCTGCTGGTCACCAGTTCTTGACCTAAGCTAAGTTGGGCAGGAAAGATTTGAGTCAAGCCAAGAACCTGCTGTTCTCCTTTGGTCACCCCATCCTCCAGCTTCTTCATCTGCGGTTCTATGGGATGACGGAGCTGTGGGGAGGTAAGGAGTTCTATGGCTGCCATTCTTTTACCTTGAACATCATGGAGGAAGTTCATACTGATTTAGTGTTACGTTATATTTTTCTGCTTCTGTTTTTACTTACTATTAAAGGACTTTTAGCTCACTTCAAAGACTCCTTGGTTATTTTAGGAGAATCTAGAGAATTCACAAATAAAGTCCTCTGAGCTTCTTTCAACTCTTCACATTGCTACTGGTGCCTGCCAATGATCTGCTCCAGCTATTGCCCCCATCAAGACCTTGAGGCCGCTGGCTCACCCTTGAGATAATGGCCTCCACTACTATATTAAGCTGGTACTAGCACAGACATTAGCACCTTTGGTGTGAGCACTGGCACTGCTAATGACCACAAATTTAGGAAGATAAACACAAAGTTGTGCCATAACCATTTAGTTAAAGCAAAGAGGATCCCTTTCCCTCATTTTTGTAACACATTTTGTTTCTTTGATTCTAGAGCACCTTTGTGGTCCTTATGGATTCAGGAGCTTTCATATTTTTACACCCAACAATCATTAGTTGATTGCCTTTTGAGGAAAGCACACACAAATGGTGAAAACAGATCTTGGGGGATCTGGGAGGAGCACCCACAATGTTGCAACAATGATATCATCATCTCAGTGGTAACATTTATTCAGTGCCATGTACTAGACACAACACTGACTTTACGTGCATTCTCTTATTTAACTTTTACAACTACCCCCATTTTGCAAATAAGGAAAGTCAAGATTACATAAATGAGGAAACTTGCCCAAGCTGACTCAGTGAGAGTCCAGTATTTTCTGAGATTCTAAAGATGCCAGTGGTAAAAAAGCACCCCGAGAGACTGTGGAATAGAGGCAGTTACAGTAGGTGTCCCAAAGGCCTGGGTCATACTGAGCTGAGGATGTGGGTCCCTTTTTGTCTGGCTACCTGCATTAAACAATTCCTATTAAGAGTGAGGAAAAACAAACAGATCAAAGATCCTCCATTTGACCTCTGGGTAGTCCTACATGTCTAGACCTTGCCCGTGGATGTCTAGCTGTGAGCAAGGCTGTGAGTGTAATTAGCTTGGAGGGTCAGGGACGAGATGAACTGTAAGAAACTAAGCAGTCTTGATGGCCAGCAGCTGCAGTTATTTAGCCAGATCATCCCACACAGCTTCTTGTCATTACAGAAAGGAGATTTTGGAAACAGTTTTCATATTATCAGGGACATGGCAGTTTCAGTTAAATACTTTCAATAATATTTCAACAAAAAGAGCTCAGTGGACAAGGAAATAAAAATTTAATGAGAGACAGAATACTTCTATACATAGGATTTTGTTCTGAAAACTGACAGGAAGGGATTCCATAGCAATTACAGCCCACCCAGGGATGCCATTTAATCAGACATTTAGTGGGCAATTGGGAGCTGAGACCTAAGGGTCATGACAGGATTAATACTTTTTCTCTGAGAGCCAAGCAACACACCTCCTGCCCCCTCCCCTGCTCCCCAAAACACATGAGGTTGTGCCACAGAGGCCAGTAGACAATTGAGCATCTGTCTGGTGGTCTAGTTTGTAACTGGAGCCTTTAAGACCATGGCTTGTTGACCCTTGAAATTCTACCCATTGACCTGGCATGATGGGCTATTATATTTGTCTCTTGGAGTTTGAGTGGCTCTGTCTATAAGAATAGTGGAATGACTCTATATGCTGGAGCATGTTTGGGGGACACTTTTTCATTTGATTCTCTCACATATCCCACTGGTCCCCAATTTTTCTCCTAGTGGAGTTGGGGGCTTTGATCCAGGACTAATTGTGAGGTTGTTTTGCAGATTGTATCATGGTCACTCTGGGTGTTCTGATTTGCTTTGAGAAGAAAACCTAGTTTGTGCCAAATTAGTTACAGAGCTGCCCAAACTCACTGTAACTCTCCCAGTTGGATCTCACCTGTATTCGTGGTGAGGGCCATGGTTCTACTTCATCCTCAGGACACCACTGCTCTGCATGGGAAGGAGCAGAATGTGGCAGGAGCCCTTTCTGTGTGTAAAAGCCAGGAGGTTAAAAAACATCTAGATTCTTGAAGGTAATTATAGATTTGTAATTCTACAAAATCCAGCATGCATCAGAATCACCTGTCGGCCTTGTTTAAGCACAAGCTGCTGGGCCCAGCCTCAGAGAATCTGGAATGGACTCCAAGAATTTGCATGTCTAGCAAGTTTCCATATAATTCTGATGTTGCTGGTTTAAGGACTGTACTTACAGAATTTCCAAATAGAGAAAAGTGTAAACATGAGTAGCAGAATATAATGCAGCATGCTGAAAGCTGCATATTGATGACACAGATTACAGGACAAGGATAATTGTTGGTCAAGCATTTGGTAGATCAGGTGAGGAAAATGAAAATGGGAAATTCTGATGATTCTAGCTTTACCTCCGGTATTCCTAATTTCTGGAGAATGGCACCAATATTAAACATCCTTAAACTAAAAACATGATCATTATCCTATTAGCTTAGGCATGAAATCCAGGCAATTTTACCTCTAAACATTTCTCCAATCTATCTAGTTTTCTTTTCTTTTCTCTTTTCCTTTTCCCTCCCTCCCTTCCTTTCCTTCCTCTCTTTCTCTTTTCTTTTCAGATAGGGTCTCCCTGCTCTGTGTCTTGGGATAGAGTACAGTGAAGCTATAATAGCTCACTGCAGCCTTGAACTCCTAGGCTCAAAAGATCCGCCTGCCTCAACCTCCCAAATTGCTGGAATTACAGGCGTGAGCCACTGTGCTTGGCCTCTATCTAGTTTTCTTCATCTTACTGCTACTTCCTAGCTCACTCTCCAATCACCTTCTGCTACCTCTACTGTCAATGAATTCTCCACACAACTATGGAAGACATTATCCTAAATAAAAACTTGATCACCTATTTATATTACCTTTAAATTAATTAATAACTTATATTACCAAATTAAGTTTAAAAGCTTACTTCTCATACTGTCCTGTGCATCCCTCATTCTCAGCAAACTACTTGCTTGCATGTTGTTCTTGCCAACTTGAGTATCTCAAAGCAGGGACGACATCTCTTTCTCTTTATATTGTTAGCATATAGACAGGAATCATAATCAAAGTTATAATAATATGCCAAGAACTTTATCTCATCTTTCAACTTTAAACTACTTGCAAATTAGACATCATCAACCCCCCTTTTTTTTCAGACAAGGAAATGGAGGCTTTGAGGGGTTAAGAAATTTACTCAGGATTACATGGCTAATGAGGGGACAAGTTGAGATTTAAGCCCAGGTCTGTGAGACTCAAGGTAGTATCATCCCATATGTTTTTTTTTTCTTTTTCTTTCTTTCTTTTTTTTTTTTTTTTTTTGAGATGGAGTCTCACTCTCATTGCCCAGGCTGTAGTGCAATGGCACGATCTCAGCTCACTGCAACATCTGCCTCCCGGGTTCAAGCGATTTTCCTGCCTCAGCCTCCCAAGTAGCTGGGATTACAGGTGCCTGCCACCACGCCCGGCTAATTTTTGTATTTTTAGTAGAGACATGGTTTCACCATGTTGGCCAGGCTGGTCTCGAACTCCTGACCTCAGGTGATCCTCCCACCTTGACCTTCCAAAATGTTGGGATTACAGACGTAAGCCACCACGCCTCGCTCCATATACTTTTTCTGCATGATGGCTAGAGGAGACAAAAATCATTCTTTGTTTCCTGAACAGAACTGCTGCTAATCTCCATGACTTAGCCTGGCAAATAAGACTAGCTTCTTGCAGAGTTTGAAATGCTTGCTCACATATCTGTGCCTTTGCCCAAGCCAGTCCCTTTGCCCGGGATGCCCTCCTCACACATTCCGTTTGCTCATTCTTCAATAATTAGGTCAGGCTCTCCTTTCCTAAAACTTTGCTATCCTGCTTCTGTGTTTCCATAGCAACTTGAATAAATCTCTGTTTTGAAACTTATCATAACTTCACTTGTCTGACACCCTTTCCCCCACCGTGAGTCACTGAGCTTTTTGGGGAAACTCATTTTAAATCTACAATGCCTGGCATAGAAGATGTGAATTAGTTAGGGTATTTCTGGCTGAAAGGAACAAAATCCCCAACTCAGTGTGGCTTAAATAAAAAGAAAATTTACAGGCTCACATAATTTGAAATCCAGCTCAAAAACACCTGCTGGGATTTTGTGAAGACTGGATATTTTATACACATTCATATAAAATATCCAACATTTATTGCATGTGTAGCATAGAGTATGCACCAAGTAAATAGGAGCTGTCATTATCCTTATTTAATTTATCCATCTATGGATCACATATGTTAATTTTATTTGTAAAAACTTCCACATTCTAGATTGACTTTTCTAAATTTCTGTCTCTTCCTAAATCTACTCACTTGGTAGGGATGCCTAGGAATCTGGAGGGTTGGGTCCAACATCCTTATTAATAAGCTCTGCAAACAATTCTTATTTTTATTTTAATTTTTAAATTTTTTATTTTTAAAAAAACTTTTGTTATAGTTTCAAGGTACATGTGCAGGTTTGTTATGTAGGTAAACTCATGTCATGGGGGCTTGTTGTACAGATTATGTTGTCATCCAGGTATTAAGCCTAGCACCCAGTAGTTATTTTTTCTGATTCTCTCCCTCTTCCCACCTTTCACTGTCAAGTAAGCCCCAGTGTCCTTTGTTCCCCTCTTTGTGCCCGTGAGTTCTCATCATTTAGCTCTCACTGCTAAGTGATAACTTACGGTATTTGATTTTCTGTTCCTGCATTAGTTTGTTCAGGATAATGGCCTCCAGCTCCATCCATGTTCCCACAAAAGACATGATTTTTTATAGCTGCACAGTACTCCATAGTGAGTATTACCACATTTTCTTTATTCAATCCGTCATTGATGGGCATTTAGGTTGATTTCCTTGTCTTTGCTATTGTTAAGAGTTCTGCAAGCAACTCCTATTCAGGTCTCATGTCCCTCCCCTCTTTTCCCATCCCATAATAGAATCATAGATTCTTACTCTATTACATCTGGGAAGAATGCTTGAAATTGTCCAGTTCACTGAACACTTTCTTTTACAGGTGGGAAAACTGAAGCCCTGGATTTGAGAACTGACCCTGTAATTTTATTAGCTCCATGTCATGGATTCATTTGCTCACCTTTTCTGATCCTCCATAGCCTCCAGCATCTTTTCCACCATATTTTGGTTTGTTGAAATCCTCAGTGTCCACTTAAATCCTTGCTACTCAAAGTGTGGTTGGAGGGCAAGCAGCAGGAGCATCACCTGGAGCTTGTTAGAAATACAGAATCTCAGACCCTGCCCACGACCTACTGAATTAGAATCTGCAGTTTCACCAGATCCCCACCCCACCAACCCCGGTGGTTACTATGGTCATTACAGTTTGGAAAGCACCTTGTTAAGGTACCTCGGAGATTCTGTAAGAATTTCCAGGTTTGAATCCCCATGCTGCAACTGGCCAGCTGTAACCTTGGCCAGTTATTTAACTTCTCTCTCAGTTCCCTCACCTGCAAAGTGAGGTTGATTTAGATTCGAGAGTTCTCATGAGTATTAAATGAGATAGGGCACAAAATATCTGGTGCACAGTTAAAAGTCAAAAAATGTTGACTATTATTCTCAGTTTACCATAAGTTATTATAATTATGCCACTTTTAAAGATTGCACTTGGGTTTTCATGTGCTCATCTTCCGTTCCAGCCTCTGAAGGCACTGTATTTTATCTCCATGGTGGTTGGCCCAATACCCTTTCTAATCTGTTCCATATATTTTATTACATTTAGCAGTTCTCGATGGATTCAGATTATTTTCTAGATGGTCGTAGGCCTATGTCAGAGAACCAGATTAATTCTATGCATTTTAATAAAGTCCTGACATTGTGCAGAATCTTCAAAAGAGCATAACATATGGGCATAGGCCCTAATTAAACACTTGTTGAAAGTAAATTAGTTAATTAGAGTTGACCGCTACTTCCCACAGAGGGTAATCAACACAAGATCTGCAGAGAGCACTGACATCCTGTGGGGGCAGAAACAGGGCTTGTTTTCAGGCAAAATTATGTCCTTTAATAAATGCTTTTATGTGCCTCATCCTGTCCAAATTACCAAAAAAGTCACTAAATCCACACACACAAAATAAATAAAATAATAACCCAGAGAATTTCTCTCTTGGTTGTTTCTGACATTAAGGTACCCCTCACAAAAGGTGCTATCATTTTTTTTCCTCCAAGGATGAGTGATTTTGAGAGTTAGGGACCCAAGGTTTCCTTTTATTTTATAAAGAAAGCTCCATTCCTTGCTGGACCCCATAACAGAAATAACAGAAGAAATAACTGGAATATGTCATCAATCACTGGAATTTGCCCAACATTTAACGGAGTAGGCTGAATTTCTGGATATCTCTTGTTGGAGGTGGAAGAGTGTATTTAATTTTTTACCAGTACAATAATTTTGTTCATATAAAAATGAAGGATCTACTTCAGAAAAAATACAAGCAAACCTAAGCCATCATTCACTCAGTCTTCACACTAAGCTCAGGCCGTTTCTGAGGTTTTTGGATTTATGTTTATTTTCATCTGGGTATGTAGTTTGGGTTTTGGCTAGCAGCAGCAATGGAAATACCATGAGGAAATAAAAAGTTAGTCTCAAAGCATTTTGGCCTTGACCAAACCTGTTGTTTCATGAAATTGAAGTTTTGACATTAAACTTTCTGGAGAGCAATTGCCAAATAATGCCGGTTTAGGCCATAATAGAGCAATAAATAAACACTTTCCCTCATCTATATGGCCTAGTGGCAGTTGGCTGGGAGCAAGAAGAGCCCAAAGCTGGGACTTGGGAACCTGAGTTTTGGTTTTGTCTGTCATCTGTTGTGCTGAGTTAGTTTGCCTTTAATACAAAGAGTACCCTAGAGGCACTTAGAGAAGGATTCTTTAGGGTACACCTAATATTTGTCTTTACTGTCCCACTGATGATCACAATTTTTCCTTTTTTTTCCTTTTTCCCTCCTTCTCATTTTCCTCCTTCCTTCTTTCCTTCCTTCCTTCCCCTTCCCTTCCCTTGCCCCTCCCCTTCCCCTTCCTCCCTCCCTCCCTCCCTTTCCTTCCTTCCCTCCCTCATTCCTTCCTGCCTGTTTCTCTTCCTTGCTTTAATTTTCTTCTGTTTAGAAGGACTTTTCAGTGAGCCCATAGCTCAAAGGAAAAACAATATCTCAAATTAGAGATGATGCTAGCTAATAGTTTGTGCATGTATGAGTGTGATTTATTATGTTTTGCCTAAAATGTCCAAATTAAGGTTGGTCCTAGGATGAATGATGGCTACATTCTGAATGGAAGAAACTGACCAGGTAAGCAAAGAATGAAGAGGGGGACCTTCAGCAAAATAGAAGCATGGCGGTCCCCTTACTTGACAGTCTTTGGTGGTTTTGAAGTCGTTTACACATTTCCTGCTTGTCAAACCAGCTACATGGAGTTTTGTTTGAGTTGCTGTTCACTTAACACAGCCACAGAGACTCCCTGTTTGAAACCACAAGTGCTGTTTGTACTGAGAAAGCCGTCCATGGCTTCTGAAACCCAGCTATTTCATTGGCACCTTTTCAGCTCCATGTTCTTCCATTAGGAACTGGTTCTTCAATTAGGGGTGAAAAATGCAAATGCAAATGTGCCTCCTTTTTTTAAAAAAACTCAAATATAGTGAAATTTCTGTAGTTAAAGAAAGCTCGGTGTGTGCCTCATGTTTTTCATGCACTTTCTTGTCCCTCTAAATGCCTATACTGACCCAGCCAATTCAGTTAAGAACAAATATATTTTAATGTAAGAAGGGAATCTCTTTTTATGACGGGTAGAAAGAAGAGTAAAATATCATAGATTTTTCCCTATGAGTAAAACTGCCCAGTATTTGTGTTACAAAAGTGTTTGTATTTCACTCAGTTTATATTTTATGGTTGTCTAGGACAACTTAGCATAGAAAATTGTTTCTTTATTATTTAACTATAGATCCCTTTTGTTTCTCCTCTTGCACACTATTCTTGGCCTCTGATAGACTGACTCAGGGCTTTGTTGAACTTTGGGAGAGATCGGTTGGTGGGGAACGAGGGTACTCATGGCCTCCAGCAGCATCTGCCAGGTTCCAGAGGAACTTGTTTTATGAACATGTAAAAGAGGTATTTCCTTCAGGGCTGAGTTCTCACAACTCACTGTTGGATGCTAGCTATAAGGTTAATATATAAGAGATGGTAGGAAGTTTTGAATAATGTTTAGGCACACAGACTTTACAACCCCCATCCCCAGATCCCCAGGAACACCCCTATCTCCAGGGAAAATGAAGTGTATCCACTGGGATGAGCACAGCTTCCTCTAGAATTGCTAGTTGTGTGTTTAGCTTTTGTAAGTCACAGCCCTGATATATTGCACCAGTGGCTCATATGGCATTTGTTAACCTTGGTTCCACATCAGAGATTTTTTTTTTCTTCTTGCCTTGAAGTTTATCAACATACTAGTATGTGATCTTTCTGCCAAACATATTAATATTATACATATTTGTTGGCTAATTGATAGAATTTTCTTTGCTGCTTTGAGTGAAATTATAAAATTTTATTATAAAATTTATTATAAAATTTCACTCCTACCTAATGGAATCATTAGATTTGATTTAAAAATTATTACTATCTGAATTTCAGCTCTTCTGAGACTAGACTATAAGTGTGAGCTTCCCCAGGGGGCAAAAAGGCTTATATGTCTTAAAATATTAATTAGTTAGTGCCTGGCACATAGCAGTTTATTGGGCTCAAGCACGGTGGCTCATGCCTGTATCCCAGCACTTTGGGAGGCCAAGGTGGGTGGATCGTCTGAGCTCAGGAGTTCGAGACCAGCCTGGGCAAGATGGTGAAACCCTGTCTCTACTAAAAATACAAAAAATTAGCTGGGCACAGTGGCAGGCGCCTATTATCCCAGCTACTTGGGAGGCTGAGGCAGGAGAATCGCTTGAACCCAGGAAGTGGAGGTTGCAGTGAGCAGAGTTCGTGCCACTGCACTCCAGCCTGGGTGACAGAGCAAAACTCTGTCTCAAAAAAAAAAAATTGTTTACTGGTTTTAGTTTCAGTGAACTAGGCTAATTTTGTGTTTTTCTATTTTAACTACTACATAAGGTATCAGGACATTTTTGTGAACATGTCATTTTGTCATTATGATACAAAAGTAATAAATACAATCTATTTAAACTATTTACAAATTTCAGCATGTCTAAAGATTGTTTAAAATTTGTTTAAAAGCACAAGAGGTATTTAATATAGGTGGTTAGCACACTACAATTGGAGAAACTCTAGTCTACAGTATACTCCGGAATGTTTCTGTGCATTAATGAAATTTTTAAAAAGACTCAGTATATACTGGTCCTCAATTACATAGAAATTTAAAAATACCTGTTAAATATGCACTCTGAGCACAATCAACTAATAGTAATATTTTCATAGAAAGTCACCATAAGCAGTAATTACTGATTGTGTTTTTAGATGGTTTCTTGTGTGTGTGTGCATGAGACTCATCTAGTCAGTACTATTAAAGTAGCAAATATTTGTTAAATTCTTATGAGTTGCCAGACACTTAATGAGGTTCACGCAAATCAACTTATTTGGTGCTCCAGACAACCCTATATGATTAAGTATTATTATTATCCCCACATAATAGTTAAGAAAACTAAGGCATAAAGAAGTTAAGTAATTTCCTTAAAGTCATAAACTTTATAAGTTGTTAACAGCTCAAAAAATAGTTGATTTTGGATTAAGGCAAGACTTACATAAAAAAGTAGGTACAAAGTGCTCTTCAAAATAAATTAGGGAGATCAAAGTGAAACCAAGTTTGTGAGTATCTGAGTTTGATATTAGGTAAACTTTCTACAACTAATTTTATAAATAGTATACCAATATATTATTTTACACTGTAGTTTCTAAAATAATTTTCAGTCTGATTTTTTAAAGTAATCAAGGCAAAAATAGGGGCAATAGATGTTTCAGATTATCTGACATTATAGAGGGAATATTAATTCAAATTATCCCAAACCTCTGATGTGACTCCAGAAACCACAGGTAGAACAAAAGTTACTGCAGCAGGAGCTGTGGCTCAGGGGTCCCAGGGAGCAGAGTCACCATGAACAACTATCTGAGCCTTCTTCACCTGGAAATACCGTTTGACCTGGAAACCTTCTATGCAAAACTGTCATTGCTTTTTTTTTTCTTTCAAATTCTGCAAGCATTGACTGAGGACCTACCCTGTACCAGAAACTACTAGCTTTTAAATTATATATAATCTTATTCCATCCTTACAACCATGCTGTGTGGTATGTTATTCATTATTGTTATTACTGTGTGACATTTTATGTATGTGAAAACTGAGGCTTTTTGCAATTAGGTAAATTGCTATCAAGTGGCAGACTCAATATTTGAGCCCAAGTGATTCCAAGTTTAAGGTTTCAGTCCATCTACAACCATCTTAAAAAGTGGTTTTTGATTTCGTAATGATGGCTGAAAGTTTGAGTCCTTTGTGGGTTTTATAAAGCAGAACTTAAAGACTTCACAAAAGCTTTAAAATGAGTATGTTTCCCACTACTCTTTTGGCCAATATTCATATTCACTAAAACAATGTGTGTGTGGGTGGCTGTGCCAGTAAGAGGCATATTCATTCATTCAACAAACTGAACAGTGCTATATACCAGGCACAGTGTTAGGTACTGTGGTGCTAGCAATAGAATGAGGTAGACATGGAGCTTACACTCCAGAAGGAAAGATACATCAAGCAAATAAAGTTGTAATAATCAATAGTTTTTTTTTTTTAAAGAAACATCTAACATTACACAGAGATCCAAACTGGCCTAGACAGTGGGAGTTAAGGTGAGACTGAACGAGAAATATGAGGTAGCCAGGCTAAACGATAAATAAGCAGAATTTTTCAGAGAATATTTCTTCCTCATAATCTCCTGCTCTAGTAGGTTACACAGTTTTGCTTATGATGTGATCAAATTTGTCCCACTCCTTCTTGTGTGTCTATGACCTCCCCAACCAGCTCAGAGTGACTTCTGCACAGGGGAGGTCTAGGAACGAATATTTTGAATACAAACAAAATCAAGGAAGCCTTGGAAAGTTTAAATGCTTTTTCCCCAAACATTGGCAAGCACATCAAATGTACCACACCTACCTTTAACAAAAATTCAACATTTCGCTTACTTTTTATGATGTTTTTGAAGTCTATAAATCTTCATTGTACATTTTCCACAGAATACACTTCAATCCCATTGATATTAAGGAAAGTACACGAAGCACTCTGGCCCACTAAATGGGGAAATCAGAATGCGACGGAAGAGTGGCCAAGACTCAGAGTTTCCATTCTCTTCCAAGGGAAACCAAATGAGAAAAATAATACATCGTAAAAGCCCAAGTTCTGATTACAATTCTGGAAATAGGGATGAAATAGGATATTTCATTTAAAAAATATTGTGCCTTGAATTCCAAGCTCAATCTAAAAGGTTATGCAGAGTGCACCCTCTGCACCCTTCCATTCTGGCTATCACCCTTCCATTCCAGCTTCTCAAGGGTTCCTCCTGGGGTTCAGCACTCGCCCATGGGGACATTTAGAGAAACTGAGGAAGGTACCTTTGTACAGATCATGGGTTAGGTTCATTAGTCTTCTGCTTAATCTAGATCTATCTTTATCTTAAATTTTGATTTTCACAAAATTAATTCATCTACATTCTTCCAAGACAAATGTTGCCCTTATAACATAGCCTCCACTGTAACTGTGATGTGATGTGATGTGATGTGATGTGATGTGATGTGATGTGATGTTGTGGATAGTAGGTTAGGAGACAAGCGTCTGGTTTCATCCAATGAGAGGTTCTATCAGAAAATCCTAACCAAGCTTTGCATTTTAGAATCACACGGGCAGCTTTAAAAATACTCCATGTGCAGGTCCCAGCACTGGAGACTCTGATTCAATTAGTTTAGTGTGGCACCTTGGCAGCAGTAGTTTTAAAAGCACTCTCAGGTGATTTAATGTGCAGCCAGGTTTGCAACCAGTTTTATGAATTTTGGCAAGTCCTTTAACAGTTCTTGGTTGCAGTTTTCTCATTTATAAAATAAAATTATTCCTAAAGCATCTTATTTTTTAAGATAAGTGAATAATGATTATGCATGTGGTCTGGGTTTGGAAATTTTTGTGTCTATTGCATTGGAATACTTACTATTTATGAACTGATGGCACTGGGGTTGAGTTAATGTGCATACTACCTGACCCTCTCTCTCATCTTTCTACTGAGATTCAGTAAATACAATGATAGCTAATGATAGCTAACATTTATGGACTGTGTGTTTGTGCTAGATCTTGTGTACAGTAGTGTTACTAAAGTGCCCTGCAGACCAGAGCACACAAACTATTACTGGTGACAATGAGATACTCACAGAAATTAAAGTGATTACTTTTATAGTAATTTGGGCTTCTGTTGTATATTCATTTACCTTTTTGTTATTTAATTTCTAATAATTTATTTTACTACATTCTACAAAAATACCTGTATGTAGCTATTCAGGAATTTTTAAATCCCCCAAAACTAGACTTTCATCATAGATAAGTTTGAGAGGCAGCAACATCAAAGCTCCTTGCGGCTGTTATCTAATTCAATTCTCGCTGGTAATTCCCATGAAGCAGTTGCCTGTTTTACAAGTGAGGAGGCTGAGTATTAAAATGATTTGCCTAAGGTTGCACCCTTAGTATGATTTATAAGTCAGAAAGGGTTGAACTTAGAAAGCCCTGAATCCAGAGCCCAGAGCCGTGGAAAGGACTTGGAAGTTACTTTCAATCAACTCGATCCAGGCATGGGAGAGACCTAGTGCCAGGGAGAGCCACTTTTGCACAGAGTAACTCAAAATGTTCTCTGTGTTATTTGTAACCTTTATGCATAATTACAATTGGCTCCCACCTTGTGAACATTAATTAAGTGGCTATAAAGAGTCCGAAATTCAAATTGTGTAGATATAAAACTAAATCAGGGGCCGGGCGCGGTGGCTCACGCCTGTAATCCCAGCACTTTGGGAGGCCGAGGTGGGCGGATCACGAGGTCAGGAGATCGAGACCATCCCGGCTAAAACGGTGAAACCCCGTCTCTACTAAAAATACAAAAAAATTAGCCGGGCGTAGTGGCGGGCGCCTGTAGTCCCAGCTACTTGGGAGGCTGAGGCAGGAGAATGGAGTGAACCCGGGAGGCGGAGCTTGCAGTGAGCCGAGATCCCGCCACTGCACTCCAGCCTGGGTGACAGAGCGAGACTCCGTCTCAAAAAAAAAAAAAAAAAAAAAAAAAAAAAAAAAAACTAAATCAGAGCTAAATGAAAAGAGACTGTTTTAAATGAAGAGAGTAGCCTTTAAGTGGCAAGTCGGAATTTTTTTTCTGCCACTAGGAAGATGAAATCAGTTAAAAAAATAAATTATTTTTCTACACACTTGGTCATCTACATGTTAAATTTAAGCTTGCTAAAGATGTGTGGTTGGGTTTTTCTTTTTAATCTTCTCTTTGCAGCCTGAGTAGGAAGAAATAACCTCTTGGAAAATTTCTAGACTCTTACCCCAGGAAAACAGACGTTTTACCCTAGGATATTTTCCTCCAGAACTACTTTTTATCCAAAAGATGCAAGGTAAAAAACTGCTGGATTTTTTCTTTTTTGTTTTAATATTTTTAATTTAATATTCAATTTATTTTAATTAATTTAATATTGAATATTGAATGTTTAGTATTTAAAGACCATGTTTACTTTCATATTTGGTAATTCATAAAAAATTAAACAATTTTTATCTTGCATCTTTTGGATCGTTGTTTAAAACCAAGTGCTCTTTCCTACAGCATGAAATATTTTAGACTTGGTTTGTATATACATTTTCAGAAATGTTCCTATTATGTAGAGTGAGAGGTACTAGTAATATCTAGAGCATTGAAAGAGGACAGAAAATAAAGTATCAAGTGACATTTAAGCACTGATACAGAACTGGAATGCATGAAGAATTTCAGGACCAGGAGAGTTTAACCCTCTTGCTTCTCCCAGGTGTGGGCATGGCAGCTTGTGAATATCACCTTGTCTTGGTATCTAGGATCCCAAAGACCTTCTGCAAGTGGTGTTGACACACAGCACACAGGCAACACATCTGAAATCTGTACAGTACAACTGTTTTAGGCTTGGGCTACTATCTCTTAATCATAAAATAATAAAAAGTAAATTTAATTTTATAGTAAGTACTTACTAGTTCCTTGCTGTGCTAAGCATTAGGAAATTAATGAACTGGTGATAGAAAATGGTGTTTAGAAGAGGTACATAGGCACAAGCATGTGCAGAGAACAAGGAAGCCGTCAAGAAAGGAGCCTTTATTTAGGGAATGATATTACCTATCATTGGGAGAACTGGGGGCAAACATATGGGATTTGGAATGAAGAGACTCAGCTATCTCTTCTCAATTATGATGTATCTTTTTATGTGCCTGTCACAGAATTCAGTACTGGAAATAAAAAGAAGCATAAGAAATGGTTCTTTTCTAGAGGTGAGGCAGAATCTTTTCTTTAATGAAGGAAGAATTCTGAAGCACGTGGGGAGCACGTAGCAGAATTTCTCACAAATGGCATTGAAAGGAGCCAGGAGGGAGTGATTAAGGCTTCCTCCTGTAAGCCACTCAGATCTTCAGTTCCCTCTTTTGTGAAGACAGGGATATTCCATTTACCACACACAGTTGCAGCAACAAATCAGATGGGCTATGGGTAGGAAACTGCTTTAAAAGTGTACAGCAATGTTGTTATTTTTATTAATCGCTTTAAAATATCTGAAGGATAGAATAATACACCCATAAGTGTTCACAATTCACTGTGGCTGGGAGAGACAGAAGGTTGTGCTTCCTGTGGAATGGTGCCTGTCAAATGTTGAGGTACAGCCCTTGCCATTGCCACCTCCTCTATGATGCAGTGGCATGAGTGACTTTAGTTGCCCAGTGTGGCCATGGCATTGCACATCTCCATACGTTGTGATGCTGAGCTCTTCCATCTGTTGAGAATGCCATTCTTCCCTCTTACCTTTTGTCTTAGTCTGCTCAGGCTACCAAAACAAAATACCATATATAGACTAGATGGCTTAAACAACAAAAATTAATTTCTCATAGTTCTGGAGGCTGGGAAGTCCAAGACAAAGGTTCTTGCAGATTTGGTTCCTGGTGAGGGCTCTCTTCCTAGTGTGCAGATGACTGCCTTCTTGTTGTGTGGGCACATAGTGGAGGGAGGGAAGGGGGGAGAGAGAGAGAGAGAAAGAGAGAAAGAGAAACGGGAGGAAGAGAGAGAAAAGGGAGGAAGAGAGAGAAAAGAGGGAGGGAGAGAGAAGAGGGAGGGAGAGAAATAGTGAGAGAGAGGGAAAGAGAGAGAAGGGAGAGAGAAAGATGAGGGAAGGATTGAGATGAGAAAGAAGACAGGGAGAGAGAGAAGAAAGGGAGAGAGATGAGAAGGAAAGAGGGGAGAGTGAGAGAGAGAAGAGGGAGAGGGAAAGAAAAGAGAGAGAGGGAGAGAGAGATGAGAGAGGTGAGAGAGAGAGGAGAGGGATGGGAGATGGAGAGAGAGAGAAAAAAGAGAGAAAAGAGGGAGAGAGAGAAAAAAGATGGAGAGAGAAAAAATATGGAGAGAGAGAAGAGAAGGAGAGAGATGAGACAGACAGGAGAGAGAGAGGAGAGAGAGGGAGAGAGAAAAGAGGGAGAGAGAGAAAAGAGGAAGAGAGCGAGATGAGAGAGATAAGGGGGGAGAGAGAGAGAGAATGAGAGAGAGAGAGAAAGAGAGAGAAAGAGAGAGAGAGAGAAAGCGAGAGAGCGCACACTGTTATTTTTCTACCTCTTCTTATAAGGACGCTGATCCCATCATAGGAGCCTCACCCTCATGACCTCACCTAAACCTGATCACTTCCCAAAGGTCTCCACCTTTAAATGCCATTATATTGGGAGTTAGGGCTTCAATGTATGAATTTGGAGGGACAAAAACATTCAGTCCATAGCCCCTTTCCAGTAGGTCTGTGAAACACACACATCCTTTAAGATTTTCAAATGTCTTATTGTCTTTAAAAACTTCCTTTATTCAGCCAAATAGAGCTGATTATTCTCATTTTGTCCCCTCAGTGAAATAATTATTCAATACAATTGTTGATTCAATAAATATTTGTTGTGGTCACCTTGTACAAAATACTCTTGTCTTTTACTACTTGGTCTTCACTGCAGCAAGTACCATGCTTGCATATGCAGGTTAAACATTTTTAAATGAATTGCTGCAAGAAGATGACTCACTAGATAACAGCCAGAAGGAGTAAAGCAGCAGCTGATGAAATAGAACAGGGATCCATCATCTGTTTATCAACCATGATGACTTACAAGACTAGGATTAAGAGAAACATCCTAGGCATTTTTCTTGAAGGTCTATCGCCTTGAAAACATATCAGGAGAAATTTCTGGGGGTAATATCAGAGTAGTATTTGAAGCAACCATGCCTTAAGAATGAGAAAGCTAAATATATTTAGCCAGATTTTGAACAGAAACACAGATTGCCTTTTAGGACTTGGAACGCTTGCTAAAAGAATGCAGTTTTATTTCAAAATTTTAAATTTCAAAATGGGCTAGATTTGGAGGTATGGTGATTCACTGGGTGTTCAATTTACAAATACAGTGGCTCGTTAAATTTGCCCAAAGTTGTTTTTTTGTGTTTCTCCACCTGCAATTTGTATTAGTGAAATAAATATTACTAAGAGTTGAACTCTATTTGGTGAGTTCCCAGAATGTAACTGTTCTAACAGGACCCTGTTGGATTGTCTATAGCTCAACAGTTAAAGGAAAAAATGTAATTGTCTAACTACCTCTTGCCCACATCCCACACTTTCACCCTTTCCAACAATTAGCCTGCTGTAGCAGTTTCAGTCCTGGAAGAGGAAACTATTGCAACTTATCCAGGCCATCTGACTAAGAAGTGAGTAACATTGTGTGAGATGCAAATGGACAATACCTCAAAACCTGAGATGAGAAAGATCAGGCCAAGAGGAGATTTGGCAACAGGGAAGTTGGTCTCTTGGAACACGTTAGAATTTCCAAGAAACAAATTAAATGTGATTTAAAGAAATTGGGTGTGTTCCTCTAATCTGGACATAAAGCGCAAATTGCAACCAGGGTTAAAGGCTGTGGATGGGCCTCATTGCAGGCTCCACAGAAGTCAGCACGTTTCCTATCAAAGATTGCAGAGTGTTGTTCCAGGGTTTTTGTTTGTTCAGTTACTTGTATCTTGTTTGTTTCTTTGTTATGCTTCACAGCTCAAGGCTTTCAAGACATGCAATGGATTCCAGTATCTGATGTCCAATGAATGTGCCAAAGGAAGGGAAAAAAGGCAGATTTTATATTTTTCTAAACTTTGTAATTGATGTCAGAATCAGGCTGGCCTTGGCCCCACTTGTGTCTAGTGCTAAATGACCTGAAATGGTCCTCATCCCCCACACTGGCTGATATAATGTATTGATTCACTGGCCTTCCAAATTTCGTCTGACCTCAGGCAGTGGGACCCATCCTTCCTTGCTAGGAGGGATTAAAAGGTGCCTGAGTCTGGTCCATGAGGCAGCTCGGCACAAATCAGCCCTATTGTTAGTGTCTTCCTAAGCTTGTGCGCTACTTCTGATAACTGAGCCCTCACCCCCAAATTGTCTGGATAACCAGTTAAGCTGGTACCTCCTCTGGACCTAGACCCCTATCTTTCTGCCTCTGCATCCCACAGCCAAATTATAGCGTCTACTGCAAATCCTCCATTGATCCTGACTTTCTGGCACCACTCACCGTATTTCAATCGCTGACCAAGTTGCCCATGGTCCCCCAGTGCCTCTGGATAACCTACTCTGCTTGCTTACACCAGTCTAGAGTTCCCACTTTTACTCTCCTGCAATCAGTCCTCCAGCTCAGCTTCTCCCGGAAGGCTGAGACCCTCTGGGGGGCCTGGCTTCAGACAGTCTTGCTCCCCCTGAACACTCTTCCTGACACTTTAGGAAAGGCAAGAAGAAGAAAAGGCCTCTGCTTTTTCACCGCTGAATAGCTCATGGTTCTGCAGCAAGGTGTTGATAAGACATTGACTTTTGCATGAACCTGCCAGAAAGAAGGGGATGTGGCAGCACCTTCAGTGCAGAATGAATGCTGCATTCTGAAATTTGAAGAGGAAAAGAAGCTTGTGGTTGATGTAAATGCACGATAGACCAAGGAGACATATATGTCAGCATTTTTCAACAAAGAGCTAATTGGAGAGCAGAAGCAACTACTGACTCAGGAAAAAACAAAGTTAAAATTCCTTTATTTTATAGCTAACCTCACCATAATATCTGATTTGCCTCCTACCAATTTATTATTATTAATATTATTTATGCTAATTCTTTAAAAAATAGTGTATGCTCTCTTCTCACTCATAAGTGAGAGTTGAACAATGCGAACACATGGACACATGGAGGGGAACAACACACATTGGGGCCTGTCAGGCGGTGGGGAACAAGGGGAGGGAGAGCATTAGGACAAATAACTAATGCATGTGGGGCTTAAAACCTAGATAACGGGTTGATAGGTGCAGCAAACCACTGTGGCACACGTGTACCTATGTAACAAACCTGCACGTTCTGTACTTGTATAAAGTAAAATAAAACAAACAAAAAAATACCATATGCTTATGGTACAAATGCAAAGAAACCAAAAGAGTATAAAGTGAAAAGTAGTTTTTTTTTCTTATTCATGGCCTTCCAAGAAGTGTGATTTCTAAATTTTTTTTTCATATAAATATGTACTGTTTTGCAGCTCACTGCAACCTCCACCTCCCAGGTTCAAGCGATTCTCGTGCCTCAGCTTCCTGAGTAGCTGGAACTATAAGTGTGCACCACTACATCTAGCTATTTTTTTTTGTATTTTTTAGTAGAGACGGGTCTTGCTATGTTGGCAAGGCTGGTCTCCAACTCATGACCTCAGATGATCCACCTGCCTCCACCTCCTGAAGTGCTGGGATAACAGATGTGAGCCACAACACCTGACCAATATGTAATATTTTTATAATTTAAAATGTATATTTTAAACACAAACCAGATAAAATATACGAACTATTCTATGACTTATTTTTATTTTTTTAACTAATATATGTCAGGCATCATTCTACATGGGCATAACTATTATCGACCAAACACATTCTTTTTTAACAACTGTCCAGTATTCTGACATCTGGATAATCCAGTCCACCAACATACTTTAGATTCTAAATTCAGAAAACTACAGAAGAAAACAGAAACTGTAGTTTGCCTGGAGACAAAGGTCAGAATGCCTGAGTCAATCTGCAGTTTTAGCTGGCCTCTCAGTAGAGCCAATGTTTGAGAGAATGAGTCAAGAAAATGCTGACACCTAAGGAAGGAGAGAAAGAGGGTACATTTGAGTTAAAGGCTAGAGGGAGGGGTGTGATTGATGCAAATGGATTGTTTGTTCACGAAGAAAGGATCCGGGTTCTTTTCCAGTAGTTTGAAGGCTGGGATAGAGTTTAACCTCCCAGAGGTAGAGGACAGATTTCAGTTTTTAACCAGAAAAGCATGATTAAGAAACATGGCTAAGTACTATGGGATTTTCTCTTCAGTCATGATTAAGATGATGCCATGCTTTAAGAGAAAAGCCAAGACAAGAATGATTTTATAGATGCACCAGCAAAGTAGTATCCATTCTCCAAATACAAAAACCCTGAGATTTTCTACTAGGCAAGATTTCTTTAAGAGCCTAGCTGCAGCACTTTTTGTTTGTTTAGAAATCTCAGAAAGAAGAGTCTTGTACTGAAAGGTGAGAGCATGTGGTACCTTTTTGTTGTTGCAGGAATCCTGCATTAACAGAAGCTATGGGTGCTGCACGTGCCACAGACCCTGGAAGCTCAGCTGTGGGCAGAGTGCTCAGGAGAGCTCTCTGCATAGATGGCTATCAGCATAGATGTAGATTGCATGGAAGGAACAGCTGGCTCTGGCAGGGCAGCAGCCAACAACAACGTCGTGTTTCATCATCCCTCCACACCTTCAGATCTGAGTTGTGTGTGCTGCTGATTGTCCTGGTTGAACTTCTCGCTGGAACAGAGTGTCTAAATGTGTCTTCTAAAGTAAGAGAAAAAGGCTGCCAGGAGAGCACTTGCAGGGAAGCAGTTTCTTTTGGAAATCTGAGGAAGAAGGAAAACAATTTCAAAAGAGTTGAAGTTCAGGGCGAGAAGTTCACCAAAAGACAGACATTGTCGATGAAATAAGAGCTTTGTTCTCATCAGGATGGGAAAATAAATGCTTCATCAGGAAATGAGATGTTGCTGACAGGGAGAGATGCTGTCAACTGCAAGCAGATTCCTTTACTACGACCCTGTTTCTAATGATAACGTTTCCAGGGAGGGCATTGAATAATTTTCACTTTGCCACTGTCTGTGAGGCCTGGTTCCATGGGGAGCTGGAGTGTTGCTAAGGCCAATTGCACGCAATTATCTCCAGATTCAAAGAAACCTTAATTGAGGATTGGAGGAATCAGTAAAATGGACATTTCCTCTAGCAGAATTTTCTTCCATGTTGATTTCAGGTTTTTGAGAGTCCTAGGCTGGTCATTTGACACATGTGTGCAGTTTCTTGTTCTATATTCCATGAAAGTAGGAGGAGCGTCAAATCTGGGCTTTACTTAAAAGTAACTTGACTGATTTGGGACCAATTATTGAGTTCTGAGCAGAATTTCCACACATATCTGTCTTGATCTATTTTATAAAGGAGAAGACAGCTCATGTTTTATATCACCCCAGGGAAAAATAAATTCTTTAATTGCTTGGGAGATTCAAAATTGCATCCATGGCTGAGCACTGTCCAGCCTTTTGGCTTGTTTCTGGTAGGCCTGTCTTAGGTAATGCGGCTTTATTTAATTTGGCATAACATTCTGTTGTTGCTGAACAAGAGGGAAGTCAGGTTTCTGATAAAAAATATCATATTATATTCTGGGAATATTCAAATATCAGTGAAAAAGAAGAAACGTAGGTGGTGTTAACAGTAAAAATCCTCATGTTTTACTCTTAAGAACAGCTACCACTCAATAAGCTAGTGGTGTCATGGAAAATTCATAGACTTTGGATTCATATAGCACAATATTCATATTCTATTACCAAGTCGGGCAAATTCAAGCATATTTTTTAACTCTCCTAATCTCCATTTCTTCTGTGCAGTGGTGTTCGTAACAAATAGGTGTTAATAATTATAACACTTACAACATGCCTCACGCATGGCAGGGGACCAAATATTAGTGCATGTTCTGTCCTTGGCAGATTCTCCTTTATAAAATAAAAGTTCTGTGACAATCTATAATATTTAGATTCTCTTCTCTTCAGACCCAGGATAGAATATAGGAGTGAAATAACTTCCTTTTATACCCATTTATCTAAAGGACAGTGAGGTAGTGATTTTTTATATGTAACAGAAGTATTATAACCTTGTAAAAGATAGTATGGGTGTTAAGGCATGGAATTTGGACTTGGGCAATCCTGAGTTCATTTTGGGGTTAAGTGACTTTTCTGAGATCAAACCTTGTATAAATTACTTAGCACAAGCATGCCTCCATGATTTGGAGAAAACTAGCACCCACATTGCTAAGTTGTCCATTCAGTTAAAAAAATGTACGGTTTTAGGCTCACGGCAGCAAGCTAATAGGACAGATACAAATCCTGACTTCACTGGAGTTGACATTTGAGTGGGAATGAACTGACATGTAAACCAATGAATCTAGAAGACAAATTCAGATAATGCTAGCTTACGAGAAGAACACAAAACAGAGTGATGGGTTAGAGGGTGACCTAGGAGCAATGCCCTGCCCTGCTTTGGCTCACCCTCCATGGGCTGCACCCACTTTCTGACCAGTCCCAATAAGATGAACCAGGTACCTCAGTTGGAAATGCGGAAATCACCTGTCTTCTGTGTTGATCACACTGGGAGCTGCAAACTGGAGCTGCTCAATGAAATAAAAGAGGACACAAACAAATGGAAGAACATTCCATGCTCATGGATAGGAAGAATCAATATTGTGAAAATGGCCATACTGCCCAAGGTAATTTATAGATTCAATGCCATCCCCATCAAGCTACCAATGACTTTCTTCCCAGAATTGGAAAAAAACTACTTTAAATTTCATATGGAACCAAAAATGAGCCCGCATTGCCAAGACAATCCTAAGCAAAAAGATAAAAGCTGGAGGCATCATGCTACCTGACTTCAAACTATACTAAAATGCTACAGTAACCAAAACAGCATGGTACTGGTACCAAAACAGAGATACAGACCAATAGAACAGAAAAGAGGCCTCAGAAATAACACCACACATCTACAACCATCTGATCTTTGACAAACCTGACAAAAACAAGAAATGGGGAAAGGATTCCCTGTTTAATAAATGGTGCTGGGAAAACTGGCTAGCCACATGTAGAAAGCTGAAACTGGATCCCTTCCTTACACCTTATACAAAAATTAATTCAAGATGGAGTAAGGCTTAAATGTTAGACCTAAAACCATAAAAACCCTAGAAGAAAACCTAGGCAATACCATTCAGGACCTAGGCAATACCATTCAGGACATAGGCATGGGCAAGGACTTCATGACTAAAACACCAAAAGCAATGGCAACAAAAGCCAAAATTGACAAATGGGATCTAATTAAACTAAAGAGCTTCTGCACAGCAAAAGAAACTACCATCAGAGTGAACAGGCAACCTACAGAATAGGAGAAAATTTTTGCAATCTACCCATCTGACAAAGGGCTAATATCCAGAATCTACAGAGAACTTAGACAAATTTACAAGAAAAAATCAAACAACCCCATCAAAAAGTGGGGAAAGGATATGAACAGATGCTTTTCAAAAGAAGACATTTATGCAGCCAACAGACACATGAAAAAATGCTCATCATCACTGGTCATCAGAGAAATGCAAATCAAAACCACAATGAGATACCATCTCACACCAGTTAGAATGGGGATCATTAAAAAGTCAGGAAACAACAGGTGCTGGAGAGGATGTGGAGAAATAGGAACACCTTCACACTGTTGGTGGGAGTGTAAACTAGTTCAACCATTGTGGAAGACAGTGTGGCGATTCCTCAAGGATCTAGAACTAGAAATATCATTTGACCCAGCAATCCTATTACTGGGTATATACCTAAAGGATTATAAATCATGCTACTATAAAGACACATGTACATGTATGTATATTGTGGCACTATTCACAATAGCAAAGACTTGGAACCAACCCAAATGTCCATCAGTGATAGACTGGATTAAGAAAATGTGCCACATATACACCATGGAATACTATGCAGCCATAAAAATGATGAGTTCATGTCCTTTGTAGCGACATGGATGAAGCTGGAAACCACCATTCTGAGCAAACTATCACAAGGACAGAAAACCAAACACCACATGTTCTTACTCAGGTGGGAACTGAACAACTAGAACACAAGGACACAGGGCGGGTAACATCACACACTGGGGCCTTTCGTGAGGTGGGATGGGGGAGGGATAGCATTAGGAGAAATACCTAATGTAAATGACAAGCTAATGGGTGCAGCAAACCAACATGGCACAATGTATACTTATGTAACAAACCTGTACGTTGTGCACATGTACCCTAGAACTTAAAGTATAATTAAAAAAAGAAAATATTTGCACACTATTTATTCAACAAAGGATTAGTATCCAGAACATACAAGAAATTCAAGTCAATAGCAAAAAAAAAATAATAAAAAATAAAAAAAAATTCCAGCTAAAAACTAAGCAAATGAACTGAGAGACATTTCTCAAAATAAGAAATACAAATGAGCAACAAATATATGAAAAAATGCTCAACATCACTATTCACCAGGGAAACAAATTAAAACCACCGTAAAGTATCCTGTCACCCCAGTTAGGATAGCTATTATCAAAAGGACAAAAAATAACAAATGCTGGCAAGAATGCGGAGAAAAGGAACTCTTACACCTTTTGGTGGGAACATAAACTAGTACAGCCGTTATGGAAAACAGTATGAAGATTTCTCAAAAAACTACACATGGAACTACCATATGATCCAGCAATCCCACTACTGGGTATTTATCCAAAGGAAAGGAAATCAGTATATGCAACGGATACCTGCACTCCCACGTTATTGCAATACTATTCACAATAGCCAAGATAGGGAATCAACACAAGTATCCAACGACAGATGAATGGTTAAAGAAAATGTGGTATATATATACATAATGGAATACTATTCAGCCATAAAAAATGAAATCCTGTAATCTGCAGAACATGAATGAACCTAGAGGATATTAAGTAAAATAAGCTAAGAACAGAAAATTATACACCTACATGTTCTCACTCATGTTCAGAAGCTAAAAATGTTAATCTTGTAGAAATAAAGAGTAGAACAGAGGTTAATAGAAGCTGGGAAGGGTAGAGCAAAGAGGCAAATAGAGATTTGTTAAAAGATACAAAATTGGCCGGGCACGGTGACTCATGCCTGTAATCCCGGCACTTTGGGAGGCCAAGCCGGGCAGATCACCTGAGGTTGGGAGTACGAGACCAGCCTGACCAACATGGAGAAACCCCGTGTCTACTAAAAATACAAAATTAGCCGGGCGTGGTGGTGCATGCCTGTAATCCCAGCTACTCAGGAGGCTGAGGTAGGAGAATTGCTTGAACCCGGGAGGCAGAGGTTGCAGTGAGCCAAGATCACGCCATTGCACTCCAGCCTGGGCAACAAAGAGTGAAACTCTGTCTCAAAACAAAACAAAACAAAAAACAAAAAAGAGACACGAAATTACAGCTAGATAGGAAGAATAAATTCTAATGTTCTATGGCTCTGTAGGATGGCTATTGTTAACAATAATACATTATCTATTTTCAAATAGCTAGCAGACAGGATACTGAATGTTTCCAATACAAGTAAATAATAAATGTTTGAGATGATGGATATGCTAATTACCCCCAATCTAATTATATGTATCGAAACATTGCCATGTAGCCCATATGTATGTACGATAATTACATGTCAATTAAAAATACATAAATAAAACTTTTAAAAACTTTTGTCCACATGAATGTTCCCAAAGCATTCACTCAATAAACATTGGTTGAATGTCTTGGGTGCTTGGGTACCAGAAAACAGGTATATATTTGTTTTGTATCTGCCCTGATTCTCAAAAATGAGGCTTCCTTCTGAATCATTCAACATAATGCTGTCAGATGATGAATTCTTCCAATTCAATCATATTCTCTATGCCCCAAATCTTTCAAATACAGGCCACTGCTTAAAAACTTGGGTCAAATATTCATCCTTATATAGCAAGCCCTTTCCTATCCTATTTCTACTTCTTAGTCCTATGAGAAGAGGAGAAAGGGAAACAGAATTGGGAGAAGGGGAAAGGGAGGAGAGGAGAGAACAGAAAAGGAGATGAGAGAAGGGGGGAAGTTAAGGTAAGGAAGGAATGAGAAGGAAGAATTTCCCTGGTCAGATAAACTAGGGGCACAACATATCCCATAGTAACTTTTTGAAGATTCATAATACCCGCCTCTCAGTTAGTGTTGGAGTGTCCCTGAAGCAGCAGGTAATACTGGCTCAGCACCATCTTCCATTACTTCTGGAGAGTTTAATGCCTGCTCCAAGTCTTTGGTGACCTCACAGGGGATTTATATTCTTACAGTCACTCTTGGCTCAGAGATTCTCATTCTCCTGAGTTGGTTCAGCTTTCTGAACATCCTGTTCTTATTCTTCACAGCATTCAACAAAGTCTTTTACTAGGATTCCTTGAGAAAATTACCCATGTTAAGATATGGTACAGTGCACAAATGGCCACAACCATTTCCCTCCCTCCCTGTGTCTACCCCTGTTTGCAAAGTGATGTTGCGGCTATTTGCATCAAATGTGGAGACAATTTCCTCACCTTCTGGATCTGGGCTACACTTGTGACTTGCTTTGGCCAACAGAAGGCAGGAAGGATACAGTGTGACAGTTCAAGCTTAGGAATTCAGAGGCCTTCAGTACTTCTGCTCTCTCTTTTGGAGTCTTGCCAAAACCATGTGAATGAACAAGCCTGGTTTAGTCAGCTGGAGAATGAAAGACCGTACAATACAGAGATGCGCCATCCCAATTGAAGCCATCTTAAACCAGCCAGGCCCCAGCTGACCTAGCAGGTGACTGATACATGAGCTATGAGCTAACTGGTACATAAGGCCTTTGTGTATCACAGATTTTTTGTTTTTGTTTTTGAGACGGAGTCTTGCTCTGTCCCCAGGCTGGAGTGCAGTGGTGCGATTTTGGCTCACTGCAACCTCCACCTTCCAGATTCAAGTGATTCTCCTGCCTCAGCCTCCTGAGTAGCTGGGATTACAGGCATCCACCACCACAGCCAGCTAATTTTTGTATTTTTAGTAGAGATGGGGTTTTACCATGTTGGCCAAGATGATCTCCATCTCTTGACCTCGCGATCTGCCCACCTTGGCCTCCCAAAGTGCTGGGATTACAGGTGTGAGCCACCGTGCCTGGCCATATCACAGATTTTACTCAAGCTTTGGGGGAGATGAATTTTATATGTCATCTTAACACAAACAACTTAAGAGCAAATTTTAGATGTTCCTGTTCTTAAAACTGTACTATGCTGCTTATTCACCACCTCACACCCCTACCATCTCCTCATTCTCAGGAGGCAATCCTCCAACCCCCCTTTCTCCCAAAGTCCTTGCATCTTTAAATGCAGCATAATTCAGCCCTTCCCAGTTCCTGTCACCAAATCCATGGAGGACTTCACTCTGCATATACAAACAGTCACTTCTGCACTCCATTACATTTTGTCTCTCTATTCTGTCTCACCCTTCCTCCCTCACTGCAAGCTCCTTTCGGAGAAAGGGAGAAGCATATAACCATGTACATGTTTATTGCTGAATGGAACTTATGACAATTAGGGCACAATTAGATGTTTTATAATTTAACACTACAGTTAGTTACATTTCTATTAAATGTATTAGCATTTTAAAGTCTTTGAGAAGTCCTGCAAGAAGGACATGTGTTTTACTGTGATTGGGCCAACATCTCACAATCATTTGACCAAGAAATAAACCCATCTCCACCTATGCCCAGTATGTGTGTGTAACACTTTATTATTCTGCTAAACTACCTTTTCTCAGAGTGCATTTTGCAAAATGCTGTCCCTTCCAGCGTGGTGTGATCCTCCCTTCCTCACCAGCACAAGCCCAGCTCTGGCAGAGCTGCTAATTCCTTAGACAGACCATGTTCATTTCTATCACGTTTCAATCACTCCATGTGTGGAATGGATCTCTTCAAGATCCATCATAATTCCCATGACTTCCATTTAGTGTTTCTCCATGTTTCAGCCCATGCTGACCTCTTCTTTCTCTGACTTCTTGTATCTCCCCCCGCAACTCCCAGTGAGACATTTTCCCACAGAGTAATACATGGCCCTTTCTTTCTTCTTCTTCTTCTTTTTTTTTTTAGAGACAGAGTCTTGCTCTGTCATCAGGCTGGAGCGCAGTGGTACCATCTCGGCTCACTGCAACCTCTGCCTCCTGGGTTCAAGCAATTCTCCTGCCTCAGCGTCCCGAGTAGCTGGGACTACAGGCGCATGCCACCATACTCAACTAATTTTTTGAATTTTAATAGAGACAGGGTTTCACCGTGTTGCCCAGGCCGGTCTCGAACTCTTGCACTCAGGCAATCTGCCCACCTCGGCCTTCCAAAGTGCTAGGATTACAGGTGTGAGCCACCGCGCCCGGCCACACATGGCTCTTTCTAGGCACTATTGTTTCTTTCCATAATTAAAACTAACAACTAGATAATAATCTTTTCCAGGACAGGGACACTATTTTACGCTTCTTTTATGTATCCCACAGAACAGACGCTTAGCAGACCCTAACAATCTACTTACTGAATTGAACTGATAATAAAATAGTGAGAATAATTATTTTATTGAGCACCTCAATGTGATTGGCTTTATACTAAGCACATAGTATATATTATCCTATTTCATTTTGAAAACAGCCTTGTGAAATATTATGCTTATTTTACAGATGAGAAAATTAAAATTCAAAGAAATTTAAATAATTTACTATTAAATGGCCATAGCACCATTCAAACCAAGATTTGATTCCACAACCAGTGTACTTTAACCCCTATGACATATTGCCTTCTACTTACATTTATACCTTTGTTAACCAAATTTTAAAGATATTTCACGCAGCCACAGATGTCTGCACTAAATGTGCGTACGACTTACTGAATTATCAGAATTCCAGGCTTGAGACTTTGCTTACTTTCCTCCCTGAATCACAACTGCAATTTTCTGTCATAGCAGCCATGCATAGAAGCAAGGTGGCTGTGAGATAAAAAGAAAAGGGAAAAATACCATAACAGAATTAGAGTGATCATTAAAATCATTAAAAGAAGCATTGGGAGTTTATTATGAGCCATAGCAAGGAAGTTCACAGCCCACAAGCTTAGCAGGCTAAGCTATACTTGCTATAATTATATCAGAGATGGTTATGGTTTGCACATTTATTGTATTATACTTTGAGATCATGCACAACATTTAAGTAAGGAAAGGTTTTTAGAAATGATATTAGTTTCAGTCTAAATCTAATTTTTGAAAAGTAAACTATGCATAATACATCTAAACCACAGTTAAAAGTGAAAGTCTTTGCTTTGTATCTACCAACATATCTTTTTTAGAAACTTAAAAATCCAAACTCCCACTACCCCCACCTCAAAAACTGATCTTAATTCAAGTGTGGCTCTGACACTCAGCTCTTTAATTTGGTCTTTGCTGACAGCTGACTTCAATTTTTGCCTGTTTATGGAAGTAAATTAAAAGAACACACAGTCTGTGATCCAGTGGTTCTTTGTGGTACAGTCCTATTCAGTTCCCAAATCAAAACCCAGAGAGTTGTCAGGAGGACTAATCGTTATGTCAACATGATTGCATTTGTAGGGTAGAGCATAGGGAAGCTCCAAGGGAAGTATGTCACTTTCCCAGGTACTTCATGGATCAATGTCTTTTGTTATTTCAGTTTCTAAGTAATGAGTTTAGAACAATTCAGATGAGATTCAGAAGCTTCAGATGGCTGATGTTTGGGTGGTGGGTTTATGTAAACGTAAGAGTCCCTATTATTTACTGATTGCACGAGGGTGCCCCTGGTGTCAGCACTCGCTGAGGGTACGTGGGGGACAAATACCTGAAAAGAAGCCTCCAACAAACTTTAACTCAGAAAACCTCCCTCAAATTCAAGAATGCTTTGGTAAAAGATGGGATTAAATCTCATGAAAGGAGACTTGATTTTATGTACATATAAACTGATGGTATTGCATATGCTATTTCTAGGTTTCCTAAGCAAATGAGCAAAACCAAAAATAGAATTTTACTGGCTATGGAAGCCCCTCATTAAAGCTATGTGACTCCTTATATGTTCCTGAAATCTTCAAATCTAGGAAGCACCAGGTCGTAGTGACTGTCTCTTCTCCCTGAGATATTGTCTTTTTGAAAATACAGGCATATCTCATTTTGTTGGGCTTCACTTTATTGCACTTTGCAGATGTTGTGTTTCTACAAATTCAAGGTTTGTGGCAACTTTGCTTTGAGCAAATCTATTAGCACATTTTTCCAACAGCATATGCTTACTTCGTGTCTTTGTCACATTTTGGGTAATTCTTGCAGTATTTCAGATTTTTCTTTATTATTATATCTGTTATGGTGATCTGTGATTAATAATATTTGATATTACTATTGTAACTGTTTTTGGACACTATGAACCATGACCACATAAAATGATGAATTCAGTTGATACATGCTGTGTGTGTTCTTTTTTTTTTTTTTTGAGACGGAGTCTTGCTCTGTCACGCAGGCTGGAGTACGATGGTGTAGTCTTAGCTCACTGCAAACTTTGCCTCCTGGGGTTTAAGCAACCTCCCAAGTAGCTGGGATTATAGGTACCCACCACCACGTCTGGCTAATTTTTGTATTTTTAGTAGAGATGGTGTTTCGCCATGTGGTCCAGGCTGGTCTCAAACTCCTGACCTCAAGTGGTCCGCCTGCCTCGGCCTCCCAAAGTGCTGGAATTACAGGCGTGAGCCACCACACTCAGACGATGTGTGTGTTCTGACTGCTCTACCAAAAGGCCATTCCCTCATCTTTCTCCCTCTCCTCAGGCCTCTCTATTCTTTGAGATACAACAATATTAAAATTAGGCCAGTTAGTTCATACTGCCCAAAGTAATTTATAGATCCAATGCTATTCCCATCAAGTTACCATTGACATTCTTCACAGAATTGGAAAAAACTACTTTAAATTTCATACGGACCCCAAAAAGAGCCCGTATAGCCAAGACAATCTTAAGCAAAAAGAACAAAGCTGGAGGCATCATGCTACCTGACTTCAAACTATACCACAAGGCTACAGTAACAAAACAGCAAAAAAAAAAAAAAAAAAAAAAGATACTGGTACCAAAACAGACATATAGACCAATGGAACAGAATAGAGACCTTAGAAATAACATCATATATCTACAACCATCTGATCTTCAACAAACCTGACAAAAACAAGCAATGGGGAAAGGATTCCCTATTTAATAAATGGTGAGGGGAAACTGGCTAGCCATATGCAGAAAACTGAAACTGGACCCCTTCCTTACACCTTATACAAAAACTAACTCAAGATGGGTTAAAGACTTGAATGAAAAACCGAAGATCATAAAAACCCTAGAAGAAAACCTAGGCAATACCATTCAGGACATAAGCATGGGCAAAGATTTCCTGACAAAAACATCAAAAGCCATTGCAATGAAAGCCAAAATTGACAAATGGGATCTAATTAAACTAAAGAGCTTCTGCACAGCCAAAGAAACTATCATCAGAGTGAATAGGCTACCTACAGACTGGGAGAAAATTTTTGCAATCTACTCAACTGACAAAGGTCTAATATCCAGAATCAACAAAGAACTTAAATTTACAAGAAAAAAACAAACTACCCCATCAAAAATTGGGCAAAGGGTATGAACAGACACTTCTCAAAAGAAGACATTTATGTGGCCAACAAACATATGAAAGAAAGCTCAACATCACTGATCATTAGAGAAATGCAAATCAAAACCACAATGAGATACCATCTCACTCCAGGCAGAATGGCGATTACTAAAAAGTCAAGAAACAATAGATGCTGGTGAGGCTGTGGAGAAATAGGAGAGCTTTTACACTGTTGGTGGGAATGTAAATTAGTTCAACCATTGTGGAAGACAGTGTGGCAATTCCTCAAGGATCTAGAACCAGAAATAACATTTGACCCAGCAATCTCATTATTGGGTATATACCTAAAGGAATATAAATCATTCTACTATAGAGACACATGCACACGTATGTTTATTACAGCACTATTTACAACAGCAAAGACATGGAACCAACCCATATGCCCATCAATGATAGACTGGATAAAGAAAATGTGGTATACATACATCATGGAATACTACACAGCCATAAAAAGGAAGGAGATCATGTCCTTTGCAGGGACATGGATAAAGCTGGAAGCCATCATCCTCAGCAAAGTAACACAGGAACAGAAAACCAAATACCTCATGTTCTCACTCATAAGTAGGAATTGAACAATAAGAACACATGGACACAGGGAGAGGAACAACACACACTGGGGCCTGTAGAGGGGAGAGGGGAGGGAACCTAGATGATGGATTAATAGATGCAGCAAACCAGCATGGCACATGTATAGCTATGTAACAAACCTACACATT
This sequence comes from Homo sapiens, assembly GCF_000001405.40. Classification (NCBI taxonomy): domain Eukaryota; kingdom Metazoa; phylum Chordata; class Mammalia; order Primates; family Hominidae; genus Homo; species Homo sapiens. The sequence goes on along the minus strand of NC_000008.11, from coordinate 107,824,162 downwards.
CTGCACATGTATCCCAGAACTTAAAGTAAAATTTTTTTAAAAAAGGAAAAAAATAAATAACTACTAGATATTTGGATGTTAAGCCAACTTTTATGACTTGGATAAAGTGTATTCTTCTTCTTCTAATTTTTTTTGAGACAGAGTCTCACTCTGTCACCAGGCTGGAGTGCAGTGGCACTATCTCAGCTCACTGCAACCTCCGCCTCCTGGGTTCAAGCAATTCTCCTGCCTCAGCCTCCGAAGTAGCTGGGACTACAGGCACGTGCCACCACACCCAGCTAATTTTTGTATTTTTAGTAGAGACAGGGTTTCACCATGTTAGCCAGGATGGTCTCGAACTCCTGACCTCATGATCTGACTGTCTTGGCCTCCCAAAGTGCTGGGATTACAGGCGTGAGCCACTGCACCTGGCCTATTCTTTTAATATACTGTTGGATTTTATTAATAATTTTTCCAGATTTTATATTACTATTCAAAACACCAGTGTGCACTCTTCTGTTTATTCGATTTTATATTACTAAATAATGATATAATGATATAAGGATAATATAATGATATAGTGATGTTATTTTGTCTTTGTAAGTTTAAAGACTTTACTTATTTGCTTAAATTCAGTAAGATCTGATTTTGAAGTTAAAAATAAATAAAATATAAGATAATATTAGTCCATTTAGTAACCCTACAATGAATGGCCTCTAAATGTGTTCGAGTGAAAGGAAGAGTCACACTTATCTCACTTTAAATAAAAAACTAGATAATCATTAAGCTTAGTGAGGAAGGCATGAGAAAAGCTGAAAAATATCAAAAGGTAAGCACAAGAGTGCTACACTCACAGTTAGCCAAGTTGTAAATACAAAGGAAAATTTCTTGGAGGACATTGTAAGTGCTATTCCAGTGAACAGACAAATGATAAGAAAGTGAAACAGCCCTACTGCTGATATAGAGAAAGTTTTAGAGGTCTGGAGAGAAGATTAAATGAGTCAGAACATTCCCTTAAGCCAAAGCCTAATCCAGAGCAAGACCCTACCTCTCTTGAAGGCTGAGAGAGGTGAGTAAGCCATAGAAGGAATGTTTGCAACTAGCAGAGGTAGGTTCATGAGATTTAAGGAAACAAGTTGTTTTCATAACATAAAAGTGTAAGGTAAAGCAGAAAGTACTGATGTAGAAGATGCAGCAAGTTATCCAGAAGATCTAGCTAAGATAATTGATAAAGGTGGCTATATTAAGCAACAGATTTTCGCATAGATGAAAAGCCTTCAATTGGAAAAAGATGCCATCTAGGACTTTCATAGTTAGAGAGAAGTCAATGTCTGCCTTCAAAGCTTCAAAGGACAGACTCACTCTCTTGTTAGGGGCTAACATAGCTGATGACTTTAAGTTAAAGCCAATGCTCATTTACTATTCTGAAAGTCCTAGGGTCCTTAGGAATTATGCTACATTTCCTCTACCTGTGCTCTATAAATGGAACAACAAAGCCTGGGTGACAGCACATCTATTTATAGCATGGTTTACTGAATATTTTAAGTCCATTGTCTATTGTTTTCACACTTAGAATAGAACACTCATTCTGCAGCCCATGGATCAAGGAGTAATTTCAAATTTCAAGTCTTATATTTAAAAATACATTTCATAAGGCTGTAACTGCCATAGATAGAACTTTGATAGAACTGCCATAGAACTTTGAGGTGTTTGAGACTCAGTGGAGGAAGTAACATCACGTGTGGTAGAAATAGCAAAAGAACTAGAATTAGAAGTGAAGTCTAAAGATGTGACTGCATTGCTACAATCTCATTAGCAAACTTTAATGGATGACAAGTTGCTTCTTACGGATGAGCAAAAAAAAGTGTTTCTTGAGATGAACCATCTCCTGGTGAAGATGCTGTGAACATTGTTGAAATGACAAAAAAGGATTTAGAATATTTCATAAACTTAGTTGATAAAGCAGCAGCAGGGTTTGAAATGATTGACTCTAATTTTGAAAGAAGTTCCACTGTGGGTAAAACACTATTAAACAGCATTGCATGTTATGAAGAAATCTTTCATGAAAGAGTCAATGTGGCAAACTTCATTGTATCTTATTTTATGAAATTGCCACAGCCACTCAGTCTTCAGAAACCACCACATTGATCAGTTAATAGCCATCAACATTGAGGTAAGACCCTCTACCAGCAGAAAAGATTACAACTCGCTGAAGGCTCAGATTATTATTAGCATTTTTAGCAATAAAATATTTTAAAATTAAGGTACATACATTTTTTAGACAGTACTATTGCATACTTAATAGACTACAGTATGTTGTAAACATAACTTTTATATGCACTGGGAAACCAAAATATTTGTGTGAGTCATATTATTGTGATAGTCACTTTATTGCAATGGTCTGGAAGGCCTCAGGAGATACTGTGGGTCTGGTTCCAGACCACCGCAATAAAGCAAAACACAATAAAATGAAGTATGCCTGTATCTTCTTCTGGGACTTAGTTCCCATGGATTCAAGGCAGATAGGAGAGCATAACCAAAGGTCCTAAGCCAGGGAGGAGGAACTAAAACGAGATTGGTGAGTTTGAAACAGATGAGTGCAGATAAGAGTGCAGGAGCTGAGATGGTAAAGGTTGGCAGTGGTCAGGTGTAAAGCTACAGAAAGACTTCAGAGGCTGTTTAAACTGCAATGGAAAGTGCTATGGAAGGATTTTCAGCAGATCACTCTGGCTGTTCTGTGGAATAAGCAATGGGGTTGAGGGGAAACAGCTAAAGAAGCTTTTTTAGTCATCCTGGGAAGGAATAAGGGGGGGCTTAGTCTAGGGTGGCGAGTGTGAACAGAGATGTTAAAATGAATTCAACTCTCTTTTAAAGGTTCTACATGATAGGTGTTATGCTAGAATGGAAAGATAAAATGATAAATGACATCGTATGTGTGAATTTTCATTTTCAGGAATCTCAGTGTCTATTAGAAAAATTGAAAAACAGAAACTTGTACTTGAAAATGATAAATGTTAACATAAAATCTAACACAGGACACTTTGGAAGTCATGTAATATAATATTACCAACACATAGGAAAACCTCACGTAAAAATAAAGTGTTGGTAACTAATTGTTGAGAAAGCAATTGTGTGACTGAAGTTGCAGCATTGTATTAGGGAACTTCAGAGTTATTTCTACAGTCCATATTTCTGAAGTTATTGATGAAGAAACTAGAGTTTTGAAAGATTAAGGGTCTTAACAACATACAGATGGGTGATCATGGAATCGAACATATAGTCATTAATGACTTATGTTCCTGGTGATAAATAAGAAACATGGTTCTTCTGTTCGTCAAGCTTTCCTAATTAAGATAGAGGGATTGACAGTGACTATGAAGTTTCTTGATTGAGCACCTGAGTGGATGGAAGTGTCATTGATTAAACTAATGAACAGTGTGGGAAGAACAAGTTTTGGGGTGTAGGAAGGGCACAGGAAGAATGGAATGGATTTAATTTGGAAGTGCCAGTAACGTTTTCAAGTGATGATATTAGCAAGGAGAATCATTATAATAAAAGGCCAGCCTCCATCTAATAAAACCAGTTTAGTGACATAATCTCACTTTAATTCCTGGTACAAATTAGAGCTAGAGACAATGTGCTTCCAGATAAAATAGTTTTTTAAATGGGGATATTATCATAGAAAGATATATTTACATTCTTATATGTGCTAACTACTCACAAATGAAACAGGCATGGTGTTCTATCTCTTGGTAGCATAAAGAAAAAATTATTCATTTGTTTCTTTTCTTGTTTTGATTAAATTAATCTCATAAATCTGAGCAGCAGACATTGTACAGTGTTTTAATCACCTATGAAGAGAGAAACATGCATAGCAGAATTTATTCAGAAAAAAAACATTTATACTTTCTTCCGGGATTGTTCTAGGTGCTAGAATTCTTTAAAAATACAAATCCTGAGTCTGCTCAGTTCTCCTCTCAGTCCAGCTGATTCAATATTCATGGAATGTTTTCCTGGGGGAGAATGTGGCAGTGACAGGCTAGAGAAAAGAGGGACACCAATCCACAACAGGATAGATACATCCGTCCCAGGAAATACATTTCTCAATGTATAATTAATTGGCTCAGTATAAGTTTGATTAAATAAAAGAGTCTGGCAATCTGAAACATACAACCAGAATCTCTGCATTTAAATTTTAAGCTTCCTAAAAGTGAGGCAAGTCACAAGAAAACAAATTCATAGCAGAGATTTGTCAAGTGAACACATACATAAACCAATACAGCCACCACCAGCATGACAACAATTTTTTAATATGTTTTGAAGCTAGCATAATTTAAGTTTCCCTTGATTAAAAGCATCAGGTTAAATATTCCTCATATGCAAATAAGGGGGAATGGCCCTCTGGAGAGGATGGAATTTTTACTGTGTCACCCTGCTTTATTCTGATTGGAAGAAATGGCTAAGAGGCAGGAAGAGGAGGGGCTCTACTTACTAGAAGGAAAAATAGGGGTCATGCATGAACACACCTTCCAGGTGCATTTGGCCATATGAAGAGAGTTGGATTAAAAATTAGAACTTGGAGAGAAGGGGCTACTTTTGAAGGTGTTTCTTTATCTATCTTTGTGATCTCTTGGTGGAGAAAAACAAATGACTCAAATTGAGGAGAACTGTGATTGGGCAAACTGGCCAGGAGGTGGACAAGGAACTGTGGGGAGGGCTGGAAGTTACTGCACTTCATTATCTTCTTTGATGTTTGCAGTAAACATATCAATCATATCTCAGAAAGGGTTTAGGTCCAACACTCTGAAACCCATCTGGTTATCATTCCCAAGGGAAATTAGCCCATGCTGTGTCATTATCCTGTCAAGAAATCAAAGGCCCTCTTCCTGCATCAGGGGCTGTGGTTTGCTTTTGTTTGTCCATTTCTTTGTGACCCTCACCTGTGATTGGCTCACAGTTGCCTGAATGTACAGCTGTCCCCACATAGCCATTTTCTGGAGGCTGGTTGGCTATATCCACTTCTCATTTTGCAGGGACTAGCCTCTCTACATACATTTTGTATTAACTTTGGAATTTAATAATAATTTATAACATTGTTTATAGGGAGATATATGCTCTAGTTTCCAAGTCATCAACTGGAAATATTTCTACCACCCAACTTATGTGTGAATCAGCCACCTTTCTACCTACTTAGCCTAGCTTCCTATCTCTTCTTCATCAACAGTACAGCACTCCAGTGAGAGAAGGAATGTGGATATTAAACAAGATGACATGAAGTAGCATAAAGATATCTTCCAATGAGTCTTAGGGCTGGAAGTTATAATAAAATCATATAGTAAAATTCTCTCGTGTTATATTTGGTCAAATTGTGGCCCAGGAACTCATAATTGGAATGATCATGTAATTTATTGTTGAATGTGAATATTTTTAGAGTGCTGGAGCTACAAGTATAAAATGGGACAATGCTGGGTGCACTGAGAAACATATCCCATTCATAATCAAATTTGTTCAGTTTGGTGAGTTACTGACAGAGGTAATATAAACCTGAGAATACTGAAGGAGTTTGTCCTTACAGCATACTGAATAAAAAGAAATATGATTCATGCAACTTAGATTTTTCAATCGGTTTTTCTGTAATCCTGCATTAACACAACATAAAACATACTTTCCATGTTAATTTGGTTTTATACTAAAGTTAATTTTCAAAACATCTTAGTTACTATTTAATAATGATAAAATTCATGTTGATAATTATAACATTTATACAGTTTTAATTAAAATATAGAAAATATTCTTTCCATATTTTGAGTAGTTACGAGAACCAAATGGACCTGAAAATTCTTGACAAAGTATATACCTATATCAAAACCAAATATCAATAACTTCTTTTAAAATAAGAGAATATAAAATAAAAATCAGTAAAATCAAAGAAAAATATCATAAAAGAACATCTAGGAAGTCACAACCATAGAGCTTTCAAAATTATTCGTTTCATTAGAAAAATATCTTATAACATGGTAAAGCAAAAAAAGTGGTGAAGCAAATTCATTTTAAAGAATACCTTTGTTGACAGATCCTAGCATGAACATTGACACATTCTAAATTATCATGATTGCAGTCATGTAAATTTTAAGTGATCTCATAGTTGCAATAAATCACCTTGAAAGCAAGTAAGTTTGAAGTGACCTAAGTGGTGAAAACTGGAAGAATAAGGATACCAGGATCATAGTCCAACATCTTGGGATTCCCTTTCTTAGACCCAAACCATCATCTCTTAGTAATTATAGCTAAGCATTATTTTCCCTTCTTTTAAAATACCTGGCAGCTGACCTGGTGGCCAACTGAAAATAAATATTTCCATTGCATTATTCAAAAGACAATGCCTTGCATTAGAGCTCACTACAAAGAAGAAATCACTTACTGCAATGTGAGATGCACACTTGGTACTTGGCCAAGTAAGTGAATTATAAAAAATTTGTGGGTTTACCTGCTATGATTTTAATATTTGTCCCCTCCCAAACTCGTATTGAAGTTTAGTTGCCATTGTAACTGTATTAGGAAGTTGGACCTTTAGGAAGTGATTAGATCATGAGGGCTCCACCCTCATGGGTGGGATTGGTGACATTATAAAAGCCTGAGCCTGGCCCCCTCTTGCTTTCCCTTCCTCTCTCTGTCTCCCTCTCTCTTTACCTTTTCCTCTGCCTCTCTTTTTCTCTCTCTCCACTTCTAACTTTCTGCCATAAGATAACAAAGCAAGAAGACCCTCTTCAGATGCCAGTACCTTGATGTTGGACTTCCCAGCCTCCAGAGCTGTGAGCCAATAAATTCTGTTCATTATAAATTATCCAGTCCCAGGAATTCTGTTATAGCAGCACAAAACAGACTAAGACATTATCTTAAATCAACATCCAAAAACAGTCGCTGGAAAATCAAAGCACCTTATAGATTCCTAGCAACACAATTTCTCCACAATAATCAGGTTGCTACACAAATCCAGGATGTTTGATATTTGGATAGGAAATGTACATCTCACATTTTTACTATCACTGTTTAAATACTAACTCAAAAAAAAGTTATGGACTTACTAAGGGGAAAAAAAGGACTGCTCCACCAAGTTAAAAGGCTAAAGTTTGATATGAGTATCCCTTGAAAGTGAAATATTCATAAGAATTATTTGGGGACTCTGCCAGTTTTCTGGACCTCACCCACAGATATTCTATTCCAGGAATCAGCACTTTTGAGAAGTACTGCTAAATGTAGAAATAGGAAAATGCTTAGCCTGGAAAGTTTACCTGTCTTCTCCAAACAATATTTGCCAACAGGTTTTCTTCTGAGATTGTATATACTATAACAGATTTTAAAACATATTTTGTTAATTCAGGGTAAAATATTTTAAAGGTTATTTTATTAGGTATTAATATACTATGACTATTTTGTCATACCATTGGAAATGTGTGTGTATGTATGTGTGTGTCAGCAAGCAGAAAAGTTTGGATGCACCTGTTAATCTTTTTAAAAAAGCAAATGCAGCCATAAAAAATGGTGAGTTCATGTCCTTTGTAGGGACATGGATGAAGCTGGAAACCATCATTCTCAGCAAACTATCACAAGGACAAAAAAACCAAACACTGCATGTTCTCACTCATAGGTGGGAATTGAACAATGAGAACACTTGGACACAGGAAGGAGAACATCACACACCGGGGCCTGTTGTGGGGTAGGGGAGGGGGGAGGGATAGCATTAGGAGATATACCTAATGTAAATGATGAGTTAATGGGTGCAGCACACCAACATGGCCCATGTATACATATGTAACAAACCTGCATGTTGTGCACATGTACCCTAGAACTTAAAGTATAATAAAAAAAAATATATATATATAAATAAATTTAAAAAATAAAAAAATAAGAAAGCAAATCTCTGGTAAAAGTTGATTTGTATGTAGAAGAATAGTTGTTTAGGTATTCTATCCTTAAACATACTACTTTTCCATGGACTTCAAAAATATGCTTCCTCCTTTAAAAATGAAAAGAAATCATTTGGTTTTCTTTTAACTGTATAAATCTCTCCTCATTAAAAAAATAACATTGAAAAGGATCATGAAAAACAATGGAATATAATCTCAAATAATTTTAAGTTTTAAAAAAGAAATCAAAATTGGTATAAGAATGAAAAATAATTTTGAAAGTTCTGCAGGAAAGTCCTAGGAACTGGAATTGTTTAGTCTAGAGAAGGGATTGTTAGGGAATATTTTAATAAAATTTTTTACAATAAGACTAAAGCAGGTTATGCTGAGAAGAAAGCTGACAATTCTTCATCTTAACTGGAAAAAGTATGTATGCTTCTTGGTGATTTTATAAGAGACTTTTTATCTTGTAAAAAGTCTTCTTATTTTTGTCTTCTTAATAGAGACTCCCTCTCTCATTTCTCTCCTTCTTTTTCTTTCTTCCCTCCTTTCTTTCTTCCTCCTTTACATAACTATTGAGCTTCTATTATGTGTCAGGCACAAAGGAAATGCGGTTGGTTTAAGTTAAATATACTTGGTTAGGGAAGAGTTCATGGAGAATATTGCTTGGCTATTTCAACATTTTATAAGAATCTGCATATAAAGGGACTCATGGCATACATTGTAGGGTGGTGTCTCACAAAGACCACTTACTTCGGGAAATTTCAGTCTAATCTTCATTTTGCTAATCTCTAACAAGAGATTCCAGTAACATAATTCAATTTCAGAGTGTAAAATGTTATAGAAATTTTCAATTCCAGAACAGTGGAGAGGCTAGCAGATTTTTTTTTCTGTTACTGGTTTCACTGATAGCACTTGGGAAAGATTATGAAGTCCATTTGGCAGGGTTTTCTCTGTAAAATGCTACTCTGTTCTTTCATTTAATGATCAAGGAAAGATATTATTGACTAAGTAGAGTGCCAAATCAGGTGTTAGGAGTGTCTGGTTCTACTTTTAGCAGTTATTGATGAGAAATTAGTCTGAGTTACTTCTCTTTCTTCTCCTTCATTGGCCTTCTTCTAACATATATGTGGCCTGCTGTATTAGTCAGGGTTCTCCAGAGAAATAGAACAATAGGATATATACAGATATATAAGAAGAGACATTATGGAAATTGGCTCACAGGATTGTGGAGGCCAAGAAATTCTATTATATGCTGTCTGTAAGCTGAAGAACTGCAAAGGCTGGTGGTGTAACACATTCAAAGGCTGGAGAACCAAAGGAACCCATGGTTTCAGTTCACAGCTGAAGACCCGAGAACCAGGGGCTGCTGCCATAAGTCCTGCAGTCTGAAGGCCCAAGAACCAGGAGGTCTGATATATGAGGGCAGAAGAAAATGACTGCCCAAGTTCAAGAAGAGGGAGAAAATTCGCACCTCCTCTGCCTTTTTGTTCTGTTTGGGCCCTCAATGGATTGGATGGTGTCTGTCCACATTGGTGAGGGTGGATCTTCTTCGCTTGGTTTACCAATTCAAATGCTGATCTCTTCTGGAAATACCCTCATAGATACGCTCAGAAATAATGCATACCAGCTTTCTGGGTATCACTTCACCCAGTCAAGCTGACACATAAAATTAACCATCACACCCATTTTTAAAGAAACATTCCTCTCATATCTTGGGGCTCATTTTGGCTCAAGCTAGAGCTTAGATAGAGCATCCTACTAGGTGTTCTGCTGAGAAATGAGTTCATTAGGCCAGTGTATTTAGTTCATTTTCACACTGCTATAAAGAACTGCCTGAGACTGGGTAATTTATAAAGAAAAGAGTTTTAATCGACACACAATTCTGCATGGCTTGGGAGGCCTCAGGAAACTCACAGTCATGGCAGAAGGGAAGCAGGCACCTTCTTCACAAGGCGGCAGGAAAAAGAAGAGCAAAGGAGGAAATTCCAAACACTTACAAAACCATCAGATCTTGTGAGAACTCACTCACTATCATGAGAACAGCATGGAGGAAACCACCCCCATGGTCCAATCACCTCCCTCCCTTACACGTAGGGATTACAGGTCCCTCCCTTACATGTGGAGATTAAAATTCAAGATGAGATTTGGGTGGGGACACAAGGCCTTATCATATCAGCCAGCAAATTGCTCTGCTTCCAAACAGCAACAACCACAACAAGGCTCAGTTCAGGCAAATATGCATCAGTGGCTACACAAGGATGTAGTAATGAAGGATCCTGAAAGGAAGTGAAGAATGATGGAGAAAGTGGCAAGAGATAATAATAATTAGAACACTGGTGGTTGACATTGAGAGATATTGTGAAGCAGTGGCTAGAACTGGGTTCTTGGAAGGAAGACAGGCAGGGACAGGAAGTGACAGGCAATAAGAAGTGGGCTAGGGAACAAAGCCTTGTAGTCAACTGAGTCTTAGTCTTAGGACTTCTAGACGTGAATTTGAGTGAATCAGTAAATGTTTTTTAAAAGTAACGCATGCAACTTAAGAACGACTACACTACACTACATCCCTTTATTCATGTAGTACAACTAAAGGTTTTCACTAACTCAAGCTTCCTCTGCTTCCATTCCAAGTCAGACTCTTAACTTGGTCTGCAGCCTACATTTCATGTCATACTTTGCCATCTAGTGGCTGGTCATAGTATAAGGCAAAAACTTAAACCCAAACATAGATTTCTATATACTTTGTTGAAAACCTGAGACATTCAACTTTGTAAAATGTAAGAGATTCTGTTTGTTTTCTTTATATGCTGTCTTACTCCAAAGAGAATACATGGTGGCTTAGCTTTGGGGTTGAAATTTCAGATTATGACAGAGCTAGGCAAGTTTAAGAGAGTAAAATAAAAAGAATTATAAATTTTCACTCATTATTTTTCTTAACATTTAAACATCACTTTCCTTGGTATTTCTCTTCCATATAGAGTTTATATAAACTGAAATCCAATAGGTTTTTCCAATCTAGTCATTCCGGTAGGTTTATTTTATTATTATGTGCTAAAACCAACCTAACTCTTATTTAATTATGTCAAATGGTGTAGATCATTTTCCCTATAATTTATCTAGCTTTTCTTTCTTCCTTTGTATTCCTCAGTGAAGGAGATATTACTTGACATTTTTGCATCATTAAAAACAATCTATGGTTCAACTTCCTGTTGCCTCATGTGAGACACGTCTGGTCATTATTGAGTTAGCTTACAATTTAAACAAAATATTCAGGAAACTTTTATTCTTTGTTCTACTCAGCATCAAGTCTCTTTAGGACTGCTTAGTGCAACATTTGTACTGCCAGGAACAAGTGAATGACAATTCACACTTAGCAGTCAGTATATGCTGATGGTCAAACAAATGAGGGGGAAGCCCTTGTGTTGAACGGTTTAAGCGATAATCTGAGAAGAACACAGTCTACTTCCAGACTACCTTTGGAGAAAATGGTGAATGCACAGGATTTAGTTTAGTAGTTAAGAGCGTGCCTTGGAGGGAATAGACAGATTTATATTCCAGTTCTTTTATTTTTACTTAAAAAAAAAATGAGGTCTTGTTTTGTTGCCCAGGCTGGTCTTGAGCTCCTGGGCTCAAGAGATCCTCCTACCTTGGCCTCCCAAAGTGGTGGAATTACAGGCATGAGCCACCACACCTGGCCTATATTCTAGTTCTGATACTTACTAGTTGTGTTGCCTTTTTTAAAGTGATTTAACCCCTTTAAGCTTCATTTCCTTTATCTGTCAAATAACAAAAAAATTGTACTTGCCTCATAAAAAACTTGGGAGGATTAAATAATTTACGCATAGCTTAGTCTTAGTACAGTGTCTTGCACACAGTAAACAATAAATAGGAGTTGTTATGATGATAGTTTTGCCTATGTTTTGCCATTAATTTCTAATCCTGCCTAAACAACCTTTTGTAATGTAAATTCTTGGCTTACTATCATGTATCTATGAGATTCTCCTTGGGAAGCCTCTACAATAAGCACTGTAGCCTGAAGAGTGATTAGCGTTTGATGGTCAAAGACATTTCATTCTAAACAAGAGAGGAAAAAGTTTCAAGAAAGACTAGAGTCCACAGTCATGCCCCCTGTTTATTCCAACACTGTAGGTCCTGGCTGTGCCAATGGGAATTGCCCATGGCAGCACAGTGTATGAGGGAGGGAGGAAATCTATGTTTAAATCCTCAAAATGTGTTCTCAGTACCAGTCCTTTGATTTGGATCAAGGACTCAAATGGGAAAAAGAGCCACCTGGTTTACAACAATAAAGAAGCTCCATTACAGACTTTGCAGGAGATGGGAGCAGGGCAGGGGCAGGAGATGAGAGTTTGAAACTAAATGAGCAACTGAAAGGCAGATTAGAACTTTTGTTCCACCATTTCCCAGCTAACTTAATTTGTGGCAAGTCACTGAGCACTGTGGAATCTGTTTCCTTCCTTTCTTTTCTTTTTTTCTTTTCTTTCTTTTTTTTTTTTTTTTGAAACAGGGTCTCGCTCTGTTGCCAAGGCTGGAGTGGGGTGGTGCCATCTCGGCTCACTGCAACCTCCGCCTCCCAGTTCAAGTGATGTTCCTGCATCAGCCTCCCAAGTAGCTGGGATTACAGGCAGCCACCACCAGGCCCGGCTACTTTTTGTATTTTTAGTAGAGATGGGGGTTTCACAATGTTGCCCAGGTTGGTCTCGAAGTCCTGACCTCAAGTGACCCACCCTCCTTGTCCTCCCAAAGTGCTGGGATTACAGGCATAAGCCACCGCCCCCAGCCTGGAATCTGTTTCTTTGACATTTACAGGGAATAACGTGGACTTTGGGGCACATCACAACTTAGTGTGGAGTCTATATATTTGACATTTGTAAGGAATAATGCAACCAGAAATGCTCATTGGGTTGCACTGTCCTGTGAATGTGAAAACCTCATGACAGCAGTACCAACCTGTCCTGCCTATCACTGTGGTCTCTGTGAGCATAGCACAGCCCTCTGTAAATCAATGTTCCCATATTATTTGTTCAAAGAAAGAGTGAGCCAAAGGTACTTATTGCACTTTCTCTTCCTGAACCCCAGACATGTATCTACAACTGCCTAAAGGACATTTCCAACTGAGTGTGTAGAATGTTGCACAAAATCAGTGGGCCAAACTAATCTCTTGCTTTTCACCGCTATAACCTAGTTTTTCTGTGAATGGCGTTGCTAACCATCTTGTTGTTCATGTCAGAAACTCAATGTTCATCCTCGTTTTTTTCTCTTTTTCTCAAACTCCTAGCCATATCTGGAATATGTGCAGCTTTACATACCTCCTCTACCCTTCCCCTGTTTCAGAACTCTGGACTTCCCTGAATCACTGCAACAATCTTTAAGATGGCTTTCCCCACATTCACTCTTGTTCTCCCCCAATTCATTCATGAATGACAGACCCCTGAAATGAAAACATTCAAGTGTACAGTCAAAGCTGAAGAAAGGAGGCATGTGTTATGGCAGGCAGAGTGCTGGAATGGAAGAGAAGAGATCTAAGTTCTGGTTCTGGTTCTATTATTGCCTGGATAAGTCAATTTGGACATTTCTCTGCCTCTATGGCTATTGGCTTATCTATAAAATAAAAACTTTGGATCAGATGATTTCCAAAGATTCTTCAAACATAAAAATTCAATGCTTTTGTTAAAACTGTTTCTAATTCTGGAGCAAAAGACTTTTATGATGCTTTAAAATTGATTTTAATAATAGAGCTGGTTGCAAATGGCTTTAAATATGTATTCCTTAAAGGCTTCTCTCCATGGTGGCTACAAACGGGCTAATCCCCTAATGGGATTATAATTCCAGATACAATCTGGTCATTTGTTCAAATTAATAATTCCAGATACAATCGGGTCATTTGTTCAAATTAAACTTCACTTTTTCTTATCTCAATTTGTAGGTACAAAAGTTGAATGAGATCAACTTTTGTCCCTGTTTTCTTGTAATATAAAGACCTTCAAGGAGTCTTTAATCCACTCAGAAAATAAGTTTCTGTATATTTCTCTCACAAAATAACAATTAATTAGAACTTGACTTAATTGAAAGTAATATGCCCTCAGCTAGCATTATTGATTTAATTAAGAGTTAACAGGATGACATGGTTGCCTTAAATGTGACTGCACCAATAGGGCTCGAGGGATAGAATAAAGAAAATAATGATTTCATATTATTCATTGGTTGGGCAATATCTGGAGTTACTGTGTTCAATCTGAGTACTGTATTTTAGAGGGCACATTGACAAACTACAATGAGTTTGGAGGAGGATACTGTGTTGTTGTAGAATCTACAAACCCTATATGAAACATGGTTGAAGAAGCCAAAGATATTTAAGCTAGAAAAGAAGAAAATTATGGAGGATACCAGAGATCTCAACTTTCTGAGGGACTGTCAGTAGCACAGAGATTTGGCTTCCTCTAGTGCTTCAATGGATATAATATGGGATCTTTGAAACATTGTAGCTCAAACCACACTATTCCTGTGTGTTAACACTCCCGTGACTTTTCATTATTCTTGCAATGAACTCCAATCTTCCTATGACAGACCTTCACCCACTTATGTCTCCATGCCCCTCACTCACTAGGGTCAAGACCTATTAGTTTTTGGTTTTTTGCTTTGTGTTCCTTCAACATACAAAAATTCGAATCCACCTCAAATCTCTTATACTTGCCGTTCCCTAACTAAACAAGGAACTGCATGAACAAATAAAGCATTAGTAGTGGGTACAGATTAAAGACAGCAGATTTTGCTCAATACAAGGAAGAACTGAGCCTCAGAACCCAATACCCAGAGTCCTGGTAGAAAATGAAGATCTGTCCATCTGGAATGATTAAAGAGAAGGCTAATCACTTCCTGCCATGGAAGTTGTAGAAGGTGAATTGGTTGCTTTGCGCTTTATTGGACAGAAACTCATCATAAGTTGCCTTTGGCCCAAAAAGGAATATCCTGGTTTATTTAACTAAAATGTCCCAGCATGGCTAAATCCAGGTAATCAAATAATGTCTCCGGGAACATTATTTGTTCCAACCACAACCTCTGCTTCTCTCTGTTGGCCTCATTCTCAGGCAGGCTGTCTCCAAGAGGAAGCACTGTGGCCTCCAGAAGTTTCAGGACTATATCCTGCCTGATTAGCAATCCCTTAAAAAAAGAGAGTTGCTGTTTCTTAAAAAATTCCAGCAATAGTCCCAGGATTAGCTATATTTGGTTTGGCTTGGGCCACATGTCCACCCTGAGCCAATCACTGCAGCCTGGAGATGAGATAATTTCAACCGCCACTTTTGAGACTGGTGAAAAAACACACCTCTCACAAAAGCCAGAAGTAGAATCAGCTTCACCAGAACGACATGAAATAAAATTGTGGGAGGGATAGTTCTTCAAAATAAAATAAGGGAGTAGCTAACAAAATACCAAAGAAAAGGATGCTGGAAAGACAAGAACATAAGATCTCTGTTAAAAATGATGTTTTAATTAAGGATGTTCAAAATTTATATAACTGCAAAAAGGTTGGATTATCTGACTTCTAACAATATGTTTGATTCTCAGTGTTCTATGATAGAGAGTTGTGGTTTTATTTATTTTTTTTGTCTTTATCTGCTGTGGTCAATGTCTTAGAAAGATCCTGTCCTATCTGATGGCTTGAGATAAAGTCAAAATCGTCTGCTCATGGCAAATGCAGAACAGGAATTAGGGAAGGGGAGAGGTCACTAGAACCTGACTGAGACCAGAATGGGTATGAGTTGTGGAACTTGGCCCAGCTGCAGAGACTGATCTGGAGGTTCCCCTTTGTGAACCAATGAGAAAACACTGTCCTCTTCATCCAGAAATAGTTGGAATCAAACAGCCAAAGTCCTCATGTTACTCCTTGGCAACTTAGAATTTCTTACTCTGAAGCTAAATCTGTCAATAATTTCTTTGAACACTGCTACCTGATTAGGAGTTTACTTCTATAAACTTCTGTAAAATGTATCCAAGTCCCAGCTTGTGAGGACCTTGCTGTTTTCCAGATAGTCTCAGTGTTAAATGGATAACAGCATTTTGATATACTACCCTTCTCAGGTTAATACCTTTATATTTCAAGATATCTCTTTGCCAGAAGATGTTCCAGCTGAATCGCTGGAGTGAAGTGAGAAGCATTCCTCTGTTCCAAGAGGGATTCACTTTGGCCTTGGGGCATTGTAAGAATTGTGATGTGTTTTCTTTTACTGCTAGCATGCAAGGGCCTTGTTTCAGCTTTTATGAAAGATTCAGTTTCAGAGCAATGGTACACATGAGTTGATTTGCTATTTATGTTTGTTTCTGATAAGCAATTGAGAGTTGAGAGAGTAAAGGGACAAGGTGTGCTTTTGCACTCCTCTTGCTGTGGGGAATCACTGTGTGCAGTCTCCTTCCTGACGGAAACATTGCCCCAGTTCGTTTGTTCAGCCTAATTTCAAACCTAGGCTCATTCCTAAAGGCCAAAGTTAGTTTCAATGCCTCACTCTAATGATGAACGTTGATGGGAGCTTAAGGCAGCTACACTTGGGGGTCAAATGAAGTACCCAAGGGACTGCATAGAAAAAAGAGAGGAACCAGACAGGAAAAGAGAGGAGGAGGGAAGACCAGGTGGCTTCCCAGTTTTGGTTTGAGTGTCTGGGCAGATGGAAATGATAAATGCCATTTACCAAGTTGAGAACTATAGGAGGAGTTTCAGGTAAAAATCTCATTATTTCAACATGTTTATTTGTAAGCACTTCTATGAAATTCGTAAGTTTTCAAGTATAATTAAGATTTATATCCAGGAAGTGTGTCTGAATCTCTATTTCTGTGTGAGCTTGAGCCTCTATCTCTGTATGTCTGTGGGTGGGTCTGTGTGTATACAGCTGGTGGGTTCTACAATGAAAGCAGGCTGAGGAAAGCTTGACACCAGAGAGTCAATTGGCAAAGCAACATTAGCCAAATAAGCCCATAATTAATTCCTCAGTGGGCAGCAAATATTCTCATTTGGGCAGTAGGATATTGATGAAATCGGGAAATGAAATAGATATGAAAGTGATACTGTAATGAAGTACTTCCTTATACCATAGTATCTACTATGTCCAGAAAAATGCTCAGTGCCAACATAAGAAAAGTTTTCTAGTTTTTCCAAGAATTGTTGTAGCTTTGGCTGCCTTTGTGACCACTTCATTTATGCCACATTATTTTCATAAGCTAAGTATAAAAGCCTTCTCTTTTGAATGTACACTATAAGCTAGACAAGATATTTCATATCTGACAGAATTATTACTACAATGCTAGCTAACATTCATGGAATGCCTACCACATGCCTGGCACTATTCTAGTTTTTTAATCATTTATTAGTAATTTAATCCACATTAAGTCCTTGAGAACAAATACATTTAATATTAATAGTTTCATTTTACAGATGAGGGAACTGAGGAACAAAGAACAGTAACTTGCGGGAGATCCCATAACTAGCAAATAATAAAGCTAAGATGTGAACTCAAGTAGTCTGACTGCTCATCCCAGTAATCAATCTCATCAACATAAATGCATGTAGTAGGCAACCTCTAAGATGCCACCAGTGATTCCTTCCTCCTGGTATTCTATCCCTTGTGTAATCCCCTCCCCTTGCATATGGGTTGTGTCTAGAAAATTTCTTCTAGGGAATAACACACAGCAAAAATCATGGGATATTTCCAAGAGTAAGTTATAAGAAGACTGTGACTTCCATCGTGTTTTCTCCTTCCCTTTCTCTTCTTCTCTCTCTTACTCACTTGAAAAAACAAAAACAACAAAAAACAGATACCTTGTTGTGAGCTGCGCAATAGAGATACCTATAAGGCAACTGAGGCTCTCAGTCCAACATCCATGAAGAGCTGAGTCTGCAGTCGCCATGGGGGTGAACTAGGAAACTGCAGTCTCAGTTGAGTCCTGAGATGACGGCAGCCCAGTTGATAGTCTGACCACAGCTTCATGAGAGATGTTGACGCAAGAGGCACCTCACCAAATCATGCTCAGATCCCTGACCCACGGAAACTGTGGGACCATCGTATTTGTTGTTTTAAGTCACTAAGTTTTGGAGTAATTTATTATCCAGGAATAGATAATTAATCAAACACATAATAAATGGAAATTCTAGTCCCTAGCTTTCTCCCTGGGCTTCAAGTGCTCTGTATCTTACTTTGGAAAAAGAAGGATGACAAAGAACAACAGCTCTGTAGCCAGTTTATCTTCCTGCCATTGTCAGCATCTGCCTGTTAATATGTTGCCCTGCTAAGCACCTAATTCCTTCTTTATTAAATAATGATTTCCTTCCTACGAGTCATCCTCTGGAATAATGACCATTTTTAGCTTCTGAGACAAGCAGTTTTAGAAACACGGGCTTTAGATTTAGACTGACCTGGGCCCCATGGCTCCTTCACCTGCCACACACCATTGTCACTGGGGAATGGTGTCACCATGACACCATTGTCATTTTTGAACCTCAGCTTTTTCATTTGTTAAATGGAATAATAAAACTAATGTTAACATATTTTAAAAACTGAAGGGTGTATATGAGAGAGAGAGGAAAAAAGAGGGATAAAGAGAAAGAGAGAGAGAGAGAGAGAGAGAGAGAGAGATTGATTTGCGTTTTGTTCTTGCTGCATTGGCTTTTCTTCCCCTTCAGCTCTGCTAGGGAAAGGTAATGAGGGCCATTGTATTCCCTTAGGGAGCCCAACACTGAAATTCTGGAACACAATCTCTTTCAATCTTCTCTGGAAGCCTCAGCTTATAAAGAGATGATTAAATGTCTCTGGAGAGAGAGAGCAGAGCAGAGAGCAGCGGAAGCCCCAGACAGGGACCGGTATGGGAGCTGGTGTGCACACCTTGGAAGAAGCCATTGGAAGAGCATCTGAACCTGAGAAACCTGTGCAGAGAAGCCTCCCAGCTCTGCAGGGAGTTGTGTAGCCTGCTTATCTGGGGTGGCCCAAATGAGCAGAATCAACTGATTTTCAGGATACCGCCGGGCATCTCAGCTGTAACCAGTGTGGCCCTCCTGTATCCTTTGCTCTGCTGAGGAAACTTAGTACTTTTGTACCACTTAGAGCAGGGGTCCCCAACCCTCAGGCCACAGACTGGTACTGGTCCATGGCCTGTTAGGAACTGGGTCACACAGCAGGAGGTGAGTGGCAGGTGAGCGAGCATTATGCCTGAGCTCAGCCTCCTCTCAGATCAGCGGTGGCGTTAGATTCTCATAGGAGCACAAACCTCCTAGTGAACTGCACATGCGAGGGATCTAGGTTGCACACTCCTTATCAGAATCTAACTAACGACTGATGATATGAGGCGGAACAGTTTCATCCTAAACCCCTACCCCACCCCATCTGTGGAAAAACTGTATTCTAAGAAACTTGTCCTTGGTGCCAAAAGGGGACCACTGTCTTAGAGGCAAATAAAACTGTGAGAGAGTAAATATGGATGGAGAATTAATTCCCTGCCATCTGGGCTGCATGGATTCTTGGAGCTAGAAGTCTGAATATGACTTAAAGATAGTAAAACAATAAGATATTCCTTATATTCACAAATGTCTGCAAATCCACACCTTACAGAGAGACACTGAATATTCTTCTGGTTGGTACTGAGAGCCTTGGAAGAACATTCAGAGAAGTCTTGATTGACGGGGCATCATTATTGCCCAGGATGCACGTTTTCATGGATGAACTGCTGAACTGCTCTTATTCACCGTGCAAAAAGCTGATTATGTTCTCCCTAGGGCTTGAGCATTTTTTTAAGCTTTATTTATCCCTAGCCTGATAGTTGAACAAGATATGCTTGCTCAGATAAGACAAATGTGACCTTGTCCTGGAACTCAAATATAGAACTTGTGATTTTCATCACTCTTTGGGTTACCATCTTTTAGGGTGAAGATTTTCCGAAAGGCCAAGTTATCATTCTGTTCAGACTTTGGCTTAGGATGACTCCCCAGAGACCCATCGTGGATTCCAAATAGAGACACTGATTCTGCTTTGGGAGCTGTTTGCAAAGCGGCTTTAATTAGGTGCTGAGCTCTTTATCAGTTCCTGGCAACCCAAATTCGACATTATGTTCCCCTGAGAGCGCTTTCATGCTGAGTTCTCAGCTTCTTCCCTGTTCCTCACCCTCAAAGGCAGTAGGAGGTTGTCCTCTTTCAGGACCAATAGCTCTGCTGTAAACCTTGTCTTTGAGTTCTCAGTGGTTGTAAGTCATGTTGCAATCTGCAAGCTGAAGTACAGTTAATGACCTGATTTTTATAATATTTAACAGGCTTTAGGAGAGTTTAGTTATTCGGAGTTGAATCTGGAAGCACTTCAACTCAGCTATTTTTCAAAGATGTTTATTTTCTGTATTTCTGGCAGTGTTTTGCTTAGAAAAGCTGCTGACACGCTCTCTCAGTGGTGGCATTCCAGACCCCTGCAGAAACCCCTTACATGAGAAAAATAAAGGCTGCTTTGGACAGAGGTCAGACTTAAATAGAATGCTGGGAATTTAAATCAATTTAAGCACATTGGAGTGTAACAAAATGAGTCTTCCTTCTTTGCAGTGCTGGAAAATGCTTTTACTTCTAGGAATAAATTATCAATGCTTCTTTATGAAAAGCAGCCATTATTTAAAGGGAAGATAAAGGGGGATTTTGTAAAAAACTGGTGCAAGTTGGACCACAGGACCAACTTTGAGGTCTGATACCTAAAAGGATTATCGAAAGGAGACGGAATGATTTTAAGGTCTAAGCCTGAAGTAGAAGTTAAAAAAAAATGTAGGTGTTAAAATCGGCTTTCAATACTGTGTAATAAATGTTTCATAGCTTGAAAATTATTTTCTTGGTTTCTACTTTTTCCTTTTAAAGGAGAAGTACTATATTCCATTTGCTGGTATCTGCTTGAATACTGTATATATTGAGTGAAGTCTTTTTACTGTCTATGTTACTAGGCTGAAATGAATGGCCCTGTGTCTATTCACATTTCAAGACTCATCTTGTTTCTTCCTAGCTGTTTGAACTTGTCACATTACTAAAATGAATTTATACACTTTCTGTGCTAATCTATGTCAATGAGTTTCTAGTGATTACATTTTAAATTATTTTCTCTGAAAATGTTCATTTTCAAATGTATTATTGCAATTTTGATCTGTACATATTTTATTTCTCTTGAATTTGTTGATGTAAAGGAAAATTTGTACTTACCATATTTTTCTCTTAAATATTTGTCCTTCTGAACTGATTTGAGAAAATTTAAAGAACAGGGGTCAGAAGCCAAGACTGCTTAATATTTTTTGTTTCACTATGGGTTATTTACAGGGGTCATATTACATATTATACATTTTTTTTGAAAACAATAATTATATTTAATAATGCTTTAAAGATATTTCACATTATTCTCACAACATGTACACAAAAACTAGACCCATAATTAGCTGACTCTCCAAAGGCCTCTCAAAAATTTCATAGCAAACTCAAGGCTTGAGCCAAATACCTCGCTCCTTAATTCTGATTCTACTACTGAACTCCACCTATTGATAAACAGCCCTGCCATTCTCCTAGTTACCCAATCAGAAACCTGGAAGGAACGCTGAATTTTTTTTTTTTTTTTTCTGTTACCTTCCCTATTCAAGGGACATGGTCTTCACTGGCTCCCTTCCCTCTGTCACTACTACCTCTTGACTTAGTTTATCTGGGCCAACGCACTGGTGTCCTCTCTAGAAAACTCTGTTTCTGACCCAGCATGCCAAACAACAATTTCCACACTACTGTTTGCACACCGTGGTGTCACAGAGTGCCTCTCAGGGTTTAGATGAACATAATGTCATGGGTGTCCTTTCTGCTAAAGCCCCCACACCCCTAAATATGGAGTTGTCTAATATGCATTCACCGCAGGACTTGCCCAGGGCCAGGATGCAGCCACTATTTGGGGGATTTTACACACATCTAGATTCTGTTGTCCGCTGTTCATCTAAACCCTGAGAGGCACTCTGTGACACCACGGTGTGCAAACAGTAGTGTGGAAATGGTTGTTTGGCATGCTGGGTCAGAAATATAGAGTTTTCTGGAGGATTTAGGGGTTGTCAAGAGAAAACTGGAGAATCTGGAGGGACTACATGGCAGAGATGAAGAGGACAGAAAGAGACCTGTGTAGAGAGAGAACAGGGACCCCATGGAGAAGTGGATTTCTCAGAGGGCACAAGCAGAGGGTGGTCAAGCAGCAAATGTCCCCTTTGAATCAACCCCCCAAAAAAGGGATTAAGAACAGGCCTTGAGTTGACTAATACACTGAATTGTCTTTTATGAATTGTTTTGTCACCAAGAAAATCAATAGTAAGATAGACATTGCATTTACTTATGTAAACTAGAGTGCATTTTTACCCTACCAAGTTTGTACCCACTCCATAAAGTCATCAGCACTCAGACGTTCTTTCCCCCTCTCCTTTTCTTTGCAGCCAGGCTCCACTTCTGGCTTTGCTATCAGGCAGGATCCAGGTGAGTGGTGGCTGCTGGAAGTCTCAGGCACACATGCAACCACTGGCAACTCAAGGGAAAAGAAAGCACTTCTATGCCAATAGCTCCCCTAAAAGTGCCAGGGCTGGCTCTCATGGAATTGTTTTGCCTTATGTCTCTGAACCAATTACTGTTGCACTAAGATGCGATAGGTGGCTGGATGTGGTGGCTCATGCCTGTAATCCCAGCCCTTTTGGAGGCCAAGGTGGGTGGATCACGAGGTCAGGAGTTTGAGACCAGCCTGGCCAACATGGCAAAACCCTGTGTCTACTAAAAAGACACAAATTAGCCGGGCTTGGTGGTGGACGCTTTTAATCCCAGCTACTCAGGAGGCTGAGGCAGGAGAATCACTTGAACCCAGGAGGCGGAGGTTGCAGTGAGCCAAGATTGTGCCACTGCACTCCAGCCTGGGTGACAAGAGCAAGACTCTGTCTCAAAACAACAACAACAACAACAACAACAAACGATGGGATAGGCTTATTTGACTAGCCTGGCTTGCACGACTACATTGAAATTGTGGGCTGGGGTCGGCCAATCTCCATTTCCTAAGAGAAAATGAGGATGATGTTCCTAAGAAGGCGAAAATACACTGGGCAGGCTGAAATAACAGAAATCCATCATGTGGGTATTTAATAAATACTAGCTGAAGTGAGTGAAAGAAACAGACTTCAGTATCGAAGACCAGCCAGGACTGTTGTAACCATGCTACATTGCCTATATCTTTTTTCCATAGTTTATATTCCAACTTTTTGCTCTGAACAGGCCCTAAGTTGACTGATACACTCAATTGTCTTCTATTGATTGTTTTGTCACCAGATGAGAAGAAAGAATAAAATAGAAATTGCATTTGCTTAAGAAAAACAGAGGACATTTTTGCCCCACTGAGTTTGTACCCACTCCACAGAGAAGAAATTATCTGCATTTAGCCACCCTAAAATGATGTTAGCTCTGTGAGATAGTAAATAAGCCATCTAATTATGACACATTATGAATTTTTAATGGTAATTCTATAATACCTAGCTTTCAAGATTTAAAATCTTATAAAAATTTAATAGTGAGCTCATAAGTAGTAAGCAAGTGGGAGAAGTAAGGTGAAAGTTTGCATTTCAAGGTAAGCAAGTAAGCTATCTGGCCAGTGCTAAGTAGCATGTGAATTTTAGGTTATATAATCCTGAAAAACAGAAGTTTATATTCTCACAAAACTTCTGAGTTTTGCTTGGATTTACCACTTACAGTCAAGTGCCTGATGGGGTCTATGAGTCAGTGACTCACTTTTGATTAATCCCTAAGATAGACTATAAGACCCATGAATGCAGGGGCTGTTCTTATATTGCACAACCCCCTCACCTAGCACAGGCTGGTCACATGGCAAAATCTCAATAAATACTTGTTGAATGAATGAATGATATATGAGCAGTGGTTTCAGTGAGCAAAAGTAGTACAGACACATCTAACTTTGACTACAGAATGTTTTCTAAAAATTAGATTTGATTTTCCAAATTTTATATAAATTGATATTCAAATTACATTGTGTCCTGTATTTCTCCTCTCATGATAGTTATCATGCTTGTTAATACAATAGTCAATGTATACTGAATCTTACCGTGTACCAACTCACTTAATCCCCACAATAACTCTAGGAAGTGCCACTATTACACACATTTTTTATGACAGAGCTCATTGCTTACAGAGTGCTAGAATTTGACCATGGCAGTGGGATTTCTAAGTGTGTATTCTAACTTCCAGGATTTGTAAATACTTGTTTGATATCTATTTTCTTTTGCAGGATGTAAGCTCTATGATACAGTCATATCCACCACACCTAACTCAGGGTTTTGCCTTTGCTCATGTTGGTGTGCACTGAGTGAAAGAAATTAATTAGCTAGTTTCCTTAGTGCACACTGATTGATAGAAAAAGAGAATTAAAAATTGTGTTAGGTATCAAAGAGTTAAAAAATATCTCGGACAATGTATAGAGCATATAATACATTATAACAAATAAGAGTAGCTGAATATTTAATGGAGACATGTAGACAGGTAGTTAAGTATAGATATTTAGCACTTATACTTTGCTTTTACTTAGACTCATTTTTTCCTTGGTCCTAGATTTGAAGAATTAAATCATGGTATTTTAGGATGGGGTTGTTTTTACGTGTAAATTAATCAAGATTTTGACACCTTCCTACAGAAGAAAACTATTTATACTTTAGTGGCTTCTGTGAATTATTTCTTGTAAATGCACTTGTAGACCCAATGGAAGAAATATTTGTGAAAGTATTTTCTAAACCTGAAATACATAAGCCTATTATAATTGACATTTTATTCTGAGTCATCAGCACTCTACACATTAAAAGAGTGATGTGATAAGTTATGAGGAATATTGGTATCAAACTCTTTTAAATATTCATGTTTATAAGCCATTGAGCACAACAGTCTTCAGCATTTCCTTAGCTACGCTAAGTGAGAACTACAAAGATAAATTAGGGCAAGGATTACACTAATGGCATATTTCATAATTGCCTTAAGATTTTAGTTGTTCTTTACAGCTTAATTCTGTCAGACAGGTGTTTTTAGCTATCATGTGTCTCTAGCTACACATCTGTTTTATTAATTTTTTTTATGGGGACTAAAAGTGAATTATCCTAACAGGTTCAGAATAAAGTCTACATTTAATTTGGATCAATCATCCAAAATGATGTTGGCTGTTCATAAAATTAGGTACTTAGTTGGTAGAATAGAAAAGAAAAGGAATCTGCAATTTCAAGGAATCTCTGCTGAGACTGCAGATGCTAGAATTGAAGTATAATTATGTGATTTAACTTTCTAGCAATTACCAGCATTTTGAAGAGCCTTTTCCTCTGCTAAGGTAACAATCTCATCCTAAGCGAATTCCACAACTTCTCAGTCACTTTCTTTCAAGATATATCTGTAGACCAAGGCTTACAGGGTATATATGAGGTCCAGTCTGTCATCTTCCACTCTCCTTTTCTTTCTGTGTTCCTACTCCTCTGCTGTTGCACTGGGGAGGAGGTTAAAGATGAATGATGTTTTATTATGTGACTACTGGGGGTAAGGTGGAGACCCTTTTCATTTATTGGTCAAAAAATCACATTAAGGGCTTGATCCTAGGGTGTGCAGCATCCTAGGCAAATATATATTTTTGGGAACCCCAACTAGCAATTTGATTAAAAATTGGCTCTGTGTCCCCACCCAAATCTCATATTGAATTGTACTCCCATAATTCCCACATGTTGTGGGAGGGACCCAGTGGGAGATAATTGAATCATGTGGTCAGTTTCCCCCATACTGTTCTCATGGTAGTGAATGAGTCTCACAAGATCTGATGGTTTTATAAGGGGTTTCTGCTTTTTCTTCCTCCTCATTATCTCTTGCCACTGCCATGTAAGGCGTGCCTTTCACCTTCCATCATGATTGTGAGGCTTCCCCAACCACATGGAACTGTGAGTCCATTAAACCTATTTTTCTTCCCAGTTTTGGGTATGTCTTTATCAGCAGCATGAAAACGAACTAATACAGCCCCTTTCACATGCCAGGGCTGTTGCAAGCTTCAGGATTTTTTCTTTGCTCTTCTTCTCAGAAGACTCTTTCCACAGGTGTAGTTTGTGTCACCCTTCTCATTATGCTGGTCTCAATACAAATGTCACCTTCTCAGAAAGGCATCTACTGCCCAATCCTAAGGCTGCTATGAGGACCCCCTCACTTACGTTACTCTATTTTATCATCTGCATGGGCATACACTAGCTAAAATTAATGATTATCTTTGGGTTTATCTGACTCCACTTTCTTCAACCTAGCATCCATGAGTGCAAGGGCTCTGTCATATTTCCAACTCCATCCCCAGTGTATGCTCTAGGTCTCAACATAAAGAAGCTGCTCAAGAAGAATTTGTTTTGTATAAGGTGTAAGGAAGGGGTCCAGTTTCTGTTTTCTGCATATGGCTAGCCAGTTTTCCCAGCACCACTTATTAAATAGGGAATCCTTTCCCTATTGCTTTTGTCAAGTTTGTCAAAGATCAGATGGTTGTAGATGTGTGGTGTTACTACTGAGGCTTCTGTTCTGTTCCATTGGTCTATATATCTGTTTTGGTACCAGAACCATGCTGCTTTGGTTATTGTAGCCTTGTAGTATAGTTTGAAGTCAGGTAGCACGATGCCTCCAACTTTGTTCTTTTTGCTTAGGATTGTTTTGGCTATGTGGGCTCCTTTTTGGTTCCATGTGAAATGTAAAGTAGTTTTTTCTAATTCTGTGAAGAAAGTCAATGGTGGCTTGATGGGAATAACATTGAACCTATAAATTACTTTGTGCAGTATGACCATTTTCACGATATTGATTCTTCCTATCCACGAGCGTGGAATTTTTTTTTCCATTTGTTAGCATTCTCTTCTTTCCTTGAGCAGTGGTTTGCAGTTCTCCTTGAAGAGGTCCTTCACATCCCTTGTAAGTTGTATTCCTAGGTATTTTATTTCTCTTTGCAGCAATTGTAAATGGGAGTAAAATGTCTCATTCATATTTATAATTATGCCTCCTTTCTCATTCTCAGTGTTCTTTTGTGTTCTCTCTCTCTCTCTCTCCTTGACCATAATTGCCAATTCATTATTTACCTGTTATTTTCTTTAAGAAACTAATTTTTGGTTTTACTACTCAGGAGTCAGGTCTCCTGTTTTCTAATTTTTTAAATTTTAATATTCAACTTCTTGGTTGTACTTTTATTTTGTCAGCATTCGCCCCACTCCCAGATTTTACCCAGGATATGGCACAGAATTCTAAGATCTGCTGTCTTCTCTCCTTTAAACACTTAAGATAGACAAAGCACACCTGAATGCAGGGAATAAATGTCATCAGAAAGTAGCTAGTGAGACACTTATTAGGATGTATCTCCTGCTCTGTCCTCTCAGTGAACTTTCTTGCCATTGAAGAATTAGGCATTCCAATTTATTGTTTTTAGACCAGTCCACTGGACAATGAGCCCAACTACTGAACCAAAGTACTTGACTACTGGTCTAATGAGAATTCAGGAATAAATTTATTTCTCAAGTACTTGTGAGGTGGCCCAAGCCTAATCATGAATGAGAGCAGAGATACATCTCAGCCTCTTCCACATCCCTCAACCTCTGTCTTGACATCTATCATGTTTGGCCCTGTTGAGGGAGAGAAAGAGAGAGTGAGATAAAGCTCCTACTTTTTATGAGCCCTTGATCTTATACTGTCTTTGAACAGGAAAGGGGACTTACTTAGGTATTTTGAGAGCATGTTGATAGACACTCTCTGATTATATGGTTCCCTATATTGTTCCCCAATGGTAGAAACTAAGTTAAGAAGAACATAGAGTAAAGATAGACCATGAAATATATATCTGGGGACAGCCAAGGACCTTTAGAATATAAGGAGCCTGCTATGTGATCTCAGGATATGACTGACTGATGTCGTGTTTTTAATTGTGCAAATTATTTGTTGTACAAATTTATGAAGTTTGAGAAGTTTGTTACATGTGTATAATGTTAGGTGATCAAGTCAGGGTCTTTAGGGTGTCCATCACCCTAGCACAATACATTTTTGTAAGTATAGTTACCCTATTCTGCTATCAGACATTGAATCTCTTCCTTCTATCTTACTTTGTTTGTATCGTTTAATCCAGTTCTATTCATCTTCTCCCTGCTCCCACTCAGACCCTCAGACCCTTCTCAGTCTCGTTATGTATCTTTCCATGCTCTACCTCTATGTGAGCAAATATTTTATCTCCCACATATAAGTGAGAACATGTGATATCTGCATTTTTGTGCCTGGCTTACTTCACTTAAGATAAAGACTTCCAGTTTTATCTATTTGCTGCAAATGGCATGATTTCATTCTTTTTTATGGTTAAATGGTATTACATTGTAAATATATATCACATTTTCTTTAGCCATTCATCTTCTTAGGGTGATTTTATATTTTTGCTATTGTGAATAGTACTGCAACAAATATGCAAATGCAAATATCTCTTTGATATATTGATTTCTTTTCTTTTGGGTAGATACCCAGTAGTATCCAGTAGTGGAATGCTAGATTGATTGGTAATTTTATTTTTAGTTTTCTTCTAAAAATCTCCACACTGCTTTCCATAGTCGGTATACTAGTTTACATTCCCACTACAATGTATAACACTTACCTTTTCCTTGCCATCTATTATGGTTTTTCTGTTTAATAGTAGCCCATTTGACTGGGGTAAGATTATACCTCACTGTGGTTTTGATTTGCATTTTGCCAATGATCGGCAATGTGGAGTTTTTCATATACTTCTTAGGTATTTGTATGTCATCTTTTGAGAAATGTGTATTTATTTCCTTTACCTACTTAAAAAAATAATGCTGGAATAGTCTTTTTAACTTTTATGTTAGGTTCAGGGGTACATACGCTGGTTTGTTATTTAGGTAAATTTTGTGTCACAGGGGTTTGGCATACAGATTATTTCATCTCCCAAGTAATAAACATAGTACCTGACAGGTAGTTTTTTGATCCTCTCCTTCCTCCCACCCTCCACCCTCAAGTAAGCCCTGGTGTCTGTTGTTCCCTTCTTTGTGTCATTGTGTACTTTATGTTTAGCTCCCACATATAAATGAGAACATGTGGTATTTGGTTTTCCATTCCTGCATTACTTTGCTTAGGATAATGGCCTCCAGCTCTAACCATGTTGCTGCAAAGGACGTTATCTCGTTCCTTTTTATGACTACCATAGTATTGTACGGTGTATATGTGCCACATTTTCCTTATCCAGTCTATCACTGATGGGCACTTAGGTTGATTCCATGTCTTTGCTATTGTAAATAGCGCTACGATGAACATACACATGCATATGTCCTTATGGTAGAACAATTTATATTCCTTTGGGTATGTACCCAATAATGAGATTGCTGGGTCAAATGATAATTATTTTTTGAGTTGAGAAATCACCACACTACTTTCCATAATGAATGAACTAATTTGCATTTAAACCAGCAGTGTATAAGCATTCCCGTTTCTCTACAACCTTGCTAGCATCTATTATTTTTTGACTTTAGTAATAGCCATGATGACTGGTGTGACATGTCTGTTCAGATCATTTGCCCACTTTTTTTTTTTTTTTTTTTTTTTTTGAGACGGAGTCTTGCCCTGCCGCCCAAGCTAGAGTGCAGTGGTGCGATCTCTGCTCACTGCCAGCTCCACCTCCTGGGTTCACGCCATTCTCCTGCCTCAGCCTCTGGAGTAGCTGGGACTACAGGCGCCCGCCACCACGCCCAGCTAACTTTTTGTATTTTTAGTAGAGACGGGGTTTCACCGTGTTAGCCAGGATGATCTCGATCTCTTGACCTCGTGATCCTCCCGCCTCGGCCTCCCAAAGTGCTGGGATTACAGGTGTGAGCCACTGCGCCCGGCCCATTTGCCCACTTTTTAATGGGATTTCTTTTTACTTGTTGAATTGTTTGAGTTCCTGGTATATTCTGGATATGAGTCCCCTGTCAGATGTTTGCAAATATTTTCTCCCATTCAACAGGTTGTCTCTTCACTCTGTTGACTGTTTCATTTCCTGTGCAGAAGCTTTTTAGTTTAATATAGTCCCATCTGTCTATTTTTGTTTTTGATACCTGTGCATTTGAGATCTTAGCCATAAATTCGTCGCATAGATCAATGTCCAGGAAGGTTTTCCCTAGGTCTTTTTCTAGTATTTGTATAGTTTTGGGTCTTGGTTTGAAGGCTTTAATTCATTTTGAGTTGACTTTTGTATATGGTGCAATATAGGGGTCCAGTTTCATTCTTCTGCATATGGCTATACAATTTTTCCCGGACTATTTATTGACAGGCCTTACATTGTCCTTTCCCCAGTGTAAGTTTCTCAGCTTTGTCAGAATCAGTTGGCTGTGAATACCTAGCTTTATTTCTAGGTTTTCTATTCTGTTCCATTAGTCTATGTGTCTGTTGCTATACCAATACCATGATGTTTTGCTTACTATAGCCTTGTAATACATTTAGAAATCAGGTAATGTGATGCCTCCAGCTTTGTTCTTTTTGCTCAGATTGCTTTGACTATTCAGACTCTTTTTTGGTTCCATATGAGTTTTAGGATTGTGTTTTCTAATTCTGTGAAAAATAACCTTGGAATTTTGATAGGGATTGCATTGAATCTGTACATTGCTTTGGGCAATATAGTCATTTTAATGATATTAATTCTTCCAACCCATGAGCATGGTATGTTTTTTCATTTGCTTGTGTCATCTTCAATTTCTTTAATCAGTGTTTTGTAGTTTTCCTTGTATAAATCTTTCACTTCGTTGGTTAGACTGATTGATTTATTTTTTTAGTAGCTATTGTAAATGAGATTGCCTTCTTGATTCCTTTCTCGGCTAGATCATTATTGGTATATGGAAACACTACTGATTTTTTGTACACTGGTTTTCTTATCCTGCAACCTCACTGAATTCATTTATCAAATCTAAGCATTTTTGGTACACTCTTTAGGTTTCTCTAAATATAAAATTACATCATCAGCAAAGAGGGACAGCTTGACTTCCTCTTTGCCAATTTTGATGCCTTTTATTCCTTTCTCTTGTCTGATTGCTCTGTCTAGGACTTACAGTACTATATTGAATAGGAGTGGTGAAAGTGGGCATTCTTTAGTTCCAGTTCTTAGAGATAAGGCTTCAAATTTTCTCCATTCAGTGTGATGTCAGCTTTGGGTTTGTTGTATATGGCCTTTATTATTTTGAGGTATGTTTCTTCTATGTGTAGTTTGTTCAGAGTGTTTATCATGAAGGGATGCTGAATTTTATTAAATGCTTTTTCTGCATCTATTGAGATGATCATATAATTTTTGTCCTATATTCTGTTGATGTGATACATCGTGTTTATTGATTTGTATGTGTTGAACCATCTTTGCATCCCACTTGATTGTAATGCATTATCTGTTTGATTGCTGTTGGATTCAGTTTGCTAGTATTTTGTTGAGGATTTTTGCCTTGGTGTTCATCAGGGATATTGGCCTGTAGTTTTCTTTTTTATTGTGCCCTTATCTAATTTTGGTATCAGGGTGATGCTGACCTTGCAGAAGGAATTAGGGAGAATTCCCTCCTTTTGGATTTTTTGGAATAGTTTCAGTAGTAGTACTATTAGTTCTCTGTATTTTTGGTACAGTTCATCTGTGAATCCATTCAGACCTGGTTTTTCCTTTGTTGAGAGATTTTTTTAATTATTATTACTGATTCAATCTTGCTACTTGTTATTGGTCTGTTCAGGCTTTCTATTTCTTCCTGATTCAATCTTGGTAGGTTGTATGTTTCCAGAAATTCTTCTAGGTTTTCCAGTTTGTCAGCATATAGTTGTTCATAACATTCTCTAATAATGTTTTGTGTTTCTGTGGTATCCGTTGTAGTGTTTTCTTTTTCATTTCTGTTTTGTTTATTTGGGTCTTCTTTCTTTTGGTTAATCTAGCTAGAGGTTTAGCTATTTTGTTTATCTTTTGAAAGAAAAAACTTTTCATTAACATTTTTTGTCTTTATTTCATTTATTTCTGTTCTGAACTTTATTATTTTTTTTCCTATGATAATTTGCAGTTTGGTTTGTTCTTTTTTTCTAGTTCCTTGAGGTTCATTACTAGATTTTTAATTTGTAACCTTTCTACTTTCTTGTTGTAGGCATTTATTGCTATAAACTTCCTTAGCACTGCTTTTGCAATATCCCACAGGTTTTGGTATGTTGCATTTTCATTTTTGTCTCAAATTTTTAAATTTTAATACTTTTTTGTTGATACAATGATTATTCAGGAACATGTTTTATTTCCATGCATATGTATAGTTTCCAAAGTTCCTCTTGGTATTGATTTCTAGTTGTATTTCCACTGGGGCCTGAGAAAATGTTTTATATAATCTTGATTTTTAAAAATTTTTTGAGACTTTAAAAATTTGTGGCCTAACATATGGTCTACCCTGGAGAATGTTGCCCGTGCTGATGAAAAGAATATATATTCTCCAGTTGTTGGATAGAATGTTTTGTAAATGTCTGTTAGGTCCATTTGGTCTAAAGTCAGTTTAAATCCAAATTTTCTTTGTTGATTTTCTTTCTATATGACCTATTTAATGATGAGAATGAGGTGTTAAAATTTCCTAATATTATTGTATTGAAGTCTATTTATCTCTTTAGAGCTGTTAATATTTGCTTTATAACTGAGTGCTTCAGTGTTGGGTGCATGTATATGTAGAATTGTTGTAATCTTTTGCTATATTGGTCCCTTTATCATTATATAGTGACCCTCTTTGTCTTTTTTTTGGTTACTGTTCTTAAAATTTGTTTTGTATGATATAAATATAGCTATTTCTGCTTGTTTTTTGTTTTCATATGCATGGAATATCTTTTTTCATCCTTTTACCTTCAGTCTCTGTGTGTCTTTACTGGCAGGGTGAGTTTCTTATAATCAGCATATAATTGAATCATGTCTTTTTTTAATCCATTTAGTCATTCTATATCTTTTAAATGGAAAATTAAACTTCTAATATTCAAGGTTATTATTAATATATGAGGCTTTGTTCCTGTTATATTGTTGTTTTCTGCTTGTTTTATGTATTCTTTGTTCCTTCCCTTTTTCTTATTGGTTGTCACTGTGGTTTGGTGGATTTCTGTGATAGTACAATTTGAGTCCTTTCTCTTTCTTTTTAGTGCAATTGCTTTACCAGTGAGTTTTATACTTTCGTGTGTGTGTGTGCATGTGTGTATTTTATAGAGACAAGGTCTCACTATGTTGTCGAGGCTGGTCTTGAATTCCTTGCCTCAAGCAATCTCCCTGCCATGGCCTCCCAAAGTGCTAGTGTTAAAGGCATGAGCCACCATAACCAGACTGCTTTCATGTGTTATCATGAGGGTAAATGCTATTCTTTCACTTCTAGGTTTAGTACTCCCTTGAGCATTTTTCTGTAGGACTGATCTAGTGGCAACAAATTCTCCTGGCATTTGCTTGTCTGAGGAAGACTATTTCTCCTTCATTTATGAAGGATAATTTTGCTAGCTGTAGTATTCTTGGCTGGCAGTTTTTTCTTTCAGAACTTTGAATGTATTATCTCATTCTTTTCTGGCCTGTAGGTTTCTGCTGAGAAATTTGCTGTTAGTCTTATGTTGTTTCCTCAATTGGTGACTAGATGCTTTTCTCTTGTTTTTTCGGATTCACTCTTAATCTTTGACTTTACACAATATGACTCTAACATGCTGCAGAGAAGACCTTTCTGCATTGTATCTGCCTGGGGAATCACTGAGGCTCCTGTAACTGTATGCCTAAATCTCAAGCTAGACCTAGAAATTTTTCATCTTTTATTTTGTTAAATAGGATTTTCTAGTCATTTCTTTGTCTCTTTACCCTTGGAGATACTGATAATTCAAATATTTGATTGTTTTATGTAGTTACAAATGTTACGAAAGCTTTGTTCATCCTTTATTCGTTTATTTTTGTTTGACTGGATTATTTTAAGAAATCTGTTTTTAAGTTCTGAGATTCTTTATTCTGCCTGATCTAGTCTACTGTTGATGTCTTCAAATATAATGTATTCAATAAATTCTTCAATTCCAGAATTTCTATTTGGTTCTTCTAAAAAGAAAAGCTCCTTGGTAAATTTCTCATTCATATCCTAATTTTTAAAATTTATTTGTATTGTTTTCAGAATTCTTTTGTATCTCACTGAGCTTCTTTAAAATTAACATTTTGAATCAACATTTTGAATTCAAGAATTCCTTTTTGATTTACATCTATTGCTGGAGAATTACTGTATTCCTTTGGAGGTGTCATATTTCCTTGCTTTTTTATGTTTCCCATGTCCTAAATTGGTATCTGTGCCTCTGATGTAATGATTGCTTCTTCTATTTTTGAATTTACTTTTGTAGGGGAGAAACTTTTTCTGATGATGTATCTATGATGTTGGTTGGGTATGGTACTTTGGCTTTCATTCTGGGTACATGCAATAGTGTAGTATCTGTATGAGTTTTTGTAAATAGCATTAGTAGTATCTGTGATTTTCTCAGTGGATTAGGGTCCGTTATTAGTGGAGGCTGTGGCAAAGTTGTTCTGGGGACTGGGATGCCCCATTGCCAGTCTTCAAGCCCTAGTAGTGGCAGCAGTGGGCTGAATTTGCCTTTGTTGTTGTTGTTGTTCCAGAGTGGTGTATGCTGGCACCTGTGTTGGTGGTTACTGGTGGGCCTTTTCTTGGGCCTCCAGGTGGCATGCTTGGATGCTGGTAGTGGCATCAGTGGACTGGGCATGTAGGAAGGTTCTTGGGCTTCTGGGAAGCTGGTGTGGCATGGGCAAAGACAGTAGTAGTGGTGGAACAATTTTCTGGGTCTTGAGTGGTATGCATTAATGTTGGGAGTGGCTGCAATGGGCTAAGTGGGCCAGTTTCCAGGCCTTCAGATGATGCTTTCAGGTAGGTGCCAGCTGAAGTGATAGTGGCTGGCAGTTTAAGCCACATCTCAGGCCCCCAGGAGGAGTGCTCTGGTGCCCAAAGTAGTGGATTGGTTGGGAATCCCCAGGATCTCAGGCTATATGCTTTAACTCAGAGGAGGAGGTGAAACTGGGCTGGGCAGATTTGTGCTCACCCCCTCCCCACCACAATGATTAGATTAGGCATTGGCCATGGCAGGACAGGGGTGAGGTTATCCTCAGGCCATAGGCAGAGTACTCAGGTGAAGTGTGGTAGCAGCCATGCTAAGGTCCTGCCACTGGAGAGGGTGGGCTGTTCTTGGTGGCCACAGCCTGGACTGGTGGTTGGGAAATGCATGTCTCTCTCTTGCCCCAGTCCTGGCAGGGCTTACCCTACCCGAAGCCTTGGTAGTGGTAGCCAGTACCTAGCTTGTATCCCTGCCCTGGCCACAAGAGCCCCCATACAGCTGGCAACCAAGTTCTGTTGGCAGCTCACGCCCTGCCCAGATCCCAGTCTTTGTCCTGGGAAAGGACAAAGACAGGAAATGGGTGCTTGTTTCCTGGCACTGGCAGCTGTAGCCCATGCATCCTTTCCTTCTTAGCTCTGGCTGTGGGACTGCTCACCAGTCCCAGCAGTCACAGTCTTTCTGTAATGCCTCAATCTGGTTCCAGTGGGCTACAGGACAGTGTGTACTCTGTCAAAGGCTAGACTTGAAAATGGCACCTTGTTATAGACACTTAGGTGTCAGAAAGTGTGTGAGACCTGGTGAGAGCTCTCTCCTTGGAGTAGTTCCATCCCGTAGTCTCCTGGCAGCACCCTATGTTAGTTCCAGGGATCGGGAGGGCTGAGAAGCTCCCTTGTGGCCAGGATTACATGATTCCATGGTAGGGATGTGGGCTGCTGCAAGTCTCTTACTTACCATTTAGCCACATTGGGAAGCCTTCCTGGCTTTCATCTGAACCTGGTCAGAAAGGCTGCTCCCTCCCTTTTCCTTCCCTGATTTTGGTGTTTCCGGTCACTTCTCTGTTGGATTCCAGTATTCTGTCTGGGATAATGTATTCAAAGTGCAACTGTCTATACATTATTTTGGTTCTTCTAAGTGGAGAAGGTGGACATGAAATGCTTCTAGTCAGCCAGCCATCTTGAAGCCTCTCCTCTAATTCTGTATTTTCCTCACCACTCAAAATGTGAAACGCACATTTATTGAAGACAAATTTGAATTATTTCATTTGAATATAAACTGAGTAAAATGCTTGGAAATATCTTTCTATATATGCTCTTGTGCTGAAATTAATTTGTAGCTTAACATCTGGTTCTAAACTTTCTTTATTGGTCACAAAGGTAATTAGAAACCCACTGCCTGGCAGCAGATACCAAAATAGAAGCTAAGGATAATAACGACTCAATAAGGAAAGCACGCATTTCTGTATTCTGAATAGCTTGCTGAAGAAAGAAAAAGCCAGATTCATTGTTTGTGTTTCTTCTAAAAACTGTAAAGACACACACACATATGGACTACAGGTCCTTAGTTTTTCCAGTTTTGGATTTCTTCAACTTGTAAAATGATTCACACCATGGAGAATTATAACTAGCCTTAAAATATTATATATGTGTACATATATAATATATACACATACTCATGTTTATATACATATCTCAAATATATAACGTATACTTATATATCATATATATGTGTATGTGTATACATGTATGTGTGTATATATGTATATATATCAAATGTGATGGGCGAAGTTATGTGAAGTATAACAAGTCATCAAATGGCAATGTCATTTAAATCAGACTTTTTCAGAAAGTTGGAAATCAATCCTTGAAAGTAAATTTTATTATGCAACTTCTATGTAACTTTAACTCATAGTTTATTTCATAGAGAATATGAACAATTTAAAATTGTTATTCTCAACTCTGAGCTTATCTCATG
The DNA here is from genome assembly GCF_000001405.40 of Homo sapiens. Lineage (NCBI taxonomy): Eukaryota > Metazoa > Chordata > Mammalia > Primates > Hominidae > Homo > Homo sapiens. The sequence goes on along the minus strand of NC_000008.11, from coordinate 107,787,382 downwards.
GGAAGAGGAGAAATATTTGACCATGAACTTTCGAAAAGCCATGGTCAATTTATTCACATCCTATTTGGCCTGGTCATGGCATTTGATGCTCTCTAGCCACTTCGTCATGTAAAAACATTCACTCTACTGTCTCCACCCATAAATGTCTCTTTAGTTTTATTGGGTTGTCGCTCAATTAATCAGAGTAGGGTGCTTTCATTTCAAGTAATTAATATGAATTAATATAAATTAATATAAAAAGGTTTGGGATGTCATATCCCAATATATACAGATATTGAAAAGAGCCTTTTTCTTTGTCCCATGCAGATTCCAGGACTTGCATGTTTCTGGTAAATGTTGGCTTAAGTAAACAGAATCAGGAGAGGGATGACTGTAGGGCTCTGCAAGAAGCCTTCTGGCCAGGTTCAGATGAAAGCCAGGAAGACTTCCCAATGTGGCTAAATGGTAAGTAAGAGACTTCCAGCAGCCCACATCCCTACCATGGAATCATGTAATCCTGGCCACAAGAGAGCTTCTCAGCCCTCCTGATCCCTGGAACTAACATAGGGAGTAGCCAGGAGACTACGGGATGGAACTACTCCAAGGAGAGAGCTCTCACTAGGTCTCACACACTTTCTGACACCTAAGTGTCTACAGGAAGGTGCCATTTTCAAGTCTAGCCTTTGACAGAGTACACACTGTCATCTAGGCAGGGGAGTGGAGAGTAAAGAGGGGAAAATTGGTGAGGATTCAGGTTAAAGCTGGAAAAACAAAATGCAGCCAATTCATCGAGAAATTTGAATTCCAGGGTAAGGATTTTAGACTTTATTATATTAAATACAGTTCATCTTCATTATTCATGAATCCTGTAGTTGCAAATTTGCCTACTAGCTAAAATTTGTAGCCCCCAAATCAATGCTTATATTGTTTTCACCATCATATGGTGACATGTCTTTGGGTCTCCTGATGTGCATATTCCCAGCTAATGTCGAACAAGGCAATGCTTTTCCTTCTTATTTCAGCTCCCATACTGTACATGAGGATCCCTTCTCAGGTATATTTAAAGCCATGTTTTTTACATTTTTGTCCTTTTTCTTGGTGATTTCATGTTTAAAATGAGCCATAAATGTAGTGGCCAAAGTCTTGCATAAGGTTCTTATGTGAAAGAAAGTTGTGATATGCCTTATGGAGAAAATACATGTGTTAGATAAGCTTTGTTCAGGCAGGAGGTATAGTGCTGTTGATTGTGATTTCAGTGTCAATCAACAATATGTATTAAATAAGATGTCTTTAAAAAGAAAACACATACATAATGTTATATATTGATCAATTGAAGAAAATATTGTGACTAGAGGCTTGCAGGAATGTAACCTTTTATTTTGCTTAGGAAGAATGGCTTAGTATTCACTCATTGAGTGTTCCTGGTGATTTTATAGAAAATAACTGCTGTGATGAATACACATTGCCTGTAACATTTTTTTTTTCTAAATGCAAAGGGGAATCACCAACAGGTTGAAGGAAGACCATATAGCATGCATGTGCATGTCTTTGCACATTTTGATATAAGGCAAGAGATAGATACCTGAATGTTTTGAAAAAAACTTACATTAGCAGCTACACAGAGTTGTGTTACATAGAGTATTACATTCTATAGTGGGCCCAGTATTTTTCCTAATTGTACTACAAGTGTGTGCACATGCACATATGTACACACACACACAAATAAGCACACAAAATACTGCCCACCTTAAACCTGGGGACCCTAACCTGAGCTCCATGCTTTAGAGGGCCTCATTTTGGCCCTCTTCCAGTCACGCCAATTCCATAATGCTTAGCAGTTTATGGGGCTAAGAAGATGTATCCATCTGGAGCTCATGCAATTGCCCCACCCAACTCTTCCTAGCATACCCATCAAGTTAGAGAGCATCTAGATTTCCCGTCCAAATGGACCCAACCCCCTCTCTCTTTGCCTTGTCTATCTGCCAGTACTGCTGGTGTGTGCATACCTGGCCTGATGGCTATTTGTGGGATGTGTGGAAAGAAGTTCGATGTGAGAACTGGGTATAGACATTTGGGTATCCCTGAAGTGAGAGACAAAGATGGGATTGGGAAGCAAAATAAGCAGCCATGGGCAGGGCCAGGAGTCAGCAAATGGCTCTCCCCAGCCTACCATGTTCTAGAGAGGAATTTGAAGGAGTCCAAAAATTTCAAATTTATATTTGAAACTCTAAGACTTGTTTTTTATGGGAGGAGAATAATAATTATTTTATTTAGTCATTTATTAACTTGATTTATAGTAAATATTTATAAATACCTATGCTATAGGGGGCTCCACTTGGTCTTACCCTGGCCCCATAAATGTTATCAGCCACTCTGTACACATTTACACACCCACACACACACACGCAGCTGCCCCCATTTAACTAGATGTAGCCATTTCTATAGCTGTATCATTAGTTCATTCAGCAAATATTTCTGAGCACCTTTTGTGTGCCAGGCATAGTTTTAGGCACTGACAATTGAAGAGTAGACAAAAGAGAATCCCTCCATCCATAGAGCTTATGATTTAGTGCAGTAGTTCTCAATCCTGGAAGCACATTAGAATTTTCTGAAAAGCACATTAAAAAATCTGATACTGAGTCTACATTTGGTCTCATCCCAAAACCAATTATCTGGGGATGAGACCAAGGCATCAAGTATTTTTTAAAGTTGACCGAATCATTCTAATATATGACCAAGATTGAGAACAGCCATTCTAGCATACTAACAACCACTTAAAATGTGCTTATTCTGTGTCAGTCATAGTTTTTGTTAACAACTTTGCTGAGGTATCATTGATATACAGAAAACATTGCACATGTTCAATGTATACAATTTGCTGAGTTTGGACATATGAATACACTCATTATACTATCACCACAATAAAGGTAATAAATATATCTATCACCCCCAAGTTTCCTTGTGTCTCTTTGTGTTTCTTTCTTCCTTTCCCTTCCCTTCTCTCCTTTCTTCCTTCCTCTCTTCCGTTTACTCTTTTCTTTTTTTGTGCTAAGAACACTTAATATGGGATCTACTTTTTCCACAAATATTTAAGTGCACAATACCATACTGTTAACTATAGGCATTATGTTGTACAGCAGACCTCCAGAACTATTTGTCTTGTGTAACTGAAACTTTATACGCATTGAACAACAATTCCCCATTTCCCCTTTCCCCCAGCCCCTGGCAACCATCATTCTACTATCTGATGAGTTGACTATTTTAGATAGCTCATATAAGTGCAATCATGCAGTATTTGCCATTTGTAACTGGCTTATTTCAGTTTGTGTAATGTCCTCCAGGTTCATCCATGTTGTTACAAATGGTAGGATTTTTTTCTTTTTTAAGGCAGAATAATATCCTGTTATATGTAGGCACTACATTTTAAAAATCCATTCATCTGTCAATGGACATTTGACACAGTTTTAAGCACTACGTATCGTATCTCTTAATTTCCACAATAAACTTCAGAGCTAGGCATTATTGTATCCCTCCTTATCAAGAAACTGACACACCTGGAGAAGTTAGGATTCAGGTTTCCTGCTCTAAACTGTTACTCCATGCTTCCTCTCACCACACCTGGTTGGTCCAGGTGTGGACCCTTGACTCAATGTAATCAGTGCTTTTCCCTAGGAATTGTAAGTGGCGGGAGTGGTGGAAATGGGAAGCTAAGAACCTGGGAGAGGGAATAATGTCTCCTTGTGAAAGAAAACGTTATAGACCATAGATAAAGCTGTTATGAATTGAGAAGCATACCTCATGAACACTGTAAGCACCCAAGACCTTATTTTAGCTATTTCGAAGGCCCACCCAGATCCCCAATCTTCTTGTGGCTTGGCTTTATAAACTGCAGTTGAATTCTATTAACCATCAAATTCCCATTTTTTCTAAACTAGTTCAAGTTGGGAGACATTTGTGAATAAAAGTTTACTAATATACAGTTGTATTAGTCCGTTCTCACACTGCTACCCGAGACTGGGAAATTTATGAAGAAAAGAGATTTAATTGACTCACAGTTCTGTGTGCCTGGGGAGGCCTCAGAAAATTTACAATCATGGCAGAAGGGAAAGCAGGCACATCTTCCCGAGGTGGCAGGAGAGAGAAGCAAGCAAACGAGGAACTTGCCAAACACTTATAAAACCTTCATATCTCGTGAGAACTCACTTACTATCACGAGAACAGCATAGGGGAAACTAACCCCATGATCCAATCACCTCCCACCAGGCTCTTCCCTCAACACCTGGGGATTACAATTCATGATGAGATTTAGGTGGGGATACAAAGCCAAACAATATCAATAGTCTATTGGGTGTATTCTCTAAATGCCACATTTTGTTCACTCAATTAGCAATGTTGAATGACTTTATCATGAACTCTGTATCTATGACTCCATCATGACCTGAGATATGTCTTAATTTGTGATGTTTAGACAGTTGCTTAAGCCTGAACTGTAAGCAGCAATGTTTTCGGTAGTGGCTGATTCTTTCTGTGAAACTGAAATCTCTCAAGAGTGACTGATGAGGCTTACAGGATGCTGGCCTTCTATAATGCCATCCTGTCAGTACATATTTTAGTCCATGCTGAATCCAGGACCCTGAGAAACCTTATAGCCTAGAATTTGATTCTATATATAGTCAAGAATATACACAACATACCTCTGCATTGGATCTTCTGGGGTTTTCTTAATTTTGGATGAAAAGCTCTCAGCATATTAATTCCAGAATATACACTGAATCACATCAAGCCAATCCTTGTATATTAAGGCTGTTGTATGTAGCATGGAGTCTAATTAATTTAGAATTGTAGAATTTATTATTTTGTTTCCTGATGGCATTTTGGAGCGATTTTAGGCTACATACTGTTGCTCATCATTTTTTTAAAAATAAGATTCTATCAACATTAGATGATGCCATTTTAGATAAACAGTAAAATGGGCAAGAGATGAGCAAGTCTTCAGTGGAACATGTATTTAGTAGCTTAAATATACTCTGATTACTTTATCTTCTGTCACTGCATGAATAACTATAGGAGCCCAGAAGACCATGTTACAAACATAGAAGCACTGCATCCCAAGGCATTTATAAAACCTCCCAAATATTAGCTTCATTCTGGCTCCATCCTACTGACCTCCGGTATTGTAATCGTCATCATTTTCCTCTAAGACCTCTCCCCCAGTATATTACAAGTGTATTTGTATTTAAAGCATTATGTCCAGGCGCGGTGGCTCACGCCTGTAATCCCAGCACTTTGGGAGGCCAAGGCGGGCGGATCATGAGATCAGGAGATCGAGATCATCCTGGCTAACACAGTGAAACTCCGTCTCTACTAAAAATACAAAAAATTAGCCGGGCGTGGTGGCGGGCGCCTGTAGTCCCAGCTACTCGGGAGGCTGAGGCAGGAGAATGGCGTGAACCTGGGAGGCGGAGCCTGCAGTGAGTGGAGATCACGCCACTGCACTCCAGCCTGGGCGACAGAGTGAGACTCCGTCTCAAAAAAAAAAAAAAAAAAAAAGCATTATAAGTATTTTACTGGTCACCTTTTAAGACTGATTTTCTGAAGGGGCTTATCTTTGAACCTTACGGATCTGTGCAGGCTGCAGTGAATTAAAGCATGAATTTTCTCTCTCACTGGCTCAGTGCACTAGGAATCGGTGTGCACCAGCAGGTGGCAGCAAAAATAAATAAATAAATAAGCTAAACATGAATTAAAAATACCCAGAGAAAGAGGGCCTCTTATTTAAATCTTCTTCCAGTTTCTCAACCTCCTATCTTTCTCATTTCTGTTCATTTTCTCTGATTTTGAAAATATGGCAGAATGATTTGTTGATGTAACAATGTGAGTTTTAATTTCATCGATGTGGAGGAATCAGAAAGGATGGAAACCAAGCTTTATTTAATTTTTTGCATTTTACCTGCCTTGATGCTTATCTGCCTCCAAGGAGGTCTTTGGCAAGCCTTCCAGCTGATGCTAAAGACAGTACTTCATCTTTGGATGCAGTGAAAGCTGGAACTCATTAAGGAGATTTTTGTGGGTGATTCAGAGAGGTAGGAGAAAGAGGTGTTTGGGAGGTATAGAAAGGGGAAATTTTCCAGGACTAGGGGGGAGAAAGGCTGCAGGTTCTGAGAACAGTGGGTACCTGTGGTCCCTCTCCATGGTATGACAGGGTGAAAGCAGAACCTGTGGGCTTGGATGCTGCTGTCAGGGGAATCAGGGAGGATGGATAATTGGAGGGTCCATTCCAAATATTGTATCCCACACAAGATTACTGGGATCTTCATCTGAACCTAGGGTAGGAGAACCCCCAAAATAATAACGACTAAAACTTAATGTCGTGATAACTCAATGTGATGTGCGTTCAGTCTCAGATTTATTTAGATTTGGAGAATATAAAGTTGAATAACATTTTAGACCCTCAAGTTTCTAGTGCAAGTTCTATCCTTTGCACAATCTTAGGGTTTTATTCTGCAGAAACAACTTGTCCTATAATGGGTAGGACTGAAACTTTGTCCTAGAAACCTCCTCTCTTGATGAAAAGTGGAGATATTTTCAGCCTTCTATTGTGTGACATCGTCTATTCCTTGATGAAGGCTTATTTCGATGAAGGAATAGGTTGCCCTACCAGCCACTGAGTGTCCTTGGAGCATCAGTCATTCTATTTCAGTCCTGGTAACAAGGGGACAGAGGAGACACAGGGGCCTGGCTTATAAGATATTCTTTGTATCTAAACTGTCCCCATCTGTACTATCAGTTCACAGGCCAAGAAACTAAGGATGTAAGGATTATAGTTTTCCACTTAAGACATTTAAAAACTAAACCCATATTGAACATCTAAACTTCCACAAGTGCCCTCCAAGTTTTTAAGACATTATCTCACTGATGTTCCTTGAAACCTTACAAAACAACATTATTTTCCAATTAAAAAGATGCCACATGTCTGTGTTTTGGTGCTATCAATAAATAGAGATACACTGAGGTATAGAATGACAAAATGACATGCAAAAAAGGAATTATAAAAGTCAAATCTACAGCCCTTGTGACAGGCCCTACATTCAGAAAATCATGTCTTTTACTAAATTACAAGAAGAGAAGTCTTTTTCTCGGAAGATGTAATATATTGGGTTCCTCATTTGGGGTCATTCCTGAGTACAATGATTTTATTATTATTATTATTATTATTATTATTATTGAAAATCTATTAGAGTGACAAGCACAAATCGAAAATCAAGATTTGTATCAGCGAAGCTTAAAGATAGATTAAAGGCATTGATTTTGGTTGTACAGAAATATAGGAAAAAATGAATCACACAAGCTTTCTGAAAACCCACTGCGAATGTTTCTCGTAAAATCTTAAGACCAAGTACTACACGGTCTGAATAGCACTCTGAAATCTAGCCAGTAGAGGGCAGTCAAAGAGTAGTTCATAGAATTCGAGGGCTCCAGACTCTTTCCATATTTCTTGCAAATTCCTGCCAGTAAGCTTTTCTGATTTTATAAAATCCAGTGCGTTAATTATATCATTTCTGGATTCTGGATTCATGTTACCATTATAACAATTGCTTCCTTACAGGCGTTGGTTTCCTTTAAATTTTTCAGAATCTGAAGTTGGTGAAGTCTTATTAGCTGGATCTTCCTTAATTTAATGTACCCTAAATTGCTTTTTATATGACTCACTGCAAAATGGAGAATAAAAATTTTCTCTCTATCTGTGAAAAGTCTGAATATAATTTAGAAATGTTGAATGAAGGATTTATCTGCAGTGGAAGGGAGCATAAATAGAAGGAGTTGCCAGATAAGGAAAGATAAGTAAACCTTCCAATGTTTAGAGTCATATCAGAAAAGTCAAACTCTTGGTTTTAATTTCCCATTTACTCAAACTACTAAATCCCCCTGAGAAACAGTGGGATGGAAATGCCCTTTGGGGAAGAGTTCCTGGTACTTTCAGGGGAAAATTGTACAGAAATAGGCATGTTTGCTGCATTGTAGCCTCAAGTCATTCCTACTTCATATCCAGCCTGCCCCCAGGAAGTGGTGAATCAGTGATGCATCAGAATCAAGAACTTCACATGAACACATATGAAGTTTAGTTTTAAAAATGGGTGAAAGTTCAAGAGTGACGTTTTTTAATTTTTTTCAAAAATCGTTTTCATATTTTAGTTGGAACAAGTCAAGCAACGTTTGTGTTCAGTTCAATCCAGCAAACTATTGCCTCTGTGCACCAGACCCTGCACCCATTATGAATGGAGGAAGGGAAAAGAATGCCACCAGGATAAGCAGGCGCCATTGTGGAAGTTGTTGTGGAGGATAGTTCCTTCTCACTCTTAGGAAATGTGATGCTCTTGACCATTTGCTATGCCTTGGTTCTCAATTTGTGCTCTTGCCATCACCCCACCATCCAGCCCAGTAACATCAAGATCACCTGGGCACTTGTCAGAAATGCAACCCTGTGGTTTAACAAGGCCCTCCAGGTGATTTTGTTGAGCACTCAAGTTTGACAACCAAGTTATTCGCCCCTGGGCAGGTAGATTAATTTACTTGATACATTTGAAGAAAGAACTGGGCATGCTTATCTCCGCCGTCCTCTTCTTCCTGAGTGAAGTGTACGCAGAAGGCATGGCTTCTCAGCTGTTCCTCTAAGCAGCGGCTCTTTCCACCCATCTGGAGATTTAGATTCTAGAGTTCGGTATCACATTTGCCTGCAGATGTAAGTCACATCTTTCAGCCTCGTTCTGTCAGTAATAAAGGTAATATTTTGGCTTCTCCCAACCCTATTCCTTGTCTTATCTTTCAGTTGTTAAGAATGCAGGCAGGGAAGACGGATTCTGTTCAATGACCCCCTTCAAGACTCCAGTGAAGTTCAGGATCTGGCAGAGGGGATGGATTTATATAGAAGTATGTTTAAAACAGTGTACATTTCATAGTCATAACATAATTCCCACTCTAAAAAGCTTGTGTGTCTCTTTGCAGTATGTTATCTTTTTTGTTTTTTTCTGCATTTTTTTATATTTATTCTTTTGATTTCAGAAATAGCAACTTTATCCATATGGCAAAATTTGACATTTTATAATGAACAACAAAAAAAAACAAGCTGATCAGATATCATTTAATTTAAAAATTATTTCCAAAATGTTTTAAGAAAAGTTATAGGATGGATCCATTTAATATTCATGTAAATATATTGTAACTCTGATAACTCAGAGTGATTTGGGTGACTTCTTTTGGAATCTTTGCATTATAAACAAAGCACAGGTTTTACCTGTAGTTGAAAATTAAAATTCCTGCCCCCCTTCTCTTTGCTTATCTCAGTCTTTCCCATCCCTTACTGCCTGATTTACTTTTCATTGTCTACCACAGTCATCAGGGACCCCTTCCTCTTTTGAGTGCCCATAGAACTCATGTCTTGGTCTTCTTCACTGACACTTTATCTGTGCTTCTTATTTATTCATGTCCCGTTTTCTCAAATTCTTTCTGAATACATAGCATCTTACTCTCCTTTATAGTGTCAGCACCACAGTAGAGGATATATAAGTACATGTTGATTATAACATTTATTTCTTACACATTTTTAACATTTTTTATTTCTGAGTATTCAAGAAATGATTTACGTTTTAGTTACAAAACTTTTCTGTTATATAATTTTTAATTCATGTATTAATTTAACCTTTGAATCTGTCATTTAAAAATGTCTCATAGTGACAGAAAGTAAATTGTTGGTTGTCTAGGGATGGGGAAGTTGAGGGAAAATGGGTATGAGGTTTTTTGCGGGGAGCAATAAAAATATTCTGAAATTGTTTGTGGTGATGGTTGCATAACTGTGGGAATATATTAAAAATTATTGAATTGCACATTTTTAAATGGGTGAATCGTAGGGCATGTGAAACATCTCAACAAATGTGTTATTTAAAAAAAATCTCATATGATAAAGGCTAGAGTGACAGAGCTGTCAGAAAAAGAGATGAGCTCTTTTCAGCATTTTGACTTTGATGCCGATAGGTTTGTCTCCATAACTTATAAAAACTTATAGAACAGAAAAGAAAGATTAAAGCCATGCCAATCTTTATGAAACATTCATATTATAATCTTTTCTTTTTTATTTCTCTTTTCCATACATATATGTGAGATATTCTAAATCTTACTCTAGTTCTAGGCAGATTTTGTTACTAAATTCCAAACCATTTTCATTTCCAAGAAAGGGAGTTCCTCAAAAATGGACTTCTTACTTGAAATGGAAGTCGTGGCTGTTTACAATAGCAAAGATATGGAATCAACCTAGGTGCCTATCAACAGTGGATTAAAGAAAATGTGGTACATATTCACCGTGGAATACTATACAGCCATAAAAAGAACAAAATCTTGTCTTTTGTAGCAACATGGATGCAACTGGAGGCAATTATCCTAGGGTAATTAACACAGGGACAGAAAACCAAACATAGCATGTTTTTACTTATAACTGGGAGCTAAAATTGAGTACACATGGAAATAAAGATGGGAACAATAGACACTGGAGCCTACTAGAGCAGGAAAGGAGGGAGGGGAGCGTGGGCTGAAAAACCACCTGTTGGATACTATGCTCACTAACTGGGTGAGGGGACCACCCACACCTCAAACTTCAGCATCAAGCAATATGCCCAGGTAAAAAACTTGTACATGTACCCCCTGACTCCAACTTTTTTTTAAAAAAGAAGAGAAATGGAAGGCTTGGTGACATGTTTTAAAACCTGCAAAAGAAATGAAGAAGTTGTATAGTGTGTTACTAACAATGACAGTGGTCTACTTTGTTATTAGCAATGGTTGAAATTTACTGTTTATTATCTTTGTTTTACAGGTGGGGCAACTGACACACAGAGGTATTAAGCCCAAGGTCACTCTGTCCATGAATGATGAAGCCAGTTGTGAACAGCCTACAACCAGAGCCTGGGCTCTTAAATATCAGGCTTTGCTGGCTTTGATGAGTAGATCTTTATATGAAGGCAAGTTCTTCCCCATTGTGAAGGCACATTGTGAAGGCACATTCCCTGTATGGATAGGAAAATAACACAGCACTGAAGTGTCTGCTAGGATGGAAAAGTAAATATGAAAAAACCAAGGCTATGACAAAATGCTGAATTAGAGTATGTTCAAATCATAGCTACTCTATAGGCTCAACCAGTATAAGCACTGTTCCTAATTGGTAAACCTAGAAGCGCATTCTCCACCTGGAGGATCTAGTGAGGTTTAATCAAAATAGTTTGTGTGAAAGTGACTGTTGTCTCATAGAGACCCAGTAAAAGTTTGATTTCTTGAATAATACAAGTTGGCATATGTTGCCCCTCATACATGTCCTATTTTACTTACGTATAATGCTTTAAGGCAGAAATTTAAAGTGCTTTATGAATGTTTTCTTATTACTCATAGCCCAGCTGCAAACTGTTGACAAATAATTTGTCCAGTTTGGAAAAAGTTTGTAAGGTTGGAGAAAACAGAATTGAGAAAGGACAAATAATAAGTATAAAGAAGAAATCATCTTTATTATAGTGTTTTCCTGTGGACAGATGTTATTACTAGTGTTAGTACTAAAGTTTTCATTACCCAATTAATTAATTCAGCGATATTTACTACATGTTGTTCTCAGTGTCTGAGGTTATTTAGATGCTAGAGATAGAGCCAGCCGTGGATGAGACAGATCATAATCAGGTCCATCCTGGAGTTTACCTTTTAGGAGATGGAGAGAAAGACAATAAACAAGTAAAATAAGCAAATGAACTAGAGAAAGCCTGGTAGTGTTGAGTTCTAATGGGTTAGCTAAGAGGATATGGTTTAGAGTTGAATTAGAATCAACCCTCAGAATTTATTTTGCTGATCCTAAAGGACAACTTGACACTTATAAAATATTAATCTTGCCATAAAAATGTCAACTATATTGCTGTAGAGAATCTCCAATGAAGTTCTTTGTGATCAGAGGACTATATAATGATGATCAATTTTTGCACAGTGTTTTACAGGGTGGACAGCACCCTACAGGGTGTGGGCTAATAGAATGACTTGATACTGTTTTTGTTCAAGGGCAAGGTGCTGAACTCAGCAGGACTCTCTCAACAGTCCCTGCTGAGCGGCCACTACCACTTCCAAGCAAAACCTAATCCATTAAGAAAGCCTAATTTAATAATATTAGGCTTGCTAGGTAAAATATTCTCATTTTTTCCCTCATCTTTTCTGAAGAGAATTTTTATTGTTTTCCTGACTGTCTAGTCATTCACTTATCTGTTAATCTTCAGGCTGCAGGTACAGCCAGGGTGGGCGTAATGTGATCTTTTTAGTCAGATGCACCTTTGGGCCCCCAGAAAGATAATGATGTCTCCTGAACTTAAAAGATGAATTCAGTTTTGTGCCCATGTGGTCCTAAGGTTTTGGTTAACCTTGAGTGACTAATTTTTGTGATTTTATGTGGTCACTGTTCAGTAGTAATGAATTAAGAAGGCATGAATCTATGGACTCAGTTGAAATTTAGTCCCCAAAGATGAGAGGTCAGTACACACTTTCTATCTGTTGTATTCCATCCTCCCAACCCTTGCACAATGGACAAAAGGAAACTGTTCTGAAAGTAGGCTGTTAAAAAACAAATCTGTAGGAACATCAGCTTGGAGCTTAGGAAAAGGATGTTTTCTCCAATTTATCACGTGAGTTTACTTTCACTTTAGAGGAAAGTATCCCCTTTTTACTTTGTATATTTATTTTCCATCTTTCTGTATCTTGCTTTAAAAAAAACGAAATATCATTTTAAAGTCAACAAATCAATGTTACAAATAATCAGATCCCACTGACTTAAATGTAGAAGTTTTCAGACTACTGATGTTATGAAACAGTATGTTCAAGTTACAAAGTCGGGTTCTATAGGCTGGACTATGTGGAATTATAATTTTGTAGTTAATGTAGAATATTGACGATTCTATATCGGTTAAGTTAACCAAATAAACCAAGTTAAGTTTTTCAATTTTTGTAAAGACAGACATATCTGAAAGTGACCACATAAAGAAAAATAAATGGTAATCTCTTCATGTTGTGTTTTGAGTAAAAATGAATGGGCTTCTCCCTCTGTTACAGTTTAGAAAGTAAGGATAGCATGTTCCTAGAGAATCCGAAAGGCAAAATTTAGAGAATAGGTGATTAATGAGTTATTTCGTATTTGATTTTCCAATTCTGATTACCTTAGCTTTATTTGTAAGGAGGTAGCACTATGCTTTGCAAACAAAGAATGATTCATATATATCCATTTGGTTGATCTGAAAGAGGTGTTTTTTTAAATTTATGCATGAACAACAGCTTGCCTGTGTTCTTGACCTTGAGAAAATGCTACTGGAAACTGAGTGTGATAGAGATTGTGATAACTAAGGTAAATTCAATTTGTATAACCAGAAGTCTTGGTAAATTAGGTACTGAATTTGATGATTAGGCTTTGATAGTCTCTGAATAAAGACTTATCTCTGATTAGGGGGCTCTGGCTAGTTTATTCCTCCCTCCCCCAATACAGGCCTTTGAACTTATTGAGTACTCAGTGCTCATAGAGTTTAAATATCGGAGAAAATTTGTAGAGCACACAAAGGCAAGGTAGCACTTAATAAAATGGAATATGATATCCTGAAAGAGTAAGATGAACATAGAAAAGCAATGTTGCTTGAAATGTAAAAGTTGTCTTCTCTAGCAAACCGGATAAAAATCATTTGATCTGAGTTTTATCAAGTTATTGCATTCCTAAAGTGTTAATTTGCATCTTAAATTGGCCGAAGATTTCTGGAATAACTAATAACTGTGTTGAAACCTCACCCAAGGCATGCAGTGTGCAAAGCTGTGAACAAAGTTGGTATTTATCATTCTTAGTGCCATCACAATGTGCCAAGCAAGCGCTTCTTAGTTTGGTTACAGTTGCTTTTTAGTTCTGCCTATTGTTGGCATAAGACACGTGAACTTACTCTTTCTTGGCAATTCTCTTTGCAGTTAAGCAGTGCTGGCTTTTGCTCAGTCTCTCTTTTCTTTAACATAGTTTTAACTATGTACTGAAATGTACTAAAATGATATGTAAGCACTGTCTTTAATTAATTGTGCTTTCAGCTAGCATCTGGAAAGCATAATAGAACATCTGCTTTGCATAAAGCCACCTAAGGATTATTAAAATCTGATATTTTAAGTCTTTTTATATTGTAAGTACCATGTGTTAGTCACACTCAGATACAAATGATTTGAAAAGAAATTAAGCAAAATGGCAGTAATTCAGTGCTTTAAAATAATCAGGACGTAAGATTATGTTTTATTTTATTTTTTTAATTAAGGGATTTTATCCTTTTCTTGGTTTGCTTTGGATGGGGTGGGAAGTGTGTGTAAAAGTTATGGGAGGGGAGGTGGAGGGTGTAAAATGGATGGTGATCATCTGCAGAGTAAATACAACACAATATACATTACTTTATTGGAACTAAATGAAGATTAAAAAAGCGTTGTCTGCTAGTTGGAAGCATTTTTTAGTCCTTGAATTACATTTGGGATCTTCTTGATCCAAAAAAAATGTGTTGCAAGACAATGTCTATTTCACAAACGTGTATTTCCGCCTTATGCCATCTTCTCATTCTTGATACAGTCCTTTAAAAAGTGCAGCTCCAGGAAATTTTATATAATTTTGTAATCTTTTTCTTAATTTTGGGTTCATAGCTATCAGTGGAAAAGGATGAATATTCTTGTTTTTCTTCTCATGTCAGTGTTTACCGGTAATTTTTATTTTACAGGTTGGTATACATACACACACAGTTTATGTATGTTTACCCTATCTTTATTATGAAGCCATGAGGAATTATAATATTTTCTGTGTGGTCTTTTAGAAATGAGCAAAGTAAGTGGTGTAATAATTAAGTTGTCTTAATAATGAAAGGTACTTTGTTAGTGACCAAATCACATAGTAATCATATAAGTATAAACTATTATTGGACAAAAAGGCACACTTGAAGTTTGTGTGATTTTCAAATAGCTAAAATTTAAAAAGCCAATTGAGAAATTTACTTTGTACCATTAGTTTATTCTATTTCACAGATGTAGACTAATTTCCTGACTGTTCAGTCACTTTGCAAATATATGGATTGCTTAAAATAAGCTAATTTGTATTAAAGAACTAGAGCAGATGGTGTACAGATAATGGTTAAGGAATACCATCCGCCATAGGAAGGAGACCAATTTTTGGAATACAGAAACTGCAAATGTCTTTTGCAATTAGCAATCACAATCATAATGTGAATAACAGCTAATATTTACTTATCTCCTATAATGAGCTAGGCAGTCTGCTAAGTGCTTGATCAATGTTTCACGTCGCAATCCTATGAGTCAAGTATAGTTACTATCCCTACTTTATTGACTAAAAAAAAAAAAAAAAACAAAGCTTAGCAAGTTTAAGTGACTTGCTCAAGATACATAGCCAGTAGGTTGCAGTACATAGGTTGTTCCAATATTATAATAAAGAGACATCACTGAGGGTTATTTTATTGAATTTTTAAGAATTCATACTCATTTTACATCACTGAGGGTTATTTTATTGAATTTTTAAGAATTCATACTCATTTAAATAGCAGGCAAAAATGCTCAAAAATCAGAAATTTCAGCATGTAACTGAGTTTTATTTTTACTATAAAGTTTAATATACACAGGGCCTAGAGCAGAAGCCAGTAAAATTTGAAAAATATCTAAAGACAATCCTACATGACCTGGGACTTTGGATGTAAATCTTACCCTCTAGTCATTTGTCAGGTGGCTTGTTTAAAGTTTTCTGCCTTGCTTAATATATGTTTTTATATTAGCCAACTTAGTTTACTACACCTTGAGTCTTCTATAGATTTAAAATAAAAAAGAAGAGAGGACACACAGAGACACACACACACACAAAGGGAAACACACATACACACACACACATACACACGGAGAGAAGTAACAGACATAGGTACGTTTTTTGACTCCATTCTTCAAAATAAGAGAAACTTGCTGTGATATATATATATTTTGATATATTTTCTTTTCATCACGCTGAGAAGAAGAAAGCCATTTGGCTAAAATTGTCTTCTGGTTTGGGAAATGTTTCCATGAACTTAGAATTGCTTCCAATAGCCTTCTTACCGAGTTAAAGACATAAGCTGCTTTCTGATTCCCTGTGAATGGTTTCCTGGCTTCTGTTTTATTAGAAGGAAGGAAATCCTGAGATGTGAGGAGAGGATGGGCTAGTCCCATGAGGGCTAGAAACCTGCCATCATGGGCTCCATGGGTGTTGTTGAGTATTTGAGTTCAGTGGCATGTAACAAGAGACCCCAAATAACAGTGGCTCATGTAAATTATTAATACATGCTCTTTCCCTTATCTAATAGTATGAAGGAAAGTGGTCCAGGGCTGGCATGGCTGCTCATGTCCAGAACCAGACCCAGGCTACTTCTCTGCTTCTTGCATCTATAGCTTAAGTTCTGTTTCCCTTATTTCGTGGATCAAGATGGGTCTTCATCACATCCACGTTCCAGGAGGCAGGATGGAGAGCGTAGAAGACGGGTCATAGCCTTTCCTTTAAAGGGCGTGTCCTGAAAGTTCAACACATTGCTTTCCTATACATTCTATTGGCCAGAAGTCAGTCCTGTGGTTACACTTAGATGAAAGGGAAACAGAGAAGTGTTATTTTTATTCCAGGTAGTCATATGGTTAGCTAAAATTGAAAACTTCTAGTGTAGAAGAAAGGGAAAACAGATATTGGAGGAAAATGTGCAGTTGCTGTCATACCATTTTTGTAAACATTCTCCTTTTTTAAAATTTTTTTGATAATTTGGGAAGTATAAGGTTGATTTTCGATTGTTCATTTGACTTCATTCTTTTTCTGGATCATTTTAATCAACAACATTTCCTTCTTAAAGTTATCTCCAGGACACATCTAGAAATGAATTCCTAATTATGTGTAGAATTCATAAATGATTGTGTACTGAAATTTTTTCTAAAAATGATCTCAGGGTTGTCACATTATGAGGTTTTCTTCCCTCTTTTTTTCCTTCAATATTTATTAGACTTCTCTTCTGAAGCATTTAATCTGTTAAATGCTGGAGAGAAAAAGATAACTAAAAAGATGACTAAGATAAGGTCTTCTCTGCCAGGTGCGGTGGCTCACGCCTGTAGTCCCAGCACTTTGGGAAGCCGAGGCAGGTGGATTACCTGAGGTCAGGAGTTTGAGACCAGCCTGATCAACATGGTGAAACCCCATCTCTACTAAAATACAAAAACATTAGCCAGGCGTGGTAGTGCACACCTGTAATCCCAGCTACTCGGGAGGCTGAGACAGGAGAATCGCTTGAACCCAGGAGGTGGAAGTTGCAGTGAGCAGAGATCATGCCATTGCACTCAAGCCTGGGCAAAAGAAAGAGACTCTGTCTCAGAAATAATAATAATAATAATAATAATAATACATAAAGTCGTCTCCCTGGAAGCATGGTATGATAGAGAAAGCAGGATTGAGACCCTTGTGAGTCTGATTCCAAAGCCTAAATTCTTTTACTCTACTTGCTTGTGGAAGGAAGTCTGTCACACAGTGTCTTTGAGGGTCAGTTTCGCCATGGACATAAACGGGAATAACTCCTAGGGATGTTGTTAGAGTAAAGTGAGGGGCATTAAGTTCTTGTTTTTATATTGCCTATACCTGTTTTTATATTTATTTTATATTTAAATTATTTTTTAATATTTTATAATATATATTTATTTTATATTATTGTATATTCCCTGTACCTGTTTTATGTGTTTATTTTATTTCCCACTTTAACTTCTTCCAGTTGGGTCCTTAATTGAACTAATTATTATCATTTTCTTAGAGACAAGGTCATGCTCTGTCACCCAAGATGGAGTGCAATGGTGCGATCATAGCTTACTGCAGCCTTAAACTCCTCCTTAATCCTCTTGCCTCAGCCTCCCAAAGTGCTGGGATTACAGGCGTGAGCCACCACACCCATCCCTGAAGTTAATTTTTTAGATATAGGAATTTAGAGAGGGTCATGGTTGGAATATTTTCCCCAAAACAATACTGAGTAATTGTTTTGTGGTCTAGAGCAGGGTCTTGATAAATTAGCAATAAATCTAAAGAGAAACAATGATTAAGAGATGGCTTTAAAGTTGTGACTCTTGACCTGTTATCACTAATCACACAAACAATCAGTGCCATGAATGCTCGTAAATTTCAAATTGCAAATATAAATTAGTTTTCCCCCTGAATTTATTGCTTTGACCTCTTGTGGTGTTGGGTGTCTCTAAATAGAGAACAGAAATAATACTAGTTTAGGGACACAGTTGATAATGGAATTTAGGAAATGAAGTAACATATATATTTCAGGCATGTGCTGGGTGCTTTTCCATAGGCTAGCTCGTCAGGTTCATTGATGCTACCATATAGAGCTTATGATTACCTTTCAAAGTTATATTAAATAAAATACCCTTGATATTAAAACTAAAAACATGTGATTTTTACTTTTCTGGCCTCATACTTTATTTTGCCATTTGGAAAATTATTAATGAATTTACAGTTGTATTAATTAAGAGATTTTTTAATGCTAATATGTTCAACAGTTTTTTTTTTTTTTTTTTTTTTTTTTGTAGCTGTTATGTTTCTCGCTGAGAGAACTTCTGGTGCTCTCAGAAAGAGCTTCCTAAAATGCAAATCTCCTCTAGCCATTTTGATAGTTTTTCATTGCCTAAAGTGTAAATCTGTTGTGATGGCTTATAATTTCTCCCGCAATCTGATTCCTACTTCCCTGTCCAATCTTATCTTTCTCTCTGAAAGCTTCTCCTCCCCATACCTCACCATCCACCTCAGCCAAATTTGAGTTCTTTGCAGTTCGGAGAACAAGCCATGAGGGTTTATTATGCCTTTATGTATGCCTACACTCACCTCTTCCTGGCAGCTTTGCTCGACTGCAAGGACAAAATTGAAAACATATAGTATGGTGGGAAAAAATTTGGTTTAAGATAACTTTTTGGTGGAAATACATTTGAAAATGGTATCTTCTGTCATGAGGTTTTTTTTTTTTTTTTTTTTTTTTATCAGCACTCTTGGTAAACTGCAAAGCAATTTTGCAATCTTTTGGTTCATAAAGTGTTTTTTACTGTTATTTTTCAAAAAATGCAGTTTTTATTCTGCATAAAAAATTTAAGATTTTTTGAATGAAATATAAAATATAAAATATATCTTGGCTTTTTGTAATGCACAGTTTAGAAAAAAATTGCTCAACCAGGTAACCTCTTCTTTTTTAAAAAATCAGGGACTTGTGACAGGCTATTTATTCTGCTAGAAACACTACCACCCCAACCCTAGCTCTGTCTTCTCACTACCTTCAGTTGTCCTTTAAGTCTCAGGGTAGAAGTCAGTACTTTTGAGAGGCTTCTGTTGACAGCCTCCACTTAAATTTGGCTTTGTGTACACATATTTTTGTAGACGGTATTTTTTTCTTATATCATTCATCAGAATTTACAATGATTTGAGAGGTGTTTACAGTATTTAAGGTTACAAGCTCTGGAGCCAGAATGCCTGGGTTTAAATCCCAGCTTTGCTACTTATAGGCTGTATGACCACGGGCTGCTAATGAACTTCTTTGTTTTTCAATTTCTTCTTGAGTAAAAGGGGGCTAAAAACAACCTCATGATATTATAAATATTAAATGACAGAATATATTTAAGTGCTTTGCACAGTGCACTGGCACATAATGAACAACCACATTTTTATTTATTTATTTTTTGTGTTTAGTTATTGAATGTACATCTTTCTCATTAGACTATAAGCTCCATGTGGGTAGAGACCATGCCTATGAACCACAGCACCCAGAGATAATAGGCATGCTGAAACATTTGTTGAATGAACTAATACTATGATAATTTGAAAGAGCTTAACATGTTTGACTATAAAAACATTTTAATTATTTTAATTATGCCTAGAATTGGTGCTTTTTATTGTCTGCTGCCATGTTTAAAGAAAATGTATGAAACTAGGAAAATAACTGTGGAAAAACTTGGAAATTTTGCATTTAATTAAAAATGGCAAAAATGTAAATAGCTAGCTTTCTGATGTAATTAGACAAGCAGCTATTTTTGTTAAATGTTAGTCTAAATTTTCTCTATGCCTTTTTCATTTGAAGGTTTATGACATGAATGTCTTATTCAGTTGTCCCTTTATAATATGTATTTCAAAATTATCCTATGGAACATGTAGAATTTTGTTTTTGGCAAACGGTACTTTGACAGGAATCTTAATTCATTGAAATGGTGGCTATAATATGGAATTGGTATTTCAAACTCATTGAATTTGTCACAAGCAGGCATATACATTTTAACAATGTAAGTTAATTGAGTTTATTCTAACATAGTCACAGTTGTGGCAATTGTGTCAAACATTTATTTCATTAAAAATGCAGTTAAAATTTTATTCATAAGTAAAAGGTGTCTATTACTAAAGTGCAAAAAAAGAATATAATTTTAATTTGCACATAAAGGAAAAGTGAAAGTAGCATTTTACTAGGCCTTGTCTCATTTTCTGTACAATCCAAATGGAAACAATGAAGTCCTGGATTATTATGCAGAACCATATGCCAGTTCTTAGTGAATGCTCAACTTACATCCTCATTCTATTGTTCTTCTAAGTTGTTATTTTCACATTAAGCTTTATTTTTCTGTATGATATATATCATTTTAAAAATAAACCACATGAAATTTGAAGCAGTATCATTTTGACAATTTACATTACATCACAAACTGAATTTTATGCCAAATCTGATCCATACAAGCTGCAACTATGTTCAGCCTGTATTTGGTCTAGTTTAAATTTAATACCCAACTGGCCTAAATCTGACAGACTTAATTTTATTAATTCAAGAAAGTTTGCTCTGTTTTCCGTATGTGCCAGAAATGATCATGGTTCATTGAGAAGACTGAAGGGAACTTTGCTGAATAAACCTTTATTAAGTATTAAAATGAAGGGCCACAGTGATAGGAACTGATACTTTAAATGTCACAGATTTTGTACTGATAACAGCATCGAGCAAAAACATTTTTACACTCTTTGCAAGTTATTATGGTTTAAACAGCAGGACATAACTATAAGAAAGTGTGCTGGGCTCATTTGTTTTTAATGGAGTAGAAAAACTCCATGTATTGGTTTGAATTATCTGGATATCTCACATATGGCAATGCCCAAATTAATTACATAATGGCTGGGCTACCAAATTGGTTTTCATTTTATGGAACTTGCCTTCCCTTCAGATGGGAGTTGCATTAGTCAGCTCAGGCTGCCATAGTACAATACCATAGACTGAGTGACTTGAACAACAAAAATGTATTTTCTCACTGTTCTGCAGCGTAGAAGTCCAAGATCAAGGTGCTGGCAGGGTTGGTTTCTTGGGAAGCCTTGCTGCTTGGCTTGCAGATGGCTGTCTTGTTGTCTCTTCTCATGGCTCTTTCTCGGTGTTTGTGTGTCCCTGGTATCTCTCTGTGTGTCCAAATTTCCTCATCTTATAAGGACACCAGTTAGACTGGATTAGGGTCCATCCTAATGGGCTCCTTTTAACTTAGTGACCTCTTTAAAGTTTTTATCTCCAAGTAAAGTCACATTCTGAAATACTGGAGGTTAGCACTTCAAACTATGAATGAATATTGGGAGGCAAACTTTAGCCAATAACACCACGATATTCATTTCCCAATACTAATATTTTGAATCTCTAGTGATAAAAGCCACAATATAATATAGATTTTCCAAATCTAATCACCAGCATACCATTAGCATCTTAAACTACAGCAGTTTTACCTTCAAACAGCTGCTTTTCCTGCATTGTGTGTTTGAAGTTAAAGATGCCAGAAATAGTTTTTGTTTGTTTGTTTGTTTGTTTTGCCAAGAGTAAACAGAACTAAGGTTGCCAAGAGTAAATGGAACTAAGGCAGATCAGGCCAAGTATGTCCTTATAATATTTTAATGAACCCTTTATCCCCAGCTTGTCTGTAAGGGTTTAAGGGTCCAGTTTTGCCTATATCTGCAGTACTAGCACATTACCAGACACAGTAGGTAATTAATAAGTATGCATTTATAGAATGAACAAATTAATGATTTTTCTAATAATGTGTAATTATAAATCATAAAACAAGGATAGAATGTTTTTCAAAAGTGGCTAAGTTATTGTAAATATGGTCTACGGCAGAAGGGTTTTTGTTTGTTTGTTTTTGGTTTTGGTTTTTTTTTGAGACAGAGTCTCGCTCTGTCATCCAGGTTGGAGTGCAGTGGCACAATCTCAGTTCACTGCAACCTCCGCCTCCCAGGTTCAAGTGATTCTCTCCTGCCTTAGCCTCCCGAGTAGCTGGGACTATAGGCATGTGCCACCATGCCTGGCTAATTTTTTGTTTTTTTTTTTTTTTTTTTCAAGTAGAGACGGTGTTTCACCATGTTAGCCAGGATGGTCTCAATCTCCTGACCTCACGGTCCGCCTGCCTCAGCCTCCCAAAGTGCTGGGATTACAGGGGTGAGCCACGACGCTCAGCCAGGTTTTTTATTTAAGCTTACCCATATAATATTCATGTTTAAATGATATCAACTGATACAAAGTTTAAATCTACAGAAGTTAAAAAGTAATTAATTTTGGACAGATTTATTTTAATCCTGGTAAATTATGCCTCTAAAATTCTTCTCACTGATGACTTGAACAGCTATGTGACTTTTCTAAGTGGAAATCAGTGCTCCAGCTCATTGTAAAGAGATAGATGTGACTGTGGTTGGTATGTAGGTAATTATATGTAATTCTGTGAAGATAAGGTTACCCTCTGACAAGGAATTATGCAATAGCAATGGGGTTAGTCCGGTGTAGGAGCACCACATCCTCAGAGAAAATAAAAATAGAAGCCTCAGCCACTTTATGGACATTCAAGTTCAGTAAATGCATCTTCGGTATAGTCTTCAGGAAGAAATCTAGAATGCGAATGTAACTAAGAAAGCTAATTTTTACTTGATTTTTTTTTCTGTAGAAATTATGGAGTGGACAGAAAAGGGCTTGGAAAAATGAAACTGAAAGAATGTTGACATGTGTCTTTAGCATGCTCCAGGAACAAGAGTTGATCCTTCTGGCAAGCACACCATATGATGGAGGTGCTGCATTAGGCTAGAATAATGTCTGCATTTGTTTGCTAGGCCTGTCTAACAAAATAACATTTTATTTTCTCATAGTTCTGGAGCCTAGAAGTTCAAGATCAAGGTATCTGCAGGCTTGGTTTCTCCTGAAGCCTCTCCTTGGCTTGCCGATGGTTGCCCTCTCACTGTATCCTCACATTGTCTTTCCTCTCACACGTCTCTAGTGTCTCTCTGTGTGTCCAAATTTCCTCTTCTTGTAAGACCACCAGTCAGACTGGATAAGCACCCACTCTCATGCCCTCATTTTAACTTGATCACTTCTTTAAAGGCCCTATCTACAAATATAAATGCATTTTGAGGTACTGGGAGTTAGGACTTCAGCCTATGAATTTTGAGGGGATGCAATTTAGCTCATAAGAGACTTATTATTATATATAGACCTGCTTCATTTCATGCTTACAAATGACCTCATCTTTATAAATTGACTTTCCACATTTTCTTATTGGGATAAACTAGGTTGTCCAAATTTCCTTGAAGCCACACTCTTGAATATCCATTTTCTCAAGGATACTAGGATATTCCTCAGTCACTTCCAACTCAACATATCCTCAATGTGGATCATTAATGACTCTCCCAAATTTGTACCGTCTCTTGTGATTTCTATTTTTACTTGATGCCAGCCTCTATTTATTCACCCAAGCCTGGATCTTATCCTATTGATTCTTCTGTCTTCATCACTTCCTTCCTTATCATAAATTTGGTTAACTCTACCTTCATAATCTCTTTCCCTATTAATTATCATTTCATTGCTTTTGTTAGGCATCTTATCTTAATTTGTCTTGATTGCTGCAATAACATCCCTTTGACTTCCAACCCATCCACTCCATCCTCTATACACAGCTGTCAAAAAATCTTTCCCTAAAATGTAAGCCTGGCCATTTAATTCTGTCCTTTAACTTCTTCAATGGCTCCAATTGCCAAAATTCAGCCCTATTAAGGTGGTTCACAGGACCTCTATCTATTCCTACAAACCTCTCTCTATCTTGACCCTCAAACACATCAACTCCAGATAGAACATGTTCTCCCTAAATATGCTGTTACCTTTTTTTTTTTTTTTTTTTTTTTTTTAGCTCTGGCTATGCTTTTATCTTTTACCAAAGTGACTTTCTCTTCCCTAATTCTTCCAATCATATTGACTTAGTAAACTTTTATCCATATGACTTTGTTCTGATGTTACCATCCCATGTATCATAGATGCTTTTTTTCTGTTTCCCCTTGAGACTTCTGCCACCTCTATTCCACAATTTATGAGGTTGCTGTAATTATTTGTTTTTCTATCTGTCTCTCTCTCTTTCTTGAGAATCCCTCAAAGAAGAGACAGTTTCCTAGTAATCAGTTAATCATCTTTCTAGTGAATATAATGGGATTTGGACCATTGTCTCTGGAATCTGACTGCATGGGTTTCATTTTAGCCTAATGTTTCACCTTGCAATGTTTAAACTTGATGCAAGGTAAACAATACATACTAGTGTACTGAATGATTGTTGACTAAAAAGAGAATTAATACATTTTTTAGAGAAAGTAATAGATTATACTTTTTTCCTGAATGGTATAAACAAATAATCACCAAGAGGGAGCAAAATAAAAAAACACTTTAGTTGTCTTTCTTGAAAATTACAGAAAGCTATGAAGAGTGTCTGAGGTTATAGAGGTTAAGTGTTAGGATTATGGATATTCATACTTACCATCTTGTCATCTTAATTTTACATTGACTTTCTCTTAGCTCTTTTTGACAGAATCGTTATTAACATATCATCTAGGGCAAATAAGCAAACTGCCAGCCCCACTGCATGCTCAAACATGATTTAGAGGATAAGAGAGCTTATATTTAGGGAAAAGCCTAATAACACTATCATTTAAGTGTCCCCTATCTACTAGTATTTTATAATTTGCTCTTGGAATTATTCCCAAATATTATTATACATATCATGTATAAACATATCAATTAAGAAGATATATAATCTTTGCTATCAGATTTTTGGCATCAGACATTTCTTTATTTATTTTAAAGAAAATATTCATTATATTACATCCATTCCTTTTTTTTTTTTCGCCAAAAGAAAAATGCAATTTTCAGTCTTTGGATCTTCATTAGTTTCTTTATGTTAGAAATACCACCTTTTTTTTTTTTTGAATAAGCAAAACATGAAGCTAATGATTTAAACATCATGGTAATGGAACATAATGGGCATTTGATACATATTTGTTAAATGATAACACATATTATTTACCTTTGAAATATTGATGTCATAATCTATAAATCACACAACTAAGAATAGTTTTAGATTGTTTTTGATGAGGAGGAATTTCCAATCACCAAAGGAGATTAACTGAATCCTTATATCAGTAGTTGAATTTAGATCTAGGAATATTGTTCAATTCTGTACTTTGGGTTCATATTACAGATCATAAATCAAATTTTCTGTAATCCTTTAAGTGTCAAACAATTCTGTGAAAATAAGCCAAATACATCCCTCTTTTACATAATGGGATGTGACTTCAGATAAACATTGAAGCACATAGATAGGAAAGAATGTTTCATTAAAAGAAATACAAAAGAGTTGAACATGTGATTTTTTTTTTATAAATCTACTTATGCTCAGAAAGCAGAATACAGCCAAAGAGCAAGGCATAAAACTTTTTTCATAAGTAATAACAAACATATTGCTCAAAAAACCCCCAAGGCTTGCCTTTTTCCTATCGTAATAAAAATGCAGCATTAAAAATAGTACAACCAAAATAAGGAATCACTCATAAACACAAATGTGTTTTTTTTTAAATAAGAACTGGAATGTCTCAGTTTATATATATAATTCTCAGGAACATCAGTGATGTGATGTGTGGATAATAAAATGACTGCATATCTAAATTAATTTTTTAAATATTTTAAAAATTAAAATTATACCTTTAACATGAGTTGTTTATGTTCATAATTTTGGATTAAAATGTAGGAATAAATATTAAATACCTAAGCATGCCTTCACATAATCTGCATGTTGATTTGCAAATGCAAAACCTACAAACATATTTTTATATAGTTGGATTAACATATTTTGGAAAGAAGATAGTAATTTAAGACCATCATCAAAATTCTATTACATGCTTTGCTGAAAAAAAATTGAGATGTTAAAAATAATTATGCTTTTGATTTTATCTCATTAAAATAATACACCATTAAGAAAGATACAAATAAACCAAGAAAAGCTTTGGGACTTTTCCCCCTCCCAGTCTAAGAATAGAAAGAAGACAGGCCAATGATGGAATATGCTATGCAATGAAGCATAACACTTGCCAATATTTTCTAAACCAAGCTCTTTGATTAGGTAGATATGCATTTGGACTACAGAAATCAATGTACCTAAACAAAACAAAGTCAAGTTGCCACTGATTTAAGGAAATGTTTGTTTTAAATGTAGAACTGGCTGAAAGATGTGAGTCAAAATTAGAAATAATGGGGAATGCCTATATGTAAGCATGCCCCTTAAATGTCTCTCATGGGGTATAATAAAGACAAATGGAATTAAATTGAAGGGAATTTACTGAAATATAAGCCAAACAGCAATCAAAAATACCCCCAAATACCTGTGAAAGGGAGCATCAGGAAAACAACTGTATGTTGTTTTATCCATATTCTAAATATTTATAGCTTAAAATTTGGCATGATGGAAGTCTCTCTTCACTAATTTATCACTCTGTCACCAGCTACAGAGCTATTTTCTTCTTTCTATGTCCCCATGATAAGTCAGAAGCACTTTGGATATTTTAATTTTATTATGATTTTTTAATTTGTTGTGCATATATATTAGGTGTATATATTTATTGGGTACATGAGATATTTTGATACAGGCATACCATGAATAATAATCACTTCAGGGTAAATGGGGTGGGTATTCATCCCCTCAGGCATTTATCCTTTGTATTACAAACAATCCAATTATATCCTTATTTTTAAATGTATATTAAATTTATATTGACTATAGTCTCCCTGCTGTGCTATTGAATACTAGATCTTATTCATTCTATCTATTTTTGTGTACTCAGTAACCATTCCCACATCCTCTCCCCCCACAACTACCCTTTGGACATTGTATTTTAATTCTCAATTTATATTTCTGTTTCCCACTAAAGGGTGAGCTCCTTGAAGCAAAGGACAGTGTGTGAAAGACTTCACATCTCCTGCACCTTGAACAGAATGCAGAACTTAAGAGTACACACACACACCAAAGTTCACTGAATGGTTTAAAGAGACCCAAATCCATTCTAGAGCTTGCTTTACATTGTACCATATAGTGAGCAACATTTCCTTATGATGAAAGGGTACTTTTCCTGACAGCTCAATTTAGAAAATGAACTGGTTATTTCTATGATTTTTAAAAATGTATACTTCAGGAGTGACATTTCTTCTGTTAATTTCAAAAGTTTTTGGAGGCCCAGACTTTAAGTCCTCTGTGATAGGATTGAGGAGGACAGCCTAGGAACAATGAGCCTCCTGCTCGTTGCTGTCTGGTAGCTGGCCAGAAGTAGGAAGGGGAAGGAAGAGAGGAGCACTGTGGCCTCTCTTCTCCTCTCCATGCCTCGCTGCAAAAGTGGAGAAGAAGGAAGGAAACTAGAAAGGTGTCAGAAAGGGGTGTCATGAAATCTATGAGCATCCAAATTTGATTTTTTCAGCTAGTCACAAATTTAACATAACAACCTAAAATTAAACTTGAAACACAGAAAAAACAAATACATTTAAGAAACATACTGGTAAATGATGACCTTGTCTATTTAAAATCCTTACTGACTGTAAACTCTTTGAACAGCGATTTTGTGAGCCTTATGTGGCTTTTTATCCTGGGTCTTAGCATAGAAAAAGTATACTCATTGAATGATTGAATAAATAACTTTAAAAAATACTTAGAACTAAGCAAACAAACATATAGGCAATTCCTAATATGCAAAGAAATGGAACTGCCTGCTGCCTGAAATTCTTTGAGGAATGATTAGAAGATTTTTTAAAAAATAGTAAATAAACATAGGTTGCAAGATGATTTTTGGAACTCAGGATTTTCATAGGTACATGTTACCCACAGTAACTGGCCAAAACCTCAAATCCTAGTTTACCAATACTTCAATAAGCACAGAATTTACTGATCATGTCTAAACATTTCTTTAAGGCAATGCAAGTTAACTTTCAATTGGAAAACACTGGCTATGACTTCAATTCTTCTTAAAGGGACATTCTGAGGAGTTCATTGATATAAATATGAACATACATGAAAAACTGTTCAGTATCATTAGCCATTAAAGAAATGCAAATTGAAACTACAATGTGATATCACAACACACCTATCAGAATGGCTAAAATTTTTAAAAAAATGTAATAACATCTAATCCTGGTGAGAATGTGAAGAAAGTAGATCCTTATTCATTGTTTGTAAGAATATAAAATGGTACAGCCATTCTGGAAAAGAATATGGCAATTCCTTATGTACTTACAATCAGTTTGTGTTAGCCACAGACTGTGAGACGGAAGGACAAATATCATATGGAACCACCAAAGAACAAGACACCATAAAGTGACTTACTATACTACCGTAGCATAAAATGTGTGCTGCTAACTTGTATTTTAATTCCAGAGATCTTCAGCAATGTAGTCTAACAAAGCAAACTGTCAGGAAGAATAAATAATGGAAACCCTAAAAAATAATGAAACCTGAACCTGCGGCAGATAGGGACTGTATAAAATTACACATCCACCTGAGAGAATGGAATATGTGAAAGTCGTTGCTGGCATTTTCTCCAGGAGGCATTTGTGGGAAATTGTATTGAAGAGAGGCAGTTTTAAGAGCAGAGGAGGAATTCATTTACTAGAATTAGGTCCTAACAAGATGGAACTGCTACCTCATATGGCTCATGTATAGAACTGTAGAAACATTTCATGAGTATTTTACGTTCCTTTGCTCACTGTAACATCTATAAGGTGCTGACAAAATAATTTGGAGTTAGACCAATTGTTAAAAATAAATTATAGTGTATCTATTTTATGGTGAGGCATAGTGCTATGGCTGAATAAGAAGGAACCATAGTTAGTTTGCAGCAGGGAAGAATATCTAGAAAAGTGAGCTCCTTATTTTACCCTTTGGATTTTACTATGTACTACTGAGCTTGACATACGTAAGCAGTATGATTCTGAGAATTCTGAAGAACCATGACTAAGCTGATCCCATCTGGAAAAATCTTGATGTTATTTGGCTAGACATAACTCTTATGAGGTGGTCTATATCCAGATACTACACAACTCCTTGGAGTTTAGAGAAAAACAACAGAGGCTGTTCCAATCATTTGGTCAGAGCAGCAAGAGATTTTTGCATAAAATGCTCAAACCTTGGAGAGGTTACTTATTATTTCTGACTCAGTTTTCTTACTGGTAAAACAGAGATTAGAGTATCGGCTTCTATGGTTGCCATACAGCTTAAAATGAGGTAAACCTGTAATGGACTTAAAATAATAAATAAACCATGTTAAATGTTCTACAAAAGCTGTTATTGTTATTGTCATTAAGGAACAAACTTGTAGCATACAGGAGTGTGTATTCGTCCGTTTCCACAGGGCTATAAAGAAATACCCGTAATTTATAAAGGAAAGAGGTTTAATTGACTCAGTTCCACATGCCCGGGGAGGCCTCAGGAAACTTACAATTATGGTGGAAGACAAAGGGGGAAGCAAGGACTGTCTTCACATGGCACAGGAGGGAGAAGAGAAAGTGAAGGGGGAAGAGCCTCTTATAAAACCATCAGATCTTGTGAGAACTCATTCAGTGTCACAAGCACAACAGGAGGGAAGCCACCCCCATGATCCAATCATCTCCCTTCATTTGTATGTGGAGATTACAAGTCCCTCCTTCCACACATGGGGATTATAATTCGAGATGAAATTTGGGTGGGGATACAGAACCAAATTATATCAGAGTGTAACGCCTTGCTACTCAAAGAATGTGTGGGCTGTGAATAAATAGCATTGACATCACCTGGAAGCTTGTTAGCAGTGAGGAATCCCCAGCTCCATCTCAGGTCTATTGGGAATCACAATCTGCATTTTAACAAGATACCAGAATATCTTTATGCCCAGGAAAGTTGAGAAGTGCTGATTGGCATAGTGGACTCACACTGAGGTGTTTCTCCAGGTTGCTTGCTTACTTACTTACTTACTTACTTACTTACTTACTTATTTATTTAGAGACAGTCTCTCTCTGTCGCCCAGCCTGGAGTGCAGTGGTGCAGTTTTGCCTCACTGAAACCGCCACCTCGCAGGCTCAAGTGATTCTCCCACCTCAGCCTCCGGAGTGGCTGGGACTACAGACCTGTGCCACCACACTTGGCTAATTTTTGTATGTTTTGTAGAGACAGGGCTTTGCCACGTTGCCCAGGCTGGTCTCAAACTCCTAGGCTCAAGTAATCCTCCTGCCTCTGCCTCCCAAAGTGCTAGGATTAACAGGCGTGAGCCACGGCTCCTGGCCCTCTCCACCTTCTATAGAATACTGTCTGACTTAATCCTCACAGCCTCCTGGAAGTTGGCGTAGCTCCCTGGCCATAGCTGAGTGGTCTAGATATGGACATCTCCCCATTTTGTACAAAAAATTATTTCCCTCTCCACAATTCAAACTGAGTGAGACATAGAAACTGGGAAGTGGATACTGAATCACGTCAGCAGCACGATTCTAGAGGGAAGGTCTACGAACTCCAGCAGCTGAAATAACAGGAGGGGCTTCAATTCCTGCTCTTGTCCTCTGCTGTCCTGAAGTGCTTGTTGATTTGTCTTTCTGCACAGACTGCAGTAGATGTACCCTCACACATTGATTTGGTTCTTGTTCCCAAATCAACTCGGTGCCTCTGGTCCCTTAGAAAAATTTCTCCATCTGTCACCAAGGTTTTAGGGAAAGATCCCAAAATGTTCCTGAGGGAGCAAAGCATGACTCACCTCACATTCGCCTTACCACAAGGGGCCCACTTCGCGTTCTGAAAGAATCATTCTGAGTCCATTGGGCGGAGAAGTGGCTAGCAGCCTCTGTCCTCTATCACCATAAAATCCCAACTTGCTGAAAATGAGTTATTTAGGTTTTTGAGGATTTCACCTTACAGGTCTCCTGTCTTCATTGGAAGAAAGTAAATAAAGACAATGAATGAGCCAAAAAACTAGAGACTGAGCAAATAAAAAATTGCTGCCAATTATCTGCTCTGGATCTTTAGGCATCCATGTTGAAAAAATCGATCATTTTGCAACACATAGGGGATAACAATTTTGCTCAGAATGTTTTGTTTTGCTCTAGCTAGAAAGGGGTAGACTATCAGATTGAATTCAAAATAGAGCTAAAACGGGAAAAGTTCCCGTATCCCCCTTGCAGGCCGTGCTATGGGGGTGTGGCTCGCTTTTTTGGTGCGCCGCTGCTCAAAACCCCTAGGGGGAGCAGGCAGACTGGCAGGTCGTGGAGAGCGTGGGCTCCGACCCCACGGCAGTGCCTAGGGGTGAATGCTTACAGCTCTTTTGAAGCCCCAGTGGGCATGTGTTATAGCGCGCTCTTTTAGTTTTGTCGTTTGTAGGCAGCTTGCGTTAATCAGCTCAGTTAGATCCTCTGCCTTATCTCAAGGACAGAGGGATTTCTGTATCCGAGGGTCTTTGCCTTGGTGTACGGGAAAAATCAGATCACCCGTGTGCTTGGAGAATGAGGGCAAGGTTTTATTGAGTGGAAGTAGCTCTCAGCAGATGGATGGGAAGCCAGAAGGGAGATGGAGTGGGAAGGTGGTTTCTCTCTGGAGTCAGGTCACTCAGCGGCCAGACTCCCCTCCAGCCGCCCTGGCCACATTCCCTTCGGCTTCTGCGTCATTCCGCTGGTTGATGGCCTGCCGGCATCTGCTGCTGTGTTCTTTTGCTGGTGTGTTCCTCTCAACGTCCAGCCACTTGTGTCTTCTACTGGTGTGTTCCTCTCGAGGTCCAGCCGCTTGTGTCTTCTTCCACTAGGGTCTTGGGGTTTTTATAGGCACAGGATGGGGGTGTGGTGGGCCAGGGTGGTCTTGGAAAATGCAACATTTGGGCAAGAAAACAGGAGTTCCTGTCCTCACCTAGGTCCATGGGCACAGGCCCGGGGGTGCAGCCCTAACCAGGGGCTATGCCCTTCTCTTCCCAGCACTTCCCTGCCCCCTTCCTGTATCAGAACCATATTCAAGTCAATATGGCTGACTAAATGAAGTTTCAGGTGCAAAACCTTCTCACTGTAACTGGGGTTTTTCACTGGGATTTCTTGAGACATAATGTGATTAATCAACACAGTGTCTGCTCAGGCTGTGAGGGTGGGGCTGGGGATGGGAAGTGGAGTTTCCCAGCTCTGGGAAAGCTGGCACTGGCCAGGAAGACTTGTGAAAGGCTATGTTCTGTTTGCTACCTTCAAAGGAGAAAAAAAATCTGTTCATCAATTGCTTTTTATTGACTGTAATGTTTAATTATCATTTTTATAAGTACTGGAGTTTCCATAAGTCAGAAACATGGTTTCCAGGAAGTACACATTCTGAATCCCTGTCTCTATTCTTACACATGCTCTCAATCATGATACATAAACCTTAATACAAAAATCAAGCTTTCCTCTCAAGTATTTCAGCACCATAAATGGTTTGCATGGTCCTGTGGGTCATCACTCTCTTAATTTACTGAAAGTGCATTTAATAATTGCTGGACATCTGAAGCCAAAGCTAGTCAGCACTGGTTATTTACTTCTATTTTTCTCTATGGCAAGGGAGAAAGCCAGATTCCCATAGCTGTTCCAGCTCTCCCCCTCCCAAATAAAGCTTCTGCCAAAGCAGATTTTGTGCAGCTTTCCCTGCTTCAGAGCTGCCAGTTTTCCTAAGTACTGAATCAAAACTAATACATCATCCTTGAACTTTAAATTTCTGATGTGCCCTGACATTTGGAATAGCCTAGGAACCAGAAGGATAAGAAAGCAGTGGATTTTCCTTCCTTAATGATTTATGCTTTATTTTTGATATCCTTTTGCAGTTCAGAGCAGCTTGCTGGCATCGGCCCATCTGAGGCACAAAAAGGAGAAGCCTAGGGTGGTCTTCCTGTGGTTTGGAGGAAAGGCAGGCATACATACATTGAGACTGTCCTGCAATTACAGGCTTTCTATATTTATCAAGAAAAGAAGAATAGTGATTAATTTTCAAAATTTAAAGTAGAGATACAGGAAATTGGGTGGGCTTTTAAGAGATCAAAAAGAATGAGATTTCTAGCTCTCTTCTTCTCAGTGAGCTTCTGCTTAATTCTTGAATTGAATTTGAATTTTTAGCTTGTTTATCAAGGAGCAAGGGCCCTGGGTTCTAATGAGAGCACCAGATATCACTGAGAATTAATAGAATTGTGGCTGTGCTTTTATGTTGCCAAATATCGAATGAATCTTAAGAAAAAAGGGGAAAATGTGCAAATAGCAATAGAAACTTTGCTTTTTGAAATTATCTCAAGTACTAAGCTGGATGGATGTCCGAGAAGCGAATCTCTTATTAAAAACTAATAAGTTACCTAGATGCTAAGGTCGAGCTTCAATATACTCTGTCTGTGTTAAAAATATACCTAGCATCTAGGAACAAGAATTATCTTTCTGTTTTATTAAAGAAGCTGCTATCATTTTGTTAACAACACTCTGGATTGCTTGGGCCACCCAGAAGTAATATGCTGCAATCACTTCTTCTCTGTGGAGAAGTCCCCTGAGATAAGAACAGACCTGTTTTATCAATTGCCCTTCTGGGACCTGACAACTAAAAACTTAACTTTCCACATTAAGATGCTGTTGTGGTAGCTATTTTGCAATAGTAGATAAACATTGAAATATTAAAAATACTAACATCTAAAACATTGGAAGTTAAATGATTAAAATGTTTAAACAAAATACATAGTAAATAATTATTGCATATATATTTCATTTCTGATGTTAGAAAACATTTTTTGACATAAATATAGCCTGATTTGAGTTTCTCAACTCTATTCCTGCAAGTAATACATAGAGAAGAGAAGGTGCCTCAACGGTATCTCTATATTTTTCAATTTTCCACTTCTACTCCTCAGACACATCTAAACCAAAGAGAATTCAAACTTTTGCGTGTGTGCATAACCAATCACAATGCTAATCTTGTAATTTTATAGCTGGAGATGTCTTCAGCACAAGCTTCAGAGCCAGGCTACCTGACTTGAGTCCTGCTTCAGGTACTAAGCTAGATATGCAGTAGATCCTTGGGCCAATTAACTTCTGTGGCCTCCATTTTCTCATCTGTAAAATGGGGGTAATTACAGTTCCCACCTCATAGGGTTGGTTTTGAGGAGTAAATGAGAAAATACACAGAGGGCACCTAGAACATATTGAAACTGGCATAGTGAACACTAAACTTTTAGTTCTTGATTTTAGCTAAATGTGTTATTTTACCAGTGAGGAAACCAAAAAGTGAAGTGAATACTGCTGAAGTTGATCTTGAAATTTGTTTAACTTCACCTCTTTTACCTTATGGATAATTTACGACCTGCAAGTTTTCCTCTAGCTGTCCTAATGCCAATTACTTCTAATGTTCCCTTGAAAGATACATGTCCCAAGAACCCTGAAAGTATCATATTCCATACAGATTCATCTCAATCTTGTGACAGTTTGCAACCAAGTTATTATACGCAGTCTAAACACACTCTGAAAATTCATTACTTGGGGTTGACTAGTTCAGTATTTCATGTATATGTGATAATTAAACACAAGGAGCACTGCATAAAACAGTCTAATTTCTCTTTTAATTGTAATATTTCTCACCCTGTTCTATGGATCTCACCATCCTCTTTAGAAAATCTAATTCTGCTAAGATGGTTTCAAATGATTCTATGTTACTATGTAAATCCTTGAGTTAATAAAATGTAACATTCATAATGCTAGAAATGTTACCCTTGGTGAAGTATAGCATTGATTTTGATGCTCATTTTGTGATTTGCTTTCAATTCTTATCCTTTTTTTCCCCCACTAATAGGTTAAAAAAAAAATGGAAATATGGTGCTTTTTTCTCCTGCTTCTCTATCCCACACCTCTGGAACATTGACTAAATTGCAAGTGCTGGCTTCCTAAGAGAAAAAAGTGCTTGTTAAAATTCAGCAACTGGAGTGAACAGTAGGTACTTTTAATCTGAGTAAAACAATTACAACAGAGAGTGCAGTTCCAAGAACTGCGCAAAAGCTCTTGGAACCCTGGCTATGCTGTCAGACACCTATCTTTAAATTGCCTCCTGCCAAATGATGACTGTGGCCCTGTCACCCTGGCCAGCCCCATAAGTCTCATTCACACTCCTTCTAATTGGCAGGCCCTCACTCTGGGCACCTCTATGGCCCTTGTAACATTTTTTAGGCAGATAACTTGACACTGTAAATTTGGCTGGGAGCCTGCTACTGTGGGATTTCTTTACATCTGCCCTCAATGGTCACATCAGTTCATACCCTTGAAGTTCCAGCCTAAACATTTTGCAAATTAGATTCCAGGAAAGAAAGATGTGGCTGCATCAGAGAGCTGGCCGGCCCTTTCACCTGTTTGAAGAAGGAAGATTTGGTTACTCGGAAAAGGAGGGCTGAAAAGGTGGTTTCCATGGACAAGAAGACGAGGGAGAGGACTATCTTCCTATCAGCTTTTGAGGACTTGAGGAAGCCTAGAGTGTGTGGCGTTTGGTTTCCGACACACATGTGGCAGCAGGCTGGGGAAACCTGATAACAGCTTTTGTGGCCCCTGGGTCTGGAAACAGTTTCACTGATTGAAGTCATATAAGTTCAGCTAAATTTGAATGTGTTGTAAAAATTTTCTGGCAGCCTGACATACAGTTGTTCCTGAAAATTATAGGGTAGTGTCTTATCTTTCCTAGTATGTAATTTTTGAAATACTCTTCTGGATGGTGTTTCAGATGATAAATATAACTGAGTTATTGTTTTGTGCTAAGGTTTTCTCAGGCTTTGAGCCTGGTTAAAAGAATAGAGGGTATTTTCTGGGAACTTTGTTTTCCTAAATATATTGGAGACTGCAGTGAAAATCTGCTTAGAAACTAAACTTTGGTGAAACATAAACAGTCTGCTTTAGCTAGAGCAATATATTTTCCCTCACATTTCCAGAGACACTGGTATACAAGAAGTTAGATCCAATGGATATTTTATGTGAGAAAACTGTTAGTATACAGCATTCCTTTCCAGTAAATTATTGAGTTGGGTAGCAGCAAAATAGGCAGGAGAGAAGCTAGCCTTCAATGAAATAGTCCTTTGTTGCTTCAAAGGCAACTCTGAGCTTGCCTCACCCTCAGACACTGCTGCATGTAAAACAGCAGTAGCACAGACTGGAGCAAGTGCCTTGACAGGCCCTCCATCACTTCTCTACTCCTGTCCCATTAACAAACACATCTCCACCAGCCAGCCTGCGCTCTGCTCTTTGGGGAGAATGTGGGGACAGTCAGTGGCAGGCCAGGATGAAAGAGGAGTGACAAGAATGAAATGTTCAGAGTTAAATCTAAGACCAAAGTTGATGAGGTACAGCCACTTTTGATGGCCTAGGCCTTGACCTCATAGTTGTAGTTGCATCGATAATGACAACTCATTTAATTACTTAACTTTGTTTTCCCAATCCCAAGCATTTCTACCAGCTGAGACCACTCCCATGTTTCATTAGAAATTCCCAATTTGATTTGGAGGTGCCCTTGGAGAACTTTGCCATCTGCTCTGAGAAGACGGTCAACATGTGGCCAGCTATTACATATATAAAACTACTGCATTGGAAGACATCCTACAGTTCTGCTACGTAAAGAGCAAAGCCTTTGTCATGCCATCAATTCCATTTATAGGGTTTATAATCACCACTCATTTATTCAAGTTGTAGCATATGTCAAAGTCTGAACTGGTTCTGGTGACATAAAAGTGAATTAGCTGTGGATCTTACTTTCAGATAATTCACAGTCTTATAGAGGAACAAGGCTGAGGAGAATCTCTAACCTACTAGGATATAATTTTAAAAGCAATATAATACATAGTGAAATGTACTTGAGACATGGCCCAGTAGTAATGGCATCAGATGTCTTAGCAGGAGTAATCAGAAATTTTAATTTTATTATGGAATTATTTTTGTCCCCACTCTGTGGGGACACTATACTCCCCACGAGGCTCAGTACTGTTCCTCCTACATCAGCACAAACATACATGACTGCCTCAGCGGGGAAGATAGAGGCAGAGACTAGAGAACTGGGAATTAAATGGCTTTGTCTGGAAACAATATGCATCACTTCTTACTCATCAGGCAAAGCAAGTCACAAGCTGTGGCTAAGTTGAAGGGAACAGGAAAATATAGCATTTCTATTGTGTCTGTGCTAGAGAGGAAAGCAGCATATTAGTGAATAGAATAGTAGTCATATCAGCTAGAGTGCCTCAAGCCTTTCCCATCTCTTAAACTTTTGTCTAAAGAGATACATCATGTAGGGAATCTTAAAGTTTGAGATTCAGACAATGGGGCAAAGTCTATATGGTTTAAATAGTCAAATACTTTATTGGGTGACATTAAGTAGCTTACAGACTTC
Organism: Homo sapiens; assembly: GCF_000001405.40. NCBI lineage: Eukaryota > Metazoa > Chordata > Mammalia > Primates > Hominidae > Homo > Homo sapiens. Next base: position 107,749,600 of record NC_000008.11, on the reverse strand, counting down.
CTGGGAAGGCCAGAGAGTCAAGCTTGGAAGATCTTAAGACAGGAGCAATGCCAAACCATAGTATGAGTTGGCTCAAGAACAGCATGGTCGCCCCTACCAGGACAGGAGTCAGGTCCATAGCTGCCCTTGCTGATGCTTGGGTGTGGACACTAGCATCTTCGTCATTTTTGCCTCCCCGGAATAAGTACTACAGCTACAGTCTTGCCAGAAAGTGAGTTCTAAGCAAAAGTATTGTGTGGGTGCAACTCATGGGTGGAGCTGAGGCCACATGACCTCAATGTGCAGAGGAGGACAGGGAAGGGAAGTCAGGCTTCTCTGAAAGGTGCTCAAAAAATGCTGGTTGTCTACTAACATGTCAATCGTCCATCACAATAACCTCCCCTGTAAATACCACTCTCTTATTATTTTGTTTCTGATATTGCTAACCTTTTCAATATATAAAAAGAAAATTTACTTTTTAGTATAAAATATTTTACAAACTCATATTTTCTTCAGTCCCTTCATGGTTAGTTGGTTTCCCTTTTCCACTAGACTTTTAATGCCACAAAACAGAAACCATTTTTTTTCTCATCCAATAAACTAATTGGAATTTTATGTAGAATATCTGTTCTATACACAAGGTAGTCATTAAAAAATGCTTAGAGATTGCATATTTTAAAATAAGTCAATAAAGGTAAATTGATCAATTTGCAAGTTCTATTGTATTCATTCTAACAACAATACTGACCTTTATTCCAGGTAGTATATTAAGTGCTTTATGTGTTTTATTTCATTTAATTCATACAGGAATAATGAAGTAGACATGTCTATTTCTCCAATTGTACATATGAGAAAATAGAGGCTTAGAGGTCTTAAGCAGCTTGCTCTAGATTACACATTTGCATGTTGGCTAAATTAGGATTCGAACCTAAGTGGAGCAAACTTCAGAATTTAACCACTATTTTATATTGCTTCCATGTCTACTTTAAGGATTACTTGAACAGACTGTAATAGAAAGAGAAAAATCGATAGATCTGGAATAATTTTCCTTAGAAAAGGAAAGCTGATCCCGGGGCTAAAGAAAGTATAGCCATTATATTCACTAATATTGGATATCTCTTCTAATCCAACATTAAAGGACTTCTGCAACACATTGAAGGGGCTTAGGGTAGAGCCCTCTAATTTTAATATGTTTCACCTTTCAAGATCAAATCTCCCGGAAATAACCAGAATCGTGCATATTAAAAGCTTACTTTTACAATTATTATTATTACTGAAATATAAGCCCAGTAATGAAAGATTGATTTTTTTCGTATTTATCAAAAACAGAAATTAGGCAATACTTTGCCTTTAAGCAAACTGTTAGGAACATGAAGTTTAGTATGTACAGGTATTAGTTACATCTACTAATGGTGGTACTTGTATGAACTTGCAATAAAATTATTAGGAGTAGGTAAAGAACTAACTTAAATTGCAACCTTTTTATCAAGAGGATGACATTTAAGCCAATACTAACGTTCAATGTGATGGGAGTAACAATTTATACTAAGGCTATAACTTTTGGTTGTATCGTTTTAATGTGTCAGACTTTGATTCAACATCATTTTGAATAATCTCTTGCAATGATAAGGTTCAAGAAAATTTATGAGAGTTTATGGAACTTCGAGGATTTTCACTGAGTTAATCATCATGGGGAATTCATTACCTCTATATTTATCAGTAAGATGTACAAAAAAAGCCCCACACATGAGCATATATATAAATGATAATTTTATAGCATTCTCCATCAATAAAATTTCATGTTCAGAAGAATCTTATCTATCTCTAATATACTTCTTTGGATTTGGAGCTATTTGAGGAGACACTTTGGTTATTTTCTGATGTGGGATAAGTATTTTCACCTTCAGAAGTTAAATCAAACCTTTAACAGACGTAAAGAATGTTCATAAATGGTGACTGAGGAATTATAGTGAGCGAGAATATTTCTGAGGGGAACTGGAAGACAGGATGAAGCACTCCATGGTTGTCATTGTCAGACCCTGTGAGCTCAGACACTAACATGAATGCTGTTGAACTATGAATGCCTGGGCACATCACTTAACCTTTCTGTGTTTCCATTTTCTTATCTACACAATGAGGCTAATAATACTGATTGACCTCACAGCATTTAATTAGACTATTGGGAAGCTCTTTGAAAATGCTAAGTATCATTTGTTGGCACTTAGCTTCATGAAAGGTTTGTGTTTTTAACACACTGTGGCTTGAGGATGTGTTGGTACAACTCCTGCCAACTTCTTGTTTCTCCACCATATCTTTTCTGAGCTCCCTTTGAAGTCAATGGGAATTAGGGTGATTGAAGGCACTTAGCAGAGGCTTCAGGTATGAGAGTGTATTTTCTGGCATGTTTATAGTAGGACTATTCTTATAAAGAAAGTGCCCTGCCTCTCAGTGGAAAAGGAGCTTGATGGCTTCTCAGTGGTTTATGGGTGGGTAAATTAATGATTGCTCATGGAGCTTAAGGCCTAGAGCAGATTTTTGGCAAAGATAAGAAAAAATGTTCAAATTATTTGAAAAAAATAATACATACACTTTTAGGCAACATAAATAATAACTTAGGCTCCTCTAGGGGAGGATTAAGCTTTTTACTTTCTGTTCAGAAGACATAGTTGTTACCTAATACATGCTTGCTAAAGAAATGCATGATGGATGGGCAAAAATTACTATACCAGTAGCATGTTAGATGATTATTATACAACATTAGTGCAGCATCTAGAATACATTTTTGTTACCTTCTATGTAGTCCTTTATGTGGTTTTCTTGCTCTATTATAGCATTAACCAGAATTCTTTGTGGTACTGTTTACAGAAATGTAGAAATGTATTGTATGACATACTTTTACTCAAAGCTTTAAGAACAAAAAGGGGGAGTTCCATCACACTTTCAAACTTGCACTCCTTTGGAAACATCACTATACTTCCATGACATCCTTTCTAGACTGTTTTAACAGCCTTCCAGTTGGTATCCCTATTTCTGATCTTTTCCCAGAGCCATTTTACAATCAGTTGCCAAACTAATCTTTCTTAAATATGGCTTTCATGATGACACTTGTTTCAAAAGCTTTCAGTGTCTCCCTATTTCCTATTGTGTCACTCCTATCTTCAAAACTAAAATTTTAAAATCTGATGTGTTTTAAAAGGATAAGCTGAATTGTGCCCCCGACCATCATATGTTGTGTTCTTAACACCTTGTACCTCAAATGTGAACATCTTTAAAAATAGGATATTTATTTATTTATTTATTTAGAGACAGAGTCTTGAGCTGTCGCCCAGGCTGGAGTGTGGTGGCATGATCTTGGCTCACTGCAACCTCTGCCTCCCTGCAACCTCTGCCTCCCAAGTTCAAGCGATTCTCCTGCCTCAGCTTCCCAAGTAGCTGGGATTACAGGCGCCCGTCACTAAACCTGGCTAATTTTTGTATTTTTAGTAGGGACGGGGTTTCGCCATATTGGCCAGGCTGGTCATGAACTCCTGACCTTGTGATCTGCCCACCTCGGCCTCCCAAAGTGCTGGGATTACAGGCGTGAGCCACCACACCCAGCCTGAAATAGGATATTTAAAGAGGTAATTATGGTAAAATGAGTGAATTAGTGTGGGCTCTAATCCAATATGACTGGTGTCCTTATTACAAGAGGAAATTTGTACACAGGCACAAAGAGGAGACCCTTTGAAGACATAGGGAGAAGGCCATGTACAAGCCAAGGAGAGAGGCCTCAGGAGAAACCAACTCTACTCACATTTGATCTTGGAGTTCTAGCCTCTAGAAAATGATTTCTGTTCTTTAAGCTGCCTTGACAATGGTATTTTGTTATGGTGGCCCTAACAGACTAATACATCATTCACAATATGAAAGCCTTCATGGCTTTACAACCTTATTTCTCTAATGATAACTTGAATTTTAATCATCTAGCTAAATAAAAACCAGGACTGTCTACAATTCAAGGGAGGAACACTAAGAGATAGAACACCTTTTTACTGACCACAGGACCTAGGAATATCATGTCTTCTGTCCAAAATATGGAAAATATACTTGCTTTTCCTGATCCAAAGGTCTGTAGGCTTTCAAATAAGATGGCACATATGGAAGCATTTGGAAAACTGGAAAATGTCAGCTTCTGACTTTCCAAACTCTGTTCAACTGCAGGTCACAAAGAACTTTGATGTTACAAGCTCAGCTCCACCCTAATCTGGAGCCCAAATGTGACTATGTTTTAGAAGCCCTATTTATACCAGCAGGTAGAATCTGAACTCAGCTTTGATGACTGAAGATGTCTATCTAATGGGTTTGGGATAAGCTCCTTGGGCACCTGTGTCTTCTCTTTAGAATTCCCAGTGATGATGCCATTATCCATATTGTTTGGCTTCAGCCCTATTTCTTGGTTGGTATTCAAAGTTATTGCTGGAAATCAGACACTGCTCCAAACAATACCCTTTTCATAGGTGTAGGACACTCCCTGGAACCTACTAAGCACTTTCTAACCCCTCTGTCACAGAGTTAAATCTTATCCTTGGACACTCGTCAAATACTGCGGCTCTGCTTTAGACTGGAGCATTTGTCCCCAAGATCATGACAGCCTCTTGACATGCTACTGCCTTTTGATGACACTTGCCATCCATAAGAGTAGATGCCCTCTGTCTGAGTACCAGCCTTGCCAGTCCTCCCAGACATGATTTAGACCTTGATTCCACCCCTCTAGGGATAGCCCCACAGATAGCTTAGGCCATTTTGTGCCTGTTCTGCCTTGTGTACTTCCTGTATTGCTCTAATAGTGAGCTCCATCACAACTTACTTCAAGGCTAAGCTCATATATGGTCCTATGCAAAAATAAAGGAATCTTCTTACTATAGAAAATCAAAGCTGAACTCAGTTTCTATTTTCTCTAAGAATTGTTTACTCTCTCATAAATATTTTCTTTCTTTGAACTCCTAAAGTATTTTCAGTCCATATTACAACACTGAGCCCTTAATTATGTAATTGATCTTTTTATATTCTTTTTGTGAATAATTTCCTATGATTTTCTTTTGACAAATAGATTATGAAGTTGCAATAGTACACTTTTACTGAGTATATATTCTGAGCATAACAAAATATAAAGCTTTAAATGAGTTTTAAAAGTAAAAAAAAGTTTGTAAAGATATAATAAAAATATATATAGATGGCCAGGCGCAGTGGCTCACACCTGTACTCCCAGCACTTTGGGAGGCCGAGGTGGGTGGATCATGAGGTCAGGAGATCGAGACCATCCTGGCTAACATGGTGAAACCCTGTCTCTACTAAAAATACAAAAAATCAGCTGGGCGTGGTGGTGGGCACCTGTAGTCCCAGCTACTTGGGAGGCTGAGGCAGGAGAATGGCGTGAACCTGGGAGGCAGAGCTTGCAATGAGCCAAGATTGCACTACTGCACCCCAGCCTGGGCGACAGAGTGAGACTCCCTCTCAAAAAAAAAAAAAAAAAAAAAAGAAAGAAAGTAAAAATGTAAAAATACCCATTTTTTTTCTGGCATGTTATTTATGCTTTTTATAAACACATTTTAATTTTAGGCTATACAAGTACATTTTGTCATAGCCTTTTTAGGATGTTTTTGACATTCATGAGTTTAAAGTTTAATGTAATTAATTTTGTCAGTGGTTTTCACTTTATATTTATGCTAAGAAAAGCCTTCATTTCCATAAACTCAGTTGAATATTTAAATACATTTCCGCTTGGTTTTTATGTTTTATTAAATAAATTCTTTAATTCAAACAGTACATTATTAAATTTGTAAATGCATGCACATAGTGACTATGCATAGGAAAAGATGGACAAGAAACATCAAAATGTCAATATGATTATGTGATCAGGTCTAAGGAGTAATTATTTTGTTTTCTTTCTACATTGCTGTATATGATTTTATTTTTTAATGTGCCATTGCTAAGAAGTAACTAAGAAAAGGCATTCTGAAATAGACTTATTTCTGTGCTTTCTTGTGTTATTATGTTAAAAATTTCTTTCTGAGCTTTTAGTTCACTGTTCTCTCTGTATCTATGTCTGTCTGTCTGTCTGTCTATCTATCTATCTATCTATCTATCTATCTATCTATCTATCTATCTTTTTTATTTTTTGAGATGGAGTCTCATTCTGTTGCCCAGGCTGGAGTGCATGGCGCAATCTCAGCTCACTGCAAGCTCCGCCTCCCAGGTTCATGCCATTCTGCCTCAGCCTCCCAAGTAGCTGAGACTACAGGCACCTGCCACCATGCCTGGCTAATTTTTTGTGTTTTTTAGTAGAGACAGGGTTTCACCGTGTTAGCCAGGATGGTCTCGATCTCCTGACCTCATGATCCGTCCTCCTCGGCCTCCCAAAGTGCTGGTATTACAGGCATGAGCCACTGCGCCCAGCCATCTGTATATATTTTTATTATATCTTTACAAACTTTTCTTAAAGTAGACCAAGTGTCACGGTTAAGTAAATAGGTATAGGGGCTGAAAAAATAGAGACAGTAACATTTTAATAGTCCAAGCATTCTATTTTAATCAGGATAGATTCTGCTATGGTAAAAAGTAAAAAAAACCTACCCCCATAACTCTGTGTTTTAAGGCAGTAAAGATTATTTCTGGCTCACATTACATCTCCATCTTTGGTCAGAAGGGAACTCAACACAACATAGTCACTTAGAGGCCTGGGTTGACAGAGAAGCCACCATCTCCAACTTTATGGGTCACCTTGCTGAAAGAGAAGACCTCAAGGAGGGTCTCTCTCACCAGCAATTAAATACTCAGACTAGAAGATGATTTCGACTCACAGCTCCTTGGTCAAAACTAGTCACATGGTCCTAAAACAAGTAAAGTAGGAAGTGCAATCCTATTATGAGTCAGAAGGCAGAGAATTAGAAACATTTGGTGAACAGCGCTAATCACTCTTTGACATTATTTTAAGACTGAGCAAAGAATATTTCTAGTGTAAATTCTCAAATGCTATGAATTACATCTTGGCTTAAAAAACAGGCAATTTTTCATTCAAAACATTTGCATTTTTCTTTGTATTACTAAAAGTACAGATATATTGAAGGCCTATAAATTCAGATCATATTAAAATGAAACTAGAGATCTAATTAGTTATGAAAATAATAGTTTTGTAAGTCCCGATTGTTGCATATTCTGTTTACTTAAAATGAGAATGTGATTAAGAATATCATTTTGACAATTATATTCAGGTTTTTTTTGTTAACTAATTTAAATAAATAGGAGGAAAAACTTATTTAAAAGAAAAAGTTATTGCCTTTTATGCAAGTCATTTGATAGACAAAACAAAGATATCATAAAACATTTAAACTTTTGTAAAGAAATTGTGATAGAATATTCTTATATTTATCACGAGTACCTAGTAATTTAAAGAATTCCATGAAGAGATGAAATAGGAAGAGAATTAAGTTGTTGGATATAATAAATATTTAAAATAAACAAAGGAGAGAGTTAGTTTCAGGATCACCTTAATTATACCCGTGGCTTTGAGAGTCAACTTTTAAAGGCTAGATTCTTTAAACGATCCTCCAAACATAATCTTGATATTTTCCCACAATGTAAAGCGACCATCTTAGATTAAAATGTTTGGAGGAAAAAACACAACAACTTCTTTCCAATCATTTTCTGTTGAAGTATTTTCAGTGACCCTGTCAAAATAAAACAAATTTTGCACCAATAGGTTTAATAAAAAAATAATAAATGACTGGGTCATTTGGTTATTTTCTTGCTAATAGATGTTTTCATCCAGTCTTCAGGCTCGGAAAGTATTTTTTTCCAGGGAGAAGAATAGTGTGAAATCATTTATACGGTTTAAACTGTCAAAAAGCACTGTCATTAAGTCACTAATGTATGTCCATAGGGGAAACATTCTCCTGAGACCTGATGCTGTTCCTAAACCATTTGATCTGTGGTCTCGTATTTTACATTTTCGGCAGAACACCTCTTTTATATTACAGTTTCCTACTTGCTTGGAGGTGCTCCATTATTGTCCATTTTGAGTTTAGTAAATGACAAAATCCATGATGTATTCATTCCTCTCTTTTAACAATAGCAAAGTATGTAGGTATCAGTTTACATCACTTTGTTAACAGGAATGATTCAAGAAAGGGCCCATACTTGACCTCCCCTTCCCATCCCCTGCCAAAAAAAAAAAAAAAAACAACAACAAAAAACAAACCCAAAAACCTCCAAATTCATTGAGAAATGCTTGCTTTCAGATTTAAGTACTTGTTATTTTGTTATTTTACAAATTAAATTACGTACTTGCTAGTTCACCAAACAATGGAAGTTTTGTATTACACAATATTCCTGGGAGTTAGATAAGAAAACATTTCAAATATAAAGGGAAAGAAATTGTAGTCATTTGGCTGGCAAGATTTCTTTTTTTATATTATGAGATTGGAAGATTGATGAAGTGTCCAGGAGTTGTAGGAGATGGTTCCAGATGTCAGGAGCTGCAGGGAAGATGACTGTGACAAGGAGAATAGCAGAATATGTGATGGCATTAGGAGTTCAGGTCTTGGATAGTCTGAGAATGTTGACAAATATTATGGCTTTGATACAGCAGATAGATGAGATGGTTAGTATAAAGAATATTGAAAAGAAGGGAAATTACTTTAAAATGGATTTTAGAATTATTGGAACACCAGGTCTTTATAATCTGAAAAATGCAACCAACATTTTTCATAAGGATTCAGAGGCCTTTAGGCTCCTGGATTTAAGAGTTCTATGAGAGGATCACTGAAGTCATTTAAGAGTCTTTCAAAACGTTTAGCAGGGGTGAGGGGGATGAAAAAAGGCAAATGTGACTCATGTAAAACTGCCATGGTGGATGGATTTGTCTATAGGATACGACGCAGGAGGAAATGGTAAGGCACGCTTCAGGACACTGTGTAATTTTATACCAGAACCATCAGGTATTAGGTATATAGTATTGGGGATAAAGGAAACCCAAAAAATTTACATTGGTATCAATCAGAATAATGAAGCAAGATAAAAAATAATGAAGAAAATAGGACTAACCTAGAAATTGTTATTCAGATTTTAATACATTACACAAAAATAAGAAAATCAACGACTAGAATAATGGTTGATGTGACATATTCACTGTATTTACTTGTTAAAAATTTTTTTTTCTAACTTATAACTGTGTCAGATCTGAGAAGGAAAAATTGTAAAAAAGGAGCCATTTCACATTTCAACTGATGGAAGCTGATGTTATGTAGTGAAATCAGTGGTGAATTTGGATCAAGAAGAAAGGAATTCATATCCTGGGTCTGACACAAACCAGATGTGTTATCAGGAATAAGTCACTCTGTGAGTGTTCATTTCCTCATCTGTAAAAATGAGAGTTATAATTGCACTAGAGACGACCACATCCATCAATATTCATTCCCTCTTTCTTCCGTAGGAATCAAACTTACAATTTTTAGCTGGCAATTATGTTGTCCCAGATAAAGACTGCATTTTCCATTCTCCCTTTGTAGATAGATGCAGCCATGTGATTAAGTTCTGGACATAATTAGAGCTGCCATGCAGCAGCTTGGAGGAACCTTCCATAAAAGAGGACTGATGCAAGTCCATTGCCTTCTTTTCTTTAAACTTTTCCCCATCCTGCTGTCTGAAATGCAAATAGGAAGGCTAAAAGTTCAGTGGCTCTCTTAGACAAAGAGGACATGGTCACATGTTAATTATGGCAGAACATACGGCTGGGCTCCTTGGCTCGTGCCTGTAATCTCAGCACTTTGGGAGGTCAAGGCTGGTGGATCACCGGAGGTCAGTTTGAGACCAGCCTGGCCAACATGGTGAAACTTCATCTCTACTAAAAATACAAAAATTAGCCAGGGGTGATGGTGGGCGCCTGTAATCCCAGCTACTTGGGAGGTTGCTGCCGGAGAATCATTTGAACCCAGGAAGTGAAGTTTGCGGTGAGCTGAGATTGCGCCACTGCGCTCCAGCCTGGGGGACAGAGCAAGACTCCGTCTCAAGAAAAAAAAAAAATAATAAAAGAATGGCAGAATATTGTGTTGGAAGGAGCCTGTTTTTTTCAGGACTTAGTGAAGCAGAATCAATATATCAGCCTTCAGAATTTTATTTACTAGAAAATACATTTCTATCTTATTAAACTCTGTTGTTTGTAGCTGAACTTAATCCTGATAATATGTTTACTTTATAGTTTATTAGAAATGTTAAATAAAAGCCTGGGTACAAACCAAACACCGCATATTCTCACTCATAGGTGGGAACTGAACAATGAGATCACATGGACACAGGAAGGGGAATATCACACTCTGGGGACTGTTGTGGGGTCGGGGGAGGGGGGAGGGATGGCATTGGGAGATATACCTAATGCTAGATGACGAGTTAGTGGGTGCAGTGCACCAGCATGGCACATGTATACATATGTAACTAACCTGCACAATGTGCACATGTACCCTAAAACTTAAAGTATAATTAAAAAAAAAAAAGCCTGGGTACAAAAACTACAGTAGACCCCCTTGTCCCCAGGGGATATGTTCCAACCACCCTAGTGGATGTCTGAAACCACAATCAGTACCAAAACCTACATATGCTACTTTTTTCTTACATATGCCCATGAAAAAGTTCAATTTATAAATTAAGTATAGTAAGAAATTAACAACGATAACTAATAAAAAAAGGACAATCATAACAATATTCCAGCATCACTACTCTTGCACTTTGGGGCCATTATTAAGTAAAATGAGGGTTCACTTCAATACCAGAACAGTTGATCTGATAGCCTAGGTGGAGCTAAGTGGCTAATGAGTGGGTAGCATACACAGCGTGGATAAGCTGGACACAGGGAGGATTCATGCCCTGGGTGGACAAAGCGAGATTTCATCATGCTACTCAGAAGGTGCTCAATTTAAAATTATGTATTGTTTCTTTCTGGAATTTTCTATTTAATATTTTTGGACTGAGGTTGACCACCAGTAACTGAAACCTTGGAAAGCAAAACCACAGATAAGGGGGACTAATGTACTATCAAAATTCTGGCACATAATGGGAGCATAATAAATCATAGCCGATTAAATTAATCCATGTTAAGCAATAACATTTTAACATGAATTTAGATTATCATCAATATATAGCTCACTGGCTGTTCAGATCTACATTTTTAAAAAATAATCTATCTTGAGACTGCTTGAAATGATTAAGGAAGTGGAACAAAGAAGCAGAGAAAAAATAATAAAGGCAAGAGATGAACTAAGTCACAAAAAGTCAACAGTCACCTCCCTTTAAAGACTTCTCTGTTCATCTAGATAGAACTATCACATTTCTCCTTTGTGCTCTCCAAAATATTTGAACCACAAACCATGCATTACTATTCCATTTTATAACTCTGTGTGAACATGTCATTCATTCTAGAGAGCAACATTGAACATCTCGTCTGTGCCAGGCATGTGTATCTCATCTATCTCACTGAATAGTGAGCTCCTTGAAGGCAGGACTCATTCTGTATGTAGTTACCTGTTCTCCACTTAGCGCCTGGTCTAATTATCAAAAGTCCTGATTAGCTTTTATTTATAAACAGATTTCCTTACCCAACTCCAATATATGGTTAAAAAAAGCAAACATCTATGTTTGGCATGTAGTAAATACTTAGTGAAAGTTTTGATCAATTGAATTTTTTCTTCCAACAAGAAACCACTAGAGTGCAGAATGCTGTGTTTTTATATCTACTTTACTTTACTGTGATTGCAATTTTGATATCATCTTTTCTTTTCCCTCTCTCTCCAACCCCCCTGTTATCCAATCAATAGCTCATGGCTATTCCTGTTCCTCCATTCCTGTTTATACTGTCCAAGGCTGTTCTCAAAACCCTGCTCTCAACCTTCTACATCTGTTCCTCTTAGTTTCTGTTTGTTCCATACACATTGCAGAATGGCCTTTCAGACATTTAAGAATAGTAATGCTCCATTTTACACTCTCTTCTTTTTGCTAAAAGAATCATTCTTTTGTAGAGGCATTCTGAGTCACCAATGTGCTTAGGGGAAGTGGTTCCCACTTTCTGACCAGGAAAATAAACCACAAACAGTTTAAGTCATTAGTTGGTATTAGATTTGGCTGCAAATAACAGAGAACAAAAATAATAGCAACTTAAATACTGTACAATGGAATGTTATTTCATTTTTATGGTAATTTCCAAAAGTGGACGGTTTGAAGCTGGCATGGCAAATCTATGTTTACAAAGTCCTCAGGAACCAAAGCTCCTTCTATCTTGGAGGTCTACCTTGGTTCCATCCTTTAAGTCATTTCATGGACCCGAGTGTCTGTTCAAGCTGTCAAAATCACACCTGCCTTCCAGACAGCAAGAAAGAACAAGGAATTAAAAAAAGGAAGCATTCCAATCTTTTAAGAAAAGCTTCTAGAAGGTTCCACTTAATTTGTCTTTTACAACCCATTGGCTAGAACTTAGTCACAGGGTCAAAACTTGTTGCAAGGGGAGTCTGGGAAACATACTCTTTATTCTAGGTCATCATGTACTCCGCCAAAAGTTTTCTCACTGAGAAGATGAACAGAAAGGTAAGAAAAGATATTGAGCAAACATTAACATATGCTGTTACTTTCGTTAACAACACTCCCATTTGCCAATGGTCAGTTTAGAGGAATGTGATCTAGTTCTGCTAGTCAAACCTGTGGGAAAGTATGATGAGAGTTTCTGGCAAAGAGGTTCCTCCTTGATAAAAATAAAACAGGGAGAGAAGAAAGATGCTTAGTTTGTAGTCCCCGTTTCTTGCCTTTTGGATGTGATGCCTGTCTGAAGTATGACTGCCAAATGCTTCCAGGAATGGAAAGCTAAGAGAATCACAGAGGAAACCACCATAGATGATTATATTAGTGAGTCTCTGAATCTACCTTGTAACTCCCTACATATGGACCTCTTACTAAATGTGTGCAAATAAACGTCTGTATCACTTAAGCTGTCTTTACTGGGTATTCTGTTACTTGCTGCTGAAAGCATTGAAATTGATACGCTTTCTTACTAGCATAATAAAACCTAAACTCCTTTGACACAGTAGGTAAGATGCTTTTTCCCTATCTTTCAACCTCAACCTCATTTCTTCTCCCACCCTCCTCCTTCCCTGCCACATAAATGCTATTGCTGGGTCCAGCCATTGCCATTCAGAACTTCTTTTCTTTGTTTACAATGCTAGGTCATGTCTTTATACATGACTCCTTACCTAGTCTGCATGACAAATTCCTGTTGCTGCCCTAAGAAACTCAGCAAACCAGATGGAGTTTCATCAACTCCATGTATCAGAAACCAGGCTGCAATAAGTTAAGCAGACAGGGTTTGTTTTCTTCACATAAGATGCTGAGACATAAGCAGTTTCTGTCCAGACTATCTGTTTGTGGAAGTTATCAAAGCCCAGATGTCCTTCTACGTTCCCATTCCATTTCATTCCATACGTTGCATCTTGTGAAACGACTTTAGTTCTCATTGTCTTGGGATGACTGCTGTACTTCCAGACATTGAATCTGCATTCCAGGCAGGAAGGAACAAAAAGTAACAGAAGAGTTTGTTTACTAGCTAAGTTTGTCAGTTTTTATCAGTTTTTTTTGTTGTTGTTTTTGTTGTTGTTTTTGTTTTTGTTTTTGTTTTTTGAGATGGAGTCTCGCTCTGTTGCCAGGCTGGAATGTAGAGTGCAGTGGTGTGATCTTGGCTCACTGCAAACTCCGCCTCCCAGGTTCAAGCAATTCTCCTGCCTAGCCTCCTGAGTAGCTGGGACTACAGGTGCGTGCCACCACACCCAACTAATTTTTGTATTCTTAGTAGAGATGTGGTTTCGCCATGTTGGCCAGGATGGTCTCCATCTCTTGACCTCGTGATCTGCCCACCTCGGCCTCCCAAAGTGTTGGGATTACAGGCATGACCCACCGGGACTTTTATTTAACTGCAGCATTAGGTATAAAACATTGTTTGCTTCTATATCTGGTTCTCTATGAGACTAGTTCTCCGCCAAGCACGGTGGCTCTCACCTGTTATCCCAGCACTGTGGGAGGCTGAGGTAGGTGGATCACAAGGTCAGGAGTTTGAGACCAGCCTGGCCAACATGGTGAAACCCCGTCTCAACTAAAAATACAAAAATTAGCTGGGCATGGTTGTGTGTGCCTGTAATCCCAGCTCCTCAGGAGGCTGAGACAGAAGAATTGCTTGAACCCAAGAGGCAGAGGTTGCGGTGAGCTGAGATTGCACCACTGCACTCCAGCCTGGGTGACAGAGTGAGAGTCCATCTCAAAAAAAAAAAAAAAAAAAAAGACTAGTTCTCAAGAGAGGTATATTAGACATGGCCTCAGTAGAAAAAGGATGGCATACAAAAGGGGTATATGAAGGGAGTGTAAAAAAAGAATTATTTACTAAGGTGTTGATATGGTTTGGCTATGTCCCCACCTAAATCTCATCTTGAATTGTAACTCCCACAATTCCCACATGTCCGGGGAGGAACTCAGTGGGAGGTAATTACATTATGGGGGTGGGTCTTTCCTGTGCTGTTCTCATGGTAGTAAATGAGTCTCGAAAGATCTGATGGTTTTTAAGAATGGAAGTTTCTCTGCACAAGCTCTCTCTTTGCCTGCTGCCATCCACATAGGATGTGACTTACTCCTCCTTGCCTTCCACTATGATTGTGAGGCTTCCCCAGTCACATGGAACTGTGAGTTCTCCATTAAACCTCTTTCCTTTGTAAATGGCCCAGTCTCAGGTATTTCTTTATCAGCAGCATGAGAACAGACTAATACAGGTGTGGACAAGATTATGGGAACTAACCAGAGATGATAAAACACCCAGCGATTACCAACAGAGACAGGTAATTACTACCTCTATGCCTAAAGAGGCAAGAAAGTCAACTTCTAACAAAACCAGTGAGACCTGAAGAAGCAGGAGCTATGGTTCTGGGTTGGAATTTAGCCTCAGCCAATTCGCAGCCTATGACATAAGGATCAGAGAGAATAAATACCCTGACTTGTCCTCTTTTTTCCGTCAGCATCTCTCACTGGACAAACCCAACAGGAAACCAGAAAACAAACACAGCCCTGCTGACATGGTCCTAAGAGGTCAGCCTCTTAGGGCTCAAGGAAGGGTGGGGAGGGGCAGAGATGAATTTCAATGTGCAAACACAAACTAACCAGAGCAGGTGGGGATCATTTCTGTGGTCCAGCATCTAGTATAGCATCTGAACATCACAGGTGCTCCATAAATATTTATAAAATAAGTACTGCTGAATGAATTAAAAAGAAAGAAATATTCTCCCATTGACATATGACCTGACCAAAAATTTATAGAGCTTTAAATACGAGTTTGAAGGTGTGGTTTGGCCCTTGGAGATAAATGGCTTGGGGAGCATTCCAAATCACCAAGTGTCTTTGAGGCTGAATATGCTTGGGTGATTCTACACTCAAAGAATGCACTAAACAGAATCTGGGATGCTCATACATCTCTCAAAAACAAGATCTTTCTCTGGTAGGCCCCTTAAAAAATACAAAAAACATGATAAATACTTCTAGTGCAGACATTGCCAAACCTACGTGAGTTCATAGCTGGATGACACTAGATGTCCTCTTTGCCTTCATCCATCTTTGCTAAATACATTAGGGACATTTTATATTGGTTGGTTACTTCATGTTGGTTACTACAATATGAGAGCCAAGTGACTGAATGCCCTTTTCATTTTTGAGGAATTTGGTAAGCTCAGCTAACCAAGAGGGTGCTTCTAAAATTTTTTATGAGTAGCTGTTTGAGATCTAGGTGAATAGAAGGACAAAAAAATGGGTGCTCTTTAATAAAAAAAACCAATGATACCTATCATTAATTACTGCAGATTTTGCAAAGGGCCTGTTTGTTCTCAGTTGCTAAGACACTTTCGTTACACAGAAAGCCAGTTTGGTTGCAATGAAGTTATGATGAACTTTTTGCATTATGGCACCAAAGCGCAGGTTTCAAGTGGTAGAAGGAGACAGGAATAGGAAAATTGCCTTCTTTCTGAGTTGAGAGCTAGGAGAGCTGCCAGAGGAACTAGCAAGAAAATGTAAGTGGGATAGGTAATTTTTTTTTTTTTTTTTGAGACAGAGTCTCACTCTGTCACCCAGGCTGGAGTGCAGTGGTGTGATCTTGGCTCACTGCAACCTCCACCTCCTGGGTTCAAGTGATTCTCCTGCCTTAGCCTCCTGAGTAGCTGGGATTACAGGTGCACACCACCGTGCACAGCTAATTTTTGTATTTTTAGTAAAGATGGGTTTCACCATGTTGGTCAGGCTGGTCTCGAACTCCTAACCTCGTGATCTCCCCGCCTTGGCCTCCGAAAGTGCTAGGATTACAGGCGTGAGCCATTGCACCCGGCCTTCTCAGATAGGTACTTATGAAACTATATGTCACAGGGTATGTGGCAGAGATTGATATAAAATCCTTATTTCCTCTTTTATAAAATCTTTATTAAAATTAGTCTCTCTCAGAAATGTATTTGGTGCAAATAGATTCTCCCGGGGGGTGCAAAGAAGTGTTGAGTACTGGGAACTGCTGATTTTGAGTTTGTGTAGACAAGTGAGACACAAATGTTTTCTTGGCCAGGATATGAAAGACTTTGCTTTATATTCATTTTTTGAACTCTGAAGAAAAGAGAAACACACCTTACAAGTTTTCTGGAACTGTAGACCAGGTACAGTGGCCTGAATTCTGACTTAGAAGCCTGAGTAGGCTCTAGAAGAAGGTTATGGATCATTTTTTTTCATATTCAGTATACAATTTAATAAACTTTTTAGTACATTTACAGAGTTGTGGAATCATCCCTACAGTTTTCTTTTGAAACAACTCTATGAATTCCCCAAGCAAAAAAAAAAATTAATGAAAAAGAAAAATATCACAATATATTTGAAGGTTGGATATATTGAAGCACCTGTTGTTTTCCCTTATTGGTATGAAAATTCATTAATAACATTAATATTTCAGGCAAGCAAACAGGAGTTCACATGGAGGAAGCAGAAGAGGCTGAGGTCTGACTTGATGGATGGTAATGTTGAAAATCTTTTCATTTGGCTATTTGTTCAGTGTACCTGCTTCAGTAAAATGGCTTTTCATATTTTTGCCCATTTATTCTCTTACTAAGGTCTCTCTCAGACCAAAAGTTTTAATTTGAGAAAGTCTGTTTAAACATTTTATTTATTCATTTCTTTTTTCTTCAACTTTTATTTAAGTTCCAGGGTACATGTGCAGGTTTGTTACATAGGTAAACGTGTGCAATGGTGGTGTGCTGCATGTATCGACCCATCACCTAGGTATTAAGCCCAGCATGCATTAGCTATTCTTGTTGATGCTCTCCCTCCCCGAGCCCCTCGACAGGCCCCAGTGTGTGTTGTTCTCTGCCATGTGTCCATGTGTTCTCAATTATGGATAATTAACAAGTGTTTTGATGACTTATCTTTCAATGCTGTGGTTACAGCTCAACCTGGGTGTGGGAATCATGAGGAGCACTAATCTGCATGTCTAAAACAGAGCAGGATTAGTTTCCAACTGCATATTTGAATGAATTCCTGTTGCTCGAAAAATTTCATGTTTTTGAGACTTTTCTGTATAAAACAAGCTAAATGTGTCATGTAAAACTCCAAAAACAGAGTTGTAAGCACTCAATACAGACTTACAAATATACATTATAATTTCTGTTACTAATATGTACATACACACACACACACACACGTTTTATTTCTGCTATTGCCAAATTACTGCTATAAAAATGGCATAGGGAAATATGTTTATTTTAAACTGATGTGGTGTATTGGCATTATGACTATATATAACTGTTTATGAAACAGTAGAGTGGTTCTAAACCTTTATAATAGTGGTTTTAAATTCCTAGAATTTTAAAATTACAAAATGCCCACAAGGGTTTAATTTTTTACATGTAGTACCTCATGTGTAACAAAAAAACATCCATTAGATTTGACCAATGACCATTAATTGTTCCTCTGCAGTTGTCCATAAAACATGAAAGACCAAGGAATGGGTTTAGGTTTTCAAAGAAGAAATATATGCTTCTTACTCTTAAATGTTGGGCTCTATGATGAGTTACATACTAGTTTCTAAGAGTATTAATCAGAGTTCTTAAAGAAAATAAAATGTCTTCCACCAATGTTGAGGATGAAAGAAGGTTTAACTTGTATATTACAGTGCTGGGTTGTATCTTCTTTTAAAATTTATATGCAGAAAACTGATATACTTTGGTTCCTAGACAAATCAGGCAGAATTCAAGATATAAGAGTCTACATAAGAAAGGGTTGTGCTTTCAGCACAAAGATGTGTGTGCAATTAGTTTTGTTTAATGTAGATTTAATGTGACTGATGGGAATAGATGTGACTAAAATAGTACAAGTTAAAAGACTCTTCGCCACTTAAAATTTAACTTACGACAAGAGGCACTTACTGTAATTTCTTTGGAGTAGGTATGTTTGGATAAAGTTTTTCATCATAATTATCCTGCTATTATTTAGAAAATTGTGTTTTTTCAACTAGGGTTTAATTTCCTGAAGTTTAAATATCTTAATGTAGTGAATATATGATACACCATGACACTTCTTTTCTTTTTTTTTTCTTGTTTGAGAATCCGGTTCTCTTTGGAATGTTTCCCAGTATCTTCTGGAAAACAGATTTTTTACATCCAAGGACTTCTACTCATTAAACAGTTGTAAATATAGAAAATGTACCACAGACTAGCTCATTTTCTTTATGTCACGAGAGCTATTTAACAGAGGGTTCCATTGATTTAGTTTATTGCTTTATGTCAACATGAGTTCTGAACATCTATTAATGAAAATTATGTTCAATTAAATGACTCCATTAATATCTGTAACTCAAATCTGGTCCTACAATTTTATTTTACAGGCACCAGAGCCAAAGACACAAACCTGCTAACTTGTAACATGTCTACCCATGTTTCTCTTTCAAATGAATATGTTGGTTGAGGCCAATAACTCTTTCCTTTCCATATGGAAATCAATCAACAAGTAGCATTGTTATCTTCTTTCTAAGCTGGTGTTCTGTCTTTGAATTTTTCTTTTTCCTAGTTAGCAATGAAGGTAAAAGTTTTTACATAAGTATAATTATTCATACGACTCCCCCTGAGGTAAGAGAACTGAACAAAGACTGGTTCATCAAACCCAGAAGTCAGACAAATTTAGACTGAAATGAGACATTTAGGCCTAGACTAGTGTGTAAGAGATTAAAAAAACAAGCAAACAGTTTTTCCTGGTCTTATATTCAATACAACACAGAACACTTCACATCTGGTTACCAAAATGTATGTAGATTTCTTTCCACCAACAATCAATTCTCTAGGAGACCCCAAGTAGGTGTCATCTAATTTAATTCAATTCTGTCACTATCTATCTAGAGACAGCATAAAATCCCACAGGTTAAGAGCTCAGTCCCACAAGACTGCCCCCAACTTCAGAAGCCAATCACCTATTGGCTTCACCAGAAGTAGGTTGTCACTTATACTTCTGACTCCTGGTATAAATGGGAGTCCCCATGACCCTCTCTTTGGGTTCCATTAATTTGCTATGATGGCTCACCAAATTCAGGGTGAGCTTACATTTACCAGTGATATGGTTTGGCTCTGTGTTCCCACCCAAATCTCATCTTGTAGCTCCCATAATTCCCATGTGTTGAGGGAGGGACCTAGTGGGAGATGATTGAATCATGGGGTTGGGTCTTTCCCTCACTATTCTTGTGATAGTGAATGCGTCTCACAAGATCTGGTGGTTTTAAAAATGGGAGTTTCTCTGCACAAGCTCTCTCTCTTTGCTTGCCCCCATCCATGTAAGATGTGACTTGCTTCCCCAGCCATGTGGAACTGTAAGTCCAATAAACCTCTTTCTTTTGTAAATTCCCCAGTCTCAGGTATGTCTTTATCAGCAGCATGAAAATGGACTAATACAGTAAATTGGTATCAGTAGAGTGGGGTACTGCTGAAAAGATACCCGAAAATGTGGAAGCAACTTTGGAACTGGGTAACAGGTAGTGATTGCAACAGTGTGGAGGGCTCAGAAGAAGACAGGAAAATGTTGGAAAGTAGAAATTCCTAGAGACTTGTTGAATGGCTTTGACAAAAATGGTGACAGTGATATAAACAATAAGGTCCAGGCTGAGGTGGTCTCAGATGGAGATGAGGAACTTGTTGGGAACTGGAGCAAAGATGACTCTTGTTATGTTTTAGCAAAGAGACTGGTGGATTTTGCCCCTGCCCTAGAGATCTGTGGAACTTTGAACTCAAGAGAGATGATTTAGGGTATCTGGCAGAAGAAATTTCTCAGCAGTAAAACTCATAGGTGGGAACTGAACAATGAGAATACATGGACACAGGAAGGGGAACATCACACTGTGGGGACTGTTGTGGGGTGGGGGGAGAGGGGAGGGATAGCATTAGGAGATATACCTAATGCTAAATGACGAGTTAATGGGTGCAGCACACCAGCATGGCACATGTATACATATGTAACTAACCTGTACATTGTGCACATGTACCCTAAAACTTAAAGTATAATAATAATAAAATTTAAAAAAAAACATTCAAAAGGTGACTTGGGTGCTGTTAAAAGCATTTCATTTTAAAAGGGAAACAGCATAAAAGTTCAGAAAATTTGCAGCCTGATGAGGAGTAGAAAAGAAAAACCCATTTTTTGATGAGAAATTCAAGCTGGATGCAGAAATTTGTGTATGTAGCAAGGAGCCTAATGTTAATTCCCAAGACCATGGGGTAGGTGTCTCCAGGCCATATCAGAGACCTTCTTGGCAGCCCCTCCCATCACAGGCCCAGAAGCCCGGGAGGAAAAAGTGGTTTAATGGGCCAGGCCCAGGGTACCCATGCTGTGTGTAGCCTAGGGACTTGGTGCCCTGTGACCCAGCCGCTCAAGCCATGGCTGAAAGGGGCCAGCCTATGATTTCAGAGGGTGGAAGCCCCAAACCTTGGCAGCTTCCATGTGGTGTTGAGCCTGTGGGTGCACAGAAGTCAAGAATTGAGGTTTGGGAACCTCCATCTAGATTTCAGAAGATATATGGAAACACCTGGATGCCCAGGCAAAAGTTTGCTGTAGGGGTGGGGCCCTCATGGAGTACCTCTTCTAGGTTAGTGCGGAAGGGAAATGTGGGGTTGGAATCCCCACAGAGTCCCTACTGGGGCACTGCCTTGTGAAGCTGTGAGAAGAGAGCCCCCATCATCTAGACCCCAGAATGGTAGATCCACTGACAGCTTGCATCGTGTGCCTGGAAAAGCCTCAGACACTCAATGCTAGCCCATGAAAGCAGCTGGGAGGGAGGTTGTATCCTGCAAAACCACAGGGGTGGAGCTGCCCAAGACCATGGGAACCCACCTCTTGCATCAGCATGACCACATGTGAGACCTGGAGTCAAAGGAGATCATTCTGGAGCTTTAAAATTTGACTACCCCACTGGATTTAAGACTTGCATGGGCCCTGTAACCCCTTTGTTTTGGCCAATTTCTCCCATTTGGAACAGCTGTATTTATCCAATACCTGTACCCCATTGTATCTAGGAAGTAACTAACTTGCTTTTGAGTTCACAGGCTCATAGGTGGAAGGGACTTGCCTTGTCTCAGATGAAACTTTGGACTGTGGACTTTTGAGTTAAAGCTGAAATGAGTTGAAACTTTGGGGGACTGTTGGGAAGTCATGATTAGTTTTGAAATGTGAAGATATGAGATTTGGGATGGGCCAGGGGCAGAATGATACGGGTTGGCTCTGTGTCCCCACCCAAATCTCATCTTGTAGCTCCCATAATTCCCACATGTTGTGAGAGGCACCTGGTGGGAGATGATAGAATCATGGGGACAGGTCTTTCCCATGCTGTTCTTGTGATAGTGAATGGGTCCCACAGGATTTGATGGTCTTAAAATGGTGATTTTTTTAAAGAGATGCACAAGCTTTCTCTCTGCTTGCTGCCATCCATGTAAAGATGTGACTTGCTACTCCTTGGCTTCCACCATGATTATGAGGCCTCTCCAGCCATGTGGAACTGTAAGTTCATTAAACCTCTTTCTTTTGTAAATTCCCAAGTCTCAGGTATGTCTTTATTAGCAGCATGAAAATGGACTAATATAACTGGTTTATTATACTAATAAAGGAAATGAAGAAGAATTCAGATGAACAGCTAGATGGAAGAGATGCATAGGGCAAGGTATGGAGGAAGAGGTGTGGATCCTCCATGCTGTCTTTGGTCAAGTTGAGCTACCCTCCAGGAACATTCAACTGCTCATAACCCAAAATCTCTCCAAACATTGTCCTTTTGGGTTTTTATGGAGGCTTCATTAGGTAGGCATTATTGATTACACCATTGGCTGTTGGAGATCAACTCAACCTTCAGCCCCTCTCCTGTCTCCAGAGGTTGGTGGGTGGGGCTGAAATTTCCAACCCTCTAATCACTCTGTTGGTTTCCCTGACAACAAGCCTCCATATTGAAGCTATCCAAGAGCCCACTAGAAGTCACCTCATTAAAACAAAAATGCTTCTATCACCCAGGAAATTCCAAGGGATTTAGGAACTCTGTGCCAGACATTCCTAGCACTCAGGAAATTACAAAGGTCTAGGAGCTCTGTGTCAGGAATCAGGGTCACAGAGGAAATATTAGAACAGAATATTTGTCCCTGGTTCCTCAGATAGATCTCCTAAAATCCCTGTAGATAGGCGTGCTAGAAGAATCTTCTGATATTTTGTCTTTGACCTCAGTTTTTGACACAGTTCCTGAATCCCTTGGAATTTCTTGAATTACAGAAGCATCTTTTATTCTAATGAAGTGACGCTTGGTGAGCTTCTCAGGATGAGAGCTCGTTGTCAGGAATCAACCATATGATTAGTGAGTTGGAACTTTCTTTTTTTGTTTGTTTGTTTGTTTGTTTGTTTTGAGACGGAGTCTCACTCTGTAGCCCAGGCTGGCGTGCACTGGCACTATCTCTGCTCACTGCAAGCTCCACCTCCCAGGTTCACACCATTTTCCTGCCTCAGCCTCTCAATTAGCTGGGACTACAGGAACCCACCACCACACCTGGCTAAGTTTTTTGTATTTTTAGTAGAGACGGGGTTTCATCATGTTAGTTAGGATGGTCTCGATCTCCTGACCTCGTGATCTGCCCGCCTCGGCCTCCCAAAGTGCTGAGATTACAGGTGTGAGCCACCGTGCCCGGCAAGAGTTGGAACTTTCAACATCCCCTCCCCACCTCTGATAAAGGGAGAGATGCTGAAAGTTGGTTTGGTCACTAATGGCCTACAATGTAATCAATCATGCCTATCTAACAAAGGCTCCAAACAAATCCCAAAGGATGGGTATTGGAGAGTTTCTGGGTTGATGAACACATCGTGGTTCCTGGAGGATGGTACTACTGGAGAGGGCATGGCTGGTCTTCACCTCTTCCTCCATAACTTGTCCTATGCATCTCTTCCATCTGGCTATTCATCTGCATCCTTTATCATATCCTTTATTAATATAGTAAGCCAGTAAATATAAGTGTTTCCCTGAGTTATCTGAGCCAACCTCGCTACTTAATCGAACCTAAGGAGGTGGTCATGAGGACTCCCAGTTTATAGACGGTTGGTCAGCAGTACCAATCACAATCTGCATCTTGCAACTGGCATCTGAAGTAGGGGGATGTCTTGTGAGACTGAGCCATTCATGTATGGGATCTGCTCTTATCTCCAGGTTAGAATGTAATTGAATTATAGAGCACCCAGATGGTTTCTGCTGGAGAATATTTAGTGTATGTGAAGAAAAATCCCACACGTCTGGTGTCAAAAGTGAAGTATTGTAGAGTGTGTGAAAGTAGCAAAAACATTGTTTATTTTTACTATTAGACAAACATCTAATATAAACTGAAGACCCAAGGAAGTCTTAGAGAATTTTATCATTAAGGTAAATCTTATTAGGTAAGTAGGAGTAAACAAAGCACCACCATCTCCTGACCAAAAAAAAAAAAAAAAAAAAAGGCCAAAAGAGGGAAAGAGGATATTCTAGGTATAGAGAGGAATGTTGGTAGAATGGCAGGTATAAAAAGAGTCAGCTTAAGGGATCTGAGAATTCTCTATAATGTAGTTTTTTCTCTTAGGTTACTCTGGCAGGTGTGGGGAAAATACAATGGAATTGGATAAAAAATTGAGTAAGAGGAAAAGCACATGACATAGTTTGGTGGTTTCCATAGCAATGCAGGCAAGAGATGATAATACTGAACAATGGCAGTCAGAATTAGAAAGCAAGCAAACTTCAGGTTAAAAACATTTAGAAGAAATGAGGTAGCCTTTTACCTTTCCATTAAGCTGATTTTTTTAAATGAATAAACACATTTCTTGAATCTTATATTTAAAGTCAGACTTGGTGTTCTTTTCATCACATCTTATTTCATTGAGGTTAACATAAGGGAGACATGCTAACCATAAATGAATAGTTAATAATAAGTGACATAACTTAATCAAGATTTACCAGTGTCAGACACTGTGCTAAGGGTTTGAAACAGATTACAACACTTAGTCCTCATTACAGCCCTTTGGGGGCAGGAGTTACTGTTACTTTCATTTTATAGAGGAGGCAATAGAAGTAAAAATTCAGCCTCAGGTTTTTTTGTGATTCAAAAACCATGTACCTTTAAATGCTTCAGTGCCTCTTCTAACTTTGCTGGATTTGGTGCCTAGCTATCCAATGGCACTGCAGCTATCACATCACTGGAAGGCTTTGGTTTTGTATCACCATTAATTTTACTTTCCAAAGAAAAATTTTTAAAAACTACATTAAACAGAGGACCTTCCTTTTCCTACATAAGATCATGAGTTGATGCATACATATATAGACATAAAGTTTCATATGTTAAAAAGAAAAAAAATTAAAATGCTGGTACTCAGATATTTTGCAAAGGATTTACGTTTTGGAGATTTGCATATACAGTGGCTAAATGAGACACATTCCTAGGTTGGCACATCTGAAATAGACTATCAAATGTGATCCTTGCCTCATTTTATCTTCATATAGTCTTCCTATATTTCAATCTTGCTAAATGGGTAATGGAAGTAAATTAATGGTATGTAAGATAATTCCATAAATTCACCAGATTTCAGATTAAAGTAATCTTGTATATTTATGGATGGTTTATTTGGGACTCTTGAATATGCTAGGACAAATCAAGATAAAGAATTTAAAAGGCCAACAAAATATACAGGAAAATCCCTTTAGAGTAGCAACAATTGTCTGCTGAGTTTCATATTGCCAGGTGTTCCCCTTTCAGCATAGCACAGTTCTTAGACTACTGCATGCTTTAAATTTTCAATATAATTTCAAAACTATTTTCTTCTCTTCATCTTCATTAAAGTATAAAACGAGTAGCACCTTTGGTATGAAATGCAAGTTAAAGCCAGATTTTTTTCACTAGTTTTCTGGAAGTAATCCAAAAAATTAACAAGAAAAATGAGATACTGAAACATAAGCTATATTTGCCAAATATGGGGGATAGCAAAATCCAAGAACCCAGAGAAAAACTCCTGCAATGGCAGAGTTAATGATCTCCAAAAATCCACTCCTCCATAAGATAAATGAAAACACTGCCTTAACTGTCATAATCAAGTTTTAAATAACTCTAGAAACTAATCAAAAGCTTACAACAATTGAGAAGCACTTACACAAAAATATAATTGAATCTCAGTAAGATCAGTGAGTTTTCTGGAATTTTAACTTGACCTATTTCCACCTATTACTCCCTAGTTCCACAGAAACCTTGAAAATTAGCAGCCTTGGAACCACAGAAGTTACAAAAACCAAGAGACTGGCTGCCATTGGAGGGGGACAGAACAATTCTGGAGCTCCCCAAAAAGCTCCATCCTCAGAGAATTGCCACTATTTGACCCATCTAGAAACTTCCTAGAAGCCCCATTCACAAAGATTTTCTTTATTTGACTTGATTTAAAGTTCACTCAATGAGGAAAGTTTTATTCCCAGGGAAGTTTGTCAGAAACAATCAGTGGTAATTGTTTAACATCTCGGCTGCTTGAGGCAGTGATGTTCCTAGAGAAAACAAGAATCTGGACAAAACTTTAAAAGAAAACCTGAAGAATTTGATTTCTATAGGGGTCTTTGAAAAGCTCCAACATATTCTTGGAGATCTACAAGGTATTGCACCCATGTTAAGTGGTAGGCATATACAAGAATGACCTGAGAATGTCCTAACAACTAATCTTTGGTTGATCTCAAGACTCTGCACAACTAGATAATAAAGGCTAAGGTAGAACTGCTAGAGAATTGAAGGATTCTCTTTGCTCCAATAAAGGACGAGCAACTTATTGGTTCAAGGAATTTAAGGAAATATTTGTCCAATCATTAGTTGACCACTAAGCTAACTAAGCAGAAGCTTTGGTGGCTGCACCAGGAAAAGAATACAGGTCATGCAGAACTAGCCCAAGAAAGTCAATAACATATAAACAGCAGTGACAGCAGCAGCAGCAACAACTACAACAACAACTTTAGGGGAAGGAACTAAATTTCTGGAGTTGCCACGTTCTATATTTAAAATATCTACTTTTCAACAAAAAAGTCATCAGTCACACAAATAAACAGGGAAGTATGGCTAGTATACAGGAAAAAAAAAAAGCAGTCAATAGAAACTGTCTTTGAGGAATCCCAGATGTTGGATTTACTAGACAAATACTTTAAATTGAATATTATAAATATGTTCAAGAAACTAAAAGAAATAGATCTAAATAATTATTTAGCCATTCCCAAGATATTACTTATAAACCTTTCACCACTATAGGTTGGTTTGTAAGTTCTAGAATTTTATAACTGGAATTATACAGTATGCTTCCTTTTCTTAATCTGGCTTTTTAAATTCAGCATAACTATGTGAAGATTCATCCATATTATTACATATATCAGCTTATTTCTTTTTATTGCTGAATAGTAATAGTTCACTGTATGTAGAGTTTGGCAAATTCAGCAGGCCAAATTCAACTGACAAAATGCATCCTGTTGTTCGCCACATATGACCATCCCATCTGCTTATATATTGTACATACTTGTTTCATAGAATGGCAGAGCTTAGTGGAAACTATTTGACGAAGAAGGTTGAAAATATGAATTGTTTGGCCCTTTACAAAAACAGTTTGTCTATGCCTAGTGTGTGTGCGTGTGTGTGTGTGTGAATATAAATTATATATAATTTATATATGATATGTATAATTATGCACATAACATATATATTTAAAATAATTATATATAATATATATAAATTAAAGCTATGAACATTCATGTACAACTCTTTATATGGACATACACTTTTATTTCTTTTGGGAGAATACCTTGGAGTAGAAGGGCTGAGTAAAATACTAAGTGTATGTTTAATATTTTAAGACATTGCCAAACTATTTAACAAGGTGGTTGTATTATTTTACATTCTAACCAGCAATATATGAGAGTTCCATTTGTTCCACATTTCTGCCAACTCGATATGGTAGTCTTTTTAATTTTAGCTATTCCTTTAGTATAGTAAAATATTATTGTGTTATAAATTGAGTTTCCCTAATGACTAAGGATGTTTAGCATTTTTTTATGTCTTTATTTGACATCTGTATGTGGTAAACTGTTAGTTCAGATCTTTTGCCTGATTTTTATTGGAATGTTTGTATTATGAATGGGATGTAAACATTCATTACATATACCACATTTAAGTCACTTGTGAGACATATATTTTGTAAATACTTCCTCCAGGTCTGTGTTTGGCTTTTTTCTTTTGTAAGTATCTTTTAAAAAGATAAAAGGAATTCACTTTTGATAAAGTTAAGTTTGTTAATTTTTTTTCTTTTGTAGTTTATGTTTTGTGTTCTATTAAAGAAATCTTGGACAAACTCAAAGAAACTAAGATTTTCTCCTAGGGAGTTTTTAGTATTGACTTTATTTATTTATTTATTTATTTATTTATTTATTTATTTATTTTTTTTTTTTTGAGACAGAGTTTCGCTTTTGTTGCCCAGGCTGGAGTGCAATCATGTGATCTCGGCTCACTGCAACCTCTGCCTCCCGGGTTCAAGCAATTCTCCTGCCTTAGTCTCCAAAGTAGCTGGGATTACAGGCGCCCACGACCATGCCCGTCTAATTTTTGTATTTTTAGTAAAGATGGAGTTTCACTATGTTGACGAGGCTGGTCTCAAACTCCTGACCTCAGGTGATCCACCCACCTTGGCCTCCCAAAGTGCTGGGATTACAGGCATGAGCCACCGCGCCTAGTCAGTATTAACTCTTATATTTAGATTTCTAATCCACTTTGAGTTACTCTTTGTAAATGGAAAGAGGTTATTGGTGTCACATACTACACTGGTTTTACTGCTGTAGCTTTATAAGTCTTCATTTCAGTTAGTATAAATTCAACTTTTCCTTTTTAAAGTTATTTTAGCTTTCAAGGTCCTCTGCATTTCCATATAAATTTTAAAATTAAATTGTCATTTTTTACAAACAAGCTTGCTTAGCTTTTGATTAGGATTTCAGTGAAGCACAATCTAGGAAGAATTCACATGTTGACAATATTGAGTCTTCAAATAAAAATGGTATATTATTTTCACTTGTCTTTTTAAATTTCTCTCAGAAATATTTTTTGCTTTTTAGTGTACAGTTTTTGCACATCTTTCACCAAATTTATGTCTAAATAGTATATTTTTGATGCTATTATAAATGATGTTTTTAAAAAATTCAGTTTCAGATTCATTATTGCTTATATATAGACTCAGCTGAAATTTTTATAATGACTTTATATCCTACAACCTTGCTAAACTCATTATTAGTTCCAAAGACTTTCTTCTTCATAGAGTACTTAGAATTTTATACATTAGACTTTCCTTTTTTTCTTTTCTTTTTTTTTCTTTTTTTGAGATGGAGTCTTGCTTTGTCGCCCAGGCTGGAGTACAGTGGCATGATCTCCGCTCACTGCAAGCTCCGCCTCCTGGGTTCACGTCATTCTCCTGCCTCAGCCTCCTGAGTAGCTGGGACTACAGGCGCCTGCCACCACACCCGGCTAATTTTTTTTTTGTATTTTTAGTAGAGATAGATTTTCTTTACTATTCTAGCTTGCTGAGAGTTTTAATCATGAATGAATGTTGGCTATTATAAAATATTTTTTCTGCATGTATTAAGAATGATTTTATGGCTTTTCATTTTTTAGTAGTTTAATACTGTAAATTCTATTGATTGACTTTTGAAGATATTAATATAAATATTTTAATGTATTAATATTAATATAATTTGCATCGTGGGACAAATCTCACTTGGTCATGATATATTACTCTTCCATATATTGTTGGATTTAAATATTAGAAATACTGTTAAGGAGTTTTGTGTCTATATTTATGAGCAATATTCGTCTGTAGATTTTCTTGCTGTTCTAATATCTTTTTCTCATTTTGGTATCAGGGTAAAGCTGGCTTTTGCACTATTGTTATATATTTTACTTCTCTCTGTAGATAATAAATCCCAAAATTCATTGCAATATTTTTGCTTTAAACAGTCAAGTATCTTTTAATAAAATTTGAAAGACAATTATTTTATAACTATTATTTCTGGTGTCTTTAATTGCTTTGTAAAGATCCAGACTTTGACCTGATATCATTTTCTTTCATCATAAACCACTTCAATTAACCTTTTTTGTATTAAATGTCTGCTGGTAATGAGTCCCTTCAGCTTTAGAATATCTGGAAAATATTTTTTTTCTACTTTTTTTTTTTTTTTTGAGATGGAGTTTCACTCTTGTTGCCCAGGCTGGACTGCAATGGCGTGATCTTGACAAACTACAAACTCTGCCTCCTGAGATCAAGTGATTCTCCTGCCTCAGCCTCCCGAGTAGCTGGGATTACAGGTGCCCTCTACCATGCCTGGCTATTTTTTTTTCTATATCTTTAAAAGAGATATTTGACTGGCGATAAAATTTTAGTTTGGCAATATTTTTATTTTCTGTAGAGATGTCCCACTGTCTTTGGGCTTATATTGTATCTGAAGAGATGTCTCTTATTATTCTTCTTTGCTCTTCTGTTTGAAATGTGTTATTTTACTCTGGAGGCTTTTAAGAAGATATTCTCTTTATCACTAGTTTATAATGTGACTTTTTTTTCTGTGTTTTAATTTAGATAATTTTTAATACTATGTCTTCAATTAATCTGTTGTTATACAGTGTCTAATTTACAGTTAATTTCAAGTACATTTTTAAATCTCAAACATTGTATTCTCTAACTCTAAAATTTTATTTTTGATCTCTCTTATATCTACTATGCCCTTAAAATAATCATATTTTGTTCTATCTTCTGAAACATGAGGAAAAGAGTTATAAAACTGCATTGATACCTTTGTATATTAATCATCTGCCAATTCTAGGTTGGTCTTACCTGATTACATTTTTTTCTCTATTCATTAACTTTAGATTTTGCCTCCCTGTGTGCCTGATAATTACCTATTGGATGCCAGGCATTGTAAATTTTACTTTGCTGATTGCTCACATTCTTTAATGTGTTAGTGAACTTTGCTCATGAATGTAGGTATGTTGGAAATGTTTGACTCTTTTGAGTCCTGCTTTCAAGCTTTATTATACAGCAGTAGAACAACTAGTTTAGAGCTAATTTTTCCTGCCACCGAGATGATAATCTTCATAGTATTCTGCCTGATATCCCACGTGCTGCAAGATTTTTCTACTTTAGCTAGTGGAGACATGAACTATTCCCATCCTTCTTTGAGCTCCAGGGATTATTCTGCCTCTTCCATTTGGTACTTTCCCTTCCCTCATGGTCTCTGACAGTTTTCTCCAAGTAAACACTTACCTGTGCTCAGCAGAATATTCAGAGTACCAAGAGCTTTCTTTCTTCTTTTTTTTTCTCCTTCCAGTTCCTTCTTCTCTATAAGGTATTCTGCTCAACAAACTCTAGCTATATGGCAACCTTGGATGCCCACTTTCATCTCGTCAGCTCAGGTAGACTATTGGACTCTTCTTGGGTTTCTTTTTTCTGATAAGAAAGCTGGAAGCCCTCTTCAGGAATTAATTTGGCACAACTGTAGGCCTCATACTTCTGTTTCTTCTCTTTCATACATCAGCATCTGAAAACTATTATTTGGTATATTTTGTCTAGATCTTTAGTGATTTCAGATGTAAGGTAAATACAGTCCATATTGCTCCATTAGTGCCCCCCACATATAGATTTTCAAGGTGAGAATATAGTCTATGAAGATGAGAGAAATAACCTGAAATATATAACCTTTAAATATATACCCTATAACATCCTACTTTATTATTGTGAGAAAACATAAACAAGATATGTGAGCTGGAGTTTATGGAGTTTCCTGGACCTAGCTTCATTGTGACAAACATAGGAGATATATCTAAGAGCTGATCTAACTCATATCCAAAATCTTGGATTACAAAAAAAAATCAGATATTTAAGAACACAGAGGGAGTGGAGCCAAGATGGCCGAATAGGAACAGCTCCTGTCTACAGCTCCCAGCGAGAGCGATGCAGAAGATGGGTGATTTCTGCATTTCCATCTGAGGTACCTGTTCATCTCACTAGGGAGTGCCAGACAGTGGGTGCAGGACAGTGGGTGCAGCGCACTGTGCGCGAGCTGAAGCAGGGTGAGGCATTGCCTTACTCGGGAAGTACAAGGGGTCAGGGAGTTCCCTTTCCTAGTCAAAGAAAGGGGTGACAGATGGCACCTGGAAAATCGGGTCACTCCCACCCTAATACTGCACTTTTCCAACGGGCTTAAAAAACAGCACACCAGGAGATTATATCCCACACATGGCTCAGAGGGTCCTAAGCCCACGGAGTCTCGCTGATTGCTAGCACAGCAGTCTGAGATCAAACTGCAAGGCAGCAGTGAGGCTGGGGGAGGGGTGCCTGCCATTGCCCAGGCTTGATTAGGTAAACAAAGCAGCTGGGAAGCTACAACTGGGTGAAGCCCACCACAGCTCAAGGAGGTCTTCCTGCCTCTGTAGGCTCCACCTCTGGGGGCAGGGCACAGACAAACAAAAAGACAGCAGTAACCTCTGCAGACTTAAATGTACCTGTCTGACAGCTTTGAAGAGAGTAGTGGTTCTTCCAGCACACAGCTGGAGATCTGAGAACGGGCAAACTGCCTCCTCAAGTGGGTCCCTGACCCCCAAGCAGCCTAACTGGGAGGCACCCCCTAGTAGGGGCAGTCTGACACCTCACACAGCTGGGTACTCCTCTGAGACAAAACTTCCAGAGGAACCATCAGGCAGCAGCATTTGCAGTTCACCAATATCTGCTGTTCTACAGCCACCGCTGTTCTGCAGCCACTGCTGCTGATACCCAGGCAAACAGGGTCTGGAGTGGACCTCCAGCAAACTCCAACAGACCTGCAGCTGAGGGTCCTGTCTGTTAGAAGGAAAACTAACAAACAGAAAGGACATCCACACCAAAAACCCATCTGTACGTTACCATCATCAAAGACCAAAAGTAGATAAAACCACAAAGATGGGGAAAAAACAGAGCAGAAAAACTGGAAACTCTAAAAAGCAGAGCGCCTCTCCTCCCCCAAAGGAATGCAGCTCCTCACCAGCAATGGAACAAAGCTGGATGGAGAATGACTTTGACCAGTTGAGAGAAGAAGGCCTCAGACAATCAAACTACTCCGAGCTACAGGAGGAAATTCACACCAATGGCAAAGAAGTTAAAAACTTTGAAAAAAAATTAGATGAATGGATACCTAGAATAACCAATGCAGAGAAGTCCTTAAAGGAGGTGATGGAGCAGAAAGCCAAGGCTCGAGAACTATGTGAAGAATGCAGAAGCCTCAGGAGCTGATGCGATCAACTGGAAGAAAGGGTATCAGTGATGGAAGATGAAATGAAGGAAATGAAGTGAGAAGGGAAGTTTAGAGAAAAAAGAATAAAAAGAAATGAACAAAGCCTCCAAGAAATATGGGATTATGTGAAAAGACCAAATCTACATCTGATTGGTGCACCTGAAAGTGATGGGGAGAATGGAACCAAGTTGGAAAACACTCTGTAGGATATTATCCAGGAGAACTTCCCCAATCTAGCAAGGCAGGCCAACATTCAGATTCAGGAAATACAGAGAATGCCACAAAGATACTCCTCGAGAAGAGCAACTCCAAGACACATAATTGTCAGATACACCAAAGTTGAAATGAAGGAAAAAATGTTAAGGGCAGCCAGAGAGAAAGGTCGGGTTACCCACAAAGGGAAGCCCATCAGACTAACAGCGGATCTCTCAGCAGAAACTCTACAAGCCAGAAGAAAGTGGGGCCCAATATTCAACATTCTTAAAGAAAAGAATTTTCAGCCCAGAATTTCATATCCAGCCAAACTAAGCTTCATAAGTGAAGGAGAAATAAAATACTTGACAGACAAGCAAATGCTGAGAGATTTTGTCACCACCAGGCCTGCCCTAAAAGAGCTCCTAAAGGAAGCACTAAACATGGGAAGGAACAACCGGTACCAGCCACTGCAAAAACATGCCAAAATGTAAAGACCATCAAGGCTAGGAAGAAACTGCATCAACTAACGAGCAAAATAACCAGCTAATATCATAATGACAAGACCAAATTCACACATAACAATATTAACTTTAAATGTAAATGGGCTAAATGCTCCAATTAAAAGACACAGACTGGCAAATTGGATAAAGAGTCAAGACCCATCAGTGTCCTGTATTCAGGAAACCCATCTCACATGCAGAGACACACATAGGCTCAAAATAAAGGGATGGAGGAAGATCTACCAAGCAAATGGAAAACAAAAAAAGGCAGGGGTTGCAATCCTAGTCTCTGAAAAAACAGACTTTAAACTAACAAAGATCAAAAGAGACAAAGAAGGCCATTACATAATGGTAAAGGGATCAATTCAACAAGAAGAGCTAATTATCCTAAATATATATGCACCCAATACAGGAGCACCCAGATTCATAAAGCAAGTCCTGAGTGACCTACAAAGAGACTTAGACTCCCACACAATAATAATGGGAGCCTTTAACACCCCACTGTCAACATTAGATAGATCAACGAGACAGAAAGTTAACAAGGATACCCAGGAATTGAACTCAGCTCTGCACCAGGCGGACCTAGTAGACATCTACAGAACTCTCCACCCCAAATCAACAGAATATACATTCTTTTCAGCACCACACCACACCTATTCCAAAATCGACCACATAGTTGGAAGTAAAGCACTCCTCAGCAAATGTAAAAGAACAGAAATTATAACAAACTGTCTCTCAGACCACAGTGCAATCAAACTAGAACTCAGGATTAAGAAACACTCAAAACCACTCAACTACATGGAAACTGAACAACCTGCTCCTGAATGACTACTGGGTACATAATGAAATGAAGGCAGAAATAAACATGTTCTTTGAAACCAACAAGAATAAAGACAAAATATACCAGAATCTCTGGGACACATTCAAAGTAGTGTGCAGAGGGAAATTGATAGCACTAAATGCCCACAAGAGAAAGCAGGAAAGATCCAAAATTGACACCCTAACATCACAATTAAAAGAGCTAGAAAAGCAAGAGCAAACACATTCAAAAGCTAGCAGAAGGCAAGAAATAACTAAAATCAGAGCAGAACTGAGGAAATAGAGACAGAAAAAACCCTTCAAAAAATTAATGAATCCAGGAGCTGGTTTTTTGAAAAGATCAACAAAATTGATAGACCGCTAGCAAGACTAATAAAGAAGAAAAGAGAGAAGAATCAAACAGATGCAATAAGAAATGATAAAGGGGCTATCACCACCAATCCCACAGAAATACAAACTACTGTCAGAGAATACTACAAACACCTCTATGCAAATAAACTAGAAAATCTAGAAGAAATGGATAAATTCCTCGACACATACACTCTCCCAAGACTAAACTAGGAAGAAGTTGAATCTCTGAATAGACCAATAACAGGATCTGAAATTGTGGCAAGAATCAATAGCTTACCAACCAAAAAAAGTCCAGGACCAGATGGATTCACAGCCGAATTCTACCAGAGGTACAAGGAGGAGCTGGTACCATTCCTTCTGAAACTATTCCAATCAATAGAAAAAGAGGAAATCCTCCCTAACTCATTTTATGAGGCCAGCATCATCCTGATACCAAAGCCAGGCAGAGACACAACCAAAAAAGAGAATTTTAGACCAATATCCTTGATGAACATCGATGCAAAAACCCTCAATAAAATACTGGCAAACCGAATCCAGCAGCACATGAAAAAGCTTATCCACTATGATCGAGTGGGCTTCATCCCTGGGATGCAAGGCTGGTTCAACATACGCAAATCAATAAATGTAATCCAGCATATAAACAGAACCAAAGACAAAAACCACATAATTATCTCAATAGATGCAGAAAAGGCCTTTGACAAAATTCAACAACCCTTCATGCTAAAAACTCTCAATAAATTACGTATTGATGGGACGTATCTCAAAATAATAAGAGCTATCTATGACAAACCCACAGCCAATATCATACTGAATGGGCAAAAACTGGAAGCATTCCCTTTGAAAACTGGCACAAGACAGGGATGCCCTCTCTCACCACTCCTATTCAACATAGTGTTGGAAGTTCTGGCCAGGGCAATTAGGCAGGAGAAGGAAATAAAGGGTATTCAATTAGGAAAAGAGGAAGTCAAATTGTCCCTGTTTGCAGACGACATGATTGTATATCTAGAAAACCCCATCATCTCAGCCCAAAATCTCCTTTAGCTGATAAGCAACTTCAGCAAAGTCTCAGGATACAAAATCAATGTGCAAAAATCACAAGCATTCTTATATACCAATAACAGACAAACAGAGAGCCAAATCATGAGTGAACTCCCATTCACAATTGCTTCAAAGAGAATAAAATACCTAGGAATCCAACTTATAAGGAATGTGAAGGACCTCTTCAAGGAGAACTACAAACCACTGCTCAATGAAATAAAAGAGGATACAAACAAATGGAAGAACATTCCATGCTCATGGGTAGGAAGAATCAATATCATGAAAATGGCCATACTGCCCAAGGTAATTTATAGATTCAATGCCATCCCCATCAAGCTACCAATGACTTTCTTCACAGAATTGGAAAAAAACTACTTTAAAGTTCATATGGAACCAAAAAAGAGCCCGCATTGCCAAGTCAATCGTAAGCCAAAAGAACAAAGCTGGAGGCATCACGCTACCTGACTTCAAACTATACTACAAGGCTACAGTAACCAAAACAGCATGGTACTGGTACCAAAACAGAGATATAGATCAATGGAACAGAACAGAGCCCTCAGAAATAATGCCGCTTATCTACAACCATCTGATCTTTGACAAACCTGACAAAAACAAGCAACGGGGAAAAGATTCCCTATTTAATAAATGGTGCTGGGAAAACTGGCTAGCCATATGTAGAAAGCTGAAACTGGATCCGTTCCTTACACCTTATACAAAAATTAATTCAAGATTGATTAAAGACTTAAATGTTAGACCTAAAACCATAAAAGCCCTAGAAGAAAACCTAGGCAATACTATTCAGGACATAGGCATGGGCAAGGACTTCATGTCTAAAACACCAAAACCAATGGCAACAAAAGACAAAATTGACAAATGGGATCTAATTAAACTCAAGAGCTTCTGCACAGCAAAAGAAACTACCATCAGAGTGAACAGGCAACCTACAAAATGGGAGAAAATGTTCTCAACCTACTCATCTGACAAAGGGCTAATATCCAGAATCTACAATGAACTCCAACAAATTTACAAGAAAAAAACAAACAACCCCATCAAAAAGTGGGTGAAGGATACGAACAGACACTTCTCAAAAGAAGACATTTATGTAGCCAAAAAATACATGAAAAAATGCTCATCATCACTGGCCATCAGAGAAATGCAAATCAAAACCGCAATGAGATACCATCTCACACCAGTTAGAATGGCGATCATTAAAAAGTCAGTAAACAACAGGTGCTGGAGAGGATGTGGAGAAATAGGAACACTTTTACACTGTTGGTGGGACTGTAAACTAGTTCAACCCTTGTGGAAGTCAGTGTGGCGATTCCTCAGGGATCTAGAACTAGAAATACCATTTGACCCAGCCATCCAATTACTGGGTATATACCCAAAGGATTATAAATCATGCTGCTATAAAGACACATGCACACGTATGTTTATTGCGACACTATTCACAATAGCAAAGATTAAGAAAATGTAGCACATATACACCATGGAATACTATGCAGCCATAAAAAATGATGAGTTCATGTCCTTTGTAGGGACATGGATGAAACTGGAAACCATCATTCTCAGCAAACTATCGCAAGGAAAAAAACCAAACACTGCATGTTCTTACTCATAGGTGGGAATTGAACAATGAGAACACATGGACACAGGAAGGGGAACATCACACTCCGGGGACTGTTGTGGGGTGGGGGGAGAGGGGAGGGATAGCATTTGGAGATATACCTAATGCTAAATGACTAGTTGATGGGTGCAGCACACCAATATGGCACATGTATACATATGTAACTCACCTGCACATTGTGCACATGTACCCTAAAACTTAAAGTATAATAATAATAAAATAAAAAAGTAAAAAACAAATAAATGATAAGAGTCTTAACATGGTTAAAAAAAAAGAACACAGCTTGCACTCTACATAAATTTTTTATTTAAATAATTGGCCTCTGGAATTGAAACTCATCTCCTTTAAAAGTGTATGAGAAAAACGAATAGCCTGGAAATTTATAAAAATTTGCTACAACAGAGGAAAAAAAGCATCAGGAATGTCTCTGTACAAGAGATCTCAAAGACATAACACTATCACACTTAATTTTTGCCAATAGAGCAAGTATAAAACAATGTTATTAAGTCTTGACCTTTATTTTTCTGACCAATAATAAATCTGAAAATCTCTTCCTATGTCATATGTTTAATGGGCTTTTATAAGGCTACAAAGAAGTAAGGCCAAACAACATATGTTTTAGGAATAGGTGTGTGTATGAATATATTTATAATTACAAAACATATATATATATTTATGCAAGTCACTAGCATAAAAAAGTCAAATTTCGAAATTGTAATTAGTTTCAGTGAAGAAGGTAGGCAGAATGAGGGAGATGTTACAGTTGATGTATTCAATATTCTAGTCCTCACATTGACTGGTGGTTTTGTGAGTGGTTATTCTATTATGAATGTGAAAAATGACGACAACGAAAAAAGGATGTCCGCTTATGAGTTAATGATTACAGTGTGTTAATCAACACAATTTTGTTACCCTTACCAAAAAATCAGAAGTAAAATTTAAAAAGATTAAAAAGGAGCTACAAAGAGGTAAGAGAAGTGGGAGAGAGAGAGGAGAAAAGAAAGAAGAAGGACAAATAAATAGCAGATTGAAATCTCTCACCAGAAGCACATGGGTGGAAGAGCATGCTGACAGGCACCTGTAGGCTGGCAGCCAGCAGACGGCAGGCCATCGACCAATGGAATGACACAGAGTTTGGCCAGAGCAGTTGGAGAAGAGTTGGTCCAGAGATGGTCAGGAAAACCATCTCCCTTCTGACTCCCCCATCTGCTGAGAGCAACTTCTACACAATAAAGCCTTGCCCTCATTCTCCAAGCCCACGTGTGATATGATTCTTCTGATACACCAAGGCAAGAAACCACAAGATACAGAAATTCCTCTGTCCTTGTGATAACGAAGGGGATCTAATTGAGCTGGTTAACACCAGCAGCCTATAGATGGCAAACTAAGAGAGCACACTATAACACACGCCCACTGGGGCTTCAGGAGCTGCAAACATTCACCCCTGGACACTGCTGTGGGACCGGAGCCCCACAGCCTGCCCATCTGTATGCTCCCCTAGAGGTTTGAGCAGTGGGGCACTGAAGAAGAGAGCCACACCCTCATCACACACACTGCGAGGGGGACAAGGGAACCTTTCTTGTTTCATTATAATGAAGAAATTGCTTTCATGAAACAAAAGCACTGGGCCGAAATGCAAGAGCTCAGAGAAGAGTTAGTGAGACAACAGGAATAAATAAAATGTGGGCTGGCAAAGCTTACAACCCTGAGGAAAAAATTAAAACATTGGAGAAATGATAGTGACAATAGAAAAAAACAAGGCAGATTAGGCAAGGGAGACTATATGTTGTCAAGAATACAGCAAAGTGTAAGATGGTCACAAAAAAAGATGATAAAGCAAAAAAATAAGGACACATCAGAAAGAAGAGGATAGATATAGAGGACAAAGACATACTTTGCAATCCCCAGTGAAGAAAACAAAAATAATACAACTGAATAAGTATCTCTAATGAAATCATGCCATTTGCAGCAACATGGATGGAATGGGAGACCATTATACTAAGTTAAATCAGTCAGGCACAGAAAGACAAATACCAAATATTCTCACTCATATGTGAGAGCTAAAAAGCTTGATTGCATGGACATAGAGAGTAGAACAATAGATACCAGAGACTGGGAATGGTGGTTGGGAGTGGGGGAGATGGAGGGGGATTGGTAAACAGCCACAAACATACAGTTAGATAGAAGAAATAAGTTCTAATGTTTGATAGTACACTAGGGTGACTCTACTTAGCAACACTATTTTGTATATTTCAAAGTAACTGGAAGAGAGGAATTGAAATGACACCAAGACATTAAAATAACACTCAAGGTCATGGATACCCCAAATACCCTGACGTGATCATCATACATTCTATGCATGTAACAAAAACTCACATGTACCCTGTAAACATGTAAATATTATGTGTCAGTAAATTAAAAAAGAAATTGAAATGAAACAACTTTGAATCTACATAAGAACACATCATATTCCAGGAAAAAATGGGCCCAAAAAGATACTTTAGAGTCATAACCAAGTAAGCATAATAAACGTCAAAGAGAAATGAAGAAATCTTTGAAGAAAAAAACAAAACATAGGCCAGGCGTGGTGGCTCACGCCTGTAATCCCAACTACTCGGGAGGCTGAGGCAGGAGAATAGCTTGAACCCGGGTGACAGAGGTTGCAGTGAGCCGCACACCACTGCACTCCATTCTGGGCGACAGAGCGAGACTCCATCTCAAAAAAACAAAAAACAAATAGACAAAACGGCACAAAAACATAATCCCCTCTCAAGGAGGAAAATATCAGGCTGTCCTCAGACTTTACAGCAAAAGTCAGTACTCGAAGAAACCTCTTCAAAAAGAGTCAATGAAAAAAACTATAGCCAAGGACTTAATACCTACTCAGAGTAAATGCTGTCCATTCTGACACGTTAAACATCAAATTCTTAGAGAATGTTGTTTACATGAGAACTTTTTGAAGATTCTCCTGAAGAACTTGAAGCAGGCTGGGCGCGATGGCTCACGCTTGTAATCCCAGCACTTTGGAAGGCCGAGGCAGGCGGATCATGAGGTCAGGAATTCAACACCAGCCTGGCCAATATGGTGAAACCCCGTCGCTACTAAAATTACAAAAATTAGCTGGGCATGGTGGTGCACACCTGTAGTCCTAGCTGCTCAGGAGGCTGAGGCAGACGAATCGCTTGAAACTGTGAGGTGGAGGTTGCAGTGAGCCAAGATCGTGCCACTGCACTCCAGACTGGGTGACAGAACCAGACTCCGTCTCAAAAAAAGAAAAAAAAAAAAAAAAGAACTTGAAGCAGACAAATGCGAAATGAAAAATGGATACAAAGTACCATTCATGAGTACTGAATCTTTAACTGTAGATCTATTTGAAACACTAAAATAAGAGTGGGGATTAGGATGATAGGAAAGTTAGTGTTACATATCCTGACAGAATAGAAAAAATTATAGCAACAAAAATTAGAAGTAGAAGGCAAAAAGAAGTTGAGTAAATTATTCCTCTTCATTTAAAATAATTGTGGTGGGGGTATCAGGGTGATAAATCAATTAATGAAGTGTCAAATGTACTTGAAACCACAAATTTAAATACTAAAAGAAAATATAATTGACTTAAATGATGGAAGAGAGAATAGGAAATAAGAAGAAAGGGAATTGTGTACGGTTAGAAATTAATAGTAACAAGGTAAATAAATGAATAAATAACAACAGACTATAATTAATGATATTGTCATATCAATAGAGGGCTAAATTTACTTATTAGAAGAAAAAGGGTTTTAGACCAGATCACATTAAAACCCAAATTAATATTGTATATAAGAACTGCACGTAAAACAAATGAGTAATGAAGGCTGAATATAAAAGAATGGATAAACATACACCAGGCCAGTGAAAATAAAAGAAAGCAGAAATTGTAACCTTACTATCTTGCAAATTGAACTCAGACCCTGAAGCATTAAATAAAGAAGTGAATATTTTAATTGTAAAATGTGTAGTTCATAGTAGTTATAACCACCTAGGCATCAAATAATACAACATTAATATTCACAAAGTAAAAAAATAGCATAAAGTCTAAAAAATAGATATATTTTCTTACATTATGAAATATAACAACATTAAAAGAGATTTATAGTGGGAAATTTTCATCAACATTTCATAATTCATGACAACTGACTGGAAATAAGAAAAGGAAATCATTTAGAACATGTAAGTTATGACATTCACACACACACACATACAATTACTATCAATAGAAATTTTATATTTCCAAATACTCCTGTAATACTAACAAAAATTAACCATATATCAGGAAAGCATAAATAAATCCTAAAAAATGAAAATAGCACATACAATCTCTGTGACCACCAGATAATAAAACTAAAAATTGTAACAAATGGAGAAAACTTAGAAAGAGGAGTGGAAAAACAACTAAGAAAGAAAATACAAAAACTTTATCTTAACAACCCTTGGGTCAAGAGAATTTCCAAACAGAAATTGTGGAATACCAAAAAATAATGATATTGACAATACTACATATCAGACCTATTAAATAAGCTAAAGCTCATACTTTATATGAGTTTTATGCTTAGGTGAAGAGTCATGGCTTTAAATATGTTAATAGGCAGTAAGTAAGAATATAAATGAAATAAGTATCCAACCCAAGATATTATAACAATAATAATAAACTTAAGAAAATTAGAGTGAATTCATTATAGAGGCAGAAATTACTTAAAAAGCAGAAAAATAATATTAATAAGTATACACAAAATCTGTTTATTAGCTAAAAATGTCAAATCGATGCAAATATACATTATAAGCAGTGATAAGGGGAAATTATAGGGAAAATTAAAATGATATAAAGATAACCATTTCAAATTTATACAAATGTATTTAAAATTTCTTCTAAATAAACATAATTTAACAAACTGACTTTAAAAGAGAGGAAAAAAAAACTCTAAAATATTCCATTACCATACATTTAGAAATTTATCACAGAGCTCCCAACCAGTAAAATACTAAGCATAGACATTTTCACAGGGTAAATTGACCTAACTTTCAATGAATAAATAAATCCAGTAGTATTTTAAAAGTTCTATACTATACAAAATAAAAAATAAATCTTCCAAATCTTTTTTTATGACAGGCATCTTATTAATCCTAATAAAGAACAAAACTGCATAAGTAGAAAACTACAAATTAAACTGTATTATGAATACTGATGCAAAATATTAACAAAGAGAATGCAGCAATGTATTAATTTACATATAAAATCTCTAGAAGTGATATGGTAGGGTGGCAGGGGAGTGCTGGGTAGAGAAGTGGGGGTCCCTGGTGAGGGTTCCACCCTTGGGCCTCTGCCCACGGAACTATGTGAGAACAGGCACTCCTGTTTTCAAGCCTGAATGTTGCATTTTCCAAGACCACTCTGGCCCACCATGCTTCCTATTCTGTGCCTATATAAACCCAAGACCTTAGCAGGCACAGACACAAGTGGCTGAACATGGAAACAAGCATACCAGCAGACCACTGATGGCAGAACAATGCAGCAGAGAAAGACAGAAGAGGAGGGACATCTGCACGCCAAGGGGAGTTGGACTGGGGGGCGATTGGAGAATAGTCTGGCCACTGGGTGGCTCAACTCCAGGGGAAGACTACTTCCCACTCCATCTCGCCTTCCAGCTCCCCATCCATCTTGCTGAGGGTCACCTCCACCACTCAATAAAACCTTGCACTCATCCTTCAAGCCCATGTGTGATCCAATTCTTTCAGGACACTGGGCAAGAGCTCGGGATACAGAAGGCTGTCACATTGGCACTCTGCCCTTGTGGTAAGGCAGAGGGTCTCGAGCTGATTAACACACAAGCCATTTG
Source organism: Homo sapiens (assembly GCF_000001405.40). Classification (NCBI taxonomy): domain Eukaryota; kingdom Metazoa; phylum Chordata; class Mammalia; order Primates; family Hominidae; genus Homo; species Homo sapiens. The sequence continues at coordinate 107,706,316 of NC_000008.11, read as the reverse complement.
CAGATGGCAAATCTAAAAGAGCTTTGTAACACACGCCTACTTGAGCTTGGGGAGTTGCAGTCACCCTCCCCTAGATGCTGGGCTGGAGCCCAAAAGCGCTCTTCACCTGCCCATCTGCATGCTCCCCCTAGGGGTTTGAGCTGTGGGTGACCAAGCAGGCGAATCACACCCCTATTGCACGTCCTGTGTGGGGAATCAGGGATCTCTCCTGTTTCAGAAGGATATATTTTCTGTGGGGAAAATAACTGGATGGTTGGGGGACAGTGGTGTATTATTGCATACTTTGTGAAGTGTGAATCAAGTGAATGGATTAGTTATTAAACAATAAAATTTTTAAAATTCTCCTTCCCATAAAAGAAGAAATTAGAATCAACCTTGCGTTTTTTTAAACATGAATATTTTATGCATCTAGCATATTTTTGCTGATAATATTGATGAAGGGAGAGCTCTGCATTTGTGCAGATCTTGATTGGTTCAGTTGACTTTAGATATGTTCCATTCTAGATCCTGAATTATTGCCCTCAATTTATAGAGGAGAAATGCACTATGAAGAAAACAGCAAAGCTGTGAGCAGGACATGAATCTTTTCCTCTAGCCTCTTTATCGCTTACCATTTTGACTGCCCCTTAGTGCAGGAATCTTGGGTAAGTTTCCTAGCATTCTCCCTAAAAAAAAATTGTTGTTGTTATTTTCTTCTTAAATTAGGATAATAAAAATTTTTTTCTAAGGGCTTTTAATAAGATTAATTTAGATGATAGATATAAAATGGATAACAGAATACTCTCATTAGGTAGTGGATCTTATCTGCTTATGCAGATAAGGAAGGGTCAGCTTTTATACTGGGACATCAGCTTTTGGAAAGATTCTTTCAACAAATATTTATTAGACATCTACTTTGAGGTAGGTACTATCCTAGGCTCAGAGGATACAGCTTTGAATAAAACAGACAAACACTCATGGAATGTAATTCCTTGATATAAGTATCATCAGTCAAGCTTATTATTTTTAAATTTCTAGAGTTTGGGGCAACACAGCATGAAGGAGAGCCTCCTTTACTTCTCCAGCCACCTCTGTCATCCTTAGAGGAGAGGCATAAAGGGCACTTGTTTAGACCTCAGTGACTCTACTTCTGACCTTCAGATACTAGAGTGTCATTTGTCACAGTGCCTTTATGGAGTAGCTGACACTCTGATTCTGCTAGTCCTGAAAGCCAATCCCTGGCATGCAACTAAATTTCCCAAGGGCATACTTCAAGAACAGATATGTCTCTAGCATAGAGTAAATCTCATTTCAAATGATAACAAGTGAAAACAGAAATTAAACATATACTTTCTGGCCATTCGGTGTTCATAGTACTGGACAGATGCTATAAAAAGAAGAGCTGTTACTTGAAACAAACTAGAAATTTGTTAGGTTAATCCATTGCTGGGATGCAAAAATACCTCCTCTTGTCCAGAAAAGTATTATGATTTTATAGCTTTCTAGCATGTTTCAGTTGTGCAGTTTAAATGACCCATGCTCTTAATCAAAACAACAATTTTTGCCTTACTTAATGCTTCTTTCTTGAGACCTTTGACACTTCATTTGTTTTATTTAATTGACAAGGATAAATTGAGTTGGGAAAGGAATTGTATTTCCTTATTCAAGGAGCATCTGGATTTAGGTCAGTGGTAAAGAAAGCACCCAACTGTGTAACAAGTGTGCATTTCCAACCTATGCATTTACTGAAACCCAGTATTAACATTGCCTTGGCTTGTTATGCATACAACTGAACTAAAGTCTCATTTCTTACATGATTTCAGGCATTATCAGATAAGGAGGTACCTAGATTCCTAGGGCACACCTGTTTAAACTCAGGAGAAGCAAAAAAGACAAACGTGATGGGAAAACATGACCCCAAACTCTAAATTCAGCAATCCAAAATTCAACCCTTACTGAGTTCTTTCTCTTTCTCTCTCTCTCTCTCTCTGTCTCATAAAAAGGAGGGAGAAATAAAGATTCTGGCATAGAAATTATTAGTCATGTCCATTTCCAAAGCCTGTACTGCCAGCCCTTTTTCCTTAATTGCTTTGAGGGAGTTTTCTGTAAACAATTACAGAGACGCTTATCTTTGATCAAAGTTTCCTTTCTCTAATTCAGATTTTGCCATTGAAATGACCTCCACACAGAAACCAGCAGTCTCCTATCATAATGGTGAATATCTTTTAAATTGCTGTTGATCCCTCCAAAAGGAAAAGCTTTCCTAAGGACTTGGGATGCATACTAAGGTAGCATTTTAACAAAGTACAAATTTTCCCCTCCCTGTTTATTTCAGGTTTACACAATATAGTTAAGTAACAAAATTAGATTGTTATAACCAAATGAAAACTGTCACTGGATCACTCCAAGTCGTCTAGCAAATTTTACTCTGCACTAAGCAGAAATCCACTCTTAAAATCAAAGGCATTATAAAGCCAAATGAGTTTTCATGTCTGAAGATTAAGCAGGGACAGTAAGCATGTTCTAGATTAATCAAGAATACTTTGAATCTAAGGCAAATAAGGGATAAATGAGAGTTGGATACCATGTTGAATAAAACAAAAAAATTTGTTCCAGTAATTATAAAATCTTGGTAATATATTGATTCTTCATTCTAATGACTGAAGGCTTGAGTTGAGTGCCTGCAAGTTACATTTTAAAAAGCTAGCTCCAATTTGTATAGTCAAGATGAGAGTACTTCCTCTGTTAGTGATATAAAAATAACACCAGTCAAAAGGTTGCTCAATAGTGAATCATCAGTGGCAGGAAGTTAGCTTTTTGACTGAATTTCTGCTTCTTGCAGAAGCAGTTGTAGTTCATTTGACCGTATACATAGAGTAAATGCAGCACATTGTTATTTTACTGAATAGGTTAATCACATGTTTCTGGCTTTTCTTACAATATAAATTATATCCTAGAAACAAAAGATATTTATATACTTATTACCACTTTCAAAAATAAGTATAAGAGAAAGATAATATCAAACAGATTTTTATTTATTTATTTATTTACTTATTTTTTAGACAGAGTCTCTCTCTGTTGTCCAGGCTGGAGTGCAATGGCACAATTTTGGCTCACTGCAACCTCCACCTCCTGGGTTCAAGTGACTCTTGTGCCTCACCCTCCTGAGTACCTGGGATTACAGGCTTATGCCACCATGCCTGGCTAATTTTTATATTTTTAGTAGAGATGGGGTTTTTCCGTGTTGGACAGGCTGGTCTTGAACTCCTGATCTCAAGTGATCCGCCAGCCTCAGCCTCCCAAAATGCTGAGATTACAGGTGTGAGCCACAATGCCTGGCTAGATTTATATTTATTTATCTAAATAGTGGTATTTACTTTTTAAAGTTCTTTTGTACCAGCACAAGAATGGCTATAAAAATCATTTATATGTAAAATAATAATAAAATTCCATTTTAATGAAAAATTAAGACAATAAACTAAAAGCTCCACACATTTAGCAGGCTGTAAAGACTTTATTTTGTAAGATCAGACAATAATTAAATCCAAATAGTCTTTAGATAATAATCATAAACACTTGTTTTTGAGTATGAATAGCTTCAAAAGATAGGATATAAAAATTCCCAGACTAATTTCTTTCATTTTCCTCACATCACATAATCACAACACAGAAGCGTCTAGCAGAGAAATAAAAAAATCTTCTATGTTATGCATGCAGATGAGTTCTTTGATGTTAGAGCAAATGTGTAAGTATCTATTTAAATTGAAAACCATTTTTACAGATTTGATTATAGGATATGCTGATTAGTAATTGTTGCTAATGAATTTATCCCTAAGAATTTTAATTTGTACCTCTTATGCTGGTACCATTTCAAAATCTTTGAATTGAAGAACAGATAGCTGGATATTTTTTATTTAATCTGGGGACTTGAGTTATGTCAATCTAAAACATCTCACTTATGTAGTGTCATTTAACACATCAGTAAAATGTTTCAGGATAATTTTATAAGTGCCTTTTCTTAAAATGAGCATGATACTGATACCTTATCTTTTTGCTGAATGGCTTTGTAAATCTGGGCTTGATGCATCATTAGCATGTATCAAATTTACAGTACAGGCAATCTTGGGACAGGGAGACAGCCTGATCCACCAGGCTGATGATCTTCTGTGATGCATATGACCAACCTGTAGTTTTAGGTCATGTATTTTGTGGCTTGGTTGCTCTTGATTCTATGCTATTAATGCTTTGCAGGCCCATCAAGTCATCAGCAAAATACATTTCTATAGTATTAGCCTCACCCTTATGAAATATGTACCAAGGTCTATTTTTGGGGAGAATCTTTAATATCATTAACCAACATATTCATCCTACTATGTTGAGATCTATTCAAAACATTTTAATATTGGAGAAGAGCAGTGAGCTTTTAAAAGCAGTGATAAAATAATTTTCCTTTCTGTTAGCTAATTAATACTTTCCGGGTAACTAATCTTGGGGCTTTCCAATATTTTATTTTCTTAATTAAAATGCATGACTTAGAAGACAGAATTATTTAAAGCAAGCACACTTAATTAGTAGGTGTGTGAGTGGTTAGGAATTGCAGAGTGTAAACAGTTTTGGGAAGGGGAATGGTTAAATCATTAGATATAAATGCCAAGGAATATTCAACTGTCAAAAGTCATTTTTAAAGTAAAATATTTAGTGAGATGGGCAATATTTATGATATAAACTTAAGTGAAAGGTGAATAGAGAATGTACATAATACAATCCCAACTTCTAAAAACTGAAGAGAAAGATTAAAATTTTAACAATTATGATTTTGAGGTTATAGGAAGAAGAGTGTTTTTCTTTTCTCATTTATACTGTACCTCACTCGCAATAGCATGTAGTGGTTAAGCATATAGGCTTAGAGTTATGTCTTAGTTCTACCACTCACTTGGATGAGTTAAATAACCTCTCCTGAGTGTCTTTTCTTGCATGTAAAATGGAAAAAATAATATTTACCTTATAAGATTCTTGTGATGCCTCAACGAGATACACATAGTAATTCTTAGTACTGTGCCTTCCAAATGGTATGTGCACAATAAATGGTAGCTATTAGTATTATGCATTTTATTAAAACATCTGCAAAATAAAGATGCACTACTTTAAAGGATACCCAAATACAAAGGATAGTTTTAAATATATGTGCTATCTACACAATAAAATTACCTACTTTAATTCAAGAAAATTACATATATTTTTAAATTATTCTAGGCCAATTTTATAAAACTACTATATCAATGTTTATACTATTTTAGAAGCATATATGTTTGTGTATATGTGTGTTTCTTATCACTAGATATTACAGAAAGTTAAATTACTGTCTAGAAATTTCAATTTTTCATTATGATATTGAAAAGTCATTTCTATAAAATTAAAAGAGTAGTATTCACACCTGTAGGTATAAAGATCTTCTCAGATTTCCCAAACTTTAGAAACTATTCATTTAGATGTTAAAAACAAATTACCTGTGTCCTGCATAAATTACAAATAATTCATGAACCCCACAATGAAATATTTATGGTCTCATTGAATACTTCCCAGGATAATAAAATAAAGACTATGTTCTGTTTATGTGCCTGAATGGCCAGAATTTTATTTTCTGTTTTAGTTGATAATTCATAAAAAGAAATTTAGGGGACTGAACTGTAGCTTTCAAACTCGAAAACTAGAACATTTAGAAAGTTTATTATTTTTATAGAAGACTTAGTTATTGGCCATCCAGAGTAGATTGGCCCATGTGTGGCTAAGGAATAAGATATAAAATTTAAGATCTCCTCTTTTTTTTTTTTTTTTTAACTCTTTTGCTTTGTTGACAATAGAACACAGCCTCACAGAATTAATACGAGAAGTGACCTTTCACCCATCATCCATCTGTTGATCCATTTATTCATTCTTTCTCTATGTATTAGTAGAGTACCCATAATGTGACATGCGCTTTACTAATGTGACACGCCTCTTTAAAATACAAAGGTGAACCAGAAAGGCAAAGTCTCTGACCTTGGAGAATTTACAGTCTACCAGAAGAACCATGCAATAAACAGACAAAATAAACAGTAAATGCTATAAAAGAAATTAGCAGGATGATGTCAAAAAGAGTAATTATTTGTTGGGTGGTGGCGAAGATGAGAAATACTTCAGGTAGGTTTGTCTGGGAAGTTTCCCTGAATTGTGCCTTGAGAGAGGAGACAGAGCCAGGCAGGAAGAGATGGGGGAAGAAACTTCCAAACCCAGAAAACCACAGGGCTTGGAGAACAACTGTGACATAATTTTAAGTGAAACAGCAATGCTAAATTGAATTTATTAATGCAGTAGGACACGGACAAAAGAAATGAATTGGATTGATATGTGTCAACATGGATAAAGCTCAAAGACATAGTGAAGAGAAAAAGCAAGCTGTATCATGTTCCTCATGGTATCATTTATGGAACTTTTAAAAACACAAAGCAATGGTACATATTTGTTATATGCATATACATATATAATAAAGTATAAAACCATATATGATAATGATATATAACAGTTTTAGGGCTTTGCTTACTTCTGGAGAGAAAGGGAAGGAATGGAATGTGGAACTTTATAATGTTTGTTTTTTTAAAGAAATATGAAGCAAAATCCTAAAGTCAAGGGATGATTACCTAAGTGTCTCACTTTTTACAATTTTCTGTGTATTAGAAAAGTTGAAAGACTAGAAACTTCAATAAAACAGAATACAAATTGTATAAGGCTAATACTAAAACTAAATTCAAAAGCAGAGAGTATGATCTGATATTTAAAAACTGGAAATAAATTCTATGTGGTGGAATTATGAGTAATTTTTGTTTCTATTCTTTGTTCCAAATAGCAATATACTACATGGATCAAGAATGTAGGAAAAGTAGTCAACCAAGAGAAAAGCAAGTGGCTATGTTGTGGAGGAAGAATGGATAAGATGTAGCCATTCTGACTTTTTGGTTATCAGTACAATACCTTCTAGTATGTTCCACAACCTATTTTTTTAAATGTTTGCTTATTGTTGTTTTTAAAACAACTTTACTGATACAATTGATATAAAATAAATTTACAGTATATAACTTGCTGTTTTGAAGTATGTCTATTCCCATGTAATAGTCACCACAATCACCTCATGAACATATACATCAGCCTCAAAAGTTTTCTTATGTTCATTGGTGCCTATTCTCTCCTATATCCTCACCCCTCTACCTACACCACTGATCACTTTGTAGGCTTTAATATAAATGGAATCAGAGCATATGTAGTTTTTTTGGTCTTCTTTCACTCAGCATAATTGAGATTCATCCATGTTATTAAAAATATTAATAGCTTACACCTTTTTGTTTATAAATAGTATTCCATTGTATATATGCACCACAATTTGTTTACTCATTTAGCTGTTGATGGACATCTAGATTGTTTCCAGCTTTGGGCTATTACAAATAAAGCTGCTATAAATATTCATGTACCAGTCTTCGTATGGACATATTCTCTCTTTGCTCTTGGGTAAATTCAATCTATTTTTAAACGTCCAAAGTAGCAGATCTTCTGTTTCAATTGAGATTACAAGAGTTCTCATGGTGAAAATGCTTTCCATTAAATTACATCTAACTTTGCTTTTTCTCAAATTGATTCACATAATTAAATTCATCCTTTCACCATTTGTGTTTATACTTGACAAATGTCTGTGGGCTCTCATCATGCCTGTAGTCTCCACTTTGCTAAAATACCTCATGATCAGGATTCTTGATTATTTTTTTCAGGTGGGGGATGAGTCAGTCTTTTCACTTTTTAAATCTCATGAATATTCTTATTCTCTGCCATTTAGCTTATTCTAGTTTTAAGTGACTTGTCAATTGCGAAGTCCATTAACATGAAAACAATGTGAAGACAGTGTGGTTTTTAATGCTTCCTCATATACACATTTTTATTTTTAATCCCACTGTTAATTCTATTCAACAAGCATTTACTGATTGGTTTCAAGGCAGTTGACATGGGCAGTAGCAAGATGAGTAAGGTGCATCTACAGAGTGGTTACAGTAAGGGCTTTGAGGCTAACAGATTTGAAACTGAACCCTGGATCAGTTATTCCCAGTCTTTGGGGTCTTGGGCAAGCAGCTTTATGCGTCTAATCCTTGTTTCTTCATTTGTAAAAGGAGAAAATTATAGTGCCTCTTTTACCTGGTTGTGAGGATTAAATGAAATAATGCAGGTGGGATGTTTAATATTTCTTCTCACATCCCATGAACCCCTTCCCACCAAAAAATGATACTCCATCCTCATGTCTATGAAGTAGTACAAACTTCTCCGAGCTGTCACTGGATTGTCACTAGAATTTCCTTTTAGCTTACCATGCCAATTATGCCCTTCTGATGGATGGATGGAAAGGGCTTTACACTCATGGGTCCCTAAACACTGAGGTGGCTTCTGAAGCTGTAGATACAGTCACATTCACAACTTTTTCACCTTTCATTGATGTCATATTTCCCTCCATTTCTCTCAGTCATTGTTTTCTTGTTTTCAATTGCTTAATAAAAAAGAACTTTAATAGTAACAGAAGAAAATGTCTTTGAAATCCAGCCATTCATTGATGAGCATTAATTTATTTACACAGCTGGAAGGTGTTAGGGTTTCAGGAGTGTCACTAAGTAAACTGCCTCTCTCCCGATCAAGCATAGAACACATTTGGAGTTAAGTGCAGGAGTCGGAAAGATGCAGCTCAAAGTATCACTTGTTTTGGTAAACTGCTATAGCTGATTCTAGAAAATGCCTTTAAGTCTGCAGGGGAACAGGTTGTTAATCCTTTATTCTACAATTAAACTTACCCCCATCCTCAGTACTGGCAAGATGGACAATCACAAGTTTCCCCTACAGAAGCAGATTTCTAACAACACAGATGGGAGCAGTACAGAAAACACTCTCTCAGCCACCTAGCAAGTCCCAGGAGAAGCAGGTTGGAGGGAGTATGCGCAGATCTGGATTCATTTTTGTAACTCTCCAGGCAGATTTTTTGTTTTTCCTTCCCTCAGTGGAAAGAGTGAGTAGGAAGTGGAGAAAGCAAATGTTAGTCTAGGTGGAATCCTTCCTCATGGAAACAGGAGGAGGTTGGAATAAATATCCCTCCTTCCCCTCAGTGAGAGTATCCTGGAGCTCATGGGGTGCATCACCTCTCAGAATCAGGGAGGGATGAGTTCCTGTCACATGCTCTTGTGTCCCACTATCTACGTTCCTTGGAGTCAGGGTCCTGGTTCATTCTCCTTTTCCCTCAGCTCTGGGCTGAGTACTCAACACTATAGAGTGAGACTGACTTTAATGTGATTTTATGCCTGAATTAAAGGATATGGCAAAGAAGAGAGATAGAGGAATTTGCCCTTGCTTCTCTCGCCAGGAGGGAAAGAGCTAATCTTAACAAAACATTCCTCTACTTTCAAGGCTTTCTCTTGGCTTTGGAGGAGACCTCTCACTTACTTTTATATTCATTGATAACTTTTAAGGGAAAGCATGTTTCTCTTGTCTCTGCACGTGAAGAAAGCCTTTCAGTTTCACAGGACTCTTAAAAAGGATACAAGAAGATATAAAGGTTTAAAACCTGCCAATTTCAACGTTTGAAGCTTCCATGCAGTTCGCTCTGCTGAAGTGGTTGATATCGATGGATTGCAAGCTGGTTCCATTCTGGAGAAAGGAGGCTTGCCTGTTAAGACATTGTTTCTGTGTGTTGGTTGTGCTATCTAACTTCAGCTTTATCTTAGTCATTTTCCAACATTGATATTCTATAGGGAAAATTATAATCCTATAAAGTGCTTTGATAAGAAACAGGAAAAAATTCCATGTTTTGATTGAGGGTTACTAGGAATTTTCCTTTATGAAGATATGATTTGTAAGTTTCAAGATTTTGGCAATAACTATCATGCAAGGGTAAACATGGATTATTTCTATTCCCTACGATAAAATGAAAAAAAATAAATTATTACTGTGATAAATCAATGTGTATCAAATTGAAGAATGGGAGTGTGGAAGAGAAGTTAAATTGCAATCTTTGTATCACAATTACAATCCATATTACATGTTTTGTAGGCAGAAAGAGAAAACCTGATCATTTTGACCTAGAAAGCAGCTTTTTTAGCTTCATTTTTTTCTTCCAATTTTCTTGCATAATGACTGAACCCATACAGAGATTGCATAGATTGTTGTATTTTTATCTTTTATTTTCTTCTTTTTTATTTTTGAGATGGAGTTTCACTCTTGTTTTCCAGGCTGGAGTGCAATGGCGCAATCTCAGCTCACTGCAACCTCCGCCTCCAGGTTTCAAGAGATTCTCCTGCCTCAGCCTCCTGAGTAGCTGGAATTACAGGCATGCGCCACCGAGCCTGGGTAATTTTGTATTTTTAGTAGACACGGGGTTTCTCCATGTTGGTCAGGCCTGTCTTGAACTCCCAATCTCAGGTTTTCTGCCCTCCTTGGCTTCCCAAAGTGCTGGGATTACAGGTGTCAGCCACCACACCTGGCCCAGAGATTGTTTTCTGCTAAGTTCCTGAATCTTATTAAATAAAGAAACGTGATTTTCATGTTTATGATAACAGCTTTTAGGAATTAGATTAGGGCCAACTCTTTTCTAAAATAAGTATCATCAATTTTTCTGCTTGATTCTTTCTCTAACACACACACATACACACAGCCCCCCCCAAAAAATAGGTAAATTGTTGCTGTGAGTATAGAATGGATTTTATCTTATTTGTATCTACCAAAATATTCTCCACTTTGTTTCCATGGTACACAGTCTCAGTCCAGGCCCTGACATTCATACAAATATAAAGAAGCTCTGCACTATGTCTCCTAATGCCACATTATGCTTTTGCTAAGGAAGAAAAAAATCACAACTTGATATATAGTGTTAGTTCATTCATCAATTAAACAACCTTCATCTAAAATGCTTCAGTAAGTTCTAATTGCCCATTTATAAACAGTCTTTGGCAAAAGAGACATCTCAGATGACAGGCATTAATGACTTACTAGAAGTAGAAAAAAAATTCTGATCTTTTTCATGATTCAAAAGCAAACAAATCTCAGGTTTTCCCCAGAAAAAGTAATATGATCTGTTTTAATGTTTTCTGTCCTCACTAATTGTTTTAACTATAAGAAAACATTGATTTGGAGAATTCAGAGTCACTTATGTCATGGATACTTCCCCAGGCCAGTTAAGCCTGGGAATTTAGTTGGAATACAAAATAAGAAATCTATTTTTCTGTGGTGCTGCTTCATCTTCTCTAGGGTCTTCTTTGCTTTTTATTACCAGATGATCCTAATTAATCTTGGTTTCCAACTTGTGCCCAAAGAGACCACATGACACAATCCAAACAGCTTCTTAAACCATATGGTTATTAAAGAGAATACTCTTGCAGAGCTGGAAAGCTTCCTTCTCCTTATTTCTACTTATGGCGCTCTTGCTTTTGCCTGAAGATAAGAGCTCTTGGCCATGGTACTGCCTCCATGCCTTTAGTGCAATAACACGCTCAAGAATGCAGCCAAGACAGCTTCCTCATCTTTCATTTTACCTAGGCAGGTGCAGGTTCTTTCTCTTCCTGCAGCCAATAGAGGGAGACCCTGGATAAGTAAACCTGCTTGGCTCAGATGAGACTTGAGCCACATCCTTGAACAATCACTCTGCTCTTCCTACTTACCAGTGGTAGGATCTAGAAGCCCCTTGAAAATGGCTATTTTCCCTCTTTCCTTTATTTGGATACTGCCCCAGGGTTTAGGCAGCTGTTTTGATTTAAGTTCATTATCCCTCTTTGAAGCAATATATTTACTCCATCAAAGAGAGGACAATTTCTCTAACAGAGATGTCATTGATTCTCTAAAGAAAAGTCATCATATCTTCCCAATGATCTTGAGTAACAGGAAGACTATATTTACTACTTTGCTCATGAGGGTTGTTTGAAAATGGGACGCTGTCCTATACTTATAGGAGGAGTTCCAGTAGCAGCTCAAATATTGCCATGCTATTTTTGACTCACAGAACTTACAGTGGAGAAACAGAGAGATGGTAATCTAGATATGCTTATATATTGATCATTTTTAGGCACATTCACTGAATTGCAGAGAAATATTCTTTGGATAATTGAAAATCCTGGATTTGAATATACTCTGGATTCAGTGGAAAAAATTAAATTCAGATACAAGTGTGTATTATGTTTGGGTTACAACTATTACATACTCAGATGGTTTTATTGCTTAGCCATAGTTGTTACGATCTCTGGTCTCATTAAAGTTATTTATTTTAACATCATTAACTTCCTCCAATTCAGTTTTTCTTCAAAATTTGAAGTTTATTAACATTATTTCCTGTTAACCTTGTTAATAATATGAGTATTACTCATTATGAGTAATAATATGAGTATTACTACCATTTACATTTACTAATAGCATTTTGTTAACCTTGCTAGTACTACAACCACTAATTCAAGCGAAACTTTATTGGATTCTCATTATGCACTGAGCTAACCACTTTGTGTGCTCATCGCTTAATTCCCACAATAATTTATGTACGTACTGTTATGATTCTTATTCTGCAGGTCTGGATTCTGAGGCTCAGAGAAGTTAAGCAATTATGGTCACAAAGCTATAAAGAAATAGAACAAAATCTCCGACCCAAGTATATCTGACCAACTCCAAATCCTGAGCTCTTAAACCATTAGGTGGCACCTGCATTTTCATGTACATATTATGTATATAAAAATTAATAGATTTAGTTAAGTGTATCTGTTAATATGTACATATATGAATAATAACATCTATTTTCATCTAGATTCCAGGATCTGCTGAATTGATTTATGAATAGTTGCTATATTTGCCACTCAGAAAATTGAAACAACAATTTGTCTTTTCTTTTACCTTATAGGTAAATGTAAACACTAACTGCATGCAAAAGTCAAGATTTTTAGTCTAAAAGAAGCTATTAATTTTCACTTAATTTTTAGTAATTTTTTCTACTACTAATAATAGATAAAACATTAAGCACACCATTGAAGAAAATTATAACCTTAAACTGTTCTTTAAAGATTTCCAATGTATTTTTTCCCATTCTTGTCTCCCTTCACATTCCTTTCATTATCTTATCTAAATATTCTTAATTGCACATATCTGAAAAGAATTAGCATATGTCGACAGTACCCTTAAGTATGTCTCCAGGTCTTAACTCTTAGGACTCTGCCTGGCACATAGTTAATGATCCTTAAGTGCTTGTTACATTTTATTGAAGCAAAAGCTAAACATGGAATTAAGTCCTTCTAGCAAAGTTGTAAATAGACAAAAGCCCATCTTTTTCAGAAAAATACCCAAATATTTCCTTAATATGCTTATTTATTTATAACACATTTTTGGAATTAAATATCCCTAAATAAAAATTTAGAGGCACTCATCAATTTTAGTTATTTCATTTGGCCACTTTGCCTTCAATTAATGTATATGTAATACAATTTTAGAATAGTCAATGTGTAATCAATCTAGATCTCTTGTGAGCATAAATCTGCTTCCTTGAAACTTATGAGAATATTCAATTACTTGAATTTATTTGAAACTTACAGTGAATTCATCTTAATTTAAAGATCAAACATTTGGATACTCTTTTTCTGTCATATGCACATGCCATTTTTGATCAGCATGTACCATTTTTTTTTTCCTTAGCTAAAACCAGAAATGGAAAAGGCAAAAATACCGTGAGAACAGCAGTTTTCTTGTGGTATTTCCAGCTCATTGGAAGTGGAGTATACTGGAAATCACGGGAGACAGGCCTTTCCCATGGGGCTCTAAGCCCAGCAGTGCTAATCCAAGAGGTTTGGTTTATTTAAAGCAATCCTTTCAGGCTCATCTATCACTAGTCTCAAGACCTTGAACAAAACCCATAGCAGACAAGGCAATTTTACATGTGTTCTGGCAGTCTTCTTCTATGTAGAGTTATTGTCCAAATAGACAAACATTTTCCTTTCAACAAATATGTAATGGGTTTTCATAACTATGAAAGATGGGTCTCCAAGTATAGGTTCTCTTTTCATGTTCTGTGTGGAGGTTTGGATCACTTCCTAATCGCAGAATGGAAAACAAACTCCCTTTCAAACCATCCGCATTTTAATTCCTTCCTCTTTCAGTTTATTTATCGTGAGATGACACCGTCACTGCCAACACTAGGGCAGGGGATGCACAATGATTTGAAACACTGTGGGCATGAGTAGTACATTTGGAGTTTCTCAGTTACCAATATTTTCTTTCAATTTTTTTAAAAGCATGGTTTTATTTTGGGTAAAGAGTAGCAACTGAAGGCCAAAAACATGTACATGGTAAAAAGGAAATTAAGTTTGTTTCAATAAATATTTCTCAAGCACCTACTCTGTGGCAGGTTCTGAGGATTTTTAAATAAATAAGACAAAAGTAGCTGATATTGGTGAAAGCTTACTGTTTTCTATGTGATTCTCTAGGCCCCTTATATATATTATTCCGCGGAAGTCTATCAACAACCCTGCAAGGTAAGCACACGTGTTGACCCTATTTTACAGGGATCATTTGGCTGCAGAGAAGTTAATCAACTTGCGTATAGCCACACAGGCAGAAAATAGTAGCACTGGGATTCAAACCCCTGTCATCTACCTTTAGAAACTATGTTTTAAATCCTATATTTCCTTAAAATATTGACATTATAAGGTAGAAGACCAATGTACAAACCAATAGCACAATACAATATGATATGAACAATAAAGTATAATTGAGGTAGAAAGTAGCATTCTGATGGAGTGGAGGGTAGAGGAGAGAGTCAAGGGAGACTTCAAAAAAATGTGATATTTAAGTGGAGATAGAAAGGTGGGAATGCAGTTTACCTCATAGAACAACTTTGAACAGAGAAGAGGAATAGGACGAAGAAGCTCCTGCCATGAGAGAAATAGCATGTCAAATACATGGAGACATGGCATAGCAGGGTGATGTCCTGGAAACCATAATTGATGTAGCATTTCTGAAACACCAAGCATCCCCATGGAGGGAGGTGGCAGGAAATGAGTCTACAGATATAAGCGAGTGTCAGTTCATAGGGAAACTTATGCGACATGCTAAGGAGACTATGTTTTATCCTGTAAACCAATGTTTCTTAAGGTTTCTTTTCAATGTGCCTGTATAGATAGAAAGAGAAATAAACCCTTAGGCTGAGATAGTGTAGCCCACATAGTCAAAAGTCCTCACATAGAAAAAAGTTTTGAAGCTTATGGTTTTGTTTAAATTTATGCATTTGCTTTCAATTACATAATACTTTTATTTTATTTTATTTTATTTTATTTTTATTTTATTTTATTTTATTTTATGACATTGTCTCTCTGTCATCCAGGCTGGAGTGCAGTGATGCAATCACAGCTCACTGCAGCCTCGATGTCTCAGGCTCAAGCAATCCTCCTGCCTCAGCCTCCCCAGTAGCTGGGACTACAGGCATGTACCACCATGCCCAGCTAATATTTGTTTTGTTTTTGTTTGGTAGAGATGGGGTTTTGCTAGTTGCCCAGACTGGTCTTGAACTCTTGGGCTGAAGTGACCTGCCCACATCACCCTCCCAAAGTGATGGGATTACAGGTATGAGCACTGCACTCAGCCTATTTTAATATGTAAATGTTTAAATTATTTCTCACTCAAGAAAATCAATGTTCTAAGAGACTTGCATGCTTCATTTGTGAAAAAGTACCTTTTGACATATCCTGTGTTTGGGAAGCTCAGCTGAAGATGTTGGTAGGGCAAAAAGCAAGGCAACAATATAATCATATTTGTTTCTTTGATACTTTTGGAGGGACAGAGAGAACAGGAAAATCCTCTAGACCAGACTAAAGCTGATGAGGGCCGCACCAAGGCAGTGGCAGTGGTGATGAAGAAGAGAGAAGTGATTTTAGAAACATATGTTAGGATAATTAGCATGGGATAGTTAGTTATCAAATGAATGTGAGGGATAATGGAAAAAACAAACCAAGGCTATATGTCAATTAAGGATAGTGTAATCTCATCAGCTGAGATGGAGAATATAGGAAGAAGGGCTTTCCTACACCTTTCAAGAACTTCATTATAAGGAAGACTCAGTACAGAGACCCTACATCCATGAAAGTCAAGAACATACAAATCTCAGGCCAGGTGCGGTGGCTCACGCCTGTAATCCCAGCACTTTGGGAGGCCAAGGCGAGTGGATCACCTGAGGTCAGGAGTTCGAGACCAGCCTGGCCAACATGGCGAAACTCCGTCTCTACTAAAAATACAAAAATTTGCTGGGTATGGTAGCAGGCGCCTGTAATCCTAGCTGCTCCGGAGGCTGAAGCAGGAGAATCACCTGAACCCAGGAGGCAGAGGTTGCAGTGAGCCGAGATCACGCCACTGCACTCCAGCCTGGATGACAGAGTGAGACTCTGTCTCAAAATAATAATAATAATAATACGATTTTCAACATTTTCACATTCAACATAATCTCACTATATTTTTCTTGATTCTCTTTTACATATTTCAAAGGTCTTTCCTCTTGAAATTTGAAGAAAAATACATATTTTTTAAATTAGAAAACTCAGTATGTTTATTATTTTTTAAATACCCAGAATTAATAACAGTTGGTGAGGATGTGGAGAATTTGGAAATCTTGTACAATGCTGGTAGGAATGTAAAATGGTGCAGTTATGGAAAACAGTATGGCTTGATGTTTCCTCAGAAAATTAAAAAATAGCATCACCATGTGATCCAGGAATCTGGGAATATACCCAAAGAAATTGAAAGCGGGAACTCAAACATATGTCTGTACATGTATGTTCATAGCGGCATTTTGCATAATAGCCAAAAAGTGGAAGCAATCCTACTGTCTATCCATGGATAAATGGATAAGCAAAATGTGGTATATATATACAATGTAATATTATTTAGCCTAAACAGGCTTATTTAAGAAACTTATTGACTAGCTTATTTTATTGACTAGCTTATTTTATTTTTTAAATGTTCTAGCGTCAAGGGTATGATACAACAAAAATGTCAATTTTCCTGAAATTGTTTATTAAATGAACAATCACTTCCCCAAAGTTGGTGAGGCTTTTTTTTTTAAATTCATGAATCAATTTTATATGTATTCAAGGGAGTAATTCAGGAGCATGTCTTCTGTCACATGGACTTGTATGGAAAGAGAAGCTATGTAGAGCATAATAGCTACAAATATTGGCCTTGAGTGAAGTGTCCTGTGTTGAGTCTCAGATCCACATTTTCAAGTTGTGTGGACTCAGGGAAGTTGTTTAGTCTTTATTAGCCTTGGTTTTCCAATATACAAAATAAGAATAATGACAGTACTTACCTCGTAGAATTGTTACAAATCAATATTAGCTATCATTATTTCACTGAAATTTGGTAGAGTTCCATATAAATATGTGTGATACATATATATATATAATATATATAATAATATATATATGTATCTCTCAAGTCTGTCTGGAGTAAATCATAACATATTTGGTTCCCACAACTTTCAAGAATTTAATTTCAGGGAAGTATCAAGGCAGAAACTGCACAACTGTGTAATTGGCAGAGTGCCGTCACATACATTATTGATTTCTTTTTGATTCACACAATAACTCTGTGATAAAAGATATTTCTTCCCTATGGAGATGAGCAAACTCTTAGAAATCACAAAAGTTTTAGGGCAAAAACTTGCAACTTCAGCTAAAAGGGTCTGACTTCCAAATTCAATGCTTCTACTGATGTATCAGGATGTCTTTGGGAACAGATTCTATACCCAGAATCTCTTGTATCAGATAGCTCTGTAAACTTTTTTTATTTAGGAAAGTGTTTATTTTAAACATCAAAAAATCTATTGAATGCTTCTAGGGCAGGTCACATGTCCATAAATGAAATATCTCTATCTCCTAAACTATGAACAGAAGAGATTAAAGAGATCACTCAAATAATATATATAATGTAGCAGGTGCTTGATTTATTCCTCTATAAAATTTCAGGAGGATTAAGGAGGTTTGCTGTGAAAATGGTGTAAAAAATAATTACGACACCTGACTCAAAGCAGACACTCTTCAAGACTTTTTTCAAACTGGTGGAAGTGTTCTTGGCAGCCTGCTCTCATCACAGAAAGGTGTTGTGAGAGGGAGATTTTTCTCTGTGCAGCCAAGTTGTACTGAAACTCCCAGAGGAGCGAAAAGTGTGTTCCAAGCTTTTCTTGTTTGCTAAGGTGTAACTGGAACCTCCTACCCGAACATAAATTAACTCTTTCCATTTTTCCTGTCCTGGTTTGTCATGTTAACCTAACCTTTTACTATAAGTTGATCTTTCAACTGAATCTTACATGATAAACAAATTATCTTACAGGTTTAAATCATTATTAATCATTTAGAATTGCAATTACAAAAAAAGTGCTGTTTTTTGCTCTATTTCTCATATTTAGCCATTGTTTCCTAAAATGTTCTGTGTTTCCAACTTATGGAGGAAATTCAATCAACAAGTTAAAAATATTACATTTGAATTAAAAGTTGAAGTCAACATCTATATAATGATAAATCCTCTCTGGAAGCTGCAGCATACAGTTGGAAATGTTTCCATTTATTATGCAGATTCCTGAAAACCTGAATAAATTTTAATTTAGCCCCCAAAGAAACCTGATTTGCAGAGAAAAATTAGTTAAACTGTCATATAAATGAGATTTAAGGTGTTCAAATTTGGAATGAACTGCAAAGCTGTAATTTCTTAACCTGACAGAATGTATTGATTTATATAGCTATGTCATTTATTTACTATGGTGGACAGTCATTTTGGTTTTATTATTTTTTTTTGGAGGGGTTTGATTCTCAGTTTGCATTCATTTTTCTTTTGGTACCAGTAACTCTGTTTGTTTGTTTGTTTGTTTGAGACGGAGTTTCGCTCTTGTTGCCCAGGCTGGAGTGCAATGGCGCAATCTTGGCTCACTGTAACCTCCGCCTCCCAGTTTCAAGCGATTCTCCTGCCTCAGCCTCCCAAGTAGCTGGGATTACAGGCCCCCACCACCACGCCTGGCTATTTTTTTATATATATATATTTTTAGTAGAGGCAGGGTTTCACCATGTTGGCCAGGCTGGTCTCGAACTCATGACCTCAGGTGATCCAACTGCCTCAGCCTCCCAAAGTGCTGGGATTACAGGCATGACATATAGTATAAAAGAGTACAAATTGGCAAATATGGTATAGTGTGATAAATCTTAGACTAGGTCAAAGTAAAGTGATCTAGGGAAAATTGGGGGTACTGTGGAATGGTCAGACAAGAAATTTAGAAGGAGGTGATCCATTCTAGTTGAGTCGTAAATGAAAAGAAGAAAGTAGTGACTATTTGGGAGAAAGAGGAAGAGATGCGGATGAATGGTCCTGACCAAGAAAATAGCCTGTTCAGAATTCTAGGGGGCAGAGTCAGGATGTTCAAGTGACACCAAATAATTCAGTATGGCAGGATCACAAATTTAAGAGTTGGGGAAATAATTCTGGAGTCATAAGAAATCTAGCTGATGGAATAATCAGGGGCTCGATGAAGAAGGTTCTTGTAGATCATGTTTTTAAACAGAGCACTGGTATTTTAGCAATATGATTCATAAATGTGTGAAAAAGTGCTTTGAGAGGCAGCAAAATTGGAGATAATAAAACTTGTTGGGGGAAGAGTATGACTGCAGGGTCTGAGGTAGTGTCTATGTGAATGGAGACAAGCAGAAGGATTTGAAAGAGATTTTGGGTATATGAATACTCAGGTATTCGACTGATTGGATATAAGGGTGAGGAAGAAACCCAGGATATGTCAGAAGAGATTAAAATATGGCTGGAGATTTGATAGTTAATTTCTCCTCTGATACTAAGGTTCTGCTTGCTGTGAAAGGACTTTCTTCTTTCATGACTGTTCACAGTAAATGCTGCTAATCCAAGCCTCATCCCACTCGGCTATTTGTCTTTTTTGCCTCATGAGTACGCATATTACTGTTTTCTACTTGTCACTGTTGAAGAAATAAAACAATCCTGTCCACAGAAGTCTCCTCCTTACCAATGTAAAAAAAGAGAACAATTTATTATCAAAAACCTATTAACAGATTTACTTGCATTGAAGTTCACATGAAAATTACTACGAAGTCTGGACACAATTTTACACAGATTTATATAGTAAGGTAGAAGAAAAAAACAATTCACTTCTCTATCTCCTCAAGAAATAAATGGATGTACTTTGTTATTGTTTTCTATATACTCCCTGATAGATTCCAGTGATTATTTTGGAATCATGTGTTTGCAGTTCCAAGGGTCAGAAAATCTGTGAATTTGCCTTGTATAATCAAAAGGTTGGACCTCTTCTTAGACTTGTAATGCTTTTTAGGAGATACCCTTAGGAGAGGAGATTGAGGAAACAGCCACCTCCCTTCTCTCTATTAAACAAATAAAATTGCTTCATTTTATTCTTGAATCATCAAGACCTCTCTGACTGTAATATCCTGGCTGGTTTACCCTGTCCTTGGTTATGTTCTCTGAAGTCAATACTTGAGATGGTTAATTTTGATATTACATAATCCAAATTTGAGGGTATAGGATATATGAGGCCCTAAGACCCTGACAAATTCAGGGACTCCAAGGGACTCAAGTTCAGCGAATTCCAAGGCCTCACTCAAGTTGTTGGCTGACTCAGTAGATGTCAGAGTCCTATCATACTTCTAAATTGCATGCCTCCGGGTATTTGAGCAAATGTGTTTCCAACCAAGGAACACCATTGAATTCATTCTGGAGGGGATGTGTCCAAGTTTGTTGAACAAGAATGATACCAGGCAATGAATGGTCATTTGCCCCTCTTTTCCCTTCCCTTGTTTCCTGGTGTTTTGGTTTTGTTAAAAACTTTAGACAAAATAAATTTAACAGAGTTTATTTGGGCATTAAAGAATTAACGAGTGGGGCAGTTGCCTAAACTAGAAGAGGTTCAGAGAGCTCTGCTTCAGCAGCATGGGCAGTGAGCTTTTATAGCTGAATGGGGAAATCAAGGAAAGAAATTACTAGATTGGCTACTGCTAGATGCTTATTTAGGTATAATCTGCTGGAAAGTCCCTAGTTAGAAGTTAGTTGGCAGTTTCTGGTTGGTTTAGCCTAAATTTTGTTTTACTATTTACATTTGGCTTTAGTTTGCTTATGTAGGAATCAAAGGTACTGGATACCTCTCAGCCTAATGGCCTCCCAATTACATTTTTTAGAAACAATTTCTTAATAAACTGCTGTAATGGGTATGTACCATGTAAAGTGGAGTGAGACTGGGGAAGGATTGTTTTGTTCTCTTCTGGTTTATTTCACAGGTACCTCTTAAGGGTATGTATTAGAAAGAAAAGTCAAGAGTGCATCCTACTAAAGTACATAGAAATTCTATCTCAAATCAACAAACCTTTTCACATCACCTCCAAAGAAGACTGATTTCTTAGTGTTCTACCTGATACTTAGAATACTGAGGGGGTTTTTTGCCTTCCCTGTAGGAACATTTCTGCATGATAGCTGAACATGAGTTGCTAAGCTGCAACTGCAGATGTCACTCTCAGCTGTTATGTGTGGCCAAATAACCCCTTATAGGCTACTTGAAATAGAAAAACTACTGACATGGGGTCATTGGCGGAGGTTTGTAATAATGCATTTACAAGTAAGGACTTTTACTGATGATGTCACAGGGAAACTGAGGAAAGGATTTTATTAGACGTTACATAAAGATCTTTTTTTTTTTTTTTTTTGAGATGAAGTCTCGCTCTTGTCCCCCAGGCTGGAGTGCAATGGTGTGATCTCAGCTCACTGCAACCTCCGCCTCCCGGGTTCAAGCGATTCTCTTGCCTCAGCCTCCAAGGTAGCTGGGATTACAGGCGCCTGCCACCATACCTGGCTAATTTTTTGTATTTTTAATAGAGACAGGGTTTCACCTTGTTGGCCTGGCTGGTCTCAAACTCCTGACCTCAGGCAATCTGCCCACTTCGGTCTCCCGAAGTGCTGGGATTACAGGCGTGAGCCAACCCGCCCAGCCAAGATCTTTCTAAAATATAACTTTAAGCATTCTTGCTCTTTCTGTAAGCACTTTGCTTATATGTCATCTTTTATAGCTCTTTTTTCTCTCCTTTCCTTTAGCGTCTTTCATCTTCCCTTCCCTACTTTCCTCTTCACTTAAACCTCTCTGCCTCCCATTTTTTTATCAGTTCTATTTATTTTTCTTTTGTGTTCTCCAAAAAGGTATCCTTAATAGTCATAGAGCCCAGAAATATGAAGGGTTCACCTTCCTTAAATGGATGAAAAGAAAGAACTACATAAATCTATAATTTAATATACAGCTTTTCCTCTTAGTATAAAAACCAGCCATTTTTGAATTTTTCTTTGAGAACCTGTATGAAACCTCTTTTGTCTCTCCTGTCTTGTGTGCTAGAATTGACAAGAGTCAATTGAAAAACTCTAAGACCTCTCATTGGCTTTGTCAGGGAAGAATTTTACCATGAAGTGGTGCATTGACCATCTGCAATTTGCAACCTTCTCAAAGACCAATATTATCATAGGTGTTTTACAGTTCTTTCAGGTAACTAAAACTCTTTATTATTGCAGCCTTTACTTCCAAAATTCCAAATATATTCCTTTTTTTCATTGCAATCAGTTGAAAGAAAGAGGTAAATATCTCTGTTGTTCATTTCAGGAATTTCCTGAAAGAGTTATCAACTCTTCAGTAGAATACATGAGTGGACAGTTTATACTATAAGACTCTTTGACCCTCTAGCCTCATCAGTATTCTAATCTTGCAATGCCCACCAATCCTAAACTATTATATAATGATACTTACTCAGTCTTAATGAAGCCTTCACATTATAAGGCCCACCTTAAACCTAACGTTATAATCCCAATTTTCCCAACTTTGGCCTGTGACGACCAGTAAGACTTTGTTGAGGTAAGTTCTCTCTTACTGCAGTCAACAATTAACCAAGTTTGTGTTATCAATGGGTTGTTTTGCTGATGTTTTGAGGAGTCAGCATTTTGACACTTAAAAAATTAAGACTGTGCAATGCAGCTACTATATTACCTTGAGGTTATTGAAAATATGAATTTCTGGAGTCATGCCTCAGAATCTGAATTTGGGAATACTCAGCATTATTTCAACATTGAGTGCTCCATGCACTATGCCTAAGAAGTACTGGATCTAAGCAGATATAAAAATATAAAGACTCCCCATTCAATAAATGGTACTGGGATAACTAGATAGCTGTATAGAGAAGAATAAAACTGAACCTCTACATTTCACTATATACAAAATATAATTCAAAATGAATTAAATATTTAAATCTAAGACCTCAAACTATAAAAATCCCAGAAGAAAACCAGGAAATATCATTCTGGACATTGGCCTTGCCTAAGATTTTATGACTAAGTCCTCAAAAGCAATTGCAACAAAAATAAAAATTGGCAAGTGGAATCTATTAAATGAAAAAGCTTCTGCACAGCAAAATAAACTATCAACAGAGTAAGCAGACAACCCACAGAATGGGAGAAAATATTTACAAACTATGCATCTGACAAAGGTCTCATACTCAGAATCTATAAGGAACTTAAACAACTCAACAATAAAAAGCAAATAACCTCATTAAAAATGGACAAGGACCATGAACAGACACCTCTTAGAAGGTGACACACAGGTGGCCACGAACATAAAAAAATGCTCAACATCACTAATCACCAGAGAAATGCAAATCAAAACCATAATGAGCTATCATCTTACACCAGTTAGAATAGCTATTACTAAAAAGACAAAAAATAACAAATGCTGGCAAGGCTGTGGAGAAAATGGAATGCTTATACACTGTTGGGAATGTAAATTAGTTCAGCCACTGTGGAAAGCAGTTTGGAGATTTCTCAAAGAACTTAAAACGGAACTACCATTTGACCCAGCAATCCCATTACTGGGTAAATACCCAATAGAAAATAAATTATTCTACCAAAAAGACACACACACTTGTTTGTTCATAGCAGCACTGTTCAGGATAGCAAAGGCATGGACTCAACCTAGATGCCCATCAAAAGTGGACTGGATAAAGAAAATATGATACATATACACCATGGTATACTAGGCAGCCATAAGAAAAAAGAAGATCATGTTCTTTGCAACAACATGGATGTAACTGGAGGCCGTTATTCTAAGCAAATTAACACAGGAACAGATAACCAAATACCCCATGTTCTCACTTATAAGTGGGAGCTAAACACTGGGTACATGTGGACATAAAATGGGAACAGTAGTCACTAAGGACTGTGTGATGGTTAATACTGAGTGTCAACTTGATTGGATTGAATGATACAAAGTGTTGATCCTGGGTGTGTCTGTGAGGGTGTTGCCAAAAGAGATTAACATTTGAGCCAGTGGACTGGGAAGGCAGATCCACCCTTAATCTGGTGGGCACAATATAATCAGCTGCCGGCGAATATAAAGCAGGCAGAAAAATATGAAAAGGGGAGGCTGGCCTAGCCTCCCAGCCTACATCTTTCTCCCATGGATTCTTCCTGCCCTTGAACATTGCACTCCAAGTTCTTTAGTTTTGGGAACTGGACTGGCTCCTCAGCTTTCAGGCAGCCTATTGTGGGACCTTGTGATCATATAATATTTAATAAACTCCCCTTTTATTAGTTCTCTGCCTCTAGAGAAACCTGACTAATACAGACTGCAAAAGAGGGAAGGGAAGGAGGGGGCAAGGGCTGAAAAACTCCCTATGAAGTACTATGCTTTCACTACCTGGGTGATGGGACCATTCAAACCCCAAACCTCAGTGTCACATAATATACCATCCTGCACATGTACCCCCTTGAACCTAAAATAAAAATTGAATTAAAAAGTAAACATAAATAAAAAATAAAACAACCAACTCTTTCTTTTGTAAGATGTACACATTTCCATAACAATTATAAAAAATATCTTACTATAGTTAAGAATATTGATTCTAACAATTTGTGTAACTTTTGCATCTCTTCGGGAACCTCAAAACACCACCTTTAATCACTCAGGGTTCAGCACATTGTTAAAATTGTAAAACACCAAAAAGTTAAAAATATAACACTTCATTATCATTGTCTTAAATATTTCAGACCATATTTGTGGGCCTGTGTGTGTCTATGTGTGTAAAATTGTCTGGACTTTATCTTTGATGAGACATGTACTGATGGAAAATGAACTTTTTTTTTTTTTTTTTTTTTAACACCAGTACTTGTCAATCCAGTAGTGTCCTTTAAAGGAAATACAGTGAAACTTTCTCTTATCAACTTTTTTGCTATTCATCATGTGTTAAATCAAGCTGTGGAAGGTACTCATCAATCACAAACTGCCCTGGGTTTGACTCTCAACTTGAATTTATCTCTTTGGCTCAGTTTTCTTAAAGTGGGAGAAATAATCTGTACAGGGCTGTTTACAGGATTGAATTTGTAACATACTAAATATATAGCAGACATTCTGCAATGTTAATTTCATTTCTCTTTCTTAATTTCTCTTGTCTGAAAAGGAAAATTAAGAATTGGGTTTTCTTTTCCACAAAATTGATGTTAATCTGATATGAAGGTAAACTTAATTTAAACTTAGTTGTTGAAACAGTCATGCTGTCTAACTTCAGCTGCCCAGGATTTCGTTGTTGTGGTTGGAGGCAGTGTTAGTTATTTTTCTTCATAGGCTTCCTTCCTTCCATGAATCTGTTAGTCTGGGTCTTTAAAACTTAATTTCAAACATACTGCCGAAAATAACACTGTTAATCTTGTTAGCAAAGATTACTTTTCAAATTGATTTTATGAACTCTCAAAATGGCCGATAAAAAAGGTAACTGACAATGTTCTAAATTTATGTAAGTTTTGACTCTCTTTGAAATGAAATAAAGCTGCTTATTTCTTCAAGTTTTGACCCGCACCTGTAAAAGCCTGTGATGATTAACTATTTATCATTTCAGTTTGGATTGTGAATTGTTTTGGTAATTAAAAGCAGATGGCAGAAGCCGGAGAAAAATGTGTAGCAGCTGATTAGTGGAAATAAATGAATTAGATATATTTAACTTCCAGATAATAGATGGGTCAAATGCAGTTTATGCTTCACTGTGTGTACTTTTAGAGTAATTCCAAACATGATGTTTGATAATATATTGAGAAGTAGGTGTTTGTTCTTCATCTTCTTTCACTCTCTGTCCCATGACACGACGTTCATGTTCCTTGAACAGCACGTGCATCCGCACATTAATTTAAACTCAACTTGATTACTTGGATCACCAGTGGCCTCTTGATAAGGATTTGCTTTGCCTGTGGGTTGTCTTGAGGCCAAGCATTATGTGTTGCTTGGATTTTTCTTATGAGGCTTGTTACTGGCTCTCAAACCCAGCATTCAACAAAAATCAGCTATCCAATGAAGTTAATCTGTCAGCCTAAGAATTTTCATTCTGGTGCTGAAAACAAAAGCCTTTGTAGGAAAAATCAAGTTGTTTAGCAAGTTAGACATGTTTTAAACATGTTTATGAGCTGATATCCATTCCTTCTCAGGCCTCACAATTAAGATTCTAATCCCCACTCTCTTGGAATTTGTGAAACCAATTTGAAGGACTCTGTGTAGTTTCAATAAACCTGTGTTAGGATTTATGTGGCCATAAAGGTGAAAGGATCCAGACCTAAATGCAAGCCCACTGAAGCATTGAAAATTCATATTCCGTGAATGAAAGTCACCAAAAATTACGAAGGTAGTTTGTAGAGTTTTACACATTCTCTGGAACATGCTCATGGAGTAGGAAAAGTGAGAGAATAAAAAAAACTACCATAGATTATCCTTCTCAAGGCAGTCATCCTTTATTTGAGAATTGTATTAACTTTTTGGGAATAGCTTTATTCTTTGTAGATTTTTGCTCTCATAAAGATGTTGACATATGATAACAATTCTGTTTTTAAAGGTGCTATGAGAACCAATCAATCCTTTATGAGTTAAATTGTGTCACCCTAAAAATGATATGTTGAAGTCCTAACCTCCTGTAGCTCAGAATGTGACTTTATTTGGAAATAGAGTCTTTGGAGATTTAACCAAGTTAAGATGAAGGGATTAGGGTGGGCTGTCATCCAATGACTGCCATCCTTATAAAAGGGAAATTTGAACAAAGATATACAGAGAAGGTGATGTGAATATGGCTGTGTGATGATGGAAGCATGGATTGGACGATGCAGCTGCAAGCAAGGAATGCCCACGGCTGCTGCCTACATCTAGAAGCTAGGAAGAGGCAAGGAAGGATTCTGCTGAAAGTCTCAGAGGGAGCATGGCCCTGCTGACTCCTGAATTTGGGACTTTTAGCCTCCAGAATTGTGAGACAACATGTATTTTCTTTTTTAAACCATCTAATATCACATACTTTTCTATGGTAGCCCTAAGCAAAATAATATACAATTCATTGTCCTTCATGAAAACACATCTGGAAGAATAGATAAGTGATAGAATATAATGCTGTTTGTCATTAATATATATTCTTTCAATCTATTTTTTAATGTTTTAAATGATAAATTTCTATTATTAATACAAAAGCTACACATATTCATTATGGAAAATGTTAAAAATAGAGAAAAGTGATCTGAATTGGTTCTTGCTCCATATAGTCTCTTCTCCAAAACATACCAAGGCAATCATCCTTTAAGAATTTTATTAACATTTTGGGAGAAGCTCTATTTCCTTCTCTGTAAATTTTTGCTTTCATAAAGAAGTTGGTACAGTCAAAGCATTTAGAGGGAACTGGTTAAAATACTGATCTTGCCTATTCTCTGATTGGAAGCTTTAATATCTACCATCTCTCTCACAGCAAAGTCCATAGGATTATATGGACCTATGATCCATATAAATCATGACAGCAAGAGTTCTCAATAACCTGGGGCTGTCTGAAAACTTCTGATGTCTGGGCTCTATCCTAGATAAATTCCGACAGAATCTCTGAGACTGCAGCCTGGGCACAGGTATTCTGAGAATCTTCCTGGGGATTCTAATGTACTCCAAGGTGAAGAAACATTGCCTATCATAATCTCTGCTCCCCATTCCTGAAACCCCTTCTTTTTGCCCCTGTTATCTTTTTGATCATATCTTTTATGGCCTTCCACCTCACTTACTCCACCTCAGCCACACTAGCCTTCTTGTGGACTTTTCTTGTCTTTTGAGATGGAGTCTCACTCTGTTGCCCAGGTTGGAGTGCAGTGGCATGATCTCGGCTCACTGCAACCTCGGCCTCCTGGGTTCAAGCAATTCTCCTGCCTCAGCCTCCCGAGTAGTGGGACTACAGGCACACACCACCACGCCAGGCTACTTTTTGTACTATTAGTAGAGATGAGGTTTCACCATGTTGGCCAGGCTGGTCTTGAACTCCTGACCTCCTGATCCACCTGCCTTGGCCTCCCAAAGTGCTGAGATTACAGGCATGAGCCACCACACCCAGCCTTTTGCAGCCTTTTCAAGCTTGTTCATGCATGTTCTCACGTGCTGTTTGTTATCTCACCACTCTCACAGCTATCCAACCACCTGACTGGCTCCCTCACTTCTCTCAGGTCTCTGCTCAAAGGAAAGCTTATCAGAAAGGCCTTTTTTTGACCCTTTTAATAAAATACTCCCCCTATCCCAACCCTTACACACTGCTGCCCTCATGCTTCTTTTCCTTCTAGTCTGTTTTATTTTTCTTCATACATTTAACAACCTCTGAACTATTATTTCACTTATTTATTTTTTAATTATCTGCCACATCCAACTTGAATGTAAGCCCCCTGAGGGCAAGGACTTGGTGTTGTTGTTCACTGCTATATCCCCAGCATAATGAGTGACAGAATAGTCATTCAATATTTATTTGTTGAACCAATAAATGAATTGAGGTAGGATTGGGGGATATTCTGACTCGTGAAATGAAATTATGTCCTTGTGGGTTTGTATTGCATATACATTAATTGAAGGAAAAGTGGCCAAATAAATAACTAAAATTGATGAGTGCCTCTAAATTTTTGTTTAGTGATATTAAACTAATTCCAAAATGTGTTATAAATAAATAAGTATATTAAGGAAATATTTGGGTATTTTTCTGAAAAAGATGGGCTTTTGTCTATTTACAACTTTGCTAGAAGGACTTAATTCCATGTTTATTCAATTTTGGAGTTAACTTCTCCTATCACGGCTGTCCTGATCATTTTATTACAATAAACTGATAAAAGGTAAACTGAAGCAAAATACAATTTTAAAGAGTTTATCTGAGCAAACAATGATCCACAAATAGGGCAGCTCCAAGCAGAAGTAGTTTGGGGGCTCCAACAAGTGAACACAAAGGCAAGGCTTCTATAGGATGAACATGAATGTAAAGCAACTAAAATATTTGATTGGTTATGGTTATATATTAGCCATATTTGGTCTATCCTACTCAAAAGTTCCCAGTTATATGAACTGTTACAGGATTAATTTTCCATAATGATCATAAGTTAATGGGCAACTTCTGATTGGTTGAGCTTGTTTTATTTATTTTTTAAAAAATATAGGCACTTACAAGAAACAGCCCAAGTTAAGTTTGACTTATGTTTGCAAATCAAACAAAGTTAAGACCACTTATGAGGCCTAACTGGCTTTGTCTACTTTGGGATTCTTCAGGCCCGGTCTCTATTTTAACTTACTTTGACAAAACAAAACAAAATAAAAGAACAAGAGAAATTCATGCATATTCTGAATATGTTTAAACCTTCAGTGTCTTCCTGACATTTCTCTTTCTATTTCTCAGTCATTTCCTTTGCTTAATATTTTAATTTTCTGCTTGTCCTTTTACTCTAAAAACTCCAGATCATAATTCTTTATCTTCATTTTTTACTCATACCTCGAATATTGTTATTGGCCCTGTCCTCATTATACCCAGGCTGGAGTGTGCACAGCGTAATCCTGGGTCACTGCAGTCTCTGCCTCCCAGGCTCAAGTGATTCTCCTACCTTAGCCTCCCCAGTAGTTGGGACTACAGGTGTACACCACCATGCCCAACTAATTTTTGTGTTTTTAGTGGAGACAGGGTTTCACCATGTTGCCCAGGCTGGTCTCAAACTCATGAGCCCAAGTGATCTACCATCCTCAGCCTCCCAAAGTGCTGGGATTACAGGTGTAAGCCACCAAGCCTGGCCTAATTATACATATTCTTGAATGTTCTTTTCTGTCCCCAGTAACTTCAATGGTTTTCACTTTGGTTGCTCTTTAGAATATCTAGAGAGTCTTCAAAAGTAGCAATGACTAGTTCACCATTTGAATAAGAAGCTCTGGGTTGAAGTTCAAACATTCGTTTCAAAAACTCCTTGGGTAATTCTAATGGGTAGCCAGAATTGAGAACCACTGATGGATGTTTAAAACCTCTCAGATCACAGATTGAACATTTTCTGTATTTTTGAGGCAGAGGATAATATAAATGAGGTGTAAGTTGGCAGAGTAGAGAATGGATTGTACCAAAGAATATCAACGGGAGAGACTGGAGGAAAAGTCAGTTTTTGCAAGTGATGAGAACCTGAATTTAGAACACTGGTGATAAAGGTGGAAAGATAACAGATTATACAGACACTAGGGAGGAGTTTTCAATAAAATATTGCTGTATGACAAACTACCTCAAAATTTAGTGGCTCAAAATAATTGCTGGCTTAAAAAGACAGCAGTTTTTTCCTAATAAATTTGCAGTTTGGCTAGGTCTCAGTGGGAATGTCCTGTTTCTGCTCTGTGTGATATCACCTCATGTGGCTCAGTGGATCTGAAGAGTCTGATTTTAAGATGGTTCACTCACATGGCCGATAATTCCTACTGGCTGTCACTTTGCAGCTTGGCTAAGGCTGTGGTTCTGAGAGCTTTGATTTCCTTAAAATGGGCTTCTCCATAGGTTGCTTGGGTTTCCTCACAGTATGGTGGCTAGTTTCAACAGCAAGCATTTCAAAAGAACAAAGGGGAAGTGAATTGCATTTTTATAACTTAACTCAGAAGTCAACTTAACATTGTTTCTAGTATTTTGGTTGAGGCAGTAGAAAGGCCAACTTAGATTCAAGAAAAAGGGGCATCGATTCCACATCTTAATAGACACAGCAGGAAGGTTTGAGAAGAAATATAGGCTAGGAGATGTGGTGGCCATCTTAAGACACTACAGTCTACCACCATGTTGGGAACTGATTGGAAGAGGACAATGAAAAGTGAAGAAGGAAGAGCAAAAGTAATTTAAGCAAAAACAATCTTAAATTGCTTTTTAGGATTACATACAATCTCAAATTGTATGCTTACTAGGGTTATTATCCTCCAAAAGTAATACTGTTATTAACTAGGGCTGTGGGGAAATATTGTTTGTATTATATGTTCCTAAACCCTAGGGTGTACTTCATTTCATTTGCTTTGTTCAGCACCTGGATTGTACATTAACAATGGATAATGCTTTGGAAGGGTGATGATAGTTTTCTAAAAGTTTTCAGAGACCTTTAATACTTAGGCTATTCTTACACATTCAACCGATTAAATTTTTTGGCTAAATGTACACATCAACTCAAACACCTGGTAAAGTTAGTAAAAAAAAAAAAATAAAACCGAAAAACAAATATAAAACCAATTACTGAAACCTGATGACTTTGTTTTTAAAAGGAAAAGCCCATGATTTTCTTTTTAAAGAAAATAGGAAGCCAATCATTCCAACTCACTATTATTATTTTAAAAGATAATACAGAGAATTTCCTGACTTAACTCTGATCCATTTCCAATTATAGGCTTCCATGTTTGAGAATACAAAATGGGCCCTGTGGAATCAGCTCTCTGTCTTAAGTAAATTTATTAAATATTTTTTAAAAAGAAATGACCACCAGAGTCCATTTGAAAAGTAAGCTTACTGTGGCAGTCCCAGGGTTAGCTGCAATGAATATAATGTGATGATAATGACTATGATGAGTGGTAGCTAAGAAAATGTAGATAGAACAGTGTTCTAGGTTCCTTTTGGCTCATTTATCCCCATTGGCAATCACCCCAAAAGAGGGGCTCACACCCAGCTCTGCCTTGTCCATGTGAGTTCTTGGTTCACAAAGTCTCATACAGCAGAAGAATAAAGGGAAGGAGAATTGAAAAATCCTTTTCGGTGGTTTTGTTGCAAGCCTAAGTTTGTCAAACACTCTAGCTGCATATTTTTCCTAGAATGAAATATTCTCATGGCTGCCTAGATTTGTTGTTTTTGTCAAAGTTCAAATTGTATGAATCATGTAAAAAGGATATAATTAAATGTATAAGAAACTTTAATATTAGGAAAACAGGTGAGTGGCAAAGCACTGTTAACATATTCATGCATTAAGCAAATATTTATTAAATGCTTACAATGTGCAAAACAGTATCAAGTGATATAAGAAGCTTGTTCTGATTTAGATCAAACTTGGATACAAGAGTTGATCTTTCTTGTTGGTCCAGTATTCACTTTCATTCAGTTAAGTTTACAAAGCTGCACATTGCTTACAATTTGACTCATCGACTGGAAGGTTTTTATTATTGCTTTCTCTTTTCCCAGGCTTTTCATTGACTGTCTGAATACACACCATGAAATCAGCACCATTGGCTTCAAAGACATTTATTAAAACGATGCATTTGTAAGAAGAAATTTTATGAGATCTGTGGCTTATGAAGTCCTTGATCTATTTAATCCAGATGATTGGATCCTAATGTTTGCAGCAAAGACAGGCCCTAATGCTTATAGGTAAGATGAGAGAAGTTTTAAACTAATCAATTGCAACAGGGTGCACAGTTCCTTTTCGATGACTATGACCCTCACATTTATTACCTTTGTTTTTTTTTTTTTCTAGGTCCACTCAGCATAAAGTTAAAAGTGCTTACATGCTAGACAGCTCTCTTGGAGGAGTAGCCTGCAAAAACTATATCTTTAAAGGTTTATTTTCTGTGTAGCTATACTTGAGTGAATGTGTGTGTGTGTGTGTGTACATTCAAGATCTGTACATCTTATTCATAAAAATGAACCAATCAATATCTACCAAAGAAAAGTTCAAGAATGCAAATTTTTAAGAGCAAAAATGATAAAAACACAGAAAGAGCTTTTCTTAGGCAATGATCTTATCATTGAAAGACGTTTCAACACAGTAAAATAGATTTTGGCTGAGGAACAAAGACATTTATTAAGTACCTTCTATATCCACGTCAGGCACTGGGTAGTCATTGGAAAATCAAAGATGAATTAAGATTTGGCTCACACCTCTGGGAAGTTGTGGGGGGTAGGGAGGGGTTAAAGAACTTGACTCAGGTGTAAAGAAAAATAATGCACTAGCACATATGCTGTGGTAGTTACCTGCAGGAAGGAGTTGAGGAAGATACTTGAACTGGTGGTTGAAGCATGACTAGGGGTTTTCTAGGCAGAAATGACAGGACATTATGTTCCAGGAAAATAACCACAGGGACAAGATACCATGGAGGAAAAACACACACATGCAACCAAATTGCCAAACCCCAGGAGCCTGTAAGAGAAAGCAGCACAGGACAGATCAGGATGGTTCAGAGACTTGGACAGTGTAAGACACCAGCTGGAGACTGGAAGGACTTGAGGATTTACAGCTCTTGACAAATAAAGAGGGAGAAATTATCAGTGGCTATTCAACAGCAAGGACAGCGTTTCCAAACCAGCCTAGTCAGGGGCAGCCTTGCAGGGCAGTTATAAACAGAGTCTGTGGAGCCAGATTGCCTGGTTTGCATCATTGATATATCACTTACTCCCTGTGGGACCTTGGGCAAGTTACTTAACTCTCTGGGTTTCAGTTTACTCATCACCAAAGGAAGACGGATGACAACAAAAGTATGAGGTTGATACTGTGAGAATTGTATGAGTTAATGTACATGCACATGGACCAGTGTTGACATGATATGTGCTATTGAAATGTGGTTAAAGATGGAGGTTTACATCATTGACATGTGCACAAGAGGACCAGATGAATGACATGACACCCACTGTATCAGTAAGGCTGTGTGTGATTGGGGAAGTGAACCACTATAGCTGATAAAGAGCAAAGGATTTATTATATGATGATCTTATACACCTTACACAGGTACTGGTTAAGCATTATATGTAGTTCTGCTACCTCTATATTTGAAGTGGGGCCAAAAGTTGGCAGGGTGAACACTTGAGCAGATAGATGGATGACATGAAGTCAGGGAGGCAATGGGAAGCCTGGAAGTTGTATCAGTATCTCATGCCTTCATGTCTCGTTTTTCATGATTTAGGTGACATGCAGAAGCTGGTGCCCTTCTTTACAGAGCTGCACTTGCTCCTGGCTCAGGATGCAGAGAAGATAAAGAAGGAGATCAGAAGGAACTACTGGACGTGCAGGTCAGGGCATGGCCATTGCCACAAGGGAGCAGCAGTTCAGAAAGAATGTGTGTGAGCTGTCACACATCTGCCTGCAGCAAACTTCAGAGTGTAAAGATGGCTGTTATCTCACTGTGGCCTTCCAGATTGCCTACAAATTCCTCTGGTGGCTGATCCTAACCTAGATCTCTCCAGGGAAGGGAACTCTGAGAAGGTGGCTCCAGTGTATGGACATTGACACGGTACAGTGAGTCTGCCTACACATTCAAACTCGTTGCCACACTGAGGTGGGACCCATGCTCTCTCCTCTTTCCTTACTTTCAGTTTCAACAATTAAAGAAAGAACAAATGCTCCCACCTCACTACTGAGAAATAATGCTACTTCTGTGACTGAACTATCAAGGAGCCAAGAGGAAAGCAGTTGTCATTCCAGGGAGACAAGACTGTAAAATAGAACATGGGCTGAGGAAGTGCCAGATGACTGGATTTCTGTCCCACCTTTGCCACCTGCTTCTGCCAATTTCTTCATCCCAGTAAATGCCACGCCCCCCATCCTCCAACCCAACCCTCACTTTTGGCTCCTCCTGGACCCTGGACCCTCCTTTTTTCCTTATCCCCCACATCTAACTTTGAAACTGACACAATAATCCCATAGGCAGATTTTTTTCTTTTGATAAACAGAAATTGACTCTTTCAATTTTAAAGCTTGAAACTTGCATTGGTTTTATCTGAGTTCCTTCCTCAGGAAAGGACCCCCAGGCCTCTCAAAAAGTAACAAAGAACTGAAACTCAGGAGATCATCACATCTAGACAAGGAGATGCCAGGCCCCTCATTCATCATGATTGCTTCCTTACCCTCCTGAGTTCCTGTTTCCTCACACATAGTTACATTTCTTCCCTGCTACATAAACCCCCAATTTTAGCAGGTCTAGGAGATGTATTTGAGACTGATCTCCTATCTCCTCAGCTGCAGCACCAGATTAAAGCCTTCTTGATTGGCAATAATCATTGTCTAGGTGATTGGCTTTCTGTGGGGTGAGCAGCAGGACATAGAAAGAGCCCCTGGTATTTTGGTAACAATTTGTGAGCAAATCCTGCCGACTTTTCCCCAATACTCATTCTGAATTTATGTTGCCCTCTTCCTCCAGTACTGTTGTTTTCTTCTAAGCCACCCTCTTCTCTTGCCTGGACTCCTGCTGCAGCTTCTACCTGATCTCACCCTTTCTACTGTATACCTACCTCTCCAAATTGTTCTCCCCATAGAAGTTAGGGTGACCCTTCAAAATGTAGTTCATATCACCTCACAGTGATGCTGCATCTTACACTGGCCCTCCAGAAGTTTAGGATAAAATCAGAAGTCTTTCTTCGGGCCTAAAACTTGCATGGTGAGGTCTTCACCTACCTTTATTATCTCACTTCCTGCCCTTCTCCTCCTTACTCAGTATGAAATTCTTTTGCTTTTCACACATATCAAGACTGATCCCACTTGAAGAACTTTGCTCTACTGTAATCCCAGCACTTTGGGAGGCTGAGGCAGGTGTATCACTTGAGGTCAGGAGTTCAAGACCAGCCTGGCCAACATGGTGAGACCCTGTCTGTACTAAAAATACAAAAATTAGACAGCCATGATGGCACGCGCCTGTAATCCCAGCTACTTGGGAAGCTGGGGCAGGAGAATGGCTTGAACCCAGGAGGCGGAGGTTGCAGCAAGCTGAGATTGTGCCACTGCACTCCAGCCTGGGCGACAGAGTGAGACTCCTTCTCAAAAAGAAAAAAAAAAAAAGAACTACTTTGCTCTAGATTAGTGGTTCTCAATCAGGGCAGTTTTGCCCCCCACAGCCCTAGGGATATTTAGCAATGACTGGATAAATGCTGATGCTACTAAATGTTCTACAGTGCATAAGACGATCCACCACAACAAAGAATTATCTGTCCCAAAGTATCAGTATTGCCAAGACTGAGAAATTTCTGGGTGTTCCCTTAGCCTGGGTGCTCTTCTCAAATCTAGTCACTCTGTCATCTTTCTGTGTTTTAGTTTCTTATCTATCCAGTAATTCTTGGTATTTGTTTGAATTATTGTGCAGATCTTCTATCAGGATATAAGTTCTAAGAGGGCAGGGGCCTGGACTGTATCCTAGCACTTTGGGAGGCTGAGGTGGGCGGATCACCTGAGGTCAGGATTTCGAGACCAGCTTGGCCAACAAGGTAAAACCTTGACTCTACTAAAAATTAGCCAGGCATGGTGGTGGATGCCTGTAATCGCAGGTACTTGGGAGGCTCAGGCAGGACAATCTCTGGAACCTGGGAGGCGGAGGTTGCAGTTAGCCAAGACTGCACCATTGCACTCCAGCCTGAGCAACAAGAACAAAATTCTGTCTCAAAAAAAAAAAAAAAAAAAAGGTGGGCTGTGAGAATGAGAACCAGAAGCATAAAAGGTGTCCACGACATCCAGCAATCGTGAACATTAAATGATAAATATAACATTTATCAGTAGTATCTGGCACATTGGTAGTGTTCCATAAGTATTATATTAGCCATTTTGTATTAATGTTTCTACTGACCTCCAGTTAATAAGGATTAATGATGTTATTATTTGATATAAAAAACACTAGATTGGGATTTGGAAAACTTGCCTCATGTCAGGTTTACCTGATAAATTGTGCTTTAAGTTTTTTCAAACATGTTTTGAGTGTCTGTAAAGTACAAGGTGCTGAACTCTTGCAACAGACAATACAAAGTAACTAGAACTTATCTGCCTCTGAGAACTTGAAATCTATTGGAGGAGATAAGACAAGCATGCAGATAGCTAAAACATAAGTCAGAAAGTAATACTACATTTTATTTACTCTAAAATGCATATTCCCTACCCGATCCCACCCCTGCTCTCTGACTTCAATACGTCTAAAACCAGGATTGGTTTAATAGATGACATCTCAGATTTGATGGAATAAGATAAATTTCACTAGAGAAATACCAATACACTTCCATGGGAATCAAAAGGAGAGGGTAGTTATCTCTAGCTCGGGACTGTGGGGGAATGAGGAAATATATAGAAAGTGACAAAAATAGCAGACATATTAGTCAACATTAGAAAGTGTCCTTGGTTTTCTTCTCTCTGAAATGAATGGATTAGACTAGATTACAAGTCGCTCTATTAGTAGTTTGAAGTCTTATGTGGTAGCTCTGGAAGCTTCTTGCAGCTGCTATATTCCCTGTCCACCTGTTCCTTCTGCAGAGGTTTATCTGGTCTGCCAGTAAGGAGAGTCAATTTGCTGTGGGACTCTCATGGTGCTTCTAGGTGCTCTTGGACCTTTCAGACTCGCATTATAACTGTTTCTCAGGCTATGCCAGGCAACTACCCATGTCTGTCATTGCCACAAGACAGTAAACTCCGTGGTATAGGGGCTGTGTTTGTTGGGTGTCAAGTTATTTATGCCCACATATGAAGAACAGTTTTTGGCACATCATTAAGCCCTCACAGGTACTAGCTGAATCAATATTAAAGGGTAATACATTTATTATCTGAACCTACTAACACCTTACTTGGATGACCAGCTAAACTGAATCATTTAGGAAAATGGAATGGTTGATAAATGGTTGGTAAGTATTTTGCCAAAAGTAGCTTGGGTCCTTCAAAACTAGATGATACAAATGAATTTTTTATGCTGTAATAAACTCCAATTTTTGTTAATTTTTTTTTTTTGCAACTGAAAAGTTCCAACTTGACCTTTTTTTTTTTTTTCTCCCTGTGGAAAGCAAGAACCTGGTCAATATTTTTGAAGTGGCTAAACTATATGTTTAGGCCATTTGGGGACAAACTTGAATGCTCAGTAAGTTAGAATTGTATGAAGTTTGATGTGGTGCACAGAGCCAGCCATCTTGTGAAAAAGTGAAGAGAAGTAATTCTCGTGGCTGATTTTTAACATAATTAGTTTCACAGCTTCCATTTTTGGAAAAAGCATTAGGGATAGCACTGATTCAGAAACAATATGATGAGACAGCATTAGAGGAGAGAGAAAATGTCACATTTAACTTGTGCAGAATGTTCAGAGATAAACCAGCAATCTTCCCCGTTGGTAAAATAAACAAGCAAAAGCTGGTGAACTAGACCAAGGAACACTGCCAAAGTCAATTGCCCCTGGACATTTTGCAGTCCTGTGCTCATTTCTATTTCATTTGGTTATTCCTGTCTTTCCAATACTCCATCGTCTTTAATCAAGCATAAAATTAAACTGGGAAGCAATATTTTCTGGTTTCTATTTTTTTCATCCTCATCAGAATCTAAATTTATACCTAAGCAAGTATTCACATCTAGAAGAAACTCTTCTAACCATGTTCTAAACTCTTCTAACCATGATTATGATTGTACATTCTTAGGAAAAATGTTTTAAATGAACCAATATTATTACTACTCTTTATAATTTATTATTTATCCCTTGAATAAACTAACTAACTTGAAAATATTTGGAGCATTTTTGGAAAGCTCCTTGGTAACTGTTATACAAAACTTGAAAATTAGTTGCCTGTGATGCACATTTGGCACAGAAGTGTCTTGTTGCTCTGCAAAGGTGTTTTTTTTTTTTAAATTTTGGTCCCAAATTTATAATCCAGCAGATTTTACATAAAAATGTAAATGTCTTACCCTTCTTGAAAAAAATTTAGAAGGTCTGATAATCTAAGACTGTTCAATTAAGCCAAAAAATATTTCCTGAGTACCTCCTATGTGCCAGGTACTACATCAGTCAGTTACGTAGAGCCCTGCAGCAGCCATCTCCTCTTAGGGGAGGGGTGGTAACTGTGTATGTTCTCCTGTGTTCCATGGTCCAAGACACTGCAGTAAGGCTTGTTCTCAGTAGCTGTTTATCATAACCCTTGCATGGTTGATTTACTCATAATGGAGAAAAGAATACTTATTTCAACATGTGGCAGAGATGGCAAGCCGTCTAATAATTATTTGGAGTTGCCATTGGAAAGTGGCTTCTTAACCACATACTGCATTTCACAGCCCTCTTTTTATACAAGCCACGTAACAAATTTTCACTAATGGAATGTAAGCAGAAGTAATGGATTTCAATCTTGACAAGGTTTTTAAGAGAAAAAAAAAAGACTCTCCACCCTCTTTTCCTGCTTTGAAGTTGGGATTGGAATATCTTAGACTCTCAGGACCACAGGATGAAAGCAGCCTGGGTCCCTGGGTTCCATATGGAAGAAAGGCACTCCTTCAGCAAAAGCATATGCAGTGGATGATTACACTGGGGTTTAACATTAATTTAGGTAAGATGTCGTGTCTTTTGCCAAAATTGGAAACACTAATGATTATTCAAGAGACTGAAATGTTTCAAAAGAAGAAGAATCACCTGCCCAAAGCCATAGTTTATAGTACCTACCTGACACCTGTAGGAATTTGAAACTCCTTCCTTAATGAAACAGATCATTGGTTTTCCTATAATTTTGTTTTGGATCAAGCAACTAGCAACTCTATTGCCAGAGTAAATTTAGTCATGAAATTCAGAAAGCTGAAAATAAAGCTCTAAAATTTTAAACAAAAGGAAAATGGCTTGAGAAATTATTTTTAAAAATTCCATATTCATAAATTTATCTATGAAGACTATAAAGTATAAACAAAGTACAACAAAATTAAGGATTCTTAGAGTTCAAGGAAGTGTAGAGCCATCCAACCTTACCCTCTACACCAATGTGTGAATTCTCTCAGTTTTTATATTTAGGTCTCATTTCTTTTTAAGTACTTGCAGTGATGGAGAACTCCTAACCACACAAGACAACTTTATTGAACAGTCATTGTTAGATTTTCCTTTATCATTTTAGATAAAATATGTCACTAATACCTATCACTGACTTTAACGAATTCTGTTCTCAAATGACTAGGAGTTTACACAGGATTTCTCTTCCATGTGTTTATGTAACAGCCCTTTAGTTACTGGAAGATAGATGTCAGATGTCATGTGCACTACTAAATCTTAATTTTTCTAAACTAAACACCCTCAGTTCTTTCAACTGTTACATATATTTATTATGCCGTCATAATCTTGACTGGCTCTTCTAGAAGCACTCCATTAGTTTCTAGGTATATTCTTAATAGCCTATTTTTATTATAATTTTGCATTTGCTTTAGACCATCCTCATCAAGATATTACATCAGTTGAAATATACGGTTGACAAATTTGTTGTCAACCATATATCACAGATCTTTCTGGTAAGTACCGCCAATATTTGCCATATGTTTTTTCAACTTAATGTATTAATCCTTCATCTGGCAGTCTGAAGTATTTCTAAAGCTTTCCTACATCTCAGTACTTAACAACTTGCAGTTTTTGCAGATTTTATCTGAGGGGAAAGTTGATTTCGTCTCCCTGGAAACCTTTTTGTTTATTCTTTCAGAATAAACTAGAATTTATAAGATATTTGGAGGCAACCTCAAACTTGATATTTGTTTCACTGCAATTTTTAAATAGATAATTATTTTCCCATTTCTTCTTCATATTTCTTAACTGCCTTCAGGTAC
This sequence comes from Homo sapiens, assembly GCF_000001405.40. NCBI lineage: Eukaryota > Metazoa > Chordata > Mammalia > Primates > Hominidae > Homo > Homo sapiens. The sequence goes on along the minus strand of NC_000008.11, from coordinate 107,665,429 downwards.
CTGCATTTCTAAATGTCAGTAATTTCCTATGGATTTCTGAAGCTTTCTGTATTCCAACTTTGTGCAACTTAAGGAAAATATTATTTTATTTTTTTATATATCTGATAGGATGCTTCATGGCTCTAATAATTCATAAAAGTTGGTGAAGCAAAAATACAACTCTAATCTTATAACTAAATAAACTTTCTTAAAGAGAAACTTCCTGTCTTAGATAGCTCAGACAACTTATTCTAGACCAGGTTAGACTTACACTAAAGTTTCTTCAAACAAATGTAGTTATTGTCCTTCAGTTGAAAACTTTGCATTTCAAGCTTCTTTTTCCTTCAACGGTTTTCCCATTTCTTTTTCCTGGTTCTCATTTCTTAAGATGCTGGGAATCCCATATGGGGTTGGTGGAAGGAGGAAGAGTGTGGTCTATGTACTGGCCCACTTAGTACTGGGAGGTAATCCAACATTCCAGGAGGGCTTTTAGGCTGGTTCTATCTGCTACTGATCTCAAAGCGTTTAGTGACCAGTTGTTAATGCCCTCACAGCAGCAGTGACTGAAGTGCTGGCACTGTAGTGTGTCACATGGGGTGGTTGGAGTGCCCAGCTAGGTCTCCATGAAATTTCATGGCACGAGTGATCCTTCAAACTTCACCTCAGAGAGGCTTCCAGATAACTCATGCCAAGTTTCTCTCAGGGACTGATGGATTGATTGACGTACCCAGCTACGTTTGTATCTTCTTATAAGCCCATAGAAAATGTAGAATTATCTTCTGTACCAAATTTAATTTCAAAGAGTGCTGTGGATGGTTCTAACCCTTTCCAGCCTAGACATAACTTTGCCTATATCACTTACAATCTACCCCCAATGAATTTGAAGAGTCTGCTGTCAAGTAACTCTAGTTAAACAGGGGCTTATAGTTGTCTAGATTCTAAGCCCTTCCCTCAATTTGCTGGGAGGGCTATTTTTGTGGTGTCATCTCTTTCCCCCAGTGATTACTGAGGGAACAGGTAGGATGATACAAACTGCTCTATCGATTCGTCTTCAGTCTCTATTCACCTCACTTTATGGCTGGGGAAAGAGACCAGCTTTTCAGGCTTGAATATTTTTCCCAGTTCTTACACTTGGTGAGTTGTCTTCAAACCAGGTAGTTGAAGCCACCTCATTTATTGGTGGTCTGTACAGGGGGATTAGAGAGAATTATAAAGATGTAGTCACTATATGGCTCAAATAGAAGCCACAATTATCAACCAGTTACATGCAGTTATCAAAGACAGCTTTAGTTTTGAGATTTTATGAGTCCTTTTTCAAAGCATATTGACACTGGATAGTGGTCAAATTAATAAAGTGAAGATTTTCATTTGATGAAGTACTTCTCTGACCAAAATATAGAACTGAGGAAACAACCCATGCAATTGTGCATTCTTGAAAGACAGTTTTGGAAATTGTATTCCTCTTTTCATCTTTTGCAGAGCTACTCTTGAACAGTTTCATAACTCAGATAACTGAAAAATGAAGCCCATCTTTTCAGTCCACCTGTCTATATTCAGTAAGCCACTAACTGTGGGGATATGAAAAGAGAACCTGGTACTTGCCTTGAGGGATGGTTTTTACATTTTTTTAAAAGCTGTAATACAAAAGGCAAAGGACAGGTGGCAGAGACTGTTTGTGGCTCATAAAGTCTGAAATATTTACTGTCATGACCTTTGCAGAAGAATTTTGCAGACCCCTGCCTTAACAAAACCTACCACCTACTCACTGACGGCATTGTTACTGGAATAGGGTATTTTCATTTGTATTTTTAATCATTCCTTTATATTTATTATTTTGTTATTTTTGTTACTGATATGACCGTCTTTAACATCTGGAGACATTTTATCTAATTTTCAATACTTTTTCTGTGATTCTCATAATCTGTTCATTAACTTTTTTTTTTTTAGACAAAATCTTGTTCTGTTGTCCAGTCTGCAGTGAAGTGGCCCTATCTAAGCTCACTGTAACATCCGCTTCCCAGGTTCCAGCGATTCTCCTGCCTCCGCCTCTGGAGTAGCTGGGACTACAGGCGTGCACCACCACACCCAGCGAACTTTTTGTATTTTTAGTAGAGATGGCGGTTTCACCATGTTGGCCAGGCTGGTCTCGAACTCCTAACCTCAAGTGATTCACCCACCTCAGCCTCCCAAAGTGTTAGTATTACAGGCATGAGCCACTGCACCCAGGCTATTCACTAACTTTTATTTATTTTTTCCTTTTATTTTTGAGACAGAGTTTTGCTCTTTTGTTGCCCACGCTGGAGTGCGATGGCACAACCTTGGCTCATTGCAACTTCCACCTCCCGGGTGCAAGCAATTCTCCTGCTTCAGCCTCCCACGTAGCTGAGATTACAGGCGCACGCCACCATGCCCGGCTAATTTTGTATTTTTAGTAGAGATGGCATTTCACCATGTCGGCCAGGCCGGTCTCGAACTCCTGACTTCAGGTTATCTGCCTGTCTTGGCCTCCCAAATTGCTGGGATTACAGGCATGAGCCACTGTAGCCAGGCTTTTCTTTTTTCTTTTTCTTTTTTTTTTTTCTGAGACTGAGTCTTGCTCTGTCACCCAGGCTGGAGTGCAGTGGGTGATCTCGGCTCACTGCAACCTCAGCCTCCCAGTTTCAAGCAGTTCTGCCTCAGCCCTCCAAGTAGCTGGGACTACAGGCACGCACCAGCATGCTCTGCTAATTTTTGTATTTTTAGTGGAGATGGGGTTTCACCACTCCTGACCTCAGGTGATCCACCTACCTTGGCCTCCCAGAGTGCTGGGATTACAGGCGTGAGCCACTGGACCCGGCCCTGTTCATTAACTTTCGACGTCCCTTTCTTACTATACAAGTCCATGGAGCTTTTTTTTTTTTTTTTTTTTTTGAGACGGAGTCTCGTTCTGTCGCCCAGGCTGGAGTGCAGTGGCTCGATCTCGGCTCATTGCAAGCTCCGCCTCCCGGGTTCACGCCATTCTCCTGCCTCAGTCTCCGGAGTAGCTGGGACTACAGGCGCCCGCCACCAAGCCTGGCTAATTTTTTGTATTTTTAGTAGAGACAGGGTTTCACTGTATTAGCCAGGATGGTCTAGGTCTCCTGACCTCATGATCCGCCCACCTCGGCCTCCCAAAGTGCTGGGATTACAGGCGTGAGCCACCGCGCCCCGCCTCCATGCAGCTCTTTTATTTAATTTACATAGTCTCTTGGGAAAAATAAAAAAGAGTATGCGAAGTCCACATTAAATCATCAAATTGATTTCCCACATTTGATTCAGGTGTTGTCCAGCTATATTTAGTAAACAATTGTATATTTTTCAAAAAATATTTATTTGAATGAATTGTTTGCCATTTGCCTTAAGTTGATTTCTCAATTCACTCAAAAATATCAATGTTTGTATATACATACATAGATATAGATGTGGACAGAAAGATTTCTTTATCCAAGAAAAGTGTGACATATAATAATATTAGATTGTCCCCTGATGGACTTACTGCTATATTTCAACACCGTTACCTTAAATTCAGCGTGTTTCACTATATATTTTCAGAAAGAGTTGAGTCACAGGCATCTAATGTAAATGTTTTCTTCAGGATATTAAAGAAAAATATTATTTTAAAAATCAAGTGAGTTTTAAATGCTTTTATTAAAACCACAGTTATATCAGAATTTCCTGAATTTGAAGGGTCATGATGGATTATGCCCTTTTCCGTATGAAAGGAGTTAGGATTTAGAGGTGTTTTGCTATGTCAGCTTCATGTACATAACAATTCAAATACTCTTAAAATTGGTATAGCACAACCCATATGCTTTTCTTTGCTTCTTGTTACTACTTGAATTATTCTAATCCCTGTCATGTATCTATTGATTATACTATTCTTTTATGACATTTATTATGCCAAATAGAAACAGGAACATAATAATTAAAACATGCTGAAATACATCAAATGATTTCCATGATGAATATTCCTGCCAACTCCAGAGGAGTAATACCATATTAGAGTTTTTTCAGTTCTGCAAATATGCCAAAACTTTTCCTTCCATGGGGGCCTTTGCTGACATTCTCCTGGGATGTTCTTTCACCAACTCTTTGCCTCACCAATTCTCTCATTTTTCATGGGAAGTGTAATCTACAGTCTGTGATTACTTGGACTAGATTCACCCCAATCCATATCTAGAGGTTTCAGAATGCTAGAGTTGGAGCCATTGGCATGTCCTTTCCTGCTTTGTAGTACAAACCTCTAGATCAGTTTTACGTAGAATTTTTTTCAGACTATCTGCTGTTTGCTCCTCAATACTGTTTTCTAAAATGGGTGGCATAAAAACCCTCTTCCAGAGGGTTTTTAATTATTTAGCTTACTTATTGTAATGCCAGAAGATGAGGCTAATGTGTTCAGTGGAAATACAGACAGTTGAAAGAGTTGCTCCTCAAATGGTAATGCCAGGAAAAGCTCCTCAAAACCACCAGTCTGAAATTCACATCATATATTAAAGTTCAGGGAGTAACATCCTTTTGTAATTCTCAGGATTAGGGAAACAGTGCAGCAGTGATTCCTTTATAAATATAGACACGAGAATTTGGCATGAAACATCTAAACCATATCTATGACAAAACACTTGGTATACATACCTAGAGTCTGAATGTGAGCTGTAAATATAGTTATAATTAAATAGTGCTTATAGATTTTACCATGTAAAACTTAAATATCTGTAAATAAACTGTGGATTTAGTTTCGGAATCAGTTCTTTGGGCTAGAGTATTGCTCATTAATGACAATAAAAACTCTTTTTATCTGCTATTGAATATATGTTAATCTCTCTGTGTTTGTATATGTATTTTCAATATTCTTTAAGCAATAATTTTCAAATTAGTCTTTTGTATGTGTTTTATGCCAGTTGTCATCCTCTCACCATTTAAAATGCCTATATATTTATCTAGATATATGAAAATGTCAGTAATAGGGAAAACAAAGCCATCCCAATTCCTAGAGCTTTGCACGTTACATATTTTATATTGAATTTTGCATCTTTTCAGCTATTCCAGCAAAATGCCAATAATTACAGGTGAATAAACCATCAAATTGGTCAGTTTCTTTCCATATGGGAAGGTGTTCTTTATATTTTCTACTGTTTTATCTTACTAGAGTTCCATGATTTAAAGGACAGAGTTGCTAGCATTTCCCAAAAGAAAATGTTTTCTGGTGCAGAGTGTCAAGTGGAAAAAACATAGAATTTGAGCTGGAACATCTAGGTCCCAGTTCCAGCTCAACTAGTACTAGCAGAGCAGTCATTTAATTATCTGTGAAAATAAGAATGGTAAGCATACTTCGCAAGTTCTTAGCAGGGGCCAAATGAGATGTTGCAGAAGAAAATATTTGGCAAAGTTCTAGCCATAAATTAATATAATCAATCATTTAGTTTACTTCTTTTGTGTTCCCCATTAAGTAGACTTTTATTTCACTCCAGAGCAATATCACCCTTGTTGAGAATGTTTAAAATTGGGTCTTAGGGGAGGCAAAAAAATCCCTTATGTTTTATACATACTAGACACAGATATAAATACAGCATATAAAAATATATACAGTATGCCGGGTGCAGTGGTTCATGCCTGTAATCCCAGCACTTTGGGAGGCTGAGGCAGGCGGATCACCTGAGGTCAGGAGTTTGAGACCAGCCTGCCCAACATGGTGAAACCCCGTCTCTACTAAAAATACCAAAAATTAGCCGGGCGTAGTGGTGGGTGCCTGTAATCCCAGCTACTCAGGAGGCTGAGACGGGAATCGCTTGAACCCAGGAGGCAGAGGTTGCAGTGAGCCGAGATCGCACCGTGGCAGTCCAGCTTGGGCAACAAGAGTGAAACTCTGTCTCAAAAAAAAAAGTATACACACACACACACACACACACACACACACACACATATACACATACACATACACACATACAGTATAACTATGATATTAAAATTTTATGAGGAGAGCAATTAGAAAAAAATGTTTAAAAAGGCTCCTTAGGGAGGTAATAATGCAAAAAAAAAAGTTGCAAAATACTGCATTATAATGCTATACAGCAGGTGTGAGTCTCAGCCTATACATTAAGTGTGGATGAAATGTAATTTTCTTGTTTCTTGTTCTTCTGTAAGCAAACCTGTTTTTTTATTTCATGCCCCCATTCTGCCAGAAGGGAGACATGTAATCTGAGTCAATTCAGGGAATCACACATCTGCCTTTGCCCATTTCCAGAATCACACGTGTGTTCTTGGTAGCTTAGGAGGTTTGGGGGAACTGCCTATCGTTTGAATTCTAAGATTTCTGAGGAAGAAAATCACTTCAGGTGCTTCCTCACCTCTTTTTAGTGCACAAGTCAGAAGTGGCTGCTTCCTTGCTACACTAGAGCTGCAGGAATCTTGGTAGAGCTCTCCAAGGCCTGCCTAGATCCTCACTCCAGAAGGTTCTGCTCTGTTCACTTTTTTGGATATGAGAAACTCAGGAATTGTGCCCACATTCTGGGCTCTCTCCAAATATAGAAGCCGAGTATTCCTAAGTATTTAAATTCGTCAATGCTATCTCTGGTTTCTTTATGTTACCGGCTACCCCGCCCCATGGTTCAGCCTACAGGTAGAGGGTGGAGTGGGATATGAATAGCCTAAGATCCTTTTGGAATAATATTCTCATAACTATTATCCCTTCCAGGTGTTTTAGAAGTGTATTTTGAAACTTAACAAAAACCTATTTCTTTAGATCAACGCTTCCTTGGAATAAACCTACCCTGAGGAAGTGGCTGGCTTATAATTTAATGGAGGAAGAATCACCATATAATGTGGAAGTATACGAGTAGGGGGTCGGGGATGATGAGTGTATGCAGGGGGAATTTATTTAAAAGTTAGTTCAGGATATTTTTCTCACTTTGTGAATTTGTCGTAGAACAGCTTATTCTTTCTTTTCAACATCCTTACTGAGATATAGCTTACATACATACAAGTTATCCACTGTAAGTTTACAATCGAATAATTTTTAGCAAATTTATAGTGTTATGCAATCACAGCTACAATCTAGTATTAAAACATTTCCATCATGCTCCAAAAATTCTCAAAAGCTTGTTTGCACTCAATCTCAGCTCCCATCCCAGCCCAAGGCAAACACTGATCTGTTTTCTGTTTCTATAAAATTGCTTTTTCCGGATATTTCATATGAATGAAATAATGTTACCGGTGGAAGAGACCCGAGTTACCCCAGGTTACTGGCAGCATATCTGTATGCGTGTGCAGCAACTTCAGCCCTTGCCTCCTCAAAAGAAAGAATTTGACTGAGAGGTATAAAGAAGAAGAAGAGACCAAGGCAAGTTCAGAGTAGGAGTGGAAGTTTATTTAAAAAGGCTTTAGAATGGAAAGAAAGAAAGGTATGCTTGGAAGAGACCCAAGCACGCAAGGGAAGGTTAAAAAGAGCATGTAACCTAGATCCTAGGGCTTCATAGGCTCACCTCTTTCCCAAGATTCTTCTCTTAGGGTGGGCTTCCTGCATGCATAGTTCCCTCCTTACCCTTGGGAACTGATGAGGTGCAATGTGTTTAGGAAGTTGTACTCATGCCCATCTGAGGCTTTGTTCCTTTTTCCCATAGAGTGCACCTGGAGGGTCATATTTCCCCATTTTGTCTCTTAAACCACATGCCCAGGAAGTTTCTTCTCCCTGACACTATCTTTAGTGTTAATAGCTGTGGATCATCAGGAGATTGTTCTTCCCTGGCTTTAGAGAGGTAGTATGATAATTATCGAACCATAACCTGATATTCCTACTGGGTGCAGGGAGAGCCCTCTCCTGCTCCACTCATGCCTGTCTAACTAGCTGTGAAAATAATATAATATGTAGGATTTGTATCTACTTTCTTTGACTTAGGTTAATGTTTTTGAATAAAGTTCATCCGTGCTGTTGCCTATGTCTGTACTTCATTCCATTTTGTTGCTGGTGTTCCATTTTGTGGATATACTGTATTTTGTTTATCTGTTTACCAGTTGACAGACGTTTGAATTATATCCAGTTTTTGGCTACAAAACTCTGATGAATATTGGACGTATTTTTGTGGACGTGTGTTTTCATTTCTCTTGGGTAGATTTCTAGGAAGGGATTTGCTGGCTTATGTGGTAAATTTATGGTTAACATTTTAAGAACGTGCCAAACTGGTTTGCAAAGAGGCTATACTAGTTTACTTTCTCATCTGCATAGTTTTTTCACACCAGCTTCAATAATTGATATTGTCTGTCTTTTCATTATAGTCAGTGTAGTATATGTTGTCATATGTCATTGTGGTTTTAATTTGCGTTTCCCTAACAACTAATGATGTTGAACATGTTTCATATGTTTATTAGCCATTGACATATCTTCTTTGGTGAAATATCTACTAATCTCTTGCTTATTTTAAAAATTGGGTTGTATGTCTTTTTGTCATTGAGCTGCACGATTTCTTTATGTATTCTGAGTATAAGTTTTATCAGGTATATGGTTTTCAAATTGTGTCCAGAATTGGTGGGTTCTTGGTCTCGCTAACTTAAAGAATGAAGCCGTGGACCCTCACAGTGAATGTTACAGTTCCTAAAGATGGCGTGTCCGGAGTTTGTTCCTTCTGATGTTGAGATGTGTCCGGAGTTTCTTCCTTCTGGTGGGTTCGTGGTCTTGCTGACTTCAGGAGTGAAGCTGCAGACCTTCACGGTGAGTGTTACAGCTCATAAAGGCAGCACGTCCAGAGTTGTTCATTCCTGCTGATGGGTTCGTGGTCTCGCTGACTTCAGGAGTGAAGCTGCAGACCTTCACAGTGAGTGTTACAGCTCATAAAGGCAGTGCAGACCCAAAGACTAAGCAGCAGCAAGATTTATTGCAAAGAAGGAAAGAACAAAGCTTCCACAGTCTGGAAGGGTACCCAGGCGGGTTGCTGCTGCTGGCTCAGGCAGCCTGCTTTTATTCCTTTATCTGGCCCCACCCACATCCTGCTGATTGGTCCGTTTTACAGAGAGCTGATTGGTCCTTTTTGACAGAGTGCTGATTGGTGCATTTACAATCCCTGAGCTAGACACAGAGTGCAGATTGGTGCATTTACAATCCTCTAGCTAGACATAAAAGGTCTCCAAGTCCCCACCAGATTAGCTAGATACAGAGTGCTGATTGGTGCATCCAAAACCCAGAGATAGACACAGGGTGCTGATTGGTGCATTTACAATCCTCTAGCTAGACATAAAAGTTCTCCAAGTCCCCACCAGATTAGCTAGATACAGAGTGCTGATGGGTGCATCACCAAACCCTGAGCTAGACACAGAGTGCTGATTGGTGCATATACCATCCTCCAGCTAGACATAAAAGTTCTCCAAGACCCCACCCGACTCAGGAGCCTAGCTGGCTTTGCCTAGGGGCTCCCGTGCTGGGTCCGTGAGTGGAGGTGCCTGCCAGTCCCGCACCGCGTGCCTGCACTCCTCAGCCCTTGGGTGGTTGATGGGACTGGGCGCCACGGAGCAGGGGGTGGTGCCCATGGGGGAGGCTCCAGCCACTCAGGAGCCCACTGGGCAGGGCTCAGGCATGGCAGGCTGCAAGTCCTGAACCTGCCCCGCGGGGAAGTGGCTGAGGCCCCGCGAGAATTCAAGTGCGGCGCGGGTGGGCCGGCAGTGCTGGGAGACCCAGTGCACCCTCTGCAGCTGCTGGCCTGGGTGCTAAGCCCTTCACTTCCTGAGGCCAACAGTGCCAGCCAGCCGCTCCGAATGCAGGGCCCGCCAAGCCCGTGCCCACCCAGAACTCGTGCTGGCCCACAAGGGCTGCGTGCAGCCCCAGCTCCTGCCCTTGCTTCTCCCTCCACACCTCCCAGGAAGCACAGGGAGCTGGGTCCGGCCTCAGCCAGCCCAGAGAGGAGCTCCCACAGTGCAGTGGCAGGCTGAAGGGCTCCTCAAGCGTGGCCAGAGCAGACGCTGAGGCCAAGGAGGCGCTGAGAGTGAGCGAGGGCTGCTAACATGTTGTCACCTCTCAAAATAATATTTCCCAGTTTGTGACTTATCTTTTGGATTTCTTCTTCTTTTTTTGCTAACCTCCAGTATTCAAATCTTTTCAATTTCATAATGGTGTCTTTGGAAGCACAGAAGATTTTAATTTCAATGAAGTCTAATTTACCAGGGTTTTTTTATTTTTATGGCTTGTGCATTTGTTGTCATATCTAAGACTACTTTGCTTGAAATTGCCACTTTGCCTAACCCAAGGTCAGAAAAATTTTCTCATTTTTTTCTTTTGAAAGTTTTATGACTTAATTATATTTCAGTTTATGATCCATTTGTTATTACACATCACTCCTTTCTTATAGTTACCTGAAAAAAGATTTACTTTAGCTGTGACCAGAATGAGTACTGGGTCTCTGGAAGGGCAAGCAATTGGAATATGATTCAGAAGTTGTACATAGTGAAAGACACACTTAGACATGGTCAAGAAGCATTTCACTGCCACAAAACAAGGCAGGGGAGGGGCTCTAAAGTGCACAGCAGGATGAGCTCCCACCCCTTAGATGTCAAGGAGCTCATGCCATATTGGTATGAGGAATGGCTTATTTTCTGATGTCCATATCTGAAACTATTTCAACTGCCACTAGAAACTCCAGAAGAGTTTTTATTGTGTATTACTTATGTTAAAGCAAACTAAATATGGCCTGAGAAGGACTCTATACCTCTATATTTGAGTCCTTGTGGATGACCTGCAACCTAACTTAATAGGCAGACAAGATTGAAAACCTAACTTAGGAGTATGCACCTGTAACAATCGCTGAGTCTTGGCCAATCCCATCAGCCATACTTCAACCAGTCATACACTGCTGAATGTTCAAATAAGGCAAACACCGGGTTGTAACCAGTCAAGCTATTTCTGTACCTCGTGTCTCATTTCTTACCTCACTTCACTTTTTTTGTCTATAAATTTGTTCTGACCATGAGGCACCCCTGCAGCCTCTCTGAATCTGCTGTGATTCTGGGGGCTGCCCAATTTGCAAACAATTCATTGCTCAATTAAACTCCTTTAAAGTTAATTCAGAGTCACATCCAAGATGGACAAATAGGAACAGCTCTAGTCTATAGCTCCCATCAAGATCGATGCAGAAGATGGGTGATTTCAGCATTTCCAACTGAGGTAACTGGTTCATCTCACTGGGATTCGTTAGACAGTGGGTGCAGCCCACAGAGGGTGAGCCAAAGTAGGGTGGGACATTGCTTCACCCAGGAAGTGCAAGGGATCAGGGGATTTCCCCTTCCTAGCCAAGGGAAGACATGAGTGACTGTACCTGGAGGAACAGAACAATCTCCCCAAATACTTCACTTTTCCCATGGTCTTTGCAACTGGCAGACCTGGAGATTCCCCCCCATAACTGGCTTGGCAGGTCCTACGCCCATGGAGACTTGCCCACTGCTAGTGCAGCAGTCTCAGATCAACCTGGGATGCTGGAGCGTGGTGGAGGGAGGGGCGTCAGCCATTGCTGAGGCTTGAGTAGGTGGTTCTGTGCTCACAGTGTAAACAAAGAGGCAGGGAAGCTTAAACTGGGCAAAGCCCACTGCAGCTCAGCAAGGTCTACTGCCTCTCTAGATTCCACTTCTGGGGGCAGGGCATATTTGAACAAAAGGCAGCAGACAGCTTCTGCAGACTTAAATGTTCCTGCCTGACAGCTCTGAAGAGAGCAGTGGTTTTGCCAGCACGGTGTTCAATATCTGCTAACAGACTGCCTCCTCAAGTGGGTCCCTGACCCCCGTGTAGCCTGACTGGGAGACACCTCCCAGTAGGGGCCAACAGACAACTCATACATGAGGGTGCCCCTCTGGGACAAAGCATCCAGAGGAAGGATCAGACAGCAATTTCTGCTGTTCTGCAGCCTCCACTGGTGATACCCAGGGAAATGGGGTCTGGAGTGGACCTCCAACAAACTGCAACAGACCTGCAGCTGAGGGTCCTGTCTGTTAGAAGGAAAACTAACAAACAGAAAGTAATAGTATCAACATCAACAAAAAGGACTTCCACACCAAAACCCCATCTGTAGGTCACCAACAACAAAAACCAAAGGTAGATAAAACCAAAAAGATGGGGAGAAACCAGAGCAGAAAGGCTGAAAATTCCAAAAGCCAGAAAGCCTCTTATCTTCCAAAGGAACACAACTCCTTGCCAGCAATGGAACAAAGCTGGACGGAGAATGATTTTGACAAGTTGACAGAAGTAGGCTTCAAAAGGTCGAAAATAACAAACTTCACCAAGCTAAAGGAGCATGTTCTAACCCAATGAAAGGAAGCTAAAAACCTTGAAAAAAGGTTACACAAATGACTAACTAGAATAACCAGCGTAGAGAAGAGCTTAAATGACTTGATGGAGCTGAAAACCATAGTACAAGAACTTCGTGAAGCATACACAAGCTTCAATAGCCAATTCGATCAAGTGGAAGAAAGGATATCAGCAATTGAAGATCAAATTAATGACATAGAGTGAGAAGACAAGATTAGAGAAAAAAAGAGTGAAAAGAAACAAACAAAGCCTCCAAGAAATATGGGACTATGTGAAAAGACCAAATCTACATTTGATTGGTGTACCTGAAAGTCATGGGGAGAATGGAACCAAGTTAGAAAATACTCTTCAGGATATTATTCAGGAGAACTTCCCCAATCTAGCAAGGCAGGCCAACATTCAAATTCAGGAAATACAGTGAACATCAAAAAGAGATTCCTTGAGAAGAGCAACACCAAGACACATAATTGTCAGATTCACCAAGGTTGAAATGAAGGAAAAAATGTTAAGGGCAGCCACAGAAAAAGGTCGGGTTACTTACCAAGGGAAGCCCATCAGACTAACAGCAGGTCTCTCAGCAGAAACCCTGCAAGACAAAAGAGAGTGGGGGCAAATATTCAACATTCTTAAAGAAAAGAATTTTTAACCCAGAATTTCATATCCAGCCAAACTAAGCTCCATAAGTGAAGGAGAAGTAAAATCCTTTACATACAAGTAAATGCTGAGAGATTTTGTCACCATCAGGCCTGCCTTACAAGAGCTCCTGAGGGAAGTACTAAACATGGAAAGGAACAACCAGTACCAGCCACTACAAAAACATGCCAAATTGTAAAGACCATCAAAACTATGAAGAAACTGCATCAATTAATGGGTGATATAACCAGCTAGCATCATAATGATGGATCAAATTTACACATAACAATATTAACCTTAAATGTAAATGGGCTAAACACCCCAATTAAAAGACACAGACTAACAAATTGGATAAAGAGTCAAGACCCATCAATGTGCTGTATGCAGGAGACCTATCTCACAGGCAAAGACACAAATAGGCTCAAAATAAAGGGAGGGAGGAAGATCTACCAAGCAAATGGAAAGCAAAAAAAAAAAAAAAAAAAGCAGGTGTTGTAATCCTGATCTCTGATAAAACAGACTTTAAACCAACAAAGATCAAAAGAGACAAAGAAGACCATTACATAATAGTAAAGGGATTAATTCAACAAGAAGAGCTAACTATCCTAAATATATATGCACCCAATACAGGAGCACCCAGATTCATAAAGAAAGTTCCTAGAGACCTACCAAGAGACTTAGACTCCCACACAATGATAATGGAAGACTTTAACACCCCACTGTCAACATCAGACAGATCAACAAGACAGAAAGTTAACAAGGATATCCAGGACTTGAACTCAGGTCTGGACCAAGCAGACCTAATAGACATCTACAGAAGTCTCCACCCCAAGTCAACAGAATATCCATTCTTCTCAGAACCACATCACACTTATTCTAAAATTGACCACATAATTGGAAGCAAAACACTCCTCAGTGAATGTAAAAGAACAGAAATCACAATAACCTGTCTCTCAGACCACAGTGCAACCAAATTAGAACTCAGGATTTAGAAACTCACTTAAAACAGCAAAACTACATGGAAACTGAACAACCTGCTCTTGAATGACTACTGGGTAAATAACAAAATGAAGACATTTTGTTATTTCAAAGAAATAAAGATGTTCTTTGAAACCAGTGAGAACAAAGACACAATATACCAGAATTTCTGGGACACATTTAAAGCAGTATGTAGAGGGGAATTTATAGCACTAAATGCCCACAAGAGAAAGCAGGAAAGATCTAAAATTGACACACTAACATCACAATTAAAAGAACTAGAGAAGCAAGAGCAAACAAATCCAAAAGCTAGCAGAAGACAGGAAATAACTAAGATCAGAGCAGACCTGAAGGATATAGAGACACAAAAAAAACCTTCAAAAAATCAGTGAATCCAGGAGCTGTTTTTTTCAAAAGATCAACAAAATTGATAGACTGCTAGCAAGACTAATAAAGAAGAAAAGAGAGAAGAATCAAATAGATGCAATAAAAAATGATAAAGGGGATATCACCACCAATCCCACAGAAATACAAACTACCATTAGAGAATACTATAAACACCTCTATGCAAATAAACTAGAAAATCTAGAAGAAATGGATAAATTACTGGACATATACCCCCTCCCAAGACGAAACCAGGAAGAAGTTGAATCTCTCAATAGACCAATAACAGATTATGAAATTGAGCCAATAATTAATAGCTTACCAACCAAAAAAAGCCCAGGACCAGATGCATTCACAGCCAAATTCTACCAGAGGTACAAAGAGGAGCTGTTACAATTCCTTCTGAAACTATTCACATCAGTAGAAAAAAGGAATCCTCCCTAACTCATTTCATGAGTCCAGCATCATCCTGATACCAAAGCCTGGCAGAGACACAACAAAAAAAAGAGAATTTTAGGCCAATATCCCTGATGAACATTGATGCAAAAATCCTCAATAAAATACTGGCAAATCAAATCCAGCAGCACTTCAAAAAGTTTATCCACCACAATCAATTCAGCTTCATCCCTAGGATGCAAGGCTGGTTCAACATACACAAATCAATAAATGTAATCTGTCACATAAACAGAACCAATGACAAAAACCACATGATTATCTCCATACATGCAGAAAAGGCATTCAACAAAATTCAAGAGCCTTTCATGCTAAAAACTCTCAACAAACTAGGTATTGAT
The DNA here is from genome assembly GCF_000001405.40 of Homo sapiens. NCBI lineage: Eukaryota > Metazoa > Chordata > Mammalia > Primates > Hominidae > Homo > Homo sapiens. The sequence continues at coordinate 107,650,369 of NC_000008.11, read as the reverse complement.
GGAACATATCTCAAAATAGTAAGATCTATTTATGACAAACCCACAGCCAATATCATACTGAATGGGCAAAAACTGGAAGCATTCCCTTTGAAAACCGACAAAAAACAAGGATGCTCTCTCTGACCACTCCTATTCAGCATAGTATTGGAAGCTCTGGCCAGGGCAATCAGGCAAGAGAAAGAAATAAAGGGTATTCAATTAGGAAAAGAGGAAGTCAAATTGTCTCTGTTTGTAGACAACATGATTGTATATTTAGAAAACCCCATCATCTCAGTCCAAAATCTCCTTAAGCTGATAAGCAACTTCAGCAAAGTCTCAGGATACAAAGTCAATGTGCAAATATCACAAGCATTCATATACACCAAGAACAGACAAACAGAGAGCTAAATCCTGAGTGAACTCCCATTCACAATTACTACAAAGAGAATAAAATACCTAGGAATCCAACTTACAAGGGATGTGAAGGACCTCTTCAAGGAGAACTGCAAACCACTGCTCAAGGAAATGAGAGGACACAGACAAATGGAAGAACATTCCATGCTCATGGATAGGAAGAGTCAATATCATGAAAATGGCCATGCTGCCCAAAGTAATTTATAGATTCAATGCTATCCCATCAAGCTACCACTGACTTTCTTCCCAGAATTGGAAAAAACTACTTTAAATTTCATATGGAACCAAAAAAGAGCCCACATAGCCAAGACAATCCTAGGCAAAAAGAACAAAGCTGGAGGCTACCTAATTTCAAACTGTACTACAAGGCTACAGTAACCAAAACAGCGTGGTACTGGTACCAAAACAGATATATAGACCAATGGAACAGAACAGAGGCCTCAGAAATAACACCACACATCTACAACCATCTGATTTCTGACAAACCTGACAAAAACAAGCAATGGGGAAAGGATTCCTCATTCAATAAATGGTGCTGGGAAAACTGGCTAGCCATATGTAGAAAGCTGAAACTGGATCCCTTCCTTACACCTTACACAAAAATTAACTCAAGATGTAATAAAGACTTAAATGTAAGGCCTAAAGCCGTAAACACCCTAGAAGAAAACCTAGGCAATACCATTCACGATATAGGCATGGGCAAAGACTTTATGACTAAAACACCAAAAGCTATGGCAACAAAAGCCAAAATTGACAAATGGGATCTAATTAAACTAAAGAGCTTCTGCACTGCCAAGGAAACTATCATCAGAGTGAACAGGCAACCTACAGAATGGAAGAAAATTTTTGCAATCTATCCATCTGACAAAGGGCTAATATCCAGAATCTACAAAGAACTTAAACAAATTTACAAGAAAAAAACAAACAACCCCATCAAAAAGTGGGCAAAGGATATGAGCAGACACTTCTCTACAGAAGACATTTATGCAGCCAACAGACATATGAAAAAATGCTCATCATAACTGGTCATCAGAGACATGCAAATCAAAACCACAATGAGATACCATCTCATGCCAGTTAGAATGGCAATCATTAAAAAGTCAGGAAACAACAGATGCAGGAGAGGATGTGGCGTAGTAGGAATGCTTTTATACTGAAAAGGCATTATGAAATAGACTTATTTCTGTGCTTTCTTGTGTTATTATATTAAAAATTTCTTTCTGAGCTTTTAGTTCACTCTATCTATCTATCTATCTATCTATCTATCTATCTATCTATCTATCTATATTTTTTTGAGACGGAGTCTCACTCTGTCACCCAGGCTGGAGTGCAGTAGTGCCATCTTGGCTCACTGCAAGCTCTGCCTCCAGGTTCATGCCATTCTCCTTCCTCAGCCTCCCAAGTAGCTGGGACTACAGGTGCCCGCCACCACGCCAGGCTAATTTTTTTTTTTTTTGTATTTTTAGTAGAGACGGGGTTTCACTGTGTTAGCCAGGATAATTTAGATCTCCTGACCTTATGATCTGCCTGCCTCAGCCTCCCAGTGTGCTGGGATTACAGGCATGAGCCATCGTGCCTGGCCCCAAGTTACTACTTCTTAAGATCCTTTTGGATAAGAAGAGCTTTCCTGTGGCTTGGACTGAGGACCCACGCCCCAGGGGTGTCATTCTGACTAGATTGTATGGAGTGGGTGCAGGAGATGAAATCGCTCAAATGAAAATGACAGTCACTAGTCCCCTGTCTGTTCCACTCCTCTGCACCTTCCTTGTCCATCCCATTCCTTTGCACTCTCCCCTGCACATGTGTACACTGACCGTATCTTTAGGCTTCTTAAGTTGTAGCTGCAGACGTGGTTAGTGTGACACGTGCAGCGGAGAGGTGCAGAGGAATGGGACAGACAGGGAAGATGTTCCTTGGGATAGTGATCTGCCTGCTGGCCTTCACTTCTTGGCCTTGTCTTGGGTAGTCACAGAGTCCACAGCTTTATTCATGGTCTCTTCGTTCCCTAGGAACTGCATAGGCTTGATGGATTTCAAGTTCTTGTCTAACTCATAGACAATAGGAATACCAGTTGACAGGCTGTGCTCCACAACAGCTTCTTCAGAGGGACCTTCCAGATACTTAATGTCCAGAAGGCTGATGCCATGGGCTGCAATCCATACCTATTTTTCCTCCTTCATCTGGGGAGCTATTAATTTCAAAAGGGCACTGTCTGAAAGACACTATTGCCTTTCAAACCCTCTCAGGAGAGTAGTTGATCATCAGTGAGGTCTCCATCCTTGTGATCCTTACTGAAGTTGCTGTAGAAGGGATAGTTGGGCTTTACTGGAGGTGTTGGGATGGCATAGGAGGCCTCCAGATTTTACCTGGGCCTCACCATGCTTGGCAGTAGTTTCTGCTTTATTGAGGCCAGTCAGACCCCCATAGCGTCATTCACTGAGACATCAAATCTTTACTACAGGATGCTACATATGGTTAATGGCATCCAGCACTATCTAGTGGGTCAGGATTGCTCTCTCTTCTGCACTGAGGAGAAGCACATATCAACCTTATAGGCAGAATCTCACAGAGCCTGCATGATGCCCTTTGCTTCATGCCCCACTGGGCTCAGGTTATTGTCCTATAACTGCTGAAGTGGTTCTCCAGGCTCCTGGTGCTCTGGCAATGCTGGATCAGCACCAGCTTGCAGGTGGCCATGGCATCTTACTGGGGGTGCTGCACCAACTAGGGACCCACTGAGATTCTAGGGTCTCAGCCTACTCCTTCCATTTCCTTCCCCAGTCCTGCATGTGCCCTTTTCCCCATTGTTCCTAGGATCCATCTTCATTTAATTTCTGTGTATGTTGTGAGATAGGCTAAAAAAAATAGTGTTTTAAAAAACACTATCCTTTTCCCCTTGAAATGAGTTGGCATCTTTGTGGAAAACCAGTTGAGCATAAATACAAGGCAAAATTTCTAGACTATCAATTTTGTTTCATTGATCTATTCCAACTGCCTGTAATTACACCAGTACCACACTAACTTAATTATTATAGCTTTATAGTAGGGTTTGAAATCAGATCATGCAAATCCTCCAACTTCATTCTTCTTTTTCAAAATTATTCTAGCTATTATAGGTCCTTTGCATTCCCATATCAATTTTAAAATCAACTTACCAATTTCTACACAAAAGACTGGGATTTTGATAGGGGCTATGGTCTATGGATTGATTTGGGGAGGATAAAAATTTTAACAATATTGAGTCTTCCAATTCATGAACATTGAATTTCTATTTTAACCATTCTAATTATCTCAACAATATTTTCTAGTTCTGTTTACAAATCTTCAATTTTTTTGTTATGTTTATTCCTGTCTTTTTCTTTTTTGGTAATATTATATATGTGTGACAGTTAATATTGAGGGTCAACTTGATTGGATTGAAGCATGCAAAGTATTGTTCCTGGGTGTGTCTGTGAGGGTGTTGCCAAGGGTGATTAATATTTGAGTCAGTGGACTGGGAGGTGCAGACCCATCCTCAGTCCGGGTGGGCACCATCTAAGCAGCTGCCAGCAGGACTAGAATAAAAGCAGGTAGAAGAACGTGGAAGGACTTGACTTGCTGAGTCTTCCGGCCTTGATCTTTCTCCAGTGCTGGGTGCTTCCTGCCCTTGAACATTGGACTCCAAGTTCTTCAGCTTTTGCACTTTTGGACTTACACCAGTGGTTTGCCAGAGGCTGTCGGGCCTTTGGCCACAGACTGAAGGCTGCATCGTCAGCTTCTGTACCTTCGAGGTTTTGGAACTCGGACTGATCCACCACTGGCTTCCTTGCTCCTACACTTGTAGTCGGCCTATCGTGGGACCTTACCTTGTGATCATGTGAGTCAATACTCTTTAATAAATGCCCCTTCATATATACATTTATCCTATTAGTTCTGTCCCTCTAGAGAACCCTAATACAGTAAGGAAGTGTTTTCTCAGTTTCATTTTTCATATTGTTCATTGGCAATGTTAATTTTGATTACTCAGGCCCCCTATGACTTGCTCACCTTCTGGAACTCCCAGTCAAATTTCTGACTAGTTTGCCAGTCCATCACTTGCTTCAAACAGGGCCAAGACCTCAGACTAGCAGAGGTGCTGACTCTCATTCTGCACTTGCCACACAGACCACTTTAACTGTCAACACTTCACGTGAAGGGAGCCCGTTCTGGTGTCATCAGCAAAGCTAAATGATTGTTTTTGACAGTTTTGTCCAACTTTATAGTTGGTTTTTTGTCAGAATAAAAGTTGGGGACTATTTTTGTACTTTTTTCCTCTAAATTAATTTCAATATTTAAAGATTTGCTATTTTATACTTAGCAACTCTTTCATGCACTTTTTGTTTAGAACTTTTTATAGGAAAGAGGTGGTTATATATTTTACTATTTTTATTAAATTAAATCACTGCAAAAATGTATTTTATTTCATGGATATATGTGTAATAGTTGAAGGACAAAAGTAACTGATGAATAACCAAAAGTAACCACATGCTACAGTCACTCATTATAAATTAGGTGAGGTCATTACTAATTCCGCTGGCATTATGAAATGATATATTTCTTTTTCCAAAGTTTCAAATTTGTTATTCCACTTGGATGTTATTCCACTGTCATAATTTCAATATTTATTCTAAAAATGAGGATTTCCAGGTTCTTAACTATATAATTGATTCATTATATGACTGTCTCCCAAAATCCACATATATGGATACAGATACTAAGCCAGAACTATTTATACAAGTTTTATTTTACTTTCATTCACTGAAATTGAACAATATTATACAATCTTTAGGCCAAGGTTTTTAGTTCTAGACATCATAATAAATAATTTGCTTCATCCTTGATTAAACTATAAGCACTTTGAATGCAGATATTATATTCTTTTAGTAATACTCTAATAGTCCTTTGCACAATGCATTATATGCAGTAAATTAAATCTATGTATTCTTTGCCCCCACTCAACCCTATAGTGGAAAATACCACATGGCCCAATATGAAAAATTAGAAATAGGTAAGGTTGAAAGTGCTTGAATACTATTTTAAATATATAAAAATTAAAACTATTTTCCTCATCCAATCAACAGGCATTTATTTAGTTCCTACACTCTGCTTTGCACTACACTAAATGCTGGGATGGTGGTGAATATAATAAGCATTATTCCCAGACTCAGGGATTGTTTCACAGGGAGATAGACAATCAGCAAATAATGAATAAATAAACAATTACAAACCATTTAAATACCACGAAGCAAGTAGCAGTGTGAAGCCACAGAAAATAATAGGAAAACCTACTTCAACTGGATGTTCTATAGGAAAGATTTTTTTTGCTGTTGTCCCCACTGTTTCACTATTGTACATTTATTTTTTATTATTTAAAAGTTTTACTTGGAATAATCCCTGTTTATAGAGAAAATTGCAAAAATGATAATAGTACAAAGAACACTTGTATACATTTTCTCAGATTTGCATAATACTAATATTTTACACCATTCTCCTTATTGTGTGTTTTCTAAATGTATCTGTCTTTCTATATCTAGCTATCTATCTTTACCTATTGCATTAGTCTGTTTTCACGCTGCTAATAAAGACATACCCAAGACTGGGTAATTTATAAAGGAAAGAGGTTTAATGGACTTACAATTCCACATGGCCGGGGAGCCCTCATAATCATGGTAGGAAGGCAAAGGAGAAGCAAAATCCATCTTACATGGCAGCAGGCAGGAGAGCTTGTGCAGGGGACCTCCCATTTATAAAACTATCAGATCTTGTGAGACTTACTCACTACCACGAGAATAGTATAGGGGGAACTGCCACCATGATTCAATTATCTCCACCTGGCCCTGCCCTTGACATGTGGAGATTATTACAATTCAAGGTGAGATTTGGGTGAGGTCTCAGCCAAATCATATCACCTATCTTCTAAATACCATCAGGTGCCACATCAGGAAGTTTCAGTCAATAATGGGCCACATATACAACAGTGGTCCCATAAAAATATAATACAGTATTTTTACTGCACTTTTTTATGTTTAGATATTTTTAGATACACAAATACTTACCATTGTGTTACAGTTACCTACAGTATTCAGTACAGTTATATGCCATACAGATTCGTAGCCTAGGAGCAATAGGCTATCCCACATAGCCTAGGTGTATAGCAGGCTATGCCATCTAGGTTTCTGTAAGTACACTCTATGGTGTTTGCACAATGATGAAATCATGTATCATACTTTTCCCAGAATGTATCTCTGTTAAGTGACACACGACTATAATTTGTTTTTCTGAGTCATTTAAAGGTGCATTCACTGTGGGCCTTTAACTTTATATAATTTAGTGTGTATTTCCCAATAAAAATAATTTTTTTTTTGAGACAGGGTCTCACTCTGTTACCCAGCCTGGAGTATAGTGGTACAATCACAGCTCGATGCAGCCTCAACCTCCCTGGACTCAGGTGATCCTCCCACATTAGCCTCCTGAGTAGCTGGGACTACAGGCACGCCACCACACCTGGCTAATTTGGTATTTTTTGTAGAGATGGGGTTTCGCCATGTTACCCAGGCTGGTCTCAAACTCCTGGGCTCAAGCTATTTTCCCACCTCGGCCTCTCAAAGTGCTGGGATTACAGGTGTGAGCCACTGCACCCAGCCTCACAGTAGTTTCAGCTTGAGTAAAATGAATATTGATGAAACAGTTTTACCTAAACTGCCATTTTGTATTCTTTTTTTTTTTTTTTTTTTGTCAATTGATTTAATAATGTCCCAAATAACACTTCTCCGCTTTTTCCAGTACAGGATTGAGCCTGGGCCCAGGTCTTGCATTTAGTTGTCAGGTCTCTTTAGCATCCTTTAACCCAGAATATTTCTACAGAATACAGTCCTATCCCTCCTTTTTATAAAACAGAACATTGCTCGCTTTGAATTTGATGATTCTTCATGATTGGATTCACGTTATGCGTCTCTACCAGAATATTGCACAGGTGATGTTCTATCCACTATAGCAGGGGTTCCCAGGACCCAGGCCGCTGACCAGTATTAGTGGGTGGCCTGTTACCACACAGTAGGAGGTAGGTGGTGGGTGAGCAAGCATTACTGTCTGCGCTCTGCCTCCTGTCAGATCAGTAGCAGCATTAGATTCTCATAGGAGCATGAACCCTATTGTGAACTGTGCATGCATGCGAGGGATCTAGGTTGCACACTCCTTATAAGAATCTAATCCCCCCCATCCATAGAAAACTTGTCTTCCATGAAACCAGTCCCTGGTGTCCAAATGGTTGGAGACCGTTACTTGATAAGCTCTCTCCACCAGAAGTAGGCAATGTACACCTGCCCCTCATTGGTGATGTTAGTTTTGTTCACTTGGTGGAGATGTTGAACAATTTCTCTACTTTGTATTAACTGTTTTTCCCCTTATAACTAATAAGCAGTCTACAGGAAGACGTTTTAAGACCATTCAAACATCCTTCCTATCAGCAACATATGCCCATGGTATTTAGCATCAATTGTCAGTTCTTTCCTGGTTCAATCTTTACTGCAATAGTTGCAAAGTAAGGATTTACCACCCGCATGCTCCCCACATTGTGCCACTACCCTGTTCCAGCCTTGATGTCAGCCATTTCTCCAGAAACACTGCTCAATATCTTTTATATAGACTAGAAACAACCAGTTATAAAAACCATTGGCAGTTTGATTATGAGATCAGCATTTAAAATAAAAACTACATGTAATCAAAATTACTTAGGAAGGTCAATATATCTCCTAAATGCTAACAAAACACAGGAACATAGGTGAAAAAGGACTTCATCTTACCAAGTTAAAAGTTATTTAAAAATTTACATATTTATATAATGTGGTAAGGTACTTGACTCAATGAGACTAGGACTCAACAGAAAAGGCTAAAAGAGACTAAACAGCAATTTTTAAAAAGTGATCAAGGATCACATTAACTTACAGATTATTTGTTGAGTAGTGCAATATTGGGCTTTTTTCCCCATTAAGCAGAATTTATTTAGTTGGATTAAATAGTTAATGTCAAAAATTAAATGTTAAAAAATTAAAACGTTATAGGTGAATATTTAATTTTTAGTATCATCAAGGAATTTTAAAGCATAAAAGAAAAAGAGAAGCTTTAAAGTAATGTTTGCTGGTTATTTTTTTACACATGTATGTTTCTCTTAAATCATTTTTCAAAAGTATATTTTTTCAAAAGTATATTATTTCAAAAACCTTGAAATGCAGCATTTTATTGAAAAGGGAAAAAGGCATTTACATATGTCACAAATATCTTCATAGGGCCTATACTTTCTGCATCTTCCTAGTTTTGTACCCGCTGTCTCTTTTGTTCGTTTTATCCATGGTGCCTAGAGCAGTGTCTGGCACATGGCAGGGCCTGGACAAGTATTTTCTTTTTTCTTTTCTTTCTTTCTTTCTTTTTTTTTTTAAGACACACTCTCACTTTTGTCATCCAGGCTGGAGTGGAGTGGCACACTCTCGGCGCACTGCAACCTCCGCCTCCCGAGTTCAAGCCATTCTCCTGCCTCAGCCTCCGAGTAGCTGGGACTACAGGCGCCCACCACCACACCCGGCTATTTTTTATTTTTAGTAGAGACGGGGTTTCACCATGTTGGCCAGGCTGGTCCGGAACTCCAGACCTCAGGTGATCCACCCACCTCGGCCTCCAAAAGTGCTGGGATTACAGGCATGAGTCACTATGCCCAGACTGGACAAGTATTTTCTGAGTGAACAATCAATGACATAGGGAGTTGGAATCAATTATTTGTACATGCCCTTCCAGCTGCAGGACTAGAACTAAAGCTCTGTGACTTCAGGCCCAGTATGTTTCCTTTTTTTACCATGTCTGCCATCTGAAGGCTATTTCATTTATATCTGTACCCTGGTATTGGCTGAGATGAGCCTCTACAAACACATATCATTGATTTGAGCTTTACTTTGCTTGTCCTAGCAAAGTTTATATACACATCCTGTAATGGATTGGATGTTGAATGGCCTGAGGACCATTTCCCTATCTCAAAGAGAATGTGATTTTAAGCCTTTTCAGATTTCTGAACATTTTATATACTCACCCTTAGGGTGACTATAGTTTGGAAGAAGAAAAAGAGATTTGGAAACTACTTTGGAGCACTAGGAGCATGAATGCTACTGTTTCTATTCTTTGGCTGCTGTGAGTAAGGATAATAGAGAAAAAGAATAAGCCTGCCAACTTGGACCCGAGGCATGCACTGGAGAGCTCCAAGCTAGTGGCTCCAACAAAGATGTTAATTTGGAGGCAACGTAGTAAAATAACCATACTGAAAACACTTCACAATTTTTTGTGTGTGTTTGAATAGATGAACAATTATTATAATAGTAATATTGACTGCTGATTTTTTTTAAACATTGTTTTGTCAGGTTAGAGTAAATGTGAGAAATTCTATCCAGTATATTTTTACACATTGCAATATCTAGCTTGTATGATTCATGCCCTCATTTCTGTATTGAGAGGGTTCTACAGAATACATATGTAAGTATAGGGCAGCTTTACCTTTTTTTAGTTATAAAAGCCAAGTGCCATCAGTATCAAAATGTTACTGCCAATATTATGTTATTTAATTCTCAGAACAAAACTGCTGAGCAGGCATTTGTTGTGCCCATGCAGCAGATGAGGAACATGGGGCACAAAATGTTTAGGCAGCTTGTCCAAGGAATACACACCTGTTGAGTGGCTAACCCAAAACTCATCCAGATCTGATCTGCTTTTGATTTCTCCTAGTCAGAAAGTGTTGATTGCCATGTGGTTATGAATTTAGACTAAGAATACACAATTTTTTATTATTTATGTATGCCTTTGCTACATGATTTTTAACATTTTTACTGATACATAATAACTGTACATATTTTGAGGGTACATCTGATATTTTGATACATGTATACAATGTGTAATCATCATATCAGGGTACTTGGGGTATCCATTTCCTCAAACATTTATTTTTTCTTTGTGTTGGGAATCCCCAAACAATTCTTCGAGCTATGTTGAAATACACAATAAATTATTGTTAGCTATGATTTTCCTACTGTACTATCAAATAGTAAAACTTATTCCTTCTAGCTATTTTTTACCCTTAATTCTTTGATTATTTTTGATATATGGAAGCTCATATCCATTTTGATATATGGAAGCTCTATGTGCTTGTTATTGACCCTGTAAATTACACACACACACACACACACACACACACACACACACACACGCTGACTGGGGAAAAAAGAATAAAGGAGAAATACTGGATATATGACAATTAGATACCTAAGAAAGAATATTTTATAACATGATTACCTGATGTTGCTAAAACATAGAAACTCGTGAATTATAAAATGTCATTTATTCTCAGATAACTTTACGCTAACTCAGATCTTTCTTCTGCCAGCTTAAAACCTGAAATAGCCTCTGTTGCAGGCAGAATAAGGACCCCTGCCCCATACAAAAGTGTCCACATTCTAAACCCAGGATCCTGTGAATTTTTTACCTTATGTAGCAGATGGGACTTTACAGATGTGATTAAATTAAGGATATTGAGATGAGGGGATTATCCTGGATTATCTACATGGAGCCAGTGAAATTGCTGGGGTCTTTCTAAGTAAAAGAGGGAGGTACAAGGGTCAGAGTGAGAGGAGATGTGAGGGTGGGGTGGTGGGATTTTTACGAAGGAATCGTGCTAAGAAATGCGGGCCACCTCTAGAAGTTGGAAAAAATAAGGAAACAGAGTTTCCCCTTGAACTTCCAGGAGGAAGACAATGCTGATGCACCATTTTAGACTTTGGAACTTGAAAACTATAAGATAACAAATTTATGTTGTTGTAAGCCACTACATTTGTGCTAATGTGTTACAGCAGCAATGGGAAACTAATACAGCTTCCCACTTTTGTGACTCACCCCTTCCTCTAAGGTCCTTCAAGACTGGGCCTTGTGGGCTGGGTGTGGTGGCTCATGACTGTAATCCCAGCACTTTGGGAGGCTGAGGCAGGCAGATCACCTGAGATCAGGAGTTCGAGACTAGGCTGGCCAATATGGTGAAACCCTGTCTCTACTAAAAATACAAAAATTAGCTGGGAGTGGTAGCGCATGCCTGTAGTCCCAGCTACTCGGGAGGCTGAGGCATGAGAATCGCTTGAACTCGAGAGGCAGAGGTTGCAGTGAGCCGAGATTGTGCCACTGCACTCCAGCCTGCCTGACAGAGTGAAACTCCATCTCAAAATGAAGGAAAAAAAAAAAAAAAAAAGAATGCGTTGTCCAACTCTCCTACCTCCAACCCAAAATTTTAAGTAGAATGCCTGAGGAAATAGAACTCCATGCTGTATATACTCTGCTACCCAGCAACACTAAACTACTTGAAATTGTCTTGCATAAATCTTGCTTTCTCTGGCTTCTAGTCTTGCTTTTCTCTGCCTCAGGCTGTACTTTTTTGTAAATGTGATTACATTCCCTCCTATATCACCACTTACTCTCCTTTACCCTATTCTACCCATACCACAACCAGGCAAATTAATGCTCATACTCAGCTCAGGTTTCCATCCTGTAGGAAGCCTTCCCAATACCATACTTATTCCCAAACTAAACATCTCTCTTCTACACCCTTTTAATTCCACCTTGACCCCAATTTATCACTATGGTAGCATTTATCACACTGCATGAAGCAATCTATTAATACTTTCATCATGTTGGCTGAAGCATGAACTCCACAAGAGCAGGGACTGGATGGGCCCACGGTTTTGTCCTGAGGCCCAACACGGTGCTGGCCCTTTGTAGTAAATGCTCAAGAAATGTTTGTTACATTCATATGCCTGAGAAATTTGCATTCTAGTGGCAATTGGGCTATTTACAAAGGAGGAAAGTCCTCCTTAAAATCAGTTTTGAGAAAAGCAGCCATCAGTAAATGATTTGTTTGATTGATAGCCTGTACAGCTATCTCTTTCCTAGCACAACATTTATGCTCTTGATAGACACAATTATGACGCTTTTATGAAGGGGGAGGTATAAACATATTGATCCATGAAAGATTCACATTCTACAGCCTTTTATATCTGAAATATGAATACGTCACAACTGATGTATCCATGTTTGCAATATCTACAAGCAACTGTAGGACATTTCTCACCTACAGTTTTAAATTTCTTTTAAAGATTTGTTTTTATTTTAGTAGTATAGACAAAGCTCGTATAGTCACAAGGAGATAGAAAGCCTTTACTCTATCACAGTATTAGAGGTGACTACTTAAATAGGCTGGGAAGTTCAGAAACTTCTAAGAAAGCATCAATGAAGCATCCGTGAATCCTCAGTGAAAAAAGGGCTTCCACATGAGGGAGGGATGAGGATCTGCCAGTGACAATCATCCTCGCGTTTGCTACTCCACAAAAGCCAGGAGTAAAAGAAACCACATAGAACTTTAAAAGATAGTTTTCTGTTTGGACAATTTAAATTAAATTATATAAAACCTATAGTTTCAGCTGGTAGGAACAATTGTATTACACAGATGTACTCCGGAATCGGGGACAATTTGTTTATCAGCTTTGCTTATCCGAGTCTGAGTTAGGTCCTCCAATGTTTGAAAAGCTTTGATGCCTCAACATGATGTTTGCCAAAGTGGTGTCTATAATGAGCAGCCAAATTCTCCGTATTTCAGGCGCTTTCTTCTAAGCTGCTTTTGAAGGGGACTGTCAAGTGTTGCATGCTGTTTGTCAGTTAACACTTGGGGAGTGAAATTCACAAAGGGGACTTTATGAACTTTCACAACAAGGATATCTTTGCCAACACTTCAGAGCTATTTTAAGTTTGGGAGTTGTAAGGCTCTCTCTCTTCTTAGAGGTGATAGTAGCTGACCCAGGACACCTGGGTTTTAAGTGAGTTTGCACTTTCAAGACCTGCTAGCACTCATTGAGTTTTCAACTGCATTATATGTCCCAAAAAATTGTGTTTTATTCATATGGTTTCCTTAATTTAAAAGGTTTAATAATAATAACAATGAATATAAAATAAACATTGATAAATACCATTTATTGTTTATTAATTACTGAGCACTGTAATCAATTATCTGCATGATCTCATTGAATACATGCTAGAACCTTGAAGTAGGTACTCTTATTTGTCCTGTTCACAGATGAGAACACTGAGGCTCAGAAAATTTAAGTAGAAAGTCCAGTGAAATAGAATGCAAGTGGTGAAATTGAATTCGTACACAGGATTGCAGATCTTCAGAGCCTATTACTCATTTTTTTCTTATTTTTAGAAGACTAAGGCTTTAAAAGGAGGGATTAAAAAATGTGTGTGTGTGTGTGTGTGTGTGTGTGTGTGTGTGTGTAGCTGGGTAGGGACAGGAGTGGGAGAGATCATAAAAAGTATTTAGGTGTTAATTAAATTCTTTATTTTTCAGTATCACCCAGGGGATATATCTTGTATTATATGTGTGTGTGGTGTGTATTGCATGTTTGCATGAGTACATTTGTGTGTATAGGTGTGTTTTCCATTTTCCAACTTTTTTGTGTGCTCAAAATTTTGTTGTGAGTACTGTTAATCTGTGTTTTATCCTGGGATTTTGAGATGCTTATATTTATCTGTCACTTTTGTCATCTATCTTGTGGGTAATATTTGAAAGTCTCAGTTTCTGCAGATCACAGCTGGGAATTTAATAGACAGCTCTTTACTCCTTTCATTGTGAGCTGGCCGCAGACTCACTTTGTACATTGGTGTGTTTGGGAATAACAGAAAAATAAAGAAAAACCAAGGATAAAGGCAGAGGTCTAAAGACTAGGAAAATAAGCATCAAGCTCATTTTGGTGACGATTGTGAATTGGCCTAACTTTACAATGCCTACCCATTTCCCTCCGCTATTCATTCATCATCATCATTAATTTCTCTCTTCATTTGCTAAACAGATGAGTAGCAAGGGAGGCAATAGAATTAAACCCGAACAAAAAGGCCCCTTTCTCCTCAATCCTCAGTGTTCCTTCGAGAATAAAGACTTTAATGATGGGAGGTCCATTTCAATTCTCTGGAGCCAATGCATTTCTACCTCAGTAGTCACTGCTTTCGGCAAAAGGAAATGCCTGTAAAGGGGTAAAGATCCGTTAACTGACCACTTCAAAGAGAATTAACCTGCCAGAGGAAAGGGTGAATGTTTTGCAAACTTAATCTTTCCTGGGCAAAACCGCATTATGAAGTGCTGGCCAGGCACTTTCTTGCCTTCTTTGGAAAACAGGCTTTTTGTGTCCTTAACTTCACAGCTAGAGACACATATATCCTCTCCAGCACCTGATCTCTCTCCCCTGACTTGCTTGTCTGTGTTATTTCTTTGCAGAGCTGCTGCACTGTCTATCTACCTGAATCATCTTGGCTTCATCTTACAAATTAGCTGCCTAATTAGTCTTCCAGAAGTACAGATTTGATGACGATATTTTGCTACTCAAAAAGCTTTAGTGGCTTAGCTTTATGTAAACAACAAAACTTGGACTTTCTGGCTTAACCTTCAAGACTTTCTATGACTTAGCCTTATTCTACCCACCCGAACATTTTCTGCCTCCCCTCCCTGCCCCTGCATTTTTAAAAAGTCCACTTCACTTAGACCAAACTTAAACTTTGCTTCCACACAATAGTAAGTTCCTCAAGGACAGGATTTTTGTCTGTTATATTTACTGTTGTGTCTCCGACACCAACAACAGTGGCTGGCTTCTTGTAGGTGCTGGATAGACACATAAATAGAGGCTGAATTGATGGAATGAATAAACGGCCATTTTCCACATTTCCCAGACTCTGTGACTTTGCTTACTTCTTCTCTTCATGAATAAATATTCAGCCTTTGTTCAGAACCTGTTAATAAACCACCTCTCCCATTTAGGCAATATCAGATTAGCTGAAGTAAATCTCTCCCTTCTGTTAGTTCCAATAATTCTTTATATTCTCACAATTCTCAGTCACATATTTTTGTCACTTTTATCTTTCAATTATAACTGTTTAGATGCATGTCATATTTTTTTGACTAAACTTTAAGCTCTTTGGGCAGAATGCACATCTGAATTATATTTATCCCTCCCGCTATTCCCAACCACTAGTTTATAGTAATGATTCTAAGATATCATCTTGCAGGTAAAAGTCACTCAAAAAAGCACTTGGTTAAGAATTTTTTATTTTATATTGTCACTTCCTGTTTTATTAAAATATGTTGTAAAATCTTTGCGGTCAAAGATATATCATTCAGTACTCTTTTCTTGCATCACAGTCAACTTCATTTTAATGAAATAATGATGGTTTCATTAATAGTTACTGAATTATTAAATATATTGGTAATGGATTATTCTTCAGCATTTTAGGAAATAAGAAACCATTTACATCCAAACCCATAGAATCCACAACAACAAGAGAACCTTACTGTAATGGACTTTGGGGGATAATGATGTGTCAATGTAGGTTTATTGGTTGTAAGAAATGAACAATTCTGGTGTGGAATTTTGGTAGTTGGGGAGGCTATGCATGTGTGGAGCCAGGGAGTATATGCGAAATTTCTGTAACATTGTGCTCAATTTTGCTGTGAAACTAAACCTGCTCTAAAAAATAAAGCATATTTTAAAAACAAAACAAACAAACAAAAAATGCATTTACATACATACCTCTTCCTTTATACCCTGCTGCTAAGTAGTTTTAAGACATTTTTCTTCCAAACTGAAGCTAACGGGAGTTGAAGATGAGAAGGTAGGAAAATATATCTTTGCCTTTGGTTTAAAGTTCCTGTGTATCCCAGGCAATAGAACAAAATAATATTAACACTTATTTCGCTGAGGGTAATCTCATATTTATGTATTTCCAGAGTATTTACAAATAGATGTGACAGCACTATACCAATTTTTGGCACTTTTTTTTTCCACATTGCTGCTGCTTCATTTATATATTTAATTTTTTGACTATTTATACATATGAGTTCTGTATTAGTCTGTTCTCACATTGCTTTGAAGAGATACTCAAGACTGGGTAATTTATAACCAGTTCTGACTCACAGTTCTGCATGGCTGGGGAGGCCTCAGGAAACTTACAATCGTGGCAAAAGGGGAAGTAAACATGTCTTTCTTCACATGGCAGCAGGAGAGAGGAGTGAAGGGGGTAAAAGCCCCTAATAAAACCATTAGATCTCGTGAAAACTCACTCACCATCATGAGAACAGCATGGGGGAACTGCCCCCATGATCTAATCACTTCCCATGAGGTCCCTCCCCCAACATGTGGGGATTACATTTCAGATTACAAATCAAGATGAGATTAGGGTGGGGACACAGAGTATATTATTCAACCCTGACCCCTCCCAAATTTTGTCTTTCTCACATTATGCCTTCCCAACAGTTCCTCAAAGTCTTAACTCATTTCAGCATTAACCCAGAAGTCCAAGTTCATAGTCTCATCTGAGACAAGGCAAGTTCCTTCCATGTATGAGCCTATAAAATCAAAAGCAAGTTAGTTACTTCCTAGATACAATTGAGGTACAGGAATAGGGTAAATACACCCATTCCAAATGGGAGAAATTGGCCAAAACAAAGGGGCTGCAGGCCCCATGCAAGTCCAAAATCCAACAAGGCAATAATTAAATCTTAAAGCTCTGACATAATCTCCTTTGGCTCCATGTTTCACATCCAGGTCATGCTGATACAGGAGGGGGGCACTCATGCCCTTGGGCAAGTTCTTAGGGGAGAAAGGAAAAACCAAGAATAAATGAAGTGGAGAACAGTTTCCAGAATTCACAAAAAGCAGGCACATTTATCTAATAAGACATGTGCCTGCAAAATTACAGCCTTGATTCCTGACTTGGTTATTGCCCTCCAGGGCCTGCTTCTCCAGGGAAGACACATTTTTCTGCAGGCTTCTTTCCCTTTGTTCCCATCACTGAAGGCAATAATCTATGCAGAGGAATCTTGGATTTGGCCAAAGGCTCTTTTCAAGATGTATTGATTGTAATCAATTGAAGATTTCTGAAAAGAAGATATGCATGCAGCATTTAATGAGTTGACGTTTAGCTTCATGGTCTTGAAAATAAATGATAGTGAGAATTATCGGCATTAGATTGCCAAAAAAAAAAAAAAAAAAACAAAACAATAAGAAAAAAAACTGTAGAGTGTTCCATGGTTACAGGATTCTTCCTTTTTCCCTATTTTCCTTAACTTCTCTTCATGGGGGTATAATTATGTTTATTCATGCCACTGATATTTGATTACTCCTGGGTTTCAAAATGGCTATTCTTTCACAAAACTTTCCTTCTGAAAGAGGAACTATATGTATTGTTATTTTCCTTCTGAAAGAGGAACTATATGTATTGTTATTTTCCTTCTGAAAGAGGAAATATATGTATTGTTATTTTCCTTCTGAAAGAGGAACTATATGTATTGTTATTTTCCTTCTGAAAGAGGAATTATATGTATTCAGCAGGACTTTGGGAGCTCGGAGACCCTTATACGTAGGCACCTGTTTTTCCTGAGATGTTAGCAAGTATCCTTGGTGAACGAGGAACGTGCTGCTTTCTAATATACCATAAAAGAGGGTTTGTTTAGATTCTCTTTCAGGAAAAGAAGTTAGAGATTAGACATACTGAGGTTGTCCTAGCTTCGTGGAGAAAAAAAAAGTTTCTTAAAACTGCTTCCTTAAAATATGGCACTGTCCAAATTGAATCATTGTATTACACAAGTGCTATCTAGTTTTCAAATCTAAATGTAAACAGATGGGGGTGACAAATAGATTCAAACATCCTCAAAGTATGAGTACGGAGACTTAACAACCAAATAGAGGAAAGACTGAACCTATTAGTTAACCCTAAAATTAATCCACATTCTTAATTTTTTAAATATTTAGTATTTTTACTGTTTCCATGCATTCTAGGAATTATAAAACAAAAGCCCCAACGTGAAAACAGGGCTCTAGTTCTATTTATGGTTTTTCTCACTCAAAGACAGAAAAGACTGAAAGCATCTATAAGTCCTATTTCTCTAATTCCTGGAGAGTGATAAATATTTAGCCAAACACATGATTACTCATTTGAATGTTTCAAATAGACTGATGTTTTGCCAACATAGAAACCAAATCTAGTTTTGGGTGGTCATAGTTTTACAAGTTAGTCACTCACCAATAAGCATCCATGAAAATTGAGTTTATCATTCATGTACTAATTTATTTATTCATCAACTTATTTAATAAGTATATATTTAACGCCTATTATGTGACAGGCATTGTCCTTGCTGCCTGGATACTGAATAGTCAACAGAATAAATCTGATTCCTGCCCCCCAGGGCAAGAAAACAGCCTGTTGAGGAAAACAGATATGAAACAAAACGAAAGAAATAAAATATTGTCACAGAGGGCTGAGAAATAAAAGAGCAATATATTGATGAATAAAAACATATGCCATCATACGTAGATAAATTTGGAAGCATAAACATCTGTCATCATACACACGTAGATTTAGAAGCATTACCCTCTATTCCTTCTATAAGAAAACACAGATATTTGTTACCTAGAGCAAACATTTTGTAATCTGGCCCTGCAGTGTTATAATTTACTGTTTTGCTGGCCCCCTCATTCTCTCTATAAGGTTCCATGAGTGACTTGGGCACTGGTCTTCCCTACTTTCCCACATGATCAAGGGAATTCTCATTCTACAACAAGTCCTAAAAAGTCAAATCAAACTCCACTTCGACCAGTCAAGGCTATTGTCTCCTTGACCGACTACTAAGTTTTCATGCTGAATGGTGCATGCATCTCTGCAAATTGTTCTTCTTTATTCACCACTTTATGGCCCACTTTGTCACCTGCTATTATCTGCTCACTTCCCAGATTTTGCTCCTACCAGCTTTCTTGCTAATCAGGTTTTTTTTTTTTTCCCTGTTTCTAAACATACATCTCAATGTCTGGTGTGATCTTCACACATTTCCCAGTCACCTTCCTCAGCTAAACCTGTCTACTTGGCAGACAAGCACTTTGGAACTTCATATCTACTCTTTCTCATGACACTGACATATTCTTTTTTTGGCATACAAATGTCAACAGGTAGGATCAAATGGAAAAGAGGTGTGAAAGGTTAATTCCCCAATATCAGCATCAACTATAGGAAATGTATTTGCAGAGTAACAGCTAAGCGGAACTCCTTGAATGAACAGTGCTCTGTGACAACTATTGAATGAGAACATTTCTGTCACAATGAAGACAAAGGTTGTTTCAATGTCATGGGTCACTGGGTGAAGAGCAGAGAAAGCCAGTTCTTCATGCTTATACAAGAGCCCTTCAAACATGGGAAGCCAATGTTACAGACGAGGGTTTAGCCAAAGAATGAACAGTTGTTGCCAAAAATCAAAGGATTTTTTTTGAAACCCAATTTTTGATCTTAGTTAAATCCCTGTTTGGGATACAGGACCAATATCAGTCTGTCATCATCATGCACAAAGGAAACTATAAATTATAAACGCATCTACGTAGAAAACAAATAGAATTGTTATGTACATTATTAGGGAAATCATATTATCAGTGAGTTTGCTTCCAGAATGGAGGCTGTGTAAATAAATGGATTTTACAGGATGAATCTTTATTAAAAAAAATATTGTAGATCACCTGAGGTCAGGAGTTTGAGACCAGCCTGGCCAACATGGCAAAAACCCGTTTCTACTAAAAATACAAAAAATTAGCCAGGAGTGGTGGCGTGTGTGCCTGTTGTCCCAGCTACTCGGGAAGCTGAGGCAGCAGAATCACTTGAACCTGGGAGGTGGAGGTCACAGTGAGCTGAGATGGTGCCACTGCACTCCAGCCTGGGTGACAGAGGGAGACTTAGTCTCAAAAAGATAATTGTAAAATTGTAGGGGAGAAGAGATTTTTTTTTTCTCATCCATTCATTGTTCAATTCATGACTGAGACCCTGGTAATAAAAAATTAGATTAACAAGAGAAAAGCACACAAATCTATGTAGTATAAGTTTTACTTGACATAGAAGCCTTCAGAGATGAAGACCCCTGCCAAAAAAAAAAAAAAAAAAAAAAAAAAACAGGGAAAATTGTGCAGTTTTGTGGACAATTGTGCAGAAGTATGATTAGAGGACAAAAAGTTCTGACCCAACGGTAATAAACTGGGTAAAACTTAGCAAGACCTGTTTGTTCAGATTCTTCTCTGTGTCTTCATTCCTTTTTTCTGGGTAGAGGGAGGGCTCCTCTGGAATGAGAATGATGACCTACTTTAGAGGAAGGTCAGATAATTATTTTATGGTCTGCTTCAGGGCACAATGGCAGGAGAAGGCCAAAGAGATGTCCATCCTGCTTCTGCTGTTTTTCAAATGCCAAAGTGCCATATTTTGGGAAAACATATTCTGAACTCCATTAAAATGGAAATGTTATTTGTTAGTCTAAGCTGAAAATAAAGTAAAATAAACCTCTAGACTCTTCTTTTTTTCAAAATGGCATCCTTCCAAATTCCTCCGTTTATCTCTATATTTTCTTTTCATTGATTTTTTAGAGACAGGGTCTCACTCTGACACCAAGGCTGGAGTTCAGTGACACACTCATCGCTCACTGCAGCCTCGAACTCCTAGGCTCAAGTGATTCTCCGGCTCAGCCTCCTGAGCAGCTGAGATTATAGGTGCATTCCACCATAATCATTATTTAAAGTTTTTGTAGAGACAGGGCCTCTCTATGTTGCTCAGGCTTCACTGAGATTAATTTGCAATGGGAAAGACTTCAATTAAGCAGAAAGAAGATCTTTCTTAATAAAAGATTCATAAGAATTTGCTTCATGATTTATTCATTTATACTCATCTTTTAAAAATTATTTGAGATGACTTAAAAGAGCATAAAATAAGAAAGTAAAGATAAATAAATGAAAAAAGGGTAAAGAGCAAACAAAACAGGAAACAAAGTTGAACCAGGGATAAAGGTAGTGTTCCTAAGAATGGATTGGATTCAAGTATACTAGTAGGGAAGACCCCATGTGAGAGAATAATCAGGAATGTAATCCACAGATTCTGGGAGCTCAGGAGACACAGTTGTTTGTGTACTGACATCCAAAGAGGGTTTCTGTTGTGCAAGTCTAAAAAGAAGACATAGTGTGATGGCATAAACAACATACTCAACAATATTAGTTCAATAAGAAAAATAGAAAATGTTATACATTTTATTTTGGCATGCTATATTAGTTTCTTGTTGATAGAACAACATTGCTACTATAACAAATTAATTCAAATGTAGTGGCTTTAAACAACACATATTTATTATCTAACAATTCTAGAGATAGAAAGTCTGAAATGAGTGTTAGGGTGCTAAAATCAAGGTGTTGGCAGAGCTGTGATCCTTTTGGAGGCTTTAGAGGAGAATCCATTTCTTAAATTTCCAGCTTCTAGAGTCTGGTTGCATTTCTTGCTTACTGGCCCATCACCCTGACCTCTGGTTCAGTTATTAGAGAACTCTTTCTCTCTCTGATTCTAACCCTCTGTCTTTGTTTTGCAAAGACCATGGTAGTTACACTGGGCCCGCCAGGATGATCCAGGATATTTCCCCATCTCCGGTTTTGTAAGTCCCTTTTGCTGCATAAAATAGCATATTCCAGGAATGAGGATATGGCCTTCATTGCGGGGTAGTTATTCAGCCTAGCACACATGCCTTAATGTAGGCAGATGATTGGGTGATAAAAATGTCTATGTACGCAGCTCTCTGATACTTTTCAATATACAAGGAAAATTAGGAGAGTTCATAGTATATTCACATTTTACCACCATGAAAGGAAAATCTGTTCTGGCAGTTCTAGTTTTCATTTTGATAATAAGCAGTAGGTAACTATTCTGGGTTCAAAGAGTTTATCTTCAGACCTATCTCTGTTTTCAGGGTCAAAGGATAAGGAAACACCAATAAAAGCTGCAAGTAATTTTCTATAAATTAATCTGCCTGGCAATAAAGAGTGTAATGATGGTCAAAAGCAGTAGCTCTGCTTAAACTGCTGGTCCACATGGAGATCATTGGCCTAAGAAACTCAAATCTAAAGTTTGTCAAAGTGGAAACTGAATTTACATTTTATAAGGAATTAGATAGATAGTATTAGAGAAAATACCTAACAATCAAAAACTTTTACAAATTTCTGGCAAGTTAGCTTGTTTCTGCTGGCTGAGAAGCTTGCTAGGGAGTTGAACTCTGGTGTCCTCTTCTCATAACATCTCCTATCTTTAGAAGTAATTCATTTGAAGGTCTCACATCCTTGATAACCAGGAAGTATAGCATTCACATCAGGTGCAGAGTGGGAAAGCCACTCCTGCTGACAACTACTTGCCCCTGAAAGTTGACGTCCTCTTTTGTAGTCTCATTCTTACATTAACTTGTAGGTGAAACTAACTAGGGGAGGGTTAACTTTTGGCCAAGATCTCTGAACTGGCACGTCTCAGGAGGTCATGAAGGGAGGTGCCTGGCCCCAATCATCGGAAGATCTATAGGCAGAAGATGTGCCACGTTTAGTTTCATCTGAATCTTTAGACAAATTCTTGGACAACAGGAAAAGTACCATGGGTTCTGCTATCATTATAGACACATTAATCTTAATATCCCATTAAATGATATATTAGTTTGATAAGCCTGCCATACATGATAAAATATCACAGACTGGGTGGATTAAACAATGGAAATTTGTTTTCTTGCCACTCTGGAGGCTAGAAGTCTAAGATCAGGGTGTTGGCAGAGTTGGTCTGTCTCTTTGGCATGTAGATGGTTGCCTCCTTCCCTTTGTTTCAAATCTTCTTTTCTCTGTGCATATCTGTGTCTTAATCCCTTCTCATAAGGACACTGGTAGTATCAAATTAGGGTCCACCTCAATGAATTCAATTAACCATAGTGCTTCTTTTAAACCTCTATCTCCAAATACAGCCATGTTCTGATGTACTGCAAGTTAGGACTTCAACATTGAATTTGTTATTCGTATCTTCCAGCTTCTAGTGTCTGCTTGCATTTTTGGTAGGTAAAAGGGAACATGATTCAGCCCATAATAGTAGTAAATTATCAAATAATTTAGTCATAGGTAATCACAAGTAAAGAAAGCTTTGGTAGCTGAAGTAGCTTTTGATTTTTGTGTGAGCATGGTGAACACTTCTACTTCTCTCCTTATGAGGTAGTGTATCAAATCCCCATTTTTCACCCTTGGCTCCAGTCTAGCAGAGACACTTGTACTGGTCCAAGAAATAGACCAATCAAGACTGCACGATTTTCCAAGCTGGAACTGGCTAGAGGTGAACACACTTTTATTTTATAATACACATTATCAAGACATGAAATTTCCTTTTGGGGAGAGTACTTTACAAAATGAAGTCCAAAAGATAAAATAATGGAAAGAGAAAAAGAGAGAGCAAGGGCCCTTAGCTCCTAGGTTTATCCTCTCTGAGGCGGAACCCACAGCTGTATCCGTGAAATGTTATGTTTGTCAACAAACTCCCTTTTAGGCACACCCTAGTTCAACTTACATATCTGTCATTTGCAATCGAAGCGTCCTGACCACTACTGCTGCTGATATGTGATTGAATGTATCCCTGCACCTCACCTGAACGTGTGCGTAACAGACATATCCAAATGAATTGCTCCAAGAACATAAAGAATATGTTCAAGAAGCACTACGGTTTCTACTTCCCATTTTTCCTTATCTAGGCCATTTGGCACAGCTGGTGTTTTTCAAAGGCTAAGTGCCAGACTTAATTTTCTGTCATGGTGGATTTGTAATGACAGCTCGAGTTCCATCATGGTCAAATACTAGCTTTATTGGGTACGTGGTCATTCATCATGCAAAACTCAGATGATGAGATACATTTCATGGATTTGCTGCTCCGCTGAAAGTCTTTGCTGCCATAAACTGTGAAACAGACAAAAATTACCCACACCATTATAGTTAGAGGTGGCTCAGCTCCCAGGCTGTTATTGTTTTTGCAACTATGAATTTCCTTCTTTCTTTTTTATTTTTATTTTTTTTGAGATGGAGTTTCACTCTTGTTGCCCAGGCTAGAGTGCAGTGGCACGATCTCGGCTCACTGCAACCTCCGCCTTCCGGTTTCAAGCAATTCTCCTGCCTCAGCCTCCCGAGTAGCTGAAATTACAGGTGTGTGCCACCACATTTGGCTAATTTTTGTATTTTTAGTAGAGACAGGGTTTCACCATATTGGCCAGGCTGGTCTCGAACTCCTGACCTCGTGATCCTCCCGCCTCAGCCTCCCAAAGTGCTGGGATTACAGGCGTGAGCCACTTCACCTGGCCTGCAAACTATGAATTTCTTAAACAGAGAAAAATGGAATTTGCTTTTGTTTAATGCACATACCAATTATGATATCCCGTGAGTCTTATTTTCACCTCTTTTCGTAAAAAGTCATCAGTACTTTACTTGTCTTGCTTTCGCTCTGTCTCCTATGATTTCTTAGATGTTTATAGGTTCCCATAACATTTGGACAAATAAGTTAGCTTAATATATGTATACATTAGACCTAGATACATATGTCTAAAATATGTAAAAGTGATTCATGTATTTATAGCTAAGCTTATTACCATCATTTATGCAGTTGGTTCATTATTACAGATCAGGGGTCAGCAAATTTTTTCGGAAAAGGGCCAGATAGCAAAGAGTTTGGGCTTGCATCCCAGACAGTCTCTACAGCAACTACCCACCTCTATAGAAACATTTACCTCTACGCACTGCTCACCTCTCCCATAGTAGCGAGAAAATAACTACAGACAGTGTTTCAATAAAACTTGCTTTACAAAAGCAGACAGTGGCTTGGCCATATTTGTTCTGTGAGCATTAATTTGCTGATTCCCACCACAGATTGCACCTTTATTGTAATATTTTAATTCTGTACCTTCAAATCCATATCCCATTTGACCAGAGGATCAAAATCAATTAATGCTGAGTTAATGATAGAACATTATTAATGTTTTATGATATCAATGACTTTTATGATATTAAGCCCCTGTTGCCAGAGTAATATTGCTTATTCATTCATTGTATAAGTTCTTATTGAGAACCTACTATATGCTAAGTATTATGCAAGATATTGGTGACAGTGGTGAAAAATACAAAGTTGGCCTTCATGTATCTTATGACCTTTTAGGGAAGACAGACCATTAATTAATAAGAAAATATTGTGATGAATGTGATAAACTGTGAGTTTATTTAGCTGAGTGACCTAACACAGCTTATATTTCAAAGTGATCTTCCCTTGAAAGTAATGTTTAAGCTGAAACTGGAAGGGTGAGTAGGTATTTCGATTTGGGAGGAGTGGAGGTGGTGGGGGCAGAGGAAGATCCTGTCTGAAATGCCTAGTAGAAAAATGATAACGGGGCTGGGCATGGTGGCTCATGCCTGTAATCCCAGCACTTGGGAGGCCGACGTGGGCAGATGACTTCAGGTCAGGAGTTTGAGACCAGCGTGACCAACATGGTGAAACCCCATCTCTACCAAAAATACAAAAACATTAGCCAGGCATGGTTGTGCATGCCTGTAGTCCCAGCTGCTCAGGAGGCTGAGGCAGGAGAATCGGTTGAACCCGGGAGGCAGAGGTTGCAATGAGCCGAGATGGCGCCACTGCACTCTGGCCTGGGCAAGAGAGCAAGACTCTGTCTCAAACAAAAACGAAAATAAACAAACAAAAAAACACACAAAAACAAACAAAGAAAAATGAGAATGGAAACTGGGCAACTGGAGCACATTTACGGCTGTAGGAGACATATGTGAGAGGAGAATCTGGGACCTGGATGAGGGTCAGATGATACAAGGTGTTGTATACCATTAAGAAAATCATCAGAGTTTTAAGTGAAAATGCTCTTTCCAGATACTCATTGTTGGATGATTACTGTAGCTATAGTGACAATGGTGGAGAGAAGACAGGAAGAATGAAACATTAGGGGGATGGTTCAATGACCCATACAAGAGAAGATAGTGGCTTGGATTGAGTGGAGACAAGTGAGCACGCTGTGTTCATGGTATAGACTCAATGAGACTTTGCGGCTGACTAGATGTAGGGATGTGAGGAAGAAAGGAGTCAGGGAGCATCTCTCCTTCAGCAAACAAATATTACTTATTCCCTTTTAGAGGCCTTCTTGTGGAAGATTTGACCCCCATTTCACCACAAATTCAAATCCTATTCATTCTTTAAGAACAAGCTCACATCTTAATTACCCCAGATACCTTCCTCTACTGCTCAAGCTCACAGTGATGCCCTTCCTTTGAACTCCCAGAGCACCCATTGTCTGTTTTCTCCTTTTGGCATTTGCACAAATACTATCTTACACTACTATTTATCTCATGCATATGGCAGATTGTAGGATACTGTAGGATATGTGAACTATGTCTTGTATTTCTTTCATTTCCTATTAAGTTTCTGGAATAATTCCACGTACCAAGTAGATACATATGAAACACTTATACGGAAATGGATCAATGAGCAATGAGTAAATTATATTCAGATTTAACAAGGAACGTAACAGAGAACTTCAGAGCAGATAATGTCATTCTACAATCTAATGTTATCTTTCTTGTCAACTCTATTAATTAACAACAATGCCCAATAGTACTGGAACTGTTGATCGCCCATTACTTCAGTTAGCACTTGAACCTTATTACGCTGTCTTCAGTTTGCTTTCTCAATTTATTCTATTTATTATCATTCCTCAAGTATGTTTCCCATGTTTCATTGTAATATTTAATTTCATATTCATTTTCAAGCTCTATTACTTAACATATGCTGCTATCTCTTTGACCTTATGTTCACCCAGATTTTTCTTTAAACTCTGCCAAAGATCTACACTGAATTGATGCCTTTTCCTGATGAGATTTTAGCCTGGAATAGATGACTGCAGACAAGATTTAATTCTATCATAGTTTCACAGGATCTGGACAGTTCGTGCATGTTCCCATTGCCTCACTGAACAACGTCAGAGGTGAGAATTGAAAGTTGTGAGCAGATGGCAATGAGGTAATGTTTCAGGCTGTAAAAGTCACTATAAACTAGAGCATATATCAGGAACACAAACGTTGTTGCCTTCTAGGGGTTGTTCCTCAACTTTGTGTCACAGAATTTACATGATTTTAGTTCCATTTCGCAACATACTTGGAGTACCGTATTCTCGCTTATATATATTTATGTTCTTTCCACGTTGGGCCACAAGCTTTGATTCTAAGGGTCATTTAAGAAAGTTACAATAAAATTTATAGCTTAAGATTAGTTATCAAATTATAATCACCCTGATCATTGGACTGGTGGATCTAGCATAGGACTAGAAATAAGTCTGATATTCAACTCTGTAAATGTGTGTGTGTGAATAATTTATATATTCTTACACATAAAATATATATTATATACAGTATATTAAAATCAGAAAACCAGTATAAATTACAATTTTAGAAATGATTTAACAATTGACTCATTATTATATTCCATCAATTTCTTCAAATATATATGGAAATGAAATTATAAAAATTATTTATTAATTTAAAAGCTATGAGAGTTATAAAATTACAGGATTGTGAAGAACCTTCCTTCCCATTTTGATTCTCTCTTTCTATTGCTGCAACTCAGATTTGTCTATGGCTCATTTTTAATCTTAAACTCAACCAAAAACCACACTGTTTGAATAAAGAGAGAAAGTTGATTATAGACAGAAAGAGAGAAAAACATGTAATAATAAGCTTTCTATATATTTCTTATAGTACTCACATTAAGCAAGAACTTCTTTATTTTATAATTGTGTTATTTTTATTGGTTGGTTAGTTTTGATACAAATTAACATCCTCTTATATACTATATCACTTCTAGCTTCTAACTGGTTACCTGTGGTCAATTATTTGGACTTTTGATGTGTTTTTAGATCTAGCTTTTGTCATCAGGTATATTTTCTCTCCCTCTCAGATTCATGTTGACCACAAATTTAATAAGCACAAAACTTTGGCCTGATTCAAGTGATTAATAAATATATTGAACCAGATGTGTCTATAAAGAGAGCTCAATAGCCATTAGCACAGACCTTCCACCAAACTGATGTTAATTCATTAGCCATAACCCTTTTTATGTTTGCATTATCATGTATAATCCTGTCATTGCAGATAAGGCATTTTTTATGCTGCATTCCTGTATGTGAGAACATAAGCAAAAACTGGAGGAAAATTTGCACATCATGATCAGGACTATCCCAGTATTATAGCTATCTGTAGTTTTATTTTTTAATTCTGTGCCCCTTCCCTCTTTTTCCCGATAGCCATACCTTTGCTTATTTGAGGAAATACACCTCTTTCTTGAATCATGTAGTTCTGCTGGGACCTGCCAACTCATACTTAGCTCCTTTCCTCTTCCCCACCTGAGTCTTAGTCATATAAGCTGATTAGAGGTCTCGACTAGGATATTCTTGAACAGGAGCTGAAGAAATGAGCTCTTGTCTTTTCTGGAGTTACAGTTAGGTGAATAGAGTCTGGAGGTACTAGTATTTTTTTTTAGCCTTTTGTCAAAAGATTGGTTTGAAAGACAAAGAAGTTGAAACACAATTGAAAAAGAAGTTGAAAAAGAAGTTGAAAAGCAATTTAGAAATCACTGAAAGTTCCGATGGCATTTCAATTCCTGTTTCTAGTTTTTCTACCATTCTTATTATTTGCTTACATAGCTCAATGGATTTTATTTTAATCTAAGCTAGTATAAGCTAGGTTTCTGTCACTTGCAACCAAAAAACACTGACCAGAAATTCAAGAACACATCAATCAACATCCACATCTAATACTTGTTGCATAGGTATTTTCAAAGCCGAAACTTGAAAATCAGCAGTGTATATAGCTATGTAAATGATAGGCTCTTTCGAAGAACTTCCTGATTTCCAAATATATTATCCATCTGCTGCCAGTGAGCCTTAAGTTCCAAGTATTTATACTAGTAAAGATTCAATTACAGAAGCAGAAGTGCATATGCATATATGTGTGTGTCTGTTTGCGTGTATGTTTGTATTAACCATTTTGTTACAGAGATTGACCTAATGCAATTGTGAGAGCTGGTCAGGCAGCCTCTGTGAGACTGTCATGTTCATGAGTCCTAAGGAAAGGCAACCAGTAAGGAAAGTGCAGGAGGGCAAGAATAACCTGGAAACTCAAATCACACTGATGGAGAACAAGAACAAACCCATGAATTTGGACTGAAATCCTTGTCAGTTCATGGATGGTGTAGGTATCCTCTAAAACTCAGGGTCCTTTCTCATGGATCTAAACACAGGCTCCTCCCCCAGGAGCTGGAAACGCTGAAGGACAGTATGAGGAAGGTGGGTGTAGTAGGTCATTCTTGCATTGTGATAAAGAAATACCTGAGACTGGGTAATTTATAAGAGGTTTAACTGGCTCATGGTTCTGTAGGCTGTACAGGAAGCATGGCACCTGCATCTGTTTCTGGGGAGGTCTCAGGAAGCCTACAATCATGCAGCAGGCAAAGGGGGATCAGGCATCTCACCTGGCAGGAGCAAGGGCAAGGATGCGGGACGGTGCCACACTTTTTAACAGCCAGATATGGTGAGAACTTACTTACTGTTTTGGGGACAGGATAGGATCTCTCAGGCCTTGAGGAATCTGCCTCCGTGACCCAAACACCTCCCACCAGGCCCCACGTCCAATACTGGAGATTCTATTTCAACATGAGATTTGGGCAGGGCCAAATATCCAAATTATATCCTTGGGGAAGTTTCAGGCATGGCTACAGCCTCACACCCATGAGTTAAGCCAGAAGCTTAGGAACAACATAGGTGAGCAACACAATGATTGTGGTTTTATTTCCACCTTCAAAATCTCCCATAAGAACCTCACATGCGGACCCTCTAACAAAACACAGAGGGAAGCAAATTCTAAAATATGTAGGTCAATCTAATTAAGTTGATGCATTACAGCATCACCGCAACACCAAAATCACTAAAATGAATTATATTCCAAAGAAGCTAAAAATGAACATTGTGTGTGTGCGTGTGTGTTAAGAAGGAAGTGGTAGTGTGAATCTACCATAGGAGGAATAGGATATGGGTGTTAATGAAGGAAAAATACATCTTAATGAAACAGAGTAAGTTATGCCTATCCTTCATATTGGAATATCACATTGTGAAGTGATTCCTCTTTGTGTGCCTGGGTACACATTATTCATTGATGCTTTGATTAAATGTTTTCTTTAATGTTATAGATATGATGTATTTTTGGAAGAGAGAGTAGATAGCCTTAGAATTTTCTGCAGAAATATATTACACCTTCTAGCAAATGTTGGTGTTTCCCACGCTATTCTATTCTAAACAGTATATATAGAATTTTATGATCATGGTGTTTTATTTGATTCAGGAATGGGTACTTTTGGCCACAGTTTGTATATTTTTAACATCTTAAAACTATTTCAGTATGCTCTAGGTTTGATAAAACATGTAGCCTGGAGGGGTTTCCCTGTAACATACAAGCCATGTGCTGTTGGAAGGAAACTCAATCCATATAGTTCTGATTTGTTTATACTTAAATAATATTGTAGTGTAAGAAGAATCTGTCATTAAAATAAGCCCTTTACTCTTAAAACAGAAAGCTTTTCTTTTCCAAGAGTAAATGAACTTGGAGACCAATGATCTAACTCTTGTTTGAAAATTGAACTCCATGAAATTAGGGCGGGTTCTTTCTCTGTTTATATTTTTTATGTCAGAGCTGTCAATCTCCTTGCTTACTTTTTTCCCCAATACATTTATTAATTACTTCTCTCTTTCTTTTTCCTTTTTAGTTGGCGGGTAATAATTGTGGATATTTACTTGATTTTTTAAATGAATTTTATTAATGTTTCAATTTTGGATTGGGATTCTCCATCTATATTTATTTAGTTGAGTTATTACATTATTATCCAATCAGAATCTGTTAGATGTGCTCCTTACTGAAATCACTATAAGAATAATTTTATTTTTATTTTCTTTTTAATACCAGAATACATACCTCATCATCGCAGAAATGGTATTTTAAATTTATATTTAAATTTAAATTTTGGTTTTAAAATATTAAATGTAACGATTAAATTAACTATAGTATTTAAATAATACCATCTAAATTTCTAAATAAAATTTATATAGAGTTTTCTCATTGGTATCTTTTCAGAAATTTTATCCCGTGCGTTATGTTGACTTAATTTCTGTGAAAAATGAAAAAGGATCAAATGTTATTTTTCCTAAAGCTTTTATTTTGTCCACATCCTGAGTTTAAAATTATACTTTTATGATGTACCATTTTCTTGAAGCAAAAAAAGCCAAAAAAACCCAAAACCCATGAAATGAAAATTAGGAACATATTACCATAAAACAATGTATCTAATGTATGTTTAAGCATTTTTATTTTTCTTTGAAACACATACATATCTATACATAATGTATGCACACACATAACTATATATGTATATATTTATATACACATGTATATATGCAGACACATATATAAACATGTATTTTATTCAGTTTTGTATATGTATATATTAATATATTACATGTTATCTTATATTCATATATGTAAATGTCTATGTTATACATATAAATTCTCTAATAATTACATATACATGATGTTTTTTAAAAATTAATATGCACAGTCAGCTAAATAATTCAAACAATAAAAAAATGATATTTAATCTATCTTGTCTCCACAGGTCTGAAGCAGTACCTTTATCCTATAATTCCTTTCCACATACATGTATGTCTGGATTTTGAACTATTCTACTAATTATTTATATCCAGTACCAAACTGCTTAAAATACTAGAGCTTCATAATAAATATTATTGTCTAGCACAGTGAGTGCCCCACCCCTTATTACATTTTTAGAATTTCTTATCTACTCTTAGATAACCTTAAGATTATATTTAATATGCATTTTAAAATAAGGTTATCATATTTGGAAAACATTGCAGTTAGTACTTTTATTAAAATTAAATTGAGTTTATAGATTAATTTAGAAAAAATTAGCACATTTACAATATGGAATTTTCTCTCAATATTTAGAAATTAATTTTATGTAGCAGATGAATATTTCTTGTTAAGTTTATTCACACATTTATTTTTATCTTCTTGTTTATATGTTAAAAGATAATTTTCTTCCATTTCGTTTTCTAACTTTTTGGTAATATATACAGTATTTTTTAATAGGCTACTTGTAAGTAGTACAGGTTGAATTTTCCTTATCCAAAATGCTTGGAACCAGAAGTGTCTTGGATTTCAGATTTTTTTGCATTTTGGAATATCTGCATATACTTAATGAGATATCCTGGGGGATAGGACCCAAGTCTAAACATGAAATTCATTTATGTTTCATATACACCTCAAACACATAACCTGAAAGTAATTTTATACAACATTTTAAATAATTTTGTGCATGAAACAAAGTTTTGACTGTGTTTTGACTGTGATTCATCACATGAAGTTAGTTGTGAACTTTTTCACTTGTGGTATCACGTCAGCACTCAAAAAGTTTCCGATTTTAAAGCATTTGGATTTTGGATTTTTGGATGAGGAATGCTCAACCTGTATTCTTATGTGCATAGTTATCATGAAAAGAAGCAAATGAAATAAAATGTCCACTTTGGTTGCTTTCATAGACATTTTCATCATCAAAAAGTTTAAATATATATGCATGCTGCAAATTTTCTGAGTATTAAATGTTATGTAGATACATACCAATTAAGTAAATGCCTTTTTTTCAGTTACTGTTTGGGAAGACTCATTGTTACGGTTACTGCAGTAGGGTACGGTGGATTACAATACTAGGTTCTCAATATAACTTATGGTAATATTTCCTTCATTATAAATGCCATAAGGACTAGAAATTTTGAAAACTACACTTTCAATCACCTTAAAACAAATTTTTTTCCCAAGAAATATAGGAAGTCTCTGAATCCCTTTGTTATTTAGTCTAGATTAGAAAAGAATTATGTCATCAAGAATTAATTATCAGTATCTTGTCAAGATAGTTAAAATTTATAACAACAAATGCATAGATAGAAAAGGACAATTATCACATAAAATTCCATTCACACTGTGAATTTAAAACCTAATCTTTAAAAAACAAAGATTTATTTATTTGAACTTCACTAATTTGCTTTCTTTACTGAAGAATTTTTTCTTCTCAATTCATGATATATTTTTACAGCAAAAATTGTATTTAAGATTTGTATATAATTCATAGGGCCAAATTTAATCACATTTTATATACACTAACATTTTTATTAAAGAAAACTACTTCTGAATTAAATTTCTTCAAAATGGGTCTCACTGATTAGGTTATCCTTTCACATTATTATAATTTACTCCTGCTTAAAAATATGCATCAAAATGAAAATTCAAGAAAACATGTAAATATTTCAAAATCACAAAATGGTTAGCTAAAACTGAGTTGTGAAAGTAGGTCAAAGAATGAGAGAGAAAAGGAGGAATAAAATATTGTGAAATAGACATACAGTTTTCATTTTCTTATGCCTAAAAGTATAGGCAAATATTATGACATTGCTGATCTTTGAGGCTCTTTCAATACATTAAAAGAAATAAAGACATACAGATTTAACACAGTTGATAGGGAAAATCAGATAATTTTTAGTTCTTTGTCATATTTTCATATTTAATTTCTCTTTAATTAACAAGTTACTTTTAAAATAAACTAATCATTCAGTCTTGAATTTCTCTTTTCCTCCAAGAAAATAATAATTATTAGAAAGAACAAGAGGGGAATAATATCATATCTTTATGCAGCCATAAAATAAAGCGAGAAATCTACCAATCAATAAGTTATTTACATTATATTTGAGAACTTGATGTGAATATTAGAGCAGCTATTATTTTTAATAGAACAGAACAAAACACAGCTTCTCTAATTAAAAACACATAGCAATAGGAAAATAACTAAAAAACTGAATATCTAATTCATCGAAAGCTTTCAGACCTGTATGCAAATAAATTAGCACAAAACTACTAAGAAACCCAAATTAACAGTAATTAGCAATTAAAAATTATATGCCTTTTAAAAACTTCATTATCGATACAAAAACTATAGATTTAACAACTAAAGAAGGAACAATTTAAGCATTAGTCCGCATTGCTTTTGTTTTCTTCCCTGAATTTTTAATTGTAAGTTTAACATTTATTTCTTTATAAGACAATTTATATTATTATTTAAATTATACTGCTGTGAAGGATTTAAAGAGGCTGAGTGTTTTCAGTTCTGTGATGGTCTGTAATCACCTTTCAAAGCGTAGTGGATGATCCAATTTCTCCATCTAATGGCTTTACATTTTAAATAAAAATATATATATGAGACCCGGAATTATAACTGAAAGAGAGGTTCTGCTTGTTTCTCTAGATTTTAAAAAATCTTGTAGTTATGCATAGAGTATTTCAAAAACTATATCTGTCAAAATTTAAATACTAAAATGTATAAACAATAAAACCAAACAAAATCATATTTACAGCTCAACTAATTGTGACTGTCTTCATAGACCAAAGTCTTTAAATGGGATGTATGCTTTAAGAGAACTAGAAAAAACATCGAGATGTGATAACAATTTGAATCAAAGAAACCTGGGTGATAGACTATTACAGAATAAAAGCCTTTTGTAAAAACCTGGACCAAATGTTTACAAACTATATTGAAGCTGCTACAGTATCCAATACATGCTGAGTGTATTTATAGGTTAATTCTGTGGTAAAATAGTTTATGTGTTAATATTATGTTCTGGTCCTAAAACAAAGGCATTGCAAAAACTCTGAAATTAGTTGGGATGGGAGACAAAATATAGAAAGAATTATCAGATATAAATGTATACTTACAATAAAATAATTTTTATTCACCATTTTGCCATTTTTATACATATATGCCTAACAACCATGGTGTGAAGATCAAATATAAATCTCAGTCTCATGAATTTCATGTGCTCTTCATATGCAGCTATGATATAGAATTATAGAAGTTTAAAACTGTGATATAAAATAATAAAATTTCATTTTACAGATGAAATTCAGGAACTATCAACATCATATATATATATATATGTTGTTGTGTATATATGTGTGTGTGTGTATATATATATATATATATGACACAAAGTGAAATTCAGGAAGTGAAAAGCTGAGACGAGAGGAGTAGGTAGGGATCCTGTAATGGGAAGCTTTGTTTGTTAAGGATTTTTTTTTTTTTTTGTGACACTTCAAAGGGCACACAGAGGACTCAAGTTCCAAAGAATAGAACACTGTGTGCTGTGCTCTCAGCTCTCAGATAGCCCTTTTGTTCAGGAAAGAGTTTGTTGCCAGTGGAAGCCAAGAACTTGTCAGCTGGATCCACTTTGTCTATGTACGAATCACTAAAAATAATTGAGAATGTTTTTAAATTTCCTGCTTTATAAGGAAGAAAAAAGTTTGAGAGTGACAAACCACCCAATAAAATGGGAACTATGCAGATGTATGAGAATTAATAAGTACTATAAGCAATGTTACAAAAGGGAGGATCACATAGTAAACTAAGCATAGACTGCATGCTGCCTCACCTGCATCTAATCCTGGAGATACGAAAAGAGTTGGGCAGCTGATAGAAGTCTGAGCAATGTAGAAATTGAAATAAAATCTAGGCCCATATGGGTAAACCAACATCAAACTAAGTGAAACTAATAGGAAACATAGAGCAGAGTAGGATCTTAATCTTTCTCAAATTGTCCTAGATATTTCTGAGTTTATTTTTTCATAAATTTTTAGAATCAATTGCCAAGTTTCTTCTAAAATTCTGCTTGAATTTTAATTGAAATTACACTTAGATATATAGATTTATTTGAAGAGAATTGGCAGCTTTGTAATGAAGGATGGACTATCCATAAACATGATATCTCTTTTTCATTTAATCAAGCATTCTTTTTTTTGTCCTGTAATAAAATTGGCTATTTCTGAGGCTATTTTTCTGCAATTACAAACTGTACTTACATCTTTGATTATATTTCTGACTTATTGTGGTGACAGAAAAATATAGATATTTGTATGTTGATCTTGAATTAGATAATTGCCTGACATCTTATAGTAGTTTTAATAGTTTGTCTATTGGTTCTCTATATAAAATGAATCTTCCATTGAAAATGATAGCTTCTGGCCAGGCACGGTGGCTCACGCCTATAATCCCAGCACTTTGGGAGGCCAAGGCGGGCAGATCACAAGGTCAGGAGTTCGAGACCAGCCTGGCCAATATGGCAAAACCCCGTCTCTACTAAAAATACAAAAATTAGCTGGGCATGGTGGCGGGCGCCTGTAAGTCCTAACTACTCGGGAGGCTGAGGCAGGAGAATCAGTTGAACCCAGGAGGCAGAGGTTGCAGTGAGCTGAGATAGTGCCACTGCACTCTAGCCTGGGTGACAGAGTGAGACTCCATCTCAA
Organism: Homo sapiens; assembly: GCF_000001405.40. Taxonomy (NCBI): domain Eukaryota; kingdom Metazoa; phylum Chordata; class Mammalia; order Primates; family Hominidae; genus Homo; species Homo sapiens. The sequence continues at coordinate 107,613,539 of NC_000008.11, read as the reverse complement.
AAAAAAAAAAAAAAAAAAAGATAGCTTCTGCAAATATCAATTTTTTTTTGAACTGTTTTTTTTTTTTTTTGCTTGGTTGCTTTGCCCCATGACACTGTATTATATTGCTCCACAGTGGTAATAGTAATCATCCTTGTTTCTAAAGTTAAAAAAGAATGCTTCTAAAATTTCTTCATTAGGTACCACATTTGCTACAAGATTTGGGACCTGTCTTTTGTTAGTTTAAGGAAATTGCCATTTTCTAGGAGATTTTGACATAATTGGATGTTCAATGTCACTTTTAAAAATCTGTAACTTTAAAAATATATATATGGCAAATTGACAGATAACAAAATCTGTAACTTTTTTTTAAGTTCATTCATGAACTAAATGGCCTCATTGATAAATATGCTGCTATTGAAGAACTTTGATGTTTCTGGTTTAAGTCATACCTGACGACAATGTAGGAGGCTTCAGTTACCTGATTATATATCTAGAAAATTTGCATTTATGTCAATAAATGCAATTGGCATATAATATTTAATTTTTCTATTGCCTTCAACTGAGTTAAATACAAGATAAGGCTGATCTACTAACATAACCCTGACAACATTCCCTTTTCTTGTGTTATTATCTGAAATATTTTATATGAGATAAAAATGATCTATTCCATAAGAGTTTGGTAGGATTCACCAGTAAAATCATTTTAGTGTGCTTAAAGATGAGTAAAAGGACAGGTTTTATTTTATCATTTTAATTTCCATAGTGATTACTGATCTATTCCAGTAGTTTATTTTTTCTGTGTCAATAATTTCCCAAACTATTCAATCTATATTTAAAAATTGTCATATAATTTTTACAATAGTAGTATATTATCTTTTGAGTGTTTATGTTTTTCCACAGCTATTCTCCCTTTTACACTGTATATTTCGTGGTTGCCTTTTTATTCTTAACAACAGTACCAGTTGTCTGTCTAACTTATCAACACTTTCAAATAACTATCTTAGGTTTCAATTATTTGCGTTTCTGTGTTATTTTTGCTTTTCCTCTAGTTATTTTACTTATTCTTTATTTTTATTACTTTATTTATTCTTACTTTTGAAGACTTGATCTGTTTCCTTTTTCCTAACTTGTTGATTTGAAGACTTTTTTCATTTATTTTTACTATTTCTTGTTTTTCAGTAAATACATACAAAGCTATTTTCCTTTAAGCACTACTCTATTGCATTCTATATTTTTTTATTATTTTATTTAAGCTTTAAGTATTCAGCTATAATTTTACTTTTAATCCATGGTCTGTTTTGTAGCATGTTTTAGTTTTTCCACATATATGGAATTATTTTTCTACAATTTTGGAATTATTATGAATTTACAACATGTACCAAAACCATAGAGTGAGTGTTGTTGTTTAGAACCTATTGTGACTTTCTTCATCAGTTTTTCTTTATAAATTTATTCAAATCTGCTTTAAAAATTTTTGTGTTCTGTATTTGTTGGGCTTTAAAATGTTTTTTTCTCCCTCTGATCTCTACAGATCAATTATTACATTATTCAAACCTACAATATTTTTGTTTTTTCTACTTCATATATTAATTTTAAAGAAAAGTATATTATCATCTTTAACTAAAAATACTGATATCCACTCATCTCGACAATTTATTTTATTGTTGAGTGATATATTTCAACATAATATACTTACTGATGCATAATTGCATCATGACTGTTATATCTTCTTATCATTTCTTCTCTCTGTTTATAAGCCTCTATTTTGTTCCTTATAATTTTTTGGCCTTAAATATTTATTTTTCCTAATATTAAAATTGCTTCCAAAGTTTTCTTTTGGTTTATATTGACCTGGTATATCTTTTTTATTATTGCATTTAACAAATTTTGAATGTTTAATGTGAGACACTGCTTTAGGTTCTAGATATAAAGAAATAGGTTACAATCCTGCTTATCTGAAGCTTATATTTTAGTAGGAAAAACATGTAATAATAGATTGAACTAATGAAGTAAAACCATATTATATGTCAGATCGTGACAAGTGCTACTGAAAAATGAAAGCATCCAGAAGAAACAGAGTTGTTAGTAGTAGGCTGAAATTTTAGACACTGTGATGGAAAAAGCCTCTATTTTATTTGGGTACCTAGAATCCCCTGCTGGAGGTTGAGCAGTTGCCATCCACAATCCCTCTCCTCAATGATTTATGGATAATGAGAGGAATGATACATTAGCACCAATGGAATGAGAAATAAGCTGTATTGCTCACAGAGTAAATAGCAAAATGGTTTTCAAAGAGAATATTTCAGATACAGTTGGGAGTTAAACAAAAAGGAAACATTGGTGGTTTGGGGCTTTTATTGTGATTAGTGGATGGAGCCAGAACTGAGGTTCAGAATCTTGTTGTTGAGATGTGGGGCAAAGAGGAAAAGAAAAGCTGAGGCCTTGAAAAACTGCCATCAATCAAATCTCAAAAGTGAGGCTTTGTCCTTATTACAGCCTAATTGAATGGAAAGTGGAGGATTGAGCGGAAATATATCCTTTCAAACGTTCTCATCTTTTTTATTACATTATCGAATTGATTTTTAAATTCATTGTGGATATTCATGTCTTGATCAAGAAACTTATGCCATTAGCAATTATTATTACTTGTGTTAAAGAGGGCTTATTTACATTTATTTAATATTATGTGGTTTCTATTTTTTATACATAATTTTATTTTTTCTTCCTTATTGTTTTATACTGGACACATTTTTTCCCATTTTATGTCTTGTGGGGTTTACCTGTATAAAAATCTTTTATTTAGGCTATATTTCCCTATTTGTTTGAAATTTATCAAATGTATGTACTTCTTAAAACAAAATGTGTATCACAGCACACTTTTAACTCCTAGTTGCTTCTATCCTGAACACACAACAAATTAAACCTTCCTCCCAAGTTGATATCCATGGTATCTTAGTTTGCCTTCTGTTGCTACAACAAAACACCATAGACTAGGTAATTAATAATAATAATAAAAGACATTATTTCTCATAGTTCTGGAGGCTGAGAAGTCCAAGAGCATGGCATCAACATCTGGTAGAAGCGTTCTTGCTGCATTAAAACATAACAAAGATCATCACATGGTGAGAAAGCAAGAGCAAGACAGCCAGAGAGAGCTTGCTTTTATAACAAAGCCACTATTATGGTTATTAACCCTTCACCTAGAGAATAAGATGAACCCACTCATTACGGCTTTTATTAGGCCCCACCTCTCAATACCATTGGGTTGGAGATTAGTTTTTAACATACACACTTTTGGGGGACACATTAAACCATAGTACATGGTATCATGTGCTATTTTAGCCTGAGTCTTTTAAGAATATAAATGTTTAGAGTATCATTTAAAATAGAAAACATATTAAATTCTGTTTTCGCTTCCTTTCTCAAATGTCTTCTTCCTGGACTACTCTTTCTTACTAATGTAATAAATTCTCTAAAAATTATTTCAAGCAGTGTCTATGTGTAATAAACTTGTCAGAGAATATCTTTATTTTAACTTGTACATAAAACTATAGGTTTCATGTTTTTTTTTAAATCTGGCACACAGTAGATGATAATGTTTGTTCACAGTTGAAGGAATGCATATAAAAGAGTTTTCACACAAGGTCAGAGAAACCAGAGGGTTTAAATGAACCAGAATCACATGCAAAAGCAACACAGCCCAATGCCTTTTTTCAAATACATTAAGATCTTTTTTTTTTCTTCTTATTATTATACTTTAAGTTTTAGGGTACATGTGCACAATGTGCAGGTTAGTTACATATGTATACACGTGCCATGCTGGTGTGCTGCACCCATTAATTCGTCATTTAGCATTAGGTATATCTCCTAATGCTATCCCTCCCCGCTCCGTCCACCCCACAACAGTCCCCAGAGTGTGATGTTCCCCTTCCTGTGTCCATGTGTTCTCATTGTTCAATTCCCGTCTATGAGTAAGATCTTTAAACAGAAAAATAAAATAATTTATTGGTCTTTATACACCACAAGTTTTACAGGAAAATAAAGTGACATATTTATGTTTAGATAAATCCATTGTAAATAATTTTTAAAAAACATAAATATTGACTTATAAAGCTATGGCACTTTAAATTTCTTTTATCTTAAAATAACACAGAAGGAATGAGTATAAAGAGAAAAACATGTAACTAGACTTCCCTAGGTGCCAATTAGGATCTTAGAGTATTTTAGGATTGTAAACTTCATTTACACAAAACCAATTTTATACTGCATTTTACTGAAATCAGATAGCTTATCAGATTTAGCAGCTCTTCCCCAAGGTCTCCCACAAGTATTTCAATATTGCCTTTTAATTACTTGTTTGTATGGGTGCCTCCTTTAAGAGATCACAAACTCTTTGTGGAGTATATCTCAGTTATTTCCTCATTCAACAAACATTGAGTTTTGTCTGCGTGGCAGGCACTGTCTCATGTATATTTGGAGATCCTAGTCAGCTATAATGTAGGTACTCAATAAAAGTCTCAAGTGAATCAGTGAATCTTCTTTGCCTCTAGTTTAGAACATTTCATAGCATTTGGTTTGTATATCATATATCTTTAGTGTGTTCATACAGATTTTACTTAGGTAAAGTTTTGCAGATTTATACTAAAAATTTCAATGTCAATTTATTCCCCTATTTCTTGTACTAACATCAACAATAATGTCTTTTATTTGTATTTTCCTTAATATATTTCAAAAAAAATCCCATGCCAATTCATGTATTGAGTTAATGCAATCCAAATGAAAAACCTGGCTGAGATTGTGTAAAAACTTGAGAAATTAATTTGAAATTTCTATGGAATATAAAGTCTCTGGAAAAGCTAAAGTAATATTTAATAAAAGGAAATACTCTCAAGTCAGATAGCATATATGAGAATATTTTACATAATAATTGGCCCACGTAATGTATTTAAGTATTTGAATTTGCAGGAGGGCAAGGGCAATGGCTCACCAAAACCCAGATTAATATTCATTTCTGACATCAGATAGCAAGTATTGATGATATCTAGGCCTTGCGTAAAGCTGACGTCCAGATGTATTTGTGAAAAAGCATTTGACTTAACTCATGCTTTCTTTCTGCTTTTCCATGTCTTTGGTCAAATCAACCAAGGGCATTTACTAGTGGCTTTGCTTGATTTAATCACTGCACAATGTAAACATTTATCAAAATATCACATTGTACCCCATAAAATAATAATAAAAGGAAATAAACTGTAGGACTCATGGCACCTTGATTTCAAAACTTACTATAAAATTACAGTAATCCAGACAGCATAATAATAGACTAATAGATTAATGGTATAGCAATTAATTCACACTTATACTGTCAATTTATATATACTTGGCAAAGTCCCCATAGTGTTTCAATGAGGAAAGCAAGTTTTCCATAAAAGAAGGTGACACAACTTGATATCTATATGAAAGAAATTAACTTTGTTTCTTAACTCAATCCAGAAACAAACAAAAATTTTAAATGGATCATAGATTTAAACAAAAAAGCAAAACCATTAAGTTTGTAGAAGAAAGCAGAGGAGAATGTTTTTGCAACCTTAAGAGTAGGCAAAGATTTCTTCAGATAACCCCATTAAAAACTGGCAAAAGTCATGAATAGATATTTCTCAAATGAAGGCACACAAGCAGCCAACAAATATAGACAAAATGATTAACATCACTAAGCATCAGAGAAAAGCAAATAAAAGCTGCAATGAAATACCATCTCACACCAGTCAGAATGGCTATTATTAAAAAGTCAAAAAGCAACAGATGCTGTTGAGGCTGTAGAGAATATGGAATGCTTATACATTCTTGGTGAGAATATAAATTAACTTAGCCACTGTGGAAACAAGTTTGGAGATTTCTCAAAGAACTTAGAACTACCATCCAGCCCAACAATCCTATTACTGATTATACATCCAAAAGAAAAAAATCATTTTACTAAAAAGACACATGCACTCGTATGTTCATCACAGCACTATTCACAATAGCAAAGACATGGAATCAACCTAGATGTCCATCAGTGGTGGACTGGATAAAGAAAATGTGGTACTTGGGCCAGGCGCAGTGGCTCACGCCTGTATCCCAGCACTTTGGGAGGCCGAGGCAGGCAGATCACAAGGTCAGGAGATCAAGGCCATCCTGGCTAACATGGTGAAACCTCATCTTTACTAAAAATACAAAAAATTAGCTGGATGTGGTGGCAGGCGCCTGTAGTCCCAGCTACTCAGGAGGCTGAGGCAGGAGAATGGCGAGAACCTGGGAGGCGGAGCTTGCAGTGAGCAGAGATCGTGCCACTGCCCTCCAGCATGGGTGACAGAGCAAGACTCCATCTCAAAAAGAAAAAAAAAAGAAAAAAAGAAAATGTGGTACTTATACACCATGGAATACTATGCAACTGAGAGGATGGGCCAGCTGGGCTTCCCGGGTCGAGTAGGGGCTCAGAAAGCTGTGAAACTCACTCATTTCCTTCATTAGGACTTCCTTCAGTCTTGGATGAATAATACTGAAGATATATGCTTAAACTATTCCTAACATCAGGATTTGTGCATGTATTGTCTTCCCCAAGAAAGCTATAAACAATGAAAATTTTGCTGTAAGTTACCCTGTGTACTCTCTGCCTCTCTCCTTTCCCCTCCGCCCAAATTGAAGTAAAAGGAATGTTAACTGCCTGTTTTCCTGTGACCAGCAGACCTTATCTATGCTCCCAATTCCAATTCTTTGTAAACATACTTTGTAAAGTCCTGTAAGATCCTGTCTCCTTTGCCATGCTGCTGCAAGTTCATAAAATAGATAAAACCTAAGTTGCAATTCTGGTTTTCCTCAAGATCTAAGACATGTCATAAATGATTAATTGTCTTTGTTTCTCACTCTGGTAACATCTTCCCACCACACGTATTTCCCTCCTTAAAGAGTTTAAAAGTCAATTGTATAATCTAACTCTGGCTACCTGTTTGGGACCCCTTCCATGCTGTGGAAACTTTGTACTTCCACTCTGCTCAATAAGGCCTACAGCCTTTTCTCTCTATCGGTCCGTGTCTCTATCACTTGCCATGGTCATCGCCACTCCAATTCTTTGGCATGGCTAGGCAAGAACCTTAAGCATTACATTTTGGTGAGCCAGCCAGGAGACTCCAGGAAATGCATCTAGATTGTCACATGGTGAGTATGATTGGACCTCTTTCGCTTGCTATTATGTCCTATCCTTCCTTAGAATTAGGAGGCTAAATACTGGGCACCTGTAGGCCACTTAAAGGCAATTAGCATGGCCGCCAGACTGAAGACATGGGTGTCAGGCTGTCTGGAAAAGGGCTGTCTAACAATCCCTGACCCTTCAAGGCTGGGAGCATTGGTTGGCCTGGAACCAGTTCCAATTCTTTTGCTTTCCACGGTGGTCTTGAAGTACACCTGGGAGTGCTCAGCAGCCTTCTTAGTCTCCCAGATATCCTGGTTGAGACAATGACCCCGCCAGAGGCTCCCCCTGCACGGGTTACTGAGCGTGAGACAGCCACATCTTCTGACTCCTTCTTCCTGGGTCCTAATGTCCACCAGCTAGACTTCTTTCCTCATCTTGCAATCAAGGTGATTCCTGCTAGGCAGGATCAAGATTCCCTATTTAGAAGTCTTAAATTCTTGGGGTGATGCCCAGAAGATCCCTGTTCATGGTGCCCTCCGGGGTTTAGGCAGATGTCACCATTTGATGGCCACTTGGAAGGGCGAGTCCACCACCATAGTGTATGGTCCCCCGCATCAGGACAATTTAAAGACAGGTCTGTAATTTTCATGTGGATAGTAAAAGCCTTAGGGCATTTCATCCATTGCTCCCAGATAGACTTTCACCTTCCTTGGGACCTCTCAGGTACAATCTGTGGTGCATAGGCACGGGTCTTAGAGACATTGAATTGTTGTTTCAACCATTCAATAATTGGTATTGGAAGGAAGAAAATATAGTCAGTTGGGACAAAGGATACTGGTACCACCTTGAAATGAGGGCTTACTCTTTTGATGGCAAGTGGGGACAGAAGGCTAAAGTACAGCAGCTGTTCTCTTGGCCCTGGCCTAGAGGACCTCCACCACCCCCTTTAAGCTTACTAAGCCTCCTGTTGCTAATTCAGAGATTTCTCCTTGAAGGACAGTTTTACGGCCAGGGCCACGTAAATTGGGCCTTAGCATGCAAGCATCAGTGGTGCCCCTGACCCAGGCCTTGCCATCCTGGAACAGGCAGGACACATTGGCAGAAGGACCACAATAAATCCAACAGTCCTTGTGCCCTATTTAGTGGTCAATGACTGCATGGCAGGGGCAAGGGAAGTTTCCATTCTGCCAGTAAGCATGGTTGAATCTGGTAGATGGAGAGCTCAGGAAAAGCGGCCATGAGATTTGAGCATAATTGGACCTGACTCTTAGGGGACGCCCTAAGGGAAAACAAGGCACAGAACTAACCAGGGCTGTGGGCATCCTTGTGTTTAAAATTTCAGATTGGCACCACACCTTCAAAACCAGACACTCCCTTAAGATGTATTCTGAATAACTGGGACAAATTCGACCCTGAAAACTTAAAAAAGAAGTGGCTGATTTTCTTCTGTACCACTGCCTGGCCACAGTATTCCTTACAAAACAGAGAAACTTGGCCCCCTGAGGGAAGTATTAATTATAACGCCCTTCTACAACTAGATCTTTTCTGTAAACAGGAAGGTAAATGGAGTGAAGTCCCTTATGTACAGGCTTTCTTTGCCCTTCTTGACCATACTGTCCTGCGCCAAGCCTGAAAGCTTTGCCCAAATGACAGAGGCCCACAATTGTTTCCATATTCAGGACCTCTCTTTCAGCCCTACTCTTCTCCCTTGCTGACTCTCCTCCATCCGGCCCCACTAAAGTGTTAAAGGCACACTGGAAAGAGAACGTAAACTCCATGAGCTAGGCACCCAAACTATGTCCCTTACAAGCAGTAGGAGGAGAATTTGTGCCCACCCGTGTACATGTCTCTTTCTCACTCTCATATTTAAAACACATAAAGTCAGATTTAGGGAAATTCTTGGATGATCCTGATAACTATATAGATGTCCTGCAAGGATTAGGGCGGTTCTTTGATCTAACATGGAGAGATATCATGTTATTTCTTAATTAGACCTTAAGTCCTACTGAAAAAGAAGCAGCTTTAACAGCAGCTTGTCAATGTGGGGATCTGTGGTACCTTAACCAGGTAAACGATCGAATGGCCCTGGAGGAGAGGGAAAAATTCCCCACAGGGCAGCAGGCAGTCCCCACTGTAGACCCTCACTGGGATACTGACTCAGATCATGGAGATTGGAGCCACAGGCATTTGCTAACTTGCATTTTGGAAGGGTTGAGGAAGACTAAGAAAAAGCCTATGAACTACTCAATGCTATCCACAATTATGCAGGGAAAAAAGGAAAACCCCTCTGCTTTTCTAGAAAGGCTAAAGGAGGATCTAAGAAAGCACACTGCCCTAACTCGAGGTTCTGTAGAAAGCCAATTTTATTTAAAGGATAAATTTATCACCCAATCAGTGGCTGACATTAGAGGAAAACTCCAAAAGTCTGCCTTAGGCCCAGAACAAAATTTGGAGGCATTATTCAACCTGGCAACCTCAGTGTTCTTTAACAGGGACCAAGAGGAACAGGCCGAAAGGGAAAAGCGAGATAAGAGAAAGGCTGCAGCCTTAGTCATGGTCCTCAGACAGGCAGACCTTGGTGGCTCAGAGGGAATCAAAAGAGGAACAGGCCAATTGCCTAGTAGGGCTTGTTATCAGTGCAGTTTGCAAGGACACTTTAAGAAAGATTGTCCAACAAGAAACAAACCACCCCCTCATCCATGTCCAATATGTCAAGGCAATCACTGGAAGGTGCACTGCCCCAGAGGATGAAGGCCCTCTGGACCAGAAGCACCCAACCAGATGATTCAGCAACAGGACTGAAGGTGCCCGGGGTAAGCGCCAGCTCATGCCATCACCCTCAAGAGCCCCAGGTAAGTTTGACCACTGATGGCCAAGAAGTGGACTTCCTCCTGGACACTGGTGTGGCCTTCTCAGTTTTAACCTTCTGCCCTGGATGACTGTCCTCAAAGTCTGTTACTATCCAAGGAATCTTAGGACAGCCTGTAACCAGGTATTTCTCTCACCTTTTCAGCTGCAATTGGGAGACGTTGCTCTTTTCACATGCCTTTCTTGTTATGCCGAAAGTCCCACACCCTTGTTAGGGAGGGACATATTAGCTCAAGCTGGGGCTATTATCTACATGAATATGGGGAAAAATTACCCATTTGTTGTCCCCTACTTGAAGAAGGAATCAACCCTGAATTGTCGTTTTGGAAGAACAATTCGGAAGGGCAAAAAAATGCCCATCCAGTTCAAATCAGGCTAAAAGACCCCACCACTTTTCCTTAGCAAAGGCAATATCCCTTAAGGCCTGAAGCTCATAAAGAATTACAGGATATTGTTAGACATTTAAAAGCTCAAGTCTTGGTAAGAAAATGCAGCAGTCTTTGCAACACCCCAATCCTAGGAATACAAAAACCAAATGGTCAGTGGAGATTAGTGCAAGACATCAGAATCATCAATGAGGCAGTAATTCCTTTATATCCTGCTGTACCCAACCCCTATACACTGCTCTCTGAGATATCAGAGGAAGCAGAATGGTTCACTGTTCTGGACCTCAAAGATGCCTTCTTCTGCATTCCCCTGCACGCTGACTCCCAGTTCCTCTTTGACTTTGAGGATCCTACAGACCACATGTTCCAGCTTACATGGACGGTCTTGCCCCAAGGGTTTAGAGATAGCCCTCATCTGTTTGGTCAGGCATTGGCCCAAGACCTAGGCCAATTCTCAAGTCCAGGCACTCTAGTCCTCCAATACATGGGTGATGTATTTCTGGCTATCAGTTTGGAAGCCTCATGTCAGCAGGCTACTCTAGATCTCTTAAACTTTCTAGCTAATCGAGAGTACAAAGTGTCTAGGACAAAGGCCCAGGTCTGTCTACAACAAGTTAAATATCTAGGCCTAGTCCTTGCCAAAGGAACTAGAGCCCTTAGCAAAGAGCTATTCAGCCTATACTGTCGTATCCTCACCCCAAAACATTGAAACAGTTGTGGGGATTCCTTGGAATCACTGGCTTTTGCTGACTGTGGATTCCTGGATACAGTGAAATGGTGAGACCACTCTATACGCTGATAAAGGAGACTTAGAAGGCAAATACCCATCTAGTAGAATGGGAGTCAGAGGTGGAAACAGCCTTCAAAACTTTAAAGCAGGCCCTGGTACAAGCTTCAGCCCTGAGCCTTCCCACAGGACAAAATTTATCCTTTTATGTCACCGAGAGAGCAGGAATAGCTCTTGGAGTTCTTACTCAGACTCGTGGGACAGCCCCACAACCAGTGGCATACCTAAGTAAGGAAGTTGATATAGTAGCCAAAGGCTGGCCTCACTGTTTATGAGTGGTTGCAGCAGTAGTCATCTTAGTGTCAGAGGCTATTAAAATAATACAAGGAAAGGATCTCACTGTCTGGACTACTCATGATTTAAGTGGCATATTAAATGCTAAAGGAAGTTTATGGCTCTCAGATAACTACCTACTTAAATACCAGCACTACTCCTTGAGGAACCAGTATTTCAAATACGCACGTGTGCAGCCCTCAACCCTGCCACTTTTCTCCCAGAGGATGAGGAACCAATTGAGCATGACTGCCAACAAATTATAGCTCAGCCTTATGCCACCCAAAAAGATCTTTTAGAAGTACCCTTAACTAACCCTGACCTTAACCTGTACTCCGATGGAAGTTCATTTGTAGAAAATGGGGTACGAAAGGCAGGCTATGCCATAGTTAGTGATGCAGCAGTACTTGAAAGTAAGCCTCTTTCCCCAGGGACCAGTGCTCAGTTAGCAGAACCAATGGCGCTTACCCGAGCCTTAGAACTGGGAGAAGGGAAAAGAATAAATGTGTACACAGATAGCAAGTATGCTTATCTAGTCCTACAGGCATATGCTACAATATGGAAAGAAAGGGAGTTCCTAACCTCTGGAGGAACACCCATTAAGTACCACAGAGAAATCACGGAGTTATTGCACACAGTGCAAAAACCTAAGGAGGTGGCAGTCTTATACTGCCGAGGACATTAGAAAGGTGAAGGAGAAGAAGCAGAAGGAAACCGCCAAGCAGACACTTAGGACAAAATTGCTGCCAGGTAGGACTTTCCTTCAGAAATGCCCATGGAAGGGCCCCTGGTATGGAGCAACCCCCTCCAGGAGGTTAAGCCCCAGTATTTCCCAACTGAAACAGAAAGGGACTTTCACAAGGACATCGTTTTCTCCCCTCGGAGTGGCTAACAACAGAGGAAGGAAAGGTGCTCATACCCGAAGCCAGCCAGTGGAAAATACTTAGAATCCTCCACCAAATTTTTCATATGGGTATTGAAAGAACCCATAAGATGGCCACATCCCTATTTACAGGGCCAAACCTCCTCAAAACCATCTGGCAAGTAGTCAAAGCCTGTGAAGTGTGCCAAAAGAATAACCCCTTGGCCTACTGTAAGGCCTCTCCAGGAGGACAAAGAACAGGACATTATCCTGGAGAGGACTGGCAGTTAGATTTTACCCATATGGCAAAGTCAAAAGGATGTTAATACTTATTGGTCTGTGTTGGTACCTTTACAAATTGGGTGGAAGCCTTACCTTGTAGAACAGAGAAGGCCCAAGAAGTGGTTAAAGTCTTAGTTCATGAAATAATTCCTAGACTTTGACTTCCCCAAAGCTTACAAAGTGACAACGGTCCAGCTTTTAAAGCTATAATAACTCAAGGAATTTCCAAGGCACTAGGAATACAATATCACCTTCACTGTGCCTGGAGGCCACAATCCTCAGTGAAAGCCAAAAAGACGAATGAAACACTCAAGAGGCATTTGAGAAAGCTAGCACAAGAAACTCATCTCCCATGGCCCACTCTCTTGCCCATTGCCTTATTAAGAATTGAAAAATCCCCTCACAGAATGGGGCTCAGTCCGTATGAAATGCTGTATGGACAGACTTTTCTCACAAATGACTTCCTGCTCAATCAGGAAATGGCCAATTTAGTCAAAGATAGAACTTCTCTGGCAAAATATCAACAAAACCTTAAAACTTTACCGAAAAGTTGTGACAGGGAAAAAGGAACAGTGTTGTTTCCACCAGGAGATCTAGTATTGGTCAAGTCTCTCCCCTCTACCTCTCCATCTATAGATCCCTTATGGGAGGGACTATACTCAGTAATCCTCTCTACCCCTACTACAGTTAAAGTGGCAGGACTGGAATCCTGGATTCACCACACCTGAGTTAAACCTTAGACACCTCCTGAGGAACTTAGAGGATCATCATCTCAGGAGTCACAAGGTCAGCCAGACCAGCCTCGATACACCTGTCAGCCACTAGAGGACCTGCAACTCCTATTTCGGAAGGAAACATCTCAGACCAGAAAAACTCCTGCAGTTAATCCTGAAGAGGAACTTCTCCCTACATAAAAGAGGATAAGTAAAAAAACCTACATGATCTTTGACATCTCTCCTTGCTCTCTTTAATGGAATCCTTCTACTGTTTTGTTACATTTTTAAGCAGTATACTAACTATACTCTTTGCAGTAGGATTATACACTGTAGCTCCAGCTGGGACAAAAATCTTAATCACATCAACCTTTCTTCTATTGTCCTTCCTTCTAACAGCAATTTACTCCTTTTTCCCTCCTCTTTCCTATGACCATTCCACCTACAACAGGTCATGACTCCTCTTAGGCTTCCTGCCATCCTCCGGCTTCCTGCCATCCTCTTCATACTCATGCCCCTTTCTCCAACTACCACGCAACCCCCATGTCAGTGTGCCTCCCTTGGAGGAGTCAGCTGGCATTCTCTCAGAAACTCTTGGGGATTAGGTAGCCCCTTCCGAGCACCCGCATCTTTTGCCACATATACTTACATGAGAAAAGAATGTTATAAAACTGCTTCTCTCTGCTCTCACAAAGGCCATACACATCACCAAGGAAAAATGATCCGAGGTGACTACCCTGAGAAATGGGGGGCCAATGCTTGTTGGACATGTTATACCCATATAGGTATGTCTGACAGAAGAGGCATCCAAGATGAGGCTAAAGAATGGCATACTCAACAAGTAATTAAAAACTTAGTCCAGCTCTCCTGTACTCCCAGTCCATACAAGAAGGTAGACCTTTCCAGGCTACAAGAAACACTTAACTCTCATTCTTGTCTCTGGAGGCTGTTTAACGGTATCTCTTTCAGGAATACTAGAGGCCTTTCCTAGTAATCCAACCAACTGTTGGATGTGTCTCCCCTTGTGTATTCAACCATATGTCCCAGTCCCTGTCCCCAGAGAGTGGAACTTATCCGCCCCATTCCTAAACACCACCAAATTAATCGGTCCCATAGTCACCGATTTACCAGTCACACAGGCCTCAAATCTCACATGCATAAACTTCAGCATGACTCTCAATAAGTGCACCTCCAATGTCAGTCCTGGGTATCAGTAACCTCAGGTTTCACCTGTCTAACTTCAGGCATCTTTTTCATCTTTGATAACACAGCCTATCAATGCCTAAATGGCACTCCAAAAGAACTATGCTTTCCCTCCTTTCTAGCGCCTCCCATGTCCATATATACTGAACAAGAGTTACAAAGTCTCCTTACACCCCAATCCTGCCACACACAAGCCCTTGTTGTCCCTTTTATTGTGGGAGCTGGAACACTGGGCAGTCTTGGAACTGGAATTGGAGGCATAACCTCCTCCACCTAATTCTATTATAAATGATCATGAGAATTAAATGATGTCATGGAACAAGTTGCCAACTCCCTAGTGGCCCTTCAATGCCGACTTAATTCTCTAGCTTCAGTAGTCCTCCAAAACCGAAGAGCCCTAGTCCTATTAACAGCTGAAAAAGGAGGAACCTGCCTCTTCTTAGGAGAAGAATGTTGCTATTTCATTAACCATTCAGGAATCATTATTGAAAAGGTCAAAAAAAAATAACAGAATGGATATAAAGTAGGAAAAAGGAGCTTGAACACTCAGGACCCTGGAATATGTTTAACCAATGGATACCTTGGCTCTTCCCCTTTCTAGGCCCTGGGACAGCCATCCTACTATTACTCACCTTTGGGCCTTGATTTTTAACCTCCTTGTCAAATTTCTTTCCTCCAGGATCGAGGCCATCAAGCTACAACTGGTCTTACAAATGGAACCTCAAATGAGCTCAACCCATGGCTTCTACTGAGGACCCCTGGATTGACCCGCTGGTCCCTCATCTAGCCTAGAAAGTTCCCCTCTGGAGGACACCACAATTGCAGGGCCCCTTCTTTGCCCCTAACCAGCAGGAAGTAGCCAGAACCACCACTGCCCAGTTCCCAACAGCAGTTGGGGTGTCTGTTTAGAGGGGGGACTGAGAGGAGAGGCTAGCTGGGCTTCCTGGGTTGAGTAGGGGCTTAGAAAGCTGTGAAACTCACTCATTTCCTACATCAGGACTTGCTTCAGTCCTGGATGAATAATATTGAAGATATATGCTTAAACTATTCCTAACATCAGGATTTGTGCATGTGTTGTCTTCCCCAAGAAAGCTATAAACAATGAAAATTTTGCTGTAAGTTTCCCTGTGCCCTGTCTGCCTCTCTCCCTTTCCTCTACCCCAAAACTAAAGTAAAAGGAATGTTAACTGCCCATTTTTCTGTGACCAGAAGACCTTATCTATGCTCCCAATTCCAATTCCTTATAAACATACTTTGTAAAGTCCTGTAAGATCCTGTCTCCTTTGCCATGCTGCTGCAAGGTCATAAAATAGATAAAACCGAAGTTGCAATTCCAGTTTTCCTCAAGATCTAAGACATGTCACAAATGTTTAATTGTCTTTGTTTCCTGCTCTGGTAACATCTTCCTGCTGCACATATTTCCTGCCTTAAAGAGTTTAAAAGGCAATTGTGTAATTTAACTCTGGCCCGTGCAGGACCCCTTCCATGCTGTGGAAGCTTTATACTTTCACTCTGCTCAATAAAGCCTACAGCTTTTTCTCTCTATCGGTCCGTTTCTCTATCACTCGCCATGGTCATCCACCACTCCAATTCTGATGTGGCTAGGCAAGAACCTCAAGCATTAGACAACCTTAAAAAAAAATCATGTCAAAGGGTGCCTTCAAGATGGCTGAATAGGGACAGCTCTGGCCTACAACTCCCAGCAAGATCAGCACAGAAGAGGGGTGATTTCTGCATTTCCGACTGACGTACACCATCTTACCTAGGAAGCACAAGTGGTCGGGGGATTTTCCTTTCCTAACCAACGGAAGCCGTGAGTGACTGTACCTGGAGGAACTGTACACTTCTGCCCAATACTGTGCTTTTCCCACAGTCTTTGCAACTGGCAGACAAGGAGATTCCCTCATGTGCCTGGCTCAGTGGGTCCCACGACCATGGAGCCTTGCTCACTGCTAGCAAAGCAGTCTGAGATTGACCTGGGATGCTGGAACATGGTGGGAAGAGGGGCATCCGTCATTGCTGAAGCTTGAGTAGGCAGTTCTATGCTCACAGTGTAAACAAAGAGGCAGGGAAGCTCAAACTGGGCAGAGCCCACAATGGCTCAACAAGGCCTACTGCCTCTCTAGAATCCACCTCTGGGGGCAGGGCATATCTGAACAAAAGGCAGGAGACAGTTTCTACAGACTTAAACATCCCTGCCTGACAGCTCTGAAGAGAGCAGTGGTTCTCTCAACATGGCATTCGAAATCTGCTAACAGACAGACTGCCTCCTCAAGTGGGTCCCTGACCCCCAAGTAGCCTCACTGGGAGACAACTCCTAGGGCTGACAGGCACCTCATACAGTTGGGTGCCCCACTGAGACAAAGCATCCAGAGGAAGGATCAGGCAGCAATATTTGCTGTTCTGCAGCCTCTGTGGTGATACCCAGGAAAACAGGGTCTGGAGTGGACCTGCAGCAATCTCGAACAGATCTGCAGCTGAGGGACCTCTCTGTTAGAAGGAAAACTAACAAACAGAAAGGAATAGCATCAACACCAACAAAAAGGACATCCACATGAAAACCCCATTCATAGGTCACCAACCTCAAAGACAAAAGGTAGATAAAACCTGTAAGATGGGGAGAAACCAGAGCAGAAAGGCTGAAAATTCCAAAAGCCAGAACACCTCTCCTCCTCCAAAGGAGCACAACTCCTTGCCAGCAAGGGAACAAAACTGGATGGAGAATGAGTTTGACAAGTTGATGGAAGTAGGCATCAGAAGGTCAGCAATAACAAACTTCTCCGAGCTAAAGGAGCATGTTCTAACCCATTGCAAGGAAGCTAAAAACCTTGAAAAAAGATTAGATGAATGGCTAAGTAGAATAACCAGTGTACAGAAGAGCTTAAATGACCTGATGGAGCTGCAAATCACAGTATGAGAACTGCATGAAGCATACACAAGTGTCAATAGCCGATTCGATCAAGCAGAAGAAAGGATATCAGTAATTGAAGGTCAAATTAATGAAATAACGTGAGAAGACAAGATTAGAGAAAAAAGAGTAAAAAGAAAAGAACAAAGCCTCCAAGAAATATGGGACTATATGAAAATACCACATTTACATTTGATTGGTGTACCTGAAAGTGATGGGGAGAATTGAACCAAGTTAGAAAACACTCTTCAGGATATTATGCAGCAGAACTTCCCCAACCTAGCAAGGCAGGCCAACATTCACATACAGGAAATACAGAGAACACCACGAAGATACTCCTCAAGAAGAGCAACCCCAAGACACATAATTGTCAGATTCACCAAGGTTGAAATGAAGGAAAAAATGTTAAGGGCAGCCACAGAAAGGTCAGGTTACCCTCAAAGGGAAGCCCATCAGACTAACAGCGGATCTCTCAGCAGAAGCCCTACAAGCCAGAAGAGAGTGGGGGCCAATATTCAACATTCTTAAAGAAATGAGTTTTCAACCCAGAATTTCATATCCAGCTAAACTAAGCTTTATAAGTGGAGGAGAAATAAAAACCTTTACAGGCAAGCAAATGCTGACAGATTTTGTCACTACGAGGCCTGCCTTAAAAGAGCTCCTGAAGGAAGCACTAAACATGGAAAGGAACAACCAGTACCAGCCACTGCAAAAACATGCCAAATGGTAAAGACCAACAATACTATGAAGAAACTGCATCAATTAATGGGCAAAATAACCAGCTAGCATCATGAGAGGATCAAATTCACACATAACAATATTAATCTTAAATGTAAGTGGCCTAAATGCCCCAGTTAAAAGACACAGACTGGCAAATTGGGTAGAGTCAAGACCTGTAGGTGTGCTGTATTCAGGAGACCCATCTCACATATAAAGACATACATAGGCTCAAAATAAAGGGATGGAGGAAGACCTACCAAGCAAATGGAAAACAAAAAAAGGTGGGGGTTGTAATCCTAGTCTCTGATAAAACAGACTTTAAACCGACAAAGATCAAAAGAGACAAAGAAGGCCATTACATAATGGTAAAGGGATCAATTCAACAAGAAGGGCTAACTCTCCTAAATATATATACACCCAATGCAGGAGCACTCAGATTCATAAAGCAAGTTCTTTGAGACATACAAAGAGACTTAGACTCCCACACAATAATAATGGGAGATTTTAACACCCCAGTGTCAATATTAGACAGATAAATGAGATAGAAAATTAACAAGGATATCCAGGACTTGAACTCAGCTCTGCACCAAGCAGACCTAATAGACATCTACAGAACTCTCCACCCCAAATCAACAGAATATACATTCTTCTCAGCACCACATCACACTCATTTTAAAATTGACCACATAATTGGAAGTAAAACACTCCTCAGCAAAAGTAAAAGAGCAGAAATCACAACAAACTATCTCTCAGACCACAGAGAAATCAAATTAGAACTCAGGATTAAGAAACTCACTCAAAACCGCACAACTACATGGAAATTGAACAACCTGTTCCTGAATGACTGCTGGGTAAATAACGAGATGAAGGCAGAAACAAAGATGTTCTTTCAAACCAATGAGAACAAATACACATCATTCCAGAATCTCTGGGACACATTTAAAGCAGTGTGTAGAGGGAAATTTATAGCACTAAATGCCCACAAGAGAAAGCAGGAAAGATCTAAAATTGACACACTAACATCACAATTAAAAGAACTAGAGAAGCAAGAGGAAACAAATTCAAAAGCTAGCAGAAGACAAGAAATAACTAAGTTCAGAGCAGAACTGAAGGAGATAGAGACATAAAAAACCCTTCAAAAAATCATTGAATTCATGAGCTGGTTTTTTGAAAAGATCAACAAAATTGATAGACCGCTAGCAAGACTAATAAAGAAGAAAAGAGAGAAGAATCAAATAGACGCAATAAAAAATGATAAAGGGGATATCACCACTGATCCCACAGAAATACAAACTACCATCAGAGAATACTATAAACACCACCATGCAAATAAACTAGAAAATCTGGGAGAAATGGATAAATTCCTGGACATAAACACCCTCCAAAGACTAAACCAGGAAGAAGTTGAATCTCTGAGTAGACCAATAACAGGTTCTGAAACCGAGGCAATAATTAATAGCCTACCAACCAAAAAAAGTCCAGGAACAGATGGATTCACAGCTAAATTCTACCAGAGTTACAAAGAAGAGCTGGTACCATTCCTTCTGAAATTATTCCAATCAATAGAAAAAGAGGGAATCCTCCCTAACTCATTTCTTGAGGCCAGCCAGCATCATCCTGATACCAACGCCTGGCAGAGACACAACAAAAAAATAGAATTTTAGACCAATATCCCTGATGAACATTGATGCGAAAATCCTCAATAAAATACTGGCAAACCAAATACAGCAGCATATCAAAAAGCTTATCCACCATGATCAAGTGAGCTTCATCTCTGGGATGCAAGGCTGGTTCAACATATGCAAATCAATAAATGTAATCGATCACATAAATAGAACCAATGACAAAAACCACATGATTATCTCAATAGATGTAGAAAAGGCCTTCAACAAAATTCAACAGCCTTTCATGGTAAAAACTCTCAATGAGCTGGTATTGATGGAACGTATCTCAAAATAATAAAAGCTATTTATGATAATCTCACAGCCAATATCATACTGAATGTGCAAAAACTGGAAGCATTCCCTTTGAAAACCAGCACAAAACAAGGATGCTCTTTCTCACCACTCTTATTCAACATATTATTGGAAGTTCTGGCCAGGGCAATCAGGCAAGAGAAAGAAATAAAGGGTATTCAATTAGGAAATGAGGCAGTAAAATTGTCTCTGTTTGCCCCATGACATGATCCTATATTTAGAAAACTCCATCATCTCAGCCCAAAATCTCCTTAAGCTGATAAACAACTTCAGCAAAGTCTCAGGATACAAAATCAATGTGCAAAAATCACAAGCATTCCTATACACCAAGAAGAGACAGAGAGCCAAATCATGAGTGAACTCCCATTCACAATTACAGAGAATAAAATACCTAGGACTCCAACTTACAAGGGATGTGAAGGACCTCTTCAAGGAGAACTACAAACTGCTGCTCAAGGAAATGAAAGAGGACACAAACAAATGGAAGAACATTTCGTGCTCATGGATAGGAAGAATCAATATTGTGAAAATGGCCATACTGCCCAAAGTAATTTATAGATTCAATGCTATCCCCATTCAGCTACCACTGACTTACTTCACAGAATTGGAAAATACTACTTTAAATTTCATTTGGAAGCAAAATAGAGCTCACATAACCAAGGCAATGCTAAGCAAAAAGAACAAAGCTGGAGACATCACACTACCTGACTTCAAACTATACTACAAGGCAACAGTAACCAAAACAGCATGGTACTGGTACCAAAACAGACATATAGGCCAATGGAACAGAACAGAGGCCTCAGAAATAACACCACACATCTACAACCATCTGATCTTGACAAACCTGACCAAAAAAAAAAGCAATGGGGAAAGGATTCCCTATTTAATAAATGGTGCTGGGAAAATTGTCTAGTCATAGGTAGAAAGCTGAAACTGGATCCCTTCCTTACACCTTACACAAAAATTAACTCAGTATCTACAGATCATCCTCTCCTCACCTGGATATTAGGAACAATATCAAAGAGGGAGTATTTTCATTCAGCGCTATTCAGTGTAACATTATCCTTTTTCCTTCTGCATATTAAAAACAATATCACAGGTGAAGTGTACACCCCCTGCGCTATTGGAAGTAACATTATTCTCTTTCCTTCTGAATATTAGGAACAATATCTGAGAGGGGATGTACACCCACTGTGATATTGGGAGAAATAACATCCTCTCTTATCCTGGATATTAGGAATACTATCACAAAGAGGATGTACCCCCTCTGTGATATTGGGTGTAATATTACCATCTCCCAATCTAGACATTAGGAACAATATCACAAGGGGAGTGTCCATTTTCTGTGGTATTGACAGTAATATCATCGTCTCCCTCCCTCGAAATTTAGAAACAATATCACAAGGGGGTGTACACCATCTGCAATATTGAAAGTAATATCATCCCCTAGATATTAGGAAGACTATCTTAAGGAGGGTGTACATTCCCTGTGCCATTAGGAGTAATATCATCCTTTCCCCAAAATGTTATTGGGAATAATACTATGGGGGGTGTACACCATTTGCGATATTAGGAGTAATATCACCCTCTCCCCACCTGAATATTAAGGCCAATATCACAGGGGAGTGTACACCCCGTTTGATACTGAGAGTAATATCATCTTCTTTCCCCCTGAATGTTAGAAACAATATCACGAAGTGATGTACAACCCTGCAATATTGGGAGTAATATTATTCTCTTTCCTTCTGGATATTAGGAACAATATCACAGGTGGGGTGTGCATGCACCTACTGTGCTATTGGGAGTAATATCTTCCTCTTCCCCTCTCAATATTAGGAACAATATCAAAGGGGGGGTGTACACCCCCTGCGCTATTGGGAGTAGTATCATCCTCTCCCCGCCTGCATATTAGGTACAATACCACAGCGGGAGTGTTTACCCCTGTGCTATTTGGGGTAATATCACCCTCTCCCACCAATAATATTATAAAGAGTAGCTCAGAGGAGGTGTCTACCCAATACAATATTGGGAGAAATAACATCCTCTCCCACGCTGGATATTAGGAACAATATCACAAAGAAGGTGTATCTCTCTGTGATGGGTGTAATATCACCATCTCCCAACCTGGATATTAGGGAACAATATTACAGGGGTGGTGTACACTCCCTGTGGTATTGACGGTAATATCATCGTCTTTCTCCTTGGATATTAGGAACAATATCACAAGGAGAGTGTAACCCGCCTGCAATATTAAGAGTAATATCATTTTCTTCCTTCCTGGGTGTTAGGAACAATATCATATGATGGGTGTAAACCCCATGCGATATGGGGAGTAATATTATCCTCTCCCTCCCTGGATATTACGAATGATATCACAGGGAAGTGTGCACCCCTTGCGATATGGGGAGTAATGTCATCCTCTCCTCCCCTAAATATTACAAACATTTATCACAGGAGGTGTACACACCCTGCAATATGGGAAGTAATATTATCCTCTCAACCGCTGGAAATTATGAACGATAACAAAGGGAGATGTAGACCTCCTGTGATATGGTAAGTAATATCATCCTCTCCACCCCTGGATATTATGAACAACATCACAAGGGGGAGTACACCACTTGCCATATGAGGATTAATATTATCCTTTCCCCGTCCTGGATATTATGAACAGTATCACAGGGGGGTCTACACTTTCTGTGATATAGGAAGTAGTATCATCCTCTCCCAACCCCGGATGTTATGAAAATATCACAGAAGGGTGTACATCCTTTGCGATATGGGGAGTAATATTACCTTCTCCCTTCCTGGATATTAGGAAAATATCACAGATGGGTGTACACCTTCTGTGACGGGGGGAGTAATATCATCCTCTCTCCTCCTGGGTATTACAAACAATATCACTGGAAGGTCTACACACTTTGTGATATGAGGAGTAATATCATTTCACCTTCCCTGAAATATTATGAACAATATCACAGAGGTGTGTACACCCACTGCCATATGAGGAGTAGTATCATCCTCTTCCCCCCTTGGATATTACCAACAATATAACAGATGCGATATTGGGAGTAATATTATCCTCTTTCCCCTGGATATTAAAAACAATATCACAGGGCAGTGTACAATCCCTGTAATACTGGGAGAAATAACATCCTTTTCCTTTTTGGATATTACAAACCATATTGCAGGTGATGTACACTCCCTGTGATATTGAGAGTAATATTATCCTCTCCAGCCCTGGATATTACAAACAATATCACAGAAGGGTGTACAATTTCTGTGATAGTGGGAGTAATCACCCTCCCCCCTTTTTGGATATTACAAACAATCTCACAGGGAAATAATATCATCCACTTCCCCCTTGGATATTATGAAAAATATCACAGAGGAGTGTGCATCACCTTTGATATGGGGAGTAATAGCTTCCTCTCCCTTCCTAGATATTATGGACAATATTACAGGAAGGTGTACACCCTTTGTGATATGGGGATTAATATCAGCCTCTCTCCCTGGCTGTGACGAACAGTATCACAGGGGAATGCACACCCCCTGCGATATAAGAAGTAATATCATCCTCTCCCTCCATGGATATTATGAACAATATCACAGAGGGACACGTACACCCTGCGATATGGGGAGTGATGTCATCTTCTTCCCCCTCCCCGATATTAGGAACATTATCACGGGGAACGTGTATACACTCTGCGATATGGGGAGTGATATTATCCTTTCCCCCATTAAATATTTTGGAGACTATCACACGTGGGTGTACACGTTTTGCGATATAGGCAGTAATATTATCTTCCTACCCCCCCAGATATTACGAACAATATCACAAGGATGTGTACACACTTTGTGATATGGAGGGTAATACTATCCTCCCTCGCCCTGAATATTACAAACAATATCACAACTCCTGCAATATGGCTAGTAATATCATCCTCTTTCCCACCGGATATAATGAACAATATCATACGGGGGTGGACACTACCTGTCATATGGGGAGTAATATTGTCTTCTCATTCCCTGGAAGTTGTGAACAATATCACAGAAGGGTGTACACCCCTTGCAATATTGGAAGTAATATCATCCGGTCTTCTTTTGGATATTTTGAATAATATCACAGGACATTCTATGCTTCCTACGATATAAGCAGTAATATCATCCTCTCCCCACCTGGATATTACGAACAATATCACTAGAGGGGTGTACATCTCTAGCGATATCGGGATTAATGTCATTCTCACCACCACCCCTCTACATATTACGGGCAATATCACAGAAGGGTGTATACCCTCTGTGATATGGGAAGTAATATCATCCTCTCCCTTCCTGGATATTACAAATAATATCACAGAGGGTTTTACATCTGCTGCAATATAGAAAGTAATATCATCCTCTTCCTCACTGGATATTATGAACAATATCATGGGAGGGTGTACACCCCCTGCAATATTGAGGTTAATATCATTTTCTTTCCACCTGAATACTACGAACAATATAACAGAAGACCGTACACCCCCTGCAATATTGGGGATACATCACAGGTGGGCGTACATCCCCTGCAAAATTGGGAGTAATATCATTCTCTCCCCACCTTGATATTACAAACAATATCACAAGGGGTGTACATCCCCTGCCCTATTAAGAGTAATATCCTTCTCTCCCCCCCGGATATCATGAACAATATTACAAATAGGTGTACACCCCTGCAATATTAAGAGTAATATCATCCTCTTTCCCCCTGGATATTATGAACAATATCACGGGGGGTGTACAATCTTTGCGATATTGGGAGTAATATCATTTTCTCCCCCAGTGGGTATTACAAACAATATCAGAGGGGAATGTACACCCTCTGCGATATTGGGAATAATTTTATGCTCCCCCCCCCTGAAAATTATAAGCAATATGACAGGGGAGTGTACACTTCCTGCGATATTGGAAGTAATGTCATCCTCTCCCCCTCTGAATATTATGAACAATATCATAGGAAGGTGTACACCCTTTGCGATATTCAGAGTAATATCATCCTCTCCTCCCCTTTATTATGAACAATATCATAGGATGGTGTATGCATCCTGTGACATTGGGAATAATATCATCCTCTGCCACCCTGGATATTATGAACAATATCACAGAGGATATACACACAGGGTGTTTACGATATTGGGATTAATATCAACTCCCCCCCTGGATATTAGAAACAATATCACAGGAGAGTGTACACTCCCAATATCCATGGGGGAAGAGGATGATATTACTCCCAATATCCCAGGGAGAGTACATCTCCCGGTGATGTTGTACCTAATATCCAGGAAGGGAGAGGATGATATTACTCCCAATATTGCGGCAGGTGTACATTCTCCTTGTGATACTGTTCCTAATATCCAGGGTGGGGAAGGATGATATTACTCCCAATATCGCAGCAGGTGTACACCTTCCCTGTGATATTGTTCCTAATATCCAGTTTTAGAGAGGATGATATTTCTTCCAATATCGCAGGGGGTGTACACCCTCCTGTGATACTGTTGCTAATATCCGGAGGCGGAGAGGATGATTTTACTTCCAGTGTCGCACAGGGTGTAAACACCTTCTGTGATATTGTTCCCAATATTCGGAGGGGTGGAGGAGAGGAAGATATTACTCCCAATATCGCAGGGGGTGTACACCACCACTGTGACATTGTTCCTAATATCCAAAGAAGGAGAGAAGGATATTACTCCCAATGTCGCAGGAGGTTTACACCCATCCTGGGATATTGTTCCTAATATCCAGAAAGAAACAAGATGATATTACTCCCAGTGTCGCAGAAGGTGTACACTTCCCCTGTGATAATGTTCCTAAAATCATAAGGGGGAGAATAGGACATTACTCCCAATATTGCAGGGGCTGTACACCCCCACCTTGATATTGTTCCTAATATTCAGGAGGGAGAGGATGATATTACTTCCAACATCGCAGGGAGTGTACACCCCCATGTTATATTTTCTGAATATCCAAAGGGGGAGAAGATAATATTACTCCAAAGATCGCAGAGGTGTACACCTCCTCTGTAATATTGTTACTAATATCCAAAAAGGGAGAGGATGATATTACTCCCAATATCACAGGGGGTGTACACGCATTCTGTGATAATGTTCATAATATCCAGGAAGGAAAATAATGATATTATGTCCAAAATCGCAAGGGGGTTTACACTCCCCAGGTGACAATGTTTCTAATATTCAAGTGGAGAGAGGATCATATTACTCCCAATACCGCAGCGGTTGTACACACCTTCTGTCACATTGTTTCTAATATCCAAAGCGAGAGATGATAATATTACACCCAACATCACCAGGGGTGTACACCTCTCTTGTGATATTGTTCCCAATATTTAGAGAGAGAGAGAGGATGATATTACTTACAATATTACAGAGGGTGAACAATCTCCTGTGATATTATTTCTAATATTCAGGGTGGGAGAGGATGATATTCCTCCCAATATCCCAGGGGATGTACGGTGTACACCCTTCCTGTGATACTGTTCCTAATATTCAAGGTGGGAGAGGATGACATTCCTCCCAATATTGCAGGGGGTTATCACACCCTTCCTGTGATAATGTTCCTAATATTCAGGGTCGCAGAGGATGATATTATTCCCAATGTCGTAGGGGTGTACACCCTTTCTGTGATGTTTCTAATATCCAGAGGAAGAGAGCATAATATTACTCCCAATATCGCAGGGTGTGTACATCCACCTTGTGATATTGTTTTTGATATCCAGGAAAGAAGAGGATACTATTAGTATACATATCGCAGGGGTTTTACAACCCCTTGTGATATTGTTCCTAATATCCAAAGGTAAAGAGAAAGATATTACTCCCAATATCCTAGGGAATGTACATTCACCCTGTGATATTGTTTCTGATATCCAGAGAGGGAGAGGATATTACTCCCAAAATCGAAGGGGTGTACAACCCCCTGTGATATTGTTTTTGAAAGCCAGGTGAGGAGAGGATAATATTACTCCTTGTATCGCAAGGGGTGTACAGCCCCCCTTGATATTTTTCCTAATATCTGGGGGGGGGGGAGAGGTTGATATTGCTTTCAATATTGCAGGGGTGTACACATCCACTGTGGTATTGTTCCTAATATCCAGAAGAAAAAAGATGACAATACTCCCAATATCGCAACAGATGTACACCCCCTTTTTTATATTGTTCTTAATGTATCGTGAGGAGAAAATGATATTACTCTCAATATCGCAGAGGGTGTACACGCCCCGTGATATTGTTTCTAATATCCTAAAGGGGAGAGGAGGATATTACTTCTAATATCGCAAGGGTGTGAACCCCCATGGGATATTGTTCCTAATATCCAAGAAAAAAGATGATGATATTACTGTCAATATCGCAGGGTGTGTACATCCCCTTTGTGATATTGTTTCTAATACCAGGGGGGAGAGGATGATATTACTTCCGATATTGCAAGAAGTGTACACCCCACTGTGATATTGTTTCTAATAATCAGAGGGGGAGAGGATGATATTACTCCCAATATCGCAGAGGGTGTACACCCCCCCATAATATTGTTTCTAATATCCAGGTGGGGAGAAGATGATATTAACTCCCAATATCGCAGGAGGTGCACACCACTCCTGTGATATTGTTCCTAATATCCAATGGGGGAGGGAATGATATTACTCCCAATAACGCAGGGGATGTGCAACCCCCTGTGTTATTGTTCCTAATATCCGGCGGGGTGTGGGGGGAAGAGGATGATATTACATCCAATATTGAAGAAGGTATTCACCCCTTCTGTGATATTGTTTCTTTAATATCCATGTGGGGAGAGGATGATATTACTCCCAATATCGCAGAGTGTGTAAACCCCCCACTGTGATATTGTTTCTAATATCCAGGGAGGGAGAGGCTGATATTCCTCCCAATAATGCAGGGGGTAAACACACCCCCTGTGGTATTGTTCCTCATATCCAGAAGGGAGATGATGACATTACTCCCAATGTCGCAGGGGGTGTACACCTTTTTAAAAATATTGTTCCTAATATTTAAAGGAGAGAAAATTATAATACTCCCAATATCTCAGAGAACGTACACGCTTCCTGTGATATTGTTTTTCATATCCAGGGTCGGAGAGGATAATATTACTCCCAATATCGCAGGGGATGCACATTTCTCGTGTGATATTGTTCTTAACATCTAAGGGGGGAGACGATGATATTACTCTCAACATCGCAGGGGTTGTGCACCTTTCCTGTGATATTTTTCCTAATCCCCAGTGGAGGAGAGGATGATATTACTCCTAATATTGCAGGGGATGTACACCACCCTAGTGATATTATTCCTAATATTCAGGGGAAGAGAGGATGTACACACACAGGGGGTGTACACACACACCCCTGTGATACTGTTTTTAATATTCAGGTGGGGAGAGGATGATGTTACTCCCAATATCGCAGGAGGTGTACACGCCCCCTGTGATATTGTTCCTAATAATTATAAGGGGAGAAGATGATATTCCTTCCAATATCGCAGGGGGTGTACACCCTCCATGTGATATTATTCCTAATATCCAGGGGAAGAAGGATAATATTACTCCCAATGTAGCAAAGGGTGTAAACCCCCACTGTGATGTTGTTTATATTGTTCAGAAGGAAAGAGGATATTACTGTTAAGATCATAGGGTGTGTACCCCTGTGATATTGTTCCTAATATTCAGGTGGGGAAAGGGTGATATTACCCTGAATCGCAGGGGGTGTACACCCCTATGTAATATTCTTATTCTTTTTTAATATCCAAGGCGGAGAGAATAATATTACTACCAAAATCGCAAAAAGTTTACACTCCTCCCTGAAATGTTGTTTCTAGTATCCAGTGGGGGAGAGGGTGATATTACTCCCAATAGCGCAGGGGTTGTACACCTTCCCTGTGATATTGCTCCTAATATCCAGGCGGGGAGAAATAATATTATTCCCAATAACGCAGCGGGTGTACACACCGATGTGATATAGTTTCTCATATTGAAGAGAAGAGAGGATGATATTACACACAATATCGTGGGGTGTGTACACTCCACCTGTGATATTGTTTCTAATGTCGCAGAGAACAGAGAATAATATTACTTTCAATATCGCAGGGTGTGCACACCCCTCCTGTGATACCGTTTCTAACATCCAAAGGGGAAGAGGATGATACTACTCCGAATATCTCAGGGAGTGTATACTCTCCTTGTGATATTGTTCCTCATCTCTAGAAAACGAGACGACAATATTACTCCCAATATCGCAGGAGGTTTACACCCCCTGTTACATTGCTCCTACTTTCTAGAGAACAAGAGGATGATATTACTCACAATATCACAGGGGGTGTACAACCCCTTGTGATATTTTTCCTAATATCCAGACGGGAGAAGATGATATTACTTCCGATATCGCGGGGAGTCTACACATCCCCTGTGATATTGTAACTAATATCCAGGAAGCAGAAGATGATATTACTTCCTATATTCAGGGGGTATACACCACCCTTTTGATGTTGTTAATAACATACAGGAGAAAGACAATAATATTACTGCCAATATCGTAGGGGGTGTACACCCCCTGTGATATTGTTTCCAATATCCAGTGGAAAAGAGGATATTAATCCCAATATCGAAGGTGATGTAAACCCCCATCGTGATATTGTTGTGAATATCCAGAGGGGGGAGGTGATTATATTACTTTCAATATCGCAGGGGGTGTACACCCCCTCTATGATATTGTTCCTAATATCCAGGAGGGGAGAGTATGATATTATTTCCAATATCGCGGGGGCGTACACCCCCCGTGATATTGTTTTTAATTTGCAGAAGGAAAGAGGATGATATTACTCTCAATATTTTAAAGGGTGTACACCCCCCCCCATGATATTATTTCTAATATTCAGTGGGGGAGAGGATGATATTACTCCCAATATCGCAGGTGGGGGGAACACCGCCTGGGTGAAATTGTTCTCATGGGAGAAATGATGATTCTCTCAATATCACGGTGGGAGTGATCCAGGTTCGGAGAGGATGATATTACTTTCAATATCGCAGGGTGAACACACCTTGCCTGTGATTTTGTTCCTAATATCCAGGGGTGAGAAGATGATATTACTCCCAATTTCACAAAGAGTGTACACCCCTCTGTGATACTGTTTTTAATATCCAGGGGGGGAGAAGATATTACTCCCAATATTGCAGGGGGTATACAATTCCTCCCCATGATATTCTTCCTAATATTCAGGAGGGGAGAGGATGCTATTACTTTTAATATCACAGGGGTATACGCATCTGTGTGACAATGTTTCTAATATTCAGTGATGGAGAAGATGATATTACTTTCAAAATCGCAGGGGTTGTACACCCCCACTGTGACAACATTTATTATATCCAGGAGAGATGGTATTACTCCCAATATCACAGGGGGTATATTGGGAATAATTCCAATATTCAGGTGAAGAGAGCATGATATTACTCCCAATATCGCAGGTGGGGGAAACACCCTGCCTGTGATATTGTTCCTAATATCTATGAAGGGAGCGGATGATATTACTCCAAAAATTGCAGTGGGTGAACACCCACCCTGTAATATTGTTTCTAATATCCGGGGAAGGACAGTATGTTATTACTACCAATTTCTAAGGGGGTGTACACCCCCTCTGTGATATTGTTTTTAATATCCAAGGGGAAAGAGGATTACTCCCAATATCGCAAGAGGTGTACACCCCTAAGTGATATTGTTCCTAATATCCGGAAGGGAGAAGACAATATTATTCCAAATATCGCAGGGAATGTGCACGTCCTTTGGGATATTGTTTCTAATATATGAGGATGGAGGATGATATTACTCCCAATATTGCAGGAAGTGTACACCCACCCTCACATGTTTTTCCTAATATCCAGGAAAAAGGAGGATGATATTACTCTCAATATCACGGAAGGTATACACACCCCCGTGATATCTTTCCTAATACCAAGAAGGGGAGAAGATAATATTACTCCCAATATCAAAGAAAGTGTACATTCCTTTTGTGATATCGTTTCTAATATACAGGGAAGAAGAGGATATTACTTTCAAAATCGCAGAGGGTGTACACACCCCCTGTGATATCTTTCCTAATATCCAAAAGGAGAGAAGATGATATTACTCTCAATATCGCAGGGAATGTAAACACCCCTGTGATATTGTTCCTAATATCAAGGGTGGAGAGATAAAATGATATTATTCCCAATACCGCAGGGACTGTACACCCCCCTGTAATATCTAGGGTGAAATAGGATATTGCTCCCAATATGGTGGGAGGTGTACACCTTCCCTGTGCTGTTGTTCTTAATATCCAGAGGAAAAGAATATGATATTACTCCCAATATCGCAGAAGGTGTACACACCCCAGTGATATTGTTTCTAATATCCAGAGGAGGAGAGGGTGATATTACTCCCAATATCGCAGGTGCTGTACACACCCCTGTGACGTTGCTCGTATTTCCAAAGAGGGACATGATTTTACTCTCAATAATATAAACACGCTGTGTTGACATCCCCCTGCCAAGTGGCTCATAAAAAGGAAGGAGGGGTGATGTTACTCCCGATGTGGCGGAGTGTGTCCTCCCCCCTCCCATGTCGCTCGTAATATCCAGGGGGAGAGAAGGGGGTGATATTACTTTACATATGGTCACTCCCGTGAGATACTGAAAGTAATATCCTCTTTTCCTCTGGATATTAGGAACAATATCACAGGGCTGGTGTACACACCCTGCGATATTGGGAGTAATATCATCTTCTTCCGTTCTGGATATTAGGAACAATATCACAGGTGTGATGTACTTTTTCTGCGATGTTGGGAGTAATATCATCCTCTTTCATCCTGGATATTAGGAACAATATCGCAGGGGAAGTGTACACTCATACGATATTGAGAGTAATATCATCCTCTCTGCACCCCCTGTATAAGAAGAATTATATAACGAGGCCAGGGTGTACACCCCTTGTAATATTTTGAGTAATGTCATTCTCTCCCCCCAGATACCAAGAATAATATTATAGGAATGTTGTACACCTTCTGCATATTTAGGGAGTTTTATCATCTCTTTACCGTCCGGGTATTAGAAACAATATCACAGGGATGTGTTCACCCCCTGCGATATTTAAAGTAATATCATCCTCTCCCCTTTTGGATATTAGGAAGACTGTCACAGGGAGAGTGTACACCCCCTATGATATTAGGAATAATATCATCCTGTCTTACTTTAAATATTAGGAACAATATCACAGGGGTTGTGTATACCCACTGCAATACTGGGAGTAATATCATCCTCCATTCCCTGAATATTAGAAACAATATCACAGAGAAGGTGTACACCCCCGCCCCGCGATGTTGGGAGTAATATCATCCTCTCTCCCTCTGTATATTAGGAACAATATCACAGGGGGTCTGTACATCTGCTGCACTATTGGGAGTAATATCATTTTCTCTCTCCCTAGATATTAACACCAATGTCATACGGACGGTGTACACCCCCTGCGATATGGCAAATAATTTCTTCCTCTCCCACCGTGGTTATTAGGAAAAATTTCACAGGGGCAGTGTACACTTCCTGCGATATTGGGAGTAATATTTCCATCTCTCCCACCTGGATATTAGGAATAATATCACAAGGAGTCTATACACTTCCTGCGAAATTGGGAGTAGTATCATTCTTTCCTGCAGTGGATATTAGGAACAATGTCGCAGGTGTGATGTACATGCCCTGCGATATTGGGAGTAACATTATCTTCTCTCCCCCTTCATATTAGGAACAGTATTGCAGAATGGGTTTATACCCCCTGTGATATTACGAGTAATATCATCCTCTCCTCCCCCGGATATTAACAACAATATCTCAAGGGGGGTTTACACGCCCTGCGATTATGGGAGTAAAATCGTCCTCTTTTTCCCTAAAATATTAGGAACAATATCACAGGGTTGTGTACAGCTTCTGCGATATTGGACATATCACCCTCTCTTAACATGGATATTTAGGACAATATAACGGGGGTGGGATGTAAATCCCTTACGATATTTAGAGTAATATCATCCTCTCCCCACCTGGATATTAGGAACAATATCACGGGGGTGTGTACATCCTTGCGATATTGACACTAATATCATCTTCTCTTCTCTTAGATATTAGGAAAAATATCACAAGGGCAGTGAACACCTCCTGCGACATTTGGAGTGATACCATCTTCTTTCTTTTTGGATATTAGAAACAATATCACGGGGTGTTTACACCTTCTGCGATATTGGCAGTAACATCATTCTCTTCCCCCCTAATATTAGGAACAATATCACAAACAGGGTGTACACCTTTTGTGATATTGAAAGTAATATCATCCTCTCCCCCCTGGATATTAGGAATAATATCACATTAGATGTGTATACTTCCTGCAGTATTGGGAGTAATAGCAACCTCTGTCCGCCTGGATATTAGGGACAATATCATGGATGAGGTGTACAGCTTCTGCGATATTGGGAGTAATATCCTCTTCTCTTATTCTGGA
This sequence comes from Homo sapiens, assembly GCF_000001405.40. Classification (NCBI taxonomy): domain Eukaryota; kingdom Metazoa; phylum Chordata; class Mammalia; order Primates; family Hominidae; genus Homo; species Homo sapiens. Next base: position 107,579,847 of record NC_000008.11, on the reverse strand, counting down.
TATTAGGAACACCATCACAGGGAATTGTACACTCCCTGTGATATTTGAAGTAATATTATCCCCTCTCCTCCTGGATATAAAAAACAATATCACAGGGGAGGGTGTACACCCCCTGCAATATTAAGAGTAATATCATCCTCTCCCCCGCTGGATATTAGGAACAATATCACAAGGGGGTATATACCTCATGCGATATTGGGAATAATATCATTTTTTCCCTTTCTGGATATTAGGAACAATATCATGGCGGGGGGGGGTGGATACTCCTTGCGATATTGGAAGTAATATTATCTTCTCCCCTTCAGGATATTAGAAACAATATCGCAGGGTTGGTGTACACCCTCTGGGATTTTTGGAATAATATCATACTCTTCCCTATAAACATTACGAACAATAAGTGATATTGTCCTCTTCTCTCCTGAACATTAAAAACAATATCACAGGGGGGATGTACGCCCCTTGTACATATTGGGAGTAATACTGTTTTCTTCCTCTTTAAATATTATGAACAATATTACAGTGGGGTGTACACATTCTGTGATATTGAAAGTAATATCCTCTCTCAACCTGGATGTTAGGAACCATATCACAGAGGAGGTGTACACCCTCTGCGACATTGGAAATAATATTGTCTTCTCCCACCTTGATATTATGAACAATATCAAGGGGGGTGTACACCCTCTGCAATATTGGGAATAATATCATCCTGTCCTCCCCTGGATATTAGGAACAACATCACAGGGGAGTATGTACCCCATGCAATATTGGGAGTAATGTCATCTTCTCTCTCTCTGGATATTAGGAACAATATAACTGTGAGGCTGTACACGTCCTGCAATATTGGGAGCAATATTTTTATCTTTCTCCTTGGATATTAGGGGTGGTGTAAACCTTCTGCAGTATTGGAACCAATATCTTCCTCTCCCAAACTGGATATTATAAACAATATCACAGGGAAGGTGTCCACTCCCTGAGATATTAAGAATAATAACATCCTCTCCTTCCCTGGTTATTAGGAACAATATCACAAATGGGATGTACACCCCCTGCAATATTGGGAGTAATGTCATCCTTTCCCTCCGTGGATATTAAGAACAATATCACAGGATGGTTGTACACCCCTTGCGATTTTGGGAGTAATATCATTTTCTCCCCCTCAGGATAGAAAAAACACTATCACAGGGATGTGTGCACCCCCTGCGATATTGAAAGTAATATCATTCTCTCCTCTTCTGGATATTAGAAAGAATATCATGGGGGGGAGGTGTACACCCTCTGCGATATTGGGAATAGTATAATCCTCTTTTTCTTGGGTATTAAAAACTGTATTACAGGGGTTTCTTGTACACCCCCTGCGATATTGGGGGGTAATATCATCATTTTTCCCACTGGATATTAGAAACAATATCACCGGGAGAATGTAAACCTCCACGATGTTGGGAGTAATATCATTCTCTTCCCCTCTGAATATTAGGAACAATATAACGGGGAGGGTGTACACCCCCTGCGATATTGAGAGTAATATTATCCTTTCCTCATCTTGATATTAGGAACTGTATTACGGGGGGGTGTGTACAAGAACTGTGATATTGAAAGTAATATCATCCTCTACCCCCTGGATATTAGGAACAGTATTACGGGGGGTGTGTACAAGAACTGTGATATTGGGAGTAATGTAATCTTCTCCCCCCCGGATATTAGGAACAATATCATAGCGGTGTGTACACTCCTTGCTCTATTGGGAGTAGTATCATCTTCTCCTTCCTTGGATATTAAAAACAGTGTCACAGGGGCTTGTGTACTCTCTGCAATATTGAGAGTAATATGTTCTTCATCTCCCTTGGTGGATATCAGGAACAATATCACAGGCAAGGTGTACACATTCTGCGATATTGGAAGTAATATTATCCTCTCCCAACCTGGGTATCAGGAAGAATATCACAGGGGAGCAGTACACCCCCTGCATTATTGAAAATAATATCATCCTCTTTTCCCTTCGGTGTTAGGAACTATATCTACAGAGGGGGTGGACACCCCCTGCGATATTGGGAGTAATATCCTCTCCTCACTTGGATATTAGGAACAATATTACAGAGGGGGTGTTTACCCCCTGTGCTATTCCGTGTAATACTATCCTCTTTCCTTCTGCATAATAAAAACAATATCTCAGGGGAAGTGTACACCCCAGGGCTATTGAAAGTAATATCATCCTCTTTCCTTCTGAATATTAGGAACAATATCTGAGAGTTGATGTAAACCCTCTGTAATATTGGGAGAAATAACATTTTCTCTCATCCTGGATATTAGGAACAATATCACAAAGGGGGTGTACCCCTCTGCGATATTGGGCATAATATTACAGTCTCCCAACCTAGATATTAGGAACAATATCACAGGAAGGAGGGTCCAGATTCATTTTCTGTGATATTGACAGTAATATCATCGTTTCCCCCCTCAAATATTAGAAACAATATCACAAGTGGGGTGTACACCGTCTGCGATATTGAAAGGAATATCATCCCCTCCCTTCCCAGATATTAGGAAGAATATCACGGGGAGGGGCGTACGTTCCCTATGGCATTGGAAGTAATGTCAACCTTTTCCCCCATGGTTATTGGGAACAATATTACGGGGTAGTGTAAACCATTTGCAATATCAGGAGTAACATCATCCTCTCCCCACCTGAATAGTAAGGATATTATCACAAGGGGGATGTACATTCCCTTCGATATTGAGAGTAATATCATCTTCTTTCCCCCGAATATTAGAAACCGTATCATGGGGTGGTGTACACCCCTGCGATATTGGGAGTAATGTCATTCTCTCACCCTCTTGATATTAGGAAGAATATCACAAGGAGTGGGTACACCGCCTGCGATATTGACAGTCAACATCTTCTCCCCCATTGGATATTAGGAACAGTATCACAAAAGGGGTATACAATCCCTGCGATATTGGGAATAATATCATCCTTTTCTCTCTGGATATAAGAAACAATATCACGGGGGGGTGTACACCCCCCGCGATATTGGGAGTAATTTTATCCTCTTTCCACTAAATATTAGGAACAATATCACAAAGGGGGTGTGCACCGCCTGCGATATTGGGAGTAATATCATCCTCTCCCCGCTGAATACTAGGGACAATACAACAGCGTGTATGTACAGCCCCTTCAACACTGAAAGTATTATCAACCTCTCTCCCCTGGATAGTAGAAACAATATTGCAGAGATAGTACACCCCCCTGTGATACTGAGAGTAATATCATTTTCTATCCCCAACCCTGAATATTAGGAACAATATCACAGAAGGGGTGTACACTCCCTTCAATATTGGAATTAATATCATTTTCTTTTCTACTGAATATTAGTAACAATATTACGGGGGTGATGTACTCCCCCCCCTGCGATATTGATAGTAATATAATAATCTCTCCCTTTGGAAAATATTAACAATATCTCAGGGGTGTACGCCCCCTGCAATATGGGCAGTAATATCAGCCTCTTCCCTGTGGATATTAGGAATAATATCACAAGGTGGGGGGTGTACAATCTCTGTGATATTGGGAGTAATATCTTCCTCTCCTTTCCTGGATATTTGGAACAATATCACAGGGAGGTGTACACCCCCTGCACTATTTTAGTATATTGTCATCTCCCGCTCTGGATATTAAGAACAATATCACAAGGAGAGTATACACCCTCTGCGATATTGGGAGTAATATCACCTTCTCCGCCCATGGATATTAGGAACAATATCACAGGGAGTTGTACACCTCCTGCAATACTGGAAGTAATATCATCCTCTCCCCCCTGAATATAAGAAACTATATCACCGGGGGGGTTGTGTGTACACCTACTGCGGTATTGGGAGTAATATCATCCTCTCCTCTGCTCGATATTAGGAACAATATCAAAGGGGGGGGTGTACATCCCCTGCGCTACTGGGAGTAATATCATCCTCTCCCCGCCACATATTAGGAACAATACTACAGTGAGGGTGTTTACCCCATGTGCTATAGGGGGTAATATCATCCTCTCTCGTCAATAATATTGTAAACAATGTCTCAGAGGGGGTGTACACCCCCTGCATTATTGGGAGAAAAATCATCCTCTCCCACGCTGGATATTAGGAACAATATCACGAAGAAGGTGGACCCCTCTGCAATACTGGGCATCATATCAACCTCTCCCAACCTGGATATTAGGAACAATATTACAGGGGTGGTGTACACTCCCTGTGGTATTGGCAGTAATATCATCGTCTTTCCCCTTGGATATTAGGAACAATATCACAAGGGGGGTGTAAACCGCCTGCGATATTGAGAGTATTATTACCCTCTTCCCTCCTGGATATTAGGAACAATATCACAGAGGGGGTGTACAGCCCCTTCGACACTGAGAGTAATATCATCCTCTCTCCTGATGATTATGAGGAACAATATCACGGGAGGGTGTACACGTCCTGCGATATTGGGAGTGATATGATCCTCTCCCCACCTGGATTTTAGAGACAACATGACAGGAGGGGGTGTAGAGTCCCTGCGATATTGAGCGTAATATCATCTTCTTTCCTCCTGAGTATTAGAAACAATATCACGGAGGAGGTGTACACCCCGCTGCAGTGTTGGAAGTAATATCATTCTCTTCCCTTCTGGAAATAGTAACAACGTCACAGGGGAGGTGTACACCCCCTTCGATATTGGGAGTGATGTCATCCTGTTCCCCTGTGGATATTAGGAACAGTATCACAAGGGGACTGTACACCCCCTGCGATATTGACAGTAATATCATCGTCTTTCTCATTGCATATTAGGAACAATATTACAAAAGGGGTTACACCCCCTGCGATATTGGGAGTAATATCATCTTCTTCTTGGATATTAGAAACAATATCACAGGGGGCGTGTACACCCCCTGCGATATTGGGAGTAGTGTCATCCTCTTTCCTCTAAATATTAGGAAGAATATAACAAAGGGGTTTTACACCTCTTATGATATTGGGAGTAATATTATTTTCTCCCCCCTAGATATTATGGACAATACCACAGGGTGTGTGTACACTTTCCGCATTATTGGGAGTAATATCAACCTCTCTCTTCCTGGATATTTAAAACAATTTCACGGGGGTGTGTGTGCACCCCTCCCAATACTGGGAGCAATATCATCCTCTCCCACCCTGAATATTAGGAACAATATCACAGAAGGGGTGTACACAGTCTTCGATATTGGAATTATTTTCATCCTCTCTTCCACTGGATTTTAGGAACAATAGCACAGAGTTGGTGTACACCCTTTGTGATATTGACAGTAATATCATCATCTCTCCCTCTAAATATTATTAACAATATCATAACGGGTGTTTACCGCCCCTGTAATATAGGGAGTAATATCATCCCCTTCCCTTTGTATACTAGAAACAATATCACAGGGAGGGTGTACACTACCTGTGATATTAGAAGTGATAACATCCTCTTCTTCCCTGGATATTTGGAACAATATCACACGGGTCATACACCTCCTGCAATATTGAGAGTAATATCATCCTCTGCACCCCTGGATATTGAGAACAACATCCAATGGAGGAGTGTACACACCCTGGGCTGTTGGGAGTAATATTTTTGTCTCCCGTCCTGGATAGTAAAAACAATATTACAACAAGAGTATACACCTGAATATTAGGATGAATATAACATGGGAGTGTACACCGCCTGCACTATTGAAACTAATATTACCCTCTCACGCCCTGGAAATTAAAAACAATATATTAGAAGGGGTTTACAACCCCTGCAATATGGGGAATAATATCATCCTCTCCACTCCTAAATATTAGAGACAATATCACAGGGAAAGTGTATGCCACTTGTGATATTGGGAGTAATATTACCCTCCCCCAACCTGGATATTAAGAACAATACCACAGGGGGTGTAGACTCTCTGCGATATTGGGAGTAATATCATCATCTCTCCTTCTGAACAGTAGGAACAATATCACAGAAGGGGTGTACATCCTCTGCGATATTGGGAGTGATATCTTCCTACACCCCCCAGGTGTTAGAAGTAATATCACATGGGGAATGTACACCTCCTGAAATATTGGGAGTAATATACTTCTCTCCCCTCCGGATATTAGGAACAATATCACGAGGACGCTGTACACTCCCTATGATATCAGAGTAATATCATCCTTTCCCCAACTGGATATTAGGAAGAATATCACAGGGGGGTGTACACTCCCTTCGATATTGAGTGTAATATTATTCTCTCCCCCCCTAGATATTAGAAACAATATCACCCGGGGTTTTACACACCCAGCGATATTGGGAGTAATATCATCCTCTCCCCCTCTTTATATTAAGAACAATATCACTGGGGGGTGTACACCTCATGTGATATTAGATTAATGTCATCCTCTCCTCACCTGGATATTAGGAACAATATCACCCGGGGAGGTCTACTCCTCATGCAATATTGAGAGTAATATTACCCCTCCCTCTCTGAATATTAGGAACAATATCAGAGGGGGAGTGTACACCCCTGGCAATATTGAAAGTAATATCATCCTCTCCTTTCCTGAATATTAGGAACAATATCACATGATGTGTGTACAGCCTCTGCGATATTGACAGTAATATCATCATCTCCTTCTTGGATATTAGGAACAATATCACAGGGGGGTGTACACCTTCTGCGATATTACTGCGAGTAATATCATTTTCTCCCTCTTAAATGTTAGGAACAATACCACAAAGAGGGTGTACACCCCCTGCGATATTGGGAGTAATGTCGTTCTCTCTTTTTTTTTGATATTAGGAAGAATACCACAGGGCGTCTGTACACCCCCTGCAATACTGTAAGTAATATCAACCTCCCCCCCCAAATATTAGAAACAATATTAAAGGAAGGATGTACACATCCTGTGACATTGGGAGTAATATTATTCTCTCCTCACCTGGATATTAAAAACAGTATCACGGCGGGGAGTGTACAGTCCCTTCGATATTGGTTGTAATATCATCCTCTCCATCTCTGGATATTAGAAACAATATCACAAGGGGGTGTGCAGCCCCTGCCATATTGGGAGTAAAATCATTCCCTCCCCCCTGCATGTTAGAAACAATATCACAAGGGGGGTGAACACACCCTGCAACATTAAAAGTAATATTATTCTCTATTCCCCTGGATATTAGGAACACTATCACAGGGGTGTGTAACGCCCCTGCAATATTGGTAGTATTATCATCCTCTCCCCCCAGGATATTAGAAACAATACCACAGAGGGGGTATATACCCCCTCTGAGATATTGGCAGTAATATCATCCTCTTCCCCCAGGATATTAGAATATCACAGAAGGTTTGTACACCCCCTGCGATATTGGGAGTAATATCTCCTCTCCCCATTTGAATATTAGGAACAATATCACAGGGGGGTGTACACCCTCTGCGATATTAACAGTAATATCATCGTCTCCTTCTTGGATATTAGGATCATCCTCTACCCCCTGGATATTAGGCACAATATCACAAGGGGTGTGTACACACCCTGCGATATTGGGAGTAATATCATATTCTCTCTCCCTGGATATTAGAAAGAATATCACAGGGGTGGTGTATATCTTCTGCGATATTGGGAGTAATATCATCTTCTCCCACCCTAAATATTAGAAATAATATCACAAAGGAGGTGTTCACCCCCTGCTATTTTAAGAGTAATATCATCTTCTCCTTCTCTGGATATTAGGAACAATATCACAGAGTGGTGGTGTTCACCCTTTGCAATATTGGGAATAATGTCATCCTCTCCCCCACTGGATATGAGAAACAATATCACAGGAGGTGTGAACCCTTTCTGTGGTATTGCAAACAATATCATCTTCTCCCCTTCTGGATATTAGAAACAGTATCACAGGGATGTGTACATCCGCTGCGATATTGAAAGTAATATCATCCACTCCCCCACTGGATATAAGGAAGAATATCAAGGGGGGAGTGTACACCCTCTGAGATATTGGAGTAATATTATCCTACCCCCGCTGGATATTAAAAACTGTATCACAGGGGGGTATACACCACCTGCAATATTGGGAGTAATATTATCCTCTCTCCCCCTGGTTATAAGGAACAATATCACAGGGGGAGTGTACATCTTCTGCGATATTGGGAGTAATATCATTCTCCCCTAATTTGGATACAAGGAACATTATCACGGGGGGGTGTACACCCCTTGCAGTTTTAAGGGTAATATCATCCTTTCTGCCACCAAATATTTAAAAGGTATCACAGGGGGTTTGTACATTCTCTGCAATATAGGGAATAATATTATCTTCTCTTCCCCTGGATATTAGGAACAATATCACAGAAATGTTGTACACCCTGTGTGATATTAAGAGTAATATCATCCTCTCCCACGGTGGATATTAGGAAAAGTATCACAGGGATGTATACATCCCCTGGATACTGAAAGTAATATCATCCTCTTTCCCCATAAATGTTAGGAAGAACATCACGGGGTGGGGAAAGTAATATGATCCTCTCTCCTGGATATTAAATACAATATCAAAAAGGTGGATGTACAGCTTTTGCGATATTGAAAGCAATATCATCCTCCCCTCCCCTGGATATTAGGAAAAATATGACGGGGGGTGAACCCCCCCTGCGATATCTGGAGTAATATAATCCTGTTTCTTTCAGGACATTAGGAACAATATCACAGGACAGGAGTACACACCCTGCGATATTTGTGGTAATATTACCTTCTCCCCCTGCTGGGTATTAGGAACAATATTACAGGGAGGTGTACACGCTATGCGATATTGGAAGTAATATCATCCTCTTCCTCCCGGATATTAGGAACAATATCACAGGGTGGGTGTAAATTTCCTGCAATATTGGGAGTAATATCATCATCTTCCCCTATGAATATTTGGGGAAATATCACAGAAGAAGTGTACAACCCTAGCAATATTAGTAGTAATATCATCCTCTGCCCCCTGGATATTAGGAACCACATCACAGGGAAGGTGTACACCCCCTGTAATATTGGGAGTAATATTATCCTCTTCCTCCCTGGATATCAGTATCACAGAATGGGTGTACACCCCCTGTGATATTGGGAGTAATATCATCCTTTCCGCCCCTGGATATTGGGAACAATATCACAGCGGGTTGTACACCCTCTGCAATATTTAAAGTAATATTATCCTCTCCTTTCTTAAATATTAAAAACAATAACGCAGGGTGGGTGTATATCACCTGCGATATTGGAAGTAATATTATTCTCTCTTCTCCTGGATATTAGAAACATTATCACAAAGGGAGTGTACACCCCCTGTGATATTGAAAATAATATGATTCTGTCCCTCCCTGGAGAGAAGGAACAATATCAGAGGAAGGGTGTACAAGTTCTGCGATATTGAAGGTAATATTTTCTCCGCCCCTAGATATTAGGAAAAATATCACAGAAGGGGTGTACAACTCCTGCGATATTGGAAGTAATGCCAACTTCTCCCTTCCTGGATATTAAATAAAAACATCACGGGGGGTGTACACTCTCTGCGACATTGGGAGTAATATCGTCTCCCACCCTTGATATTGTACACCATTACCCTTGCAATGATGTACACCCCCTGTGATATTGGGAGTAATGTCAGCCTCTCACTTTTTGGATATTAGGAACATTATCACAAGGGGGGGTTGTACACCACCTGCAATATTGAGGGTAATATCATCCTTTCCTTCCCTTGATATTAGAAACAATATGACGGGGGGTGTGTACATTCCCTTTGATATCGGGAGTAATATTTTTCTCTCCCCACTTGGATATTAGGAACAATATCACAGTGGGAGTGTACACCTTCTGCGATATTGGGAGTGATAATCTCCTCTCCTTTTCATGATATTAGGAGCAGTATCACAGGGGGAGTACACACCCTCTGCGATATTGGGAGTAATATCATCCTCTTTTCCACTGGATATTAGGAACAATATCACAAGGGGGGTGTACACCCCCTGTGACCTCTGGAGTAATATTCTCTCCCCCCATCCCCGTATATTAGGAACAATATTACAGTGGGGGTGTACAACCCTGTGATATTGAAAGTAATATCAACTCTCTGCCTGAATATTAGAAACAATATCACGGGGCGGGGGGGCGGTGTACACCCTCTGTAATATTGGGTGTAACATTATTCTCTCCCTTTCTTAATATTAGGAACAATATCACAAAGGGGGTGTACACTCCCTGTGATATTGGGAATAATATCATCCTCTCCCTTCCTGAATATTAGGAACAATATCACAGAGGGGTTGTACAACCTCTACGATATTGGGAATAATATCATCCTCTCTGTCCCTGGATACTAGAAACAATATCACAGAAAGGGTGTAACCCCCTGTGACATTGAAAGTAATATCATCCTCTTTGCCAATGGGTATTAAAAACAATATCAAAAATGGGGTGTACAAGTCCTGCGATATTGCAGTAACATCCTCTCCTCCACTGGATATTAGAAACAATATAACAGAAGTGGTGTACACCCCCTGCGATACTGAGAGAAATATCATTCTCTTCCCAACTGAATATTAGGAACAATATCACAGAGAAGGTGTACATCTTGTCCAATACTGGGGGTAATATCATCCTTCCCACCATAGATACTAGGAACAATATCACGGTGGGGGGTGTACACCTGCTGCGATATTGAGAGTAATATTATCCTCTCCATTCCTGAATATAAGGTACAATATCACAGAGGGGGTTTACCCATCCTGCGATATTTGGAGTAATATCTCCCTCCCGGATATTAGAAACAATATCACAGTGGGGGTGTACACCCTCTGCGCTATTAGGAGTAACATCATCTTCTCCCGCTTTGGATGTTAACACAATATCACGGGGGGGATTTACACAACCAGCGATATCGGGAGAAATATCATTTCCTCCCTCCCGGATATTACGAATAATATTGCAGGGGAAATAACCCCCTGCGATATTGGGAGTAATATCATCCTCATACTTTCTTAATATTAGGAACAATATCACAGGCTCGGTGGATACCCCTGTGATATTGAGATTAATATAATCTTCTGCCCCCTGGATATTGGAAGCAATATCACGGGGGGGGGGTGTACACCCCCTGCTCTATTGACAGTAATATCATGATCTTTCCTCCAAGATATTAGGAACAATATCACAAGGGGGTTATACATCCCCTGCACTATTGGTAGTAATATCATCATTTTTGCCCCTGTATATTAGAAAAAATATCACGGGGGTGTGTGCACCCTCTGCGATATTGGGAGTAATATCATCGTTCACCACCTTGATATTACGAACAATATCACAGGAGAGTGTACACCTGCTGCAACATCGGGAGTAAATTATCCTCTTCCCCCCTGGATATTACAAACAATGTCACAGGAAGGTGTACACTCCCTGCGATATTGTAAGTTGTATCATACTCTTTCACTCTTGATATTACAAACAATATCACAAGGTTGTGAACACCCCTGCGGTATTGTGAGTAATATAATCCTCTCCCTTCCTGGATATTACGAACAATGTTCCAGGGGGGTGTACACACAGGGTGTTTATGATATTGGGATTGATATCATCCTCTCTTCCCCTGGATATTGCGAACAATATCACAGGAGGGTGTACGTCCCCTGCGATATGGGGAGTAATATCACCTTCTGTTCATATATATATATATATATATATATATATATATATATATATATATATGGAGAGAGAGAGAGTCTCACTCTGTGGGCCAGGCTGGAGTGCAGTGGCACGATCTCAGCTCACTGCAACGTCAGCCTCACGGGTTTAATAAATTATCCTGCCTCAGCTTCCCAAGTAGCTGAGATTACAGATGTGTGCCACCACATCCAGCTAATTTTTGTATTTTTAGTAGAGACGAGGTTTCACCATGTTGGCCAGGCTGGTCTTGAACTTCTGACCTCAGGTAATCCGTCCGCCTTGGCCTCCCAAAGTGCTAGGATTACAGGCGTGAGCCACCATGCCCAGCCTCTTCTGGATATTATGAACAGCATCAGAGGGAGGTAATGTCATCCTCTCCTCCCGGATATTAGGAACAATATCACAAGGGAATATATACTCCCTGTGATCTGGAGAGTAATATCATTCTCTTCCCTTCTGGATATTACGAACAATATCACAAGGGGATGCACACCCCCGTGATATGGGGAGAAATATCATCCTCTCACTGGATATTGTGAACAACATCACAAAATGGTGTAGACCACCTGTGATATGGGGAGCAATATCGTCTCCCCCCTCCCCTCCAGATATTAAGAACAATATCACAGGGGCTGTACACTCCCTGCAATATGGGAAGTAATATTATCCTCTCACCCCCTGGAAATTATGAACAATATCAAAGGGGGGGTTACACCCCATGCGATGTGGAGAGTAATATCATCCTCTCCCTCCCTGGATATTACAAAAAGTATCACAGGGATTTGTGCACCCCCTGCCATATGGGGAGTACTGTCATCTTCTCCTCCCCTAAATATTACAAACAATATGACAGGGTGTACACACCCTGCAATATGGGAAGTAATATTACCCTCTCACCCCCTGGAAATTACGAACAATATCACAGGGGGTGTACACCTCCTGCGATATGGTGAGTAATATTATCCTCTCCACCCCTGGATATTGCAAACAACATCACAAGGGGGAGTACACCACCTGCCATATGAGGAGCAAAATTATCCTTTCCCCACCCTGGATATTATGAACAGTTTGACAGGGGGGTCTACACTTTCTGTGATATAGGAAGTAATATCATCCTCTCCTAACCCCGGATATTATGAAAATATCACAGGAGGGTGTACCTCCTTTGCTATATGGGGAGTAATATTATATTCTCCCTCCCTAGATAGTATGATAATATCACAGATGGGTGTACATCTTCTGCGACATGAGGAATAATGTCCTCTCCTGGATATTACGAACAATATCACAGGAAGGTCTACACCCTCTGTGATGTCAGAAGTAATATAATTTCACCTTCCCGGAAATATTAGGAACAATATCACAGGGGGGTGAACACCCACTGCGATATGAGGAGTAGTATCATCCTCTCCCCACCTGGATATTATGACCAATATCACAGGGTGGTTTACACCACCTGTGATATTGGGAGTAATATTATCCTCTTTCCCTTGGATATTAGAAACAATATCACAGGGGAGTGTACAACGCATGCAATACTGGGAGTAATAACATCCTCTTCCTTTTTGGATATTATGAACGATATCGCGGGTGATGTACACCCCCTGCGATATTGGGAGTAATATTATCCTCTCCCCCCCCGGATATTACAAAAAATATCACAGAAGGGTGTAAGCCCTTCTGCCATATTGGGAGTATTATTACCCTCTTCCTTTTTGGATACTACGAACAATATCACAGGGAAGTAATATCATCCACTTCCCCTTCGGATATTTCAAACAATATCACAGAGGGGTGTACACCCCCTGTGATATGGGGAGTAATATCATCCTCTCCTCCCTATATATTACGAACAGCATTACAGGAAGATGAACCCCCTTTGCGATATGGGGAGTATTATCAGCCTCTCTCCCCTAGATATGATGAACAATATCACAGGGGAATGTACATCCCCTGAGATACACGAAGTAATATCATCCTCTGCGTCCCTGGATATTATGAACAATATCACAGGGGGACATGTATCCCCTGTGACATGGGGAATAATGTCATCCTCTCAAACCCTGGATATTACAAACAATATCACAGGGGGGTGTACACACCTGCGATATGCAGAGTAATATTATCCTCTCCCCCACTGGAAATTATGAACATTATCACAGGGAAGGTGTACATCCTCTGCAATATGAGGAGTAGTAACGTTATCTTTTCCCCCATTAAATATTTTTGAGACTATCACAGGTGGGTGTACACGTTTGCAATATGGGGAGTAATATCATCTTTTCCCCTCCTGGATATTATGAACAATATCACAGCGGGTGTACACCCTTTGCAAAATGGGGTGTAATATTATCCTTCTCCCTGAATATTACAAACAATATCACAGGGGAGTGTACACTTCCTGCAATATGGGGAGTATTATCATCCTCTTTCCCACTGGATATTATGAACAATAACATATGGGTGTACACCATCTGCGATATGGGGAGTAATACTATCTTCTCATTTTCTGGACATTATGAACAATATCACAGAAGGGTGTACACCCCTTGCGATACTAGCAGTAATAGCATCCGCTCTTCTTTTGGATATTACGAATAATATCACAGGAAGCTCTACACTTCCTGCGATATGAGGAGTAATATCATCCTCTCCCCAAATGGATATTATGAACAATATCACAGAGGGGTGTACAATGTCTGCGATATTGGGATTAATATCATTTTCTCCCCCAGTGGATATTACAAGCAATATCACAGGAGGATGTACACCCTCTGCAATATTAGGAATAATTTTGTGCTATCCCACTGAAAATTATAAGTAATATCATCCTCTCCCCCTCTGAATATTATGAAAATTATCACAAGAAGGCGTACACCCTTTGCTATATTGGGAATCATATCATCCTCTCCTTCCCTGGATATTACGAACAATATCATAGGATGGTGTATACATCCTGTGATATTGGGAGTAAGTAATATCATCTGCCACCCTGGATATTATGAACAATATCACCGAGGATGTACACACAGGATGTGTTATGATATTGGGAGTAATATCAACTCCCTCCTGGATATTACAAACAATATTACAGGGGGGTGTACACTCCCTGCGATATAGGGAACAATATCATCATCTCCCTCCACTTGATATTATCAACAATATGGCAAGGGTGTGTACACCTCCTGCAATATGGGGACTAATATCATTTTTTCTCTCCTTGAATATTACAAACAATATCGCGGGGGGGGGTACACACCTGGCGATATGAGGAGTAACATCATCTCCTCCCCCCGTGGATATTGTGAACAATATCGCAGGGATTGTACACTCCCTTCGATATGGGGAGTAACATCATCCTCTCCCCCCTTGGATATTATGAACAGTATCACAGTGGCATGAATATTCCCTGCCATATGTAGAGTAAAATTATCCTCTCCTCTCTGGTTATCATGGACAATAACGCAGAAGGGTATACACCTCTGCCATATGGTGAGTAACATCACCTTCTTTCCTTCTGGATATTACCAACGATATTGCAGGGAAATGTTCACCGCCTGCGATATGAAGAGTAACGTCATCCTCTCCCTCCCTGTATATTATGGACAATATCACAGGAAGGTGTACACTCCCTGCAATATGGGGAGTAACATTATCCTCTCCCTTTCTGGATATTACAGACAATATAGCAGGGGTGTGTACACCCTTTGTGATATGAAGATTAACATCATCCTCTCACCCTCTAAATATTACAGACCATATCGCATAGGACTGTACACCCCTGTGATATGAAGAGTAACATCATCCTCTATCCTCCTGGATATTACAAACAATATCATAGGGGGGTGCACACCAATAAAAATTTTATCTTTGTGATGAAAGATAGCAGCAGTTTGGTTAAATTAAAATCGCAGTCAGTATCTAAAATTTTTAGAAAGTTTTCAGGTCTTATACTCATGCATGCAGATCATCACTGTTGATATAAAAGTCGAATAAAATAATTGCTTAAAATTCAGGTGAGCATGTTAGCTAGATACCGAGCATTGGTTTGAGTTCAAATAATTGGAAAGTGCTAAATGATTTCTAAAATAACTAAGCAAAAATGATATATTTGGCTTTTACTCATTAAGAGAAAGATTTTGAAACTGAAGTTGTGAAATTCTTAGATTGCTGAAGTAGAAATACTTGTGTAATGAAATAGTTTTATAGATAGATAATTCTCTTGATACTAATTTTATTAAACTGGGGGAAATGTATGATATTTCAGTTAAATAAGCAATAGAAAAAGGGGATGAATTGTGAAATCATAACTAGCAAGGTCTGTTTTTAAAGCTCCAATTTCAACCACTCTACTCATAATGTGATATATAAGTGATACTTGAAAACAGAGCTTCCTGCCTGAGTGTGTGTGGCATTGTGCTAAATTAATTGGCTCAGCTTTGAAGAAAAGAGAAGATTGGTTTTTTTTCTTAACTACACATATTATAACATTTTTTTGAAGAAAAATGTGCCAAGAAAACTAACCCTCTGGATCTAAGAATTCAAGCCACTTTGTGAATTTTGGTCTCTTCCTCAAGGTGACTATAGCTACGAAGGGAGAAAGCAATGGTGAATTACAAACGCAGGTCCCTTCTGAGTACTGCCTGAAGTTAAGGAATTGATCTTAATATTTGATTTCATCCTTCTCTTGTTTGTGCCGTATGGACTAAGTATGCTTTTCCTTGTGGATATTCTGAAATCAAAAGCAATATTGCCAACTGCCTACTAATTAAACAACAACAGCAACAAAATGTGTGATGTCTAAACAAAAGGATGGTGTAACAAGAGAAATGGTATAAGATAAGTTATCAGCTACTATTTGAGATTGTGTGGATCTCTCTATAATGTAGCCAATACCACAATTATCAGAGACCATTTATATAGAGAGAGTTTTATAGTCTTGATACTAGTGACTTATTTGTGTAGGTCATTTTTGTAGTTTTGGCAGGACTGGGCTTGCTGCTATTCAAAGTGACCCCAGGTCCTTTACCCATTGATAGTATGACCAGATGACTTAATAACTTTTTTTCCTAACTGTCCAGGAGCAGATAAGGAGTTCAATGATTGGTTTAATATCAGTTATTATGAAAAATGTGGGACTGGTTGCTTCCAGTGCAACCTTAGTTGTCACAACAGTCTAGCATAGGGGATATTGCAATTTGATCTCTTGTTCAGATCACAGGAAGTATCCAAGGAATAGGGTATATAGGAGAACAAAACATCTCAGTTCTTTATTGTCTGTTAAAATACCTGATCCTTATCTCTCAGGCTGGAAAGAGGGGTCATATCTTTGGAAACAAAGGCCACCTACTGAGCCAAAGCACAAGCTAGACATACCTGTCTGTATATTCAGAATAACAAAGGCCAAGCCTTGGTGTATATGTGATACAGATGTGGTAATCATCAAAAGTGGTTTATAGGTCTCTACAGAAACTATCACAGCCACATTGAGAATGTAGACTGTGGTCTGACCATGAGATTGAGGATCTCACTCTATAGAGCTGGCTCCAGCAACGCCCCACCCTACTCCCTGTGCTTCCTGCTCTATCTCAACCTGTGAGAAGGAAGGATAATTGGCCTGTTTAAAATAAATTTCTCTTTCTGGTTTTCAAAAGAATCTCCCAGTCTTTAGTCAGAAATATAATTTAATAATTTTTAGGTTAGTTATATACACTAATAAAATGTACATCTTTCATTTAAAAATTAGTTTTTGAAGAGTTAAGAGATTGGACAACATTGCCACTGAGCACATTAGTACCTTGTTTTGTGAGTTGAGATGAAGCATTGATGCCTAAAGAAATAGTCTCTTGGTAAATTGTTCATTACTGAAGAATGGTCAAGAAGCCAGTCTCAGCATAAGTCAGGGTAATCAGCAGGCCATCTCAGCTCACCGCAACTTCCGCCTCCCAGACTCAAGCACTTCTTGTTCTTCAGCCTCCTGAGTAGCTGGGACTACAGGTGTGTGCCACCACTGACCAGTGCTAAATTTTGTATTTTTGGTGGAGATGGGGTTTCGCCATGTTGGCCAGGCTGGTCTCAAACTCCTAGCCTCAAGCCATCTGCCGGCCTCAGCCTCCCAAAGTGTTGAGATTACAGGCAAAAGCCACAATGCCTGGCCTCTGGGCTATAGTTTTCTTTTTGTATGTTAGGATCAAATCAGAAATATGTACATACGTACATATAGATGATAGATAGATAGATAGATAGATAGACAGACAGATACAGATATAGTTATGTAGATATAGAAGGCACTTGGTACATAAAATTTATAGAACCTAGTAAATGTTAAAGATAGATGCATATTGTTATTCTAAGTATTCAGATGGTAATCAAAAATTGGATAACAATTGGATACAATTTTAAGTAAAATGGTTAAAATAGCCTCTGTATCCTCTTAATCCTCTCCCAGCCAATTTCTAGCATCATTTTCCTAGAATTTTGGAAAAATAAGAGCATCATTTAGAAGTGAATAACATTTTTTATTCTAAAATGTTATAATTCTAAAGTATTAAAATACTGTTTGGTGAAACAGTATTCTAAAATGTTATATTCTAAAATGTTCTAAAATGTTAAAATACTGTTTGGTGAAACAGTATTTTGTATTCTAAAATGTTAAAATACTGTTTGGTGAAAACAAAATTTATATTGTGGAATGTAATTAGCAAGAAGCCAACTTTTATTTATATTTAGTATTTATCCAGACTAGATCATTCCATTCTTTACACAGAGAAGGGTCCAAATATTGACTCTCTTTGTTTCTCTATCAGTGAAAAAGTACTTCTTTTGCTGTGCCTTATCTCAAGCTTTTAAGTATTTTGAGAACACACATGAAACAGAATTGAACATTAGCTACACATTTGAACCATAGTAAATGCTATAGCATTATCTTACCTTTTTTCTCAGAAATGTTTGCACACTTTGTTTTCCCCTTGGCCTTTGTAAAACTCAGTAAGGTGAAATGGCAAAAGGACTATTTAAATACTAACATTGAAGATTCATTCATTCATTCATTCATTCCACAAATACTGGGTGATAGAGTAGTTGAGAAGCCACAGCCCATGTCCTGCCAGGAGAAGCTGACAGTATACAACTAAATTAATAAGTGTATTCTAGGCCGGGTGTGGTAGCTAACATCTGTAATCCCAGCAGTTTGGGAGGGCAAGGTGGGCAGATCACCTGAGGTTGGGAGTTCGAGACCAGCCTGACCAACATGGAGAAACCCTGTCTCTACTAAAAATACAAAATTAGCCGGGCATGGTGGCACATGCCTATAATCCCCGCTATTTGGGAGGCTGAGGCAGGAGAATCACTTGAACCTGGGAAGCGGAGGTTGCGGTGAGCCGAGATTGCGCCATTGCACCCCAGCCTGAACAACAAGAAACTCCATCTCAAAAAAAAAAAAAAATGTATTCTACAAATCCAGGTAGTGAAGTTAGCAACACATACTAAGATAAGAATAAAGCACAGTAAGAAGAGAATGGTCAAGTGGGAGGAAATGACTACTTTGTCTAGGGTGATTAGGGAAGACTCTCTTAAGAGACGACTTTGGAATAGAAACTTAATTGAAAGAAGCCATGTGACTATCTGGAGGAATACTTCTCAGGATATCGAAGAGGCATAGGTCTCATAGAAAAAATTTCAGTTTGACTTGTCAAGGCCAGTATGTTTAGAGCAGAGAGAGTGAGAAGGGGAAAGGAAAGACACAAGGTTTGAGTGACATGGAAAAGTCCTGTAAAAAGACAAGAAAAACAAAATTCCAGGAAACTTTAATTTCTTACTGTAATTTTCCATGTATTTCAGATCTAAGCTGCTTTCAGTGTTCCAACTTGATTTTCTGTTTGCAATATGAGAATCATTTTTTCTTGAGACTGACAACTGAATTATTTTAAAATGACCAGAAATAGTGAAAACTGCTAAACTGATCAAAATATTTTTCTATATTAAGAATGACTTATATGGATTATACATTAATCATTAAATAGGCCTCTATTGAAAAGACCACATTTAAAATTCTCATTTGTTATATCAAAAACTGTATTCCCCAATATAAAGACTGAAGTATCCTAAAATTAGGATGTATTTTAGTGTGATTATGGCTTTTCAACACACAAGACAAAAAGTATATAATTTAAACAATTATCTAAATAATTAAGGGCAAGTAATAATTTTGTTTTAAATATACAAACAATTATCTAATTAGGGAATCACAAGTTGAATACCCAACTGAGATTGCTACAGTGGTATTTTGATGATTTAAGTGTGGATGAATTGTAAACATTAGGATTAAATTTCACCTGAAAGAACCTATGTTTAAAGTCTATGGAGAAACGTACTTGACAGAGTGTATTTTGAGTTATATTAAAACCAAAGACTCATAAAAATGGTTTGAGATAGTTTGCTGAAATAAAATCATATAACAAGCATGCAACTGAAACAATTAGCTACAAGTTTCAACTCACAAACATATTTGTCAGAAATTCCCTGATCATCACCCAGGCATTGATTCATGCTTTCATTGAATATTGTTTGAATTTCTACTATGTGTTAGTCATTGTGCTGGGTTCTAAGTTTACAAAGGAGAACAAAAGAGTTTTACCCTGCACCTCTTAGGGTTTATGGGTTCCTGAGGAAATTGATGAGTGATAATTAATAAATGCTACTCTTCAACTCTCTATAGAAGAGAGAGAGTTTCTACTCTAAGGATATGAAGTTTAAAAGGATCATCTGGTCTCATTTTCCACCCTTTGTATAAAAGTTAACAAAGTGCCTCTCTGACATATTTTATCTGTTGAGAAAACAGATTGAGAGTTGAGTTATAAGGGAAGAATGACTTGAAGAACGAGTGGTTGATATTACCATGAGACTCAATTGCTTCTCTTTTTGTTAACAGTTCAAGAATGGAAGAGAGAGCTTAACCATTGGTTCAATGACCAGCTGTGTGATTTCCTAAACAGTATTCACAGGCTAGTTGACTTCATTCAGGATAGAGGTGTTTCCAAGGACAGTGTCAAGGAAGAAGTTTTGAAGCAATGTATCATAGATGTAATGGAGAAAAAAGAAAGCAGTGATTAATAGAGTAGAAAGTAGAAAGATCTGTGATTTGGAGTCTAAGGAAATTGGAGAAATTTGTGGGAAGAGTAGAAAGCTGTGGTTCCACAGTACACTGAAGGAATTTTTAATTTCAGAAGTGGAAGATTTCTGGGTAGATACATGAGAAGGATAATAAGTAAAGGAAAGGAGAAGATAACAAGTTCAATATTATTGTGTTCAGGGTTAGAGGAACACAATAATAGTTGATATTACTTGGAGTAGCAGGAAATAAATGATTTGAAGCAGGTGCCAAAAGTTATACTGAATTGGGAGAAGTGACCAGGAGGATGATAGGAGATAGTGTCAAGAATAGGTAAAAGAATGTTTAGCCAACTGGCAAGAAGCTTCAAGGAAACTTATTTATTTATTTATTTATTTATTTATTTATTCATTCATTCATTCATTCATTCATTTATATGAAGATAAGGAGTCATGAGCTGAATATAATTTGGAAACTCTGAACTATATGATGTGTGGGAGAAAGAACACCTACTCTTCAGAGGACCTTGAGAATTTATGGAAAGAGTCAGTGTTCAGTGAAGCCAGTCTGAAAGAAATGGTCAGTAGAGAGGCAAAAGGTATAGAGGAATTTGTTTAACTGTGGGCAAAGAAACCCATGCAATAGATGTGAGGAGTAGTAAGGCCTTTGTGGTTTGGGCCTTAAAATGGACTAAGTCCCCAATTTACTTTTATTTTAATATCACGGGAATAAAAGCAGTAAGCTTTTCAGCCTGAAATACCCAACAAATTGTCTTAATTTACTTCATTTCAAAGGTATGAATATTGAATGAATATCGTATTCTTAGTGTAGCATCTGATTTTCAAATGTATTTAGTTCAATAAAATCTGAAGTGCATTTTGCCAAGAAAATATCATCTGAGATTTTAGCCATGTTTATTTTAGGAGAAATATAATCCTCATGTTTATGATTCATCTATACTTAAAATATTGCTGAGAGAAACCCATAGTACATCCAAGATAGTAATTGTCATTCATGTATCATTTTTAAAATTTTCTTTCAGTTATGTAACTATGTTAATTAAGCCATATCTAATTTGGAAAGTTAAGAGATATGACTTCTCAATTTAGGAAATGACATAACCACATTGAATCATGAGCCTACAGAACTGCAAGGGACCTTGGGAATCACCAAATCCCTCATTATAAAATAAGAAACTGAGGAATAGAGAAGGTACCTGATATCTGCAATCACACTCAACTTAGAGAAGAACTAGAGCAAATAAATCGGGTGATATTAATTAATTCTCCACTTTGAGCACATGAACACTTAGCACAAGCTCTTAAACATAATAAGTGCCAAATGATGCTTGTTTAATGAATAAATCAATGTCATTAGGACTCCACCTCTCAGATTTATGTGCTGTAGTTTGCCATTTGGCATATTTATTCATCAATTATCCACATATGAGGGGCCCTGTGATGGGCTTTCTACCAAATTTGCCTTATCAGACACAATTACCAGCTTTGAGAAGATTTTAACTCAAAAGTAACAAAGTTAATAAAGTGTTCAAATATGAAAGAGTCTTAGATTAATATACAAAGACCTAACTGTCGTTTTGTCTGGCTATTTGTATGAGAATGTTTATGAATAAAAATGTGTACATTACATTAAATAGGTAAAATGTTTCTTTTCCTATCATGTGCCTGGAAAATGTTTATGGAAGGGAAGGATTTAAGGAGCTCTTCAATTAGACAGTACTGCCGGAGAAAACATTCTGTGGAATCACTGAGCAGTCCAAGGGAAGATCTAAGAACAGGAGACAGAAATTAAGTAAATGGAGTTGGTAAAAGGGTTTATTGCCATTAAGCAAAGTGTGGTGAGGGACTGCCAGGGAACGACAGTGTGAAAATGAGCTGATGGACACCCGAGTAGCATACATTGTGTAGTAATGTAGTAATGTAATGTGTAGTTTTTTTATCCTTAACTCCTCTCCAGTGCACTAAAATCTCAGAACTGACCACTATATAATTCATCCATGTAACGAAAAATCATTTGTACCCCAAAAGATATTTAAATAATTTTTTTTAAAAAAAGAAATCTAGTCTTCCAAATGCAATAGCTATTAAAACCAGCAGTTTGGCAGCCACTAAGTGAGGCAGAATAAGGTAGGAACTCCCTAGAAGTCCTGTCTGCAGAGATTTGTCACTACTTTACGTGTCTGGCAGCTTGTTAGAAAGCACTATTCTCAGGTTTTGTCTTTATCTGACCTTAGTTGGAGCTCTCGCTGTTTGTGAAGAGCCCTCTTCTCAGGATTTTGCCAAAAATAATCAACAGCAATTGTTTAACATCACAGCTGCCTAATGTGGCTTTATTTGTTGGGAGGAACAAGAACTTGACCAAAATACAAAAGAAAATACTGAGGACTGACATGATCATAAGGAACTTTGCAAAGCTAAACATAACCAAGAAATCTAGGAGGCTACACACATACTCAGGACTGTGCACATGCCCAGGAAAGGACTGAGACAATACTGTCAATCACAATATTAGTAGAGCTGTTGACAATTAAAACAAAAAAATGAAGCCTAACATTTTAATTTAACTTTTAATAAATATTCCATGTTTATTAAAAATAAAAAATTAAAAAAAAAAAAAAGAAAAAGAAAATGAGCTGATGGAAAAAGAAATGTTCAAAGAATTCCGGGAAAAGGACTAGAACTTGAACAGAAAGATTATAATGTTATAGTTCAGCACATGTGAGATTTAGCTGTGCAACCTTGGACAAGGCACTTAGTTAATTACATTAATTAATTAATTTTTTTTGGAGATGGAGTCTCGCTCTGTCGCCCAGACTGGAATGTAGTGGCGAAATCTCAGCTCACTGCAAACTCTGCTTCCAGGTTGAAGCGATTCTCTTCCCTCAGCCTCCCAAGTAGCTGGGACTACAGGCGCACGCCGCTACGCCCGGCTAATTTTATTGTATTTTTTAAAGTAGAGACAGGGTTTCACTGTTTTGCCCAGGCTGACCTGGAACTCCTGAGCTCAGGCAGTCCGTCCGCCTCAGTCTCCCAAAGTGCTGGGATTACAGGCGTGAGCCACCGCGCCTGGCTGCACTTAATTATTTTAAGCCTTGGTTTTTGAGATCATCTTATAAATGTAGATAATCATGGTACTTCCCTCATCTGTCCATAGTAAGGATTAAATTAAATAATGTTTACTCACTCTGCATACAAATCAGTTTGAACAGGGAGATGAGATGTTCAATGAGGTATTGAATTCTTCTAGGTTCTAGACTTAGTTTAGTGGTGCTACTACAATTCTTTCATAATCACAGCTCTTAACCAGAGAATTTTTATGTGTAGTAATTCTCCATATGCCTTTTTTTTCTGGGAGCATTTTTTAAATTTAAACCTCCTTTAGTCAGCTCAATGGAAACTCTCAAGAATAAAGTCATCAAGTAAGTGTGACCATTTATTATTACTATTACTATTATTATATTTTAAGTTCTAGGGTACATGTGCACAACGTGCAGGTTTGTTACATATGTATACATGTGCCATGTTGGTGTGCTGCACCCATTAACTCATCATTTACATTAGGTATTTCTCCTAATGCTATCCTTTCCCCCTTCCCCCCATTCCACGACAGGCCCCAGTGTGTGATGTTCCCCACCCTGTGTCCATGTGTTCTCATTGTTCAGTTCCCACCTATGAGTGAGAATATGCGGTGTTTGGTTTTCTGTCCTTGCGATAGTTTGCTTAGAATGATGGTTTCCAGCTTCATCCATGTCCCTACAAAGGACACGAACTCATCCTTTTTTATGGCTGCATAGTATTCCATGGTGTATATGTGCCACATTTTCTTAATCCAGTCTGTCATTGATGGACATTTGGGTTGGTTCCAAGTCTTTGCTGTTGTGAATAGTGCCACAATAAACATACGTGTGTGTGTGTCTTTATAGTAGCATGATTTATAATCCTTTGGGTATATACCCAGTAATGGGATAGCTGGGTCAAATGGTATTTCTAGTTCTAGATCCTTGAGGAATTGCCACACTGTCTTCCACAATGGCTGGACTAGTTTACACTCCCACCAACAGTGTAAAAGTGTTCTTACTTCTCCACATCCTCTCCAGCACCTGTTGTTTCCTGACTTTTAAATGATCACCATTCTAACTGGTGTGAGATGGTATGTCATTGTGGTTTTGATTTGCATTTCTCTGATGGCCAGAGATGATGAGCATTTTTTATGTGTCTGTTGGCTGCATAAATGTCTTCTTTTGAGAACACCATCTGATCTTTGACAAACCTGACAAAAACAAGAAATGGGGAAAGGATTCCCTATTTAATAAATGGTGCTGGGAAAATTGGCTAGCCGTATGTAGAAAGCAGAAATGGATCCCTTCCTTACACCTTATAAAAAATTAATTCAAGATGGATTAAAGACTTAAATGTTAGACCCAAAACCATAAAAACCTTAGAAGAAAACCTAGGCAATACCATTCAGGACATAGGCATGGGCAAGGACTTCATGTCTAAAACACCAAAAGCAATGGCAACAAAAGCCAAAGTACACAAATGGGATTTAATTAAACTAAAGAGCTTCTGCACAGCAAAAGAAACTACCATCAGAGTGATCAGGAAACCTACAGAATGGGAGAAAAATTTTGCAATCTACCCATCTGACAAAGGGCTAATATCCAGAATCTACAAAGAACTTAAACAAATTTACAAGAAAATATCAAACAACCCCATCAAACAGTGGACAAAGGATATGAACAGACACTTCTCAAAAGTGATGACCATTTTATAGTGAGACAAATCCTGGACATTTCCTGGGTGGTAAATGCTAGATTAGCAAAGTGAAGGCCAGAGTGAGGAAATTCTGATGACCTGTTTGTGATTAGTGGGAAAAGCACTAGATGTGAAGTGGGAAGACCTAAGTTTGAAGGGGAAGTCTGTTTCTGCCACCTGCTAGTTGCAAGACTTGGATACATTACCTAATATTTTTGAGCCTCCGCTTGTTGATCTATACAATAGGGACAGTAATACAAGCCTCAGAAGTTGTAGAAATTAGATGACATAATATAGCACCTAGCACAGTGCTTGATATTCAACCAAAGCTTCATATATATCCCTGATCTCCCCCTTCTTCCTATATCACTTAAGTCTCAAGATATATTAATCTTCAAGTTCTTTAGAGATGAAAAAATAAAGCCAAGAAAGGGCTAAGTGGGAAGTGGGGGGAAATTCTGAATCATTTGAGGAAAGATGAAATGGAAGCTCATCAAAAAACAATTCACAAAGGACTATCAATTATTCTTATTTCATGTTAAATGACCATAAACACTGTACATTTTGTAAACTTTATATATCTAAAGCTGTCAGATGATGGATGTATCACTTTGGAATGACCCTTAATGTCACATCATAGTTGGTAATGCTAACAGAGTCAAGCTGAATGGCGGAAAATAAACTTCTCTTCCAGCCCTATAATTTGTGAAATGATCAGGACAGAGAAATGGAGAGAAATTGAATTAATATATGACATGGTCATGGTAACATAACACAGCGAATAACCAAGTTTCATAAAGTCAAATATTAGGAAGACATTAATAGAACTATTTAGATTTCTGCAGTGCCTTCTTACAACGGACCTGAAAGTGTCCGTTCTGTTGTCTAGATGGCTTCCTTCAAATGTGGCTTCCTTTATATTGCTAACCTTATTAATGCAAACCCTTCCAGATGGCTTTGCCATGATTATTTTACTTGCCATCTCATTTCCACTGAGCAGGGTTTTGCCTCTGCTAATAAGTGCAATGAAGCATGCTGCTCCCCTCATTGTCTGATTAAATGGTGAGCAGCAGGTGATTTTTTCAATTAATTCATGTTTAAAAATACTAGCTCCTTAAACATATTTATAATAGCATCACAAACATTATTTTCAAAGTTTGGCAAGATGTTATATAGATAATTTTAAAATAATCGCTTACGAAAAATTAGATGTTTTGTTTTATGTTGTTTTTTTCTTTGAAATCATGCTTTCTTTATTATTATAAATATTTTCAACTTTTATTTTAGGTTCAGGGGGTACATGTGCAGGTTTGTTACACGGGTAAATTGTGTGTTGCTGAGGTTTGGGGTACAAATGATCTTGTTACCCAGGTAGTGAGCACAGTACCCAATGGGTGGTTTTTCAGCCCATACCCGATTCTCCTTCTTCCCCATCCAGTAGTGCCCAGAATGTGTTGTTCCCTTTATGTCCATATGTACTCAGTGTTTAGCTTCCACTTATAAGTGAGAACATGTGGTATTTGCTTTTCTGTTCCTGTGTTAATTTGCTTAGGATAATAGCTTCTGGCTGAATTTGTGTTGCTGTAAAGAACATGATTTCACTGTTTTTTTTATGGCTGCATAGTATTCCATGGTGCATAAGTACCACATTTGTTTATCATATCCATCATTGATGGCCACATAGGCTGATTCCATGTTTTTGCTATGTGAGTAGTGTTGTGAGTAGTGTGAGTAGTGTTGTGAGTAGTGTTGCGATGAACATACAAGTGCATATGTCTTTTTGGTGGAATATTTTCCTTTGTGTATATACCTAGTAATGGGACAGCTGTGTCAAATGATAGTTCTGTTTTAAATTCTTTGAGAAATATCCAAACTGGTTTCCACAGCAGGTAAACAAATTTACATTCTCACCAACTGTGTATAAGCATTCCCTTTTCTCCACAAAGTTGCCCTCAGTTATTTTTTGAGTCTTTATAATGGCCATTCTGACTAGTGTGAGATGGTATCTCATTGAGGTTTTGATTTGGATTTCTCTAATGATTCGTGATGTTGAGCATTTTTTCATATATTTGTTGGACGCTCGTATGTCTCCTTTTGAGAAGTGTGTGTTCATGTCCTTTGCCCATATTTTAATGGGGTAATTTGTTTTTTTTGCTTGTTGAATTGTTTAAGTTCCTTATAGATTCTGGATATTAGACCTTTGTCAGATACAGTTTGCTAATATAAAAAATTAGATGTTTTTGGACAATTCTCATGTCAAATCTCAAGAGAATGTACAGTTTAAGGTAGTGAGTTATTTCTTTGCACCCCAGAATCTTATTGATTTTCTTTGGTGCTTGCTGATATGATTACATTAAAAAAAAATGGAAAAGGATATATAAATATATATACATATATATTTATAGGATATTTAAATATATATACATATATATTTATAGGATATTTAAATATATATATTTAAAGGATATATATATATACACACACACACATGGGATATATATATATATACACACAGGATAAATATACTTATATATACAGCATATATACTGTATATTCTTATATATACAATGTGTGTGTACATATAAACACACACATATATGGGATATATATACAAACACACAGGATATACATACACACTTATATATACTGAGTGTGTATGTATATACACACATACACTTATATATAAGTGTGTGTATATATGTACATATACACATATATAAGTGTGTATATATACGTATATATACATATGTGCGTATATATACGTATATATACATATGTGCGTATATATACGTATATATACATATGTGCGTATATACGTATATATACATATGTGCGTATATACGTATATATACATATGTGCGTATATACGTATATATACATATGTGCGTATATACGTATATATACATATGTGTGTATATATGTATATATACATATGTGTGTACATATATACACTTATTTACACAGGTGTGCATACATACAGGAGAGATATATAAAGGATATATATGATATATATATACTTACATATTATAAATATTGTATACTAATATATATCTATATCCTGTACATGTGTCTCTCTCTATCTCTATCTCTAGTGTGTGTATACACACACACACACACACACACACACACACACAGAGCTGAGCATCCCAAATTAGAAAATCAAAAATTGGAAATGCTCCAAAATCAGAAACTTTTTGAATGCTGAAATGGGGAGTCAAAGGAAATGCTCACTGAGATATTTCAGATTTTAGGTTTTTGGGTTAGGAATGCTTAACCAGTAAGATAATGCAAAAATTCCCAAATCTGAAAAAGCTGAAATTGGAAATACTTCTGGTCCCAAACATTTTGGATAAGG
This sequence comes from Homo sapiens, assembly GCF_000001405.40. Lineage (NCBI taxonomy): Eukaryota > Metazoa > Chordata > Mammalia > Primates > Hominidae > Homo > Homo sapiens. The sequence continues at coordinate 107,550,908 of NC_000008.11, read as the reverse complement.
GATACTCAACCTATATATGCATATACACATACACCCTTATGTTAAAATAAAAATGCTTTTAAATGGAAACTAGCAATTTCTTAAAGAAAAAGAACATGTACAACATTGTTTGTCTATCACATAATTTCAAAAAAGCACCTAAACCATAACCAGTAACTGGATTCTGCATTCCTTATAAACACTAGACTATCAACTCCTTGAGGAAAGGGTTTCTGGTCCATTTCTTTGCATACATTATGTCGAGTCCAAACATTTTTGTTCTAGCATTGGAGTCTGCATCACCTGCAGTGAAAATTGTTTTTAAGTATTAATTTTTTTAGTTGAATGTTAAGTGAAATCTTCTCATTTAATTCCCTGTGATCTAATTCTAAACTGAAAATAACATTTAAATGTTGATTACGGTATAATGCTCTTTCACTGGTATTTATGGTCTAGACTTTTTCAATCTAGTGTAAGGTTCACCTTTGTTCTCTAAACATAGTCCACATTTGAAGGTCAAGTTTCATATATTTTGTTTATGTATTGGTAAATTTCAGGCCTCCATTTTTTCTTTATTCATGTCACTTTTTAAAGGCATACTATAATAGGTTTGAAAATCTAGAAATTGGCAGTTCATTGGTGAGCAAGTTAGATAAGGGCTCTGGCTTATAAGTCAAGGGAGCTACTAAAAAAACACAATAGTCTTGGAAATGTCCTGAAGAAAACAGAAATAATAAGTGATGCTTATCTGAAGGTTTTACTATGTACTAGGCACTGTTTTAAGTATTTAACAGTTAACAGTTTTAATCTTAACAATCAGAAGTGGTTATTAACTTCATTTTGTCTGTGAGGAAACTGAGGCACAGAGGAGTCAGTCAAATCACAGAGCCATCACGGAGTTAGTAAGTTGTGGCTCTGGGACTGGAGTCCAGCAGCCTGGCTCCAGCATGTGTCATTTTAACCACTTCAGTATTCAGCCTCAAAAAGAGCTAATTACTTCAGGCAGCTTATTCTTCTTGTAGCTAAGGCAAAAAAGGAAAACAGTTATATAAATATTTTTGTGTTTTTGACAAGAGATATAGTACACTGAATCATTGTTTTGTTTTGTTTTGTTTTCTGGAACTAATCTCAATACTGAATTAACAGCATGGGGTTTGCTTAAAAGCATGTTGTAAGACACACTGGGCAGTGGCTTTAACTCTAATACCATAGTAGACACGGAAATGCTGTTTAACCAAACAGTTCTTATATCAACACTTCAAACGAGTAGAGGACCTCACATCCACATGCTTAACTCCCTGAGTTTACATAATACAAACATAGTACCAGGCAATTTAGTTGATGAGGTAGGAAATATATTCCTTAGATGGTGTCTCTTAAATATCAGATGTCTGAAGATTGCACAGGTGCAATCTTTACGGAATTTTCAAGTATATCCTCTCATAAGCAACTCAGATATTCTACATTGCTGACTACCACGAAAACCAGGTGAGAGAGGCCAAAAGGCCTTCTCTGGGGAAATAGAACAGCTGGACTATCACCTGATGAAGAGAGAAATGACCAATCCCTCCATTATGGAAATCAGCAGCATCCTTTCTTAATAGCTGCTGGTCATTCATTCTCTTCTTTCAGCAAGTCTTTCTAGGCTAGGCTTTATGTTACATGGTGGATGCACAGACATAAATAGCACAATTGCAAAGAGCTTCTCATATTACTGAAAGCCAACCATAATTTTCCCCAAAAGATTTAAATTGTTTTAAATTCTTACACTAGTTATTGGTTAAGAACTGAGAGTTTCACTTCACAGCATATGGCTTTAACCTAGGGTTTCTCAATCTCAGCACTAATGACATCCCGGGTTAGATAAATTTTTTGTTGCAGAGTGCTGTCCTGTGCATTGTGAGATGTTTAGCAGCATCTTTGGCCTCTTCCCATTAGATGCTAGTACTATCACTATCCCCAGTTTTGATATACAAAAGTTCTCCAGATATCACCCTGTCCCGCATTGAGAACCATTGCTTTAAACTGCAAAAATTTTAGAGCAAGTGTTAATATATTTATCCTAAGACAAAACAAAACAAAAGCAATAACAAAAATCCTCAGGATAGTTTGAGCCAAGTCTCATATTTTGAATTAAAGGACATTGGGCCTCCTAGAATGAGACACTTATAATGGGTATGTATAGAGAACTAAAATACATAATTTACTATTTAGAATTATTTTAGATAAACTTAAATAGTTTTTATTATTATTTTAAATAAATATTAGTAAATGCTTAATCCAAATACATAGGCCAGAGTCTTTCTTAAGGGTGACTATTTTTTTCCTGGGAATACCATTCCTTTTGTCTTCACCTTGGTTACCATACATGCTTCAAAATTTCTGAATCCCATCTATTAACACTCTGAATTGTTTTTCCAGCACCTCAATATAAACAAATACAAGGAGGTATAGATCAAGTCTCATACACCCTATAACTGTTTAGGCTCAACTCTGAGATGACCCATTAAATACATTTTATGCTTTCCAAAGCTGAAAAACCTGCATATGAAAGCCGAGTATTATAAGGTCCTTATAGCACATAGTGAATCCTCAATGGACATTTTTTGGATATTTATTTTTATTTGATTATTTATTGTTTGTTGTTTTCCAAAAAAAAATTAAGGTAGGTGGTATGGTTTGGCTGTGCTCCCACCCAAATCTCACCTTGAATTGTAGTTCCCACAATCCCCACATATCGTGGGAGGGGCCCGGTGGAAGGTAATTGAATCATGGGGGTGGTCATCTGCATGCTGTCCTCATGATAGTAAGTTCTCAAGAGATTTGAGGGCACTTTTGCCCTCCTTTGCTCTGCACTTCTTGCTGCCACCATGTGAAGAAGGATGTAGGTACCTGCTTCCCCTTCCGCCATGATTGTTAAGTTTCCTGAGGCCTCCCCAGCCATGCTGAACTGTAAGTCAGTTAAACCTTTTTCCTTTATAAATTACCCAGTCTCGGGTATGTCTTTATTAGCAGTGTGAGAACAGACTAATACGGTAAATTGGTACCACGGAGAGTGGGGCACTGCTGTAAAGATACCCAAAAAAGAGGAAGAAACTTTGGAACTGGGTAGCAGGCAGAGATTGGAACAGTTTGGAGGGCTCAGAAGAAGATAGGAAAATGTGGAAAACTTTGGAACTTCCTAGAGACTTGGAGAGCTCAGAAGACAGGAAGATGTAGGAAAGTTTGGAACTTCCTAGAGACTTGTTGAATGGTTTTGACCAAAATGCTGATAATAATATGGACAATAAAGTCCAAGCTGAGGTGGTCTAAGATGGAGATGAGGAACTTGTTGGAAACTGGAATAAAGGTTAAACTTTTTTTTCTTAATTTAATTTTATTTAAATTCTGGGATACATGTGCAGGATGTGCAGAATGTGTAGGTTTGTTACATAGGTAAACGCATGCCATGGTGATTTGCTGCACAGATCAACCCATCACCTAGATATTGAGCACAGCATCCATTAGCTATTCTTCCTGATGCTCTTTCTCCCCCACCCCCAACCTGACAGGCCCCAGTGTGTGTTGTTCCCCTCTATGTGTTCATGTGTTCTCCTTGTTCAGCTCCCACTTATAAGTGAGAACATGTGGTGTTTAGTTTTCTGTTCCTGTGTTAGTTTGCTGAGGATAATGGTTTCCAGCTCCATCCATGTCCCTGCAAAGGACATGATCTCATTCCTTTTTTATGGCTGCATAGTATTCCATGGTGTATATATGCCACATTTTCTTTATCCAATCTAACATTGGTGGGCATTTGGGTTGATTCCATGTCATTGCCATTGTGAATAGTGCTGCAATGAACATATGTGTGCATGCATTTTTATAATAGAATGATTTATATTCCTTTGGGTATACACCCAGTAATGGGAGTGCTGGGTCAAATTGTATTTCTGGTTCTAGGTCTTTGAGGAATCACTACACTGTCTTCTACAATGGTTGGACTAATTTACATTCCCACCAACAATGTCAGAGTGCTCCTATTTTTCCACTGCCTCACCAGCATCTGTTGTTTCTTGCCTTTTTAATAATAGCTATTCTGACAGGCATGAGATGGCATCTCATTGTGGTTTTGATTTGCATCTCTCTAATGATCAGTGATGTGCTTTTTTTCATTGTTGGCCACATATATTTCTAAATATATGTGGCCAACATAAATATATCTAAATATATCTAAATATATCTTCTTTTGAGAAGTGTCTCTTCGTGTCCTTTGCCCCTTTTTAAAGGGGTTGTTTGTTTTTTTCTTGTAAATTTGTTTAAGTTTCTTGTATATTCTTGATATTAGACCTTTGTTAAATGGATAGATTGCAAAAATTTTCTCTCATTCTGTAGGTTGCTTGTTCACTCTGATGATAGTTTAACCGTACAGAAGCCCTTTAGTTTAATTAGATCCCATTTGTCAATTTTCACTTTTGTTGCAATTGCTTTTGATGTTTTTGTCATGGAATCTTTGCCCATGCCTATGTCCTGAATGGCATTGCCTAGGTTTTCTTCTGGGGTTTTTATCGTTTTTGGTTTTATATTTAAGTCTTTAATGCATCTTGAGTTAATTTTTGTATATGGTGTAAGGAAGGTGTCTAGTTTTAATTTTCTGCATATGGCTAGCCAGTTCTTCCAGCACCATTTATTAAACACGAAATCTTTCCCCATTGCTTGTTTTTGTCAGGTTTGTCAAAGATCAGATGGTTGTAGATGTGCAGTCTTATTTCTGAAATCTCTATTCTGTTCCATTGGTCTGTGTTTCTATTTTTGTATCAGTTCCGTGCTTTTTTGGTTACTGTAACCTTGTAGTATAGTTTGAAGTTGGGTAGCGTGATGTCTCCGGCTTTGTTCTTTTTGCTTAGGATTGTCTTGGCTATATGGCTTCTTTTTTGGTTCCATATGATTTTTAAAGTAGTTTTCTCTAATTCTGTGAAGAATTTCAGTGGTAGTTGACAATAAGATGCTAAACTCTGCTTGTTTGGATGAATCCCAGTGCAAATTAGGACTGCAGGAACGCAAGTACTGCATCATCTCTGGAGTTTGCCATCACTAATACTTGTTTCAACTGATCTTTACTGTGTCATGAGGGGCTGTGTGGTGGTAGTTATGGTTTCTAAGAAATACCAGGAATTGACTACTTTATGTTACCAGGTATTTCTATAGTCATATTCTCATATTCTTTTTTTTTTTCCAGACAGATTTTTACTGTCGCCCAGGCTGGGGTGCAGTGGTGCGATCTTAGCTCACTGCAACCTCCGCCTCGTGGGTTCAAGTGATTTTCCTGCCTCAGCCTTCCCAGTAGCTGGGATTACAGGTGCATGCCACCATGCCTGGCCAATTTTTGTATTTTTAGTAGAGGTGGGGTTTTGCCATGTTGGCCAGGCTGGTCTCGAAGTGGTTCGCCCAACTCTGCCTGCCAAAGTGCTGGGATTACAGGCATGAGCCACCATGCCAAGCCTGCAGTCATATTCTTAACAGTTAACCAACAATTTAGTGTCCTACCAAGGCCATATGTCTGAATAGACAGCTGTCTCACATCAATATAGTATTTGTTTAAAGTAAGACCATTGGAAAGAGAAAAGAAATCTCTCTTAAAAAATAACCAAGAACCAAAGTAAACAAAACAAAACAAACAAAAACACATACAAAAACAAAAAGCTTAAGACATTAAAAGCTTCATATCATAACAATTGGTTATAATAATCTAAACCTAAGCAATTTTAAACAAGATGTAACAAGAATCAACTATATCTTTTCCAAAAATAATATTGGTGAAGCATCAACAGAGTGACTATCTTTGAGCTACGGAGCTTTCTAGAACGTCTTCCAATGTAAACTGGTGTGCAGGATTAAATGTTGCCACAAAGGTTGAGATAAGAAGTCTAAGTTCCCTCTCCTGTGTCTGGGCTGGCCTTCATTCTCGCATAACTAATAGAATATTAGAAGCGATGTACTGGGACCACCAAGGTTAGGCCATAAGAAGGCTGGCAGCTTCTACCTGGGCTTCCTTGGCAACCTCTCTCTGAGAGCCCCAAGCTGCCATATATAAGACTCCTGACCCCCCTTTCGACTCCATCGTGAAGAGACCATGTATTGGTGCTCGGGTCCCAGCTGACCTTCTCTCCCACGGCACCAGAGTTGTGAGTGAAGCTGACTAGCACCCTTTAGACTAGCCCAATCTTTCAAGAGCACAGGGAAAGAAGAATTACTCCATGGAATCTGATTGAATTCCTGACCCACAAATATGAAGTATCACACAATGCTTACAGTTAAGCCACTAAGTTTTGAGGGAGTTAACAACATATAACAGGAACAACTTCTAAACACATATACACATAGGATTTGACTAGTTGTGTATCTATGAGTCAGTTAAATTCAAAGAGGTGACTGATCTACTAAAATTGATAATTTGTGTTTATGAAGTATTGGTGTTCTTTTTTATTAAAAATAACTGATGCTCCTTTTTCATGGTCTCTTTTAGTTCACATTCAAGGTTTTGGTAAAAGCCTCACTTTTCCCACCATTCATCTTTCCCCTCCCCTCCCCTCCCCTGCCCTCCCTTCCCCTCCCTTCCCCTCCCCTCCCCTCCCCTCCTCTCCCCTTTCCTCCCTCCCTTACTTCCTCCTTCCCTCCCATCCTTGCTTCCCTTTCTTTCTCTTTCTTTTCAAATGTGACTTTTTTCTATTAGGTTGTGCATGGAAAAACCAAGTTACTGCAAATCTGACTATTAGCTTTTGTGGCTTTATAATGATGATCATGCATATATATTACGGTCACTTTACATAAGCAAGGCTCATGGTAGTTTTAGTATAAATATTTTTTAAAATCCAAAATCATTAATTATTTTTCATCCATTTAAAAAATTTATGGTAGAAATATTTTAATGCTATACAATTAGCAGACTGCATTTAATTTCATGATAAATCCTATTTCAGCATGATTGTGAGAATGAGATATAGCAGTTATCCAGCTTGTTTTGATAAAAGACTTCTCCAAGAATAATAGAATTTTAAACTATCTTCATGTGAACACCTTAAATGAAAAAAACTATGATTCTCCTGATTCATGTCTTAGCTTGCTTATATTTAAAATTAAATTCAGTTTTGATGGCTTTTGAGTCCCACCAAAATATTATAAATCTTTTATAAACGTTTTCTTGAATTTACTTAATTATGAAAAAATGAGGATAAAGTCCCAATTTTTGTTGCCCTTTGGATTATAGATATCTTGTCAACTTTCTCTGAAACATTTTATATTTGAGAGCTTAGACTTGAGAATTTGTTATGTCCTTTTTTTAGTCAGTCTAAATTTTTACCCCCTTAAAGACACATACTACTTAAATTCCTTAAATACTAGGGTGCCGTTTGAAATTTAATGTAATTTTGACATAGTTTTCTTGTGTGTTCCATTATAACATCACAACTGGCATTATATTACGTCTATTATAAAGATTTGAGAATTATAATTCATTCTTAACCATAGCTCATCAAATTGAATTACACCTTTGCTGTGAAATAAATTTACATAAATTATGAATGATATTTTTGGCATATGGACAAATATAATTAAAATATCTTTGTAAAAAGATGTATAAGTATGCAAATGTCTGCCTTCCTTTCATATTAATAACTCCTTTTGGAAAAGAAAATTCAAGACTACCTGAAGATTGAAAAGGTAAAAATAATTAACTTGATGTTTTATATGTAATTCAGTGATTTCCCTTAATTGTTTATAAATCCCAAACTAAGAATATATATACATATATATACCTATATGTGTATATATACATATACGTATATATACATATACATATACGTATATATACACATATACGTATATGTATATATACATATACACATATACGTATATATACGTATACATGTATATATGTATATATACACATATATGCATATATGTATATACACATATATACATATATGTATATACACATATATACATATATGTATATACACATATATACATATATACGTATATATAATACATATATATATATATATATATATACATGCACAAATGTTGGCCTAAGAGTACTGCATTGAGAGTCTGCCTACAATTTTTCTTAGAATGAATAATTCAATTGTCTGTAAAGAGAGCCATTTTTGGGGAGTGACTATAAGTGGTCTACTAGGACTGAATATATTCTGTTAAAGCAAAAAAAAAAAAAAAAAACCCCATCATCAGAGCTTTAACAAAACAGCTATTTTACGATCATGGTGTTTTTCCTAATGAAGAGCATCTTCTCAAAACTTTGCTTTGATGCTCACATTTCTAAATGTTTAAAATTTTAAGCTTTCACTCTCATGAAAATATGTGTTCTCTTTTTCAAATATTTAAATTTGTAGAATAGTCTAGTTTTGGCACAACTCAAGAATCACTGGCTCTCATGTGTATTGCATTGATTATTATATCTAACAATAAAGTGTTGAAGGGAATAGTAGATGGAAAAAATCTGAAAGCCATCATATCAAAAATGATATGGTCATAGTTAAGGTCAAACTTGAATGACATAGTTTATGTTCTTTAAGGGTATCAACGCCTATTTATTTATTAACCCAATCTTCAATCTTTACTAACTGTGTAGAATGCATAGTTACAGTGTTTGACACTCAGGATACATCTAAGTAAATATAAATTCCCTAATTAATTGATGCTTTCACCAAACATTTTGTGAATACTTGCTACTATAGGCAAGAAGCCTTCCTAAACATTATAGGGACATCATAACTCCAGTAACATACAGATTTTTAAAAGGACTAACTTGAAGCCCTGCTAGTGTCTATATTCACGAGCTGTTGTGGAGTATCACAGTGTGCTAAAAGAGTGGTAAAGGGACACCCATTTTGACCGAACTACTTAATTAAGGGTTACTAACAGTTTCTTATAATGGCAAGATTTATCTGACCATTAAAACATTATAAAGATTAGATTAGTCGTGATCGCACAGAAATTTTTGAAATTCTATTATTTAATTATTATCCTGAGTCCTAATAGGTTATTTGTCACATTGGATGAGGAATCTATATTTTGATTAAGCAAATGTAACATTGAGACCATAACAATTTCCCAATTCCATTTAAGCATTAATATTAGTAGACAATCTCATACTTTAAATTGATTTCTTAGGCACTGAATTACAAACACTTTTTAAAAGACATGGTATTTTTGTGGCAAGTATTAAAAATAAGATAAAATAATTTTTTCATCATTCATTATAGGAACCATCTTGGTGAAATGACATATTTTTAAGAGTAGAGGTGCTTTACCAAGATGGCTCAGTCCACCAGGGTGGAGGGACAGAGAATGAACCAGAGGCTTAGAGACTCTTGGGGCACTGAAGTCAAACTTTGTTTCACTGATGCAATCTGGGACATCAATTGCTAATTACCTTTTGTTCTGAAAAATGTTAAAATAAAACATATACACAATTTTATATTTTTTTCTGATCTAATTAAAGCATGCTATTCTAAAGAGTCACCTTTCCAATAAAGCTCTTCATTATAATTTGAAGTTTTACATTCATTACAATTACAATGAAGTTATTTCACAAGTAAAATGATTTGAGCTTAATTAGCTAAGTCTATTCTCTTTTGCTAACAGTCACATAGTAAATGTCTGGCTTAGTTTGAGGAACTTGGGGATTAATTTTCGTGGTTTTAAAATCCAGCATGCCTAACGGGAATACAGTCCTTGCCTTCTTCGCTATTAGTTGGTGAGATAGTAACCTTTCTAAGGTTTACCTGGCGGCCAGTAAATCTTCTCCAGTAACCAGACACCATAATTTGGACTCAAAAGGAGATTTACTCCTAACATGTGGGAATCCATGTTCAAGTCTATCATCACCTCTCTTATTGGAGCTACATTTGTGTTCTGTGTCCTCTGGTGAGCCGAAATAACCACTTTTCCCTGTGAAATGAACAACGAGACATCTCCTCAAAATCATGTCTGTTTTGTCAGAAAACAGATACTGGGTCACAAAAGGATGAATAAATATTTTTATCTAACTATATAATCCCAATTCTCCTCCTACATCCTTGAAGATTACATTTTCTTTTTCCTTGATTTCTTGTTTTAGCTTCCAAATTGGTCTCTGCTTTTCTAATGCAGAAGGTGTTTTTGATCTAAGGGCTCCATCCCTCTCTCAAGGTACATCTCACATCTTTCACTTTTTCTACCTTCTCATCTAACCACTTGCTCTGTGTCTCTGGTATATACAATTCATCTCTATCATAGATGTCACCACTACCTTGAACAATTTATAAAGCCATCTTAGACTTTTTCAGAAAGTTGACTTTTCCTTCTGCTGCCTCATCCCAATTCAGTAATTATATCAGCCTTATTATAACACATAGACTGTGAAATATTCAAGGAGCTCTTTTTATTCTTTTCCCACCCTCACTCTCCACCAAGAGTGTTACAAAATTCTGCCACCTTTTCATACGAAGTATTTCTCTTTTCTTCTCTATCCCCATTACCTCCCTCCCAGTGTTGGCTTTTTAATATTCATATAATTCTAACTCAATCCTAATTTTTACTCTAGTGTTCTTTCTACTATACAGATCTGTTTCTCTGTAAAGTAAATTCTTTCTGAAAGTATAACATTGAAATGTGTATTCTCAGCGGTCCTCTGTCCTTAGTCTCTAGCCAAAGCAATCACCTTGGGGGTACATTAAAGAAAATCATTGTTATTATTCCTGGTATGCATCCCATAGTACCAAAGTCTATGTCAGAGCTAAACTCAGGCTCAGTGCTGTCCATGAAGAGTTGGCTCTTCTTTATTCAAGAAAAGTTACAAGGTTATTTGGTTAAGGCAAGTGTATGGTAGGAAGGTGGGGAAGAAAAGGGAAATTGAGGAAAAGAAATTTGATATAAACCTATCACAAGTCCACTGAAGTCTACATCAACTGAACCAAATTATAGAAAGTGAATTTTTAAAATATTGTTTAAAATTTCTAATGAGTATTAAAATAGTTTCTAGTAAGGTAAATTTTGTTTGGCTTCCTGAGCCAGCCCACAATGTAGGTTTCTCTCATAAAATGGCTGAAATACTCTTTTTGCAAAGTTTTACAATGCAATGTTTGGCAACTATACTTATAGTACTGTATTCTAGCTGTATTCTGCATTATAGATGAAATAGATTTCTATGGGTTTATTTGGGGGTCCAAATAATAATTATAACATTGTAAACTTCAATCTGAAGTCTACTTCTTGATGATATTTATTAATTCATTTATTTAATAAACTGTTCTTAAGCTATTCCTATGTGACAGCCAGAACACCACCAGTAAGTTGCTGTCATAGCCTCAAGGAGATGACAGTCCTAAAATGAGAGCCATCTCGTAAATTGATAATTATTATTCAATGTGGAATTTGTTTTAAAAGCAACATTAACATTCAGTGCTCTAGGACACCAAAGAGATGGTCTGCCTTATGGAGAACTTGAACCTCTCTTAAGGAATTGGTAGGCATTTATCACAAGTAAAAGGGCGTAGAGGGCATTCTAAGCCTCCACTTAGGAACAGCACATGCAAAGCCACAAAGTTTGGGAAGGGATAGTGTCATTTAGGAACGACCAGAAGAAGTTCAGTGAAGTTAGATAATGAGAAGTGATAGGAGAAGTAGAAAATGCTTGTCAGAGTCTTGATTGAAAAGGTACCATACTAAGGAGTTTGCAATGTTGCTAGAAGGGATTTGGCAATATATATTCAGGAGTATGACTCAATCCCATTTGATTTGTAAAAATTCTAGGGGAAGAAAGATCCATTAGAAGATTCATGAAAATGCACAAGTGGAAGATAATGATGGTCTTCTTTATGGCTGCAGCAGCAGAGTTACAAAGAGGGATGTTCATTCAAGAGTCATTCTTGAAGCAGAAGCAACAATTTCATGGCCAATCAGAGAGACAGTGGCAGATGGCAGCTGGGTGCTGGAAGAAATGGAAAAAGAAGACTAGAAAATGCTGCAGAGATTTTGCTTGAGGAGCTTTGAAAATTATTGCTCATGAAATATAAAATAATGGGCTGATTTGGAGTAATGGATAATGAATAGGTGATGTTTGAAGTGGAATTACAGTTGGAATTAAAGACCCAAGAGCTGGCATCATTTCCTGCAAATCTCTTCCAAGTATCAGTCTCTTATTTTGCTTGTTCAATATCTTGGGACCTAAAGGAGAGATTGCTTTTCTTCTTGTTCTCTAGTGTACCTGCTAGACAATAGAACGCAGTCTCAAGTCAGCATCCCTTTGGAATCCAAGCTAGGCAAATGGCAATTCCTGCCTTGAGCCCCATCACTCCACTCTGACAGTTTTATATCAGTTGTTTATTTTAATGAAAATTTGTAAGACCCATATCTCATATGATGTATGATTTTGGTACCTAACATAAATACATAAGTGCATGAATAAATGAAATTTATTCTTCCTGAACTCTAGTGTTTGCTTCATTTCCCCAGGCTTTTAATTCTGTATCAGTCAGGGTTCAAACAGAGAAACAGACACAGTAGGAGGTATATAATATAATATAAACATATGTGCCACATGTATTAAAGGGTTAATTACAGGAAACTGGCTTACACAATTGTGGGGTCTGGTTAAGCAGTCCCTGTAAGACTGTCTTTGTGTCTTATGCTGGCTTGAAGTCCACAGGGTAGGCAGTCACGGAGGGAATATCGCCAGCAGGCAGGAACCCAGTAAGGCTGGACTGAAATCCATGTTTGCTCTTGTTGCCTCTGACTTGGTAATGAAGGAACCCTGCAGAAGTTGAGCCTCTTTCTCACAGAGCTAAACACACATGCCCAAGCCAGCTGCTGCTTCATCTACTGAGGGGAATCAGCACACCAGTAAAGTGTGTATGTTACACAATGGCTGCTGCCTCCCTTCTATCCTCCAAAATCTCTCCTCCTGGCTTTGAAAGCCTTTTTATCTGATCTCAGCATCATGTTTTTATTAGTCTGTTCAGGCTGTCATATAAAATACCATAGATCGTGTGGCTTAAACAAAAGACATTCATTTTCTCACAGTTTTGGAGACAGAAAGTTCAAGATCAAGGTGCCAGTAAAGTTGATATTTAGTGTGGGCTCTCCCCTTTGGTTATAGATGGCTGCCTTTGCCCTGCGTGCTCACATGGCCTTTCCTCAGTGCATGCATAGAGAGGGAGAGAGAGAGTGAGAACGTGAGAGAGAGAGAGAGGAGAAGAGAAGGAGAGAGAGAGACAGAGGAGAGAAAGAGAGAGCACACACTCTGTTGTCTCCTCTTATAAGGACGCTAATTCTATTGGATGAGGGTCCTACCCTTGTGAACTCATTTAACCTTAATTACTTTCTCAGAGCCCATCTCCAAATGTAACCACACTGAGAGTTAAGGCTTCAACATTTGAATTTTGGGGGGATACAAACATTCAGTCCATAGCTTTTGCAATTTTATTTATATTCACGCAAGCAACCAAAAAGACCCCTTACGCTTCAATCACACTACTTTGTCCATTTCTAATCTTGGGTAAGCCTCAGAAAGCTTAACTCTGCTGGAGAAAGCAACATCACTTTGTCAGCATATGCTCCTGAATATTTATGCTATCCAAACCCCACTGGCTCTTCACTGCTCACTCCTCAGTCTTTTATTTTTCCATAGTGATGACAAGATACTATGCCTTTTCCAAGCCTTTCTCACACTTTTCAGGGTCTCACAATAGGCCTCAACCTTTTGACTCTCAGACTATCACTGTATTTCTTCCATCTTAGAGATGATAAGAAACACAATTAAGTAAAATCCTTGGAATTATTTTTCTTCCCTGTGGCCTCAGAGAAAAGGTATTTTGAATCCTTTCCTTGGTGAGTTACTTTCCAAGAACTGGTGATGAGACCTTCCTATATCAATAATCTCTTCTTTCTGTTGTATCTTGAATTTCTTTCCCTCCACTAGCTTCTTTCATAAACTTACAAACACCTTCACATCTTGCATTTTCTTAAAAATGATTTTATGTGGAACCCTGTCCCTACCCACTTTTCCCAACTAGCTTCCATCACAACTATTCTGAAAAGTATTAAGAGCAAATAGCCTCCTACTTATTAATAGTAAATCTAACAACCTCTTCTCTGTCCTCATTTTCCCTGGCTCTCTGCCACATGCAGCCAAATTTATTCCTTGACACTGTCATCTCAGATTGCTCCCGAGTCTCTTTCTGTACTTTTTTTACCCAGCCTCTAAAGGTAGGCTTCTCTCAACATCCTTTACATGGCCATCTTACTCTAAGCTGACAGTTCTGTGATGCATCTGAGACTTTAAAGAGTTTTTTAATGAGAATAACCAGAATAGCCCTGCCCAACAAAGAGATAATGCAAGCCACATATGTAGTTCTAGATTTCCTATTAACCACTTTACAAAAAGTAAAAGAAACAGATGATATTAACTTTAGTATACTTTCTTTAACTCAACATACCCACAGTACTATCATTGTAACATGTAATTAACTAAAACATTATATATAAAGTATTTGACAACCTTTTTTAAATATGATGTCTTTAAAATCCAGTGTGTACTTTATACTTAGAGCCCACCTTGATTTGGACAAGTTTCATTTCAAGTGCTCAATAGTCTCATGAGGCTACTAGCTACTATCTTGAACAGCATTTCTCTGGAATCTATATCCCTGACCTCAGTTCTGAGTTCTGGAGCTGAAACTGCAACTCCTACCATTATCTCACATCCAACCTATTACTTGTACAATCTATCAGTCAGAGTGGTGGTGATGATCTGTGAAGATACAGCAAAGAATTTACTCCATTGCTCATATACATTTGTGGATGTTCCTATAGAAAGGCAACATGGTGGACATAAACAGTAAGTCACAGGGGACTAAGTTTGAATCCTAACTTATTATGGTCTGAATGTTTGTGTCCCCCTCAAATTTATATGTTGAAATTCTATCCTCCAATGTGATGCTACTAGGAGGTAGGGCCTAGGGAGGTGATTAGATCATACGTGCGGAGCCCTCATGAATGGAATTAGTGCCCTTCTAAAAGGGACCCTAAAGACTCTCTCACCCTCTCCCCTCCGTATAAGGATATAACAAGAAGTCAGCAGTTTGCAAATTTAAAAGAGGGCCTGCACCAGAACCTGATCATGCTGGCACTCTGATTCTCAGACTTCCAGCCTCCAGAACTATGAGAAAAGATTTTCAGTTGTTTATAAGGCCCCAGTCTATACTACTTTGTTCCAGCAGCCCAAACTAAGACATAGTTTTATTGCTAACTTCCATATGACATGGAACAAATTATTTCACCTTCATGAGATTCTTTTTTTTCATCTAAAACAGAGGATACATAATGTTTGTCTTTTGGCAAGTTTGTTGTAAGGAAGATGCTATTATTCCTTACACAGTGCATGGCCCATAGTAATTGTACAAAAAAGTAACTAGGTCATTATCATGACACTCAAAGTTCTCTATGACCTGCTCCTAACTTGACTTCCAAGTCTTATTTCCTGTTCTGAGATCCAGGCACATCCTTGTACTTTCATGCATCTATGCCTTCATTTCTTCATTTTTCAAAATACTTACCTACTCTGAGCTAGGCTCCATGACTAATCTGCCCTTAATGAGTTCATTTATTCATTTATTTATTCATTCATTAAAGAAAAATTGATTAAGCATATACTATGTGCTAACTACTTTTTGGGTGCTTGAGATAAATTACCGAACAGAACAGAAGATATATTTGCTTGAGGAATTTACATTTTAATTGGGAAGGCAGAAAATAAAAAGTAAATATAATTAATCAGAAAATTATATAGCATGGTAGAAGCCAATAAGTGCTGTGGGGGAAAAAATAGAACAGAGAAAATGAGATTAAGAGTGGAGAGGAGGGAGCTGCTTACCCACTGTAAGTCCCTGGATACAGCAACTTATCTTACGCATCCTAAAATAGCTCGTAGCAAGTACTTTTAACATAATAAGCACTCAATAAAGAAGAGCTGAACTCAATGGAAATGAGAGGAAAAACAAGATTTAATTTCTGAATAAATGATTTACATGTGAGTTTTATAAACACTTTATTTTATTTAACTTTTTTTTTTTGAGATGAAGTCTCTCTTTTGTCCCCCAGGCTGGAGTGCAGTGGGGTGATCTCAGCTCACTGCAACCTCTGCCTCCTGGATTCAAGCGATTCTCTTGCCTCAGCCTCCCGAGTAGCTGGGATTACAGGCACGCGCCACCACGCCTGGCTAATTTTTGTATTTTTAGTAGATACGGGGTTTCACCATGTTGGCTAGGCTGGTCTCGAACTCCTGACCTCAGGTGATCTGCCCGCGTCGGCCTTCCAAAGTGCTGGGATTACAGGTGTGAGCCACCGTTCCCAGCCAACACTGTTTATTTTGATTGGAGCATCCTTGATTTTCTTTAGCAAAATTCTTAGGAGTTGCCATTTTCCTGGATATTGTCTCCACACAATTTTAGTTATGCAGGTGGAATATAGTGAAATAAATAAAGAAATCGGGTAGGAATCCTATGCTAATTGGAACTGAGAGCCCATGTAACTATGGGTAGATTTTTTATATTATGTTATGTTATATTAATAAATATATAAAAAATATGGGGAGCTGGTACCCCCAAAATTTGGAATTTTTGGAGTAAGCAAAGTCAAGCAACCTTAAATATGTAAATATGTGTTAGACTCTTCAAGAAGACTACTACATATAACATCCAGCATTTGTCATATTTAGTTTACCACATCACTCCATTTACACTAATATTTGGAGGGGTTAGAATTGAGGTAGATGCACATTTGGAAATGATGATCTAGAGAACAAATGGCAATGTAGGCAGAAGTGCTTAGACTTTAAATAGGATGGTCATGTAATTTCTTACTCGAAGCAGATATTTTTTACAATGAAATGGGGCACTGTTAATAATTATGCCAGGAAAATAGGCATAAACCAAGCTTGTCCTTGGGAAACTGTAGCGTATAGTCTCTCTATTTACAAGACACTCTGTTTACAGCCCTTGTGCATTCCTATCTTCCCCTACTACATTTTCTTCTTAGTTTCTTCAGCTTCCTTGGAAGATAGGTACAAGGGGAAACCTACATGAGAGGAAGTAATAGCTATGCATTCCTTTTTGATGAGAGCTCTTTATATCTTCAGTAACATAATGTATCATAAGAAAGAAAACTGAAAATGAAAGCTTTGAGGAAATACGTGCTTGACTTTTTAAAGCAAGATAAGGAACTATCGTTAGTTTCTGAAGCTAATAACTGATGGGGGAAGCTAATAACTTGGTGAGACTTTTTTCTCTAAGAAATTGCTTTGGTTACCTTTCCAGATATATTATGAGAGGTTAATTTTAGATATATTGATGTATTTGTGACTATGTTTAATATAGGGATCACTATCAATACCTATAAAGTTTTTTAAATGGGCTTGGAAATTTTACAATAAAATAAATAAAACCATAATGTCCATAAAACTCAAACAATTAAATTGTGTTTTTTCATGAATTGATGAGCACTCATACATTTAATTTTGTACAGCTCACTGTAAAAATCTACACTCAGCTAAGGAATGGATGCAATTTCAATCTTCTGCAACAAGTTCTATTTCTGTTCTTTATATAAACAAAGCCAGCCATTACCTTGCTGTTCTCAAAATGGATCTCAGTATTCCTTATACTAATCACAGCTTTCCTTCGGCAAACAAATTTTAAACATAGAATCTAAATTCGGCATCATTAGGCATTTTTTAAAAAGAGAACATTATTCAGAAATGCTACATAAGCTAAAAGGGGTTATATTTTTATACAGTTTTGGATAAATATTTTATGACTCTAGGAAGAGAAAATTTCTAATTTTATTAAAGAACATTTTGTCTGCACATCTGCTTCCAAGTTCAATAAGTAGAAAAAGCCCACTATGCAAGGGAATGAAGTGCTTACATACTCACCAGAACATACTTATTTTAGGGAGATACATAACAATAAAAGAAATTCATTGTTAAGATGAAAATTTCTCTGAGTTGCTTTGCAGGATAATCACATTATAGTTTTTCTGAAGCAACATGAACATCATAATTTGCATTTTCTCCGTTTCCTTCCATCTGATAGTCTGATTGTCTCCAAAAGAAGCCACTGGCCTTGACATGTACAGACAGAGGATATAGTTACCCTGGCAACAGGCACCATGGACCACAAGTGACCCCTCTCTGAAGAGTGTCAGTGCCTCCTTTTACAAAAATTAAAAAAAATTTACTATCTTCTACTTAAAACAAAAAAAAGTCTCTGTTTTTAAAGCTGAAGAAAAATATAGCTCCAGCTGATTTCAGCTTCTTTATTTGGCAACTTTTAAAATGTAGATTTGAAATCAATTATCCACTTCTTCGTGTTAATTTCATCACTATGAGTTATACAATCATTTAGGTAACTATAATGTACTAAACCCCTTTCTGGTAGCCACAGTCTGAAGATCCAGCAGAGGGAGCCCACACATTATTGTTGTTTTTTAAATAACAGTCTAAAATGATATAATTTTATTTTAAATTTTCTGATAATAGAACTCCTGGTATTTTTTATTCTAGGGATTAGCTACCCAGAAAAGTATAAGTATTCTAATGTCAGTTTGTGATGGTTCCTGCTGTTTTAATCTAATGAACTGCCAACATTTTTATGTTTATCTAAATAAACACTTTTAAAGTCTATTTTGTGCAACCAGTTCAAGAATACCCAATGGGACTAATATAACCTTTATTTCAGATTTCCCAAAGTTTTTAGCCAGATCCTCCTCCCTCCCCGCTTTCAAAATCTTTGACTGAAGACAAACAATGCACACCCATGAAAAGCACTGAGGAGCAGTTTTTTAACTGAACACAAAAATCCTGAGGAGTCCCTAGCTGGTTTCATAAAAAAAGAACATAAGTAGTTTACACGGCATTATCTTCATGTCAAGAAAGACGTCTTTGAGATGACATGCCTGTTGTAGGAAGCTGTGGGATTCCAGGACCTGCCTTGCTCCCAGAAGATAATTCCTTAGTTCCTAATAACTTGGTGAGACTTAGTTCATCAACCTAGGAATAATCATTTGCTCATGTATGCTTCAGAAATATTCATGGAAGTCCAGTCATCATCAAGTTTGAAGAACATAAGCATGTTCTTATCATGTGATGGATACTGGGCTACATTCTCCCTTCTAAACCTTACAATGACTAATTTATGGATGAAAAACTGCATCTGAGGGAACTTAAATAAATTGCCTATGGTCCCAAAGGTAATAAGTGATGGAGCTTGAATTTACATGTAAGTCTGTAAGACCCTAAAGTGCATGCTGATAACCACTGTGAAATATTGCCTTCCTAGGCTCGAAGAGTTCACAGTCTATTGATTTCACTCTTGCTTTTACTAAAACCAGGATTTCTTGCTCTTAGTGCAGAGACTTCTAGATAAGAAAAGAAAATCAAGTGGATAATATCTGCATACTTAACCATGAGTCAGCACCATGCTATATGCTTCATGTGTCTCATGAAACCTTTGAGCAGCCATAGGAGATGCATTTTATTCCCACTTTACAGATAAAGAAACTAAGGCCCAGGAGATTATATGATTTACCCAAGATGATACCATGAACCCAGGATGTGAATCTAGATCTTTCTGATTTTAAAATCTTCATTGTCATGCTGCCTCTTCCTACTGAATTATTTCTTCTAATCAGTTCCTTAAAAATTAAAAAGTTTCTCAGGTAGTTATTTGGACTTAGCTCACAGTGAGAAGTATTTGTAAAAAATTTTTCTCAACCTAAACTCAAATATTCATTCATGGTTAAGTTTCTTGAGGTATATATATGCTTATATTAATTTTTAAGTAAAAATGTGGTTTGTTTTCTATTCCTCAGAAAATTCAAATATTATTAGTTGAAACAAAGAATCATAGAATTTGGCCAGGCGCAGTGGCTCATGCCTGTAATCCCAGCACTTTGGGAGGCTGAGACAGGCAGATCATGAGGTCAGGAGATCGAGACCATCCTGGTCAACATGGTGAAACCCCGTCTCTACTAAAAATACAAAGATTAGCTGGACGTGATGGCACGTGCCTTAATCCCAGCTACTCAGGAGGCTGAGGCAGGAGAATCATTTGAACCAACCAGGGAGTCAGAGGTTGCAGTGAGCTGAGATCGTGCCACAGCATTCCAGCCTGGCGACGGAGTGAGACTCCATCTCAAAAAAAAAAAAAAAAAAAAAAATAGAACTTAAAAACTAGAATGGGCCTTACTACTCATTTAGTCTGATTCTCTTATTTTATGAATGAGAAAACTGAGATCCAGAGAAATTGTGACTTGTTCAGGTTCCCATCATTAGTTAGTGGTAACACAGAGCTGCCATTCTAACCCAAGAAAGCAGAATTTCCTTGCCCTGTTTCAAAAAGAACTTAAGACAAATTGTTTTATAAACAAATCTGATACCTAAGTCACCTTAGGTCGTAACCTGATGTTGACTTTAGCAAGCTAAAGTCATTTTCATGAGACCAAAGCTGGATTTTATCAATGGTATGAAAATTAAAATTATGATAAATTTTAACCAGAGTTAAAAAAGAAAATTGTTTCACAACTGAAAATTTAATAAAATTTGTTTCAAAATACTTTTGAGAACAAACTCATAAGCCAAAGACAGTAAAGATTTTAGAGCTTTTATTTGGGTAAAACAGCAAGTTGAAACATACAGTGAATATTAGAATATCAAGTTCAGAAGACAATATGATTATGTCATTGGTTTACCACAGAAGACCACTAATTGTAGCTGTGTTTTTGTATGTATATGGCACATTTTAATTAATTCTCTACATATGACTTTTAAAGGCTCCTTTCTGTTGTTTGCAGATGGACTGTTTCTGGATGTAAGTTTCAACACACACATACCCAAGTGCACACATGCACGCACGCAAACAGATTTAAAGCAATCTAAGACACTCTTGCCCTGTGTTTACAGTCACAGAACAAAGTTCCTAAGTGGGGACAGGCCAGAAATAAAGTGCTGATGAGATCCTGACTCCTGATGGCAAGAGCAGGTTTGAAAGTCAAGTCTCAGCCGGGATGAAGGCATCTTAGTGGGTAGACAGGTTACTTTTTAGAGGTCAGGCTTTCAGAAGGGTCACCTAATCCTATTAATCTTTTCATATGTTCATGATGTGATTTCAGCAAGGGTAGAATTCACGTGCAAGAAAGTTTTACTGAGCCCTCCCTTTGCTTTTGGTTGAGCATATGCCTCATAAATGTCAGAACTGGCCTGTGGCAGAGAAAAATTAGCCAACCACCTAGTAATCATTGTGCCTTACAAGCCATTCAGAAGAAACTACAGATAGAACATTCAGTTTTAGAAGACCTTACAAACCATTAATGGAAGGAGGGCCTGTGGAAAAACACCCGGGAACACAAACATTTAAAGAACAAAACTTAAAAACAATGTTTTCACTATATTGTCATCTTTTGTTTGTTTGTTTCCCATAGCTTAGTCCCTGATAATTGTAGACCTTTCACAATTGTTTAGTTGAATGAGTAAAACCCAGCAGCCTATATTTTCTGAGTGCTTTCTGTGTGCCAACAAGTGTTAACAAGAACTTCTAAATACATTACCACATTTAAACCACATTATAATTCTATGAGGTACAATTGTGAAAACTGAGACTTCTGTAACACACCCGAGGTCACCTAGTGAGTGGCAGAGGCAGGACTGAAGCAAAATCTATGTTTCTCAGGGATAGTGCTTTCAATCACGAGGCAGATTTGAGTTGGAACATTTCCATCAGGAGCGTAAACAGTTGGTGTACTCTCTGATTCTAGTCACACAAACTTTATTTTTCTTAAATGGCAGTAATTATAGCATGGCTATATTGTTGCTCCAAGTTTCTCTGGCTTCTGTATTTTATTTGGTTTGCTGTAAATGCCTCCTTAAGGAACATAAGGACCCTGGACTTTAATGTAATTTCAGGTCACTGGTTGACCCAGCTCCAAAATTCTTGCAAAAATGTTATTTCCCACAGGGGAAAAGATACATTTAGAACCTAGAAATTGGTGCATAACATTTCCATTCTTGCCATGAAGCTCAGAGCTAGCCTTTTCTGTGCATAAATGGACATGGATTATATGTGTTATAGCAACCTATCACCTTGGCACCTTGTTATCAGCTTACTGACATTCAAACTCCAAGACAGCTAGAAGAATGACTCTTTTCCACCAAACAGTATTTTAAACAAAACTTAAACCCAAAGTGGGATTTGGAGTTCACCTCTGAGCTCATGGAAATGTGAATAAGGTCTAAGACCAGGTCAAAGTGGTCAAATAGCTTGGAATTCATTCAGATATTTTTTCCTTGTCAATTAAAAAAGGGATAATTTTCTCTTGCCAGTGAGTAGCCTTTGGTTTGGGAATATTGTATAACCCAAGAAACCATCTTAATAAATTAGCCAGGAAATACACTGCTTGAGCACTCTTGTTGTTTGGCCTATGGGGAGACCATATGGCTAAATGGGCCAGGGGGGATAAAATGGGGCAGGAAATATGCATGATGAACATCAGGGAATTGCAATTTTTGTACATTCACAATCCACCACAATTCATTGCACCAAATTCCTTTCATTTTTTGTCACTGATCACATTCTTATGAAGCAACTTCTAGTATGTTGGGTCTATAAAAACCATTTATATTTGGGAGGCCGGAGTAGACAGATCACTTGAGGCCATGGGTTTGAGACCACCCTGGCCAACATGGTGAAACCCTGTCTCTACTAAAAATACAAAAAATTAGCTGGGTGTTGTGGCACACACCTGTAGTCCCAGCTACTTGGGAGGCTGAGGCAGGAGAATCTCTTGAATCGAGGAGGCAGAGGATGCAGTGAGCTGAGATCATGCCACTGCACTCCAGCCTGGGCAACAGAAAGAGACACAGAATCTCTTTCTAAAAAAAAAAAAAAAAACAAAACAAAAAACAAAAAACAACCTATTATCACCATTTTGGAATAGCTTACTTATCTAGAAAAGTCATATAGTATACAATGGGATAAATTAGTACTTTTTCCTGACTGTTCTTTCATGATACCATACAATCTAATACATGAGATTTATTTTTAAAAAAAATTTTTAGAGACTGTTTTGCTACATTGTCCAAGTTGAGCTCAAACTCCTGGGTTCAAGCAATTTTTCGGCCTCAGCCTTTCAAGTAGCTGGGACTATAGATGTACACCACCACGATGGCTCATGTTAGCTGTAATAGTTAATCTTGATTTCAATTTTCTCATAGGATACCAGTTGAGACCAATATGTACCGAACTGGACTCTCATCTAAAAGTAACCTCTTTAGGTTAATATAAATATAAATAAGTGTGTTGCTTAGTCCAGTCCATGCCTTTGAAAATAGCCTGAATTAAATGTGATTTTTCAAGAGACAGTCTGGAGATGGAATCTAGACACAACTAGATTAAGCCACCTCTTTAATCACAGAATCTCCTGGGTTGAAAGGTACCTCAAAGGTCACACAGTACAACTACATTAACTACAGTTTACCATTAACTACAATCAGTTAATATTCATCGAACACTCACCAGCACCATATGCTCCAAAGTTGTTTGATGAAAAAATAAAAATATTTTAATTTGAATCTCTAAGACTTTGTCACCTCAAAGCCTCCTGAAATGGCTCCTAATCAATGCTGTTTAGAAGGCAGTGTGACAGTGGTTAGGCGAAGATGTCTGTGGGAAGTTTGATGGTAGAGTGGCATTGTGTGGTCACTGCCTGGCGGTTTTGCCTGGAAACTAAGCACAGGGGCTTCTCGGGAGACAGACTGTCTAGATTCAAACCGTGACTCTGCCATTTGCTAGCTCTGTGACCTTGGGTACTGAACCGATGTCTCTAAGTGTTGATGTCCTAATATATGAAAAGGGATAGCAATGCACTTAGCACACATGCTTATTGAAAAGATCAAATGAGATAATACACATACATAACTTAGCGTGGAGCTTTACACATTATATATGCCCAAGATAGAGCTATTATTTGTAGTATTATTACTATTATTATCCCACTGTGGCCTTTCTGACAGCAGAGTCCTGGCACATAGTAGGTGTTCAGCATATATTTGTTAACTGGGTGAATGATAAATGAGTAAATGAGAGGGATAGCTTCTTTAATATGAGGTAAGTAACTTTGGAAATGTGAATATTTCGCTCAAACCTTTATTATAAATATACCTACAGGCACAACCTGTATCCATAAATAAATTGATAAGAATGTCAAACTTTGTTAATGGTCTCTGCTCGATCTTGGAAACCTAGATCTTGAATACAAGGGGTTTGAGGTTTAAGGGGAAACATGTGGCATGAGTTAATTTTACCCAGAAGAAAAGCTGTCATCTTTCATATACAGCTAAACATAGGAGGCTTGGCTGAGACCTGCTTCATGGCCCAAACAGGTTTGGTGGGTTTGAGACAAATAAAATGAAGAACAGCTGTTGTTTAAATCAAGTCAAGCAAAGACACAGACTCAGCGTCCTTACATTGATTTTAGGTAGTATTTATATTTCAAGATGCAAAGTGGTGTTGCTAATTTCCACAGTAGGAAGTTGCTACAGTGAATATTTTCAGCAGTTTTTTTTTCTTCCTCATTCTTAATAAAGAGTAAATATTTGAATATCTGATATGAATGATTGAAATATATAAATGCAAATGAGAGAGGGTAATTGCATGAAAAATAACTAACAACATTAATAAATGGAATGGCATTAATTAAAGAATACGATGCATACTATAAACTACTTTTTCGAAAAGAAAACAGTTTTCCAAATGGATTTTTGAAATATTGAGGGATTATATTTTATACATTCTTAAAAACTTCATTGTTTTATCGTTTATTGCCTTCACTGTGGTCCTGTTTATTTCAGTTCAACAACTATTTCTTGAGCACTTACTAAGTACTAATGATTTGGTCTCTGAAGAGATTGCATAAATGAGGGAAATTCGTTTTAGTTAAAAGTAAGTAAATAAGTGCTATGATGAATATGAGGACATTATGAGGAAAACCAAAGCCAGATCAGAAAGGTCAGAAAAAGTTTCCTAGAAGAGATGAAACTTGAGACATGTTTTGAAAGATAAGTGGGAATGAGTCAGAAGGTAGAAGTAGGGGGTGAGTTTAGAATAGGGCATTTCAGGTAAATGGAGCAACATGCCAAAGACACACAAGGAGGGCCATGCTGCTTGTGAGGAACTGCAAGTGCCACAGGATTCCCGGAATGCAAACTCTGGAGTGAAAGGGGGCATGAATCAAAGCAGCAGCAGTGGGCTGGGCAGTCATTTTACTTCACTCCGGAGCATGTTCAGATCCCCAGATGCCTGCATTTTCGAAATATGTTCCACTGATTGTTAATAATTGATACTTGGAAAAGAAGAGATTATTGGTCAAATGCTTAAGGGATATGCTGGATTAGACAATTATCTTCGTCAGTTAGGGCTTCTATAACAAAGAACCATAGACTGAGTGGCTTATAAAAGACAGAAATTTGTTTCTTATAGTTGTGGAGGCTATAAGCTTGAGATCAGACTGCCAGCATAGTTAGGGTTTGATGGGGTCCAATTCTGGGTTTAGACTGCTGACTTCTTGTTTTATACTCATATGGCAGAAAGAGGGAACGCTAGTTATCTTCTTAAGGCCCTAACCCCACTCTTAAGTATTCCATCTTCATGACTTAATCACTTCCCAAAGGCCCCACCTCCAAATACCATCCCATAGAGCTTAAGGTTTTACCACATGAGTTTGGGAGAATACAAACACTCAGTCTATCACAGCAGTGGTAGGCAGGTTTCTTTACCTTAAGTGTTTTCGGGACTTTTGCTATGTCAGTGGCCACTGTGATTTTGCAAGGGGAGGATATATATATATCGCATGCAGCGCTTTCTCTACATATTTGAACACAATGTCTCTCAGGATTTAGGTTTCATGGAACATACTTTCGGGAATCTCTGCTATAGACAGCAGGGAGTCTCTGAATAATTTGAAGTGTGGGAGAGTAGTTCATTCTAGTAGCAGAGGAGAGGAGGAATGTAAGAGGTGAAAAATTAGATGAAAGTGGATTAAACATAAGCTCATTGTAATAGGCCCGGCTTAGTGTAGTGAGAGAAGGAATGGATTTGACCTCTATCGGTAGATAGCAGTTATGAAGAGAAGGTGATTGATTGAGAAGCACTTAGGAACCCATGGAAAATGCAAATTTCATGGATTTCATTCTCCTACTTAATTAAGAGGTTTAAATCAGCAGGTAGACAATTGATTGCATGTGGAAGGTGAGAAGATGAATGAATCTATAATGACAAATGATCTCTAAAATACTGGAGAAATAATTTGGAACAAAGAACTGAGAAGATTTTTAGACCTATTAATTTTAACTTATCTATGGAACTTACAAGTTGAATATTTAAGTGATACAGATGTGGGAGACATAAGAATGTAGTGGTAGTTCACTCTGAATGGATAAGGTCACTCATCAAGGGAGAAACATGGACCATTTTCCCAAACGGCAATTTGCAAAAAACTATCCCTTTCACAGAACTGCTTTCAGAGAAGTAGCCATTTAGGAAATTACCTTTTGGCTAACTGTGCATTGGAAAATTGTTTGTAGGCAAATTGACTGGAAGCCACCAGGAAAAGTGTACACTGTGGGAATTCAGGGCAGAGATGAACCTTTGAATTAAGAGATGGCGGGGGAAAGAGAAGCTCAAAAGGAGAAATGAAAGGCTAGAGAATGCCACCATGTTTTTACCAGCCTGATAATTTATACTGCCAAACAAATATTTATTTATATAAAAATGACTGCCTCAACAGAAGCATTAATACCAGAGTATTTCAGCTGCAAAGATGGCTGGGAAGGTGTATTTGTTTTGTAATGTGCTTAAATGGTCCAAGGTCAGGATTAACTGAACTTTATTTCTATCTATAGTCCACCATTACCCATGTTACCCATTGCTATTATAGGTTTTTAACATAGCTCAAATTAAACCTAGATCTTCCTTCCTATAATAGCGATGAGTGCACATAGCTAGACACTTCACACATCTATAACTAATAGCAGCTAACATGTTTCAAGATGGAAATAATATGAGTATTTTGTTTCCAAGATCCCTTCCTTAAATATGAAATGACTTTGATTCTTGGCTTCTAATTTTGGGCTCTTTAATATACTCATGGATTTCTTCAGCCATGATAAGCAGGCTTCAGAATTAACCCTCTCTGATATGGCTTCTCCTGGGTCAAGACCTTGTGCCTAGAATCTTGGGTGATGAACAAAGAATGGGTGCGTGACCTTGTATGTGGGGGAGGTCATGTGGACAGTCGAATACATAGGAGACAGAGTTTCTAGCTTCAGAGTTTGTTTATTGTTAATTAACTGAACACAAGAATGGTTTTAGTGTATAAAGAGGAAAGAAGTTCACACTGAGTTCCACTCCAGGTGGCCCATAAAGCAGGAAGGACAAAAGGGACCAGAGACCAAACTGGACCTTAGAGGACAAGGTAGGCATCTCCAGTAGCTGTGTCTCTTCTAAGCTTCCTAAAATGTGACTTTTAGGTTTTCTGATAAACAAGGAGCATTCATTCTTGGAATGAAGGTCTTGGATTATAGACTTCTAAAAACCTAAGTACTTGAAGGCCATGTTTGACTAATGTTAACATCTGTGAATTGAGGAAACAATTCTAATATTTTATCTTCCTAAATCCAAGCAGGCAGACATTGGTGTCCTACACATTCTTTGAGAGAGTGGGAATATTTCCCCCACATTTCCTATATGCCCATACCTGGAATGCTCTCTTCCTCTTATCCATCCAAATTCTATCTGTCCTTCGTGGTTCAGCTGAAGATATCTTTTCTCCATGAGAATTTTCTGATGTCTCCTGTTAACATCTTATTGGTCTATATCATTATTTCAATGAATAAACATTTATTGAGTGTAATGTTAGACTCAATTCTTAGGTGGGGAATATGGCAATAAATAAAACCAAGCCCCTTTTCTCGTGGACATACATTCTAGAGGGAAGAAAATGACTTAGAAAGTAAATTCTCTCTTTCTTGAGGGATAGATACAGATAGGTAGGGACAGAGGTAAAGACAGAGATAGAGATGTAGATATGGACATAGATATAGATAAATGAAGATGGTGGGCTATTTTAGTCAGGATGCTATTGTTATTAATCTCTGCTCCATACTGCAAGCTCCTTGATGAGAAAGACTATTGTTCTGCTTCTCATCCTCTCATCAGTGCCTGGGCACAGGGCTGGACTTGGGCAATAGGTTTAACAGATAATTATTTATTGATGCAGTTTTTAATTTTTTTATCCAGATATCTTGGCATCATAGAGGCGCAGCTTTGGTTTCCATTGAAATGTCAACTTTGTCTAAACAGGCTGGCTTAGAGATTTGTTTGGTTTCATATTTATATGCAAAGCAAGATGCTCTAAATAAATCCAACAAGATTCAATCGCAACTTTTGGCAGCAGTTTCTCCTTCGTGAATCTATTTTTTTTCTTTCCTGGTTTTCCCCAATGTTCTTGCATTACTGGGAGATTTCCTAGTGCAATTAGTTGGTTCCACCCAGTGACCTTCCACCCTCTCCCTGAACAGATGAATAGGTCAAGCCACAAAGGAAAGGAGGGTCACAGCAAAGGTTACAGAAGGGCTCGTTTTTTGGGAGGGGTGGGAGTGTGTGTGTGCAGATTAAGTTCTCTCCTCCATTTAGGCTTCATCCTGCTTCAGTTCTTACTAAACCTATTTCAGGAGGGCACATTTGCTATTTAAAAGAAAAACTGGATTTTTGCCCAGGAAGTTATCCTGGCAGTGCTAGGAAAAAGAAGAAGAAAAAAAAAAGAGTGGGAGAAGAGGGAAGAGGAAAAAGGAAAGAAGATAAATCTTGAGGGGTCAACAGTGAGCCAGGCCAAAATTTTTTTCTCCAGTCTCTTGTATCAAACATGGTGTCCCCAGATATAGTTTCTCAAACCCAGTGAACTTTCAAATGGCATTAGGAAGAATTTCACTGTGCTTGGAGTTTGGGGAAATTTATAGTATCCTTGGAAGGGTTTTTTAAACATCACTAGTCTGCAAAGAAACAAAATCAACAATCTGATTTACTCTGTACTGTTTGCATTTTCCTTCCTATTTATTAATACAGTCTTACTTTATAAAAACAAATGAAAACTGCACTAATTGGGCCTCTATGAATACCAGGTGTTCTGCTTGTGCTATCTCATTTCAACCTCACGACAACCCCTGGGAGGATGGTATGGTTACTGCCCTGTCACAAAGAAAGAAACTTGAGTTTGTAGCAAACAAGAACCTTTGTTTAGACCACACAACAGCTAAATGTCAGGGCAGGATTTGAACTCAGGTCTCTGGGAACACAGCTGGAGTCCATGAATTCTTTTTTTTTTTTTTTTTTTTGAGACGTAGTTTCACTCTTTCGCCAGGCTGGAGTGAGGTGGTGCGATCTCAGCTCACTGCAACTTTTGCCCCAGGTTCAAGGTATTCTCCTGCCTCAGCCTCCTGAGTAGCTGAGATTATAGACACTCACCACAATGCCTGGTTAATTTTTGTATTTTTAGTAGAGATGGGGTTTGGCTATGTTGGCCAGGCTGATCTCGAACTGCTGACCTCAGGCTATCCACCCGCCTCAGCCTCCCAAAGTGCTGAGATTATAGGCGTGAGCCACCATGCCTAGCCCATGAATTCTTTCTGTACTTTAATAGATTTCAAATTGTTCAGGTGAGAGATTACAAATATAATACTGATGGTGGAAAGTAGAATCACCATTCTCCCTACCACAAAGCTCCCACCCCCCTCACCCACACGCCCCAGAAGTGGAGGGATATGAAAAGAACAACAGATCATGCTGCCTTTTGCCCTTATATGACCCCATCTGTATCTTCTCTCTAATTTCTTTTACTGATCTGATTTCTCTTACGCCCTAGGCAAGTGAGTCCAGTTTTTATGGCCATGATTATTTATAGCCATGTTTTATTTGGTTTGCCAGGTAGGGATTTATTCTGAAGATCTCCAATTCCCTTACAGGTGTTGGATAACCCTATCATGGGATTGGAAGGTATTTTTTAATATAAAAATCAGGCAAGAATGTGAAAAAGGGAAGGGAGAAAACATTCTGCCAAGTCAATTTCAGAAATGAAGATTCAAAGTTAAAAAAATAAAATTTGCCTTTTGTGGTCGATATTGAAATTCTAATTTGGATCCAGTTTTTCAGGATACAAATTATAAAAAATATGGTTGAATGTATTATGGGAGTGAGTCAAGCAGCTTCCAGTTAAATGCCAAAATGATCCGGGGCAAATCCTTGAGCCTCAGCTTTCTTCTCTGCAAAATGAAGGGGTTTATGTCGATCATACACTTCAGAATATCAAGATTATTAAATTTACCTTCTTTACAATTGATCATGTATTTTTTGAACCTCCAAAATGACTCCAGGACACAATTTTTATTTATAATTTATTTAATATTTATCCAACTACTAGACTAACTGTAAAAAAAATGGTGAGCCACTAACCTGTATTTTGGGTTCCTAATTCACCTACAATGGCATGGAATTAATTATTCTCACTGCATCACGGCTGTTTATAGACAATGGACCCATTTGGAAGTCATAAGCATGAGACTTGGTGGTCTGGGCAGAAATATTTGCTCTCTTGGTGAGAAGATGTCAGTAACATTGTGTAGTCCCGTTACATGGGACAAGCTTCCCTCAGGGTCTTTTACCTAATAAAATTGCTAGAGCAATCTGTCAGGAGGCTTGCAGCCAAGAGCAGCAGGACTGCAGTAAGTGAGAGGAGCCAACAGCTTTTGCTGGGTAAATGCAACAGCTCCAGCCAAAACCATGGGAACAGCTGTCACACTGAGGTCGAAGCACAAAGTTACAGGACATGGCATCCAGGAAGCGGGACAAGGACAGATAGGTTAGCACTTTAGCAATGGCTGAAGATCAGAAAGAAAAGAGATCTTTTCAGCTCAGTGGAAGACAGAAGCATAAGGAAGTGTTTATAACAAACAGCTTCCAGTGTAATCTAGAAATATTCCATGGAAGTTGTTGAAAATTGGTAGTGAAACCACAGTGATTCTATGGCCTCAGGCCTTTGTGGGAACCTTGAGTATACGTAAGAAACATACAACATTTCTAACAAATTGAGCTCCAAGATCAGGAAAAAATAATTCAGCAGATTGTGGTACACTTATTAACTTCCAACTATTGTTGAACCTGGAAGGCTTATATTGATACTGGTATTAGAGATGCATGCTTTATCTTTCCTATGGCAGTCTGGCAAGATGTATATTGATGGTTTTCCTCTTTTTTTTTTTTTTTTTTTTTTGAGACAGTGTCTCACTCCGTCACACAGGCTGGAGTGCAGTGGTGTAGTCTTGGCGCACTGAAACCTCCGCCTCCCAGGCTAAAGCAATTCTCATGCCTCAGCCTCCTGAGTAGCTAGGATTACAGGTACCTGCCACCACACCCAGCTAGTCTTTGCATTTTAGTAGAGACAGGGTTTCACCATGTTGGTCAAGCTGGTCTCACACTCTTGGCCTCAAGTGATCCACCCGCCTCAGCCTCCTAAAGTGCTGGGATTATAGGCATGAGCCACTGCACCTGACCTTTTTCTCTTTTTAATACAGGATTCATCAAAATAAATATACAGATTTCTTTCAATTCTGCAATTTAGAAATAGGTTTATTTTATGGTTTTTATGAACTTTCCTTTTGGAGATTGACTTGAGTAATTTTGATGTTAAAACTTCATACTCTTAGTTTGATTTTTTTTAATTGACTTTTTTTTCTTCCTCTCTGATTGATCCCATGACTGGATAAGTGATGTAGTGGTGTGTGTGATAAAATTTGAGGGAACTTTCTACTCTGTTTATAGTGTCTCAGAGTGTCATATGATAATCATACTTAAATTAAGTCAAAAAAATTTCAAATTTCATTCTTTTGGAAAATCTAATACTCATCAAGTGAGGCTGGAGCTTACTCTTCTGGAATTGCAATGTTGCTTAGCAGCAATCTCAGGGAAGGTCTACAGTGTTTGCAGCTGCCCCTGAGTCACTCTTTTTAAATGAAGAATGGGCCTGAATTGAGAGGTATGTGTGTAGAGAAAACTTTATAGGCTGGTGACACATGTGGAATGAGAACAGGGAGCTGTGGGTCCATCTGCAGGGAAATCGGAGTGCCTAAATGTGGAAGGGAAAGGAGGAAGTGGGATCAGAGTGGGTGATGAGATGGGATACTAAGGCCCCTCACTGCTGACCCAAGATAAGGGTACAGGAATCATAGAAATTGCTGTCTTATGACAGCAGGTACAAGAGGCCTGAAGAAAAAAGTCACACTATTAGGCTAGAACAAAAAGTGGTTAGAGCAGTGGCTGGGCCTAGCAGTCCCAGGCTTCCTAGGAGGAGTTTGCACTCTGTACAAGGGGGATAAATGGGAGCAGGAGAAGCCGAAGCTCCGTGCTGTGTAAGAAGAGGTGGTGAGAAGTGAATCTGAAGAGCCGCTCCTGTGGCTTGTTGCTGACCCCTGCTCCCGACTGCCATTCCTCAGACTGGAGAGCCCAGAAATAGGAGATTTAGTGGCAAAGAGGACAGCAGAGATGACAAAAGTTGTGGGCAGAAATAAGAGTGTTCTGCCACACTGGGTAGCAGTGAATTCTCTGGTTGGCAGCAAGGGGAGAGGCCAAAGGCATCCACACAGCTGTTAGCAGCATTGAATCCATAGGCGTCTGCAGCATCCTCAATTCTTGCCTCCTCAGAAGAAAGAATTTGACCAAGGGGCATAAGGCAGAGTGAGAGACCAAGGCAGGTTTTAGAGCAGGTGTGAAAGTTTATTAAAAAGTTTTAGAGCAGAAACAAAAGGAAGTAAAGTACACGTGGAGGAGGGCCAAGCAGGAGATTTGAGAGATTCAAGTGTGCTGTTGGGCCTTTAACTTGGGGTTTATATATTGGCATACTTCCAGGGTTCCATTACTTCTCCCCTGATCTCTCCTTGTGGTGAGCCGTCCACACGCACAGTGGCCTGCCAGCACCTGGGAGGGGTCACATGCGCAGTGTGTTTACTGAAGTTGTGCACATGCTCACTTGAGGTGTTTTCCCTTACCAGGCGAGTATTCCCAGAGGAAGGTCATATACTAGTTAAACTCTGCCACTTTGTCTCTTAGTGCACATGCTTGAGCCCACTCACTCAACTCCTGAGATCTTATTGAGAAGCCGCACATTGCCAGTTGCAGTTTTGTTTTTTTTTTTTCTATCTGTTAGGAGACTGCCTTTCCCTGGTGCTGGCTGTGACCAATTATTATTTTAGAAAGGCAATTTAACTACTGCCTGACCATCACTTGATGGTCGTCTGACATTCCTGGTAGGATAAGGAGGGGTCTTCTCCTGCCCTGCACAGTGTGACTAACTACCTACTCTAACACAGCCACCTAGCAGCCAACAGAAGGAAGAAAGCAGCTGTACTGGAAGGATGAATTTGGACGGGCTATAGTTCCAGTGATTCAACGGTTTTTTTTCCACTGTCTGTTCTCTAACAATTTCCGGGCCTGATTAAATGTTTTTATGGATGAAAACATTTTTTTGAAAAAAATGGCTGAAGAATTAATGAAAAATGAGAAGAATGAAGAAAACATTTATGCTGAATATTGGATATTTCTGTGCCCATATACTTGCTTGATGAGATTATTACCTACTTTTGTATATATGTTTGCCAGCAAGTCATTTTAAGAAAAATAAAAATAAAAGATAATATGCTTTCCATTTATGCCGTTTCATGGTTCAAAAACATTTTCAAATATATCATTTGTTAAAAAAAATGACATAAGCGAGGTTTGTTTTCAATTTTAGAGACTAAGAAACCAAGTTGGTTAACTGTTCAAGGTTCCATAGTTTATAAGTGAATCAGAATTTCACTCCAGGTCTTCTTTGTTTCTATTTTATTCAATTTTGAAAATTTGAATAGTGTATGCATTCATATAATTCAAAAATAAAAGCCATAAAATTAAGAATTTCCATTTCCAGTCTCTGTCCCTGTCCACTCTAGTCACCTCCTTCATAAATAAAAGATATCATACTGTGGATCCTATTTTATGACTTTGTTTTTTTTTTAAATTCAGTTAGTAATATATCCTGGAGATCTTTCTGTGTCCACACTTAGAGAGCAACCTCCTTAATTTTTGTAACTGCATAGTGTTTTCTGAGTGGATGTTGCACAGTTCCACCTATCATCTAAAAGTTCACAGTTGATGATAGTTGGGTTGTTTTGCTATTACAAACAAGGTTTTAGTGAACAGCCTTGAACATTCATTATTTTGTGTATATGCTTCTTTAGGATAATTCTCTGAAGCAAAATCTTGGGTCATAGTATAAATGAATTTGTAATTAAATGAAAATTACCAAATTTTTAGTAGGAGTTGTACTGTCACTGTCATCTGCAATGTATGACTGTCAGTTTCCTCATAAACTTGTCAACAAATTGACATTGTCTAACTTTTGAATTTTTGCCATCATGATTGTTTAGAGTGATGATTGCTTGGTATAGTTTTAATTTCCATTTTTCTTTTATGCTATGAATTCCAATTTTTTTCTCTGTCATTTTATTTTGCTCATAGAAGTCTTTTTGATTTGGTATTTAGACTTTTCATATTTGTTGGTAATCAAAATGATTAATTTTTAAAATTGATTCTAGACTTAAAAAAATCTTTCTTAATTTAAGGATATAAAGAAATTCATCTATGTTTTCTTCTGGTAATTTATTTTTTAAGATGTAAAACTACTTATATATGAATGTATTTATCTCCAAGCATAAATCTCCTGCTGCTAGTCACTGCCCCCTTCAATAGGAAACTACAAAGTTTTTGCCATAAAAAAGTAATTCACTTTTTTAAAAAATTGTAAAGCCAAGTAAAAGGGTTATATTGCATTCATGTGTCCACAGTTAGACTTATTTTCTGGCAGCACTGCTTCTTAGAGTAAAGCTTGCTTATTTGTGCAAGAGAGTTTAGGATAATTTATTGGCAAATTCGAAGATACTGTTTCAGTAACTCTACTGGCATAGCAAGGTATACAAATAAGACTCTAGCTAATATTCAAGAGGTCAATGTGTCCAGGTTAGCATTTTTCATGCCAGAACTAAGGGTTTAAATTTTGTGTTCTCATTGACCCATAAACTTAGCAGAAAATGCAGTGCAAAACATTTTTAGGCCAGCTGCGCCTGTAATCCCAGGACTTTGGGTGACCGAGGCAGGTGGATCACCTGAGGTCAGGAGTTCAAGACCAGCCTGGCCAACATAATAAAACTTCATTTCTACTAAAAATAGAAAAATTAGCTGGACATGGTGGCACATGCCTATAGTACCAGCTACTTGGGAGGCTGAGGCAGGAGAATCACTTGAACCTGGGAGGCAAAGGTTGCAGTGAGCCAAGATCACACCACTGCAGTCCAGCCTGGGCAACAGAGTGAAACTCCATCTCAAAAAAAATAATAATAATAA
The DNA here is from genome assembly GCF_000001405.40 of Homo sapiens. Classification (NCBI taxonomy): domain Eukaryota; kingdom Metazoa; phylum Chordata; class Mammalia; order Primates; family Hominidae; genus Homo; species Homo sapiens. Next base: position 107,515,365 of record NC_000008.11, on the reverse strand, counting down.
AATAAAAATAAATAAATAAAATAAAATAAAATTTAAATGCTTTTTATGCAGGTTTCCTTCTCTGAGACTGGTATTGTTATTTAAGGCGAATCTCTTTGAGAAGGTGGTCATTCATTATTCATTGAAAAATGCCAGCTCCTTGCCTTCCAGTCCTTCTTAAATCAACTCTAATCAGAATCAGCACCTCCAACCCTTATTATTCTTCTGAAACTGATCTTTGTGAGGATGTCTTCCGCTTCTGTGTTGCTGAAACCATTGGTCAATTCTCAGTCCTCCTCTTATTTGATCTAAAAGATACACATTTGCTATAGTGAACATCCTCCTTCTTGAAACATACACTTCACTTGGCTTCCAGGACACACACCTTTCTGGTTTTTTCCTACCTCACTGACTACTCCTTTGTAGGCTTCTTTGCTGATTTATCTACGTTTTCCTAATATCTTAACACTAGGGGCTCTCAAAGCCCAGTTGTCGACTTTTCCTCCTCCCTGTCTACCCTTACTCCCTTGATGTGGTCTGCACTCTCATGACTTCCAATACCATCTATATACCCAGCAATAATCCCCAGATTTATATCTCTATTATGAACCATTCTCCTGAATTCTAGATCATATATCCAACTGCTTACTAGCTAGCTCTTCAATAAGTATCTCAAACTTAACATGTCTGAATCAAAGCTTCTGGTCTCTCCCTTTTCCCAAATCTAGTCCTCCCAGTGTTTTCCATCTCAGCGAAACTCATCTTGTCATTTAGTTAAGCCAAAACCTTGAGACATCTCTCACACCTTGTGTACAAGCCGCCAGGAAATCCTCTTGGCCTCACCTTCAAAATATTCACTTGACCACTTCTTCTCTTTACTTGTCCTTGTGAAAGCCATCACCATCTTTCATCTGGGTCCTTGAAGAACCTCCTCACTGGCCTCTGGCCTTTCATCCTTTTCCCGTGACAGAGCAAATAGAGGTATCCTTTTAAGATACTAGACAGGTGACATCATTGTGGATCCCTTATGGAACTCTTCCTCTGTCTTCAAAGTGAAAAAACTGCATCCGTCTGACTCCTTTTCCATACAAACATCTCTCATTTACCCTAGTTGGGAAAGATGTGTTGATTTTAAGGACCAGTGTAATTAGATTAAGTCCACCTGGATAATCTTCCCATCTTGAAATTAGTAACTGCAAATTTCCTTTTGCCATGCAATGTAACATATTCGCAGGTTCTGGGGATTAGGATGTGGATATTTTTGGCAGGGAGGAGAAGGTATTATTCTGCTTCACAGACTCACATCCTTAAATACTTGCTCAAATGTCACCTTCTCAGCACTTTACTGACAATCCTATTTAAATCCACCACCATCATGATATTCATTGCAATACTTTCTGCTTAATTTTTAAATAACATTAATCACCATATAACATACAGCATGGTAAATATTGATAATTTAGTTTATCTTTCTGTCTCCCGTTTTTGGAATGTAAGATGTGTAGTTTCAAGAAACTTTGTCTTTTTGATTCACGATTGAATCTCTAACATCTAGAGCAGTGCCTATCTTAGAGTAGTAGAGCCTCAATTTTTTGAATTTTTGAATGAATGGATGAATGAATGGAGAAGACAAATACTATGAACTTAATTTGTTCCCAAGGTAGACTTTCCAAATCATAGGATAAAATAAGTTTTGATCCATTACCCGCATGGATTCATTGAAGAATTTGTACTTATTTTTTTTCTCATGGTCCTGACTCACTGTACATCGTGTAATGAAATCTACTGGTTATTAACATGTGTAGAGGGACATACTGGATCCTCAGCACTCATAATAGGCCTGATTCATAACAGTCAATAGATGATAAGTTTCATTTGACCTAATTTGAACTACAAGTTATTACTTTTATTACTCTCTCCCACCATATATCACATTTTATTCATACTACAACCTGTCAGTATGCAGGATGTGTATTTACTATTAGGAAACTTGTGCTCAAAGAACTGGATCAACATCCCTCAGCAAGTGAGTGGCAGAGCTGTGAGCAGAACCCAGGTTCTCAGATTCCAAAATCCATGCCTTTCCACTGTACCATCCTGACTACTTTGGCTACATTTGTGATAAATTATATTGATCAGAGGATGGATTAAGATAAACTGACTTGGTAGATACATTTGACATTTTTTTCCTTCCTTTGCAGGGAATAATAAAAGAGAGGGACAAGTAGAAAAATACATGTTTTATTGAAAGCATTGGTGAGAGCAGACATCCTTGCCCCTTTTCCAATATTAAGGGGAAAGCATTCATTCAGCCTTTCATCACTAAACTAGAATATTAGTTATAGGGTTTTTTGTAGATCTAGAGCCCCACTACTTTTTGTATATTCCTATTACTTTTAGTTTTTATAAAGGATGAATGTCACATTTTGTCAAATGGCTTTCCTGCATCAGCTGATATGATCAGATAATTTTTCTTCTTTAGCCTATCACTATAATGGTTTACACTGGTTGATTTTCAGATATTAAATGAGTATTATATCCTTAAGACAAACCAACTTGCTCCTATAATTTCTTTTATATATTTTTGAATTCTACTTAATATTATGTTTAAAATGTTTGCTTGTATAATAATGAGGGGTATTTCTTTGTAGTTTGCTTTTTGTGTACTCTCTTTGTTTTGTTTAGTTATCTGGGTAATAATTAAGAAAAGAAATTAATAATTAAGTAATTAAATAATTAAGAAAATTAAAAAAACCTACAGACTGATGAAAATATTTCTAAACGATGTATCTGACAAAAAAAACCTCATACATAGAATATATAAATGTATTAGTCCATTCTTATGCTGCAAATAAAGACATATCCGAGACTGGGTAATTTATAAAGAAAGAGATTGGCCAAGCACGGTGGCTCACGCCTGTAATCCCAGCACTTTGGGAGGCCGAGGCGGGTGGATCACGAGGTCAGGAGATCGAGACCATCCTGGCTAACATGGTGAAACCCCGTCTCTACTAAAAATACAAAAAATTAGCCGGGTGTGGTAGTGGGCGCCTCTAGTCCCAGCTACTCAGGAGGCTGAGGCAGGAGAATGGCGTGAACCCGGGAGGCGGAGCTTGCAGTGAGCCGAGACCACGCCACTGCACTCCAGCCTGGGTGACAGAGCGAGACTCCGTCTCAAAAAAAAAAAAAAAAAAAAGAAAGAGATTTAATGGACTCACTGTTCCACATGCCTGGAGAGGCTTCACAATCATGGCAGAAGGCAAAGGAGAAGAAAGTCATGTCTGGTGGCAGGCAAAGAGAGCATGTGCAGGGAACTCCTCTTTGTAAAGCTGTCAGATCTTGTGAGACTTATTCACTGTCATGAGAACAGCATGGGAAAGACCTGCCCCCATGATGCAATTACCTCCCATCAGGTCCCTACCAAGACACATGGGAATTATGGGAGCTACAATTCAAGATTAGATTTGGGTGGGGACACAACCAAACCATATCATTCTGCCTCTGCCACCCCCTACCCCCGCCAAATCTGATGTCCTCACATTTCCAAACCAATCATGCCTTCCCAACAATCCCCCAAAGTCTTAACTCATTCAGCATTAACTCAAAAGTCCACAGTCAAAACTCTCATCTGAGACAAGGCAAGTCCCTTCCGCCTAGGAGCCTGTAAAATCAAAAGCAACTTAGTTACTTCCCAGATACAACGGAGGTACAGGCATTGGGTAAATATACCTGTCCCAAATGGGAGAAATTGGCCCAAAAAAAGGGGCTACAGGCTCTAAGCAAGTCCTAAATCCAATAGGGCAGTCATTAAACCTTAAAGTTCCAAAATGATCTCCTTTGACTCTATGTCTCACATCCAGGACACACTGATGCCAGAGGTGGGTGTCCATGGCCTTGGGCAGCTTCACCCCTCTCCCTTTGCAGAGTACAGCCTCCTGACGGCTTTCATGGGCTAGCATTGAGTGTCTGCGGCTTTTCCAGGCTCACAGTGCAAGCTGTTGGTAGATTTACCATTCTAGGGTCTGGAGGATGGTGACCTTCTCACAGCTCCACTAGGCAGTGTCCCAGCGGGGACTCTATGTGGGGGCTCCAATCCCACATTTCCCTTCCACACTGCCCTGGCAGAGGTTCTCAATGAGGGCTCTGCTGCTGCAGCAAATTTCTGCCTGGACATCCAGGCATTTCCATATATCTTCTGAAATCTAGGCAGAGGTTCTCAAACCTCAATTCTGGACTTCTGTGCTCCCGGAGACCCAAAACCTCATGTAAGCCACCAAGAGTTGGGGCTTGCACCCTCTGAAGCAACAGCCTGAGCTGTACATTTGCCTCTTTTAGCCATGGCTGGAGTTGAAACAGCTGGAATGCAGGGGACCATGTTTGGAGGCTGCATAGAGCAGAGAGGCCCTAGACCTGGCCCATTAAACTATTTTTCCCTCCGAGGCTTCCAGGCCTGTGATGGGAGGAGCTGCCCTCCCACTGGGTACCTCCCATGACATGTGGGAATTATGGGAGCTACCATTCAAGATGAGATTTGGGTAGGAACACAGTCAAACCATATCAATAGAGAACTCTTAAAACCCACAAATAATCTGATTTAAAAAGTGGAAAAAACTTGAAGAGAGATTTTATTGATGAGAGGATACCATGGCAAATAAAGCATATGAGAAAGTGTTTAAAATCACTAGTCATTAGGGAAATGCAAATTAAGACCATGATGAGATATTACTATGCAACTATTAGAAAAACTAAAAAAAAAAATAGTAACAATATCAAATGCTGGCAAAGATATGAAGAAAGTAGATCGCTCATACACTGCTGGGGGGAGTGTAAAAATGGTATGGCCACTCTTGAAAACACCTTGGCAATTTCTTAAAAACTAAGCAAGGCTTCCAGGCTTGGTGGCTCATGCCTGTAATCCCAGCACTTTGGAGGCTGAGGCGGGTGGATCACGAGGTCAGGAGATCGCGACCATCCTGGCTAACACAGTGAAACCCCGTCTCTACTAAAAATACAAAAAATTTAGCCGGGCATGGTGGTGGGCGCCTGTAATCCCAGCTACTCGGGAGGCTGAGGCAGGAGAATGGCGTGAACCCGGGAGGCAGAGCTTGCAGTGAGCTGAGACTGCACCACTGCACTCCAGCCTGGGTGACAGGGCGAGACTCCATCTAAAAAAAAAAAAAACTAAGCAAGGCATAGAGGCATGTGCCTATAGTCCCATCTACTTAGGGTGAGGCTCAGCTGGGAGAACTGCTTAATCCTGGTTGTTCTCAGCCAGCCTGAGCAACATACCAAGACCCCCGTGGCTAAAAAAAAAAAAAAAAAAAAAAAAAACCCAAAAAACAAAACAAACAAACAAACAAAAAACCCTAAATATACATTTACCATACAATCCAGCAGGCACATTCTTGGGCATTTATTGCAGTGATATGAAAATTTATGCCTGCACAAAAATCTGTTCACAACTGGTCATTGCAGCTTCATTTGTAATAGCCCCAAGGTAGAAACAACAAACTGTCCCTTGGTAGGTGATGGTTAAACAAACTGTGGTGCATACATGCCATGGATTATTACTTAGCAATAAAGGAATGAACTGCTGATACATACAACTTGGACAGATCTCAAGGACAGTATGATAGATTTAAAAAAAAAAAACCCTCAATTCCAAGAGATTACATAATTCCATTTATATGACATTATTGAAATGGCAAAATTATAGAAATGAAAAACCAGATTAGTGGCTGCCAGGAGTTAGGAATGGTGTCAAGGAGAGATTGGTTATAACTATAAAAGAATAGCCAGAGAGAGATCTTTGTGATGGTAGGATATTTCTGTATCTTGGATCTGGTGGTGGTACACAAATCTATGTTCTATAAAATGACATAAAACAATACATTCATAGTATAGTAATGTCCAAGTCCTGATTGTGATGCTATACTATAATTATGTAAGGTGTGACCAGTGGGGGAAATCAGGTGAAGGGTACATAAGTCCTCCCTTTATTTACCTTTGCAGCTTTCTATTTCAAAATAAAAGTTTTTTTTTTTAAATGCGTATTTAAATACATACCATAAGAATCTAAAGAAAACACAGATGCCAAGTGTGTAGACATGTGGTGTCAATTATTTAAGATTTTTTTTATGGAGGTGAAATCACACATTATAGTTAACCATTTTAAAGCCAAAACTCAGTGGCATTTAGAACACTCACAATGTTGTGTAAACATTACCCCTCTCTAGTTACAAAACATTTTCATCAGACCAAAAGGACACCTTGTACTCATAAGCAGTCACTCTGCATTCCTTCCTACCCACAACCCCTGGCAACCACTAATCTCCTTTCTGTCCCTATGGATTTACCTATTCTAGATGTTTCATGTAAATGGAATCATATAAGACCTTTTGTGTCTGGCTTCTTTTACTTATTAGCATAATGTTTTCAAGGTTCATCCGTGTTGTAGTACGTATCAGTACTTCATTCTTTTTTTGGCTGAATAATATTCCATTTGTATGGATTTAACATATGTTGTTTATCCATTCATCTGTTAATGGACATGTGGGTTGTTTCCATGTTTGGGCTGCTGTAAATAGCGTTGCTATAAACATGTGGTGCCAATTTGATATAAGAAGAAATTGTTTTAAAACTTCATGGTTTCTTTGTGAAAGATATAGAATCCATGTACGTGATATAATCAAAGGGTATAATCAGTACCTCCAAAGCCTCTGTGAGTCATATGAGAAGAGTGACGATTCGTTACTGTTGTTTTCCCTAGGTAAACTTCAGATCGTAGAGTATTGGGGGTTAAGAACACAGGCAAAATAAGTGACTGCTTATTTTGGAAGAAACGAATAAAAACACTTCATGAGAACAGAGACAAAATGTCATAACAGCAATTGTTAACTATTACATGAAAGTCAACATTGTGCTCACGTGTGATCAATACACAAATATTTTATTCTTTAAAGGCTTTACAAATATAAATTTAGTAGATAAATTTCTTCAAGAACAACAAAGCAATACGAGCTATGGAGGTCCAGTTTATTAGGTTTCTTGAGTCCAGTTTATTTAATATGCAGTGATCTTTGTGTCCTTAAATGCTCCAGAAATTAAATATACAAAACTTTAAAGGCACTAAGGGAATTGTTTTATAATCCTAGAAGTAAAGAACTTTCTGGAAATATATCAGGCATATCCAAGTAAGTTTACTCCTTATTTCTTGGTACTAAACCAACTCAGCTCTTTTTACAGCATTTCTTCTTGGTTAGCTCTTTCAATTAAGCCACTGATTCTCAACCATGGCAACACATTAGAATCACCTGATCCATCTTTACAACTACCAGTGTTTAGGCTACATCTCAGAGCAACTGAATTAGAATCTCTAGAGGCAAGCCCAGGCATCTTTTATCTAGAACTCCCAAGTGATCCTAAGGTGCTGCTAGGGTTAGGGAGTCATGAATTAAACCAGTAATTCTCTAACTTGAGCCTGCATCAGAATTTCCTGCAAGGCCTCTCAAAGGGAGCTATGACCCAAACTCAGGTTTCTGATTCAGTAGATCTGGGTGGGGCCCAGATTTTGCATTACAAACAAGATCCCAGGTGATGCTAAGCTGCCCTCCCGGAATCATACCCTGAGAATAATGAATCTTGTCCTGTGCACCCAGTGAAGATGAGGATACAGCTGGTTACAGTCCTATATGTAAGTACCTTAAACATGCTTTTTTTCTCCCCACCGATTTTAGAGACCTTTCCTTAGCACATTAATTAAGATGTCTGGGCCCTTAAGTCAAATGGCCTGGTTAAAATGTCCCTTCTGTATAATCTTAGGCAAGTTCATTTCGAATGCTTCAGTCTCTTCATCTGTGAAATTGGTATGATATGATTGTTTTAAGGGTTAAATTTGATAATGTATGTAAAGCACTTGACATACAGTAAATATACTGTAATTATTAACTTTTGGGGGATGGCTTCCTTTTTCAATTCTTATGACTTCTTTAGTCTAATTGGCTATCAAGTTCTATCTTCTTATTGGATTAACAAATAAGGAAATGTATCCTAAAATCAGGAAGATAATTAAGTTGGGGATTTAAACAAGCAAATGCTTTAAAAAGACTGACTGAGGGTTTATATATATGTAATGGTTAAAAACTTCTGGTCTGGGTTCAGAAAACACTGGGTTTGAGTCCTTCCTGCAGCTTCTCTAAGTTTGTTTTTCCCTCTGTAAAACGATGGTAATAAAAGGCCCTATATTTTGTTGTTGTGACCATTGTTATAGATGAGATAATGCAAGCACAGTGATTAGCATAGCTTGCTATATATATCTGGATATATCATAGACACTCAAGAAATGGTAGCTTTTATTAAACTGAGAGCAATTGATTCCTAACAGGTCTTTTAAATATTAACTCTCCTTTCCTCTTTGAACTGATATACTTTTATGGCTTTTTGAAGGATGTCAGGAAGGAATGTAAATTCTCCAAGGGGAATGCAACTCTTGAGAAGAAAGTTGTTTACTATTTCCCCAACACTCTTCCAAACGCAAGACTGAAAAGGAGTGAAGATTTACTCTCCAGATACTAAATAACTGTATTATTCTTTCCAATGCCAGAATCAAGAAAAGAGCTATTGAAATTCCTGGTCAATCATTAGTTGCAAGCTCAGGCCTTCAGTTGGGCATTTCTGTTAGTGGACAGCACTGTAAATAGGGCTATTGCAAATCGGAGCTATGACTTCCCTGGGTGGGACCGAGGGAGGTTCTTCGTGTGCTCACTGGCAGCATAAATGCAGAAGCTTCGGATTCAAAAGCATCCTTTGTATTTCTGATTAGACTACAGAATGGAAACAATCACCAAACATTCTGAACATGAGGCAAACAAATCTTGAGGAACTGTAACTACAACAGTTTTTTCCATGGATATATTGACAGGAAACATCGTTTTATTCATTTTGCAGGAGAGGATGACTCTACTCTTGATAGCACTAAGTAATATTTCCTAAAGTATGGTACATGTTCCCCTGGGAAGTGAAATATTTGGGTGGTAGCACATGGACAGATACTCATTTTCATATTGTGTACTTATTTTAATATAAATTATAACATATAATATAATATATAAAAACAAGTGCTTGTTCTTCCCAATACTATTGTTTAGGTTAAACCTAAGATATGTAGACAGTTTAAAATTGAGTTAAGGAAACTATCTAGGTACATAGTAGTACACAGGGCATGGCAAATACCATGAAGGTGGTATAAACGTAACAGAAATTTGGGAAACATTTTGCAAAATATTCAGCCTGTTCAGTGTTTCTGGAGCTAAAAGTGATCCATTTATACATATCACAAGTGGAAGGAATATTTAACTATGAGTAACAACGTGGCTATGACAATCCTTTCCCGTGTTTGAGTCATGGTTGTCTTCTATTCTTCTATTCTAGCCTTTCTTTAATTGCCACAATCCTCCCTTTAAAGATTTGTGCTATTTAGAAGAGAAAGATCAAGAGGAAAGAACAAAGACGAGTAATCAATGGAAAAGAAAGTATAAACTTTTCAGAGACCAAATAGGTTCTTTGTTTATGGTTATCATTAAAGGACTAGTCTTTATGGGTCAGTTTATGAACTAAGAACCTGGTTTAAGCAATCATATTTTTTAAGTGTTTTATGTACCACCAGAATTTATTTTCTAATTTAATTGCCAAATTTCTAATCTGAATTATAGCCTGAAGGGGAGTGAAATTTTGTTTGGAAAAAATATATAGATAAAATAAGATCTTTTCCTTATGCACAGTTCACACCAAACTGCATATTTCATGTAAGATTAATAATAGAGTGTTCCAGTTCATTTTCAGTGTATCAGAGGCAAACACATTATCTCTGAGGAAACAGAATGGAATGATATATGCCACAAGTCTAGTCATAAAAGAAGTTCTTGAAAATAAGGTCATCCAGTTGAATTGGCCAGAAATGAGTTGGATAACAAGGCATGGTGATGAAGCCATAAATGGTATCCACATTGCCCCCATAGCTCCCAGGGCATAAAATTTTCACTATCAAATGTGATTGGTTTACATGTCTGTTTGCCCTACTTGATGTTTCTCTGGTTTCAGTAGCCAGAGTATTACATTGTTACTAAATTGTCCCCAACTCATTTCATTCATTCAACAAATACCTATCCAGCACCGATTATGTGACAGGCATTCACTGTTTCAGGTGCTAGGGGGATGCAGCAGTAAGGAACAACATTGCCCTCAAGAAACCAGAGCTATTTACATGTGTATCATTGTGAACATGAGCATCCTCTCATTTTAAAATGTGCTTCTTAAATTTGTGATTTTTTAAGATGTTCAGAAATAATTTTAAACATTTAGGAGGGCAAAATGATAGGGAATGAAATTAGGTAAATGTACTTATAAAATTCAACTAAACAAGGCAAAAAGTAGCACAATTTCTGAGCACAGAAAAAAGAACTCACATTTAGAAAGAAGAACTAACATTGAGAGCACTTGGATATGGTCTGGACACTGTGCTCAGTACTTTATATCCACTATCTTATTTAATCTTCACAACGTTCTTATAAAATTGGTACTGTTATTACTGTCTTCATTTTACAGATAAGGAAGCTGAGCTTAGGAAAATTAAATGTCTTGTCTAATATCATCTAACATGGACTAGCATAGACAAGAAATTAAGAAACAAAACAAAAACAAAGCAGTCTGTATCCTCCCACCTTAACCACTATGAAACAGTTCATCCAATCTGGCAGGAGGAAAGAGAGATAAGACAGTATTACATCAGAAGTAAGATTAGATTAAGAGAGAGTATAAAAATAAGACTAAAAGAGGAAAAACAAGCAATTTTAGAAAACATTAAGGATCTTATTTCCCTCGTATTTTTTAAAATCTGAGTTTACAATGCTTGTGAATGATTCTTTTTTTAACTCATGAGTGGAGGTTGTAACAACTCTGTGACCACAACATAGTTTTTCCTCTGAACAGAAAGTCCTACATCATTGAGTTACTCTCAGCGGAGGGTACTTTGGCTACAAGAACTGGTTACAAGAACTATCCAAGTCCCACTGGGTTACCATAACCCATGAAATGGTAATTCCAGGCATTTCTTGAAATTACTTGTTCTTTTTTGAGAGTTTCTTAGAACATGTAAAATACATGTGCTTTCTGAAGTTGGAAAAGTTGAGACAGAGAGGCCTTTGCATTCTGCTCTCATCTAGGAATCAAGACTTCTGTAGGGAAAAAGAGAAGAAAGAAGGAGGCAGTTAGTAAATGCAAAGTAGTTTATATGCTTTTTATAATAAAATCTCACTGGGTCTCCAATGGAAATCCTTCTTCATTCTCGTATGAGGGGAATGTTGGCATCTGTATTTCTGCATGGTACAGTCCTCAGCTGTTTGTTTTCTTTTCTGGCTTGCGTATTTGTAGAAGTTACCTTCATTGTAGAATTAACAACTAATCTCACATTGAGAGGTATTTCTGAGATGTTTCTTGAATGGTTTTTCAACCGTGGCAATGTTCATAGGTGGCTGGAAGTATTAGGTATTATTCCACTACCACTGCTGGGATTGACTTTTGGAATCTATGGACTCTGGGTGCCTTCTATGACTCACCACAAAGTGAGATCTCTAGGGCCTATGCAAGTCTAGCACCTGAAAACTTGTAAGGGACTGGCTCTGTGTCTTCACATCTCATCATTGAGATTTAAGGTGAATGAATCAGACAGTCAGCTGGATATTTATAAAGTTCATCCTCTGTGCCAGGAAAAGGGGACAGACAGATCAATAAGACAGACACAGTTCTAGCATTTGGGACTCTGATCTAGTGTGAAAAACAAACCTGAAACAAATGACTTCAATTGCATTCACATTAATAGTCTGTGTAATCCATATGTTAGCTGTTCCCATGCTTGAAGCAAAGACCAATTCTTCAATTCCTCTTATTCACCTTTAAGAAGTCATTTGCCCCAAAGTATATATTTTACTGAAACAGATAAGACAAATTTGATCTCACTGGAAACATTATTTCACTCCAAATCTCCTTACTTGATATATCTTCCCAAGTCTCTCATGGCCACACAGCCACAAGCCTCCTCTCTCTTTCAGCAGCTCTGCCTGACACAGAATCTCTAAACCTCTCTAGCTCCAGTCCTCCACTTCTAGATCTTTTCCTGAGTCTCTTAATCCCTTCTCTCCTTTCTTAGGTAGAGCAAATTAATTCAGTCTCAGCGGTTTCCACCTTGTATATCTATAGTTTAAAACCAACTTAACAGGCTGAGCCTGGTGGCTTACGCCTGTAATCCCAGCAGTTGGGGAGGCCGAGGCTGGTGGTTTGCTTGAGTCCAGGAATTCGAGACCAGCCTGGGGAACATGGTGAAACTCCATCTCTACAAAATAATACAAAAATTAGCCGGGTACGATGGTGCATGCCTGTAGTCCCAGCTACTAGGGAGGCTGAGGTGGAAGGATCACTTGAGCCTCAGAGGCAGAGGCTACAGTGAGCTGAGATCATGCCACCGCACTCCAGCCTGGGTGACAAAGCGAGACCCTGTCTCAAAAATAAAATTAAATTAAACCTACTTAACAAACAAGATACCTAACAATTACCAGAAATTTCTGTCATCAAAAGACAGAGGAATATTTATATGATAATTTTTATTTTCCTCACTTATCTATATGCCTCCAGTCCTCATCCCACTTGCTGCAGTGTTTCCAGCTTTTTGTAGCATCCTCCCAGTTATTCTGGGAGTTCTAAATGGATATTTTGCATGTACTCATGAAGTGCCTTCAGTTACCAGATGATATCCTCCATCTTCTTCTGTTTTTGGTTTTGTCCCCTGTGATATTTCCAACTGTTGTGGATACCTTTGCTGCCTACATAGTTGAGTGAAGGTGTCTTGGCTCTGCTTCCAGGAGCTACAGCCAAGTGCCCTCCCTCCTTTTAGATAGAGCTGCCACTTCTATAGGCCTGATGATAGTCTTGATCCCTAAAAGTGCCTGAGCAGAGTCACAGAATATGGCACCCTTGGTGTGGTGAATCACATTGTGTTCAGAACACAAAGTAGGAGAATACTTTCCCACCCCTTTTTCCCCTATAAGTGGTTGTATAAATACCAGAGGACTATTTCCTTGAATCTCATTGCCTGGTGGTATTTTTGAGAAATAAATACTATTTTTTTTCATATATTTTGATTTTATTGTAGAGCAGGAGTGATGATCAAGATATCTAACAGATGACATGGCATAGGACCAACCATTTAGAATATTTCTAAAGTATAATCCGATTAATCAGATTGGCTGTTGGTAAGCATATCTTACCATACTGGTGCATCCTGATTTAATATTATCCCTGTTTTGGAAGATCATAACATGAATCTGTGAAAGCCCTGGGTTTCAGAGGAAAGGGACCTCTGAAGGGGGAAGTCACCATGTTGTTCTTGTTCCCTAAATTATAAGAAATATTTTCTCAATACTGAAGTATTGTCATAAACAATATAGCTCAGTGGGAAATGAATGTGAGCCTCACAGTTAGATGGATTGAGGATCAAATTCCTGTTCTGCCTCCTAAGAGATCATAGATCCTGGGCGATTAATCTCTATGGCTCCACATTTCTCATCAGCAAAATGGGAATAATAATATATAATATTACATAATTATGGGGGTTCTGTAAACATTAGATGAGAAAATTATTTGTTAAGTGTTAAAAAATACTATGAATTATTATTGTACTTTGCTCTTGCGTCTAACTCATTCTTTAGAATAAGTTTGGCTTTATCCTCAGTTCTTCATGCCTAGGGATTCTAGGCAAACTCACCCAACAAATGCAATGAATGTGGCCAGTCATGTAGTAACCAGATAGAGAGTCAGGAAGTTGCATCAACTGAGTCATTAATCAGCTCATTCATTTATTTGCTTATTCTTTCATTCCTTCAGACAAAGTGCATAGTGAATGTTGAGGAATCAATGATGACAAAGAGAAGATCACTTTAGCAGCTCACAGCAAAAGCAAGAGACAGATAAAAAAAAAGGCAACAATTAGCAAGCAACGTGAGCAGTGCAGTTTTGGAGACATGAGGAGAAGGTTATTGAAATTTAACACAGAGAGCATTTATTGGACCTGGAGAAATTAAGAAAGCTTTACCAAAGAATTATCAAAGACTGTTTCTTAGGATAGATTTAGGCACATTAAGTTCTGGTATAAATGGCTCTTGGTCCCTTTGGAAATTTCAGACTAAGTGGGACATTTACTAGGACTCTTTGTAAATATGAGATCAAAACCTTAAAGCCTACACTTCCTTATTCCAGATCTCTAATAAAACACAAAGCTTTTGGGTTCAAGCTACCACAGAATTCAATTGAACAGAATTGTTTAGTTCTTTATAAATATTTTATCCTTCATGGAGGTGTGGTAGATGAATTTTAATTGGCTTGTTCTTATTACTCGCTTATTATTATTATTATTATTTAGAAAGGGTCTCACTCTGTCATCCAGGCTGGAGTGCAGTGGCAATCATGGCTCACTGCAGCCTCAACCCCCTGGACTCAAGCGATTCTCTCACCTCAGCTTCCTGAGTAGCTGGGACCACAGGTCCTGGGCGTGCCACCACACCTGGCTAATTTTTATTTTATTTTATCTTGGGTAGAGACAGGGAGGGTCACCCTATGCTGCCCAGGCTGTACTCAAAATCCTAGTCTCCAACGATCCTCCCACTTCGGCCTCCCAAAGTGCTGGGATTACAGGCATGAGCCACTGAACCCAGCCCTACTCCCTAAATTTTAATGCATCCTGAATTCTGCCCCATTTCTGAATAATCAGCAACACACAACAGTGTTGCTGTTGCTTAGATGCATGATCCCAAAGACATATTATCTTTAGTGTGTCAGGATCCTTAAATGTACCTACAGTCTCCTTAACTGGAGTTCCAAAAACACCGGAGTCAATTCTGCACATCCTTGTGTTTTCTAATTACTTAAAATTCATCTTCAGACATTTTTTTTCAGAATGACACTAGTACTTCCAGTGTTATGGTTTAAGGTTGATTTTGTTTTTCTGCAAAAGAAATAAATCAGTCTCTACATTTTTCTCTGTCTCTTTGTCCCTCGACCCCTCCTTTTTTATTTGCATTTCAGGCTTCTCTTTCTTAGTGTCTACTTTTCCCTCAGGAAATTGTGCATTCCTGCTTTTCATTTATTCTAATTGCGAAAATTCACATGGATAAGGACACAGAGACGTACACAGACACACACGTGGAGGAACAGATTTTTAACAGTCTCGGCTATTTAAAAACACAGGAGCACTTTAATAGAAACCTCACCACTCATCCATTAGTCTTCTGCCAATTTTCTGCTGTATTTAGTTCTTCGCAAAACACTTCTAGGTGTCGGGTTTGGACTCTCTTCTTTCCATGGATAATTTTCAAATCAAGCATTATTGGAAAGTGTTCTTAGACAACCTGCATTTTGCCAGTGCACTTCATCTTTGTGGCTGTGCATAGGTTACCTGTCACTGTGTGTGTGCGTGTGTGCGTGTGTGCGTGTGCGCGCGCACGCGTGTGCTGGAAAAGGCCTGAATCACTTTGGAGAGATACTCTGGTTTTAACAGTGCTTTTTCTTCTAGGTACGTCACTTCTCCTGGTTTAGGACTGTAAATCAATGCAGCTGGAGCGCTTTTGAAATTGCTTTCATTCCTTGCAGAGATTTCCAAAAGCAGGCTGGCCTGGTGGTTTGAAACAGGCTCTGAGTCAGTTTGCCTGAGTTCACATACTGGCGCCATCACTTGCCAGCTCTGTGAATTACATCCTGTTAGCCTTTCTGTGACTCAGTCTTCCCATTGATAAAATGGGGTTAAACGGATGATATCCGTGATCTTAGGTTTGTTGGAATGATTAAGTGAGATAGTGTGTAAGGAGTGCTTCGCCTGGAAAACAGTAAGGTCTTAATGCATGCCATTATTATTGTTGCACAGGAGTGATACATGACTCAATGAGGAGACACGCAAAAGTTCAAGAGGCTGCAAAAGTGGTTCAAATATTTTATTGCTGTGTTTGGCATAACTTGCTTCCATATCTGTCCAATCAGAAATTTGTTATTTGGTGTGGAAAGGACTGATGAATCTCGGCAAGGTTTCTTTCCCCAAGTAAATCGCATTTGTTCTGGAATTTGTTTTGACCTCTCCTCTAACTTCTCCCTAAATGCCCATCTCTAACCACTACGGACCTTCACCCACTGCCCTGTTCTCCTTCCAAGACATGGGAGATGACAGCTGTGGCTTCTGTTTTCACACCATGACTGCAGTTGTCTAAAAGCCCTCCCAGTTCCTAATGAAAATCCCAACTCATAATTCAGGTTTTCTGCATCTAGTAAAGATCTCAAAGCCGTTCCCTAAATTCTACAATTATTGCCTGTTTATGTTTATGGGTCCCTTTGTTCAAATGTTTATACGCTGCCTGTGGGAAATCATCTTCTGATAATTTTTCTTTCTTCCTTCACAGAAGCACAGAGATGTCTCCTGTACAGCCCATTGCTGGCTGTTAGCACACCTGATATATGCTTGTTCTCACATAGTATGTCTGTGCAGCCACAGGAGGTTTTTATGTGGAACTTCCACACCAGTGTTAAAGACAGCCATAGCCACCAAAGAGATCCTTGTAAAATACAGGATTAGGATATACCACAGGAATTAATAATTCTCAAGCCACTGCTTTAAATTGTAGCCACATTGTTTTTGTAGGGAAGTTGCTCAATTTATATACACAGAACATGAAGGGTTGCATTCTGATCAGGACACCAGTTTCATTTAAGAACCCTATACCAAAAGGTACTTAGATAACCCTCTTTAATATGCACATACTATATTGCTTTGTGCAACATATTGCTTTGAGCAACAAATGATGCTAATTTTCTTGCTAATTTGATCCTCTCTGATTATTTTCTTCAACTCCTAAAAGTCTAAGTGAATACAATGAAAGAATACCATCTGTAAAAACTGTTTTTTAACATATTTTTCCTCAGAGTCAAGAATACATGTTTTTTAAAGACATTTAATAATGATATGGGTTTATCATTCTCTATCAAAAATAATTCCATTGGACATTATGCCAATTTTCTTCTTAGGGTCCCTCGACTAAATAGTAACTTTAAAAACATACTGCTAGTTTGCTATATTTTAGTAGGTCAGCATGCACACCAAAAGTGTATTAAGGTGGACTGCTCTATTTATTGATTTGCCATGAATCTGCTAAAGGCTCAAGGCAATTGTCTGTGGAAAGGGGCGGGAGGGCCATACATGATCGAGGTCATGCGCATCTAGCCAATTTGTAAGACGATCCCGCCGCCCTAAGCCATCAGCAATCCTTAGTATAGGGGCACACTCATGCATTCCTGTCAAGTCATCTTGTGAAAGGCTGCCTGCTTCCAGCTTGGCTTGGATGTGCAACCTTAATAAAACTCACTGAGGTCTGGGAGAAAATAGCAGATCTGCAGCAGATAGGGTAGAGGAAAGGGTCTAGAATATGTACACGCAGCTGACTCAGGCAGGCTCCATGCTGAACGGTCACACAGAGAGGAAACAATAAATCTCAGCTACTATGCAATAAATATCTCAAGTTTTAACGAAGAAAAACATCATTGCAGTGAAATAAAAAATTTTAAAATTTTAGAACAAAGCTAACAAATGGCTAGTTTTCTATGATTCTTCTTCAAACGCTTTCTTTGAGGGGGAAAGAGTCAAACAAACAAGCAGTTTTACCTGAAATAAAGAACTAGTTTTAGAGGTCAGAAGAAAGGAGCAAGTTTTGCGAGAGGCACGGAAGGAGTGTGCTGGCAGTACAATGACAGTTTTCCTTTCCTTTGCTTTCCTCGCTGCCATTCTGACTCACATAGGGTGCAGCAATCAGCGCCGAAGTCCAGAAAACAGTGGGAGAAGATATAACCGGATTCAACATGGGCAATGTGCCTACACTTTCATTCTTCCAGAACACGATGGCAACTGTCGTGAGAGTACGACAGACCAGTACAACACAAACGCTCTGCAGAGAGATGCTCCACACGTGGAACCGGATTTCTCTTCCCAGAAACTTCAACATCTGGAACATGTGATGGAAAATTATACTCAGTGGCTGCAAAAAGTAAGTGATTGCTTTCAGTTTCTAATAGCACGGACCTTTTTCCTTTCTTGCACTGCAGCTAACTTAAAGTTCCTTAGGGGAGCATTTGTGTATTTACCTTTTGCTCCAGGGGGGCAGTGTTTGCAATTGCAAGACGGCTGTCTGGGTTTGGCTTCCTGGGTAAGCCAAGGTTTGGGGGCTTGCCCAAACCTATGAATGTGTGGGGGCACCCCGTTTGTGTGTCTAGCCCTGGCAAATTTTATGACATTTTTGGTTTCTCTTTTCTAAAGTTCAGCATTAAGGTTCTCTCTGTCAAAACACTACCTTAAGAAAGAAAGTATGTACCTCTTAAGCAAGTTGGTGAAAAATAAATAATAATGACAATATTAATTAATAAGATCAAATCGATTTTGCACCAGAAAATTTTGTGCCGCTGGGGTGGCAAATCATCACAAAGTATTTGTTTTTTTAACCTTTATAAAAATTAACATGAAGTGAGAGTAAATATAAAATATGATATTTGGTTGGAGAAATTGTATATTTATGTAAAGGGAACTGTTAGTTTCAGCAAGTGGTAGAATAGTAGACTGATTTCTGTTAAATATTTTTTTCTTCTGTCCTTGAGAAAAAAAATTAAAAAGATACATTGTAATGTTAACTGTCGGAAAGGGGTTGCTCGCTCACGATGAGGGCATGCTGGCTGTTGAGGAAGACATGCACCTGCAGATATGGGCTGAACGCAGCATGTAGTCTACTATATTCCTGAAATACCTCCCTTCTCAGGGCATTGTAGTTAGAGACAGTACCTGGCGAGTTTAAGTATCCATGTTATTTGATGAATGTTAATGTTGAGTATGAATGTAATCTCAATTTATAGAAATCAAATCGAATAGTTTATCCAGTTATTTATCTACAAACCATTTAAGTTTTTGTTGAAGATAAGCCTATTAAATTATGAACACACTTCTGCAATTCATTCTGTCTTTGCACTCTGTTTAATAATAGGCAGCCGAGAATAAGTATATTCAACTGACTATGCTACTAGAAGGGAGGCAATGTCTCAATTTGTGAAAAGCTTCTCTCCCTTGTTAATGGATTCACTTGGTACATGTAGATAGGTATGCAATCAGGCTTCTTTAAGTTAGTCTGTTAACCGGGCAATCCCTTTAAAAAGATAAAAGATAGGGAAAGGACAAATGCTCTATTTTGTTCCTGTGTGGTCACACTCACTTAGGTCATTGCCTGCTGAATCATGCCAAGTAATAGTTATTCTACTTTTGTCCACTAGGGACTGAACTAAGATCACTGTTATTTTATTTGACACATTAACTGGAACTTAGTAGTTCTACAGTTTCCAAAGCTGATATTGTAATCTTTCTATTACAGACTATAGGACTGTAATAGGCAATCAGTAGGTAGGCAGAAGAATAAAAAGCAAACAGAACTCTCAGGTTTTTTACAATTGTAGCTGAAATTTTATGCATTACTTTCAGTAGTAGTTTATAATAGGATGTTTGTATTTTTCTTTGGTAAAATTTATTTCCATTGTAAACAAATGATTTTGGTTGAACAGCTTGTTATTATTCTTCAGTACACCATCCGTATAGTTTTTAGTGAGAATTCAATCATTACATATTAGTCTGGATTCTTTGAGGGAACGGGAAGGAAAATTTAGTCCCAAGTTATCCTGAATGATCTATTCTACCAAAAACGTAATGTTTTGTTTGCTTAAAGCGTATAATCACAATAGTGATTCAAACATAGTAATGCATATTTCTTGTTGCTATGCAATTATTCAGCAGTGACAGGGTAAACACATAATTCTGCTGGGCTTAAATCATGCACGTGTTTCATATGTTAATTTATTTTGCAAAATAAATTTGATTCTTGTTTGCATTGTTCTTGGTCAATGATTATGGGATAGCTTTCAGATTATAGCCAAGAATAACTATTAAAATGTTCTTTGGTTACATTCACCCTTTCAAGTGTAAAAATCAAGCTGAATATATGCTGAAAACGTCCCTATTGGTATGAGTCAGAGCAATGTGGCTTGACTATTGTCAGTTTAAATTTGCATATCTTTTGTCATTGTCAATGTGATTGGTTGGAGGATCAAGAAACCAAAAAATGCATTCAGCAAAGAACTTGCTAAAGGCTTTCATAAGTTTCCCTTAATTAGGAGTTTTCTTCACTCCAAGTTCTAAACTTCATGTGATATTTTTATTCTGATAATTGAAATGGAAATCTTTTTACTGTAACCATTTGGTATGCTCAGTACTGCAATTTGTATTACTTCTATTTTGATTCCAAGTAGTTGCCATAGGAAGAAGCAACACCCTGCAGAAACTGAGGCTATCAGTGTATGTAGGTGAAATTAATTTATCCATTTATTTGGCAAAATAATTAATCAAAGCATAGTGATTATTATGCAGCTCATGGCATCGCTATCAGGAAAGGTTTTGAGGCAGAATAGATGTGTTATCAACTCTAAATGAAGCTATATGATAATTATGTTAATCCATCACCTTCCATGAAGGGAAACCTCCTTCCTCAACTTTTCTGGTCTTGCAACTGAACAGGATGAGAAGCAAGGCATGCAAGGGGGCAAATGATTTGTGGGTCACCATAAATACTGGAACTGTTATGGCACTGCTTTCTTGATGTGATGGATTTAATTCAAAGAAATCAACTTTCCATAATCACTTGTCGATTAAAATGAGGTAGGTTGATAGCATTATTGTGACATCTCAGACCAGGAAGGGTGGTGTGAATAATATGCCTAACATCATAGTTTTATTTTGTGAAACACCTGGGTGTGTTTCTGGTTTGATCTCTTCTGTAATACAGCTCTTTTTGGAATTATTAGCAAGTCATAGTAAATACCTGAGAGTGACCAGCTCTTAGATAAGTAATGATAAATACAGCTGGCCTCTGTGTCTTTGTCACTTTCTTATGATCTCTCCCTACCTCTCTATGACAGTGAAACATTTAGCCCACATCCTGTACTTTGTGAACTATTGTTTTCTGTCTCCCACATCTCAAAAAGTTCACAAAGATGTACATTTAAAATATTTAGATTTAAATATGTATAATGTTCTAAGATTTGGGGAATCCTTAGAAGATCTGTTTTGCTTTTGCCAAATGATGTCTTTTTTTGTTAAAAGTTTAAATAAATTGAGTCAATAATGCCTTGTAACAGAAAACAATAGTCTATTTGCTATACATATTTTACACTAGCTAAAATTGATGACTATTAATGGAAAATATAGTTATGAATTGCCATCCAGAATATTTTAAGAAATACAAAGATTTTACTGGACTATTTAGCTGTTTTTCTATTGACAACATTTTTTGGTTAAGGATGTCCCCTATTTGCATATTGTATTCTTTTCTTCAGAGTTAAGATTTGAAATGCTATTACCCAAAACACATTGATGATGACGATTTTTTTAAACCCATATATTACATATATATTAATCCCTATTAATATCCATTAGAATGTGACCTCCATGAGGCCAGTGACCATGTGTGTTTGTCCAATGTCATAACCTCAGTTCCCAGAAGAGTATATAACATATTTATAACAGATATGCAATAAATATGTGTTAAATGAAAAAATGAATGCATTATCTATTGCATTCTGCACTTTACTGTCTACTGTCAGCATTTTATTCGAGGTATACACCTTACCTCTTCAATAGATTGTAAGTTGTCCTATAGGCAAGGACTATAACCTATGGTTATTTTTGTCCTAATACTAGTTAAAACAATATTGGGTCCAGAGTAGGTGGTTATTAATTATTCAAATTATATTTAACCAGTAATCTAGAATCTCAAAAACTTCTCTAGTCACTCCAATTCATCTTCTTAATTATTCTTTAAGGGTCAGCTCTGTTGCCAGTTTCTCCAGGAAATCTACCCACACTCCACTTACCCTCCCAGGCTGAGTTCTCAAATGTCATCACAGTACATTGACTGTATCATGTTAATGCTGTAGTTCAAAGTTGTTGTGGTGGTTGTTTTAATTGTTTGTTTCTAGGCTTGTTTTCCCACCTAGACTGTGAGTTCCTCAAGTGTAGTAAATGTCGCTTATCCATTTTTATACCTCTGAACATGTTCATTAAGGGTCTGGATTAATTTTTTGTTATTGTAATAATCAGTTTTTAAGAAATCAAGTGCTCAAGTGTATAGTGGTAACTATAAAATAGTGAAAATTAAGGGACCTTGTAACTACTTTAAGATGCTAAAGTCTGCTTAAATGTTAGCACTAGGCTACTTGAGGGTCAGCTAGATATTCCTTTGTACAATAATGTTTTGTACTTCTATAAGCACAAGAACTTAGTATTTCTTGTTCAGTACAGTAGGGAGCCATTTACTGCATACATCTGTATAATATGTATATATCTGTATACTATATGCACATGAGAACTTAATTATAATAATATGCATCTGTATAATATGTGCACATGAGAACTTAATTATATTAATATACATCTGTATAATATGTGCACATGAGAACTTAATTCTCACTGGTATATTATTGTTTTGGTGGCCGGTGGTGGCTGTGCAACAGTCAGAGAGAATGCTCTTATGTTTTATTTTCACATTTGTGGGAACTTCCTAAATGTGTGAAATGGGTACATATTGGCCGGGCGTGGTGGCTCACACCTGTAATCCCAGCACTTTGGGACGCCAAGGCGGGCAGATCACCTGAGGTGAAGAGTTCGAGACCAGCCTGGCCAACATGGCGAAACCCTGTCTCTACTAAAAATACAAAAACTTAGCTGGGCCTGGTGGTGTGTGCCTGTAATCCCAGCTACTAGGGAGGCTGAGGAAGGAGAATGGCTTGAACCCAGGAGGCGGAGGTTGCAGTGAGCTGATATCGCACCACTGCACTCCAGCCTGAATGACAGAGCGGGACTCCATCTCAAAAAAAATAAAGTAGATATTTAGTAAGTATGATTTTAATAATTTGTCACTAAACGTGAAAATAAGATACATGCACAATTTATGCCTAGAGATTGGGAAAAGTAACAGTTGCTGAGAAAGATTAATAGAAATAATGATCTTTTAAATCGAGTTGTAGAAATGTCCCCATCAACTTCATTTGAAGAATAGACCTCTGATTTTCAAGCCAAGTAAGAGCCCTTCAGAATCTGTATTAACTTTTCAACAAATAGTTCGGTATTATTGGTTGCTTGTTACATTTTAGAATCAAAAGATCCAAAAAAAACCCTTTCAGACCCAGAAGTTAGGCAGTTAGTGTTATAACAGCCTTTTGGTAAACTGTCTCCATTGAGAGAGCTCAGGTTTTAGGGCTATGACAAGTAGGTCCTTTTCTATGAGTTTCTATGGGCAATTACAGTTCTTCCTTACCCCTGACTGTACCATTTCACATTGAGCTTTCTTTTAATAGCACTCCTCTCATATAAAGGTATTGGCTTAATGTAATTTAAATGAATAAGAATGTCATTTCCCCCCTTAAAATCCTCCTACAACTTCTCATTACATAGGAATAAAATCTGAATTCTTACCAGGAGGTCTTATATGATCTGCCCCACACCTCTCACTGGCCCCATCATTTACTACCTTCAAACGACATTCCAGACACTCAAGTGACATTGGCCTTCTTGTTATTTCTCCAACAGACAGGCTCATTCCTGCCTCAGGGACTTTACAAGCTGTTTACTCAGCTCAGAAAATTCTTCCCCCTGATCTTTGCATGGTTGGCTACTTCTCTTCATTCAGGTCTTCACTCAGCAGTCTTCTCAGAAAGTCTCTGAGCACCATTACCTACCACCTTCCCCACTTTACTAAGAGACTTTCTACCTTATTATACTGTTTTATTTCTTCATGGTACTTGCTACTGCATAATGCTGTGTTACTTATTGTCTGTCAGATTATTTATTCTATCTCCGCCTACTAAGAATGCAAACTCCATTAGAGCAGCATCCTTGTCTATCTCGTTGATGCAGTATACCTTCTACCTAGAAGAGTGGATGACACATGGTAGAACCTTAATAAATATTTGCAGAATGAGCGACTCTCTATTTTCATAGACACTATGCTCTATGAGGTACATGATGCACCTGTCTTGTTCACTAGTTTTTATTTCTTCTTCTTTTTTTTTTAATCATTTCTGGTAGCAGATTGACTTTTCTAGCACAATGCTTACAGCATAGTTGGCTCTATTTATTATTTTTTAATAAATAGGGAAATAAATGAAGTCCATGAGCAGATTTGGACTATAATCAAATTGATGGGTGAAATTTGATGCAACTATATTTTACATATTACCTTTTTAACTACATAATGGCAGAAATTTTATTAATATTCTGAGTTTCCATCCTCTCTATCAAGGGTCAACAAGCGATGGCCCTTGGGCCAAATCCTTCCTGCCACCTCTGTTTGTAAATAAAGCTTTATTGAAGAACAACCACTTTCCTTCCTTTATATGTTGTCCGTGCATTTGTAAATAAAGTTTTATTGGAACAGAGCCACACTAATTCATTTATGTGTTGTCTATGGCTGCTTTCATACTACAAAAGCAGAATTGAGGAGTTGCAACAGAGCCTAAAATACTTAATATCCAGCCCTTTTGAGAAAAAGTTAGCTGACCCCTGCCCTATATTGCAAGAGGAATTAGTATTAGTATTGGGACCATTGCAAGGTAGATTGTAAGGTTTGTTGTGTGGGAAAAAGATCGCCCTCCAGGAGGCCCAGTAATCTTCAGGTTCATGCCAGTTGGCAGAGAGCCTGACTAAGCCATTTCTTGGCTGGGTGTCTGGACATGCTGTGAGGTGACATTTTAGAGGCACACAAACAAGGGAATTTCATGTCTTTTCTTTCTCCTGCCCATCATCACAAGAACAGGGAAATATTCCTAAAGCAGATACATATCAGAAAAGAAAAAAAAAGCACCTGAATAACAATACAGACCAGCAGCCTGTGGATAAACAAGTCTGGGCTACAGGATCTTCTGTGCTATGTGCCTGTTTCATCCTGTTGGTTGTGGCATTAGCAAGAATGCTGACAAAACACTAGAGCCATTCTATTTTCTTAGAAATGGGGCTTCAGCTCAGCCTCTTATTAGAAACCTTTCCCCCCTGTCATTTGTTTTAAGTATAAACATTAGAAGTGCTCTCACTTGTGCAGATGATGAGAGGGGAGGAGCGATAAGTGGGTAGCTCAGCTACAAAACACAGAGTTTTATCAGCCCCTGTGCTATAATTTGCTAATTAAGGAGGTTTTGTTTTCATTCTGCCACAGCCTTGTCTCTGTGTGGATACATTAGCAGCCTTTTCCTGGGCCTTGTGTTCTTTTCTTTTCTTCTTTTTTTTTTTTTAATACCGCAAGCTATATTGTGTCATTTGCTTAGATGCACAACCCTAATTACATTCTGAGTCATCCTCGACTTTTGTCCCAATACAAGATTATCTTTGGCGGTGGAGTTGGGAAATTCCAAACCCCCTTTGGTTTTGGCCCCATGGTCTGAGGGAGGGAGGGCATCTCCATGTTTAAATCTTCTTACAATGTGTACAAAAGATGTGCCCCCTCTCTTATCAAAGAGGTTTTTAAAGAATGACGCCCTCCATGGATTATCTTCTCTTTACATTTGGAGGCTATTTCCATGTAGGATCTATACCTGAATACTGTTATCTAATTCGAAATAATTAGAAGTGAGAGAGCTTTAGATTCATTTGGTCTTAGTTGTCTGCTCAAATAATCTGAATTTTTTCCTTCAAGCAAATGAAAAGGTGATTTTGAACAGAGAAAGTAGCTAATAATTTCATCCAGAATGCATTTAGGCCTATGAAGATCTTTTCTTTTGTCAGTAAGTACTGAAAAATATAGAGTAAGATAACTGTTGTTACTTGTTTATACTATACTACATGACTGTGCAGGTCACTTATTAGAGGTCTATCTAGGAATGTGTTTCCTAAGTTTGTGTTGAACTCTTGAAAAAACATGCAAATTAGCACAGGCATTGAGGTGTGTCTGAAGTAAATCAGCAGCTGAAATATGAATAAAATGCAAGTGAAAAAAATCTGAATATCTTAAATCACTAGTAATATGTACCTATAAGCGACCAAACTCACTGGCATCAGATAGGTAAACTTACTATAAATTTCAACGAAATGGCTTATGATAATTTTGAAGGATGGCATATTGTAAAATTTAGTGACGTGTGTAGCTCTATTCATTAGGAAGGAGTATGCTTTATTGGTAGTCTCCACTTTGTTTCTGAAGGTTAAATAAGTTAAATTACAATGCTTGACCCTTCAAGATTATTGGAGACTTTCCATTCCCAGAGAACCAATAAATATTTTAAAATCCCAAATTATAGTTCTTCTCTAAACCCTTAAAGATGAAAGATAGCCCCAGGATTTCATAAAACATTTTAACAATGTTCTTGTCTTCACTCTTGATATAGAGCTGACTAGATTAAAGTTCAGTAGGTTTTTATTGTAGCTCAAGGTTTGCCCCACCCAGCAGGTCTTGACATCCACCTTATTTTAATTGCACAGATATAAGGGGTGAGAATTGTAACCTTATTACCAGTATTATCAGTCTTCTTATTATTTTCTAATTCTACTCAGTTTTTAAATAATAAGAACAAAGGTATAAGGTTATAGTTGTTCTAATGCTTGTAGAATAAATGAATGGGTTTATTGAATAAGTTGAATATTTAATAACTTAAAATGTCAATAATAAAGACAATATTTTTGAATCAATGAACTGATGAATTTTAAATAATTCTTGGCAATCGAACCTGATTTTCAAATGAATTATTCCGCAGAAGTTTAATATCTAGAAACAAATGGAGAGGTTACAGAAGAAGTGGAGTGAGGCCTCCTTCTAAACCCTCTTCCCTTGGCCCTCCAAGAGCATTCCGCAGGGCATCCCATATGTCCAAAGGAACATAGTTTCAAAATAGCTGCAAGAAAACTTTCAAATAATCAAATATTAGTTAGGTAAAGCTGCCCAAACCTAGCTACTGGTGGGCACAAAGAAACATTACATTCGATAGTTTGAATTTGTTGCCAAGCTGTTGTAAGAACATCCAAATCTGCCTTACAGAAAGCAGTTTAAGGGTACCAATTGTAAATTTCAAAAACAAATGCAGATTGTTTTAGACTCTTAAAATACTGAGGCCCACCCATATTTCACATGACACAAATTTGATAAGATAATAGAGTACTCTTGGTTAATTAGCGGCAAATTCTATAATTTATCTAATCCTTTAATTATACAATTGTATGATAGTGTACACTTATCTACTTTTACCTTAAGAATGTAGTATTTGATGATTGCCTCATATTGTAAAGGATACTATTCACTTCAAGCAGAATTCATTGTCAAGAATAGTGAAAGAAAATCTGAATTTCAAGGAGGAATTTTGATATTTTCAAAATTCTCTGATGATTTGTTAGATCTACTTAGCTAACCTTGTTTTTTTACTTCTAATACATGGCACTTACCAAGAATAGAAATCTCAAGAACTGCTATTTTCTTGTACACATGTGCCAGTATTTTTGTGTTTTTTAAGACACTTGTCCATGTTGTAAATATTAATTTAGTTTAAACTATATAAAATAATCCATGAGTCCGTTTTCCCAAATACACTGAAGCTGTGCTATATCATAATGTGCTGAAAGAGGACAATCAAGTGAGGCAGCCCCATCAATTTCTTTAGCTCTCTGGAGCTTTTTCTTTTTCTTTCTTTTTTTTTTAGCAGATGAATGACGCACGGCCGCTTAATATACTGATGGTGTGAAGGCTCCAATGTTAGGCCTTATATGAATTTATTATTAACTTTCTTATTGTTTTAGAAATGAAAGTTCTAATATTTTTTCTGGCTTCCAAATGGTTTGCTTTTTTCAACCCCCACTTTGCTCATTCTGCACGTTAGAGACTTCTGAGATTAAAAGCAGGAAAGCAGAGGTGGCAAGGCAGCCCTCAGACCAGGCAAGACAAAAAGATTCAAAGGGACCTCCCGGCCTGTCTCTCCTTTTTATTTCTCTTGTCTCCTCCATTATTGTTTTTAATAAAGTCTCCTGTGATCCTCCCCATGCTGGCCATGGAGTGGGAGTGCTGCAAAGAGGATGGACGACAGGGAAGGTGAATGAACAGAGAGACCAGTGACTGTCCCTTTATTGGGACATGGGGGAGGGGTGACACAGTGAGGGACGGGGGACTATAGCAGTGTCAGGAGGACTGCTCCATGAGGGATGGCATGAGTTTTGTCATGCGCTTTTAGGATACAGGCAGGAGTCATAGAGCTTAGCACCTGCAATTAACAAAGGGCAGGAAACCAGTTAGCCAGTTACCTAATCAAATATGCACTTCAGCCAAGGTGGTCTGCAAGGTACTAGGAAGATGTAAGAAATTCACTAAAACCCCTGTTGTTGAGAAGCCTAAACCCACTGAAACAGACTTAAAAGCAAGGACATTGTTTGTGTCCACTATTTCCTATGGCAAGTTTAACGGTAGTACAGCCCAGTGATGAAGTGTGTCATGCCTAGAGTCAAACTGCTTGGATTTGAATGCTGATAGCACCACTGACTTGCTGTGTAACCTTGGGCAAGCTTCTTCACTGCTCTGTGCTGCAATTTCATTATGGGTGAAATTGAGGTGATAATAGTATCTATGCCATAGAGTTATTAAGTGCAAGCATAATACACATAAATTACTTTGCATAAGTCCTGTCACCTAGTAGGTGTTACGTAAATACTACTTATTACTAGGGGAAGTTCTGGGTACAGTGTTAGTTAAATATTGAGCACTTTTTCAAAACTGTTGAGACCATTGGAAAAACTTTACATGTGTTAATTCATTGAATACCTCAAAAGCCAATGTGAGGTAGATAGTGTTATAATTGCCTCACGTGGCAAATGAGGAAACTGAGGCAGGTACAGAGAGTGGAAGTAACTTGCCCAGGATTACGCAGTAGTTAAATTTATGGGCCAGCACTCAATCCCAGGCAGTCTGGCTCTATGACCTATGCTCTTAACCAAATATGAGATTAGCTGCAGCAACGTTTGCCATGTCTCCTCTTGTCAATCCTCAAACCTTAAGCCTATTTCTAAAAAATTTTTCTGTAGTTGTCTTTGTGTCTAAACCCTTAATTCTTTCATACTAAATGTGTTGCCCCTTTCTCAAGTTCTGTTTCACACAGCCATTTGTCCCCATCCACACTCTAAAGCTCCATGGTTAAATTGACGGTGGCACTGTAGGCTCTGTTGCTGATTGAAGCACAATAGCTGATTCTCTCAGCCCTCCCACAGGCCTGTTAACAGACCGCAGAATCCCACGTCTGCAGTCCCTACTGTGTAACTCCTTAGAAGCACCATCTCTTGAAGTTATAGAGCTTAATTGAGTCTGACTATTTATCTAAAAACTTCTAAAACACAAAGAAAGGCTTACAATTGCTTTACATGGGGCGAAGCCGCCTATTCTAAATATCTTCCATTCAATGTAATGACCTCCCTCTTGGATTTATCTGTAGGCAATCCTGCTTGGAAAAGTGAAAGTGCATTCTGGAACTTAAAATATTATTTGCCTGCACTTCCTTTTGTGGGTCATTTGGAGAGTTGTAAAAATGAGAAGAAAAACCTTGTTTCCTTAGGCAATGACCTCTTATCTCACTTCCTATTTTATTTATCATTGTCCCTATTAATGAAAATATTCCTGGTATTTTGGGCCCAAGCCAAGAACACTGCTACTTGTAGACAATTGTGATAGTTCTTCCTCTCGTTTTGTCTGATCTTGGAGGCCTGGCCACTCAAAATTTGGGTTTTGAGGGTCACTGCTTCCCTTGCTGAGTATCAGTTGCATGAGACAGGGAGGCTCTAAGCTACCCTAAATTCTCCCTGTCCATTCTTCTCCATAGAGACCCAAAGAGGACAAAGCAGGGTGGGGACAAAATAGATTTCAGTCATTCTTTTCACCCACCTTTGCATGGCGAGGTAAACCAAAACCTATTAAAACAGCACAACAACAAACAACTCAGCGCATATTCACTTGCTTGACCTGCGCTGTCTATTGAAAGCTGAGCACAAGCAATGTGTGGTGTGCGGGCATTGCAGGTGCCCAGTAGATACTGTTGGGATGTGTTCATCAATCAACACACGCTGTATTGCTCAAGCTGTTTGGGGGCCACTGTTTGGTCAGTGAAGTTGTCTAAAGGATACTTGTGCTAATGCTGAATAACAGAGACCTTTCCCCAATGTGCAGGAAACTATTAAGTTATAGAGTACAATTTTCTTGATTTTAAGGGTTTCTCACTTCATTGTCTCCATGTTTGTCATCTTCCATCTATTGTGTGTGATATTTATCATCTCTCAGGAGATAGCTGACAATACAGCAAATACATATTAAAGGAAGCTGGGAAGTGACCTCTCATGTTTAGTTGTACAGCTTGCATTACATGAGATACATGATTATCTACTGATATAACATAATCACATTTTCTGCCAAAGAAATTGCTGTTGCTTTCGGCACAAAATAATTTATCTGCAAAGAGAGCAATAGATACTGGATGTTCTGCCACATAGCAAGTGTGAAAATGACTTTTCTGCCAGACACAGTAGCTCATGTCTGTAATCCATCACTTTCGGAGGCCAAGACTGGTGGATTGAGCCCAAAAGTTCAAGACCAGCCTGGGCAACATGGTGAAACCCTGTCTCTAACAAAATAATATACAAGAATTAGCCTGGCATGGTGGCTGGCACATGCCTGTAGTCCCAGTGACTCTAGAGGCTGAGGTAGGAGGATCATTTGAGCCCGGGAGGTCGAGGCTGCAGTGAGCTGGGATCGTGGCACTGCACTCCAGTCTGGGTGACAGAGTGAGACTATCTCCAAAAACAAAAAGAAAAAAATAATGATTTTTTAAAATAAGGTATTAATAAATCTACCTTGGTAAACAGTGTCATCACCCAAACAAATATTTTAATACATAGCAGGTATTATCAAACCCACTTTACAGATAAGGAAACTGAGGGCCACTAAAGTCAAATGATTTTTAAGAGTTTACATATTTACTTTGAGGCAGATTGCAGAATTTGAACCCATACTCTGAGTGGTTAAATCTGAAGCTCTTCACTCTTCTTGCCTCTTTCACTTTTCTTTCACAAATTACAACAAATTCTGAATGGTGGGGAGCAGGGAAGAGATTCAGATGAATGATGATGTCTTGTAAGTTTTTGGAGAATCTATCCATACTAAATAACCATCTTTGGCAATGAGAATAATTTACCATACATGTGTATAAATTGCTGTAAGAAGCCTGATGTTCTTAGGGAAAATGCTTCCTAGGCATCTTTCCCATCCCAGCACAATTCTTAAAAAACTTTCACAAATATGTCAGAGGCAAATAATTCATTGCTATTTTTACTTTTCTTTTTAAATAAATGAGCTACTTAGACAAATTGCCTTAGTTGGAGTTATCCTGATATGAGCATACAAATAAAGATAATATTTTAAAACAGCTTATCTGTATTTTTGTTCAGGAACACTTCATTACAGTATTAGGTTGTATTTCTTATATTTCTTTCAGCTAAAAAACAAATAAAAAATAAAATATAGTCAATAGAGGAGAATCATTTAACATCTTCAACATTAATAAATTGGGTACTATTTGTAATATTCTGGGGAAGAGTCATCACTTAAAAGACCTTATGCCATATATGTTTTGAATTTTTTTAAAAGTTCATCAGTATGATAAGAATATGAAAAAAGTAGTCACTGATCTCCAGTCTATGCTTAGAAAAAAAGAAAAGAAAATTAATAAACACTTGTGAAGGTGAAACTGTCAGTATCTCTTACTGACAGTCAAGATAAACTAATGTACTAAGGAGACCTTGGTTCAAATAAATGATAAAAGCTGACAATAGCAGTGGAAAACTCATACTCAGCCTTCAACAAGGAAAGCTCTTAACTGAGAATTGAATATAGAGAGAAACTAAGAAGTCTTCCTGTCAAAGAGGAAAAAGAAATTTTTATTTTATGACTGTTATGTTTCATATGAGACTAAAGCTTACATACTTTGAGTTCACAAATCAAACTTGTGCAATTTGCAAGGAAAAGGTCATTAGGGAAATGAATTACCCTGAACATAAATTATCTCTATATAGTATCCTACTATTTTGAAATGTCTTCCATTGGATCTAATTTTGAAGATTATGGCCAAAAAGATATCATAAACAACTAAAGAATTCAAATAAACTCTATAAGCCTATTTTAAAGTTTTTTTTTAATGTTTCAAATAATTCACCAAATATTTGGAAAGCTCCTTTTCTGGTCAGATACAAAATATCCTCTTGTGAAAAATGAGATTAATGTATGTTTGTTCCTCCTCTGATTACTGGGCATTTGAGAAATCAATGGCGAAGTGGTGATTTTCATCAGAAGGACACATCATTCCAACCCATTCATTCAGTGGAGGTGTTCTGGAATCTTTAAGGAAGATCGAGTTTAAAAAATTATATATAGTTTTTAAAAGTTAGAACAAAACACACCCACCTCACCATATTTGAGTAATAAAGCTATGTAAAGACATACAGTTATTTCTTTTTTAATTTAACAAGGTAGAAAAAGTACAAGTAATAGGTAGAGAACAGGACTGGATGGTAAATGATTATAATAGCACTTCCTGTCTTATATGCCACCCTCTCATGAAGAGTTCCCCTCCCCTTGAATCTGGCTGGGCCATAAAAGGGAATTGAATTCCCATCTTGTGCACTACAATACTCATGCCCTGAGCTACTGTGTTAGAAGTCCATATACCCCAAGGCCATGGTGTTGTGAAGAAGTCAAGCCACATGGAGAAGGCATGTGTAGGTGCTGTGGTTAGTGAGTCTCCATATTTGAGTCACCTCAACTCAGGCTCTAGACATGGGAGCAAATGAGCCTTCAAAGCTTTCTGGTCCCCACCCATTGCACTATCTCTAGATTCGGAAAAGGTTCAGAACATCATGGAGTAGAAACAACCCATCCCTACAGTTCCTTTTCTGAAATCCTGACTCATAGAGTCTGACAGCCCAATGAACATAATCAAATAGTTGTTACAAACTACTAAATTTGGAGGGTAATATGACGGAACTTCAAAAAATTCATGGAAGAAAATAATTGAAAGATAAAAATGAAAATGTAAACTTTATTTCTTAACATAAGCTACATCAGGTTCAACTCACTCATATAAGCCGTGATACCAGCCATCTTAGTCCATCCCTAAAGAACTGAAGGTCCGGGAATTTAATCATTATCAATGCAGTCTTTTTTTCATTATTAACTGAAGGGAAATAAGTACCTGATATGGTTTGGCTGTGCCCCCACCCAAATATCATCTTGAATTGTAGTTCCTATAATCCCCACGTGTTGTGGGAGAGACCTCATAGGAGGTGAATTCGATTATGGGGGCAGTTTTCCCATGCTGTTCTCATGAGAGTGGGTGAGTTCTCACGATAGTGAGTGAGTTCTCACGGAATCTGATGGTTTTATAAGGGGCTTCCCCCTTCGCTCGGGACTCATTCTCTTTCCTGCAGCCCTGTGAAGAGATGCCTTCTGCCAAGATTGTAAGTTTCCTGAGGCCTCCCCCCAGACACTGGGAACTGCGGGTCAGTTAAACCTCTTTTCTTTATAAATTACCCAGTTTCGGGTATTTCTTCATAGCAGCATGAGATTGGACTAATATAGTACCTTTTACAGATTTTCTTTTCTTCTTCCTTTTTTTTTTTTTTTTTTTTTTTTGAGACAGAGTCTTGCTTTGTTGCCAGGCTGGAGTGTAGTGGTGTAATCTTGGCTCACTGCAACCTCTGCCTCCCAGGTTCAAGTGATACTCCTGCCTCAGCCTCCCAAGTAGCTGGGACTACAGGAGCCCGCCACCGCGCCTGGCTAATTTTTTGTATTTTTAGTAGAGATGGGCTTTCACCATGTTGGCCAGGATGGTTTCGATCTCTTGACCTCGTGATCCACCTGCCTCAGCCTCCCAAAGTGCTGGGATTACAGGCATGAGCCACCTCACCTGGCCCCTTTTACAGATTTTTAAAGAGTAAGAAACAAAAAAGTCAGAAAGAGCCAAATCAGGACTGTAAGGTGGATGCCTAATGCTTTTTCATGGAAAGTCTTGAAAAATTGCCCTTGTTTGATGAGATGAATTAGCACGAGCATTGTGGTTGTGAAGAAGGACTCTGCTGAAGTTTCTCTGGATGTTTCCATGCTAAGCATTGGCAAACTTTCTCAAAACACTCTCATAATAAGCAGATGTTATGGTTCTTTGGTCCTCCAGAAAGTCAACAAATAAAATGCCTTGAAGATCCAAAAAAACTATTGCCATGGCCTTTGCTTTTGACTGGTCCACTCTTTCTTTGACTGGACCACTTCCACCTCTCAGTAGCCATTGCTTTGATTGTGCTTTATCTTCAGGATCATATTGGTGAAGCCATGTTCTATCTCCTGTTACAATTCTTCAAAGAAAGCTTTAGGATCTCAATCCCACTTGTTTAAATTAAAATTTCCATTGAAAACTCTGCTCTTGTCTATAGTTGATCTAGGTTATATGGTTTTGTACCCATGAAGTTGAGTGGAAAATTTGCTCAATTTTAATTTTTCAGTCAGATGTGTAAGCCAAATAAATTGAAATGATTGTGATGTTGGCTATTGTTCATGCTGTTAGTCATCGATCCCCTTCAATTAGGGCATAAACAAAGAAAAAATTCTATGTGTGTGGATAGTCTGCTGCTGCAGGCTTCATCTTCAACATTTTCTTGTCCCTTAAAATGAGTTATCCATTTGTAAACTGCTGATTACTTTGGAGCATTGTCCCCATAAAATTTTTGTAAAGCATTAATGATTTCACCATTCTTCCAACCAAACTTCACCATGAATTTGATGTTTGTTCTTGCTTCAATTTTAGCAGAATTTATGTTGTTTTAATAAGGGCTCTTTTAAATAGATACCTTATTCTTCTTAGTGCCTCAAACTAGATCCTGTTCAGATAGGTTACAAGTTAGTACAAATGTATTTTGGGCAAACATTTTTAAACCCATGCATAGTTTTTTCATATTATGCACTTTCCATGAGCTTTTTGAAGACTCCCCTTTATATTAAATCAATAGCAGTGACTGGAACAGTCACCATTTACTTAGGCATACATGCAGTGCCTATCACTATAACAGGCATTGAAAAACAATGTATTAGACCTGAGGTCTGCCTTCCAGAAGATTGCATTCCAGTAAGACTTATGACATGGATAAAAATGTCATAAGGTTTGTTTTTAGGCAAATTTTTTTATTGCCTCTGTCTATTCTCAAAAAGTTAACTATTTCAGTTTCACATAAGTTTAGTAAGATTTAATAAATATAACTGGAAGACTGCATATATTTTTGTGCTCCTTTGAGTAAAATTGTTGTTAGTATTTTTATATCTACAGAATAGTATTTTTAAAAGCTTCATAGACCATCCACACTCTGAATTCCACAATATCAAATTGAAGTGCTATATAGTTTATGTGATTCTTAATGCTTACATTGTTTGAAATTTTTCTGATCATTAAAAATCATAAAAATCTCTGGGAATTTGGATTTTTGAGAATCTAGTCATGAAGTTATTTTATAACTCTATGCTACTTAACCTGTCATGTTTAGGCTGTAAGTTTGAATCCAGATGTTTCTGAAAGCTGTTACTGAGCATGGCTGACTGGTGATCTCTCAAACGTAAAATGAGTTAGCACCATCTGTTCAGTTCCCAGTGGTTTGAAATTCCTGCAGTAAAATCTATCCCAGATTTTCCCCTTCTTAAGTGATGAGCATAGAATCTGGACTTGAATGAAACAGGTATAGGAACATTCTTTAAATATATGAGGTGCTTTGCTTATTACATTACATATTGGTTGAAACTTTTTGGAAAAGAGCATAACAGTAAATACAAAGAACATAGCTATTTTCAAATCTTTTAACTCAGTAATCCAATTTCTGGGAATCATTCCCAAGGAAATAATTTAACAGAAGGAAAAAGCAACATATATGAACATGCTCATTGCAGCCACCATAGCAGGAACACAGGAAACAATAGGTATTATTTATTTGGTATTTGTTTCAATACCTTGCACACATGATCTCTAATCCCCAAAACAAAAAAAAAATCTGGAAGATAAACATTACCCACAATCTTTGAATAAGGAAATCACATACAAGCTCCCACAAGCAGTAAGTGGCAGAACCGTTAAGACACTCCAATCCGGGACCCTCTGACGAAAGATCATGTCTTCAGTGACCCCATGACTGCAACTGTTAAAATCACGTTTTAAAAAGAGAAGATGCCCACCAGATGTTGTGTGAACAAGTAGGTTATATACCTGAATAACTGAAATAATAGCTAATATTTTGGGCACTTAGTATGAACCAAACTCTGGGACAGATACTTTAGGATATTATTTTATTTCATTCTCACAACTCTATACACACATACTGTTATTGTCCTCAATTTATAAAAGCTGTATGTATGTAATAGCACTGAGTTTGTGTGTGGGGTGGGTGGAAGATCACTGTGCATTTGTAGGCATGCACATAAAACTATTGACAAGGAACATACCCAAAACATTCACAATGAATAATTTTTAATGGAAAAATTGAAGAGTTTTAAACATTTTCTCTTTTATGAAGATTATGTGTATTGTACAATATAAGCATTGACACTTTTATAATCAAAGCAATCTTTATTTATTTATTTATTTTGAGATGGAGTCTCGCTCTGTTGCCCAGACTGGAGTGCAGCCGTGCGATCTCAGTTTACTGCAACCTCTGCCTCCCAGGTTGAATCTATTCTCCTGCCTCAGCCTCCCCAAGTAGCTGGGACTACAGGCGTGCACCACCACACCCAGCTACTTTTTGTATTTTTAGTAGAGTGGGGTTTTCCCATGTTAGCCAGGCTGGTCTCGAGCTCCTGACCTCAGGTGATCTGCCCACTTCAGCCTCCCAAAGTGCTGGGATTACAGGCATGAGCCACCACGCCCGGCAGATTTTTTTTTTTTTTGAATAGGTATATTTAGACTGAGGCCAAATAAAAGAAGCAGGAGTGATGTAAAACAGATGGGATCTTGACTCCATGAAATTTTGACCATATTAAAATTTTCATTATTTTTCAAAATAACTGTTGCAGAGAAAACAAATATAAAAAGATCTTTAGAAATAGTAGCAGAATCTTGTAGAAAAAAAAAAAACAGGAGAAATATTTTGGAACAGGGTTTTTCCATTGGTAACTTCATTTTTTACTACCGAAGCAGCTTTCTTCCTGTAAGACCAGCTCTCAATTTACTTTACTCATGTCATGGTCATTTATTCATTTTATACCAATTTTTATTTCTTACTTTCCCTTGTCTTTACTTTCATGTAAAGACTTATGTTGAAAGCACCCAAAACGGTGAATTACAGAGAAAGAAATTGGGTCGGGGTAGTCCAAAATCCTTGGCTAATTTTATTCTTTTTTTTCAAAGGAAGAAATACATATAAGAAATTTTGTTTGAGATGAACAGAAGTAAGTTATAAAACAGAAGGAAAGTGAATGAGCTAGTTTTATAGAATATAAAATCAAGATTAATTTCTCCAAGACTTAATGTGGCAAAGAAAGCAGGAATAAATACTTGAGAGAGAGATTAATGAAGTTATGATTATGTGAGATGATAAGTATGAAATTACTTCACAAGATCTTAATATCTATCCCAGTGCAAATTATATTGACAGCCAGAGCTTTTCAAAAATTTAGAACCAATCATGACATTGCCGTAGTGAAAACACACGGACCCATGGTATCCTCAGAATGAAGTTCAAACTCTTAAATCTATCTTTATAAGCTGGCCCTGGCTTACTACTCCAGTCTCATCTTTCACAATTTCTCCATTGTTCTTTATGTTCCAGCCACGTCTAAATGTAGCAGTTCTGTTACAATATCATGATTTATTTCTCTTCCTTAACTTTGTGCAAACTGTGACCCAACAAATTCCCTAACTCTCTCCCGCTCCATCCTCCATATTGTAGTTAATAAACGAATGGATGGAGAGGTGAATGGACATATGACTGCAGGGATAAATGAATGAGTAGGTGTGATAGGTCAGGCAATTCAGTTTTAGGGAATGGAATTTTACAGGTAAGGTGACAAATAAAATGATAGAAACTTACTGTCAAACTTTTAAAGGACATAGGCATAAACAGTAGTAGTAGTGAAACAACGGGTTTGGATTCTGTGGTTGCATTATGCAAGGGTGGATAATTGGAAGCTGGGGTGCTATGGAGAGTGGCCCACACAGCCCTGACACTTCCTTAAAGTAATACAGAAATAAGCAAGCAGATAAAAGGATGGAGAAGCAGCTAGAGAACTAGGGAAAAGGTTGAATTCTGAGGGGAAAATCATAATGAACATAAGTAAATAAAAATAAACCAGAAGTCTTCATCAAAGATAATACTAGGATTTTAGAACTGGGGTCATCACAAGAGTGCTTTGCTCAGGCAATACGTACTAAATTTTAAAAAAGCAAATATTTCTGCATTTGTGTCATATGGAGCTGTTTAATTTCAGATGACTTTACAAGGAATTCTTAATATTACATAACATGAGATTGATTCCATTCTCATTTTTCTAAATGTGAGGAGGAAACGACGATCCTAAGGTGCTTTCAAATTTATTTATTTATTTATTTATTATTATACTTTAAGTTCTAGGGTACGTGTGCACAACGTGCAGGTTTGTTACATATGTATACACATGTGCCATGTTGGTGTGCTGCACCCATTAACTCATCATTTACATTAGGTATATCTCCTAATGCTATCCCTCCCTGCTCCCCCCCACCCCATGACAGGCCCTGGTGTGTGATGTTCCCCTTCCTGTGCCCAAGTGTTCTCATTGTTCATTTCCCACCTATGAGTGAGAATATGCGGTGTTTGGTTTTTTGTCCTTGCAATAGTTTGCTGAGAATGATGGTTTCCAGCTTCATCCATGTCCTTACAAAGGACATGAACTCATCCTTTTTTATGGCTGCATAGTATTCCATGGTGTATATGTTCCACATTTTCTTAATCCAGTCTATCATTGATGGGCATTTGGGTTGGTTCTAAGTCTTTGCTATTGTGAATAGTGCCACAATAAACATACATGTGGATGTGTCTTTATAGCAGCATGATTTATAATCCTTTGAGTATATACCCAGTAATGGGATAGCTGGGTCAAATGGTATTTCTAGTTCTAGATCCTTGAGGAATTGCCACACTGTCTTCCACAATGGTTGAACTAGTTTACAGTACCACAAACAGAGTAAAATTGTTCTTATTTCTCCACATCCTCTCCAGCACCTGTTGTTTACTGACTTTTTAATGATCGAATTCTAACTGGTGTGAGATGGTATCTCATTGTGGTTTCGATTTGCATTTCTCTGATGGCCAGTGATGGTGAGCATTTTTTCATGTGTCTGTTGCCTGCATAAATGCCTTCTTTTGAGAAGTGTCTGTTCATATCCTTCACCCACTTTTTGATGGGATTGTTTGCTTTTTTCTTCTCAATTTGTTTGAGTTCTTTGTAGATTCTGGATATTAACCCTTTGTCAGATGAGTAAATTGCAAAAATTTTCTCCCATTCTGTAGGTTGCCTGTTCACTCTGATGGTAGTTTCTTTTGCTGTGCAGAAGCTGTTTGTTTAATTAGATCCCATTTGTCAATTTTGGCTTTTGTTGCCATTGCTTTTGGTGTTTTAGACATGAAGTCCTTGCCCATGCCTATGTCCTGAATGGTATTGCCTAGGTTTTCTTCTAGGGTTTTTATGGTTTTAGGTCTAATGGTTAAGTCTTTAATCCATCTTGAATTAATTTTTGTATAAGGTGTAAGGAAGGGGTCCTGTTTCAGCTTTCTACATATGGCTAGCCAGTTTTCCCAGCACCATTTATTAAATAGGGAATGCTTTCCCCTATTTCTTGTTTTTGTCAGGTTTATCAAAGATCAGATAGTTGTAGAAATGTGGTATTATTTCTGTGGGCTCTGTTCTGTTCCATTGGCCTATATCTCTGTTTTGGTACCAGTACCATGCTGTTTTGGTTACTGTAGCCTTGTAGTATAGTTTGAAGTCAGGTAGCGTGATGCCTCCAGCTTTGTTCTTTTGGCTTAGGATTGTCTTGGCCATGCAGGCCCTTTTTTAGTTCCATATGAACTTTAAAGTACTTTTGTCTAATTCTGTCAAGAAAGTCATTGGTAGCTTGATGGGGATAGCATTGAATCTAGAAATTACCTTGGGCAGTATGGCCATTTTCACAATATTGATTCTTCCTATCCATGAGCATGGAATGTTCTTCCATTTGTTTGTGTCCTCTTTTATTTCATTGAGCAGTGGGTTGTAGCTCTCCTTAAAGAGGTCCTTCACATCCCTTGTAAGTTGAATTCCTAGGTATTTTATTCTCTTTGAAGCAATTGTGAATGGGAGTTCACTCATGATTTGGCTCTCTGTTTGTCTACCATTGGTGTATAAGAATGCTTGTGATTTTTGTACATTGATTTTGTATCCTCAGACTTTGCTGAAGTTGCTTATCAGCTTAAGGAGATTTTGGGCTGAGACAATGGGGTTTTCTAGATATCCAATCATGTCATCTGCAAACACGGACAATTTGACTTCTCTTTTCCCAATTGAATACCCTTTATTTCTTTCTCCTGCCTAATTGCCCTGGCCAGAACTTCCAACACTATGTTGGATAGGAGTGGTGAGAGAGGTCATCCCTGTCTTGTGCCAGTTTTCAAAGGGAATGCTTCCAGTTTTTGTCCATTCAGTATGATATTGGCTGTGGGTTTGTCATAAATAGCTCTTGTTATTTTGAGATATGTCCCATCAATACCTAATTTATTGAGCGTTTTTAGAATGAAGGGCTGTTGAATTTTGTCAAAGGCCTTTTCTGCATCTATTGAGGTAATCATGTGGTTTTTGTCTTTGGTTCTGTTTATATGCTGGATTACATTTATTGATTTGCATATGTTGAACCAGACTTGCATCCCAGGATGAAGCCCACTTGATCATGGTGGATAAGCTTTTTGATGTTGCTGGATTCGGTTTGCCAGTATTTTATTGAGGATTTTTGCATCAATGTTCTTCAGGGATATTCATCTAAAATTCTCTTTTTTTGTTGTGTCTCTGTCAGGCTTTGGTATCAGGATGATGCTGGCGTCATGAAATGAGTTACTTTGGATTCCCTCTTTTTCTGTTGTTTAGAATAGTTTCAGAAGGAATGGTCCCAGCTCCTCCTTGTACCTCTGGTAGAATTTGGCTGTAAATCCATCTGGTCCTGGACTTTTTTTGGTTGGTAGGCTATTAATTATTGCCTCAATTTCAGAACTTGTTATTGGTCAATTAAGTTTCATTTGTCTCACATTCCATTCCCGTTCCCTTTGCAAATCCCTATGCATTTGCAGGTTTTACAGCAGAGAATGTTCAGGACTTGAGTTAAATTACTTACTAAGTCTAAGGGTAATGAGCCTTACATTGTGACTTGTGTCCACTTAAACAGACACACTTGTACAGTACAATACTATCGGGCAGGATATACACTGCACTGTTCCATTAGTGTTACATACATATTTACCTAAAGGCATGATTTTATTCTTTTAAGTCTGTTTGATCCTTCAGAATTGAGTGAATCCTACTGAAAAAGTAAAGCTCTATGGTTCCATTTTGAAAATAAAATTATTAACAAATTCAGTGAAGAATAATTTAAGTACTAAGAGTCTGTCTGAGAGGCATTAAGGTACATTAAGTGATATTTATTTGCTCACCAAGATGTCTCATATGAGCTTTTTTTTTAGACAACCTGACTCTGACCTTGTGTTTTCAATTGGGTCATTACATGTTTGCAGGCATGTGAATTCTGTAATAGCAAACTGTGAAATGCTTTTCATCATATAGCAAGCGGATCATGCTTTATAAAGCTTTTTGTGACTTGTATAGGAAAAAGAAATTCCTGATTAATATTAAGACTGTGCATGCTTTGGTAGTTCTGCCAGTTTATGATAAAATGTTTGAATAGAAACCTGGTTCTGTGAAAACAGAAATTCCATGTTTGCTGAGAAAGAATAATGGTTTTGTTACATCAACCATGTGGATATTTAAGCAAACACATATTTATGCCTAGAAATAAAGTAGGCTCAATGGGAAATTTACATTCTCTTAAAAACCCATACTCTTCTTGCATTCTCATGATTTTATGTCATGAAGTCTTATTCACTTAAATGACCACAACCCCTGGAGAATTGAAGAGCTCAAACCAGGGATATCCAGTACTGGTGGTAGTGGAGATGGGGGAGTCATTTACATTCTTTATGATGGGAAATAAATGGGGCAAAATTACAAACCTCCAATTAGCCAACACTTTTCTTCTTTAACAAAAAGATAAATCACACTCTGCCATGCTTCCTGCTTTTGTTGTATGGGAAGGTGTTATTTTATAAGACATAATGTTCTTATATGTATGTGTGTGTGAGTGTGTGTATGTGTGAGTAGTTTTCCTTTCAGCAAGTGATGGATTATAGGTGTTTATTGAGCAGGCTGCTTTACCTGTTTAACTTCAAATTTCTGTGTCTATGAAATGAGAATAATAATGGTTTCCTCCTAAGGTTCCTATAGTGGTTTTATGAGATGAGAATCACAGCATGCCTAATAACAAAGCTTGGTATATAGAATATGTTTAACAAATTATAGCCATTTCTTATTTTTAAATATTTTTCTTAAGAACGGTACCCAACAAACGTTAAGTACCTTTCTTAGCCTATAAGGTTTGTTGATAGTCAGATGATTGCTTTAAGATTCCCTTCTTCAAATACAGTGAAAAAACCTCCTATGCAGAAGAATTTAAAATAGTTTATGTAGCTTCTCTATCGCCAAGGAGGTGAGCATAACTCCTCACTCATTAAGTGTGGATGGCTCATAGTGGTTCTTCTAAAGAGCACTGTAATGGAAGACAGAAAAAGAGTAACTTTGCACTGGAGAAACTTGACAAACATGACCTCAAGCCAAGTAATCAAAGTCAATGTCAACAGAGATAAGTCATGTTGATAGTATGTCTGCTTGCCAATGTTATGACAATACTACAGAATGGCACTTTTATTCTGTGTTCTCTTTTTCAAAACCCATAACTTTAATCTAATCATGAGAAAAATATTAGAAAACTCTCAATTTAGGGACATTATTTCTACAAAATACCTATAAAGTATTCCTCTAAAATGTTTAGGTCATCAAAAAAGCAAGAGGAGCCTAAAGAGACATAATAAGTAAATGTAGTGTGGTATTCTGGATGGGATTATGGACCAAAAAATAACATCAGGAAATCTGAAAAGTATAGCTATTAGTTAATAAATTGAGGAAATAAATAAATAAGCAAACACACAAACAAATCCTATGTTTGCTGCTCTGAATTTGATAGACAAGTATGGTTGTGGTATGCAATGGATTTCTACAGACCTTAAGATGATAAATCAGATAATTCTATTGTAACATGAATATTTTCTCATTAAAAATCTGAGAATAGCTAAGCTAAGCAGTGCTTGCTCCTTACAGTGAGTCACTTGAAAAGTAAAAGGCCTGCAAAAAAATACATTCAAACGTCGCCAATCTGAAGAATGCTTTAAAATCATACTGAAATATGTGACACTTTCTAATGTTTATGGGTGACAGGACAGTGATATGCAGGAAAGTTTATGATTTTTGTTTTTTTAGCTTTAAGTTCTGGGGTACATGTGCAGAACGTGCAGGTTTGTTACATAGGTATACATGTGCTATGGTGGTTTTCTGCACCCATCTATCTGTCATCTACATTAGGTATTTCTTCTAATGCTATCCCTCCCCTAGTCCCCCCACAGCCTGACAGGCCCCAGTGTGTGATGTTCCCCTCCCTGTGTCCATGTGTTCTCATTGTTCAACTCCAACTTACGAGTGAGAACATGCACTGTTTGGTTTTCTGCTTCTGTGTTAGTTTGCACAGAAAGCTGAGAATGATGGTTTCCAGCTTCATCCATGTCCCTGCAAAGGACATGAGCTCATTCTTTCTTATGGTTGCATAGTATTCCATGGTGTATATGTGCCACATTTTCTTTATCCAGTCTATCATTGATGGGCATTTGGGTTGGTTCCAGGTCTTTGCTATTGCAAACAGTGCCACAATAAACATACGTGGGCATGTGTCTTTATAGTAGAATGATTTATAATCTTTGGGTATCTACCCAGTAATAGAATTGCTGGGTCAAATAGTATTTCTGATTCTAGATCCTTGAGGAATTGCCACACTGTCTTCCACAATGGTTGAACTAATTTACACTCCCACCAACAGTGTAAAAGTGTTCCTACTTCTCCACATCCTCTCCAGCATCTGTTGTTTCCTGACTTTTTATGATTGCCATTCTAACTGGTACGAGATGGTATCTCATGGTGGTTTTGATTTGCATTTCTCTAATGACCAGTGATGATGAGCTTTTTTTCATATGTTTGTTGGCTGGATAAATGTCTTCTTTTGAGAAGTGTCTGTTCATATCCTTTGCCCACTTTTTGATGGGGTTGTTTGTTTTTTTCTTGTAAATTTCTAAAACACCAAAAGAAATGGCAACAAAAGCCAAAATTGACAAATGGGATCTAATTAAACTAAAGAGCTTCTGCACAGCAAAAGAAATTATCATCAGAGTGAACAGGCAACCTACTGAATGGGAGAAAAGTTTTGCAATCTATCCATCTGACAAAGGGCTAATATCTAGAATCTACAAAGAAAGTTTATGCTTGTAAAAACCAGACCTTTGTGAACATAGAAAAATGAATTTGCCAGGTCACTGAGG
The DNA here is from genome assembly GCF_000001405.40 of Homo sapiens. Taxonomy (NCBI): domain Eukaryota; kingdom Metazoa; phylum Chordata; class Mammalia; order Primates; family Hominidae; genus Homo; species Homo sapiens. The sequence goes on along the minus strand of NC_000008.11, from coordinate 107,470,442 downwards.
ATGCATTAGCTATAATCTGATGTATTCTATTATCCTCCTGCAGTAATGCAAATAAAAAATTAGTAAGTTTGCCAACAGCACATACTTAACATAATAATTACAACCTCTATAAATGTCTTTGTTTCAAGCCCTTGAAACTAAAGTCTTCAAAATTGAGTAAGAAAGCTTAGGATATATAGAATTTTTCTTTCAAAAACATATTAATTTCCTTTGTCAATCATTAAAAGGGCTACATATTGTACTATAACAAGAAATCAGAACTATATCATTTTATTGAATATTTATTGTAAAACAAAATATTCTCAAACTTTAAAAATATTACATCAGATCTGTAAAGCATTTTGTTTTGTGAATATGGATATGGTTTTGATGCCTCTATTCTATAACAGTTATAAGGAACATTTTACAGATTGTACACAGATCAATTGTGGAATATTGTCTACTCATTTTAAACCTACATAGAGTGGTTAAAGGCAACACTCAAGCAAGCCTGCAAAATCTGCATCACGTTATCTTTTTGTATGCCTTGTGAAAAGGTATTTTTAAGATGTGGTATGATGGTGTTATCCATATTGTCTGATGTCAATTCTTATTGCTTGGTAACTCATGACAAACCTGTTGTGTGTTAGGAGCTTATGAAGTACAATTTTAAAAGCCAGAAATCTAGCTTAACTTTACAAAAAAAGCATGTATTGCAGTGATAAAATTGCATAAAGTAGGGATGGAAAAACATTTGAGATTTTGGCCAATTTAAGGCGGATGTGTAGTCTGGGTTTATTGCTATTCTTTCTTTTCAAAGATGACATAATTAATGATATTTTTCTCCAACAGTGTGAGAATGGTTTTGGCATGGACTTTTCTGCAAATGCTTTCTTTGTATATAACAAAGCCTGTCATAGAGCTGGTGCATATGGCTTATAAAGGCTGTGGTTCATAACAATTTGTTCTCCAAGGTTGCATTTATTAATTTATTCATTCACTGAATATTTATTGAGTGGTATCATGTGTACCCCCCAAGCATTGTGGTAAAGCACTAGAGACAAAGGTGAGCACAAACAAACATCATTTCTACCCTAATGGATGTATACTCCAGTGAGGAACTGAATATCAATCAAGTGGTCACACAAATCATTTTATGTTAACACAGCAGAGAAGAGATACACAGGACAATGAGAATACAAAATAAAAGATTGGATTTGGTCAAGATATAAACTCTTCAGGTACTAAAAATGTACTTTGCATTCCCTTAAATGTGAACCCTAGATACTAGAGACTGGTCCTTGGAAGTCATTCATGCCTGCCACTAGCACCTATGACACATGGTAGACACTATAAATATTTGCAAACAAAGAAAAAGTACTAAATGAATGAGTTAAATTTGTATTGCTATAGCCTATATCTGTCTTTGTGTCTATATAAAGAAAACCCTGTAGTTTTATGGTTTTTCCTCACCAACTAATAAGTACTTTGTCTAGGTTCTCCCAATTTCACTATTCTTGCTTCAAGCATGCAACTATAGTTACTATTCTCTTTTTTACCATTGGATTTGATTCTCAAACAATTAACAAGAACAGGGGAGGAAAACTGGTTGTGTACACATAGCTCAAATATACCAATTGGACAGGTAACTTTCTCTTGTGAACTCTATGTGATTTGATCTCAATCAGGAGGATTCCCTCCACTTACAACAGGCCTCCTGTAATATTTGAGGAATTTATATTCCAGAGAGATGCATGTTCAAGAGGGATCTTATTTTCTATTGCCATACTTTGTATAAAATTTTCTTTCAGTTGTGGTATGAATATATTTTCAGAAATAATAGATGCCCATTCAGATTTTTAAGTAACTATACTCTATAACCTTGTGGTTAAAAGCTCTGTTATTAATCTGGCTATTAATATTATATGTAGATGATATAAAATTGCCTTAAAAAATAAGAAATCCAAATGAAATGTAACCAATCACAGAAGTAGATTAAAGGATATGACTACAAAGGATAATTTGAATGACTATTTTGATTGAAGAGACCTGTCTGTTCAGCCTAACAACTGGTTTGATCTGACTTTTTAATTTAATTTAATGTATTTATTATTTGATTGATTTTTACTTGACCTAAATAGTGTATAATGCAAGGCAACGAAAGTACCCCATTTCTCAGTGTCAGAATCATAACCCCAAATGTTGAATGGAAACCTAAAGTTTACTTAGCCCCACCTCCCAATGAGCACAGAATACTTTATTTCTGTAGATTCTGTTCGTAACAGTTCACCTTGGCTTGATCATGCACAACAAAGGAGAACTGATTATTAGGTGAGGCAGACAACTCCACTCTATTGCAGTTATAATTCTAGGAAATTATCTTCTGTATCAAGTTGTAGATTCCATTCATTTCCCTCTGGAAAGAATAGGTCTTTCTCTCCTCTACACAAATGCCTTCAAACATGTGGTATAAAAGTAGCTTTAGGTAACTTGCTCTTTCCGAGCATCAGATTTCTCATCTGATAAAAGGGATTTAATGCTGTCTAACATCTAGGCTTTAGGCAAGAGTCAAAGCAGACCTGTTTAAAGTACTAGCACACTTGAGCACATAGAAAGTACTGATTTATCAATGGCTTGCTATTATATCATTATTGTTGTTGTAGCACTTTAGGATGACTATTTTACCTCCTTAACATTTCCTTTTTGCCCAGCTATGCATTCTTTTCTTTTTTATCTGTTCTTAATTGCCATTGTGTGGTCAATTTTACCTTAAACCGTAGAGCTAAGCTCAGTATCTTCAGGACTGAACACAGATCACGTGTTCCTAACAATGCAGAAAACCAGGTCTGTTTTGTCCCAAGGACATTCTACTTCTTTTATTTCAACCTAGACTTTATTCTTAGTAGCTTTATCATACCACTGGATCATAAAATCCCAATTAAGTCCCCAGGTTTCTTCAGGTGAACGACTTTTATACCTGTTCTTTCTTATCCATACTCTTTTGTTTTGTTTTATTTTAAGCTAAAGGTAGATCTTTCAATTTATCTATATTAAATTGTACGTTTTGGTGGGCTCATTGTTCAAGCCCATTGAGAACTGTAAGAATCTTGAGCCTCTTTTCCAACAGTTTATATATATATATATATGAATAAATAAAATGTTAAATCATTATAGGTACTTAATAGTTGTACCACTATGTACAACTATTTATGAGGTCATGTGATCTTTTGATAGAGGGATTTAATATGTAATGATCGATAAAGGTAATTGGGGTATCTATCACCTTATCATTTCCTTGTGTTTGGAACATTCTAAACCACTCTTTTAGTTATTTTAAAATTTTAATCACAACTTTGCTTATCTGCACACTTGACAAACCTGTGTTCTAAATCTTCAGCCAAGCAAGATGTTGAATATGACATGAATGAAGATTAGCATTTCATCATTGTACTTATAGCCCAAGCAAGAGGGAAGGAAGTCCTAACTTAAGGTAGTACTGGTGGAGCAGGAGAGTAAGGGATTGAATTTGTATATTTCTCGATTATAATTTTTTTTTTTGAGATGGAGCTTGTTGCCCAGGCTGGAGTGCAATGGCATAGTTGCTGCTCACTGCAACCTCGGCCTCCTGGGTTCAAGCAATTCTCTTATCTCAGCCTCCTAAGTAACTGGGATTATAGGCGACTGCCACCACACCGAGCTAGGTTTTGTATTTTTAGTAGAGACGGGGTTTCACCATATTGGCCAGGCTAATCTCAAACTCCTGACCTCAGGTGATCCACCGGCCTCTTTCTCCCAAAGTGCTGGGATTGCAAGAGTGAGCCACTGTGCCCAGCCTCAATTATAATTTTTAACAACCGATGTTCATGCAGATGCTGAAATCCTTGGATTTTCCTTGGCTTTACGAATAATTCCCTTTCCTTAATTATATTCTCACTTTAACCTACACAGAGTGTATGAAGTAGGCCAGGCCTGTGAAGTTTAGGGTTGGAATTTGAGGAGCAATAGATAACACTAGCTTTTAGTAGGGTAAAACCCCACTTTAGTTGGAAAACCAGAAATTATTCTTGCCAGCCATAGAATCCAGGTTGTCCATCTCTGTGGAGCTGGATCACAGACTCCTTGAGGCCTGCCCTTATTAAAAAATCATATTCTCTAGTGCCTACTATGGGCATTTTTGAGATAGAAAGGGGGCTCTGTTAATAATTTCACCAAGACAATAGGATAAACAGGACTTCCAAGGAAAACCTTGTATTCCTAATTTATATTTTGTACTCAGTAAATGGATATTTAAGTAATTGAATTGCATCCTAACATTAAGTGGAAATTTCTAAGTCTTTTATTTCATCTTCTTCCGCCATACAAAAAACCTCTTAGTCCAACCTCTCACAATCCACATTACAATGCCCCTGATGGGCATTCTGCTCAAATGCATCAATGCCAGGAATGGCTCTTCATGGAAGGACAGTGGAACGGCTAACCAGAGGAGAATATTAGAAAGCCCTCCCAGATAGAAGTCCTTCCTGGAACTTGTTCCTAGAACTGCACCTCCTAGCAATATGTTAAATTAATGTTCACTTGGCAGCTTCCTATTTGAAGATAGTTACTCTGTGGGAAGAGTTAGGTAAGTGGTGTGATGGCAGAAGAACCACAGTGGTCTCTTGCCCAAAATTGTATTTGAAATGCTACCTGTTAGGATTCTATTTAGAATCAAGTCTCTCAAGAGAATAATATGGTTATCTGGATTATTCTTCCTAGCATATGGCTATAATCTTGAGGGATGCTATTTAGTACTATTTTGCATTTACTTGAAAACGAAGATGTATGTTTAAAGACAGAGTATAAGCTTAGACTTGTCATTCAGTGTGTATTGAGCAGAGTAGATCTTTGGTGACTTTTCATGAATTCAGTTGTACTTTAATATTTAACATTGAAGTATTTTTCATTTAAAAATGTTTTATTGTGAAATACGGCATCAATCAAAGTGCATGAAAATATAATATGCAATTTAAAGATATATGCTTTTTAAATTAGTCCAATTCAATTGGTTTTATATTTGTTAATGAAAAATTCACTGTGATTAGTTCTTATTATGACAAGGTAACAACATTTCCAGACCTGGAAGAGCCAAAAAGCATCCCTAACATTTCTTACTAATATATGCAGCAGTTTGCCAGTTTGTGGACTTTTCTTTAACAATGCATTTGTTTTTTAATGGATATTTTCTTAACAATTAGTAATTTAGTCCATAAAGTTCTGACATTAATTCTGAATATATTTGATGCTTCTTAGAGCATTCTGAATTCTTACTTCTGTATATTTATACATAGTTAACCCCACTGAGCCTGTCTGAATCTTTCCATTCCAACTCAAATCCCACTTCTCCCACAAAGAGGAATGACTAACAGCTATTGCTCTTACTCTGACACACTGAAATATTTAACTATATTATAACTACCTTTTTCAGCCACTTCTCTTAATTATTTTATAGGAGACCAAATATCGGCTCCTCTGGAAAACCTTCTTGATCCCCCCATGTGTTGGGCATCCTCTTTGTTTTCCTGCTCTAGTTCCCTGTGCACTGCACAGTCCTCCACCGCCACCCCACCATCAACACACTTACCACACTGTGCTTGATTTCCTGTCTGACTCTTCTCCTGACAATAGTAGAATTTATCGAATACTTATGGTACTCCAAGTTCCATGTATGAGCTTCACTTGTATTCACTCAGTTGATCCTTACAATAAATTTACGGGATTGTAACTATCATTCCCATTTCAAAGGAGAGGAAGTTGGGGCACTGAGAATTAAGGAAATTGTCCAACGTCATAAAACCCTAAAATTCAGAGAGCGTGATTCTAGAGGCTGAGCTCTTGACAATTACCTTATGCTATTTTTCTAGATCCGCTCCTAGAAGTCAGGGATAGGCTTTGATCATAGTATTATCAGCATCTAGTACACCACCTAGAATATAGTAGGGACAAGATAAATGTGTATTGAATGAATGAATAAATGAATGAATACACTTTTTTTCTACTGATTTCAAGTATTTTCAGCGAGTGTAAACAAAAATAGTCAAGATTTGAAGACTGAAAATTACATTCAAAATTTGTCTTATTCAAGCTCTTATTTTGTAGTTGGAAAAACCATGATGCATAGAGGCAAGTCATATTCATAGGATCACTTTTGTAGTTTTTAACCCTTGACCATATGCCAGAAACCATTTCAAATACTATATGTGTATTATCTCCTCTAATCCTCATGTGAAGTGGATGCTCTTATCATCTTCATTTTGGAGATGAGGAAACAAGCATGAAGAGATTATCCAATGTCTCAAAGCTGCAGGTGGCAAAGCAAGAAAAATAACTGAGGTTGGCTGGTTTCAGAATTTATGTTCTTACTCACCACACTAAATTGGCTCTCACGTATGTAATTATTGCCAGATCTAAACTGAAGCAAATGTTAAGTCCCAGAATCTTTCAAAAATGTCTCCCTATATTTCAAAAATTATAATTATTCTAACTTTATCTTCATCTTTAAACAGTCTGGATTTTATAGTGCATTCAATATATGTTTTATTTAATTTGAGATCTGGAGTTTCTTGATCCTTGTAATGTATTCTACATGTCTACGAAAGTTACCTAGAGAAATCCTTATGTAGCTTTTAAGGCAATTCTTTAATTTATTCTAGGGAACTTTTACTTTTTAAAAGGTTATATATGAGTACCCTAAATTTGTCAGCAGCTGTACATGGGAATTGATTATATATATAATCACATTATCTTTAAATATTGGTTTATTCAAAAAAGATTAAGGGAATTTACTCTGCAGCCATAGGTTTCTATTAAAAATAAAAGATAATGGCACAATGACAAAGTCACTGCTCTACGTTTACTCACAGACTGTTGTGTTACTGTTGGAAAGATGTTGTTAATAGAATGCTTGTTGATCCTAGATGAACTGGAATATATTCTAACTCTCAGGAGGACATTTGGGGGCTGCATTAGTTTTCTATACTACATAATAAATTGTCCAGAATTTAGTAGCTTATAACAACACACATTTATTATCTGACAATTTCTGTGGTTCAGGAATTTGGGCACAACTTACGTGGGTCCTTTGCTCTAGAGTCTCTCAGAGGCCATAATCAAGGTGTTAGTTAGGGGTGGAGGCCTCCTCTGAATGTTTGAGTGGGGAAATGATTGCTTCCAAGCTCACTCGGATTCAGCTTCTTGTGGGCAGTTGAGCTGAGGACCACAGTTTGTTGCCATATGGGCCTCTCCAACATTCAGCTTACTTCATCAAAGCATGCATGCTGAAAAGGCAGTGAAGAGTCTACCAGAAAGATGAAAGAAATACCTTTTGAAACCATGTCATATAAGTGACATCCCATCAACTTTACCAGTTTATTGATTAGAGTAAGTCACTCAATCTTGTCCATGCACCGGGGGAGGGGATTACACAGTATGTGAATTTTAGGATCCCAGACAATTAGGACTACCTTAGAAGGCTGCCTCACTATAGGGACAGAAATGTCAACTTTCTTTTATAAGTCTAAGGGACTGAGAGGGGAAACAGGTTAACTTTTGGCACTCAATTTATGCTTTCCTCCCTCTTTATAACAGTTTTGATATTTTTGTTTGTTTGTTTTTGGATTGGGAAGGGTTGATTGGTTGGTTAGTCGGTTGTTTTCTGCTTGCTGTGAGTTTACAGATTGTAAAAAGTAAAATCTCTTTTAAAAGTTTTTACTTTGTAGTGAGGGTTGTATACATGTATAATTGAATAGCCTCAAGAAATTGTTTTTATGGGTGCTGGTTTGTGATTGATGAGCCCTTACTACCAAAAGACCTTCCAAATCTAGTCACATTTTGTTCTTTTATCCTTGGAGCCCCAGCAATGGAATCCTGATGATCACCTGTGACATGAAGTATGTGTGCCAGCAACCTCACTTGTAAAGGTCTTATGCATTCAACCCCTGGATTTTAAATGTCCTCTCTGCTTGTTTGCTCTAAAAACTCCCTTTTTGAATCTGTGGTTTTTACATTGTGATCCTATTTTTTTTTTTTTGCATGGCTGAACCAAATTGTCTAGTTCATATTGACTCCTTCACAAGAGGCTTGAATTATGTTCGTGCTACCCAGACACAATCTGTACTGCTTAAGAGATGGCAGTGAGAAGTCCTCCCAGAACCAATTTCAGTTTTAGCCTTCAGCTTTGGTCCTTGTTTTCTCTCCCTCTTCATATTTTCATTGCCAGTGTCATTTTCATCATTACCTTCTAAAAGCATGCACTTATTTTTCAATTAAACAATAGGGTTTAATTGAACTTGATTGTTCTAACTTCCAAGAAAATGAACTTTACTGTTTCTAACTTCCGAGAAAATGAAACTAGACATAGCCTGACCTTCTGTCTTCCAGAAGGTTTATATAGTCCAAGGCAAAGCACTCATGTGCTCATTATAATAGCAATGAATAAAGCTTTGACCACATAAATGTTCTTAACTAGTGGTTTGTTTACTAAACTGACACTTCCTGGACTTCTTTGCTGTATTCTTCAATAAGAAATAATGATAATAATACATTTATTGGCATGTTTTGAAAACAATGCTATCTAACATTGTGTATATTTCAGTGTGTAGAGAGATCGCCCCATACCATCAATATGCATTTATTTACATAGTTATTCATTCATTCATTCATTTATTAAAATAGAACTATTCAAGCAAAATGTAATTAGCATCCAGAATTTGTTAATGGTGTACTTTGGCCACAGCATGTATCCTATCTGAATATAGGTTAAAAGTGATGGGTTTTAAATGACAGGCTTGGTAATATTAAATCCATAATACAGTGAAGTTGTTAAATGATTTTTAATGTATTTATTGATTCTAGGACATTCTAGGACACCAGTGGTTGTGTCATTATTATTTTAGGTGACAAAATGAAAATACTGCCAATTAAACTATGATGCTATCATTTCTTACCACTTTGGTTGTAAAAAGTATCCTGACTTGGACAAATTAAAATGTGATAGGACCGAATCTTAAGCTGATTAATAGTAAGAATTAAGAGGTATAAAGAAATACTGAGTTGCTTTAGGTATCTATTGTGAATACAGATAAGTGGCCTACAGCTTCAGGTTTTTAATAGCATAAGTACCTTTTACTAAAACTTAACTTATGTTGGTCCTAGTGTAATTAATTACCAGAGTTTCCCAAATTTCAAAAGTGAAATGCTCCTAAGTAGAGAAAACCATGAAATCCCAAGGGTCTGTAGGTCAAGCCTGAAATGATCTAGCCCAGCTCAAAATTTATAAAAATAAATAAGATAGTGACAAATATGATAATCAGTTTTCAAATATAAAATCAGGTTTTTAGTTACACATATTTAGATAAAATTATCTTTCCATAAAGATGTTTCATATTTTTCGTTTAGCTTTGTGTATCTGTCACACTGCAATGTGGCTATGAGGTTCAAGTACCCTTGGAGAGTCAGGCAACCAGAGGCAATATATGGAGTTAGCAAAGGAACTTCATAATTTTTGATTACTCCCCAAATCTAACAAAAGGTCGAAGATAAATTGCTTAGTTTAATTAAAGAGCATTAACACAAATTTTCTGCGTTGGACTCTATCCAGACAGTATCTTCTTGTGAAGCATTATGTCTGTTAGGATTTAACTGAAAATCATATCTAAATGAGAGATAACTGGAATTGGCTTATTTGATCATAAAAATTGCCTGTAATTGAATTAAATGCTCTTTTTCCTTCTTATCCCCATGTGTGTCAAGCAGGCAGCAATTTGACTAGCACATCATGTTCTCTGCATATTTGTGTGTGTTTGTTGCAGAAATATTTCTGTAGAAAACTTTTCATTTTGCAGCAGGGATTTACACAGATCAGAGTCAAAAGCAGTGGCAGAGTTACACCAAGATCTGGAGTTGTTCATTCATGCAATAGCAAAGCAGCACTCATCTATACGTGCACAGATGTTTGAGTTATAAATGCACAGGTTCAATCTATTTTATGAAAGATTTATCTAATTTCATTTTTAGTTTTATTTACTACATCAAAATAGGCAGCCAGTTGCCTTTTCTTTTTTAATTCTCCCAAAGACATGGTCTATACATACAGCTTCTGCTTAAACTTCTCATCTCTGATCCCACCTGTAGCTGATCCCTACTCCTTAACAGTCCCCTCTCCCCCAAAAGGATTGGGAATATATACATGCTACAAAACAGAATGTGCTTATAAATGCAGAATTAGAAGTAAATACTTTATACATCCCCACATCTGGGAAATGTTGAGCAATTCTACTTTTAGGACCCCTGGAGTATTTCACCAGATTCGTACTGTGAAATGCTCAGACGTGTCCTTGTCCCTGGAATGGAAGCATAACCCAGAGACATGGGTGTCTAAAAACAAGTAGTGAAATGGTGATGATGCTTTCAGCGTGTTTTCATAGGCAGGTCAAGTCTGCCAACAATCATTTGGAGTTCATGAAATTTGTGACAGAAGTTTTTGGCACTTAGTCAACAAACAACCCTTTGTTCTCTTTTCATTTCTTTCTAAAGAAAAGGGCAGAACATTGAAAATGAGTTTTTGAGTCAATTTAAATTTTCATTCAACACCCTGTGCTGTTCACTTGATGCGTCTTTGGATCCTACCACTTTCCCTCTACTTCAATGACATTCTAGAAAGGCAATGAAGCATATTTTTAAAAGTCTAAGACTATATACAAAAAATAACTTATTTTATGCAAACATGTTGGACCATGTACCGAAGAAGTCTAAAGCTTATATTGGCGAATATAAAGTGAAAATGGTCATCTTTGAGGTCTGACCACGAAAACTGTTGTAAACATTGCTAGTAGGGCATATAGGGTATTATGCATTCCTCGTTCCCACATAATATGAGTTGAATTCTAATCTACTTGTTTTGTTGTTGTTGTTGTTGTTGTTGTTGTTGTTGTTGTTGTTTGATAAGGAGTCTCACTCACTTGCCCAGGCTGGAGTGCAGTGGCACGATCTTGGCTCACTGCAACCTCCGCCTCCCAGGTTCAAGGGATTTCCGGCTGACTTAGTAGACACAGGGTTTCACCATGTTGGCCAGGCTGTTCTCAAACTCCTGACCTCAAGTAATCTGCCCGCCTGGGTCTCCCAAAGTACTAGGATTACAAGCGTGAGCCACTGTGCCTGGCCATAATCTACTTTTCATTTGTTTTATTGACTGAAAATTTTTCACCTGGTTAAAGTGTTTTAAAAGCTCCATGGAGTTGCGGAGCTCTTGGACAAGTTTACTCCTTAAATATAAAATGAAGCCAAAAGTTACTGAATGGGATATTGAGTAAGAGAGTAGGAGTTGAGGGAGAGGACAAAAGGATACAGAGTTATACCTGTCAGCCCTTCTAATGCACTGAGCATCACAAGAAATAGAAAGTTGCGGGACGATGCTCAGGTTGTCTTAAGATGGCGTCACAAGCATTGACTTTGAAGTTTGACTCTTCTAGGTTTGAATTTGGGCTGTGACACTTGCTATGTGATTTTCTGTCAGTTACTTAAACTTTTGGGGCCCTAGTTTTGTCGTATGTCATATGTAAAGGAGGAATAATAGAATTTATTTGATAGGGTTATTGAAATGATTAAATGAGATAATACATGCATGCAGTTGACAGGATACTTAGCACAAAGGAATGGTTCAATTAATGTTAGACCTCCTGGGCTCATGTTCAATGTGTTTAATATTTATTTAGTGGAGAGGAAGAAGCTGATATTTAGAGTTCACCTTTCTATTTATAACAGAATGTTATATTGTTGCATCAAACATAGTATAACATTCTGATGCATTTAGAATCTAAAAATATATATATTCACATTCCTTAGAGGTAATGTCATTCACACTCACCAATAATTATCTACTAGACATAGTTACTAAATCTTGCTGAAAATATTTTAAATTATTTTTTCTTTGTTTTAGTTTAGAAAATATTTTATACTTTAGTATACTTCTACTCTTTTGACTAGAAGCATGTCTAACCCATAATTATGTCAAATAATTCAGACTGTCTTTTGACATGGACAATCCTAAGAACTTTTGAGAAACAGATTTATTAATATCACAAGCTGAATTTACAAGGCAGATTTTCTATTAGCAGGTTTTCCAACACATTGCAATAGAGAAATAGCAACTATTGGAATCTGAAAGATAAATAAACTCATTGTTTACTCTTGTATAAGTCTTGCATGTTAGAATGTGATCATAAAATGCCCAATTAAGTCCAGAAGGCCAGTTAGCAGATCACTGTAATTAATGTCTGCAACATCAGTCAAATCTTGTTTATCAGTACATACTGGAATTTCAGCTACACATGGACAATAATTGTTGTAATCCCAACTTGGCCATCAGTTTCAGAAACTTGAAACTGAACAGAAATCAGATGGCCTTTTATTTTATTTTTTTCACACTCAATATGATCATAATATTTTTTTAAAGAATAGCTTTTATAGGAGGAGGAACTGGAACAGTTTGCTTACTAACTCACTTCTATCTGCAGTGCCAATGTCCAAGAAAATGCTTTCATAGGTATTTTTTTCCCCTCTTGGTGTGTGTGTGTGTGTGTGTGTGTGTGTGTGTGTGTGTGTGTAGTGGGTATGTGTGGGGTGAGTGTGAATAATTTCCCAAATCAGAAACTTCTTGGGAGGCATAGTGAGTGGTTTAAACTTCAAAAAGTGAAACTAACTACTCGTTTCTGGTAAAGAGCCTTATCCAAATATTAATAATTTGAGTTGACAAAGACTATGAGATATAAAAAATTCAGCTGCCTGGTTTCAGGCTAGTGGTAGAGCTGACACGTGTGCTTGTAACTTCCCTTCAGAAAAGAAAAGTTGGGATTGGCAAAGCTTTATCTATTATTGTACATTTCTGCTAATGGCACTAATTTGGAGTGTTTAGGTTCAATTTTCACCTCAGCGACCACAAAGAAGCCTCATGTGGAAAGCTAAGTTAACTGATAATCTTTATTATAATTTATTCCACTGATGTTTAATTTTCATTCAATATGACAGCTTGGTTAGTTGGTTGACTATCTCATTCCTTAGGATACTTTTGTTGGCTATTACTGTTATAATCATTATTAAACTGGTTATTATTATTTCCAAATGACAGGAAGACATTCATATGTGCTAATTATTTTGCTCTGCCATCTCTACATTAGATTATTGGGAGCATCTTACACAGGAGTTTTAGATTTGCATATATACCTCTATGTAGTGACATGTATCAATGTGTAATCACCTAATAAATATAGTCTATCATAAAGAAAAATATGTCATAAATATTGTGTAGAATTTTTATTCTTCATACTAGTAGAGTTATGATATCAGCCACATAGTTAAATTCATAAAATTAAGAGCATATGACACAACTCTACTGTGTTACAAGTTACAATTTTTGACACATCTTCTATTGGCTCAAAGCAGAAAGAAAAGTCATTTTATCATAAAAATACTGCTTTATTAATGAAGTATTAGGAAAGATAGCAGGAAGAGTGTAAGGACAGGAACTTTTTGGTTCAAAATAAGTTCATTCCTTAGCAGATCCCATTTCATTCTTTAGCATGATCAAGTACCTAGGAAAGTAAGATGCTCAAGATAGGTATAATTCGAGATTTACATTTCATTTTATACATTTGGTTCTCTAGGTTTTATATTTCTATTTTAAAATAATACATTTTACATCATATACACTTTGAGACTTGTATTTTAGAAAAATGCCACTAAAGTAAAAGGTCACATTTAACATTTTTATTTCCAGACCTTAAGAACAATTTATGAAAGCAGGTTTTGTTGTACGTTTCACCTTCCCCTTTGCTCAGTATTATGTATAAGGATTTATCTTGTTTGTGGAAACTTAAAACATTTTAGAGGATTTTGAAGAAGAAATTGAGCTAGTTTGAGTTCAGATACTTAAGTAAATTTGTACTTTGAGTCAATGTGACTTTTAATCATCCATGAATGATTTAAAAGATAAGTCAAAACGCTTATGACCTTCTCTACATCTCAATTTTTAGAACAGGACTTTTGACTTGAGATGCTTTTTACTCAGGCCTTGAACCCAGAATACCACTGAGCTTGGAGTTTCTTTTTAAAGAGAAATATGCATGTGGAATGTTGTTGCTACAGAAAAGATTATGCAAACATCTCAGCTTTGCTCAAGATGTCCAAGTTCGCAGAAAACTATTTGTGACTTCAACAGTTACCCAGCTTTCTGTTTTAACGTTGACCAAATCATGTTTGGTTGACTTAAACATAACAACACAAAGGACATTTTTGAGCCTGTAATAAGTTTTTTCAAAATTTTTGTTCATTTGAAAGAAATACACAATAAACTTTGTTATTAATACAATCATGTTGCTCTCTCATCTGCTGATGTGCTGATACATATACCAGATCTCCGAGGTACATTTCACATGGTAGGCAGGAAACCAATGAAGATCAACTTTCTGACTTCTTGTCCTTATAAAAACATGCTTTTTGTGGCTTCATTCCAATCCCCAAGTTGTGTATTTTGGGTCTTTCTGAGGCTGTTGCCATGCTTGAAAATACTGACAAAAGAGACTAATGAGGAGGGAGGTTCTTCTACCAGATTCTTTCTTGGAGATAAAAGCCTTGATTGTGATTTAATCCAGCCTCACTGCCTCTTCTATTGCAAATATTTTTATCATGAGATTTACCACAGGTAAGGAATATTTAACAACGAAAACAAAATCACAAGCATTACCCACATGACTCATGAGTAGAGGGCAGGAATTACTATAAATATCTATTTTTTTGTTAATAAAGTCTCCCTTTGAAACATTGTGCCCAATTCAAAACATAAGTTGGTTCAACAAGATACATGATGCAAAGGCTGTTGTATTTACTTGACTTTCATTCCTAGAATGGAAGGCCAGGATTAAACCACTTATTCACCACATTGCCAGGACATTCAGTGATAGTTATTAAACATAAAATGTAGGAAAACAGGATACATTTGCTGGAAATGTAAGCAGAGAATTCAATGAAAAGTTTAGCAGATGACTTGATGTACAGAGTTTAAGTCACTTAATAGTTTAATATGTAAGACAACTCCATCTAAAATTAGACAAATACTCTCATCTAATTTTAGATTTTAAACCAAAGAAGTTGCTAAAATTTTCAAACATTATTTATAAGTAAACTTACAGGAAACAGTTGTCTACATTTTTGAGCTATTCACATGGAGATCACGAAAGGCTCTGCTAAGGAATGAACTTATTTTGAACCAAAAAGGTCTTGTCCTTACACTCTTCCTGCTATCTTTCCTAATCATACAATCTCAGTAAGCGGGAAAGAGACTGCAAAGTAAGGTAGCATCTGGGAGCTATTTTTAGGTTGAGTAAAAGGCTTCTGAAGGAATATTTTGAGAAAGTGGCCAGAGAGGAAGACATATAGAAGCCAAAGGTCAGTAGAAGAGGGTGGAACCCATTTCCAAACCACTTCATTTTACAAGCCCAGGCAATGTTTTGAGGAAGTACACCCTAGACATTTCCACCTCTTAGACAGATCTCCCATTGTTTGTTCTTTGCCTTCTCAATAAGAGCATACTAAGGTATTTTACAGACCCCTTTAACACTGGAGTAGGTATATGTATATGTGTATGTATTTAAAGGACAGGGAAATAAATACTACTGTGAGTTGAAGAGCCAGAAACAAAGTTAGGCAGGTGAAATTTGTCTGAGAAACCTGACATTCCCATGCTGATTTCAAGTCGGCATTTATGAATACTTAGGGTTTGCATTACATCTCAGCGCATTAGCGGGTTGTTTAGATTGCTGAACAAAATATGTGATACTATTTGCAAGTAGAAAATGTACTACTTGCTACTTAGTGTGTACTTCTAGACATGTAGGAAGACATGTATAGATAACACTACTCTAATGACTAAAAAAATAAAGTTACAGATTTGCATCAAGTTGCCTCTAACACTACCAGGTAATCAAAAGTGAAGGCAAACTGGTTCAAAACTTGTTCTAAGTGACTTGTTTGAGAACTGATTTGTATTTTAACAAATAAATAGAATAGACAGTCTTGTCCAATAGCAGCATGTCTTGAAATTGAATAAAGATAGAATCTAAATACTGCTGATAACATCACAAGTCACCCTCCCTACACAACTCCCTCTTAACTATTGCATTTTTAGGCTTTTAAGGTCACTCAAGTACATCTATTAAAAAACAAAGCTGGGATTATGTAACACGCCATGCACTATGCTTAGTTCTTTTCTGAACCATTTGCCTGGGAATGCACCACCCGTGAAGCAAAAACCAGAAGGAACATGAAAATAGGTAGGACTTTAGGCAGCGGTCTTTTCATTCATATTATATCAGTAGCATCAGTTCATCACTGAAAAATGAGAAAATCTTGGTATGCTAAATGAGTACAAATCACCACCACATAACAGAGACAACCATACCTATTCTTAACATCTTTTAAATAAACTCTCCCAGGTATTTTTCTTCACAGATGTGTGAATTTATTTTTTAAAACTATGGTGACTCTATAAATGGCGTTTCAAGATCTTTTTTTTTTTAAATCTCAGCATATACTATGTGCATCTGTTCATGTCAAGAAATATACTTCGCCACCTCATTTAATAGTCATTTAAATCCACTTTACCCAATCATCTACTGTTGAGCATCTAGATTTCTAACCCAATTTTTTATGATAAATAGCCAAACATCACATTGTCCTCAAAATATACATAATTATTATTTGTAAATTAAAAAGAAAATAAAACTTTGATATGGTTTGGCTGTGTCCCCACCCAAATCTCTTCTTGAATTCCCATGTGTTGTGGGAGGGATCCAGTGGGAAGTAATTGAATCATGGGGGCAGGGCTTTCCCATGCTGTTCTTGTGATAGTGAATAAGGCTCACGAGATCAGATGGTTTTATAAGGGGGAGTTTCCCTGTATAAGTGCTCTCTCTTTGCCTGCTGCCATCCATGTAAGATGTGACTTGCTCCTCCTTGCCTTCCACCATAATTGTGAGGCCTCCCCAGCCATGTGGAACTGTAAGTCCATTGAACCTCTTTCTTTTGTAAATTGTCCAGTCTCAGGTATGTCTCTATCAGCAGCATGAAAACAGACTAATATAAACTTAAAAATGGTATTGCAATGAGCATCTTTGTAAATGAATATTCTTTAATTGTTTTTAGTCAGAATTCTTAGAAATCGAATTTCTGGAATAAAAATAATAATACAGAGGTCCAAATAATACTTCAGATAATCTGTGCCAAATTAATGTATGTTTATGTTAGCATTGTGTGAGAATGATCACTCCTCAACATACAGAAACACACACACATGTGCATCTTTACAAGCATTGGGCACCATCATTTAAAGAGTTCATTAAGCATTTAACCTTTTTGGATGTAAAGTTATAGTGAATTTTCCCCGTGCAATGTATTTCAATAAAGGAAAATAGGCTTATATAAATTATTTCTCAAAATTTATTTATTAATCATTTTCAGAATGTCTAGTGTGTGTTTAGTGAAAATCTTGTGAATGGAGATTTCCATGAGGAAGACTAAGCAAAAAACAAGCATTTATTGAGCCTGTACTATGTGTCAAATATATTTAATCTCATTTAATCTTTAGAAACACCTGGCAAATAAAAATTATTATCTCCACTTTGGATATGAGAAAGCTCTTGGAGTTTGGGCAGTTTGTGCAAGTTGACACAAGTTAATGCAAATTCTGGAAATATAAGTATTTTTTAAAATTTAAGAAATATGTATATGAAGCCATTTTCTCTGGCTGTGATTAAATATATGGCCATCAAAAGTGGGGAGGAACTTTTAATATTTTCTCCCAATTTATAAAATATATTGATTAATGTAACAATAAATTTTAGCCATGCATATCTATTACAAACTTCAAAAAAAATAAAAATAAAAAAATAAAAATAAAGAAATAAAAGTGGGGAGGGAGATTATGTATTGGTAAATAATTTTTACCTAAATGAGACGTGACTTCCAAAAATGTATCATGGTGTGTTTACAATATGAATGTGCATGGTGCAATAATATGAAACTGGGATCCACAGCTTTTTGGCTTTTTGGCTTGATGGTCCATGGTCTCTCCGTAAGATCCTAATTATAAAGGATATGAGGATGTGTCATTGCTCACATTTTCTCTAATTTCATTTTATTATTTAGAGGGAAAAAATTTGGTACACATCTCTCTGTATGGACGGTAGTAGAATAATAATAATATATAATAAAATAGTATATATTGTGGTAGACATCGTGTCAGAAGGCTGGTTGATTTTATCTTTTTAAGTGTTAATATCCTGTCTTATTCTATTCATTCTATACGGAACTTGTGGCTAAGACACACACATACACATGTACACACGAACACACATGTAAATAGTATACATACATATAAACAAATATAAAGTATAAAATAAAAATTTAGGAATTAAGTAAACAGAAAACAAAGAGAAAAACAAAGATCAACATGGTGAAAAACACATTAATAGTCCTTTAAAATTGCTGATGGTGAATCAAAAATTAAACTAAGAGTTCTGGCAGTCAAATAAAAAGGTAAGCACAATGAACATAAACATTTAAGAATCCAGGAGAAACACAGTTTCCCTGATACTCAGGTCAGTGAAACATCTTCCTTCCTTTTTCAACAAGAGATTACTATAGGTGTAAGATGACCTCCACAATGGCATCCCTGTGATAATGTGATTTTCGTATCTGTTTTCCCATTCTATGCCCCAGTTAGACCTTCTCACAAATCATTGTCCAAATGATTTATAAAATAACAAGTTCCATGTTTAAGGGAGTCATCCATTTTAGTCACTTTGAGAAAATGTGAAGTGAATAAATGTCACCATATGGATATAGATCTGATTCTATAGTACTAAAGCATTTACAACACTGTTGACAATGAACCAGAATATTCTATTGATAAAATCTCTCCCCTTGTCATAAATTAACCTCAATATCTATTAAAGCTGAACTCTCTTAGGGCCAATGGTATTCTCTGGAAGATATTGAACCTAGTATCATAAGGTTGAAATAAAATGTGCACGTACACGTGTGTGTGTGTGTGTGTGTGTGTCTGTTATGTATGTATTAGTGTATAAGTGTAAGTGGTGGAAGAGCAGTTTCTCTCTTCATTTTTAACCCTTCCTGAATCTGTACTTTATATGCAGTCACTGCTCAATTGATGTCTCCTGTTGGTAATCATCAAAGGAAACAGATGGTAGGAAAGAGTTAATGCAAATTCTGGTAGTATAGTATTTTTTTAATTTAAGAAATATATATGAAGCCACTTTCTCTGGCCGTGATTAAAGGTATGGCCATTAAAAGTGGGGAGGGAGATTATGTCTTGGCAAATAATTTTTACCTAAATGAGAAGTGACTTCCAAAAAAAGTATCATGGTGCATTTACAATACGTTCTAGTAAATATGTAGAAGGCAGTCATACATTGCCTCATCTGCAATATAATACTAACTGTGATGTAATATTAACTGCATGGGGTGATTGTGGGGTAAATCAAGGGAAAGTAATTAGCAGAGTTTCAAGCACAGAGTAAGTACTCAATAAATATGATTTATTCTACTATTACTAGTATTATTATAACTTTAATATCTATTATTTCCTGCTCTAAAATATATATTATATATATTCACATGCACACATGCACACACACACACACACACACACACCTATTCCCATTTGAATGTTCTTGGCAATACCCTTGAAAATATTTCATTTGGGTCAAGCATTTTTCAGAACTTTTTTCTTAAAATAATATTAGACTTTACTGTGTTTGTTTTGGTTGATTTTGCTTTCTTTCTGAATGCTCTTGGCAATTTCTTATGTGCTTGTTATTCCGATCCAAACTGGGGAGGAAAATATCTCACAAAACAGCACAATGTAGAAGACCACACAGTGATTTATAAAGGTCCCTCTTTCCGCCCATAGAGCTTTTAATGGGGAAACTCATCTATATTGCTGCGTCAAGAAATCACCACCTTTATCACATAACACAGATGTAAATGAACCATATAAAAGCAAGTAATCCTTAACTCTACTACAGGAAGCTAGAGCAGAATTTGAGCTTTAGCAGATGCTCAGAATGTGTAACTAGCTGTAGAGATGAAATGTGTTTGTTAACAAGAAGTAATACCAATAGTTTATCTATGACAATGGCTTTAAAATTACTTTTTAAAAACTCAAGCCTTTTCCAACAATACCGTATGTCCCATATGGTTCCTCCAAGTCATTTTTAGTTCTCAGGTCATTTTTAGTTCTGTGTCAGCTTTACTTGGATTCAGGTAGAATGCTTTTGCCATACTGTGTTAATTTTGTGCCCTTAATCAAAACACTAATTTTCATATTTTAAAGATTCAAACAGTTATCTATTGCAAAATTCACTCTTAAAACCAGAATTTTATCATCAGATATTTAGGTGCTTCTAAGCTTTGTAAGTACATACACACTATAACAAATTGAGAGAAGGCAAGTCTAACCCAAAGAAAATTATTTGATAGTAAGTTTAATATAATTTATTCTTGATTCATCATACAGGACGAATATGCAAAGACACACACATAATGTTATTAGATTTCTATGAGTTAATACGTATAAAGAATGAAGACGGGTTCTTTGCACAAACTAAGAAATCAATAAATATTACAACATGGCCTAAACTCAAAACGTGTGTGCTAATGCAAGGAAGTCATGCAACAGTTGAAAACATAGTTATTCCAAGGTAAGGTACATCTGGCTACAAAGTTTGATGAAGTGGTAAATAAATAGGTCTCATTTATATTATGTAACAGAGAAAATACTTCCTTCTATGCAATTTTGCTTAAGTACCCATTTCAAGCACTGGTAATTACCTGTTCCATCATGTTTGAGCCCCTGAATCTCAAGTGAAACTGTTGATTTGAGGACCTGCTCTCCCAGTAAATTTTCCCTTAATATATCAGAAGTTTTCTGTGTGTGTGTGTGTGTGTGTGTGTGTGCATGTGTGTGTGTGAGTGTGTGGGTGCTTTATTAATAAGGGGTTTATAAAGTCAGTAAAAAGCTCTGCCTACTATAGATTGAAATACATAGTTCATTAAATAGGTTACTTTATGTCATAAAGGCAACTAGACCAAAAACATCACCAAGGAGGGGTGTCTGTGTTTTATTCTTTGTTCCACTGACTATCTATTACAGCATCAAGAACAATGCAGGTTTTTAACAACTGTTTGATGTAGGGACAAGTAAATGAACAGGCATCACTAGAGTAATAGAACTTCCCCTGCTATTGAGAAAATTTCCCTTTTATTTTGACTAGACATGGCTAAAGGAAATCACTTCCTTCCTTTTCTTCTGTGCTCCTCAGGATTCATGTAGAGCACTGATATCTCCTATGTCCTCTGCCATCACTCCCCCAACAATGAGTCAGACCATGTCAATTCAGCCTGTGAACCCTCTCATAAGAAGACTTATAGGCTGATTACCAAAAATCTCTCTGTGTCCAAACTTGGCCCGTGATAGGCAAAATTAACTCTTTGCATATAGTTCTGGCTATGTCTTTCCTTACTTACTAATGCACATGTTTGTGCAAACTTAGGTAGGTGGGATTCTTTTTGGGTTCTCGCTATAGAATGTTTTATCTAAAGACGTTCTTTTTGCATTATTTCAATGAGAGTGGTTTTATAGATAATCCTGATTTGGGGTATAAAGAGAATTCCTTTTGACCTAGCCATACCTAAAATAATTTACCCAAATGACAAAGGTCACTTGCTTTCTGGTCACTTCCTGGGTTGCCAGTCCTATCAAATTCCACCTCCAGAGTCCTCTCCTGTACTCCCTAGCCATCCTCCTCAAAAACATACACCGTAAGAGCAGAGTTGGGAGATTACCCTTTTCTGCTTAGCAATCCTCTGAAATTTTGCTCTTTTACTAGATACTTATATATAACCACATAGTCAGCTTTCTGTATTTCAAGGAAGAAAATAATAGAAAACAAATGGAAAAGTGATAGAGGAAGAAATGAATTAATCGAATTAATTTGTTCTGTCAATATAGCCTCTATTTCAGGGACAGTTTCATAAAAAAGTTGCATTATGATAGAAGAGTATCTCATTAGTTTTAAGGAATGTAGAGAAATAGATTTACCTACAAAATACTTTGAACAATTTAGTTAAGAATCACTGAAATGATAAAATGTATTTAAGTAAGTCCTTATATGTAATTACCTTCTTATTAAAACTTGACATTAATGAGAGTTATGGAGAACATACCATACCACAGTTCATTCATTCAGAACTCATGTCCTTTGTCTTTCATGTAAATAAGAGAGTAAATCCCAGAGATTGTGTACTCACACAAACAGCAAGTCCACCTCTGCCACTAACTAACTGTAGGACCCGAAGTAAGCCACATAACTCAATGAGGCTTCAGCTTCTGCCTAAGTCCAAAGAAGAAACAGACATTCAAATTCATAACTTTCAGAATTGTGTTAACCTTCAAAATCCCTTGCTCAAATCCTTTGCGTAAACTTACTCAGACACAGGTAGTCACTGGATCTGCTTTTGTGGATTGTGTGTGTATGTGTGTCTGTGTATGTGTCAGGAATCCCACTGTAGCATTACTCCACACTCTTACTCTACAAAGAAACCCTACAGAATATTTCATTGCCTAGGAGCCTCATTGGAAAGCCACTGAACTGGTGGCCCTCTAAATTACTTTCAAATTCTGTTATTCCCAACTGTATATGTGTCATGACCTGCCTGTGCAGTTTTAAGTGGGCTGTGAGAATGTCTTACCAAGAAGGTGACATTTAACTGGAAGAAAATGAGGATGTGAACAATGCAGATAACTAAAGGAGGAGTGGTCTAAGGCAGAGGGATTAGCCTGTGCAAACACTCTAAGGCAAGATCATTTCCACCCATTCCACTGGCCAAAGAAATACATTTGTTCATGCTCATAGTTAATGTGGCAGGGATGTATAGTCTGTTTGCTTTTTTAAGAAATACTAGAAATTCACATGGCAGAAGGCATGAGTGCATAATTCTGTACCATAGAGGGAATAATGAGTTGGAAAGAATCTAATCTGCCCCACAGGCACTTTGCCTTTGAGTGGAATGGGGAGCCCTTGTATGGCTTCAAGAGATAACCTGATTCCAATTTCAAACATGCAATCACATCTGATTTCTGTACTGAAAATATAATCTAGGGGAAAAGGGCATGAGCAAGGAGACAAGGTAGAAGCCCATTACAATAATGCAGTGAGGGATCATAGTGGCTCAGACCAGGGTGGTCGCAGTAGAAATAGAAGTGGTCAGATTTCAAATGTTTTGAAGGTAGAGTCAACAGGATTTCTTGAGGCGTTGGCTATGAGAGAGGAACAGAAAAAGGAGTCTTCAATCTGGGCAACTCTACTAGAAGGAGAGTGGCCATCAACTGAGATGGGGAAGACTGTGTATACAGAGGCCTGAGTGGAAAATTGGAAGCTGAGTTTTCGTTATTTTATGTTAGAATTGCCTATTTGGCACCTGAGTGAGAAGTCAAGTATACAATTGTTGAGTCTGGAATTTAGGAGAGAGATGTGGGTTCAAGAGTAAAATTTGAGAGCCTCAAGCATATAGAAGATATTTAAATCCATCTCCCATACTCTGCAATAGCCACATAACTGGTCTATTAAGTTCTATTCTTTCCATATTCCAATGCATTTTCCATCCTGCCAACATTTACGTTTTCAAAGCAAACCCTGATTCTATTCCTCCCTGCTTAGCCATAGCTAAGCCATAGCTTAAAACACAAAATACAAATGTAATATAGAGGTTCAAAATCTGGCCAAAATCTATTACCACTTTATCTAGTAAAATCCTCTTTATCTTTATAGGCCAAATTCCAATGTCAACTATTCTGTTCAATTTTCCTGATAGCCCCAAGAAAATTAAACTGTTCCTTGGCTTTTCTCACTCAGAACTTATCATATGCTGCTTACTGTATTGTCCAATATGGTAGCAGCTAGCCACATGGGGCTATTGTCCACTTAAAATATGGCTAGTTCAAACTAACATGTGCTGCAGATGTAAAATCTGCATCTTAATCAAATACTTACTACAAAAATATATAAAAATCTGACAAATACTTTTATATTTCTGAAATGGTAATATTTTGGATGTATTGGGTTAAATAATATACACTATTGGCCGGGCGTGGTGGCTCATGCCTGTAATCCCAGCACTCTGGGAAGCCAAGGCGGGCAGATCATGAAGTCAGGAGTTCAAAACTAGCCTGCTTAACATGGTGAAACCCAGTCTCTACTAAAAATACGAAAAGTTAACTGGGCATGGTGGCACGTGCCTGTTGTCCCAGCTACTCAGGAGGCTGAGGCAGAAGAATCGCTTGACCCCGGGAGGCAGAGGTTTCAGTGAGCCGAGATAGCGCCACTGCACTCCAGCCTGGGTGACAGAGCTAGACTTCATCTCAAAATACATAAATTAGTTAATTAATTAATTAATTAAATAATAAACATTGTTAATTCCACCTATTTATTTTCTACTTTCCACGTGTAGCATACTAGAAACTTTAAAATCATATATGTGGTTTCTCATCTGTGGCTTGTAATTTATTTCTATTAAACAGTTCTAGTTTAAATCATACATCCCATTGTGTGATTACACAGTGTTACTCGTATCTATTTTTCTGATAGATTCTGAATTTTTGAAAACAGAAATTATGTTTGATTTCTCCTTCCAGGACCCAGCAGGACTCTTGGCTAGATGCCCGATAAAAGTTAATTGGAAGTTCTTGGATTTCTGATTGATGTCTCTCCTCAGACACTGATGTGTGAACAGATTGCCTACAATGTAAAATAGAATTTGGAAAAAAAAAGTAGGAGGTCCATAATATATATTTAAGAAACCTAAATACTTGGCCAAAGTCATCCAATTTTAGCTGACCACTGACCACATATAATTTTTGAACTAAAAATTATAACTCTTGAAGGAATTCTAGGAACCTAGGAGCATTTCCAAGGGACAAAAATAATGGTAAGAGTGTAAGTTTCTTCTTCTCACTTTTGTATTTTCTCCCTCCCCATTGCATCCAAATACAATGATTTTGGAAATAAAATTTAAATTTAAAATATCCACTAAGCAATGAGATGAGAGCAGGATCCGTCAGAATAATCAATCCGATATATGTTATAATCTAGTGGCAAGACAGTAAAATGTTTCCCGAAGCTCTTTGCCTCCAATAGAAAAGATTCTGATATGATAGGAGATGTGATGTGATTCTCTATAGGCAGCATGTGCAGAGAGAACCACAGCTGTAGAAAATGCAAAGTGAGAGACTGCAAATTAGTATGTATTGTCAGCCCCCTTCAGGGTGAAGTGCGGATTCTAATGACCATTCCTAGGTGTCTAGACAGAAATACCCCTGCAGGGAAGAAGAATAACATCTCAAGATATGTTAATTTGATGTAAATCTCCTTTTGCCATGCTGAATTTCTCCTTTATAGTTCACTCCCCGGGTTTTTGGTTTGTTGTTTGGTCTCTGGAGTGCCCTGCCCTTCAGAAAATGGGTAGAGAGGTGCAATTTATCTCCCATGAAAAATTAATAGCTATCATCTGATCTAGAAATCATTGTCTTACATGCTTGGTCAGGGTAAGTGATTTTTTCACTCTCATCATTGTGAAGTAATAAAACTGATGCCTGAACCTGTAGATAGTCCCTGTTAAAACTATATTTAGGAAACCCCACATAAGCAGAGTCTGTCAGTCTCTATGTCTTTTGACTTCATACCAGCTTAACTTACCAAATTTTAAAGATTTTTCTAGACATTATTATTGGAAACCTATACAATTTTGCTTCAAATTGCAAAATCTTCATTTGCATTTACAGAGTGGTTTTGTTTCACTGAGAATGAGGGATAGGACCTCGTGCTTCTAGACTGCTGAGCTCATTTGCATGTTCAGCCACATTCTTCATTGGCTGACCAACTGACATAAACAGAAGAAGGCTGATCTATTACCTTGACATATAAATGTATCCTTGAAGAGAGTGTGATTTGCTTTTTCCTCATAAATTGTGTATGGCCTCTGTGGGAGAGATAATGATGCTCAGAAATCAATTTAATCCTAAAAACCTGTCCTTTCCCCTAGGTATCTGAGCCAAAATATGATGTACTTTTAGAACTCCCAGTGTTGCTAAATATCTTGCTCAACACTTAATAGTTTGAGGTTTAGGGGTTTTGTTTGGCATTAAGCACTGGTGCCAGTGATTCAGGAATGATACATCCACATATAACCCATGGACAATTGAGCCAGATGCTCCCAGAACAGAATACTTTCTGAGAGCAATTTAGACAATTTTGGAAGGACATAGACTCTTCTTGAACACATTTAATGACATTGCCATTAAGCATACTAAATCATACCAAATAGTATGAATCTGTACTTAAAATCTGAGAGAAGACATTAACGAGAATTCATTTTGTGTTTGTCTGCATGGTAACTTCATGTTCTCCAATACCAATGATCCAATCTCATTTTATCTTTTTGGTTAGAGTGGTATACTAGTATACTTTTTTTTTTTTTTTTTGAGACATAGTTTCGCTCTTGTTGCCCAGGCTGGAGTGCAATGGCATGATCTCAGCTCACCACAACCTCTGCCTCCTGTGTTCAAGCGATTCTCCTGCCTCAGCCTCCTGAATAGCTGGAATTACAGCCATGCGCCACCACACCTGGCTAATTTTGTATTTTTTTTTTTTTTTTAGTAGAGACGGGATTTCTCCATGTTGGTCAGGCTGGTCTTGAACTCCTGGCCTCAGGTGATCCGCCCGCCTCAGCCTCCCAAAGTGCTGGGATTACCGGCGTGAGCCACCGCACCCGGCCGGTATACTAGTCTACTTTTAAAAATCTTTTATTATGCCCACTATATTATTAAGTATATCATGAATACTTGAATCCTAAGAATCAGAATTTTTGACCCGAGAAAATATTAATGATGACTTAGCTCAATCTCCTAACATTAGCTAATTAACTTTCTCAAAGACACTGATTCATAACTGAGAGACAGAACCAGGAGTGGAACCTGGGCCTCCTAAATTCCGGTCACAATCTTTCCACTGCATGATTTTGTCTTAATTCACCAAAGGTATTCACTGGAGAGGAGAAAATCTGTTGAGGCAGGTATTGTTCCTGACCTGTGGGGTGACTAGGATATCTTCCCTGCCCTCAGAAATCTTATGGCCCCAAAGGAAGACAGCTAAGAATGCAGATCTTTTAAGTTATGTAGATATTCTGATGGAAGTATATAAAGTAGAAAAGGGGAACACACACACAAACACAAAGTTATCAGTTACACTGAAAGGTAATTGGGACATGCTTAATGAAGAATGAATCTTGGGGATTTTGAAAGAAAGACTGGGCTGGGCATTCTACATTAGGAAAAGAATATTTAATTCTTGTCTCTGCTATTAGGAGACTGTGCAGGTGTTACCAAAAATATAAGTGCAGCTGAAGGGATGTTTCTTATTTGCTCTATGCAGAAAAAATATAGCACCTTCTTACAAGCAGATACTTAGCAGGCTGAGTTACTAAGACTTGTGGAAAATTAAAACTTTGGGACAGTTTTAGCAATACTTCTATACTGTAAGATTTAGTTTGTGTGTGCACATGTGTGTCTTTTGAAAGCAGTCATTGCCACTTTCAAAGCAATAAACCAAAACTACTATATTTGAGGGAATAGGATAATTTAGGAAGGTAGAAGATACGGAGTTAGGGTCATCCTATGAGAAATATAAAGCTAACCCAATAGCTTCCATTGTCTTATAGAAGGAAATCTTTTTAGAAGAGAAGCAACCCACACTTTTGGACAATATTTTAAGGGACTTGGTTTGCTTACTCTTACACTTCTTTCTTGAAAAATCTGTTATCTAGTAAGGAGCTACACAAGGCAGATGTGGCATTTGTAAAACCTTTAAAATAAAAATAGATTAAAATAGGAAGCTAAGTACAACTTGAAACTAGATTAGATGGTAACATAAGAAAATGTGAGTGCAACATGACCTACACTAGTTTGTATTTGTTGGTCTAAACTACTCTTTGCCCAAATGTATTCTTTTCCTTTTTCATCTTCTGTCATTTACATTGCCACAGATATTCAATAGAAGTATTTTGTGATGTCATACTCATGATCACTTTATTAAGGAGGTACGTGCATGAGCATATGTGAAACATGCAAATGTTTAAATACACGTTCAATTCTCCTTGACTTCCAGCTAAAACATGACCTCTGGATCTACGAGGTGATGGGACTCCCCCAGCTTTTTTTTTGAGACGGAGTGTCACTCTGTCACCGAGGCTGGAGTGCGATGGCGTGATCTTGGCTCACTGCAACCTCCACCTCCCGAGTTCAACCGATTCTCCTGCATCAACCTCCTGAGTAGCCGCGATTACAGATGCGCGCCACTACCCCTGCCTAATTTTTGTATTTTCAGTAGAGACAGGGTTTCACTATGTTGGTCAGGCTGGTCTCGAACTCCTGACCTCGTGATCTACCCACCTCGGCCTCCCAAAGTGCTGGGATTACAGGCATGAGCCATGCGCCTGGCCAGGACTCCCCTTTTTAATCTGCAAAGACCTGACTTCTATTAGGGGTGTGGGTTAGATAAGAGCCACACCAGGCCCTGAACCACGTATAATCTCATTTAGTCATCACAAAGGACTCGGAGGTTATTATTCTCATTTCCAATTTTACACATAAGAAAACTGAGGTTCAAGGAGATTGAATAAATTGTTTAGGATTAAACAACCTGTTAGTGATGAAGCAGCAATTCAAATAAAGATCTGTCCGACTCCTGAGCTGATGAGCTGATTTTCTCTCTACTTGGCAATGGGGTACCACATTATAGAAAGTCCTAAGTGAACAACAACAAATTCTGTGGAGAAAATCCAGTAGAGCAAGAGACTTAGTGCAATTCAGAAGGAGGAATAACTAGGGTACAAGTGAACTCAGAGGGAACCTGGTAGCTTTCTTCGAATATTGAAAAGATTACCAGGCCAAAGGAGTTATTATGATTGCTTTGCATGATCCCTAGGGGTAGAAAATAAACCAGTATGTATGTTGAAGTTTTAGGAAAACAATATTATATGAGAGAACTTTCCAAGAAAGATGATTAAGGATAGATAGACAGCACTTGCTTGGAAGGTAATCAATTTTCTGTCGGTTGACTTACTTAATTATAAGCTGTGTAATCATTTGAAAGACTATTACCAGAAACAAATCAAAGCCAAAACTCATAGCTTAATGAATTTGCTTTATTCTGGCTACTGTCAGTTGAATAAACTGTGTAGTTAAAGTATCAAGATAATGATTGAGTGATTTTCTAAATAAACAACTGAAACCTGAAAGCATTGCCATGGTTGGTTTCTGCTAGATTTATTTCCTTTCCTTTGGTTTTATCCAAGTACATAAAAGGTGATTTGGAAAGAGTATCTCTTTTCTCTAGTTTAGAGTGTCCACATTAGACATTTTAAGTTAAGCATATGACATGGCAGGATCAACTTTAAAAAACAGAAATATCATATATCTTCAAATTGAAGTTTAGAAAATATTCTATATTACCTACTGGTTATTCTGACTTACTTCTGCTAAAGTGAGGAAATATTTCTAAAGGTGAATATAGTTAAACACCATCAGCCTGTTGTTTTTAAAAGGACATGTTAATGCTTGTAGAAGACCTTTGGTTTTCCAATTATGGTATTATACATTGCTTTAAGTCAATCATTTAAAGTATGCATATTTTAATTTAGCACAAGTGCGAATCTAAATTATAGTCACAAAAGAATTGACAATTTGTAAACAAAAATGCATGCTAGCATAGGACTTTGAATCATCCCACATTTGCTCTCATGTATATCTGCATATTTGTATTTACTGAATGAATGAAAAAATGGAAACCTATTTGCTCAATAACCTTGACCATGTCATTTCACCCACTTGGGCTGCTACCTGCCTATAAACTAAAGAAATTGGATCAGAATTTTCTCAAGTTTCTCCTAGATCTAAATGAGTAAGTGTGTAAAATTTGATGCTGTATTAACCCCCAGAGGGAATGTAGAAACTTTAAAAAAATGTAATTAAAATAGTGAATGTTTTTAATCATCTTCTGTGGTTTGCAAGCCACATTCTCTGAGCAAGTCAAGATGCTTGAGCCCTCAATTTTATGTACCACCCACCTCTATGCAGACAATTTCCAGAACTTCCTCTCCTGCCCTGACCTTTCATATTCTACCCAGTCACATATTTCTTTCTGTTTATGGAACATCTTTACTTAGATGTTCTGCCATCACCTAAATCTAAACATGGGGAAGAAAAGGGAATTATGATCCCTCCTTAGCCCATCTATTCTGCTTTCCCTGCACCATGGTTTCCGAGGCAGATACCCCTGGCATCCCCTCCCCATTCCAATTACCCACCATGTCCAGACTAATACCGAGTCTACTGATTCCTACTCAGTGTTTTTTCTTCCTCTACTTCTGAATTTCAACAGTCTCAGCCTGAGCCAAGCTCAGCACACATAGACTCTTTTAAGGGCCTCCTGGTGAGCCTGCCTGCTTGTATTGTTTCCTTATTTTCATGGACACTATGAAGAACCACAGAATACTTTTATTCAAATCCTTTTGAGCAGCAATACAAACTCCTTTCCTGAGTGTAATTTAGCAGCTGGTATGTGCCTTGAGGATAGTATTTATTTTTACATGCAAATTTCAAACATAAATATTTACTTATGTAAGTTCTGTCTCATATTAGAACAGGAATTGGTTTAGCATTGGAAGCAGGTCTTTTTTTCCTTTCTTCCTTATTTCTACAGATATTCGTTAAAAAGTGATTCATGTAAAACACTCTACCAAGCTCTCTGACAGCCATAAATATAGATCAAAGATGGCTCTTGTCCCTGTGGAGAACATTCCTACTTCCTAAAGTAAAGGAAAGTAAAATTGGTTGAGTACATTTAGGCACTGACATAAGGTCATGATGTTAATTTTCTCATTTTGGCTTTCTAGAAAACTTTGTACAATACAGTTATTATCTCCGTTTTACAGATGGGGACAATAAGGTTAGAAGAAGTTAAATAACTTACTCCCAGGTCTGACTCTGAAGCCCTGGTTCTTAGTTCTATGGGCCTGCACTGGAATCTGTATTTACTGGTTTCTAAATTAATGGCATTTCCAGATTAAGTCTGGTATGATAACAACCTAGAAATTTGCTAAGTGATTTCCTATAAGTCTGAGTGACTAATATGTATCTAAACTTTCTTTTTTTCTCATAAGCAAGTGATGTTCACTAGCATAAAAAGTATATTAGATTGTAAACACTATCATAAGCAGTAGTCCATATTCCACAATCTACAGGAGACTCTATATATGTGAACATGAACAACTTTATGTAAAAATAATATGTTGTTTTTAGATCTCAAAAATTCATTTCATTAAAAAATACATTTTGTTCGTAAATCAAATAACATATGGTTTTATGTAGCATACATTCATTCTCTCATGTTAATTATTATATTTATTAATCCTGCCCTCTCTAAACCCTGGTAAAAATATTTTTGGATGCTCATTTTTCAATAAATAAGACAATTATTTTCTTCTAAGACCACCCACTACATAAAATGAATTTGCATCTGGAGTGGTTTTTGTCAACAAACTTCAAAAGAACATATCAGATAATTTTGGTGATAACCATAGCCTAAAATATCAGGTTAACATTTATATAAATAGTAAAGATAAGCATATGGTTTTCTCCCCTGATGCCAATTTGCTGTCTTTGAAGATTGTTTTCATAAATAATTACAGTGTATAACAAAAATTCTTCAGTTTCCGTGTTTAGAATAAAATTACCACCTTTCTACTAGGAACATATTTTGTAAGAACCTGATATTTAAAATCTTCAAAATAGAAAGATTCAAACTATTTTCAATAAGTATTTAGAATGTATTTTTATATGGATGAACAGTCTTTATCAGGAAATATCAC
The DNA here is from genome assembly GCF_000001405.40 of Homo sapiens. Taxonomy (NCBI): domain Eukaryota; kingdom Metazoa; phylum Chordata; class Mammalia; order Primates; family Hominidae; genus Homo; species Homo sapiens. The sequence continues at coordinate 107,438,375 of NC_000008.11, read as the reverse complement.
TGGAATTATATCAAATGACAAAAAGACCCCCTCCAAAGACTAATAAAGATGGAGGTGACAAAGAAGAAGAAGAAGAAGATGATGATATCAAAGAAGGAGAAGAAGGACAAAGAAGAGGTAGAAGGAAAGGAAAGAAGGAAAAGAAATAATCATAATGCTAAAGGTAAACTGGGATTTCACATGGGCCATTATTAACAAATGATTCTGTAGTTTCTCATTTCCTTATCTCTGCATTGTGAAACAAATAAAAGAGCTTTCTTCCTTCCTAGACTTGGGTAACATTGTGGAGGGTTAAGGTGTTTGGCACCTATCGGATGCTTAGAATAACAAGGTTCAGTATGGACTTTGAGGCATGAGATTTTCTCCACGCCAGAGTGTGCTAGTCACGCAGGTCCAGCAGGGTCACAGCGCACTGGAGGGCAGCATCCTCCAGAGTGCCCTACACAGGTTCTGCTGTTCAGGTAAATACAATAATTCAGTCTCCAATACAACCAGTCCTTTGCATTTTAGAAACACTGAATTTCACTAAAGTTTTTTTTTTCTTTTTCTTTTTCTTATTTTTTTAGTCCAAGATGAAAAGATATCTGTCTGTCCTCTTCATGCCACTCTAGCTTATCTGCTGTCATCTATGATTCCTGATGAGTTGTCACTTCTGTGGCTTGTCAACTGAAAGTGCTCACAAAGACAAAGTCTGCAATAATGTTTTTAGCATGTTTAATAGAGCCTGGTTAAGTAAACATCCTCAACAAAAGCAGCAAAAGAAAGGTTAAAATAAACAGAGCTACTGTGCCAAGTTCATAATGACTTACACATTTAGCACTCTGCCCATCTTCTAAGCATGGCCATTAAAATCAGGTTTGTGTACTTAATATAATTGCCTTGAAACCATAGCTATTCAAATACTATAGGCCATTTACATACTTCAGCTCTCTTTGTCTTCCTTCTCTTTTCTCCTCCAGCTTTATAAAACCTGGAAATTGTTTCACAAAACTTAATTTCAAGGTAGTTAGTGATACCTTTCTCTATAACAGGCTAGACCTACGGATTTTTGTCAGAAAATTACTGATTCTTGTAGAGTCAAGGAGAAACGAACACTTTTTCACATTCTTCAAATCAGGTACTCTTTGGGAGAGTATGAGAAGTTTCATATCTCAAATTAGAAAAGTAGCACAGTTTCTTAACAGGCCAGTTAAAATGACAACCAAAAATATGTATTTATTTAAGCAATATGTAATATTAGAAAAATATATGCACTTCGGAGAAAGTCCTGGAAATGTAACCTCACCTCACTGTCCCTCAGTTTCTGACCCAACCAGCAGTTCCTGGTGTGAAATGTAACTATATTGGTAGATGACTTTAATAATTAGAGATACTAATAATAAAATTAAGTAGCTGACATGTTTGTGTTCAATAAATGTTATCTCAACTGTTTAAATATACTAGCATATAATTTTCCATTTTATATTTCTTGTAATTTTTCATAGTTATACAAATAAGTTGTTGATTTTCAAATATTTCTCCCATATGTATCCAGGAATTTATATTCTTATGTAAACTTCAGTGGTTTGTTCTTGTCCCAGTACGAGCACTTTAAGCTAAGACATTCCATTGAAGAAATGGATGATTGACATAAAATGAGCACAGAATCTGAGGGGCTGTCCTCACGGGTCAGTGTTGGGTTCTATTTTGTTTAACAACATCATTAGTGAGCTGAAAAGAGGAAGTAAGTAGCATGAGAAGTACATCTGCAGACGATAAATGAAGATGAACTTCAAATTCCCAGGAGGAGAGAGTATAAATAGATCCGCAGAAGGTTGCTGAAATTGGTAGCAAAGAAGAGAAAGAAATGCAGATCTAAATTACAACGTTCCATATAAGCACAAGAGGGCTTGAATAACGTGAGACCCAGAAAGAGGAAAGAACTAAGCTAACAAATAGACAGTACAGTTTGCCAAGGGCACCAAAGCCCAAAAGAACATAATATTCTGGAGGATGAATGCAATGTAAATTTCCCATTTCTTCCTGTAGCAATGAAATTGAAGAGTGTATAGTCTAGCATAGTGTTGACATGAAGTCTTAGGATTGAGGCCCAGTGTGAATACTGTGTGGCCTTGAAGAAAGGACTTACCTTTTCTGATTCACATGCTCTGCTTCTAAAAATGAGAGTATTGGCCAGGCACTGTGGCTCATGCCTCTAACCCCAGCACTTTGGGAGGCCAAGGCAGGGGGATTGCTAGTGCTCAGGAGTTGGAGACCAGCCTGGGCAACATAGAGAGACCCCATCTCTACAAAAAAAAGTTTTAAAATTAGACAAGCATGGTAGTGCACTCCTGTGGTCCCAGCTTCTCGGGAGGCTGAGGTGAGAGGATGGCTTGGGCCCAGGAGGTTGAGACTGCAGTAAGCTGTGATTAGGCCACTGCACTCTAGCCTGGGTGGCACAATGGGACCCTGTCTAATCAACCAATCAATCAATCAGTAAAATTGTATTGTATTATATACCTCATAGGGTTATTTTGAAGGTGCAATGGGTCTGGCACTAGATTGTAAATTCTATAACATCAGAAATTACAGTATGCTTACAATTGTATCTCCAGTGCCTATCGTCATCCCCGGCACATGGTGGGCAATGAATAAAAGGTTTTGAAAGAATGCTGAATCATAGGGCTCTTCTGAAGGCTGTGTAGTAAATATGAGAAACAATCTTGAGCTTTTATTTGTTTACTTCCTTACTACCTGCCTCCCTTCTTAGCATGTCAGCTCTGTAGGAGTAAGAAAATTACCTTCTTGTTCCCTTGCCAGATCCCTGTGCCCAGAACCTTGACATTTAGATGTGGTTTCTCAGCCAACACATGACACTCCCCGGAAGTTTGTTAAAATGGTAAAATTATGGGCCTAGCACCAGACCTACTGAATTAGAATCTGCATTTACTATCCTCTGTTAATTCTTGTACACATTACATTTTGAGAAGCATTTGTCTAGAAAACACCTGTCCGTAGTAACGTCTCTATAAGCTGTTATTAGATAAATGACTGCAAGATTTACTGTCTCATTTAGCAGATTTAAAGTCCTTCACACATGCACACTAATAATGTTCTTTAACAGCTTTTGGGGGGTATGATTTACCTACCATAAAATTCACTCATTTTAAATGTACAGTCCGATGACTTTTAGTTAATTTACAGACAAGTGCAGTTTGCACCACAATCAAATTTCTGAACATTTCTGTCACTCTAAAGGATCCCTTGTGCTCATTTACAGTCCTTTCTCCTTCCCAGCTCCAACTACTATGAAAATATTATTTTAATATCCACCCCCATCATGAGGGAAACGGTGTATATTAAAATAATATTATTATGGTGATTACATAGAAAATCTAATTTAGTGATTAGAGAATCACTAAAGGGCAAACAAGTATTCCTCTTTCATTCACACTTCACTAAATAAAAGTGATTTTTGAATGAATTTGACTGCAGTTTAAATAGTCATTAACTATTTCTAAATGGATTTGCTCAACAGCTAAGAGTTTAAACATGATTCAGTGGGGACATTTACCACTTTCAGGGAAAAACCATTTCAAATAATTATTTTCTAAACTTATTGGGTATACATTTACAAGCAAACATTATCAGTATATCAAAAATAGAAGCCATGAGACAGTCTTTTCCTTTAATCCACTAATTACAAATCATTGCCATGTAATCAGGGTTAGAGCTAGGCCAGCCTATATACTTTAACTTAGTTAATTTGCTATTGAAGTTTAGTATTTTTTTCTTTTTTTTTAAAGTTTGTCTTAGCTGAGACTGCCTTTCTTAGGGCAAAGTCTCTTTAATCGTTCATCTCCTCTACTGAATTCAGGTCCTTGAGCTTATTCCCCTGGACTTTCTGAATAGGTCAATACACGATTTCGTTGACCCCATCACTCTGGCATTATCCCCGACAGTTCTGCCTCCCAACCCCAAGCGAAGTATTTCAAATCCCCCACTTAAAAACCTTCCATGATTTCAAGTTGTCCACGCAATGATGTCCAAAATCCCTAGCATGCATTGAGTCCAGACTCCTTTTCCTGTTTCATTCCTGCCACTCCCACTTTCCCGCCCGGCCTATTACACATGCTACACTTCCCACTGTTCTCAAGACTTGCCAAGCATATCACACATCTGTATCATTACTAAAACTGTTCCCTCCCTGTGGGAATGTTATTACCTTTTCTCTCTACTTAGATATTAAAATCTTATTTGGACCACAGTTCAATGCTTCTATTGATAACAGCTCAAATACTTCTCCAATAGTCACCCCTTTCCTCAATCAAATTTGCCTCTTTTTCAGTTTTGACTCACTGAGTATGATATTTTGAAACTCAAACTTAGTATAGGAAAGGAAAGATAAGGACTATGATATAGTGAATTATATGTTCCTATCACCTTTCACAGTATTTGGAATAGTAGGAGCTTGATGAATTTATAAATTTGTGTGTGGGTGAGGGAATCTATAACATCCTGCCTTTGAAAATTGTTGCACTTGTAATGGCACAGACATCTGGATGAGATGTACACTTCCAGTTCTCCAGTTCATGCTCATCTACCCTCTCTTTGTGTGTGTATGTATCTTTTTTACACAGATATCTATTGAAACTTTTAAACCTTCAGTTAGAGACAAGAAAAAGCATGAACAGAATGAAATGTTTGAAGGATTGGTCCTAGAAGCCTGGCTTATGATAGATGCTAATATCCTGTTTCATCCTTTTAAAATTATGGACCATAATAGCTGAAATAAATTGAAAGATGATATTTCAATCCAGTAATTTTCTAGATGAGGAAAATGCTGCCCAGTGTCTTTATTTGTATTATTTGCTTGTCCATCTTTCATGTCAGGGACAATCTTTTTGCTTTTAATACTTTACTCAATGTCTCTTTATTAATAACCTGATTGAATAGTATGTCTGGACATGTCCTTTCTCTGCACAGGATCTTGAAAGCCACAGAACTATTTCATAAGGCAACCATGGTTTCCTAGGGGAAAAACACTTACCTATCCAATCACTTGCAATAGAATATTCCTTCCCTGATATGTATCTGCTACTTGGTAGCAGTAATGAAAAAGAATAATCTGACACCAAAGGTCTGAAGTTAACTTCTAGCTGGTCTTCTCTACCCCCAGGTATCAATTCTATATTTTGGGACTCATTAGCACAAAATGAAAAAAACAACCAGCCCAATTTCCCCTATACCCACACCAAATGGGCAATGATCTCAACTACTATTTAAGAAAGTTAAATGCTTAAAAAGTCTTTTACAAAAAAAAGAGGGGAAAAAGAGAATTATTTCACATGAATGTGAAATATGAATGTTTATTAATTTGAGGTTTTTTTTAAGTCAAGACATCATTGCTTTTATAAAAACTCTCTTTGTAAGAACAAATTATAAATTGCAAACTGGAATGAATGCCTACAGAAATAAATGTCCAAATAAAAAGAACGATTAAACCAGAAGATTCTGCAAAGAACTCAGATAGTGAGACAGGACAATTCTCTGACATTGTCAAGATGACCTTGAATATTTATTTGAATGAACCAGAGTATAATATACATATCCTTTGAAATAAATCCTTGTTATTAACAGTACTTATCAGATATCTAATACATTAAGCATTTATTTGAAATCTGAAAGGTGAGTTAAACACCTGTTCATTGAGGACTTTTTTTTTTTTTTTTTGAGATGGAGTCTCGCTCTGTTGCCCAGGCTGGAGTGCAGTGGCTCGATCTCGGCTCACTGCAAGCTCTGCCTCCCGGGTTCACGCCATTCTCCTGCCTCAGCCTCCCGAGTAGCTGGGACTACAGTCACCCGCCACCATGCGTGGCTAATTTTTTGTATTTTTAGCAGAGACAGGGTTTCACTACGTTAGCCAGGATGGTCTCGATCTCCTGACCTCGTGATCTGCCTGCCTTGGCCTCCCAAAGTGCTGGGATTACAGGCGTGAGCCACCGTGCCCAGCCTCACTGAGGAATTAAAAGCAGATATCTTTTTATTTCCTAAGAAAGCTATATCTCAGAAAATTCTCTGGAAAGTAAATCCTATTGTCTTACCTGACTCTTATAACATCGTTATAGAAAAGGAATAATCCCAAAATAATTTATTTGGGATAAGGAATATTTATATTTTAGTCTATAATGTCTTTGGGGGAAAGTGAAGTATTCTCTTTTTAAAAGATTTTACGGTTCAGTTTTTTTTTTTTATAATTGCATGATCTTGTAAATTTTTATTTTAATCCCTCAAATATCAATTCTTTTGTCACACAGTAAAAAAGTTTAATTTTATGATGGTATTAATTGTGTTATTAGAGAGGTACCAATAATTTTTTCTTATGCCAACATCTATGCTCAATTGAGTTGCCAGAGTTTGCTGAAATATGTATCAAATACAAATACTCTAATGGATTAAAATATTGAGGCTGGTAATATTCATTTTAAGATGTAAGTTTGTTATAAGGTATTTGTATGTATTTCTGGAGGGATATATGCTTAATGTAACTTAAACCACTGGGTCATCTGCAAAGACTTGGTTTATGAAGCAATCTAGTCTTTGAATTTCTTGAACTGTTTCCTCAGTGCCTAGCATGATACTTTGATGATAAAAAAAAAAAAGACAGAGTAGTTTCCCTGAAAATCTGGTAGGAAGGTAGATACAAGCATTAAGGAGATTCTTATGACAGTATGTTGGGAGAACTGGAATTCAAAACTAGGAGCTTGAGAAGGCAGGAAAGACGTCACAGAGATTGCAGATCTTGCTAAGGAAGAAAGAGGTTGATAGTAAGATGAAGACATTCCTGGAAGAGGGCATGTGGCCTGTGCAAGGCTCCGGGACCTGGCAGGACATGTAATGTGAAGAGAACTCAGGCAGTCTAAGAGAGCCAGAGTAAAGATGAAGTCACTTTAGCTTAAGTGTGTTGTGTTCTGGATCTGTCCTCAGTTACTAAACCTATTGGAAAAGTGAACACTTAGAAAATTCCTCCTCTGCTCTGTGACAACCTAGGTGTGTGTCATTTGTAATGGGCAACACGACAAGTGACTTCCAACCAAAATCTGTGTTTTTGCAAGGTGATTTATTAGACACAGTCAATTTTTTTTATGCTTACATTTTCTAATTATAAACCAAAATCACTGACCAATATACTATATACAATGTAATGTGCTAAACACACACACACTGTCTCTCTCTCACACACACATGCACTACCTTATTTAATTATCAGAGGCAAAATAGCCTGTTCTATAAGAACTATTGTTATCTCCATTTTACCAAGGGGAGAGTGAGGTTTTGAGAGGTTAAATGACACCAAGTTCAGATAGCAATTAGTACAGAGCTGAGCTTTGAATCCAGGAAGTTTAACTTAGAAACTCAAGAATTTTCACCTTTCAAATAATTGCTGCCTTTTCTAAGAATATGTGATACCAAGAGGTTCATCAGAGAACTCAAGGAGAATAGTTAATCTTAGTGCACCAAATAATAACAGACTGTATTGCTGTTTCATATTGCTGCTGTAACACATTGTCTCAAATGTAGTCAACCAAGGTGTAGGCAAAGTTGGTTCCTTTTGGAGGCCCTAAAGGGAGAATAGATTTCTTTGTCTTTTTCGGCTTCTAGAGGTCACCTATAAACCCTGACCCGCTGACCACTACTTCCCTGCATCAGTATAACCTCTTGCTTCCACCATCACATCTTTTACTACTCCTGCTTTTCTCTTATAAAGGACTTTATGATTCCATTGGGCTTACCTGGATGATTTAATCTCATTTGCAATTTCCTTTTACCATGTAAGGTAACATAGTCACAAGTTCCAAGGTTTAGAAGGGGGACATTATTTAGCCTACCACACGGATGCAATCTAGAAAAATATTTGTTTAAATTGTAGGTGAGAAAGAGTGAATAGGTATGAACTCTGCCCTCAAGGAGCTCAAAGTATAGTTGGGAGTCAGCCATGTGAACCAAAAGTGATAGTAAAATGTGACAAGGTGCTGCAGGCTGCATTGTGAGTACTTAGCCCGAGGATGGTACAGAAAGAACCACGCAAACATTCTCTCATATTTAAAACATCAGTAAAGACCATTTGTCCCAAACTAATTTTTCATTAATAGTAAACTCCATTTTCATTTAGAATTATATTCAGAATTCTTGTGAAATTCCAAGAACATTAAACATTACCTTAGGAGTTAAAATGCTTTCAAGGACTTTTTTTCTGTATACTAATTAGTTAAAAATTCTAATAAAAAACACACACACAAACAAAAAAAGCACACATTCTTTCAGTACGTTTCAGAAGTAAGATTCTAACCAAAAAGTTGATTCATATGTATGTTATTACTTAACCTGTGACTTTAAAAATGAAAAATCACCCACATGACAAATGGATTTTTTTCTCTCAGAAATGAAATGTTACCCATTTATTGACCCAACTATGTGATTCTTTTTGTTACCTTTTTATTGCTTTTACTTTTATGTTAATCACAATAAACCATCATTCTGTCAGAGTGTCCTAAAACAAAAGATTTGTGGAAGCCTGCATTTCAAAAATAATATTAGTCTACAGAAAACTCCTTGACTCTATTAAAAACAGTGACGATCCTTTGACCACACTCCAGGAATTTCTCTCTCACCAAGACAAAAGCAATCCAAAAACTAACTAGTTGCTGGGAACCCAGCAGAGTCGACTTTTTTTTTTTTTTTTTTTTTCCTCCTGGAGCTCAGCAATAGGCTTTTATTCTTTCTTTGAGCTCCTATTGGCTCTGGAGAAAAAAGACAAATAATTAACCCTGAAGTAAGAAGCATTTCACTGCAGACTCTTCCTGCTGGGTTAACAAACATCTCTCAGAAAGCAAGCTCCTTGGGAGTGTCCCGCTCAGTGTCATTATTGATTAGTGACACCCATTCTTTTAGTAAAGCCTTTGGAAACTTCGGCTTCAAGGGGGTTTGATCATTAAGGATGAAGTTTTCAGTTGCTTTTTGTCCAAATTTGTTAACTGAACTGTTAAGTGGTGAGATGGTGATTGGAGAGCCTCCCCGGGAAGTCCGGGTTTCACTCGCCTGCAGTAACCGGTCTCATCTTATGAGTGCCTCACTGTGTTCCTTCATGCTTTAAATGACTCAACCCCTATTTCTCTCAAGGCCCTGTAAGAGGCAAAGAATCATGTCACAGCTTGACATTGTGACATATAAGCACCTATTAATTTGAGCAATTGGTACTTAGTTATCCTTAAATAACTTGGTTATCCATTCCCTTAAGCGTCTTAAATATAACTATTGATTGTCGCTTGTTTGTTTGTTTTTGCTTTTAAATCACTCTCAGACCATGTAACATGGCCCGATGCATATGATTTAGAATAGCATAACCCTCTTGTCCAAAAGAATTGTTCCTAGTGTATTTGGAAATAAACTCAAATTTTCAAAATGGATGAAAGGCAATATTGAATGAATCACTTTTCTTTCATTTTACCTGAGGGTTTAAGAGAAGACAATAATAGGATGAATGCTTTTTATAATACCTTTGGGTGGATTGGGAATTTTGCCAATTTGGTTAGAGAATGAGCCAAGAGGTCAAAATAACAAATGGGATTCCCATAAAGGTGAATTAGCTACTGATGCTGTGGCTATCAACGTGTCCTTGCTTAAAAAAGCACTGGCAGGTATCTGTGATTGTTCTTGTTTAGTTATAGCACTCGAAAACACACACACACACACACACACACACAAAATGAAAAAACTACCAGCACTACTACAATAATAAGACCAAGAAAAACCTAAATTAGAAAGCAAGAGATCATCAAAAAACAGTGTGTGGGATGACCAAATGAAGGAGCTGAAGACAGACCCTTAGGAAAACCTACATTTTCTCAGACACACTTGAAAATAGCATCATTCTGTTTGTTTCTGTTTGGATGGGTCTTTTAGGATAGGATATTGCACTTTGCAAAGTCTATTGTTGCATTAAAAAGTCTCATGGGGGTCAGTCTTGTCTCCCATAGGGTAGACTCTGGAGCTTGTAGCTCTTTTGTAATCTCTCAAGTTGCCCAGCATGAGCTAGACACATGGGAGACATTATACCCACACGAACTGAATTCATGTATACTGAGATGTGGGTAATAGATGGAAACATAAAAGGTGAATGTCATCTGGGAAGGAAAGCTATATACCACATTTCATTATTTGTAGCTTGCGAAGAAACATTCTTTCTCCTTAAACATCAATTCCAGTTGCTTTGTGGTTGGTAATAAGTGGAGAAAGGTCACATGAAAGGCCATATGGAAATTACAGTGCTGCCTTGTTCCTGAAAATTTTCCTACTGGATAAGCTGCCTTTCAAAATATGGCTTCTTCAATTTGTAACGCAGGGATCCCTTTGCCTTGATCTACTCACCAGGTGGACGCCTTCAGGGAGCCTAGCCTTCCCAAAGTCCTGTAATGCCTTGCTTAGTCTAAGGACTGTCTTCCCAATTTCAGCATTCTGTTTTAGGAGCTGTGTCTTCCCCAGAAATGACACTAGAAATAATAACTCCCGTTTCTCCTCCTCCTCCTATTGAGAGAAGATCAAATTTGAAGATCAATATGCACAGGAACTTGGTCTTACCCAGGTCTTACCTGGGGACTATACTGAGAGACAGTCTAAAACAATCCACCATTCATACAGAGCTTCAAACCTAGAGGAGGAAGAAAGAGACCTTCCCTTCATGATTATAATTATTGTGGAAGATCTTACTTGGACAAAGGGAGGGGAGAATCAAACAGAAATGTTATGGACAAGGGGAGCAAGAAAAGTAAACAACACTGGACATTGACCTGAAAGACAAGCCCATGTGTGTCTCACTCTGTCCTGAAGAGACAAGAGCATCTTCAGGAGAGCGTCTGCAAGTACAGGGAGGAAGAGGGACCTCAACAGATAGCTGGTACAGGGCAGGACAGATGAGGTTCAGGAAACAGCATCTGCTTCACAAAACAGACAAGAGCTGGCTCTGATGCATGTCTTGAGTTGGCATTACAGCTTGACAGGGCAGGATGTCTGATAGGGTAGTGACACTTAGCAATGAGACAGTGCAGGAACGTTGAAACAAAATTCAGCCCTGGCCCCTAGGCAGCCCCTAACCCCCATTCCTCCAGAACACACACAAATATGTCTTTAGCTTTAAGAGTATTATTAACTAATGCAAGCTGGTCCTGAGTACAGTTAACAGGACTCACCAAGCCCACTATATCCCAGGCTAAGTGATGTTTTAAAATCAGAATCAGGAAAAGGGAGTGCATGGGGAACAGAGTGTGGACCCATATTCTTTTTCTATGTTAGAATTCTTGTGTAAATTCTGTGAAAAGTTGAATCAATTTGCTTTGATGCTAACTTTTTAATACATACACATATATTTAAATATATGGAGGGTCATTTCCCTCTAGTTAAAAAAAATCCTCTGGTTTTCCACACAACTCCATCCAGCACCACACTGGTGAACTTTTGGTGACATAGGTCCTATATTGAAAAAGAGTAGTGTTTGTTATTCCTCTCAAGCTTCTTAGTGTCTTAAGGATCTTGCTGTAAAACATCATTTGTTATTGTTGTGCTCCATTATCCTCTTCCCTTTTTGAGTGCTATGTTTATTTTAAGGAAAAGGACAAAATAGTGGGATTTGGTGGAGAATCTTCTATCCCAAGAATAGAAGGCGTATGCTCTACATACAAATTCTGGAAGCAGGGCTTTGAAGTATCCTCCCTCCTAGAAGATCAAAGTCCAGGAAAGTGAATACAAGGAGGAAGAAGAGTAGAGGGGGGAAGGAAAAACACAAAATTAACCAGCATATTCTAGGATTATATGGAGAGAGGTTCTTCAATTTGCCACTCTGCAATCATCTTTTTTTCTCATGTGTCTTCATGTTTAAATAGATAAACTTTCCTCAAACATGCGATTATTTCTTGACACTGTAACTTAGTGCAAATAATTCACTCAACCTTGGATCACCCGCCCACTTTCTGTTTTAGAATGCTGATTAATCATCCAGAGAGTGCTCACCCCTCTGAGAAACCTTTCCTGGTACTGGGGTTGCCCTTTCTCTCTTTATTCTCCCACTGTACTTTAGACATCTGTGCTGCTGGAGGCAGATTTATCTGGCAGTGAGTGAAGCCTGACCTTCAGGATCCCTCACGCGCACAGGCCCCTTTGTGTCCAAGGAGTTGCTGGTTGTTGTAGAATTCTCTGTGGGAGGGGAAGCCAGTTTGCAACTGGGAAGCAATTCTGTGTAAGCATGTTTGTAAAGCACCAGAGACATGAGTCCCCAGAAGTCCAGTAACTTTTATTTTTCCTTTTCCTTCAAAATAAATAAGCACTTTTATACCTGGTGGTGCATTTGTAATTTTGTTTTCATTTTCCAAGAGGATTACCAAATGGTATAAGCCTGGGGCCCCACAAAACCTGGAGCTGTTCCCGATGCTTGCTTTGGTGAGCACTTTCTGTTGAGAGCTGGAGAAACTCAACTCAAGCTTGTTGAAAAGGATACCAAGATTGCTTCTGGGATCAGTGATGGAAACCAGCTCTTGGGGTTGGACAAGAGCTTGGAAACCATTTCATATTTTCTTTTGCTTTGGCTTTCTTATGCAAGTTGTGGGAAAGTAACTGTCTTCAGCCTCTGCTTCACATCTTTCCAGATCCAAAAGAGAAGAAACTTCGGTTGGGATAACCCCAGGATCGGCCTCTCACAAGCACACCTTGAGACTGATGTGTCAAGGGATTTAGTTTCTATGACTGGGAGCCAACAGAGTAACATGGAAAGGATAATGGGGATAAAGGATGTAGAGGAGCAGTGTGATGTTATCTAGAAAAGCAAGATAAGCATGCCGGGAAGATAGCCACTAAATTACCTCTATTTTGAATTGAATTTGTTTTCATACATGTGGGGCTCTTCCATAAAGCTATGGGTTTTATTAAAGGAATAACCTTTCTAAATTTCTCTCATTATCCTTAGTGCCTTCTCTACTGTCTTGCCCAGGGTTGTCTGTATTAAGTAATAAGTCAGCGAATAAACAGAAAAAAATCAAGATAGTAACCTCCCATAGTAGCGTATGGTCACCATATTGCTGAGCCTGAATTCCATACTAGAAATCAGATACCAAACAATATTCCTTCAATGTGATTTTTCCAATGCATAGAAAGGAATGCTTTAAGAATAGTCTTTCTGGCTGGGTGCAGCGGCTCATGCCTGTAATCCCAGCACTTTGGGAGGCTGAGGTGGGTGGATCACAAGGTCAGTAGTTTGAGACCAGCCTGGCCAAGATGGTGAAACCCTGTCTCTACTAAAAATACAAAAATTAGCTGGGCGTGGTGACACGTGCCTGTAGTCTCAGCTACCCAGGAGGCTGAGGCAGGAGAATCACTTGAACCCGGGAGGCGAAGGTTGCAGTGAGTCGAGATGATGCCACTGCACTCCAGCCTGGGCGACAAGAGAGAAACTCTGTCTTGAAAAATATTTTTTTAAAAAAAGAATAGTTTTTCTAATCTGTTTGAGATATTGTGTTTTAATGTATAACAAATATATGAATTATTATGGCTTAATTTTGTAAAATTCCTCATAGGATTCTGAGAAATATTATGATTCCAAATAAAATAATTAATCCCGTAGCAGTCATCATAACATTCATGCATAACCAAGAATGTACATAGAATATTATTTTACTGGGTGGCTGTGAATGGCTGCCCAATGTTTTCCAGTTGTGGTTTGCATTGAATCCTCCCAATGGATGTGTTATGCTTAGGTCCTGTGTGGTCTCAGGAGGGGAATAACATGGCCATCACATTCAATTTTTTTTTCTTTGAAATTGACCAAAGAAGGTTTATATCAGCTAATCTGATTACTAAAGAAACATCCTGTTAGTTACCCTTCTCGGAACAGTGGAGTTATCAATTTTGCATTCGTGTTACAGTTGAGGATCCCTGAGTACAGTGTCTTCTTAGTTCAAAATTAGATGTGTTTGAAGATCACCAACCAAAATTTGATGAACTCCTGAAATTATTTTATCACCAGAGTCAAGTTTAACCATTTTATTTTTTTCTGACTCTTAAATGGATTTGAATTTCCAATTGTCTGCTTGGCCTCCAAAATGACTTGATTCAGATTTAGCATTTTGAAGCCAACTAAGATTGTACATAGCCATTATTTGGTTGTGTTGTCCAATGCAGAATTTTTTTTTTTAACTTAATAAGAGGAAAAGGGGTCAGGCACAGTGGCTCACTCCTGTAATTCCAGCACTTTGAGAAGCTGAGGTGGGCGGATCACTTGAGGCCAGGAGTTTGAGACCAGTCTAGCCAACATGGTGAAACCCTGTCTCTACTAAAAATACAAAAATTAGCCCGATGTGGTGGTGCACACCTGTAATCCTAGCTACTCGGGAGGCTGAGGCAGGAGAATTGCTTGAACCCAGGAGGCAAAGATTTCAGTGAGCCAACATTGTGCCACTGCACTCCAGCCTGGGTGACAGAGCAAGACTCTGTCTCAGAAAAAAAAAAAAAAAAAAAAAAAAAAAAAGAAAGGAAAAGGAAAAGGTACCTGAAATCATTTCCTCTAACTCTAACAACTAACAACTAGATTAGAACTAAGGTACAGTGAAAGAATGATTACAGATATGTTATTAGAAACTCACACCCTTTTCGAGTACTGTGTGCTAGGTAATGTTACATGTATGTCTTAGGTCAAATTCCCTGGGAAACAGACTCTGAGACAGAGAGAGATTTGTGCAGACAGTTTTAGTGGCAGGGAGTGAGGAGGAGTCGGGGGGTGTTCTCAGAGGGAGGAAAGCAGGACTAGGCAAAGGGAAATGTTAAACTATGATGCAGTTCCAACAGACCACTTAGCTAATCCCACAAGACGCTGCGGAGCTGGAATGGCCTTTCGGGGGCCCAGGTCTTTGTATCTCCACATCCATCCAGCTGTCTGATGTGGAAGGGGCATAATCCTGAGCAAGTCAACTCCCCTTAGCTAAGGGCAATCTGCAGAGAAGGTACAGCTATAAGTCCTCAGCAGTCAGCACTCCCTGCACCTGGTGCAACCATGCGGGCACACTTCAGTATTCATTATTGACGCTTTATCTCATTTAGTCAGTATTGTGCTAGTAAATGTTTAATAACTGGATCTAAGTAGGGGGGAAGAGAAAGTAGGCTTGATTTATAGTCTGTCAGTTTTCATGGTGTAAATACTCCTACCATGGCCAAATTCAGGTTACCAGCTTGATTTTAGTGAATGCAGAGTTGTGAAGAGATGTGCACATACAGCTCTTAAAGGTATGAGCGGACTCCAGCACATCAGCACTTTAATCTTCATTAAGCCATTGGTAAAAATAATATTAATCCCTTTTGTGAAATGGGAGATCATACAAGAAGTACATTGCTCAATTCTTCTTTATATACAACCTGAAATCACCAGGTAACTGCAAATTTCTCTGCGAAAATGTTTACTATAGAGTTTTTCACGTATCATTTAGACCTGCTTGCACAAATTCAGTTTTCTTCCAATATGTATATTTGAGTAAAACCATTATTATTATTATTTTTAGGTAACATCTAAACACTAATTTGGGCAGTTAATGGACCGATTTGTTTGGGTTAAGTAAAAAGTTTAAATGAGACTGAATGCTAAGGAAACTCTAGATGTAAAATTAGTTCAGGCCTTTTTGTGTTGTTGGTGTGATAATTAGAGGTGTCTGAATGTTTGAGACTAAAAGCAAATTTACAAATGTGGGCGATTATGTTAAAAACTTTGATGAGATGCAACTGGAAGACACTCTGGAGCCACGAACCAAGATTTCCAAAGCCTGACCAAGGAAACAAGATTAGTATCAGTTGTGCTCTGAATTTAGCCATGGTAAGTATCATGGGTCCCAGAAATGTATTTATTCTTTTGTAAAAGGTGTTTTTGTGAAAGTTATTCTGTGAACACTATGGGACAACTGCAATGTGGCATGAGAGAACTTGAGGTTTATGGACAGAGAGGTTCAGATTGGAATTATAACTGCATGTCACTGGGCACATGCTCAGACTCTCTGATCCCTGGTTTTCTCATCAGAACCGTGATACCTCTTTCCCAGGTTGCCGACAAGTTTAAATGGGGAATCAGATTGCTTGCCATGTAACTGCATAATACATTGTAGCAGTTCCTGTAATTAGTGTAGGAAGCTGAGAATTTGGAACTGAATATGGAGTTTTCAGTAGACTAAGGTAACGATTTTATGTTTCTCGAAATTACCCTTAAAATTGGAATGAAGTATTCTCATTTGTAGTAGATTTTAGTAAATTTTAGAGGTATGGATGGGCTTTCTTACTCTCTATAGAATGACTGAAAGAATGTGTTCTAAAAGGTGTTTAACATGAAACTCATTAAAATTCTATAGCAGTGGTTCACAAATGGAACACAAACAATGAATAGAAGTCATTACAAATAATAATGTCCCAGAGAAAAATCAGATGGCTGCGACGAAATACATGAATTATCATGCTTATGGACAATGTTAGAAAACTCACTGTTTTCTATGCAAAAACTCAAATTATAATAAAATGATAAGCCTATCACTTCTCTCTTGCTTTACTGAAACTAACTTCCTTCCTATCTAAAATAATGCACACGAAGCATTGTGTTCCCTGTGAAACCCCAAGCTGCAGATAAACTCCATTCACTGGAGATCTTATTAAGCAAACAATTCAAAGAGCGGCTTTGCTTTCACACCGGACCTGATATTGACAGATGCTAACCTTACCAGCAAGACTCCTCTTTTGTATACTTGTGATGGGGAAGGTTTTCTTTTCCTTTCCTAGCTCAGGGGAGGATAGATAGAGACACCGAAGTCGAATTTCTCTTATAAAACATAGCTTTGGGATACTTGTAAGTGGTACAGAAAAAGTGAGACTTTACTGTCTTTTTCTTTCTTTCCTTGTTTTGGCTGGTATCTTGAGTCATACTTTATAGCTTCACAAAAGGCCACTGGACATTTTTATTAGGCTTGAAGAGAAATGTTTTTGACTTTCTTTTACTGGCAGATTTCCATGCAAACTGTGACTAATACTACTTCCATTGCAATTTGATGAGAAAAGACAAGACAATTTTTCACTCACAATGAGAAATGCTAACAGCTATTGGAAAAATGAAGGTTATACATTTTACCTTTTGATGAATTTTTAAAGTTTTCCGTGCAAAATAGAAAATGTTAGTAATATGTAAAATCGTTTTCACTCTACCAATATAAAATAAAATATTGTCATACATTTCTACAAAAACTGATGAGATAGAAATGCCAGAATTTATGGATATATGTTTTTAAATTCCAAATAGAAGAATTATTCTGGTAGAATAAAGAATTAAACCAGTGGAGAATAATTTTTGCATAAATTTCAATTTATGTATTAATTAACAAATATAAATGTTAGCAGGAGTATTAGTGAATAAATATAATTTTCATATGAAATCATTTCTTTTGATGATTAGCAGGGTAGGGAATTCATATATATCTATATGTTTTTATATAGACAGGCATACTTTTAGAGCTAAAAAAACAGGATGATACAAACTATTATTTTTAATCTTACAAAGTTCTTATGTGTTTTATGAAATTAGAGGACACTTCTAAACTCAATATCTTGTGATTCATCCTCCATGGACCATATATGAATGCTGACCTAAATAACAGATTGATAACAAAAGTTTTGGCCAATTCTCATTTTCTCCAGGGTTGATAAGGAGAGTATTATATATATGAGAGGATATGAGACCTGAGGCTGTTCTTCTCCGTCTGATTGGGAAGATGTACAACTTTAACGACTTGTTCTATCAAATTTATGATGGAAAAGTAAAGTAAATAGAGGAGAGACAACTAACAATTAACCTATAATGTTTGCCTTCGATACACACAATCATAGTATTAAATTCTACTGATTTCTTTCAGGAATAAAGCAAACAGCAATTTTTTTGTTGTTTTTTTCCTAAGAACTGATAGGCTTTGTCACGTATGGTACACGACTACCTTGGCCAAGGATTAGAAACACTTTTTACATTGAACTGGGGGAGGCTTGAAGCACAGGTTCACTCCTTTAGCTGTTTATCAGAGGCATTATTTCCAATACTGGCAGTAGCACTGGAAGTCCTTCATTTTGCACCTATAAATAATAATAGATACAAATAGTTTTCAGGTTGCAAGTCAGATAAAAAGTAATTGCTTATTAATTAAATTTGTAGGAGTCATAGGCAATTATCAATGAACAAAATCAATTATAGAAATCCTAAAAGCTTCTGTAAAAGCTTCATGGTATCTGAGTCAAAGAAACCCTAGTTGAAATCCTGGCTTCTGCCCTAATCCTCTCTAAACCTAAGATTCCTCTTTATCTGTAAAATGGGCACATATTAACTAATGAGATGTTTGCGGAGATTAAATTAAGTCACGAATGTAAAGCATTTAGCGTAGTGGTTGACATCAAATAGCAGTGCAATATGAGATCTATTTATAATAGCAATTTAAAAGCATTAAAACCCTACGAAATTAGTCAAACCTAGATATCTGATCATTTTAACTCACAAGACAAGCTTTGAGATAACCCAAAGCTTTGGCTGGGTTGAAGTTTGTCCTGTTGGGTCGATTTGCATGTTAACTCCCTGTCTCTCTCTCCTTGTCTCTGTAGGGGAGGAAAATTTTCCTCAACTCTCCCGGGGTCCCTGGCTGGATCTGAAAATAAAACTGACAAAGACAGATTAACGGAGAAAAGCATACAAATTTACTTAATAAGCTTTATTTAATAAGTGACATGGGGACTTTCAGAAATGAAGACCCAAAGAAACAAGTAAGCACATATTTTTATGCTTAGGTTGATGAAGAGTGGAAAGTCATGGAAAAATGTGATTGGAGGACAAAAGGGTATGATCTAATGGTAACAAACTGGGGGGACCTAGCAAAACCTGTTTATGCAGATTCATCCTGGCATTTATAGCTTTGAGGATAAGGATGTTCCTTTCCTTCCCTCTGGGTACAGAATGGGCACCTCTGGAATGAAAGTTTTATGACCTACTTCAGAGAAAGGGTCAGAGAGAATTCTTTTAAAGCCTGCTTCAGGGGAGAAGGGCAAGAGAAGGTCAGAGAAACCTTCTTGCTTCTGCTGTTTCCTCAAATGGCTAGAAGCTGTGTTTTGAACCCTATCAAAATAGGAGTTTCACTGAGTCCTGAACCCCATCATCTCCCTGTCTCTGAATCCTCCCCACTGTCTTTCTTCATCTGTGTGCATGACAGGCTGAAGGGGGATCATGACCGATTTTAGACCTAGAAAATATACTATTGATACATGTACACATATCAGTTTGTTCTTGGCTTTAGGATACTGGTTTAACTTTCTGTATCAGAAGAGAAGTAAAAGATATGTATTTGCGTTTTGCACAAATAACTAAATACATCAAATAATTCCAGAGGCTGGGATTTTTTCCCCTGATTTTGAGAGAGTACTTATCCTAGACAGTTTTGCAACTTTGAATAGAAACAAATCTCTATTAGTTCTGGGAAGTTGAAGGAAGAGCTGGAGCCCACCATGGCTGGCCCCAACTGGGATTCCATTATATGAGCAAAATGGAAGCTTCTATGTTGGATCCAAAGTTTTTATTTTTCATGAGCCAGATTTTTATCACCCTTTTACTCCTTTGTCATTTACAAATAAACTGCTACTTACATATATCTTCAAAAGCCATTATTCTTTTTTATCTCCCATTGTTCATTACTGGATTTTCCAGATAGTTTTGACATATATCAGCAAATATTGCACTTCATCTTTACAATTTTCTACAAATATCTAAAGAAGCATGGAAATTGCCAATCCCAATTAGCTGCATGTCTCATCATATCGGTTGTTTTATTCCCAGCCGATACAAAATTCAGTTGAATGTCACGGAATACTAAGCAACTTGGTATCATCACAAACGAGAGAACACAGACACTCATGTGCCCATTTTTTTCTCAACTTTTTTCAACAGATTTTGTTGATGGTGTCCAAAGAAAGGCAGCTGTAATGCTTTTGGCTTGCAAAGCTTATATCGTACTCAGCTAAATACAGTTGTCATGGAAAATGGTAAAATGGTGACGGGGGTTTATCTAGAGAAGATAAAGTAAATTACTGTTTTCCACCCAATTTAATACAATAATTTTCACTGCATATGTTGTCTTCTCTGGCATAAAAAAAGTCTAAACTTTCTCTACGTTAGAAACAAATATCTGGTTTATATATATCTCATGTAAAAAGGAAAAAGTGTGTCATGATGCTTTAGTCTCTTGAAGAGGCTGTGAAATTTTAATTTCTAGTGCATGATCTGAGGTCACAACATGTTACCAGAAGATAAACATCTAAATGCCAATTTGCAGAGACAGAACAATTCTATTTACCTTACTAGGTGTATTTGTAATTTTTACAAGACTATGAGGGAAACCCTGTCCCCCGAGGCCCTCATTTCACACTGTAGACTTACATGATTTTAAGATGTCAATGTTGTTCAATGTTGCAAATGCCTTACGTTTAAGTATCTCAGGATTGAAACAAACTGACTAAAATTCACAGCCACAGAAGATTTCTGTCCCATCTCCTAACTTCTTGCTTTTTGTTGAAGAGAGAAAGTAATATGCCCTTCAGATATTTCCTGGCCAGAATTCATTCCCACAGATGAATTTGTAGCTCTCTCCAATGAGATAAGCCCCATTTAACTGGTCCTAGGGTGGTCATAATCTATTTGGGGGAAAGGTAACATTTAAATGTAGACAGATGCTAAATTATTCCCAGGAATGAAAATAACGGGGGATGAAAAAAAATGGCTCTGCAGAGGTTTTTGATTGAAGAAGACTTAAGTTAGAATGAAAGTTTGGAAGTCATCCTTCCAAAGAGAAGGAATTTGGCAAATGCTAATGTTGCCCTTTTCTCACTTGTCTCAGAGTTCCAGATAATAGTTAGGATGTTCCTGGGGCTGTAGCATGTGATAACAATGGCAATAGCCCCTAACTGGCCTTCCCATCCATTCTACCTGACATCATGATATCAGATCATTCTCTCAAGGGTACAATGACTCCTCCCTCTTAGCAAGAATCTATAATGGCAACCTATGATATTATGATATGATATATATGTCACATACATATAGGTTTTTATCCATGGTTTCTGGCTTATAACTCCCATGTCCCTTTTTATTTCTCCTGAAGGCCATAGACACTAAAAATATACTCTAATCTTCTCTGTCTTTGAGCTGGCCATACAGAAATTCTCTCCAGGCACGGTGGCTCATACCTGTAATCCTCACACTTTGGGAGGTTGAGGTGGGCGGATCACGAGGTCAGGAATTTGAGGCCATCCTGGCCAACATGGTGAAACCCTGTCGCTACTAAAAATACAAAAATTAGCCAAGATGGTGGCGCATACCTATAGTCCTAGCTACTGGGGAACCTGAGGCGGGAGAATTGCTTGAACCAGGGAGGCAGAGGTGGCAGTGAGCCAAGACCACACCACTGCACTCCAGGACAGAGTGAGAGTCTGTCTCAAAAAAAAAAAAAAAAAGATTATCTGACCCACCTTGTCTGTAGGTCATAAGACCCCTATTTCAGAAGGTGTTCTGCCCCATGCTCTGGAGGAAGGAATGCTGCATAGAGAGGCCAAGAAGAACTTCAACAGATAGGTCTTGCTGGGTTCCCCTCTCAGTCTATTAGTATTAGATTATACCCTTTTTGTCCAATCACACTTCTACATGGTTGTCCATGCTTCAATCCTGCCTGTCCAATGAGGTTTCCATAAAAGGCCAAAGAGGACAGGGTACGGAGAACTTCTGGACAGCTGAACTCAGGGAAGCCTACAGGAAGGTGAACAAGAACTTATATATGTGCCTGGACAGTGGGGCATCCCAACACCCCAGAGGAAAGGCTCCTGCACTTGGGACCCTTCCAGACCTCATTCTATGTATCGCTGCATCTGGCTGCTTATTTGTGTTCTTTAAAATGTCCTTTATGATAAACCAGAAAATATAAGTAGATGGTTCCCTGAATTTTATGAGCTGCTCTAGCAAATTAATTGAACCTACAGAGGGAATCATGGGAACTCCAACTTGAAGCCAGTTGGTGAGAAGTTCCAGAGGCCCTAACTTGCGATTGGTGTCTGCAGTGGAAGGGGGCAGTTTTGTGGGACTGAGCACTTGATGGTGTCTCCAGGTGGACAGTGTCAGGTTTGAACTAGAAGACACCCAGCTGATTTCCCCTGCAGAATTGATTGATTGATTGCTTGGTATATGGGGGAAAATGTTTTCTATGTTGATTGCTGTAGTTTGACAGCAGAGAAAAGAGAGTTTGTGGGGTTTTTTTTTCCCTTCAGATTATCCCATGATTATAAATTAAGTAAACTTCTCCACTCCCCTATAATGGACAATATGGCAACGAACCATCTGTCTGCCCTTTCTTCACTTTACTTCTGGTCTTACTTTTATAGCTCCGTTATAATTACTTTGCAAGGGGGAGCCCTCCATGACTACCTAGTATATACTGGATATAGGGAAAGGTTGGCTTCAAAGCATAGAAGGGATTTGATGTGCTAAAATAGGCTGGATTATTGATGCCACATAACATGCGAGCAGACAAATTTCTTTTTATTGTTTGTCCAGAAGGGGCTAAGTTGTGACCTTTTACTGGATCACCTTTACCTTATCAGTGATATACTCTATTGCTTCCATTGAGAAAGATTTTAAATTTCTGGTTAAAGCAAAGCATGGGTATTTTCAGACTTAAATTACATCATGTAACAGGATATAAGAGATACTTGATATCTATTTGAGTGAGGTTTTAATGGGTAAAGTAAACCTTTTCTGGCAATGGGGGAATACCTTAATAAACTCACACACTTGGTTTGACATACAGAGCTCTATGATGGGAAACTTGAGTATGGTCTTTGAAAGGTTTCAGGTTCATTTTATAAAGTTATCAATGGTTTCCACTTAGGGTAGAATGTCACTAAAAGAATCTTAGTTGACTCAAAATACAAGCCTAGATAATGGTCAAAGTTATTGGGTTCTTTCATTCCAGATCATTCAAAATCAAGTCTTGCTCAACAGTTTTGCTCTATGAGAAAATCCTTCCACTTAGACATAACCCCTTCTGTATGCCATGTTCACAAATACTTTACCATATAATCATGGTGACCAGAATCACTGACAAGCAACTAATTTTAGCACTACTCCTTTTTACAAGATATCTTTAAATCGTGTTGGTTTTGAATGATGCAACCCACATTCCTTGATCAGAGCAGAGTAAACTAAATTTGACAACCACCTACCTAGTTCAGCAACCACTCAGAATTAAAATTCCAGCAAGAAGTGTATTTTAGGCCTGCATTCTGTAATTATCTGTTTTGTGTGTTCAAAGCCATTTTTTAATACTAATATTGTAACCAGTTTGACAAAATTCAAAGAGTGGCAGCTCTGTGGAAAGTGATGTCATACTTTTCCCTTTCTTCAAACCTCTTCTTATAACCAGTGGCTATTCATAGATTCCTCTCCCTTTAGCAGACAAATGAGATGTCCAAATAATTTAAAGATTTACATTCATTTTGTAGAGGTATTATACTTCATTTAGAAGTACTCAGATGGGCACTTGGAAGTGGGAAGTGCTATACTAGGTCTCAAAGGTTGATGTTAGTTCAGACAATCTTAACAAGTTGCCTGGTTTGGATGAGGTTACTGGTTTCCTATCCCCATACTTGCTTTCTCTGAATTATCACCCTCATTTTTTTCTTACCTGGGCTGATGGCTACCTTGTAAGAAGAAAATAGAACACAAAAAATTACATTTTCCAATCCCTTTTACAGACAGGTAAGGTAATGTCACTAAATTCTTTTCTTTTAAACTGAAAAATAATAAGTGTATATATTTATAGGGTATAATGTGATGTTTCTGTACATGTGTACATCATGGAATGACCAAAGCAGATGAATTAACATAGGCATCACCTCAAATAATCATTATTCCTTTGTATTGAGAACATTTAAAATCTTCTTTTGACTATTTTGAAATATACAATACATAATAATGCATTGTAGCTAGCCTACTTTTAAATCTCTGGATCAATGTGGACTGCCAGAAGCTGTGCACTTGGATTCCCTTGTTTGGGGGCCCACTTACTCCTTCCCATCCTGATCCCAAAGAACTGCTATCCTTGAGCATTCTCCCTTCAGTGTATATTTAGGGTTCCTAGCAGAACGATTAATGCTGTTCAAGGTATCATAAACCCTATACCCATGGATCAAGGGCCCTCTGCAATCATGAACAGATGAAGATTTTCAGGTACTGCAATCTCAACTTGACCTTCATTTTTCCTGAATTTATTTCACCACCACCAAACCCACTTTTCTTCCTATGTTTCCTTTCCCAATAACTGGTGAGCATTCACCACATCTAGCCAACCACTCATTCTTACCATCTTACCTACAACATATCTCTAAATTCCATCCTCCTTCTGCAAGACTAACTGCCCTGCCATCATATTACAAATTATTTTCTTTCCCGCTCTAATGTGGCTCACCAAGTCATGGTCACTGATCTTGTCTTTATTTAACATGTTGATATTTTTCCATCATGAATTTTAAAAAATTATTTTTGTTTTAAAAATATTTCATTAAAATATTTTAAAATTAATATTTCCATATAAATTTTATAATATTAATTTAATATTTCAACATTAAATATTTTAATAAATAGTAATTCATTAAATTAATGCATATTAATTTAAATAATACCAAATATTTTAATATTTATTATTTTAATTTAATGTAATATTTAATATGTAATAGTTCACTAAATCTTATTTATCTTGGTTACTGAGGGTTTTTTGGTTAAATTTTGAGCCTGAGGCAAGTACCTCACTCACTTCACTACAGTCCCAACAGTATTCCCTCATACCTCCATTTTTTGGCTTTATTGTTTTCCATTTTACCTGAGTCAGGAGCAAAATAGCTACAGAAGATTCGAGGCAGGAAGGCTGGGGAGCAGAGGGAGCAGGTCTGCCTTCCAGCCTGAAGCTGTTCCAAGGGGACCAGGAAGAAGAGTTAACACGAAGTCAAATTTAATGTGTTCATAATTACCCGGGATTGGCCACTCAATTTTTTGATTGAGAATATATTTGCAACTTAAAGTGATCATAGGCTAAATTACTTAAGAGTAAATTGAATAGTCATATGCCTGACACTGTTTCACCCAGGGCTGAGTAAACTTATCCCTTTTGATAAAATAAAAATGACAGAAAAATACTTATGTTCTTAGTTACATCATAAGCCAGACTAGTTTTGTAATACATATTGGCCACATCTTTTTAGTTGATTTTTACCTGTCTTTTCCCACCTGTTTGTTCACTGCTTTCTCTTTAACCTGAAGCACTCCCTGGCACATCATAGGAACTTAATATTTTAGTATCCATTTGTTTATTCATTCAACAAATATTCATGGAAGCCTACTATGAGCCATCCACATTTCCATCTGCTAGAAATAGAGAGTGAACCAGGCAGGCAAATACCAAAGAGCCCTTCCTTGACTCTTAGGCAAAGTGAGGTAATAATTCCATGGCACCCAGCAACACAACACTCATCATATTTTTTGTAATGATCTCTTTCAAGTGTATATTTCACTGGTTCAATGAAGGCAGGGGATGTATTCATCTTGCTCATCACCATGACTCTATCACCTAGTGGCCTGGAATATGGGATATACTCAATGCGGATTTAAATAAATGACCACATTTCTCAATATTTCCTCTGTGATGACTTAACTAATTTCTTTTGAATGTATACATGTATACATATGTTCAATGTATATATGTGTACATATACTATCAGAATCAGTCTGTTTTTGTTTTTTTTTCCTGAGGAATTGTCTTGTGAGTGCTGTTGATTGCCTACCCTGAATCCATTATCCCTTTATTTATTTCTAATGGATCCCTGATTTTGTTCAGGAATTCACTCTTCCCTATGAAGCCCATGATTCAAGAGAAACTGACTCTTCCTCTATCGCCAGGGACTTGATTGGTTCAATTAGTCCTAATGAAAGTGTTTCTATTCTTAGCAATGTTTGGCTTCAGTATGGACATGCAATTTAGGTCACTTTTAACTGAGATGTTTTCCAGGGGCTTCTGCGAAAATCTCCCCTTGTTTGCCTAGAGAGCCTTTCTCCTACAGTAGCGGTTCTCAATCTTGGGCTATTTTGCAATATCTGGAGACATTTGTGATTGTCACATTTGGGGGATGCTACTTACATCTAGTGAGTCAAGGCCAAGATGATGCAGCTAAGCATCCTACAATGCAAAATACATCCTTCAAAGAAAAACTAATTATTCAGCCCAAATAAGAATCAAGAATGTACAAGCTGAGAAACCCTGATCTAACATGAAGGAGAAAGCATGTAGCTCTTTCTGTTGGCTCCTTCCACCATACAACCACAGAAAAACTAGCTTTAGGATAAAGCTCAACACTGCAGATTATAGAAGAAAGAGAGAAAGATTGTAGATTCTTGATAACTTCTCCAAATGCATAGTTGGATCAAATATTTTTGAAGCTGACCTTGGCTGTGGACTCCCAGTGATCTGAGCCAATATGTCTCCTATTTGCTGTGTCAGTTTGAGCTAGATTATTTTTAAATAGCCATTAAAAGCATTCTATGTAAACTGATATATATTTCTTTATTAAATAATAGGAATCCAGTTACTGATTTCATTTTACTTTGGTTTTCAACAAGTTAAAAGCTAATTTATAGTCCAATCTGAATAACTATAATTTTTTCTATCTGCATATCTGCATTCAAATTTTTTACATAGTCTTTTATCTTCGTTCTATTTATGTGTATTTTTGCTCTGAATTTATTTTGTACATATTCTTATAAGTCTTTTTATCAATTTCATTGAATGATGTAGGTGAGATAAAGTGCCTTATACCTCATAGGAAACTAAAGATATATTTGTGGAATTAAGAATAAAGGTGTACCAAACAAACAATGTTTATTTAAATATTAATACAACTTATATTTAGCTGGTCTTTGAAAATTGTACAATACCAGCTGAAATAATTTGGAGTCAACATGGGAGGCAAAATACCATTTGTAAGCTAGTGTTTGCAGAGATTGAAATCTATAAGTTTAGTGCTCTTTCTCTTTCATCACTTGCATATCTAGCCATTCTCTCCTTGGACAAAAACAAAAATAGCAGAATTATGTGAATTTTCTTACACATTTTTTAAAACATCTTTAAATATTTGTTAAAAAGGTCAATCAAAGCCTCAGGATTTTGAGTTTTTATCCTATGATTTTGTTCAAATCCACAGAAACCAGTGTTATTTAGCTCATGATATCTTTAAAATAAGAATGGTTGTAGAGACCTACAAAAAATTAAAATAGGAATTACTTGGCACAAACAGTTATGTAACATTTTATGAAGCTCAAGAGCTTAATAATACTAAGTAAGAGACAAATGGTAACTGGGCAAAGTTTTTGAGAAATATAACTGCAAATTACTGAAATCTCATTTAAAAAAGCTAAGATTTCACTTTGTTAATGGGTAATAGTTAAATATTTTATGCTGACCATATATTTGCGCTTGCAGGAGAAACTACCACATTGTCCATTTGTTTGTTAAGTCACATGTTCTGGTATTTTAGTCATAATCTGAAAGTTACTTTTATATATAATTAATGAAACATGAGAGGGTTTGAGTTGATTTAATCTATTTTTTCAGTCTCCCTTTCCTAGTGATTTCAGAGGTCAGAAATAACCTAGCTTTTCAGACAAGACAGTTTCCTCTACCAAAACAATTAGTGTCTAGCTGCAGAACGAAGGAAATAGAGGTTTAGAAAACACAAGTTTTTGATGCTCATAGGTCACCTGCGGACTGTAGGGGTAAAAGGGAGCCTTTTAGCATGTTGGCCTGTGTAGAAGAAAGCAGCACTTGGGAGGAAGGGCATTCCAGAGCCTTAGGACCTGACCTAGGGACTTTCTAGTTCTTAGAAGATCAGTCCTAAAATCTGCCAATTGCAGTGGGACACTAGCTGGGGAGGAAACTATGGGGTTAGAGCGTTAAAAGGTTTCTTGGCAGGGTGAGTATTAGACCCTTGAAGTTGAAGGTAACAGTTTCAAATGGTGTCAGGAGCCACTGATTTGTGAACTTTGTCCTTGCTTGTGCTTGACCCCTCTGACCTTTGTCCAGGCTGGCCTGCACAAGTGTGTAAGCAGCTGCCAGTGGAGTGTGATTTGAAGGGCATCAAGAGGCCCACTTGGCCCTGATTATTTCCCCCTGGGTCTGGCATAACTTTCCTATTACTTAGCACAGCATCTGGCTCAATAAATCTTGGATGGTTGGATGGATGGATGGATGGATGGATGGATGGATGGATGGATGGATGGATTCATCACATATATTTATTACATGCCAGGTATTATACAAAATGCACAGGACCCACAAATAAACACAATCATTATGTTCCTACTTTTCATGAGGCCCACTGTCTAGTTAAACAGAAAAGAAGGTAAAATAAATACAAGAATTCTAAGTGAGGGTTCCGAAACTTTAGAAAGAAATAAAGTGCTAAAGATAATGGACTTCAGAAAAGTCTTCAAAAAAAAAAGGCATTTTTCATATGAAAATGACCATAATTAAAATGCAAATATATGTTCAGGAAAAAATATTATAATCTCATTGGCCCTGACTTGGTGTTTAGAGAGTCTGTCTATGAAAAGGTAAAAGTAGAGCAGTAAGAAAATTAGGGACTTTTGATGGGGAGAAAACTTCTCAAGGAAGGGATAACTGAGAGCCCAGACTGCTGTTCAAGCTGAACTGATTTGAGCAGAGATGAACAGACTAGAACAGAGCCACTGAGCCTGGGTCCTGGGGACTGTGGGACCTGGAGCGAGGCTGTCCAGAACCAACTGGCCTGAGTCCCATTGGTGAACCTGACAGAATGTTGCGCTCTGGGAATCCAAGCTCAACAGACAAGCTGCAGTAAGAAAGTCTGATTGTGAAAAATGCTAAGAACTCTGTGCAAGAGTGATATTTTCTTGATGGAAATGTGACACTATTATATTAATCAGAGATGACAGAATTGACTTTGGGGCCACTGGTTTAGTAACAGTTAGAAGGAAAGCCTGGGGCTATTTTAAATAAACAATTCCTTTGCATCAGATAAGAATATTTCTTGCCACATCTGAAGCCATTTGATTTTTCATCTATCAGTTGCCTTTGGATTAATCAGAGAGGAGTTGCATGCATAATAATAGAAATAAGCTTTGTCTATGATCATTTTTACTTTAGCTTTCCAAATTTGAGGAGGATCTACTGATAGTAGAATATTTGCTGAATGAATGAATGAGCAAATGAAGGCATAAATGTTGGAGTATAATTTATTATTCTGCTGCCTGTAATACTTTTTAAGTGATAGTGTCTCATGTCCTCATTCACCTGACACTGTGATTGTGGGAAAACAGAAAATAATCTTACCTCAAATTACTGGTTTTTATATAAAGTGCTGTAGTTTTATTTTGATATGTGATTAGCCAAGCCTCTAAAGCCTCATTGTGTGTTCTTGAAGCACATAAGCAGAGACTGATCTATAAAACATGAAAGTTCAGCTTTGGGGGTAAGCCTTAAACTAAATCTGCACTGCTTGCTTGTGTCTACTCCAAAATTCCAAAGATAAGAGTTCCTTTATTTGCCATCCATTATCACTATTTAAACATCTTTCATTGCTGAAGTTGTACTTCTCAAGGAGTTGGATGGGTTGACTTTGAACAGTAGCAGTTCATAAAGACAGCAGAGCCCTCACCCTCCCAACCCTATCTCCTACTTTGTTTTTCTACTTTCAGCACGAAGACTCTTTTTAGTATCAGACGGAGGAACACATTTTTCTCTCTAAAATACATCAAGGGAAATGAAGGGAAGCAAAACCTCAAAAGCAATCTTTTCAAACTTATAAAATTTTCCTCTACAAATCATGATTTCTGCTTTCTAACAATAACCAAAGAGCCTTCTTGAACATCAAATAGCTCTTGCAAAATGACATTTACAAAATATCCCATGTACACAAACTAGAAACATATGGATAAAATAGCAAACATTTAGAAGTTAGTGAATTAAATGGAAAAACACCTCTGAAAGCACATTTTATATTGTTATTGTAATACCACAATGTTACTAATGCTGGATAAACCCTGAGAACAGCTGGATTTTGACTATATCTAATTGGGCCTGACCCAAATCATTTTTATTTTTTTGTAAGAAAATAGCATTTCTGTACATTACTCTTATTTTCAGTGCTGAGTTCTGGACTATATGCCAGTGCTTACCAAATTCGCTTTCTCCATATGTGTGAATAAATAAAAGAGAGGCTGCAGCCCACTGCTGAGTTTTCATAATAATGGAGGAACAATGGTCTTTGAAAGTTACAGATAATCCCCAGTCCTCATTGTGGTCATCTCTTTCTGTCCAATCTTTCTCTGGAACAACTAGCAAGATGCAAAATTGACTGATGATCTTCTCCCTTCCCCTGCTTGACCCTGCATACACACCGCCTCTCGTAGAAGTGCCAAGGAGCAGTGAAATGACCAAAAGGCAGGGAGTAGGAGGGAGAGGAAAGAAAAACAAACCAAGTGATCAACCCCAAATGACTGAGTGTTGGCTGTTTTCTATTATTTACTCCTTTGAGCTTTCTCAGATGTGTTTTTCTGAGAAGACTTTCATGTTGTCTTTTCTTTCCTCTCTGATAGTTAACCACCAATTTCCCTGCAATGGGCTAAGGGTGCAGAGCCCTTGAATGAGGTCCAGGTAGGCTGCCAGATTCTCAAGACACTAAAGCACAACATTTCCATCCCCATTCTTTTGAAAACAGGCTTTTAAATTGTGCATGAAGCCATGTCAATGATGAACAAAAATGAAAGTCACAAAGTAGTGAGTGAAAATTCAAAAGCAGTTCATCCATCCTCGGTATTTACATACAGCTTTAAATATGTAGATTTTTTTGAATTATGCATTTTGGTATTCTATCATTTTATAAAGGGCTGCCAGCAATTTACAAAAAAAAAAACATGGTCTACATTGAGTTCTGTTTTGATCTGCCCTCTCCATCAGAGTGTTTTTAAATGCTTGTATCATGAATTAAACATAGAACAATCTCATTCATTTAAATAAAATCCGCCTACTGAGGGCCATATGCATGGTTTGGGTCAAATCTGTGGAAGCGTCATTGTGGAGAAGAATGCCCTCTGGCCATGTCTTTTCTGTTTCAATTGTCCAAGGTCTAAGAATGAACACCAAAGAGGAAGGAACACATCAATCTGAGTCACCAACACTTCAAAGATGGTCTTTCTCAAAAGACCAATACACTGCAGGCTTTCATCACATATAAACTGACTTAAGGAATTTCCTAAAGGAGGTAGACTTTATGTAGAATTGCTTTTTTTTTTTTTTGAGGATTTAATGGTAGAAGGACTTCTTTGTAAATATAAAAATAATTATTTAACATTCATGATGATGACTTACGTAGTAACAATTTTATTCCAATCATTATGCTAAGTGCTTTACATAATTTATTTTAAAAACCATATAAGATAGTTATGATCATTATTCTTCATGTGTATTATTATAAACGACAAAAAGGGAGCACAGAAAAGTATTTGCTGACGCTCACAACACATCAGGATTTGAATTTCCTTATCTTACTCCACAACATAATATGAGACTCGAAAGACTACATACTTATATTTTATTCAGGTACTTTAAACTTTCTCAGAGATCCTACTAATTGATGTAGTTTGATTCTGGGATCCTCAAAAGGGAATTTTATATAATTTTAGCTATTGATGGTCATTTCTAATAACTTGAAAATATCACTCTAGAGTATATATTACACATATATATAACAAGATTTCTAAATCTAGGCCAATTTTTTTAAAATACTTATTTTTAATGCCTATTGTCATGCATTTTTGCTTGTTAAATCTGTACCTTGTGTGTATGTCAGATTTATTAAAGAGATAAATGTTAAAAAATGAAAGAAACCGAAGACAGATGTTACTGTCTTTACTATGTAAAGAGCTTTCATGAATCAACATGAAAGTGTATAGCAACTGAATATAAAAAGACAAAGAACATGATGAAGAAATTTAATGGGGAATAAATACAAATGGTTAGACTCAAACACATATGATAAAATCTTTCATATCAATTTTAACTATAAGAATGCCAATTACATATTATATTTTAATTATTAATGAAAAAGATTAAAAACTATTTTAATTCCTATTATTTCAAGGACATAGAAGTATGAACACTCTCAAACATCACTGGTGAGAGTAGAAATTATTTAAACATAAACACCCAAACACACAGTTTAAAATATGAGTTGAAGTTGTAAGACTTCAAAATGTTTATACTCTTTGAGCCAATAATTTGATTTACAGTAGATGAAGAAAATTGAGAGGAATATCAAATTTTACTTACAAGGATATTTATTACAGTTTTATTTTAAATAAAAAATTTAAATAATTTATAAGTTCAACACAAAATAAAGACCTGGCTAACACATTTATGACATAGTCATAGGATAGCAATAGTGTGAAGACTAATTACAAGTTGAATATCTCTTATCCAGAATACTTGGGACCAGGAGCGTTTCAGATTTCTGATTTTTTCTGATTTTGGAATATTTGCATATATATAATCATACACCTTGGGAATGGGACCCAAATCTAAACACAAAATCCATTTATGTTTTATATACACCTTATAAACAGAGCCTGAAGGGTAATTTTATAAAACATTTTAAATAATGTTCTTCCTTAAACAATGTTTTGATCACATTTTGGCTGTGATTTGTCACATGAGGTCAGATGTGGAATTTTTCATTTGTGGCATCATATCAGCACTCAAAAATTTTCAGATTTTGAAGCATTTCAGATTTGGGATTTTTAGGTTAGGGATGTTCAACTTGCAATATAAAAACATAATATAGTACATTTATTTGCAATATACCATTAAGGAGAAAAAGAATATTAAAAATATAGAGTACGATCTCAATTTATAAACAAATACCTCCTATATAGCTCTACATATAATAAAGCTACATCACATATTAAAAATCCACATTATATGCATACATATATAATTGCATATAATAGAATGAGAAAAAACTGTAATATCAATTATTTAAATGTGGTATAATTGTAGGTGATTTTTTCTTTATTCTTGATATGTACTGGCATTTAAAAAATTTACTACAATTAATATATATTTTTTATAGATGAATATGTCTGATATAACATGGAATCATCAACCCATGGTGTTCTCAAGAAATAATAGCCCAATATAAATGCAAGGTACTGCTATTAGCATAAATGTTTACTTGAGTAAATTTATGAAAGAAGTTCAATGTCACTACTATTCACAGAAATATGAATTAAAACAATCACAATGATTTCCCTCCACGTTTGCTGAAGTTCTGTGCTGCTGAAGATAGAAAGAACAGTCCTCTTCAAACACTGCTGCCTGGAGTGTGTAATTGGTACAGTCTTTTTGGAGAGCAGTGTGTCATTATCTACCAAAATTTTAAATGAACACACCTTGAAAATTAGCAATTTCACAGCTAGGACAGATTCTACAAACACATCTACCCAAGTGAATAAAATTGATGTACAAAATGTTCATTGCAGTATCTTTTATAATAGCAAAGTACTGGGGACAATCTAAATGTCCATCAAAAGAAGAATGTTTAAACAGATTTAGCAGCTGCTAAAAAATAGTTGAGAGAGATCTACATGTAATGGCTTAGAGAGATGTCCAATACATATGATCTTTAAAAAAGGACATGGCACAACCATTTGTATAGTATGATTCAACTGAGGTTTAAAAAAATCTGAATATATAGAAAATATCTTAAGAAATAAATCTTAAATTTAACAGTGGTTATCTCTTTGGAGGGACACGAACCAAGGATCTTTGGAGGCAATGAAACAGGGATTTCGGGTTGAACTTTTATTCTTCTATGGTGTTTGAAATTTTTGCAGTGAGAAGTATTTATGTATACCATAGAATTAGAATGATTTAAAATGATCAGTGACTCAAGAAAACTGTTAGCCATTTGTTTTAACCAAACACTAAAATATTGGCAGATATCATCAGGCTAGTTGAAACTGTGAATTACTCTCTACAAAATAAGAGTATTTTTGTTCTCTTTTAAAATATTTTAATTTTTGTGGCCGGCACGAAGCTGATCTTGGCAAGAGTGGAAGGCATTCTCACAGGAGGAGAAATCCATAGAGCAATATATCCAATATATTAAGTTGCAACAGCCCTTTATTTAAGGCTTTTGGTGGTATCATCATCTCTTAACAAAACATTTTTATTTTTCCAATTTTAAAATTCTCCAGTGGCCATTTTGCTTGATTTCTTTCTTGTCTTTCATTTCTTCATGACAGTAATGCAAAACAAATTTTGATAAAAATATCTTGTTCATTTTTTCACTACTCAACTCTCTGCTTTCAAGCAGAGCCAAGGAACATTGATATTTTGATATAAAATAATTTTTCCCTTTGAATTAAATTGTTTTTCAAAATGGAAAGGATCCCTATTTTTAAAATAGTACAAGCATCTTATGCTAATTTAAAAATAACAGATAGTATGTAAAAATGCAATGAAACTAAAATATCCCTCTAATCCTATCACAAAGAGACAGGTGTTAGCATTTTGGTGTATATATTTTGTGTGCATCAGTTTTCCTATAACTTGATTTTTTTTCATGTGATACTCCCTTTACCCTTATCATCATTGATGATATCAGCATAAGATTCTACTATACGGATATTTCATTTTTAGACACCAAAATTTCTGCCAGGCCCAACTGATTGCCAGTGTAATTAGCCTCTCCCTCTTTCTTGTTGGCAAATCTTGCCTCCCATAATAGAGGCCGAATAACAGTTATTCACGTTCTCAGTTTTCTTTGCAGCTAAGGTGTAGGTATGAGTCCCCAAACTGGCTAATCATCGCAAATAACAAAGTTCCAGGAACAGGCTTTCCTCCTTGATGAAAAATAGACATGCTTGGAGAAACTGCCCTTCTTCTTGTCTTTGTGTAAGATGTGATGCCCGGAGCTACAGGAGCTGTCTTGTGACCATGAGGAATGAAACCTAAGAAAAAAACTATGTCAATCATAACAGAGTTTTAACAATAAAAGATTCTGGATCTTTAATGACATTTCTGAACTACTGAACACACTCTAGAAGCTCCCTTTCAGAAATTCCTATGGGCTGAAAAACAACTATTGGTTGATCCACTTTAATCAAGTTATTCTCACCTGTATCCAAAAGCAATTCAACTGATATATGGTTATTTCCAATTTTTCATCCTCTCAAACAAAACTGAAATGTTCATTACTAAATGTACTAAATGTACAACGTTATCAATTTCTCCAAATGTTTTCCTGAAATAAATTCTTAGTAGTGTAATTCCTGGCTCAAAGATTAGAATAACTTTAAATATAAATTATTTTAAGAACATCATAACCAGAATTTATGATTTTATTTTTTATTCTTATATTTCTTTATTGTGGCAGTGGTTTAGAGATTAAGGATCATGGACTAAAGAGGTATATGCTACCCATCAATTAGGTTTCTGCCCACTCTTACTACTTGGTCTGCTTAAGGCAGTGACTTAACTTGTCACTTCTTTAGTTGGCTCATCTGTAAAATGGGTATAAAAATATCCACTTCATTGTGTTTCTGTGAGGCTTAAACAAGTTAACAGCTGTAAAATTAATAGAACTCTCTAGTGCTAGCATGGGAGCAGGTGCTCTTTCTTCCTCTGTGTACCCTCCCATGCTATCTTAGTAACTGATATGTATTAGTTGCTAAATACACATTTATCTAATAAGTGAAGAAATGAATAATAAGTCTGAGATCTTTATCTGGACAAATATTTTGTCGTATTTAAGGGTCTCTAGGATCCACTCGGTTTGCCTTTGCATCTGTTATTTATCTTTTTGCTGCAACCACAAATTGGGCTGGAATATAATATTACAGTGATGAGTCAGTGTGGACTTTCAACACAGAAGATCTCAACCTGAAACATCCTTAGGATTGGCAGTGCGTTAAAAAATGAGTTTGTTCTACTCAAATACCAATTTGTTCTTTAAAAATCAACATAGCATGCAAGCATTGGATCTTCAGAAGTGATGAGTTTTTATAGTTTTTTAGTCCCATTCTTCAGCCAATGAAGCAATTTGCTCTTTATCACCCCAGACATTAATCACCCAATGTGCTGATTGAATTTTTCCATCATTATTTTTAAATCCTGGAGGTGGCGAGGATGGAAGCAAAATTAGGGACCCATTGTCTGACTATTATTTTATCCAACATAATAAGCATGAAGGCAAAAAAAGGACATCACATTTCCAAGATATTGTAGTTTTGAGCACTGATCGTGAATTCCTTTTTAAAATTTTTAGATCTTTACACACTGATTTTTTTAGAGAAATAGAATCCATAAAATGAGCATTGAGAGACATCTAAAAACATCACACATCTTATATCCATATAAACATATATGTTTGTTGCAGTGTTATGTGTACATTCAAATCTGAATTCCGCAAGGAATTTCATCATATTATTAAGAGCAAATAAAATAATCCTGCATCAAAGGACAGTTGAACTTAATGGAAGTTTTATGTGAAGTTCAACTATCTTACTCTTTGGCTAATGCCTATCAATCAACCCACTCATTGCCCTCAGTTATGCATTAACCTTTTGAGGATTTAAAAGCAGGTCACTTCAGATCTTTAGTGTATTATCTCATCTCTCTGATCTACTCAACAGCATAAAGGCTACCAAAATGAAATGACTATTCCAACCTGTAGAAACAGCTAAGATTGTTACAGTGGTTCTTTGATTAACTCACATTTTAGTGGTCCTGTGAGAGTATTTTATTTGGAGGAAAAAACAGAGAAAAGAAGTTGTATCTGAATGTTACACTTTAAAAAAATATAATTAATGACAAGAAGCGGAAATGAAATAGTCCACAGTTTTTTTTTTTCTTGTTTAGTGACAGAAGATCACTTGCTATTAATGGATTACCCAAAATGAAGTGCTAAACGGTAGAAAAATGGTGTATGAATAAGAAGTACTGACAATAAAGACTGTTTTGAATATTTTATGTGGTTCTTGGTTGTCAAAAAGCAAAGTCTATGGACTCAAAACGCTATGCCAGTCAGCAAGCTAGAAAGCTGATTGTAGGAGCACCAGGAACACATTTCCAAAAGTAACGTTTTAACAGCAGGATTAAAGGTTAGAAAGTGGAATTTTGTGTCAAAAGCAATCATTTGTGGGGTGTGTGCGGGGTGGAGGTGTTGCATTCATGTGTTTTTGAAGAAGATAAGCCGATAAGCCATTTCCTAGCATGATCTAGTGTAAATCTTTACATTTCAAGTTACTTTAAAAAGAAATATCTGCTGGGCACGGTGGCTCACGCTTGTAATCCCAGCACTTTGGGAGGCCGAGGTGGACGGATCACCTGAGGTCAGGAGTTGGAGACTAGCCTGACCAATATGGTGAAAACCCGTCTTTACTAAAAATACAGAAATTAGCCAGGTGTAGTGGCAGGCCCCTGTAGTCCCAGCTACCCAGGAGGCTGAGACAGGAGAATTGCATGAACCTGGGAGGTGGAGGCTGCAGTGTGCCGAGATCACGACAATGCACTCCAGCTTGGGCAATGGAGTGAGACTCCGTCTCAAAAAAAAAAAAAAAAGAAAGAAATGTGAAGTGCAGGAGTGTTTTAATACTGCTGCCTGCTGAGGAAGCAGTGATTGGACTCCTCCTGTTTTTCCTAGTTGACAATTATTGTTTCCAATGGACAGTGACGCTTGATGCCTACTGCTGTGAAAAAACTTTCATTCATGTGTCCATCACCTGTTTATACAGGACCTACTATGTGGAAGGCATTGTTCTAGGCATTCAGACTATAGCAGGGAATAAACTGAACTAAACATCTTGTTGTTATGGAACGTTGTCCAGAAAAAGTACTATTGAATTCATCCACTTTGTTGTGAGATCAAGATGTGTTCGTTTTACTCGTTCTTTTGGGGATGGAGACTTAACTTACCAAATGTACTTTGAAATGTATTTGTGTAGACAATTTGAAAGGAGCTGGGTCTCCTCTTTCCTGACATGACTTCCCACAAATGGAGGCTAGAAGATCACTGTCCTACCTCAGAAAAAGAGTTTGGAACAGAATTGGTTTGTATTTAATAAATACCTACATGTTAAGAAAAAGTCCCACTCTCCTTTTGATGGTGTGCATGTGGCTCTATTGTGTTTCTAGTTAAGATGGGGTCTAGAGGGAGAGAAACCTAGCGCTCTAATTTATACTTTCATGCTGAACTCTCCTGTAATGCGGGCCAGTTGTGTCGCAACATCTCAACTACCCTGATGTTTTCTAAGCCCTTTCTACCCAACAAGTGTGGCACCTGGCTCCTTCAGTTCAGTGAGATTGGCATCTCAAGGCAATTGTGGTGTTTGCGGGTGTGACTGACCACTGTGTTGACTCTTCCGAGTCACATCACTGTGCCATGTGAATTATCAGGATTCATGTTCTTTTAATGGAGTGGAAAGGGTTTGAGGCTGAAACCCTGGGGCATTCCTGGGAGAGGGTTGGAATCAGGAGCCGGGCTCAGCCACTATCCTATGACAGGCCCATACCCTTCCTTTGTGCAAAGGATCTTGAAAGGCCTTTACTGTTTCTTCTCTGTGAGACCGTGAATCACCTATATTTTAAATGATGCGTTTTTAATGGGTCAAAATTAAGAGACTGACATAAACAATTTTGGGAGAGAAGTGTGTATCTCTTCATACTAATTAATGTCCAGAGCAGAAAATAGTTTTTGATAGTACAATGAAAATTACAAGCCTTTATTCTGATAACTTTTTTACTTAACATGTTATAACATTCTTGGAACCAAGTCCTGTTTTCAGAGAAAGTTTCTTTAAAATGCCAACCATCTCCAAGCCTATCACAGTCCTTGACTTATGTCACTGACTCTAGAAAAGACTGTTGTTGATGATGGAGAAGGTATAGGTCAGAAAGAAGGTCAGAAAACATGAAGAGAAGCTTCTGGAATAGGAGATGAAGTGAGGACTTCAGGCCTAAAGTTGACCCCCTCTTCTCCTGTGCAAATATTGACCCCTAGTAATACCCACCGATTGTGACACTATTACCAATAGAAGTAATATTAGAATACCAGTGAAAGTTGGATATTCTGGAATACGAATGGAGGTTCCGAAAAGTGTGGGTTTTTAAATTTGTTTGCTTGGTTTAAACACATTTCTAATTTCTTTTATATTTTACCTGAACTTCTTACACCCTAATTTGGCTAAGTACTACAGCCACTGAAATAGCTCCAAAAGAATCTTTCTCATGATTTTCCTAGAACATCTAGAGCTATGGAATACTGAAAATGTCCCAGTGTCTTCTGAGGCTCCCATTCCTAGAGAAATAGCGATTACTCTTTCTCTGAAAGGTAATCTTTCCTTGTTTTACCATTCCACCCTGTAAAAGCAGACTTGAAAAACATAATAAGAAATGATGTTGGTTTTTGTAATAGCACATGAATGTATTCTTAGCTTTCTCTGGAGATTAAAACTTTAAAAAGCTAGGTACCACTCTGTCCAGAACAGTTTTAGGTTTGCTTTGAGACCAGAGCAAGGATTATATGACCCATCAGCAGAACTTCCATACTTGTGAGTACTGCAAAAAGTACAAAATATTTGATTCACAGAGTGTTTTCACACTTAGCAAAAAAAAAAAAAAAAATAGAAAAGAAAAAAATTAACATTTATATTTAAATTTTAAAAGAATTTTAAAACTTATAAATGATTTGCCTTTACAACCAAGCAAATCTTTGAGTAAAGTCCTCATGCTTTTCTTGAAATAATAGGGCTTAAAATGGATTTTTAACATTTAAATTTAAATTGCATTTTTCAAATTGACTTGCCAGAAATTTTCACACACAAAAGCAGAAGAAAACCAAAATGTACCTATCACCCACTAACAAAAACTATTCTAAAACTTACAATTTTCAATGGAATCAAAGTCCTGACATAAAATAAGAACAAAATTTGTAAAAACTGTTTCTACTCTTTTGGGCATATTGACTGTGGGTTATTCAGGTAGCTGCATGCTTAAAATACATACAAATCATCCAGAGATACTTAACACTTCTATCCCTCCCATAATACCCTCAGAGTTATTGTCAGCACCTGGGAGCAAGCCAGTTCAGGAGAATCTGTCTGCATCATGATACAGGGCAAAGATTCAGCCAAACCCTGATAATCTGGTAATAATTCAATTTAGTTTTGTTTCAACTTTGGTATTTGAATCATAGGAAACCAAAGTCCTTCCGTGTATGAACAAGTAGGTTTTTTAGGGCATTTGATGAGGTTTTGCTCAGAAGGAAATGTTTTAAGTGAAAAAATGGGACTCCACTAGTTGGATTTCTATGTGGCCATTGAGAGCTAATAATATGACCTCAACAGACCCCAGTGCAAGATTATAGGACTGAAAAGGGGTAAGAAAAATGGAAGCAAATGGGAAAATGTTTCCAGTATGAAGAGTTGACTTGCTGGTTCTGAGACCCAAATGGTTCTTTTGACCACCTTCCCCGGTCTCCCCAGTCCCTACTTAAGGTTAGAAGAAAGCAGAGCTGCCAACTTGGATATAGCTTCCATGATTTGGAAGCTGTAAAAGAAGTGATCCTTGAAAACCATTTCAACAACAAAGTTCTGTTCATGAAACAGCTGGTATTTTTGTGAGTTATCACAGACTTGTGACTTATATAAGGATGGAAATTAAACACACACACACACACACACAAGCAACATTTTTGAGGGGAAAAAATCCCCTCATGTTACCCTAAGAAAAGGGAAATATTTGTATGAGTCAAAAGCATCTGGCTTTGTTTTATTGGAGCCTAACATTTTCCAGTTCTTACCATTTTCATATTGCTTGCCCTAGGGCTTTCAGGTATCCTTGGCACATTGGCCTTGGGGACATTTTCAGAAGGAGAAAGACATGAGAAACAAATAAATACATATATGCATATTTCCTCTAGGAATGATGGTTTTGTAGTAGTCTTGTGCTAACTTAAAAAGCAAAGTAATGACATGTTCCTTCTACGGGTAACTCATGTCATTACTGAAGAAATTGAAAGCAAGTGACAAAAATTACCAATTGGGCCATTAAATAGTCATTTAAGGTACAGCAGCTCTATAGTTACTAAGGACAGGTCTATAGTTCCCTGCCCAGCATCCCTTTCTTCTTTCTGCTCTCAACATTTGTTCACATCCCTTACTGAACATCCTCACTACTAGATAGAAAGGAGAGTTGCTGAAGTGCCGGTCAACAGCTTCTACCTACTTTTAGTCAATCTCATAAAATAGTAGGAAATAAAACTGTAAGTATTGGCTGTTTTTAGTCAGTGTTTTAAAAGAAGGGCCGGGTGCAGTGGCTCACACCTATAATCCTAGCACTTTAGGGGGTCGTGGTGGGAGGATCCCTTGAGGCCAGGAGTTCAAGACCAGCCTGGGCTACATAGCAAGACCCTGTCTTTACAAAACGTACAGAAAAATTAGCCAGGCATGGTGACACTGGCCTGTAGACCCAGCTACTTGGGAGGCTGAAGCATGAAGATCCTTTAAGTCCAAGAGTTTGAGGCTGCAGTGAGTTTTGGTCATGGTGTGCACTCTAGCCTGGGTGACTAAGTGAAACCCTCTCTCAAAAAAAAAAAAAAAAAAAAAAGAGAGAAAAGAAAAGAAAAAGAAAAAAGGCTAACTAAAAAGGACGGGTTTTAGTTATGTTTGATTTTAATGTCCTTACATATCTCTATTTTTCCCATTTCTAAAGATAATTTTGGTTTACCTATTATAATAATTTTGTGATTATTTTGGGTTTGAGAATCTGGACTTAAATGCCTATTGGTGTTTTAAGTCAATATCTACAAGGGCCAAAATGCACAGATGAATGAAAAGTAATTTGGCTAATTGGATAGGATAAATAGCCATACTGAAGATAGACAAATGCCTGCCTTGAATTTCCCAGCATGATGTTTAGTCAATCTCTAATTTTCTTGTCATGTTACCAAAGTAGACAAGAGCCTTAGCTACTAGTTGATAAGGTCATCAAGTTATCATTATATATTAGCTCTATCACTATCAAAAGAATAAACAGATCATGGTCTCTCCATCAAATAGTAACTACTGAGACAAGCTTTTCTCTTTACCATTCAGGTTCTGAAGCACTTTGTATCCCAGTAATCACTTTTCCTAATATCATAACAGGACATAAGTGTCTTTTCTAATGTTGTTGAATTAGAGTACTCACTAAAGAATGAGGAGGAAAAATGCCTTGATAATCTCCTTGAGACCAATTCTTTTATCCCCAGTGTCTAGCTCTGGGCATTCAATGATGAAGAAGTACATCCTATCTTTTTCTTGGAAATTCTAACTGTTTTCCTGCTCCTGAGAACTAATGATTTTATGTCTTTGAATGGTATAACTGACAAAGTTAAAGTGAAATCTATGTTATGCTTCAAAGAAACACATACATAAATAATTCTCCATATTTTAAACTTATTTCCTAACATATAGAAGTGACAACATATCTTAGTTGTAGATATTACAAAATATCCTTATTTACAGTTCAGGCCAAAGTGAAATATTACAGAGGGGTATTTATATTTGCCATTTTTTGTTAGACTTCCATAAATCAATGAAAACTCATAAAGATGTTTACCGTCA
Source organism: Homo sapiens (assembly GCF_000001405.40). Lineage (NCBI taxonomy): Eukaryota > Metazoa > Chordata > Mammalia > Primates > Hominidae > Homo > Homo sapiens. The sequence continues at coordinate 107,395,519 of NC_000008.11, read as the reverse complement.
TCTTTAATTGGCAAAGATACAGTGAGAAATCATTCAGAAGTAGAATCATGAAACTTGTGGATTATATATGGCCTAGTGTAATACACTGAAAATTCTTAACAAAAATATGGAAACATGGAAGTAAATGCATATAAATGTTACCAACACATAGAAATAATACTCAAGGTGATATAAATACCTCGACTTGATCCTTACATAGTCTATACTCACATGTAGCACATGCAAATATAAAATATATGTTTTAAAAACCATAGAAATGGAAGAAATCATAGAGGTCATGGAGTCCAGTCCTATCCCCCAGCATGAAATATCTTAACTACATTCTCGGTAAGAGTTTGTAAGTACTCAATGAAGACATGGTGAATAAATGAAAAACAGATAAAAGCCTCTAGATTCACATTGGACATTTCTAGGAATCCTCTTCAGAAGGCAGCTCACTCTATTTTGGACAGTTCCAACATGCAGAGTGCTCTTTTCTATATTACCTTATGGCATTTATTATAATATCATCTAGATATTCTTCAATCTATAGATAGAGAGCTACTGCTTTTTAAAAAAAATAACTGGATCACTATGTCAAACTTAATTATCCTTAGGGTTTTTAAGAGGAAAAAAATCCATAAGGAAGCTCTAGGAAGAGCTACATATTTTTATGAGTTATTAATGTTCCACGTTGCTTTAATATGCTGTTATCCAGTCCAAATAATGAGTACAAAAATTAATGTAATCCAATATAAATATAAATATAAATACAGAAAGGAAATCTTAACAAAATCATCCTGAAGACTGAATGGTTTGGGCAATAAAAATCACATAGATTTATTCTGCACTTCAGGATATGTGGATAAATAGCGTTAGTGACAATCTGCTAATCCAAGATGGCTCCTATCATGTTACCTCCAGATAGCCTACATTTTCACAAGTGAGAAAAAGCAGGCGCTTTGTCATGATATCTCTTAAGCTTAGTCTCCTTCCCTCCCCCCAGCTCCTTATTCTGACTCTGAAAACTAACTCCTCTGGGATAAACTCTGATAACATTAAATCTGTAGGTACCATCAGGGCTATTTCAATAGATCACTGTGCTGAACCTCCTGGCCTTCTGTCTGGAACTGAGACTGGCGCTGGCTTTCTGCAAAAATGCTCATTAATCTTTTCTTGCCTCTTACCTCTGGTCTCTGAGAGACAGCCTAGTTTCTTGCTTGTATATTCTAGTAAGAGTCAACTAGAAGAGTTTTCCCTAAAATGCATTGATCAAAACTAGAGAAAGTGGGAATGACAACACTGTAGCTCCATGGTTCTGCCAACCATAACTAAACAATCTCAGTTTCTTCAAGTGGAAAATTGCTTCTTAGATTCTCCTGAGGATCAGCTCTCCAGCTCTAACCCCTAGCTTTAGGAAAATACCGGTATCTTTCACAGTCCCAAGAATGCTTGCGGGCACTGTAATAAAATCTATAAACCTGTATCATTTCCTCAGGATGAATGGGCTCTAAAAATCTTTGCAGAGGTAAAACAGGTCAAATGTGGATTACTTCCAAAGACTGAAAGTCAAAATGCATTAGTGGCAGGAGTCCCTATATATTTTCACTTACGATTCTGCTTTTGTTTTGTCTTAGCAGGTTAAAGCCAAGTCAAGACGGTTGCTCCATCTATTGCAGGAAGTAGGTCAGGTTCATCCCCCATTTTTTTGTTTGTTTGTTTGTTTGTTTTGAGATGGAGTCTCGTCCAGCCGCCCAGGCTGGAGTGCAGTGGTGCAATCTCAGTTCACTGCAAACACCGTCTCCCAGGTTCAAGTGATTCTCTCGTCTCAGCCTCCCAAGTAGCTGGGACTGCAGGTGCCTGCCACCACGCCTGGCTAATTTTTGTATTTTTAGTAGAGGCGGGGTTTCACCACACTGGTCAGGCTGGTCTCGAACTCCTGACCTCAGGTGATCCACTGGCCTCCACCTCCCAAAGTGCTAGGATTACAGGCGTGAGCCGCTGCACCCAACCCATCCCCCTAATTTTTTTTAAAAAGATCATATTTCACATTCACTTTTAAAATTTTTTTAAATTTGTATGTATTGAGATATAATTAGCATACAATATAACTCACATTTTTAGGTAGACTGTTTGATGAGCTCCAACAAATGTAATGTCATGTAATTACTACCAAAATTAAGATATAGACATTTCCATCATCCAAAAAGTACCCTCCAAATCTTTTGCAGTCAGTCCCCTCTCCCCCTCTCAAGCCCAGGGGAACCACTGATCTATATTTGTTCTCTATAGTCTTGCCTTTTTCAGAATGTTCACACTCAGATGTTTTTTAAAAAATAATGCTTATAATAAATAGTTACAGCTTAAAAAGTTAAGAAGTTAGCATGCACTGATGGGAAAAAAATCATGAAAAAGTAACATGATTGGTGTGAAAATTGTATAGTTTCTGAGTTGAACACCAACTTTTTTACTCTACAGAATGCATAACTTGTTCAAATAGTCACTATTACCCATTGTTAGACTCCAGTCAATTAAAAAGATGGAATCTGCTGCCATAATCAAAACAATATAGTTTGGCTTCAGATTAGACAAAGAGATCCATGGAATGAAACAGAGAGACCAGAAATAGATCCGCACACATATGGGAACTTCATATATGGCAAAGGTGGCGTTTCAATTCAGTAATAAAAAGATTATTTACCAAGTGAACAGTTTGGCAAAAACAACTCTTCTTCTGGAATGAATAAAATTACATTATACCACATATGAAACTAATTCCACATAGATTAAAATTTTGAATACAAAAAATCCCATTAAAATATTCTAAAATAATTTGTGAGAAGAACAGGAGTAGAGTTAATATTCCTAAGGAAAGTGGGAGACTCAGAAGCCACATATATCCAATATAGATATATTTGCATGGCAAAAATGACATAAACAAAGTAAAAAATAAAGATAGATTTGTGTTAATGGCTTAATATTTTTCATATACAAAAATTGCCTGCAAACTGATGAGAAAAATTAATCAAATGGCAAGAACATCATGATCTCAGTAAATCTGTAACCCCAATGGATGATAATAAGCAGGAGCTCATCCTTATTATTAGTCAAAATAGAAATTAAAATGACAATAAAATATAATTTTTTTCTTCTACCAGATCGACAAAACTTTAGATAAGTAACAGCTAGTGCTTTTGAGCATATGGGAAAAGACATATTCTAATACACTGGAATGGGTGCAAATTTATTTCATTATTGTGAAAAGAAATTTGTCGGGATTGCAATATGACACATAACTTCGGAAATCTATCCTACTGGAATAAAAATGCCAGTATTCATATAATTATATACAAGATTATCCTCAAGGATATTTTAAAACAAATTAATACACAAATATTTATATGTATAAACATAAAGAAAGTTATGGGATTTCGCATACCAGGATATCAGGCTGTTAGCTCAAAGGTTTCAGAATGGAGGAGATTATTATTTTTAAAAATACAACTTTGAATGATTACAGCTATTACAGTCATGCACCACATAACAACATTTCCATCAGTGAGGAACCATATATACCCTGGTGGTCACATAAGATTATAATAGAGGTGAAAAACTATTGCCTAGTGATATTGTAGCTGTGGTAATATCATAGGGCAATGCATTACATTTTCTGTGTTTAGATACACAAATTCACACCACTATGTTACAATTGCCTACCATATTCAGTGTACTAACATGTGGTTACAGGTTACTGAACAAGTTTGTAGCCTAGGTTCAGTGGACTATACCATACAGCCTAGGTGTATACTAGGCTATCCCATCTATGATTCTGTAAGTACACTCTGTGATGGTTTTTTGTCTGTTTGTTTGTTTTGAGACAAAGTCTTACTGTGTCGCCCAGGCTGGTGTGCACTGGCATGATCTCAGGTCACTCCAACCTCAGCCTCTCGGGTTCAAGCGATTCTCCTGCCTCAGCCTCTCAAGTAGCTGGGGTTAAAGGCACCTGCCACCACGCCTGGCTAATTTTTGTATTGTCAGTATAGACGGGGTTTCACCATGTTGGCCAGGCTGGTCTCAAACTCCTGACCTCAGGTTATCTGCCTCCTTCAGCCCCCAGAAGTGCTGGGATTACAAGTGTGAACCACTGCTCCTGGCCCAACACATGAATGTATAATAAACACATATATGTTTTGAAATTAACAAAATATAAATGGGAAAATAAAAAGACTAAGCCAGGATTCCAGGTGGCCTGGGGCCGGAGACAAAAAAATGACTGTCACATTTTCGGAGAAACTTGCTCTCCCATACCCAGAAGATTCAGCCCCACATTATGATGGGAACCAGAGATGTGAAAATATACATCTTAGGGCCACAGATTTCTTCTGGGTTTGGACATCTACATTTGTGAGTTAAAGTAAGTCTTTAGTAGTAATTAATTTTTAAATTAAAACTTTTTTCATTGCAATAGTACCTAGTAACTGGTATGCCAATTTAAATCTACAACCTTTAAAAATGTTTAATGATAGCAAATATTACACATTGGGACTCTGAGTCACAAGGCTCAGAGTTTTAATAATGGAGTTATTTAATAATGGAGTTCTGTCCCTCCGTTTTAATAATGAAGGGATAAGTAGCAGAGGCAGCAGACCATGGATTCTGAAGCCAGACTTCCTAGATTCAGAACCTAGCCTGGCCTCTCACTAGATCTGTGATCTTGAGCAAGTCACTGAATCTTTCTGTGACTCAGTTCCTCTCTCTGAAAAATGGGTATAATGGTAGTGCTTACCTCAAAGAGTTGTTCTAAGAATTACGTGAGTTATTATTTGTAAAATATTTTAAATAATGCCAGGTAAACAGAAATCTCCTATTTATGTGTTTATTAAATACATGAATAGTAAAACCCTCCTTCTATTTTCTGATCATCCTGTACCATTTTCTAAGCAATTCTTTGAGGATTCATTCTGGATCCTCTTGAAACTACAGAGTGTCTGATGATTTAATCCCACGTATGATTTTGGTTACCACCTTTGAACAATACAATATCAACTATTTCATTAGCTTCAGAACGTCACTTTGTAACACTCATCTCAGTATCTGTACTCAGCACAAGACAAGCTTCAGAGTATTCAGCTCAATATTTTAAACCAGACTGAACTGAATGGTCAGAGTCTCACAGTCACAATGAATTACGTCCTGCTTTCCAATCATAAACAAGTGCATATTTTTGTTTATTACAAGGCCAGTATTAGGTTCCAATGTGCTCAGTTTCATAAACTTCAAGTTTATACTTGCAGGCCCCTTTCTAATAGTCACATACATATTAGAAATGTGGACTGATATTGGAAATAAGTTTTCTGAGTATTAGATTAAAAATAAGGAACTAGGAATTATTGAAGAGTGAATGATGTGTTAAAAATTATTATGGGTAATTCACCTTTTGTTGTATTTGGCCAGTTAACCTGAAAGGGAATGCAGTTATTGAGTTTAGATTTACAGGCTTTGAAATTCATAATTTACCAGACATTTTGGAAAGGAAGTAGGAACAATAAAATGCCAATTTTGTGCTCTCAAAGAGCTTACTGCAGCATGATTTTTTTTTTTTTTTAGGAAGAAACCTTATGGTTCAATATTTCTGGAATGTAAGAATGAAGAATGTACAGAGGGATGGTACAGCACCCTTGCCACATTGCCTGGGTCAAAAATATTTTTAGATGGAGGGAGTAGCCACAACTATTTTCTAAAACGCTGTTGTTTGAATTTACTCTGTGCTATACATATATATGTCCCTAAATATCCCTAATTATATTTTATATGTTTCTAAAGAGCTACAAACCTACTCTTTTGCACAGAGGTTTACTTTGGCAGTATATAATTGTTTTTGTTATATGTTATCCTCTGTTTGGCCTTACTGTAAGCTGAAACAGACAAAAGATGTTCAGGAAAATCAAGCCAATTCTCAAATCTGGAGATGTGAAGAGCCCCCAGTGGAACATGTGCAATGGAACTAACAGAGACTAAGAATCTTCTTTAATTTGCTATTCCTGTCAAGGTCCTGTCACATTCATTATTGTGAAGTGTAATTGCCTTACATACCAAATTTACTCCTCCCGTCCCCCTGCAGAATTATCCTTCTCTTCATTTCCCAGGCTAATCTAACTTTGGATAACCGCACTCCCACATGTTATGCATGGCAGACCTAGATCTAACTCAAAGAAAACCAAGGACTATTGCTGGGCAGTCAGACATAGCACGTAGTCCTTGCCATGATCAGAACAAACCCAAGAGATAGGAAGAAAACATGTTGTCCTCATTTTTTACAGAAATAAAAGGCTGCAATTAACAGTGCTAGGTAGTAGCAAAGTCATGATTAGAACCCAGCTTTCCAGGCTCAGTAAATTTTTATTTTCATATCACTACATTTGTGCTTTAGAAAGTCATATTAGTACTGGGTCATCATGGCTATAAAGGATGTAGAATTGAAATATTGGGTCCATTTGCTCCATCTGAATCCTCAGAGACTATCTTAACTGTGTGAATAAATGTATTTCCACTGTGTATGCAGCCATATAGCCATAGATCTTCAAATTAAATAAACAATATGTCAGGCTCCTTTGAACAAAAGTGTACAATAATGATTTTTGAAACTGCCCTTCTGGTAATACTTTACTATTTCATATCAAAGAAATTAAAGGAGTAACTTCTAGTGTTAATTTGATCCATACATTGCAGAAAGAGTTTTTAGCAGCAGGAAAATAACACAGGAAATGCTCCATACTCTTCAGCCAATCAATTCGGCTCTGCCACTAATCTCTGCCAGGATACAGAATGTTACTGTCTCAATCTCTTTACAGATTCACGGGTGTGCGTTGAAAATTCTGCAATAAAGCAGGTCCACTCTAGAGACTATGCTATGCAAAGTCCATAAAAGTGGTGTACAGGAACGGTATAATCAGGCGGTTTGGGGTATTTTTTCAAATGACAACGAGCTAAGATGTTTTGAGAAGGATGGCTCAGAATAAGCTTCTGTTTACAAAATGGAACCTGACTCCTTTCAGGTATATTGATCATTGACTAGGATATTTTGTTTTATTTATTTATTTATTTATTTTTATTAAAAAATAATTTGGAAATGGGGTCTTGCTCTCTCACCTAAACTGGAGCGCAGTGGTGCAATCATAGCTCACTATGACCTAAAATTCTTGGGCTCAAGTGATCCTCCCACCTCAGCCTCTGAAGTAGCTAGGACCGTAGGTACATGCCACCATGTCCAGCTAATTCTTTTTAAGTTTTTGTAGAGACAGGGTCTTGCTATGTTGCCCGGTCTCAGATATACTGTATAATATTTTGTTTCAGGAACTTTATCCAAAGCTGTTGAGACCACCGTTTGTTACTCATAATTATGATTTGTATGCAATTCATGTTACTAAAAACTAAGTTGTGAAAATATGAATTAGTTTCTTCATAAAAAAATTTTCATCTCATTATAAATTGAGCAAACTTGAGAAACAATTAATATAGATTACTGGCAATTATTGTCTAACTTATTCATACTCTTAAATAGGTCGACCAAAACCCAGAAATATATAACAGATTCCCAAAATATTCTTTAAGACACTGAAAATTTAGAAAGGAGTTGGGATTCAGACATTTTACTTATTTACTTCAAAGAAATTTATTTTTAAAGTTGTGGGGAAAAGTAAAGAACAGCATCAATAGTTCCTCCTATAATACAAAATTTAATCTTAAAAAAAAACCTAGGTAGAGATTATAGTATTGCTTGGAATGAAGTCTTTAAATAGCATGCACAGCCAGAATCTGAATTCTTTCAACATTTCCTACCATTTTTTTCTCTGTCAAAGCTTTTTTCGGTTTATCCTTGCTCAAGATTGTGAATAATCAATGTTAGTGTCAATTATTCACAATCTTGAGCAAAAATAAATAGTACGATCGTACTATAGTATGATTCGTGCTATCGTACTATTTATTACTATTACAAATAGTCTATTGTACCATTGGTAATATTATAATTCTCCCAAATGATCAACAAGTATAAACTGTTATTTCAGTTTAAGAATTATTTGCTTGAAAGTTTTGCTGCCCAGGGATTTTGCAGTGCACACAGAAAGGTACTTGCTAGCATTTTGGCCTTTTATGTCAATAATGCTTTAACAATAGGCACAAAAGAGGAAGAATTCATGTGAAGAAGTTAGCAACTCCTATTTTGTTTCAATACAGCAGGGATCTGAACTCAAACAAAGGAATCTGAACTTGGAGAATATCTTCAGGTCATTTCATCAACGTTGCTCATACTTGGCACCTTTGATCCTTAGTATCTTCCTTTCTCTGTCTTCTACCACTTTGTTTAAGGTTTGCTTTAAAAATTATCCCTTCTGTGGAGCCTTTCCCGACTACTTAGGGTGTTTTACTTTTGTTTTCACAGTGCTGTGCACACATTTCAGTTATGGGTTTTTATAGTTTACCTGTCTATTTAGCCCACTAAACTAAGAATTATTAAAGGAATATCATTTATTTTTGTAACCTAGCATTAGCACAGTAGCTGGCACATAGTTTGTGTCTAATAACTTGTTTTTAATAAATTAATACACTCTCAAAAATAATACAATTATATCACGTTACCATAGATTACTCAGTTTTTACTGTATATTAATTCCAAAAGAGAATACCCTGTAGTCTGTCAGAGAAAGGCACTCTGCAAATTGTATTAACTAGTTACTGACTTCGAGACTGTGTTAGTGTATAATAATAGCTAACATTTGCTAAGACTTTATATATGCTAGGCACTATAATGAATGCTCTATATGTATTGATCCTCTTCCAAATCTTAGGTATAATTATCATTCGTACAATTAATACCACACTTGAAGTTAAGTGTTTGAGTAAGATTCAACTCCAGGCAAGCTGACTCCAGAGTCATCGTTCTTAATCATTAAGGTTGGCTTATTTCTAACCTATGTGATTTAAGGTTGGCTTATCTCTAACAAATACACCATTGAAACACCACCTATTGGATGCTCAACTCAAGGGCTACCAGCAGTTTGTGAAGTACTTTAAATTTTAAGGCAGCCTCTCTTCTTTTTTCTCTTGCTGTGTACTTGTAAATAAATGTGTTTTTTCTTTCCAATTTTATTTTATATTCAAGGTGTACAACATGCAGGTTTGTTACATGGGTAAATTGCATGTTGCAGGGGTTTGCTATACAGATAATTTTGTCATCCAGCTAACTAGCATAATACCTGAGAGCTAGTTTTTCAATTCTCACTCCTCCTACCCTCCATCCTCAAATGGGCCCTCTTGTCTATTGTTCCCTTCTTTTTGTCCACATGTACTCAGTGTTTAGCCCATTTAACAGTAAGAACATGTAGTGTTTGCTTTTCTGTTCCTGCATCAACTAACCTAGGATAATGGCTTCCAGCTCCATCCATGTTGTTGCAGAGGCCAGGATCTGATTTTTTTTTAATATCTGTGTAGTATTCTATGGTGTATAAGTACCATATTTTCTTTATTCAGTCCACCGTTAAAGCTAATTCACCGGATCAAGTAGGCTTTATTCCTGGGACACAGGTTGGTTTAACATATGCAAATCAATAATTGTGATTCAGTACAGCAACAGAACTGAAAACAAAAACCTCATGATCATTTCAATAGATGCAGAAAAGGCTTTTGATACAATACAACATGGCTTCATGCTAAAAACCATCAACAAGCTAGGCATCGAAGGTACATACCTTAAAATATTAAAAGCCATCTATGACAAACCCACAGCAACATCGTACTGAACAGGCAAAAGCTGGAAGCATTCCCCATGAGAACTGAAATGAAACAAGGATGTTCACCTTCACCATCCCTATTCAGCATAGTACCAGAAGTCCTAGCCAGAGCAATCAGGCAAGGAAAAAAAATAAAAGGCATGCTAACAGGAAGAAAGGAAGTTAAACTATCTTTCTTTGCAGATGATATGATACTACACCTAGAAAACCCCATAATCTCTGCCCAAAGGATCTTAGATCTGATAAACAACTTCAGCAAAGTTTCAGGATACAAAATCAATGTACAAAAATCAATAGCATTTGTATATACCAATAACATCCAAGCTGAGAGCCAAATCAAGAATGCGGTCCTATTCACAGTAGCCACAAAATGAATTAAATACCTAGAATACAGCTAACCAGGAAGGTGAAAGATCTCTACAACAAGAATTACAAAACACTGCTGAAAGAAATCAGAGATGACACACACAAGTAGAAAAACATTCCATGTTCATGGATAAGAAATTTCAATACTGTTAAAATGGCCATACTACAAAAAGCAATTTACCGATGCAAGGCTATTCTTATCAAACTACCAAGGACATTTTTCATGGAACTGGAAAACAAACAAACAAACAAACGACATTCCAAAACTCAATTGGAACCAAGAAAGAGCTTGAATGGCCAAAGCTATCCTAAGCAAAATAACAAAGCTGGTGATTTCACACTACTGGACTTCAAACTATACTGCAAGGCTACAGTAACTAAAATAGCATGGTACTGTTACAAAAACAGACAGACCAATCAAACAGGTTAGAGAACCCAGAAATTAAGCCACACACCTACAACCATCTGATCTTTGACAAAACCAACAAAAACAAGCAAGGGGAAAATGACACCCCATTCAATAAATGTTGCTGAGGTAACTGGCTAGCCATATGTAGAAGATTGAAACTAGACCCCCACCTTTCACCTTATACAAAAATCAACTCAAGATTAAGGATTTAACTGTAAAACTTAAAACTAGAAAACCCTAGAAGAAAATCTAAGAAATACCACTCTGGACATTGGTCTGGGCAAAGACTTCATGAGGAAGACTCCAAAAGCATTTTTGCTGTTTGTTACCCTTTTTCCTCTTATAAGTCCCCAATAAAATACTACAAAACACTGAAACTTACGTTTACTAAAGAAAGATTGCTTGTCGCTACCAAAGGATGAAAAAAGTTACCTACAGAACAGTTCTATGCACTTACTGATCAAGAAATATCAGTGTTATAAGTAAAAACATAGAACTTCTCATATAGCAAAGTCTATTTTTTTTTTGTAATTAACACAGATAATACATATACATGTAATATCCTTCCTGATTATGAAGAACTTTTATATGCAATGTCTGTGTAGGTTCCTGAAAGTTAGATGTTATTTTTCCTTTTTAAAATAGAATATTATTGAGAATCAGAAAAGTGACTTAGAGGTTCTTAATCCTGTATGTATATTTAGAGTCACCTGAGTATCTTAACAAATCAACAAAACCATGCCAACCTTGGCATTTTTTAAGCACTCCCCAGACAACTCTAATGAGAGGTAAGTGAGAACCACTGAGTCAAACGAATCATTCAAGACTTGCAAGCTGAACCTTAAATCCTGGACCTTAGACTCCACAGGTTTTGGATGACCATGTCCACCTCTTCAAATACAAACCCTTTTGGGTGTCTTTTTAAGGGATTATTGACACCCTTAATTATGTTACCACATGTGCAATGGAAGATTGCTTATTTTTAAGAGTAAGTTTAGATGAATAATATCAGCTACAGGTGCCTAATGTGTCTCCTTCTGAAAATTTCATTAGATTACAGAAAGGTGAGGTACTATAGGGAGGTCTGTGGGAAATATAACAATCTCTGTGGGCTCCAAAATCTCTATCAGCTCCTGAAAAGCTTTCCAACTAAACAATAGAACAATATGCTTGCAGGGCTAATGTCCCTTGAGGAGAATTCTGGCCCTCCTTTCTGAAAGTTTGTAATCTTTCAACCTTTCATATATAAAATCTGGAGTTTCCCCTGATAGTCTAACAGTTTCTCCCAAAGTTTTGATGTTGGAATGTCTCTTCTAGGTACCTGTTCAGGCTGAAAAATTTTCAAGATTTCTATGGGTTTTTAAAAAGGTGTTGTGTGTCGGTAAGTGCCTGCCTCTAAAGTAATTCAGACCTAGACAGGCGGTATAATTAACACCTTCACACTCAACAACCACCAGGACTTGAAGTATGACTTGCTGCCACAAATGTTACTGCTGTGATAAACCTGGAATTCGGTGCAAGAAGAACAAGTCCTGTTGTGAGTAAGCTCAGTTACAGCTGTTCTCTGACACAGCTATGTTTGCTCAGTTTGTAAGGCTGGACTTTTGCTTTGGCTATGGCTTTGGCATTGAGGTTCTCCCCAGCAATTTCAGTTTCAGGTGTACATCCAGCCCTTTCTTGGAGCTCTGCTTTGAATCACTTTCTTTTTGGCTGAGACCCACACAACCATTGATTGAGATGAAGTCCAAAGGAGCCATTTCTCTGTGGTCACTAAAAATACAAGCTGCTTCATACTGATCTGAAGGAAGCCACATTAGAAAATCTTGGTGGTGCACTGTGGTCAGACAGAAAGGGATCTGGAGCTCAGTTCTGCTGAGCAGTAATTGGTTTCTGTACAGTGTAGACTTGATCCTGTAAGTTTCCAGATGACATGGACAGATGTGAGGAGGTAAGTACAATAAGGAGAAATAAAGATAGCATTTCAGCAAATACCAGTGCCTGCTTCAATGTATTAGCTTGGTTACATCTATTTTTAAGATATAACCAACCACTCATTGTCTGTTTTTCATTTATCGTTGTTCAGATTGAAATATACAGATGCACAGGCAAATTCATAAGTTGTATTTTAGTGTAGAAGAAAGGAGCTTGAACTAGGAATAATGCATCTATTCCCAACTTGGCCATTCCTGCTTGGCTTTCACAAATCATTCCACCTCATTTACTCCAAAACTTTCGGGGTTTGGGTAGAGAATTTCTAAGTTGTCTCCTAGTTCCAAGTATATTGATGGGAGACTGGCATAGGCTTACAAGAGCCAATTATGCACATTTTTTTTTCCCAGCTCTGTGTTTAGTGACATCAGTTGGTAGCTTGAAGTCTACTGTGTGGGAAGTATTTATGCCATGGAAAATGGGAAATGCTATAAATAGGGACTTTTTTTTTCTTTTTCAAAGACAAAATTTATCAGCACAGCACTGTTGGATATCTGCAATACCCTGGTGCTATGGAGCACATACATAGTAACTGGGAATTTGCTATAGTGCCCGACTTGTAGAAAAGCACAGCAGACCTCTCTGTGACAAATATGGGATTTACACACACTGCAGCTCGACTTGGATACTCTGCTATTGTATGTGATGTATCTAAAATATTCTGCATTTTTGTAATCTACTTTGTTGAAAGAAAAGAATAAAAATGTAATAGGGAAGGGGAAGTTTTATAAATGCTGTGTCAAAATTTCTTTTTAAATTTTTCTCATATTTCTCCAGATTTATGACCTATTAATATATTTCTTCCATTACTCTTTAATAATTAAGTTCTCTTATTCTATCTGAAATATTAAATTGGTGCAGAAGTAATTGTGGGTTTTGCCATTAAAAGTAGCAGGTGACCTATTGTTTGGGTTAATTCAGAATATAGAGGCAGGAAGAAATAACGGAGTCAATAATTTAGAGTAAAAATTCCTGATATAAATCAAGCCCATTCATCTTGCCAAGACTCCTGCATGTCTTTCCTCTATGTCTTACAAAATGTTCTTGACCACTCACATATAGAGGAAGAATAGGCAAAGAGCAGGAAAAAGCTATGGACCAGGCAAAGAAGCAGCATTTACTCTGATCAGCCAACAAACCTTAGCTAAGTTGAAAAATTAATACCCTGTAGGGCTTGCTTTTCTTTTGGAAAACTATGTTTCCATCTCCAATTCCTGTCATGCCCACTGTCCCAGTATACAGTTGTCATAACGATCCTTTCTGACATGGAAAATTGTTCCAGTTTGCTTTTGGAAATGTGATTCAATCTTGCTAGCAGGGATTCCCTTGAAAGATCCTTGACCCATTCTCAGGATGCTCTCAGTTTGCCAGAAACAAGCAACAGAGTGAATGGAGTTTCACAAAGATGGAATTCAGGAGTCTTCATGAGTATAATTCCTCTTCAGGGCTGCCCTCACACTGCTGCCAAGACCCAGCATGGTGCCTCCACGAGGGCACCTACTCTTCTCTTTCAAAGATATCCAATTACTCAGGCTCCAAGCTATGAAGCAGGGGTTCAGTGAGCATGAAGTGGTTCTTGGGACCCTCTGGAGAAGCAAACATTGACAGGTAATGTCATAGCTGCCTGTCACTATTCAATAGGGTTAATCTCTGGGCAAGTTCCCGGCACACACAGTGTTGCTTTTAAGTCCTGCTGATTTGGATTCAAGTTTTTCCCCTTTGAGCATTTTGCCTGAAATTTCTGTTTGACTTGGAACTCCACAACTACCAAATTAAGTGAAATGAGCATGATAAAAAAGTTCATTGAAATTTACCACAGCCATTTGAAGAAACTTCCAATAAAACCAGAAAGAGAGCCAATGGCCATCCACCCAGCAACATAAAACAAAGAGCTGCCCACTAGGAGATGGAGTTAAAACACTAAAGAAATCAGTAACAGGAAGAATTGAACTTTTCTACAGTCTCCACTTATCTAAACTTCAGGCCTTCCCAAGAATTAGCAAAATCCATCTGGAGTACCCAACAAGCTTCTCAACAGAGATGACCTTGCTTTTACTTTGCAAATGCAAAGCATTAAGCAAGCACACACAGGCAAACAAAACCCCTATAAACAAACACAGGTAAGAGAGTGGTGGGGTCCTTTAAGGTTCTCTGTCCTACACAGCCATCACTAAAGTAAGACGTTGTCTTTTGTTCTCTGTGGCTCTGCCCTACTTGAGTAGCAAAGATACATGGATAAGTGGGGATGATATGCAGTAGAAAAGATTTTCCCCTCAGAAAGCAATAGGTCCATTTTTTGGAGACACATTTCCAGTTTTGATAAAATGAGAAAGTATTGGCATGCTATTGGTTGAAACAATAATATTCTTAATAAAGAAAACTACAGTTCATAGATGGTGAACTCACACTGGCTATATCACCTATAAAAACTAACCAATTGCTTTAAGAAATAAATTTTTTTTAAAGTGTAAGGTCAGGGAAAAAAAAATCCAAACAGTCAAAATGGCATCTAGCTTCTAATGTGTATGCATAGTATATGTATTTTGTCACTATATATACATATATATACGTATATATAGTCAGATGTGTTTTTGTGCAGGACACACACACACACACACACACACACACAAACATCCTGCACATGATAAACGCTCAATAAACATTCGATGTCAAATAACTAGTTGATTGATTATATCATGTAGCCTTTAACTGCTGCCTTGTGAATAGAATCAAAGACTGAATAGTCCATTACCACACAGGTAATGGCACATGTGTGTAATAAACTTTAGATATTGGCATTCCTTCTCTATTCTACTTAATTTATTGTGTTAACATTTTCCTAGTAATTTTTCCTCTATTTGTATTTTTATTCTTCCTTAAACCACATTTCCAGACCAGGCTATCCCGGGGCTGTAGTATCTGATGATGAAGCAGATTTGTTAAATTTTTGCAAACAATATTCATAGTTATAACATGTGTGCGCGCTTTCTTAGATTTTTGTGTGGAAGTTCTTTCATCATTTTTTACCAGTATCCCTTTGGGATATCTCAAGACCCCAACATCTGGTTAGTGGTTTCTTGGAAAGGCATACTTTTTCAATACATAATGTTCTTTTTCTTAAAATAACAATAACAATCTAATTTGCACGCTTTTAGTAGCTTAAAAAGTTGAATAAATTCACTTTTTCTTAATAACTGTCATCTTCCCTCTTGCCATACTTCAGTGCACCTGCTCTGAAATACCATAAAGCTATAGGTTAAAAATATGTACACAAATAATTTGGGAAGTAAATATGCAAAATAAGGCAATAATTGGATAACACAATAAAAACTAAAGCCATGATCCCGTTTGTGTGGGAGAGGTAGAATGGGTACAGGTTTAGTGTCAATATCTTTACTTTAAACCACAATCATTTTCTGTTTGATGTCTTTTTTTTTTAACCTCCTCTGAGACTCAGTTTCTTCATCTATAAAATTGGCGGACTGCTACATCAGGCTTTTCATAAATATCATTTATTTACTTAAACAAACAGTGCTGTAATGCTTGCTCTATCTCAGGCAGTGTTCTAACCACTTTCAAAATTGTAATTTATTTAATTGTCAAGGCAGCCTTATGGAGTAAGTACTTCCAGTTCCACTAAGGAAACAAGACACTTAGACGTGATGACTTTCTCCTAGAAGGCCTTCAGCTAGTGGCCTACCAAGGGAGGGAGCAATTGAGGTGGTCTACTCTAGGTGCAGGTGATGAATGTCTGCCTTTTAAGGAGATAATTTAAAGACAGTAACAAAACCAACTAATAGTTGGTCTGCATTTATTATCAGGCCCTGACAATTCTAAGCAGTTTTCATGAAAAAATATATCTCCCCTCAGGGTGGATGACTCCCATCCCTCATCCCTAAATATCCATTGCTCTGAATATTTTTAACATTGTTTATATATAAAATAATAGAAACAGAGTTTGTAAAACTTTTGAAAATTTAGAAAAATATGAATAGACTGTAGGACTAAAAATAGTCTTGAAGCAGTTATATATAATAGAGTATATATATATATATGTATGTGTATATATATATATATTTGTTCATTTTCACACTGTTACAAAGATACTACCTAAGACTGAGTAATTTATAAACAAAAGAGGTTTAATTGACTCACATTTCCACATGGCTGGGGAGGCCTCGGGAAACTTACAATCATGGTGGAAGGTGAAGGGGAAGCCAATGCACCTTCTTCACAAGGCCACAGTTAGGAGAAGTGCCAAGGGAAGGGGGAAGAGCCCGTTATAAAACCATCAGATCTCGCAAGAACTCACTATCATGAGAACAGCATGGGGGAAACCACCCCATGATCCAATCACCTCCCAACAGGTCCCAACCCCCAAACATGGGGATTACAGTTCAGATTACAATTTGAGATGAGATTTCAGTGGGGACATAGAGCCAAGCCGTAACAGTGTACATAGAGTATAGTTAGGTATATATGGTGTGTGTATAAACATAAACATATACACACATTATACATATATACAACTGTATTTAGGTACATAATACCTTCTTTCTCTTAGGATAATTAACATATCAGTGGCATCTGCATTTTGCCTTTATACTATACACAGATGCTCACTGGAGATTTGAGAGTTGGTAATATTTCTAAATGCACCTTTCTCACTACTTGCTTCTTTTTTGAAAAATGTGAATAGACATTTTCAGAGGCAGTTGCAGATTAAAATATATGGTTCCTAAAGTAACAATAATCATAATGACAACAACAAAGTATAAAAGAGCACTCCCTTCACCATTTTTAAACCAAAAAATTCAAGTGTGTCTAAACCCTATGAAGGCTGATTTAATTGAGTAGTGAATCTATCTGAATTCTGCTTCAAATGCTGTATGGAAAAGTCATATTTTACAGTGCATATTATACAGATTGGCTATTTCAATTAGAAGTACAGTGGGTGATTTTTCAACTATTCGCTTGGCTCTGCTGCTAAGTCATTTGGATATCTTAAGCTGCAGTGTATGCCAGTGCAATGGAGTCAATTTTGACAACTGATATGTTTTTTTTTCATGACAATATTGAAGTTTATTTTGGGTGGTAAATTTAACCAAGATATTAGAGGAGATTTACAAATATTAATCTTTGGGCCATCTTTTCTTCTATTCAATGCACTCATCTGTTTTTACGTTCTTGACAAGATTGTGTAATTGAAAGCTTTGGACTTTGAGCCAGGGATTTTCAGGTTCAAATTTTATCTACACTGCTTACTTGTGATGTAACATTGGCTTTAACCTCCTTTTCTGGAAATAGGTGAGACAACGCTTACATCACAAGGTAGGCTCTGAAGCTTAAATGGATTAACTCTACATCAAGTGTAGTTTCTTCCCTTGTATCTTCCTCTCTTCTTCCACTTCTCCAAACATCAAAATACTTTAAAATAGTCCCAAAGAGTAGCAATCTGTACATTTCTCCTTCAGTGAGATTACTATCTTTAGAAAGTCCCTAGGTAAGGTTTGGTGATGGATTAAATGTCAGTATGAACAGGTGAATGAGGTCTGGCTTGCCCAGCACACATGGCAGATTTATCCAGACAGGATTATGACTTGGAGTGTGTACGTTTCCTGCTATGCATATGCCAATGTCACGAGGCATCTGGGGAGGAAATTCGGCCTGTTCATTGTTGAACAAAGCACCAAAAAATGTCCAGTATGTTTATTATATAGTTATTTTAGAATAAAGGAAAAGCAAAACTATATTTCAACATTAAAAAATGTTGATGTATACTTAGAATTTTTTGTGTGTGCCAAAAGAAATAGAACGTTCCCTTGCAAAAGTGTGTATTGAAGTGAAATGAAACAAATGGCCCTTTATTTATTTATGTAAGGCTAGACATTGGGTATATTGCATCATTTAAGCTTCATCCTTACACTTCATTACCTACTAAAAATGGGCCCTGCTTGTAAGTATTTGTGTAATCAGTGATGAGCTGTGATTTGAGATGGAATGGTGCAGACCAAGCATTAGAAGAAAAAAAAATGTACTTGATCTTTTGGGACACTAAGAGAATATTTGCTTCAAAATTGGAAATTTCCTAAACTCTAAGTTCAAAAATCATAGAAATACTCTGTTTCCCAGACACACTGAACCACAAATTACATGTTGATAGCTTAGAAATAATGTTTCCAATAATAATAATAGATATGTAAAAATTTTGGAATTTAGTGAGAACCGAAAGTCAGACTTGAAGGCCTATATCCTCAGATTTTCTTATTTTTCAGTGGGATAAAATTCAAATTGCCTTTAGCCAACATTAAATAGCTGCCACAGTTTGGCTAGGCCTTACCGTATCTCTCACCACTTTCCAAAGCTCTGCTATGGCTGGAGTAGAATATGCACTGCTCCCTCCTCCTGAACCAACCAACCAAACAAACAGAAAACCCACAAAAAAACAAAAACAAACAAACAAGTGTGCATTTTCTGTCTTCTATCCCTTTGTAAGATCTGTTCTTTCTAATAGCAATTCCTTTCTTCCTCCTCCCT
The DNA here is from genome assembly GCF_000001405.40 of Homo sapiens. Lineage (NCBI taxonomy): Eukaryota > Metazoa > Chordata > Mammalia > Primates > Hominidae > Homo > Homo sapiens. The sequence continues at coordinate 107,376,451 of NC_000008.11, read as the reverse complement.
GAACACTAATCAGGTTTGAGTTTAATTTTTACCTTTCCCATAAACAATTTCCCCTCCCCTCTAAATTGCAGCAATCTCTCCTGGAAAAGAACTCAGGGTTCCCCATACTTCCATATTGAAATTATTTCTTAAAATTTTGCTGCACGTTACCACATACATGGATCCTATCATTTCAACCACATGGCGAGCAACTTGTGGCAAGAGTTATGAATTTAAAATTTTGCAATGTTCTCAACTTGATTACATGTGGAAACATAGGCACAGAATGTTAGGCATGGAACAAGAGGGACATTATAATGCTGTGCTCTACTTCTTAAGGTTAAATGTCATGACATGATAGTTTAGAGAAGTTACATACTCATGAAGTGCTTCCTAAAGAAGGGAAATGTTTGGAAAAAAGGAATAGGGATAAAAATCTGTAAGAACAGAAATAGTACCTGAATAAAGAAAGCAAGAGGTCTCTTCCCATAGGCCCTTTCCTGGTTCAATCTCAAGAATAGTAAAATATACAAATCCAATTGGGTCATATTCTAGAACAATGATTGACCATATAGCCTGGAAGACAGGGGCAAGCTGCTTTAAAACTGCACACTCAGGAACACGGCCCTTTCTCTGGGCCTCCCCTGTGCTCTTATCAGGGCAGCTTCTCAGTGTTTCTCATGCTTCCTATTTCCATGTGGCCTGAGCAGTGAGGTCCAAGTCTTGTTGCTGGTACTTTCCTCTCTGCTTCATTCCATTCTTTCCTTGAGGTGCCCAATCCCACCCTTACCCTTGGTGGCAGTCCTAAACCAATATGGAGCCTGGCTAACGTCCCTCGTCCACTCTTCTTGCCTTCACTCATGTGTGCTCAATACACATATCAGGTCTGTCTCCTGTGGTTGGGAGGAGGATGGTAAAATACTAATATTTGAATGTTAGTTTCAGTGGAGGATTGGCTGGCCTTCTTACACTTCAGCACTAGGCTTTATACTTCAGCAAAATTTGAGAGCTCTGTATTGAAATTTGGTACAAAATCCCAATTAATAATAATGTAGAATTTAGCTTTCTTTTGACCATTGTCCCCTGGCTTAATATTTCCACAGGGTACCTCAAGGGAACAAGGCCATTGCTGGACAAAAGAAGGATTTAAGCATTTCTTTTTTAAAAAAATACTAACTGCCATATTTGTTAAGGGTTTTCAACAACCTTATTTCTATAACTGGCAATTTCTGTTCTTATTTATGCTAAATTTTATCATAAATAATTAGATTTATCCTGATAGTTTTTTTCGTTTGTTTGTTTGTTTGTTTGTTTGAGATGGAGTCTCACTCTGTCACCAGGCTGGAGTGCAGTGGCATGATCTCGGCTCACTGCAAGCTCCGCCTCCTGGGTTCAAGCGAATCTCCTGCCTCAGCTTCCTGAGTAGCTGGGACTGTAGGCGCGTGCCACCACGCCCAGCTGATTTTTGTATTTTTAGTAGAGACAGGGTTTCACCATGTTGGCCAGGCTGGTCTGAATCTCCTGACCTCGTGATCCGCCCTCCTCGGCCTCCCAAAGTGCTGAGATTACAGGCGTGAGCCACCGCGCCTGGCCAGATTTAAGCATTTCTTATCTCCCTAGCTAAATACCATCTGATACCATCCAGATTTCCACCAGAATTTTTATCAGTGAAGAGTAGGTTTCTCCATTCCCTTCTGGGGACTGAGGGTGGGATCAGGTCAGTCTGGGAAATGCAAGTCAATTCTTTGGCCAATAGCCATGTGCTCCCTTTTTGTCAGATAGATTGTTCTAAGAGAGACAGACTGCTTTTAGACCATTAGACAGAAGGCAATTTGCGACCAGACAGAAATAGTCCAGAAGTGTCCACCAGTAGCCCATATAATGCTTTTGAGAGAATTAGAAAACCGCCCAGTCCTACAACAGGCATTGGAGTTTAGTGAGCTCAAAGTGAATTGGATTTCGTCCCCCACTTACACCCTTGGCTGGCTGCCTTGGGCAGGACAGAATCTGCAAGACTCTGTGATGACCTCCTGCCAGAATATACAGTGCATGTGAACATGTTAGTTTAATTTGTTTTTCTTCTTTTAAGGTATATTTCCTCATGAGAACTGCCATTGTGTAAAATACAATTAAATGTAAATATTATACTTTCTAATCTTATAATAATTTCCTGATAAAGATATCTGATAAACTAGTCTATAGCATTATATTACAGTCTATTGCAGTTGGCTCTTCTGGTCTCCTGTTTTCTTACGACTGCTATATTTGATCATACTTTTAAGATGGAAATAACCTGGGCTTTATCCATTCAATAAAAAAAGGTTGGCAAGCCCTTTTTATGAGTAAATGGAAAGGGTTTTGCAAGGCAGCATATATAAAAAAGAAACATTAATCCTAACCCTTCACTCTCTTAAATGGGAATTAAGGTCAATATTCTTAGAGCAGCAAATTGAAGTGGTGCTAAGTTCAGAAATTCTTTGGAAAGGGAACCAAACAGCTGACTTTCACTGGAGAAAGAAGCATTTCACGAGTTGAGTGCTAGCATAGGCAGTATCTTTCCAAGACTCTTCTTCTTAACTAAGTCATTTCTTCTAAGAGAATAATGAGAGGTCATTTAAAAAGATCATTATGTTCATCTACTTAATTCTCTGTTTTTAATAAGTCTTTCTACTTCATTATAAGACACAATAAGTCAGATTTTTCCTGAAAGCCCAGGTTGTACCTGAAGGGAAAGTGAGGCACTTAGAAAAATATGGTAAATCTTTCAGTTCATCAGACTTGCTAAGGCATTAAAGAATATATTCAAGAGAGCCCCTAGAAAGAAAAACTTCCATCATCGTAGAACTTATCTCACTTCTTTCTTCAGGCTCAAGTGGTAAATAGTATCTTTTTGGAGAGGAAATGTCTCTGTGAATGATCCCTCATGGACTACATCATTTCACTCCTTCAATCCACCTCTCATTCCTTCTTCCAACATGACAGATATACTCAAACCCAACAGCACTGCATTTGCTATCCAGTTTCCAGAGTGGTCAATTGTATCATTTTCATGTTTCAGCATATTTTAAAATTCAACCTCTGAATCTTAAATAAGATGCTGTGACTTAGAAACCCATTGGTAAAAAGACAGTGTTCCTTCAAAATTTGTATGTTTTCTTCAGATCTCCTCCAAATACACTCTCTAATTCAAAAAAAAAAAAATCTATTTTGTACTTGACTAAAAATAGTGTTGAAGTTAATGACCACTTAAGAGAGTAGGTAATTGAGATACTGAAAAGTTAGGAAATGGAGAAGGATTTACACTTTGTCAAAGAGGTCATTTTTAGCACCTTATCACAGCAACAGCATAAACTCCTTGTAAATTTAGTTCTGACAGCATTGGGATTATCACTTTTCTGTCTGAGATAAACTTGCATGTAGTCACCATTTGTATAAATGTCTCAAATGTTTTAGCATGACAATAAGGTAAATCACATTTTAATTGCAGGTAATAGTTTTCAAAGTACTTCACAATAATTTCGTGTTGTTAGCCCCATGTTAAAGAGGAGGAGACTGAGGCAGAGAAATTGAGCCTTACCTTTAGGTCATGTGAATACCTGGCGTAGACTCTAGTCACGCTCACGTCTTCTGCTTGGTGGCTTTAGGTACATATAACGTATATAACACAAAAATCCAGAGGAAAATGTAATGTCGGTGAGCTACTAACCAAGAGGAAAGTATCTTTTGTTGTTTCCTCCTCACTGGAGAACAGATGGTCATAGACCTGCATTCTAATCGTTACTGTGTCACTGCATTTCTGTGAGACTTTCTTTCTCTGGGCCATGGTCTTTAAGGAGCAGACATTTCGAGAAACAGCAGCCGTGATCATTTCAGCTCTAACATTGTGTTTCTGTTTCTGTTTTGAAAATATGGCCAAATCTTAGTTATCTGATAAGTTAAATAATAGAGTTAAACATGAAACTAATAGTTTCAATCTCTGCCTTTTATTAGAATACAGGATAAGAATTAGACAAATGCATTTGGTTCTATTACATGGATTGTAATTTTAGAGGCACCAGGAGAATGGTCATCTCCTAAATAACCCCACATTTCCCGACATTTTTTTCTTATATCCCTTTATTAAATACACACACATACTTGCTCAAAATGGTAGCAATTATTTATATCAGTAGTTCTCAGCTGGGCATGATTTTGCCACCAATGGACATTTGGCAATATTTGAAGACAGTTTTACTTGTTACAGCTGGGAGGCACTACTGGTATCTAGTAAACTGAGGCTCTGCTACATATAACACATGGATTTCCTCACACAAACATGCACACACAATGAAACATCACCTTGCCCTAAGTGTCAATAGTTTTGAAGTTGAAAATTTCTATTTAAATCTATAAATAACTGAACAACACTCCTAATATCATACAACACATTTTTTTTTCTAGTAATTTCACTTTTGGTCCATATGACATAGGTATGATACATATATTTTCAATGATAAAATCATCACCTCAGCTTATAAGGCTCCCTGAGATCCAAAAGGTCAGAATTTAATTGAGCAAACAGCATCTTTTAGAAAATTAAAACAGCCAGAAGAGCAATAAGTTGGAAACCATTCATTCATGCCTTTATGTGAATTAAGGTAATGAGAAGTTATTGTGGGGAAAGGCAGTCCTGGGTAAATGCCATAGAAGAGGGGTTTAGGCAGGTGGAAGACAGCATAAGAATGCCCGGCACCACAGGCCTGCTGGTGGGTGCCTGTAAACCCAGCTACTAGGGAGGTTGAGGCTGGAGAATCACTTGAACCTGGGAGGTGGAGGTTGCAGTGAGCCAAGATTGTGCCACTGTACTCCAGCCTGGGCAACAGGACTAGACTCTGTCCAAAAAAAAAAAAAAAAAAAAAAGAATGCTCAGCACCAAGAGAGAGGGGATTGAAGAAGGATTATGGTGCCCAATTTTGCCAACTTTCAAATTTAGTCTAACTAGCCTCCACCACAAACCACAAAGAGTAGCAGAACACATATGTAAGCTTCAGTGTTCTTCTTTTTTCTGGTTCAACTTCCAATGAGATGTGATTTTCAAAATAGCTGAGGACTGGGGAGAACAAGAGTGAAAAGAGATGCTGACAAATTCACAGATTGACTGACAAATTATTTTATTGGCTGCTTGGGATTAGTAGTCTCAATGATTTAGAAATTGCATCAGTAGACTCTAGTCCACACTGTGTAGTTTGATTTGAAAGCCTAAAAGTAAACACTTTGATCCTACTACACTGATTATTTAGTTTATTTCTCTTTTTCCTTTTCCTTTTCCAGCCTTAAAGTTACCATGTAACACATACATAAAAACCCTATTGAGATGGCATCTCGCCAGGTTCAAGCTGTAACTGTTTGCATCGATTATCTGTTGGTTGCCTAACAAATTATACCAAAATTTAGTACAGGCCTACCTTGTTTTATTTCACTTCACTTTATAGCATTTTACAGATATTGCTTTTTTTTTTTTTAAACAAATCAAAGGTTTGTGGCAACCCTGTGTCGAGCAAGTCTATTGACACCATTTTTTCAATGCCATATGCTCACTTTGTGTCTCTGTGTCACATTTTGGTAATTCTCATTATATTTAGAACTTTCCCATTATCATTTTATCTGTTATGGTTATTTGTGATTAGTGATTATTTTCCTCTTTTTTTTCTTTTCATTGTCCTTCCTTCCCTCCTTCCTTCCTTCTTTTCTTCCTTCCTTTCTTCTTCCTCTTTTTTTTTTTTTTTTTTTTTTGACAGAGTCTTGCTCTGTCACCCAGGCTGGAGTGCAGTGGCGTGATCTCAGCTCACTGCAACCTCTACCTCCTGGGTTCAAGTGATTCCCTTGCCTCAGCCTCCTGAGTAGCTGGGATCACAGGCACACGCCCACCATGCCCGGCTAATTTTTTTATTTTTAGTAGAGACCATGTTGGGCAGGCTGGTTTCACCATGTTGGTCAGGATGGTCTTGAACTCCTGACCTCATGATCTGCACACCTTGGCCTCCCAAGGTGTTAGGATTATAGGCCTGAGCCACTGACCCTGACTCTTTCTTTCTTTCTTTCTTTCTTTCTTTCTTTCTTTCTTTCTTTCTTTCTTTCTTTCTTTCTTTCTTTTTCTTTCTTTCCTTTCTCTTTCCTTCCTTCCTTCTTTCTTTCTTCTTTCCTTTTCTTTCTTTCTTCTTTCCTTCTCTTTCTTTTTCTCTCTCTCTCTTTCTTCCTTCTTCCTTCCTTTCTCCTTTCTTTCTTTCTTTCTTTCTTTTTTTCTTTCTTTCTTTCTTCTTTCTCTCTTTCTTTCTTTCTCTTTCTCTCTCTCTCTTTTTGACAGGGTCTTGCTCTGTTGCCCAGGCTGGAACACAATAGCATGATCATGGCTCTCTGAGCCTTGACTTTCCCATGGCTCAATCAATCTTCCCACCTCAGCCTCCTGAGTGGCTGGGACTGCAGATGCGTGCCACCACACCCAGCAAATTTTATGTTTTTGTGGAGACAGAGTCTCTCTATATTGCCCAGGCTGATCTTCAACTCCTGGGCTCAAGCAAACCTCCCACCTTGGTCTCCCAAGTAGCTGGGAGGCTGCTGCACTTGGCACATCAGTGATCTTTGAGATCATTGAGATTGCTATTGTAACCGTTTTGGAGTGCCATGAACCACACTCAAATGAGTAGGAGAACTTCATCGATAAGTGGTATGTGTGTTCTGACTTCTCCACTCATGGGCCATTTCCTCATCTCTCTCCCTCTCAATGGGCCTCCCTATTCTCAAAGACACAAAAATATTGAAATTAGGTCAATGAATAACCCTACAGTGGCCTCTGAGTGTTCAAGTAAAAGGAAGAATTGTACATCTCTAGCATTAAAGCAAAATCTAGAAATAATTAAGCATAGTGAAGAAGGCATGTCAGAAACCAAGACAGGCTGAGAGCTAGGCTTCTTGCAACAAGCAGTTAGCCAAGTTCTGAATGCAAAAGAAAAGTTCTTGAAGGAAATTAAAATACTATTCCAGTGAATACACAAATGTTAAGAAAACAAAATAGGCTTATTACTAATATGAAGAAAGTTTTAGTAGTTTGGATAGACTATCAAACCAGCCACGACATTACCTTAAGCCAAAACCTAGTCCAGAGCAAGGCGTAACTCTCTTCAATTCTATGAAGGCTGAGAGAGGTGAGAGAGCTGCAGAAGAAAAGTTTGCATCTAGCAGAGGTTGTGGCTCATGAGGTTTAAGGAAAGAAGCCATTTTCATAACATAAAAGGGCAAGGTGAGGCAGCAAGTGCCGATGTAGAAACTGCATCAAGTTATCCAGAAGATCTAGATAAAATCACTGATGATAGTGGCTATACTAAGCAACAGATTTTTAATGTAGGTGAAACAACTTTATATTGAGGAAGATGCTTTCTAGGACTTGTGTAACTAGACAGCAAAAGTCAATGCCTGGCTTCAAAGCTTCAAAAGACAGGTTGACTCTCTTGTAAGGGGGATAACGCAGCTGGTAACTTTAAGTTGAAGACAATACTTATTTACTAACTCAAAAATCCTAGGGTCCTTAAGAATTATTCTTAAGAAATAAGTATAAGGAATATACTTATAAATAAGTATAAGGAATATACTTATAAATAAGTATAAGGAATATACTTATAAATAAGTATAAGGAATATACTTATAAATAAGTATAAGGAATATACTTATAAATAAGTATAAGGAATATACTTATAAATAAGTATAAGGAATATACTTATAAATAAGTATAAGGAATATACTTATAAATAAGTATAAGGAATATACTTATAAATAAGTATAAGGAATATACTTATAAATAAGTATAAGGAATATACTTATAAATAAGTATAAGGAATATACTTATAAATAAGTATAAGGAATATACTTATAAATAAGTATAAGGAATATACTTATAAATAAGTATAAGGAATATACTTATAAATAAGTATAAGGAATATACTTATAAATAAGTATAAGGAATATACTTATAAATAAGTATAAGGAATACTCATTTACTAACTCAAAAATCCTAGGGTCCTTAAGAATTATTCTACATCTACTCTGCCTGTGCTCTAGAAATGGAACCAAACAGCGTGAATGACAGCACATCTGTTTACAGCATGGCATGATGAATATTTTAAGCCCACTTTTGAGACTTACTGCTCAAACAAAAAGATTATTTTTAAAGTATTACTGTTCATTGACAATGCACCTGGTGACCCAGGAGCTCTGATGGAGATGCACAAGAATATTAATATTGTTTTTATACCTGCTAACACAATATCCATCCTGTAACCCATGGATGAAGGAGTAATTTTGACTTACTGGTCTTATTAAAGAAATACATTTTAGAAGGCTAAAGCTGCCATAGACAATGATTCCTCAGATGGATCTGGGCAAAGTAAATTGAAAACCTTCTGGAAAGGATTCACTATTCTAGAAGCCAGTAAGAACATTAGTGATTCATGGGAGAAGGTCAAAATATCCAAATTAACACAAGTTTGGAAGAAGTTGATGCCAACCCTCATGGATGATTTTAAGGGGTTCAAGACTTCAGTTGAGGAAGCAACTGCAGATGTGGTGGAAATAGCAAGAGAATTAGAATTAGAAGTGGAGCTTGAAGTTGTGACTGAACTGCTGCAATCTCCTGATAAACCTTAAATAGATGAGGAGTTGCTTCTTATGGAAAGTGGTTTCTTTACATGGAATCTACTCTTGGTCAACAACCATGAACATTGTTGAAATGACAACAGAGGATTTAGAATATTACATAAACTTCTTTAACAAAGTATTGACAGGGTTTCAGAGGATTGAGTCCCATTTTGAAAAAGTTCTACTGTGGTTACAATACTACCAAACAGTATAACTTTCCCCAGAGTGAGTGATCAAAGAGAGACAGAGAGAGACAGAGAGCATGCTTTAGATAAATCTTTAGTGAAAGGAACAGTCAATTGATATGGATAACTTCACTGTTTTATTTTTAAAAATTGTCACAGCCACTCCAACCTTTAGCAATCATCACCCCACCCTGATCAGTCAGCAGTCATCAACATCAAGACAAAACCCTCCACCAGCAAAAAGATTAGGATTCACTGAAGTCTCAGTTGATCTTCACCATTTTTTAACCATAAAGCATTTTTAAATTAAATATGTACCTTGTTTTTTAGGCATAATGCTATTTCACACTTAATAGACCACAGTATAGTGTAAACCCAACTTTTTTATGCACTGAGAAACCAAAAAGATTGTATGAGTTGCTTTATTGCACTATTTGCTTTATTGTGGTGGTCTGGAACCAAACCCATAATGTCTCCAAAGTATTCATGTAGCTTAAAATAGCAAATATTTATCATCTCATATAGTTTGTGAGATTTCGGGATCTGGGGATGGCTTAGCCTGGGTGATTCTGGTTCAGGGACTGCAATCTCTGAAGACCTGACTGGGGCTGCAGGGTCTATTCCCCCGTTGTTGTTGGAAGGCCTCAGTTTCTCACCATGTGGGTCTCTCCACCATAAGGTTTCTTACAGTATGACTTTCCCCAGAATGAGTGATCAGAGAGACAGAGCCCGAGAGACAGAGCCAGAGAGACAGAATGCAAATAGAACCTGTAGTGCCATTTACAATGCAATATTTGAAGTGGCATAGCATCTATTCTGCCATATTCTATTGATCACACAGATCAACTCTGATATAATGCAGGAGGGGACTATGCCAGGGTATAACTACCATGAGGTAGGGATCGCTGGACCATCTTAGAAGCTGATCACCATATTGATGTTGTCTTTAGATTCAATAATCAGTTTGAGTTCATCCAATTGAAGTGTTTATAAGTAACAATACGCAGTTAAGTTTCACAACTGTTAACTTAAAAATAATGACAACAAGCTTTCTGGATAAAAAACAGTGAGCCCATGTTCTAAGGACAACTGTGTTGAGTTTATTGTACATATATACAATGATCTTAAAAAAACACAGCAAACGTATTTCAGGTTTTGCCAGTTATATTTTTTTAATTGTACAGAGATACTTTTGTGCTAATTTAACCAGAATTCTGTTTAGTCTGCCCTGAAGTAGCAACTTTTGGCTTTTTGGTGGTGTAATATGATAAGAATTAGAAAGTATTTGAATGAGTAGGAATTAGAAAAGACTGACTTCTAATCTCTGCTCTCCCATTTCCTGTCTGCACAAGCAGAGCTAAATTCTAATCTCAGATGCTTTGTCCATGAAGTAGATTTAGTAAAACTCATCTCTGATGGTTGGTTTGAGGACTAAATGCTATGATGTGAGCAAACTATTTAGCACATTACTGGGCATATAGTGATAACATAATAAATAATATTTTGAGCATCAATTTCCAATTCAGTGTTTTGTAACTGAACATTATGACCACAGTAAGTTGAGAAAATTAAAAATGGATTGAGTCAAGCCTTTTTGTACAAATGAAATAAAATTAAACATTGTAAAAATATCAGAGGGTCAGAGACCTGGGTTCTAGTGTTTACTGTGTAATTGGATTTAGTATTTTTTAATGAAACTTTTATTTCTATTTGTGTATACAGGCAAAATCGTGTGTGTGTGTGTGTGTGTGTGTGTGTGTGTGTTGTATTTGTTTCTTGTCCTAATTAAAACTGCACTTCTTACTGTGGGTCACAGTCAAGAAAATGAGAAAACCACTACTTTAACCTGACTTAGTTATGTTTATGTTTTTTTCCTGAGAAGAACCAATCTTATTCTCTTCTAGTGATTGCATCTATCTGAATGTTTTGGAAGGCAGAGTATTTTAATGTCTCTTTGTTGGAGAGCCTCTTCCTGTTTACAATCCCATTGAAAGACGAAATCCCAATGCTCATGGAATCATGACCTTTCCATGTTAGACCAGTAGACATGCCCCAGATGAGGATACAGCTTATTGCTTCATGCCCAATACCATGGTGGTTGCAGATGCATTAATGGTGAGAGTCACAGGAAACTCAGAAATCTCAGTGGACTTACTCATTGGGAATTATTTTATATAGCAAGCAAGCATCCACAAGGACGTTTTTAGTTATAAGATTAAATAAAGAAGTGCTAAGCCCCTGAGGTTTATGAAATTCTAAACATCAATCTGTCTTAATAAGGCACTACTTCTCATGGGGGAGAGCACCATTTGAGGCTGCCCATTGTCAAGTATGCTGAGTTTCCGGTAGTGAACCATATGAATAAATGTGCTTTGTATTTATTCTAATGTCATATTTGCCTTGTCTTACCATTGCATTGATAGTATCATCAGTAACTTGAAATGCTTCAGCTTATCAGTCTATTTATCAATTTATCAGGAAGTTTTAATAAAAACCTTAAATGCTTGCAATATTGTTACTTTCTGGGCCCTTGTGTACTACATAAGGTGATGAATATTTTTATAATATGAATAATTCTATGCTTCATTCCTTGAAGTCAGATGTTCAGGTAGTTGTGTTAACTATAATGTTTAGAATGTCTTTTTTTTTCCCCCTTCTGCAATCTTCCTCCAATCCTTGCTCCCTACACCTCTTACCTGCACAGTTCTTTTCTGAAAGACATCTAGGAACTGCGTTCACTGCAGTCTCTCACTTTATTAATTGCTGGCCTAGCACTTTGTGGTCTATTCATCATTGAAATCATAATTACAGGTTTTTCTGGATTAAAATTGCTCAAGGAGAAAATTCCCTTTGAAGTTTTGAAACAACTAGCACGTGTTATACAAGATGTTTCTTTATATGCAAATGTCAGATACTTACACTTTGGTGTAGTTAGATTGGGAGAAGCAGTTTGAAAATCCATTAGAAGAATGGATTCTCTGGTGTGAGTGCATTTACAGTTATCAATGAGAAGACAATCAACAGCTAATATTAACCATCGGGCTGGGCACAGTGGCTCACGCCTGTAATCTCAGCACTTTGGGAGGCCAAGGCAGGTGGCTGGCTTGAGGTCTGGAGTTTGAGACCAGCCTGACCAACATGGCAAAACCCTGGTTCTACTGAAAATATAAAAATTAGCTGGGCATCGTGGCGCACACCTGTAATCCCAGCTACTAGGGAGGCTGAGGCAGGAGACTTGCTTGAACCTGGGAGATGGAGGTTACAGTCAGTCGAGATTTCACCACTGCACTTCAGCCTGGGTGACAGAGTGAGGCGCTGTCTCAAAAAATCGTAGTAATAATAATATTAACCATTGTATTATTTCATAAACCTCAGGGATTTAGCATTTCTTTATTTAATCATATAACTAAAAACATCCTTGTGGATGCTTGCTTGCTATATAAAAAATTCCAAAAGAGTAAGTCCACTGGTGGCCTTAAGGCTGGAAAAATTAGTAAATATATATAGTAAATGGCTTTCTGACATTACATTAAAATGCAATAGGATATTATTACCTATAGACTTTATGGCCAGCCTGTAGTATATAGATGTACTGAAATAGTGTTAAAAGGAAAGATACTTAGATTTGCGTAACTGTAGTATTAGTCAGTCAGCAAGTGTCAGTCAGGGGACTATATTTTTATAGCTACAGTTAATGAAATAGTTTCATTCTTGACAAAACTGCTTTGATGTAGATATTATTATATTTACAGATGAGGAAGTTGAGGCTTAGAGTAGTTAAGTGGCTTGTTCATAGTCACAGTGTTAATAAGTATTAGGAAGCTAGGCCTCTGTAACAAATTTCTATTATTATTATTTTTTTTACTGTCCAATGCCATCTGTCACATCCATGCCCACTGAGGCAGTTTAATCCCATTCTTCCCATTTGAAGCTTGTTATTTTATTTTTCAATTTAGGTATATTTATGATTTTTCTTATTTAATCCTCAAACAATACTATGATACAGATGCATTATTCTTCGCTTTTTCTAGATGCAGAAGCTAAAGCACAGAGAGGGAAAGCAACTTGCTCAAAGTCACACAGCTAGCCAGTTGCCAGCTTAGAGCTAACAGAGTCCAAAACTTATTATTCTTTCTCAAACACTGCTTCTCATGTGCTGCTTCTCACGTAAATATAAATCAGAACTTGGAAAAAGCAATAATATGGTGGCTAGTATTAGCTGTTCATTGTCTTCTTATTGATAACTGTATATGCAGTTACACCAGAGAATTCACACTTCTAATAGATTCTCAAACTGCTTCTTCCAACCTACCCACATCGAAGTATAAGTATCTGACATTTACATGGCACCTTACATCTGACCAAGCATTTTGACATGTATTATTTCATTTGATCATTACAAGAAACTTTTGAGATGTTTAGGACAGGTACAATTAGCCTGATGGCTTTACTGATGAGAAATATTTATCTCACAGAAGTAAAAGACCTTGGAGTTCATATGGCTGACAAGTGGGAGAAAAAAAAAAAAAAAAAGCACTCAGGTTCCCTGCTGACACATTCTGGGAGCTCTCCATAGCACCATGTTAAAAATAGCTCTTCATGCCGCAACATTCTACCTGCCTGTGGGAATTCACCAAGACATTTCCCCCAGTTTGGAAGAAGTCATGTAGATTGCAAAGATTCTCTATTTTTGATATGAGAAATTCTTACAACTGGGAAGATAGGCATGGTGTGGATTAGCCCAATCCTAGACAAGCTGGGTAAGCCTCATGTAACTGTATGTCTTCTGGGAAATTACTTATAATCTCTGACTCTTCCTTTTTTACAGAAAAAAAATGGTGAGAATTATGAAAAAGCAAATGTATAATTTCTTTTCTATAATGGTGGTTTTCCAGTAAACTCATTAGACTTTTTAATATAACACATCTCATATTAAACACATCTCTGTGACATGAGAACCCTTGGCTTTAAGAAGTCAAGAATGCAAAAGGCCTCAATGAGATCCTAGAATCTATCAGGTTTGGGCTTCATGGTTTCCTGGAGATAATGATGATGATACAATTTTAATATTAAAGCTATGAATTATGAGAACAGCCAGCCCTGGGTGGGAATGCACATCAGGACAGAAAAAAAGGCTGATGAAGTATGTATTTCTCCAAGACATGTTTGTACTAAGTAATTCTGAATTTACTAAGAAGTCCTTGAAACTGTATTTCTTCTCTATGAGAATATGGAATAAAAGTGTCATGTATTTTATAAACTTTGAGTATATTTTTTACAATCTTGTAGAGAATATTTCCACTTTAACAGCTACTAATTATAATGATATCTGTTTATATACTTGTTTTTCTCACTTGCCAGGGACTAAGCAAGAACTGCATCTTTTTCATATTTATGTATTCATGGCACGTTGCCTGTTAGCATAGGACACATATAAAACTTACTGAGTAAATGCTCATTGAAATGTGTTTATATAAGAAAGTATGTGAAAATGTATAATACATATGCACATCTACATATGTGTATGTATCTGTGTGTCTTTGCTAATATTTATTTATTTATTTTGAGACGGAATCTCGCTCTTGACATCCAGGCCAGAGTGCAGTGGCGCGATCTCAGCTCATTGATCTGCCTCCAGAGTTCAAGTGATTCTCCTGCCTCAGCCTTCTGAGTAGCTGTGATTACAGGCGTCTGCCACCACACCTGGCTAAGTTTTGTATTTTTAGTAGAGACAGGGTTTCACCATGTTGGCCAGGCTGGTCTTGAACTCCTGACCTCAGGTGATCTGCCTGTCTTGGCCTTCCAAAATGCTGGGATTACAGGTATGAGCCACTGCGCCAGCCTGTCTTTGCTGACATTTAAACTACCATTCCGTGTTCTTATACATACTTAATAAGATATGGCATTTTCAAGGGGAAACATGAACTGTCTATTACCCCATCCCATATATATATTCTATATTGATATATAATATATACATATATTCTATATTGATATATAATATATACATATATTCTATATTGATATATAATATATACATATATTCTATATTGATATATAATATATACATATATTCTATATTGATATATAATATATACATATATTCTATAGATATAGATATAGATACACAGATACATATGTATGTATATATTCTATATTTATAGATAGATCTATATATATTCTATATATATTCCAATTTAAGATTCTATACAAATATATATATATCTGCAAATTTTCTTTAAGCATAACTTTGCTTTCAACAACCAAAACATTTTTGAGATAAAATTATTCCAGCTCAGGAGGTTCAATTTACAGTACAACATGTTTTAGTTTAGTAAAGAAGAAAACACTATTTCCCAAAGAAAAATGGCTTGTTTGAATATTGATTGGATTTTGTTAGTAAACTTTAAAAAAAATCATAATATTAGAGCTCATTCTATGAGAATATGCTCTAATATTATGTGCATATAATAATGTTAGAATCCATATTTGCTTGATATTTGTGCTTATTTGAAGGAATTATGGTGTAATGAACAGGAGAACAAACATGATACTAATCCATATGCACGTGAAGATGATGTCTCTGTTTTGGTTGAGTAAATGAAAGAAAATGCTAATGCTTTTCAGCAAAGATAATTAATGTGGCCATAAATAGCATGTCACTATGGACCTGAGGAAAGAATAAGTCAACTTGTCATATAAAATTATTATGTTTCTTATTTATGCTGGGCTTACAAAGTCCTCAAATGTCTTGCCACATGTTGATTCAATCATTCTTTCAGTATTTCTAAGCGTGAGAGTGGTGAGGGGGACTTTTCATTGTATTTTTAAAAGGACAACAAGTATATGAAGACTTTTTTACTGCCTGACGGTGATCATCAAATGTTAGGTGCCTTCATTTCCCGCTTAATGATGGCAACTCAAATGCCATTAGGATCTGGGCAACTGACCTTAATAGCTAAAAGGGCCAGAAGTTTTATATCCAAGAGAGGTATGGGCTGTGGATAACTAGAGATTACATACTCTTGTTAAAGGCTTGAAACCATATTTTAAAAATAATGTGCTAGTCAAACAAAACACTTTGGCTGTTTGAACTTGGGCAGCAAAGGGCCTGTTTGTAATTCTTGCCCTAACCAAGAACATGGGGCTGAATAAAGCGGAAAGAGAGTGACCCGGGCATCAAAGAGACTTGAGTCTGAATATCGACTGCAATATTTGGGCTCTGTAGTCCTGATCATGTTACTGAACTTCTCATCACTTCTGCCACCTCATTGGTCTGAGATGGTAACCATACCTATTTCAAAGGGCTGCTGTGAGAAATAATTAAAGGAAGAACCTCAAGACCTTACCTCATTGGCTGATCCACAAGAAGTATTCAAAAAACAAAGACGATTGTTACAGGCTTTGCACACAGCACTTTCCCCTTGGTAAAGACCTACTTGCGGCTGTTTTGGCTCTTTTGTTTATTTCTTCTTATTTGTTTGTTTTCTTGACTTCTTATGAAACCAGAGAATTAGGGGTGGCAGGTAGGGAGTAAGACTAGACGAGGAAAACTGGCTGAGCCAGTGGGGAATGTCTATGGAGGGCAGCAGAGTTTTCCAGAATTTCTCCAACCAGGCCACCACTAAACTTTGCCAGATGTTTGTAAGTTTCCTACTAAGAATGAATGCATTCCAAGCACATTTCTTTCTTTCTCTAGTTCTTTATTTTATTTCTGGGTATAAAATTGAATTCTCATTTTCTAAAGAAAGGAGAAAACCAACCAAACCATTTCAAGAAGAAAATAAAATTCACCTGTATTCCCGTCAGCCAGAGATCGTCACTATTAACAGTTCAGTGTTTCTTTTCTTTTTCAAATGCATACAAATTTGTGTCTGAATATACTTACCATAATTGAGAACATGCTAAATATATCATTTTGTGTACTGTGTATTATGCTGAACAGAAATGGTTTTTGTTTGTTTGTAAGCCATGGAAAGCTAGTATACTGAAGCCACTTTGCACTTTAAAATCAAGACTATCTTGTCTATTCAATGGAATGCTGCTAGGAAGTTGGGGGAGCTGTCTTTATAATTGTGGTAATGGTTATTTTAAACTCAATGTAGTAATTTATGTTTGAGAATAACTATAGAATCAATTTTTAGTTCTGGTAACATGTTTCCTTTCTTTCTCAACCCCCTAATTGCTCTCTCTGGGAAATAACTATTTGCCAAATATAAAAATTATTCATTCAGATTCTTGAGATATAGTATTTAAATAGGGGAAGATTCATTACACAGCTTTCCTTCACATCCTTAGAGAAGAGACCCTGGGGGCTTTGTGAGAGTCTGAGAAACAATTTGTTCCTTCTTGTGTCTGAGCTAGAACTCAGGGTAACAGGAATCTGAAAGACATTGTACTCCTCTCTTCGGAGTAAGTCAGGCGTTGGGATATGAGAATGTTTTATTAGCAGTTAGAATTACTAAGTCTAACTCAGTCCTGTAATTACAGTAAAACAATACTGTTAATATATCTAAGTCTCAAAAACATAATATTGATTTAAAAATAAGAGAATGAAGAAATCATGCAATAAGGTAACATTTTTGTACATCATGAAAGTGTACCAGACAGTATATTATTTTGAATATAAACCTATGGAGAAAAAGCCCACATCAACTTCAGAATAAAGGTTATATTCTGATTGTGGGACCTTGATTTTATATGTAGTAATTTATTTCTTACTAAAAATGAAAACATCCAAAATAAATATGTCAAAGTGTGATGTCTGTTAAGTAGGTATGGCAGCTTTCTGGTCTCTATTATCCACATTTCATGATCATAAGAACCCAGGATTTAGACTTTCCAATAAATTAGCCCAGGCTTCTTTCAGTTAATGAATATATAAAGTATCCAGTTCTCCCAGCTTGTTGGGGATGGGGACTAAATCAGGAGGAACACCGGGAGGTGATCTACAGCTGCCAAAACTAGATTAATGAGTCTTTAAAACTGACTTTTACAAAATTCCTCTGGCAATATGTGTAGTCACAAGAGCAGGTATTTTTGCAGTTACTCATGCTTCGTTTCATTCTCTTGTGGTGTATGGTTAATTCTCAGAGAAGCCAGTTCATTGTAATGCTAATTTGGTCTCTCATCCAATAGCACTTGGGATGTAACAAGCATCACCAGGGCACCAAAATGGCCTTTGTGAAAGATGAAACAATGCCCACTGTCTCTAGTCCTTTGATCAAAGGGAGAAAAAAAAAAATAGGGATTTTATTGCATTTATAAGATGTCAGCAATCATTATTCCTTTCTTATGCTTTGAATGACTTTTTCTGTCCTAATAATTCTTCCAGTACTTGGACCAAGGGTAATTTAAATAAGAACTACTCAACAAATATTATTCAGAAAAAAATTAGTTGGACCTCACACATAATGCTTTGGAATGTTTATTATACAATGACATTGACAGTTTTATGCCTGTACAAACTTACTATATGTTCCATTGAGTAATCTCATATTGTGGGAGAAAACACACGCATACACATATATATGCACACACTTTTATCATTTATTTTACTTTATTTAAGCAGATGAAAGAAAATTAATTTTAAAAACCCATAAACAAGATATTTCAGAAGAGAAAGACAACCAACAAAGCAACTTCATTGTAAGCAAGAAAAGATGTAGCATAAATGAAAAGGTAATAACAGCCTAAAAAGTCAGAGTGTTGAACAGTGAAGGATTTTATTGAAAGAGATTTGATTTTAAGTGTTAATACCTTCCAATTTCATACAAAATACCAGAGTAAAATGATGACAATTTTCTACCTAGTCATGGTATTCCTGAAAAATCGACAAATCCCTTAATTGTTAAGGCTTTCAAACTTCTGTTCTTGAGTATCTTATATCATCTGCTGGGTATTTAAATTTCATGATCTGTCCTGTAATGTTTCATTGAATGCAGAAGATTTCTTTTAAAAGATCATCATTATAAGCTATGTGTTTGCATCGCTGCCATTTGTCAGAGGAGAAGTAAGTGTGGTTTGCAGAAAATGTTTCTTAGAAGAATTATCTGGTGGAGAGCCTTTTACCCCATCAATCCCCCCAATCTACTAGCTGCTGGGGTGGTCTGTAGTTCAAATGTCAAATCTTTCTCTTTTTAAGTGAAACAGAATGTATTTTGTGTAGCATGCAGGGGGTTAAATTGCATTTCAGATAAGCAAGAAACTAAAAAGCATTACAGTAAAGGGAGACATGTTTGCAATTTTGTTTGAAACAGTATCTTGTTTAGTTAAAAAAAGATCCCTTTTATTGTTATAAAAACAATGCATACCAAGTTGCTTTTTAATTCTTCCATTCTTCTGTCATCTAAGTATAATTTTAGAATTTGGGAAAAAGATTTCTGTGTTGTTAGGCAGAATACTGGAGCTGTCCATGACAGATTAATGGGCATTTTCTGAAGTGATTAAATTTTACATCAAATACACCTCATTCAAAGGTGAGTGATGCGTTGGCTATTTTAAATGGATCTTTAAGAAAATAAACTGCAATGAAATGAACATAACTACAAAGCATGAATGTAGAACTGGACACATGTAGGTTGGGAATAGGGAAATATATGTGTGTACAAGAGCATAATTGTGCAAATGTATTTGTGTGTATGTTTGTATATACGTACATACAACATATGTTCTTATATATGTTATTAAATGGGTAAATCTTATGCTTACTATGTCTGAAAATATGGTAAAGTGCACAGAAATTATCTGTCTTTGCCTTCTACCTGAATCCCATATTAAAACTCTGATGCTGTGCCCTTGCCGCATGTGTGTGGTATGGCATTAATGGTATGCTGTTGCTTCTGACTGATTTATTTCTTGATTTCCCAAGAAGCACATTTCAGGAGGTAAGCAGGAGAGTCATCTTGCCTAAGCAAGCACAGCTCCTTGCATGCTCTCAAAGTCTTCCCAGAGTCCTTTCTTATCCCCTAGCCCTCAATTTTTCCAGGCTGTATTTTTTCAGATATAAGCTCTAACTCTGTTGCCTAGGCTGGAATGCAGTGTCATTGCCATAAGGCTATTTTTTTTTATATTAAAGGAGACAAAAGAAATGTATGCCCTCCCTTCTATATTCCTTTGGGACTGCCTCTGGAAAGACTTATTAGATTCTCTCGTTGAGAGGATTTGTTCCTTTCTTTATTCTACCCATCAGGCAGGCAGGAAGGCAAGCAGGACATTGATACCTTCAGTCCAGCATTTGTAGCATGCTTATGTTATAAGCAGTCTCAATGAACAGCATTAAGTTTTACTTCTTTTGCTTTTATGTATGAAGCAATGATTAAGACATGGTTAGTTTTCAATGTGTTTCATGGATTTTACTTGATTTAAACAATGACTCATAGTCGAGATGTTTGGGAATAGCAAAGTAGAAAGACATAGTAAGACAAGATGGGTTTATGTGGTCCACAAAGTGAGGATATTTGTTTTCAGAGCTATGTACATCATTAATGCTGGTTCCTTTGCCATTCAAAAGGGGATCATTGATAATTGCTAATATGATATTTCTTACTTAGAGAAACAAATGGAACTAAGCTAAGCTCACAATGGGAGACTCAGTATTTTCATACACAAATTCATTTATGCATTAAATTATTTATCAAAATGGTATTGAGACCCCACTATGTGCCAGGCAGTGAAAGGAAGTGGTACCAAGTTGAACCAGGTAGTGCTTGTGCTTAAGGAACTTATACTGGGATGGTGAGCAAAGCTATTATGAAAAACAGAGGCACAGTGTGCTCCAGAAGTAGAAAGGAAGGGTGGTGAATAAGGCTATTATGAAAAACAGAGGTACAGGTGCTCTAGAAATAGAAAAGAAGGGTATTACAGAGAGAAGATTGATGAGAGGCTTCCTAGAGGAGGAAAAGCTTGAACTGAGTTTTGAAAAATAGGACCTAGCCCAAGAAAAGGGAGAATAAATGTGAAAAGAAGCATTCCAGTTGGAGCAAAGTCATATGCAAAGACATGAGTCAAAAAGAGTGTTTGCTTAGTGAAATGAAAATACTGTGGTCATTTGGTATGTCTGGAGCATAAAGTACATGTAGGGTGGGAGGGTCGGGGTCCAGATTGTTAAGAATCATCTATGACGAATACAGTGTTGTGACATTATCTGCAGGTAGTAGAAGCTACTGAAAGAGTTTGAACAGTGACATGACAAAGCCAAATCTGTGCTTTAGATTGATCCCACTGGCTATGGCATGGATGATGGATTGGAGGAGGCAAGTCTGGAGTCAGGAGACCAGTTATGGGGCCATTAACAAATCCAGAAGAAAACTGATGAGAGTCTGACCTTAGTCAGTGACTGTGAGAATAAAGTGATATTGGTAGGGAGAGAGGGAAGCGGGAGAGGGATGGACCTAGGCAGCCTTCAAGAGACAGCAGAGGGCGAGGCACAGTGGCTCACGCCTATAATCCCAGCACTTTGAGAGGCTCAGGTGGGTAGATCACCTGAGGTCAGGACTTCGAGACCAGCCTGGCCAACATGGCAAAACCCTGTCTCTACTAAAAAAACAAAAATTAGCTAGGCGTGGTGGCATGTGCCTGGATACTTGGGAGGCCGAGGCAGGAAACCACTTGAACCCGAGAGGCGAAGGTTGCAGCGAGCTGAGATTGCCCCACTGCACTCCAGCCTGGGTGACAGAGACTCCCTCTCAAAAAAAAAAAAAAAAGCAACACCATCTGGTGTGGATTTAATGTAGAAAAAGAAGGAAAAGACTAATCAAGGTGATTCTCTGTGGCTTGGATGAACAGATAGGTGGTAATGGTGCCGTTCACTGTGATAAAAATTAAAGACAGAAAGCCAAGTCGTGTTGGAGAAAGACAAGGAATATATTTGGGACAGAATGGTGCCTGGGGATTAAGCGATTCAGAGATTCTAGCTCTTTATCTTAAAACAGATGTGCCTGCTATGGAGACATGATCCAGTCCAGGGCTTTGCTATTGTTTCTAGTATCATTGTTTCTTTACTGCCATTAAGGATATGTATGTTATATTTTATAGATATATACATTCAGATTTCAATTTTCTATAATAAATTAATATTCAAACCTTATAGACTCTTGTACTTTATAAAGGAAGTTTTAAATCAAGGAGTTTGAGAGCTTCATGAGTCATTAGAAATGATCGAATCCAGCCCTTTATTTCATAGATGAAGAACTTAAACCCAAAGTGTTTAAGTGATTTCTCCAAATTCATGGAGTATATCAATGATAGTACCTGGATTAAAATCCAGATATCCTGACTCCTGGCTGAATGTGCTTTCTATATGCCATGTGCCTTTTAAAAAAAGGTAAAGGAAAAAATTAAGCAGACGTGCAAATATGCTTGAGGTTCCATGACTCTGACATTTTACTAGTGTGAGAAGGTAGGTGTAGAAGAGAGGTGCCAGGTTAGTAAAATGTGTTTTGGCACAGGAGACATTCGCTTATGCAAAGAGAGAATGACTTTCCTGGGTCCTGGCCCAACTCTAGGGGCAATGTAAATGACTTTGGCAACTTTCAGCAGCCACAAGAATGTGGTCCCACAAGAATCATTACCAAAAAAAGCAATGGCAGGAGAATTTGTTCCTATGGGATTTTCTGGGTTGCCCTTGATAGCTTCTATATATGCCTCAGTGGGATGTTGCTACTATTCCTTTGGAGGCTGAGTAACAAACATCCACTCACATTATTAGTATCAGTATCTGAGAGCATCTCCCTATCAAGCAGAAAGAATATTTACAGAAAGAAACATAGTCAGAGGCAGACCCCATTCACCAATTCTATTGAAATGACTCATTCACGTGTTTCTATTTCCTGCTAGACTCAACTCTTTGTACCTGTAGCATTTGGCACCAGGCTTAGTACACAGCACACACTTACCACATATATGCTAAGACTAAACTGAACTGACACAGGGGGTGATAAGCCTGAACTAATTTTAGAATTTGGTTCTGTTTTTTGCCATGTGTGAGGTGATGCATCTGAAGAAAAAAAATCAAGGGGTTGCTGAGGCTCAATGACCAGGGGGCAGCTGATGGGTATCAATGGTAGGAAGCAAGAACAGAGTCCAGCAAAGAAAGTCAAGACCCCTGAAATGGATGGAGCATGAGTTGGCGAAAGGGGAGATCCAAATCAGGAATCAGCAAAGGCAAAGCAAGTAGCAGGAACCAGGGAATTGGGAAAGAAATGTGGGGTGGGTCTAAGGTACCGACAGCCATTGTTGTTGGCTCAGCCTAGTGATGTGAGCCTGGGTTTCCCACACACAGAGGGGCCATGACCTGACATCTGACATTGATTAGCTGTTTCACCTTGCTTTCTATAACCTCTCTGAACCTCAGTCACCACATCTATAAAACAAGATCCTTGGAGCTCATAATATTTAATGTCTCTTTCAGCTCTCTTGTACTAATGGTTTTCTTTCTTCCATAAATAGTAAATATTCTTTCAGATATCAAAATGAGAAATGGGATCCATGGCATGTATATCCACACAGAAACCATTTTAAATGTTAGCTAAATAGATCTATTGTCTAAAAAGACAATTATATTTCTCCATTTCATAAAAGAAATAGTATATTGGGAGATCTAATAATAGAAATCCCTGAAAATAATATATTTGGCTTCAGCTGTCTTTTTTTTTAATAAGGCCATAAACCTAGATATAGTTGCATTTTAAATATTGCCATTGATTTATGGAACAATGAGATTAGATAAAACCATCAACATTTAAGGCATTTTTTGCATTGTTTTACCTTTTTATTGCTTTCCCATATTTACCCTTTTGCTTTATTTCATGGTTGTTTTGTCATAACTGAGTAATGCCATATGCACCAACATCCAATGAAGGTCCATTTAATCTGCACCATATTTTAAGTGAACAATGCCTTTGTCAATTTTTATAGGGTTTAAAATGTTACTTTCTTAAGAATTACATGGAGAAATTGTATTATTTGTGCTTTAAGATATGCTCTGGTTTAAGAGACCCCTTGAAGTGGTTTCTTCAAGTGAAATGATACAGAATGCATTTCACATACAAGACATGTCATAATCTCACACAGATTTTGGTTCTCATGAAACTGAAGCCCGCAAGGGTTTTGAGAGTCTAGTAAAAGCTCTCCCAAAATTCTCTCTCATGATGGAGAATGATAGCATCAGTTCTCCCCTGGTCATTGGGCAAAAGACAGGGGCATGTGATTTATGATAGAACTACAAATGGCTGATTATATTACCTTCTTAAAAATATGTTTTCTTTGCCTACTTAATACTAAGACTTTTCATACAGTTGACTGGATATTTGCCTTCTCACCATGGGTAACATTTCCTAAGATATTACAGCCATCAATCAATATGCAAATGTATAAATTAAAAAATGGTCAATCTTTGAACAAGTTTCACCTCATCATTTCTGTAGCTTTCATTTTTACATATTTTGTGCATGAATATTGTATGTTATCAGAATTTGTTTTTAACATTGGTAACAATATGCTTGTGTTTGATGAGTGACATTCCTTCAGAATGGAGCACAAGCTACTGGTCAATCTAGCCTCAAAGCAACATACCAGCTCTGCCAAAAACCCACTGTATGATCTTAGACAGTTTACTTAACTTCCCTGAGCCTCTGTTTAGACATCAGTGAAATAAGGAAAATAATACTTACAGTACCTGGATTGTTCTAAAGATTCAATGAACTGCGTATTTGTAAAAGCTGGTACATATCTAGCCTTTGTAGAGGCTTTGTGTATTATTGTTATTCCCTTTGTTGTATTTTACAATGGTTGGCAAGAAAATAGAATGAGCAGACAAAATAAACTTATGTTACTAAGAAAAAAAGGTAAGAACTAATGAGAGGACTTTAATGATTCCATTCTATTAAAAGTACTGGCAAATAAACTTTCCACATACCTGGCCCTAGGGCTTCTCATCCCACCTCAAATTAACTTGGTCTCCACTATAGTGAAACCAAGTGAAAGTAATCCCCCTCTAGTGATGCATGTTTTTCTCAAAGGAATAAATATTATAAATATTATAATATATTGTGTATGTTATAATATATTATAATAATGAATATGCAATAGCTGACTAAAATTGAAATTATCAGTCAACTAATCATCCAGCCAACCAGTCCAATAACAGAACACTTCCCGCAACTCTGAGGCTAGTAGAACATCAGAAGATAGAGTTGAGATTTTTCTTTGATGTCTGGCTTTTCTTTGATTTCTATGAAGTCACTGAAGGCCTCGGATTTCTAACTATAAAATGGAATCAGTTCTCTCCTTGCAAGTTTGGTATAAGGATGAAGTCAGACAATGTGTACAAAAGCTATGCAAATATTAAATCACTTAACAAATGCAACTTTTTTTTGCTTGAAAGTAATCATTTATTGTTTGTCATTTCATTTCAAATCACATTCTCTTCCTAGCATTTTGGTCAATAACTTATAAAACTCTGGCATGGCAGTATAGTCAAATAATTTTATTATTCAGGTTGAGAGACTCCTACATTATAACTCATTAGCTCTTGTGGTCAGCAACTTCTAGGCTTAAAATTCACATCTTAGATGTTTATAAAATATTGAACCTTGAGGTGGCTGTCATTTTCTGTAAACATATTTTAAAACCAGTAGGGAATATATGAAGACAATCAAATTTGTTACAAATCTTTTCTGAACCTGGCTGCTATGGCACATCAAGATGGATTTCACAGTTATACATCTACAGAGGAATGTTTAGAGATAAGATGAAAGCAGTCCTCCTTATTAATCACACATTGTATATTTGACTTCTGCCTCCTGCTCCAGCCTTTAAATCAACTACATCTGGTTCTTGCTACTTAAGTGTGGCATTAGATTTTGCATTAAAAGGCAGTTACTCCTGGAGAAAGCAGCCCCATTTGATTAAAAAATAATTAACTAGAGCTATATTCATGCTACTCATCATAGCAGCCTAAATGAGCATTTTAGTGTAGGTTGGAGACTTACTTTATATCTACAACAGGGTCAGCAGAACTGAGAGGCACTTTATGGTTGTGATGAATGCTAGCATGAAATAGTTATTTTGCTTTGCTGGTGTTAACTTTTATAATTAAAAAAAGCACAATAGTACAGAATGGTCAACAGCTGATACAAAGACACTGAACCTTGATGTAGCCACCTATGCTGAGGGTGTCCTCCCTGTGAAGACTAGGGTACATGATTGTTATTACACCTGGAGCAAATCAAACTCTGGGAACAGACTACTGCTAACCAACTGCATAAGAAATTGATGTACAATTATCAAGCAGATCTTGTATTGGAGCTCACTGATTAGTGAACTCTCTCAGGAGGAAAATTTGCATAGAAAGACAGATTTCTTGATAAGCAGGGAATCTGATATTTCAAAGTAAATTTGATGGTTTAAATGAGTATTACTCAATGACATTGCTGTCATTTAGGAAACATGGTAAGAAGTTTGCACCAGAATATAAACTAGAGCATCACTTTCTTCAATGAGAAAGTTTTGCATGTGTGTTTGTATATATATACATCAAGTGAATGAACTAAACAGTGTGCTTAGTGACCTAGATAATTTACATCCTGGTGCAAACTCCTCATTTCATGGCTGACTGTTCACAAGCAGGTCTCATACAGGCAGTTGTTCTATGGACCACACTTTGAGATGCACTGATTCTTTACCTGAATAAGAATTACACTGGGAAGCTTTATAAAATATACAGTTTCCCAGTACATGCCCTTAAAGATTTCTGGTGTGTTTTACCTCCATCTGCATTTTAAAATTCTCCCCATGTAGTTTTGATGAACACTCAAGCTTTAAGAGCTATATAATAAAATGCATAGCATAACAAATCAGTGCTAGGCTAAATAGGTTAGAGGTTAACAACATGGGTTTTGGAGCTGTGGGTTGAATCCTTGTTTGTTCTTGAGCAAGTTGTTTGGGGGTTTCTGAGCCTCAATAGTCTCATCTATAAAGCAGCTATAACATATATAATTGTGAAGTTTAAGTGTGATTATAAAAGGAAAACACGTAGCTCTGTGCCTGTTGCATAGTAGGCAATGATAACTGTCAGCTATAAATGATAGCTATTATCTTTATAATGGAGACTTATCTGTAATTTTTTAAGAAACTTACACTCATGTATAACCTCAAATTCCCTGGAAAAGTAAGGAATATTCTCTTAACGTTTTCCTCCCTGAAATTTCTTCTGCTAAACATTGATCAAAAGTAACAATCCAAAATCTTGGTTGTAAGTGTTAAAAATCTAAATCAATGTGATTGAAGGGGAAAAAAGGTTGGCTGCTCAATGGGAGACTGTTAGATCATGCAACTTACAACTGAATGTCCAAGGGTGGAACTAGCTAAAAATATAGCTAGGTCCAGGTGCTCAAAAGGAATCACCTGACTCTGTGTCTATCTATGCATCCAAGTGTCTATGTATGTACATAGATCTATCTATCTATCTATCTATCTATCTATCTATCTATCTATCTAATCTCCTTATCTAACATCTGTCTGAGTCAGCTTCATTTTTGGGCTGACTCTGGTTTTGTGGTGGCAAAATCGGGCATCAACTGTATTGGGCATATGTCACCAGCTTATTAACCACAGAGGAAAACAAAGTTATTTTATAAATGAGTTTGATAAAATTTGAGAACTGAGGCTAATGGCCTTGCTTGTGATGTCTTTCCATTCTTGAACAATTCACACCTATGAAGCAGGAGCAGAACATTCTGGCTTGACAAGTTAGAACCTGTACTCATTTGTGATGCTAGGCTGGGACAACTCTACCTGAAGCATTTGTTCCGAAGGGCAAAACGATAACTTCCCAAAAGAAAGTTAAAGAATGCTATTAGGAAAAAGGGAACATAGGATGTGGAATCCAAAATGACAAATTTTTATTACTCTGTCCTACCCTCTTTTTCTCTACCTGCCTCTTGTTGTTTAAATATGTTAGTTCAATTGGAATAAAGTCAAGATTTGGCCTACAGGCCTTACATTTTGATAATTTTCAGAGATTTATTATAATATATTTTGTATTTGTTTTATAATAAACTTTTATAGGTTGAATTTTTTTCCCTCCTATGTCTAATTTGGGGGAAAAATGAATGAAGGGGAATTATCTTATATTGGCCAAGAATGAATTTAGAATGTATTAATAATAATAAGAGTTTGATTGAAAACCATTTTTGTTAGCATGGGACAGATTTGTTCTTGATAAATAGAAATAAGCAAGGGATGATGTTAGCAAGTGAGCTGCCAAAGCTTTACAAAGGGGAATTTACATTTAGACTATATTTATTACATGATAATAATTTTACTATGGATTATGAAATAGTGGATGTATTATGGTTCACTAAATCAGTAAAAATCACATAGCTGTTAATGATTTGGAACCCGGCTTGTGAAGCACGACTTGTCATAGCTATCAAGTGGTTGAAAGTGTTGGTATGAGAGTTAAGGACTTCAGTGCTCAAGTCCAAGTCTGGCTGATTTTGTGGTGTGTGGCCTTGGACCTGATTTCTCTGGGATGCAATTTCCCTATATGTGTAGTAGAGTAATAAAATGTAGTCACCACACAGTGGTGGAGGAATTAAATGCACTGACAGGGAGGTGCAGGTTTCCTTGTATTTTTCAAACAATGCATATGTTCAGCTTTATTTTCCCAGGTACCTAATAGGACCCCTTGCAGTAAGTCACTTAATGATTCTCCATGGTCCCTATGGCACCATTTATTTTAGCACTATACTGTTCTCTAAGATGGCACCATAAAGGACTAAATATTACCCAAAGCAAGAGGAGTAAATACTGCTATATGGGTTGTACTTTCAGTACCTATTTTTGAGCTTGCAAAGGAGCATGGAGAATGATTACAGCTAGCTCTCAGGCTTTGCAGCTCATTTCATATATCATTGCCTATATTTTAATATTCCTTTAAAGGTTTTTGTTTTGGACATCATCCTTCCTCCCACTCCTCATCCCATTTCCCCAAAGCAGTGTGATATTTTATTTATCGTTACAAAAATGGAAGCAGGAGGCTGAATTTTTCTGAGATAAGTGGTCAGTATGGTGTAACGGAAAAATCAGAGCACCAAGAATTAGATTTAAATTAGTATGTGAATTTGGCTGCATTCTTGCTGGTCAACCTTGGGTTTATCACTGGCCTCTCTGATTCTATTTTTTCATCTATAAAATAAACAAAACAATAAAGCTGACTGTGATACATCTTTGCTATAAAGGCTAAATGGATAATGTCAACAATGGGAAAGTGTGATCCAAGTGCAAATTGTCATTATGATTGTGATGATTATAAATATATGTATCAGTATATTAGGAATTTGTTGACAACTGGATTCCTGTGTGCTCTGCTCCCATTTCTCCAACTCCCAGAGATGTAGAGGATCCCCGCCAGATGGCTGATTTGCCAGCGGTGTCTTGTTTTGTTATTGTAAATATTACATGCCCGAACTGGGAGGCCTTGCTTATAATGTAATATGTTTTGTTCTTTATCTCTTGCAGCTTGAGAATTACATTGTGGAAAACATGAAGTCGGAGATGGCCCAGATACAGCAGAATGCAGTTCAGAACCACACGGCTACCATGCTGGAGATAGGAACCAGCCTCCTCTCTCAGACTGCAGAGCAGACCAGAAAGCTGACAGATGTTGAGACCCAGGTACACCCCAGGGCCAGAGTCCACAGACTCAACAAGGAAAAATTTTTTTTTTCTTTAGCTTTCTCCATAAACACAGAGCACATTTCAGCACTGTGATTAGGGAAACATACATTTTTGTTTATTGGTAATAACAACAATGACTGCCTGACATGCTATGCGTGTTTTTTTTGATCTAATGAGGGTTGGTATATTTAGCTTTGCATATGTTTGCCAAAACAGAGCTAGCAAAGGACCTCATCAATGTTTAAATTCAAATAAGCACTGCAGCTACCAACTGTGATATGATATGTGTCAAACAAAGTAACCATTTGAGTCAGATTGGTGTCTTTGTTGTGCATTTTTGACCTGTTTTGTTTTGTCTCTGGTAATGCTGCAGCCATAAGGGCACCTGCAGACGGTTTGTGCATTCAGCAGATAGAAAGGACAATCTCAAATGAAGTTATGAGGAATATGTGTGTATATACATATATCTACCTATTAGGGCCAATGATGTACTTATTTGAGTACCAACGAGTAAAAACTAGGGATATCCTTTGATCACCATTGTCACAAACACCCCATCATAGTTTACTGGCAAATAGCAAATATCATTTTTGATGACTATCATTTTGATGACTGTCATTTTTAATTGTCTCTTGGTTCCCTTTTAGCCATGAAAATCATTATTCCAGTTACCATTCTGAAACCCAAGGGATGATTCTATCCCAATGTAGTTGATTTCTGACATGAAAGCTGAAATATATATGTTCAAAAATAAGGTGCAACATGATTTCTATTTTCTTTCATTTGCGATACTGGCATCACAGGTAGATTGGTATTTAAAGAAAAATAGCAATGATGACTGATACAGATAAAACCTATATAACATAACTTCCCGTGCACACATGGTTTTTATGAAAATCACTTAGAGCAGATAGATAGATCTTTTAGCTAGAAATCACTAGCTTGAGTGATTTCTCACATTCATGCAGCTAGTTTATAAAATCTGGGATTCAAACTCTGGGGTACTCATTTCTTTTCTATCTCCCTTGATTAGTAACACTAATAATTAACTAATTGAATAAGAACTTAAGTATTGATTACATTGGGGCAGTGATTCACATTAGCTTTGGAAAATACTTTTTGCTGCCCATCAACATCAGATGAACATGGGAGATGGACGGAACTACATATTGTCCCTGAAAATTACAAGACTTTATCTAATCATTCATTGTCACAGTAAGTTTGATAATATATGCACATTGGTTTCTTGTGGTATAAATAATGTGACTGTATTATTTATTTTATTTTATTAGAACAGAATGCTCACCCTCTCCTACAAAATACTCTCACATGTTCAAAAACAAATACACAATATATCCTACTTAATTGCATATTTGAAATTTGTATAAGTTTCTATTACAATAACTTTTCTGGAACACATGGCAGAGTCTTGTTTAATTTTTTTATCCCCTAAAACACTGTGTCTTGGGTTGTTTTTTAATCTCTGTCTACCTAGCAGTTGGAGTTGTGGGAAAAAAAAATGTCCCATTGTTAGCACGTTAATCTCCAAACTGTTAAGATGCGTGCTATGTAAGGTATTGAGAGATAAATTGTTCTGCATCCTTAAGGCCAGAAGATGTGTACTTTATTGAAAATGGTACAGAAAATTCAATGAAAAAGAATAACTACTCCTTATACGAAGCAGCCAAAACTTACTATCAAAGACCAATGAAAGTTTATTAGATACAGTGAGAACAATTTTAAGATAGCTGAAACCCAGAAAACATTTCAAAAATCACAAATCCATCACAAGTAGCAATGAGAGGGAAGTAGAAAAGGATGACAATGGCTCAAATTATGCCCTACCTTAAGAAGTGACGCCTATGTGTTTTTTTCACTTTCATTTTCATGTCTTCCAATTGCTTATGCTATTTGTAGCTGTGATGCTTCGAACCTGTTATATGTAAATGTATACCCTCGTGCTACTTATTTGAACTATTGCAACAGGACATGTTCTGCTTAGACATAATCACTCAAGTGAACTCAAATCCTGATTCAGAGCCAAGTTTACAAAAGTAATCCTGAATTATTCCTTAACCTCCATACACTCTATTCATTTATAATAAGCATTTATAAAACCAGTAGATCCTTCTGTGCTATCCAGGCATGCTCTCATGGTTTTCCTCCTATATTCATCTAACTTGGCTTCACAGTGGTAAGTGTTGCTTTTCCTAAAACTGACTTCAGGTCCTCAGTTTATTTCAGGAACTCATGACAATGTCTTTCCAATATATTTTAATGCACTAGCTTTCACATGATGATGTTATGAAATAATTAACTTATTGCTTTCTAATCTTCTGCTGACCTTCTAGATTTATGACTTAACAAAATGCAGAAAGCCACAGGTTCATGCCAATGGCATTTTAAGATCCTCTTGTGCTCAAAAAAGTGTCATGATCAGGAAAGATACCAGTAATGACCACATCTGAATAACTCTGCTGGCCATGGTGGCAAGAATCAGAAACCACCACCATGCCTTTTCCTTCCCCCTTAGTCTGGCTTGCAGTGTTTTTCTCACTCTGTTATCAGTTTGTACCAATATCTCTTGGCCTTCAAGTTCCTCTTTCCAAGAGTACAATATGAAGGGGTTTGTAGGAGGAATTATTCATGTCACTTCCTATAGTGTCATTCTATTTCTCACTTCTTTCTCAGGCAAATTTGGTTTTTGGGGAAACTAACAGACAAACAAATTGCCTTAAAATTTGCCTCTAATAATCCATGCTTGCCTCAGTTCTAAGTAATTTTACATATATTGGCTATTTAATAATAATAATGAATTCTATAAGGTAGATGATATACCATCCTATGTTTATTTCCTTATCTTTTATTATTATGTTTTGAGATAGGGTCTCACTCTGTCACCCAGGCTGGAGTGCAGTGGCTGATCAGGGCTCACTGCAGCCTCAACCTTCTGGTCTCAGGTGATCCTCCCACTCCAGCCTCATGAGCAGCTGGGACTACAGGTGTGTGCCACCATGCTCAGCTAACTTCCTTATTTTTTGTAGAGACCAGGTCTTGCTATGTTGCCCAGGCTGGTCTCGACCTCCTAGGTTGAAGCAATTCACCTGCCTTGGCCTCCCAAAGTGCTTGGATTACAGACATGAGCAACCACTCCTGCCTTTGGGTACTTCCTTGATGTAAGATGTTTTAATAGGTCCTATTAGAATGCAACAAATAAAGCAGTCTTTACCTTCATGAGTTTGAGTTAATGTGGCAAAATGCTTCTAAGTCATTTCTTTCTTAACTTTCAGTCAAATTAATGATCTGTGGAGCCCTTCCTCATGGCCTTAAAGATGTACCTTTCCAATCTCCTACTTGCGGAAGTATAATTGACCAGTGCTCACCAATGGCTGTGCTCTGAAATCCATTGCTGTGTTGGTCCAGAGACCACAATTTCCAGCAGTCACTTCCACTCATTGTGGCAGGGATATGTAGGCCTGCTCCTGGGAGCTGTAGAAGTCCACTGACACATGACTTTGGCTAGGGGCTCTTCATCAGCCTTGCTGGAACTGTTGCACGGCTGCCTTGAGGGATAAGACTTCCACCCAACTCTTCTTCCTTCCCTCTCCTCTTTCCTGTAATTAGACCATCCCGGTCTGAAGCCTCTCCAAACCTCCTCTGGCTTCCTCCCAATTTTTCCTCGTGGGCATTTCCCCTAATATATTTCCTGCATGTTTAATCCCATTTAATCATCTTTTCAGACATCACAAATGATTACATCTGCCGTTTGGACCTCAATAGCACTCATTAGAAATATAAGGCAAGCCAGGTAGAGTGGCCCGCACCTAAAATCTCAGCACTTTAGGGAAGAGCCAGGTGGAAAAATGACTTGAGCCCAGGAGTTTGACACCAGCCTGGGCAAAATAGCAAGATCCTATCTCTACAAAAAAAAAAAAAAAAGCCAGGCATGGTAATGCGTGCCTGTAGCCTAGTTACTCACGGAGCTAAGGCTGGAGGATCCCTTGAACCTAGGAAGTTCAAGGTTACAATGAGCTGTGATCACACCACTGCACTCCAGCATGGTTGACAGAGCAAGACCCTATCTTTAAATATATATATATATACACTTGTGTGTGTGTGTGTGTGTGTGTGTGTGTGTGTGTGTGTGTGTGTGTGTATTAGGCAGTTCAGGAACAGTTTGTTCAATGAGCATGAATCTTTTAACTGAAATGATGAAACAAACTCTTTAGTGGGTCATCTAAGGAAAATATCCTGTAATTAGTTTTCTTACAAGGTTTAGGAAAATTGTTTGATAAGCCACTAGGATAGGGCTCAGCAGCCTATGGCCCACAGGTCAAATTTGACCAGCCATCTTGTTTTGTAGATAAAGTTTTATTGGACACAGCTGCACTCATTCATTTATATGTTGTCTATGGCTGCTATTTCACTAAAATGGTGGAGCTAAATTGTTACACAAGAGACCATTTGGCCCACCAAGCCTAAGATGTTTACTGTCTGGGCCTTTACAGAAAAATCTGACCAACTCCTGCACTAGGATATAAATTCCTAAGAAGCAGGGATGTTTCTGTCTTGTTCTTGTTCACTGCTCTATCGACAGGATTTAGAACAGGACTGGTGCATAGGCTCTCAATAAATACTTGTGAAATAATTACATTGACTAAGTTTTAGTCCCTTAATCTCTGCAGGTTTCAGCCCAATGTCACCAAGCCTGAGGGCAATATGCTGAGGCTTGTGTGTTGATTGTAATAGGTACCCACAAATAGCTGATGGGTCAGAAGAGGACTTTGAACAGAAGCAGTCTACTGCAAAGATGTCTGACCCAACTAAGAACACTGAGTGAATGTTTTTTTGGGTTTTTTTGTTTGTTTGTTTTTCTTTTCCGTACTCTGAGAAGCATAAGAAATTTGGACTCCTTCCTTACTCGTGATGCTAATTTAGGGGGCAGGGGCAGGGAGAGAGAGTTGGATGCCATCAGCTGCAACAAGCAGAGCACCTCATGGCGACTTGAAAGAAGCCATTTTGGTAGCAGTTGTTAGTGACTAGAGGGTGTCACTAACCAGAGGGAAGCTGCTTATTTACAGCTACTCGATAAGCCTGTGGGAAACAACCCAGACTCCGGAGATAGACTCTCTGGGTTGCATTCTGACTCTACTGAGCATTAGCTGTATTGGGAGAGTTATTTCTACCCACAGTTCTCTGTCTGTAATATAAGTCTTATCTCTATTAAATTCTGTAACCAAATGAAGTGGTTATTATATTATAAATATAATATAGGGTTATATTATTATGTTATAATATATACATATATAATGAGGGTATTACCATTATAAATAAAATATATTTATATATAAATAAATAGAGAATATTATGTAATAGTTATATAATATTAATTATATATTACATCACAACTAAGATGAACAATAATTCCATAAGATTATCTAATTTCTACATTCATATTTTCTCATTTTTCCACTAAAACTTTTATAGGAGTTTTGTTTTTCAAGATTTAATAGTCCATTTAAATTTGGAGCAGTCTTCTACTTTTTTTCCCTGATATTGACATTCTTAAGAAACTGGGCTGTTTTGTCAATCATTTCACGTTCTGCATTTGTCTGAATATTTCTTTATTATGACCTTTAGTTTACCCTTCAATCCCCTATGGTTTCTGTAAACTGGAAGTTGAGTCTAAAGACTGGTTTAGGTTGAATGGAATATTGTGGCAGAGGTGTTCTGTGGAATTACTGGTCACTTCCTATTGGATCTCTTCAGGAGACACATATGCCAGATTGCCACTCCCTTAGTTATGCTGTTCTTTAACTTGGTTAGGGTTATAACCTCCATATCACTGCATCTCGATAGTTCATTTTTCCCTAGGAAATTAACAGATAACCTGTAGGGTAATACTTGGTCACATTGTCCATTATTAACCAAGTAAATTACTTCAATCATTTTGCAAAATGCTGATTTTCTAACTCTCTCATTCCCTCTGCATGTATCAACCTTAATTCTTCTGTTAGAATTAATTGCCAAGGCATCATATTTTATGTTACAAATTTTTCTTTGGAAAAAAAAATAAAGCAAAAGGAAACATAACCCTAAAAACAGGGCCTATTTCAAAGTTAATGAGTCGTTGAAAGAGATTTTTGGCCAGGCACGCTGGCTCACACCTGTTATCCCAGCACGTTAGGAGGCTGAGGTGGGCAGATTGCTTGAACCCAGGAGTTTGAGACCAGCCTGGGCAACATGGCAGAGCCCTGTCTTTACAAAAAAAAAAAAAATACAAACAATTGCTGGGCACACCTCACCGGAGCCCAAGAGGCTGCAGTGACTGTGGTCATGCCACTGCATTCCAGCCTGGGTGACAGAGTGAGACTCTGTCTCTAAAAAAAAGAGATTTTCTTTCTACCTCAATCTCTGACTTTTAGCATTAATATTAATTTAAAGGATCAGAGGCACTCTTGAAAATATTAAAGGGAGCTGGGTGAAATTTTCCAGCTCACTTTCTCTTGGAAACTAATAATTTTCATTTTTAAATGTTTACTTTTTTAAAAAAAAGAACTAAAATTTTGTAGCCCGTAAATCCTCAATTTCAGGTTTTATGTCTCTCTTACTCTTAGGTATATTTTGGAAAATTTATTCTTTGAAATTGTTCCTTGAGGGGCATGTTTCACATACGCTTTACTCCTTTTCCTTCTTCTTATTTAAAAATTTTCTTTTTTTTTCCCCAAAGATGTGCTTTTGGAATGTGTTTAGGCTAAGAAGGAAATGTCTTTTGTCATTTTAATGGAACACTTCAACTATTGCTAAGCAGCGAATTCCATAGTCGCATGGCAAGAAAGTGGTCAATTTATCATAGTTTGCTATGCAATTCTCTTGGTTGCCCGCTTCAGACCTAGTTTAATACATCAGTGGAGAGAGTTGAAATAAAGCAGCAATGGGGTCAAGGTGATGGGGAAAGAAGAGGAGGGATTGGCATTTGTGCTCTAAACTGCCCTGATCTTTAGATCGGCATTTAGCCTGGACTTCTGATATTGGACTCCTTCCTTCTCCTATATTCAGATGCTGCTCTAGATTTAGACTGTCATCACTGACCTCTAACTTGATATTCATGTCGGCCCTGTTACCCTTTCTGTGACCATGACTCAAGCCTGAAAGACAGCTCACTGTCCATTGCCCAGAATGTCATCTAACTCAGCTATGAGCGCTGCAGTGTCCTAGGCCCCCAGGGGGTCTGGAGGCTTAGAGGACTCCAGATGAGCCTTCCTGCCTCTGTGCAGCTGACATTCTAGGAGGGGCAGAAAGACAGCAAATGAGTGAATAGATATGATAGTTTTCAATAGTGATAATTCTGTAAAGAAAATTAAATAAGGTGATGTGATGGAGGGTGAGGAAGGTATTACTATAAAGAAGGTGGCCAGAAAGGGACTCTCTAAGATGATGAGAAGAAATCAGCCATGCATCTAGGAAGGGGTGGGCATGCCAAGCAGAGGAAACTGCAAGTGCAAATCTTCCAAGATTGGAATGAATTTGGCTAGTCAATGTGGCAGAAAGAAGACTGTGTAGTTGGAGCATAATAAACAAGAAGTGAACAGGGTTCTGATCACGTGGGTCTTTTCAGACCAGGCTGAGGGCTTTGGAATTCATTCTAATTGCAAAGGGAAGCCATTAGCATGTTGCAAAGGAGATGGCATGATCTGATTTATGTGTTCAAAAAGATCCCTCTGGATGCTGTGTGACAAATAGACTTGAGGTAGGGCAAGTAGGAGAAGGAAGACAAACTGGGAACTGTAGTGGTCTCCAGACTGAGATATGGGCAGCTTTGTTTTCAATTTTAAATGGTTCCATTTTGTTCTCAATGGACATGGAGGAGAATACTTACTGTCTTTTGGAAATTAAAATTTTTGGTGTCTGAGAATGTCAGGAACTGTGATCAGAGAGTACGGCGAATAAGAAAGAAAATAGATTTCATTTAACTGCATATGATATGCTTGATTTAGTGAGACAATGTACCTCATAAGCAAATACTGAGTATCCATAAACAAATATTGAGTGTTGTCTCTGTGCCAAGCTTTGTTCTAAATGTCACCAAAACATACAAGTGTTTCATTCCCTATTTCATTATTTTATAAATTGTCACTCAATAAACAAATACAAATCTTACTTGGACAATAAT
The DNA here is from genome assembly GCF_000001405.40 of Homo sapiens. Taxonomy (NCBI): domain Eukaryota; kingdom Metazoa; phylum Chordata; class Mammalia; order Primates; family Hominidae; genus Homo; species Homo sapiens. Next base: position 107,338,765 of record NC_000008.11, on the reverse strand, counting down.
ATGTTTAATAGTTGAAAGTTATATCTTGTGCATCTCCAATATTTATATTCTCTACCATTTATCCCCACTGAGCTACTCCAAACTCTACCTTCAAATTGTTTGTTTTGAAATGAAATAATACAGAATAGAAAAAATGTTTTTTAAAACGCTGAAACCCTTTACAAACATGAATATGATTAGTAGTAGTACATTTTAGACGGGCTTTCAGATCCTTACTAATGACTGTATAAATGAGTCATAGCAGTTTAAACTTTTTTAGAGTATAAATGCTCCATCTCACCATTCTCTGCCCCATCCCCTCCTCACCCTCCTGTTCCACCCCTTGCGGGGCTAGGACTGTAGGGTGAGGCAAGTGAGACCACATCAGACCAAATCATACATGTGCAGAATCAGATCCTGTCTTTATTTTTAAATGATATTCTGTTAAATGTGGATTTCTTGAATTAATTGTAAAATTTTAAAAATGTTACATTAAAATATTACTTACCTTGATTACTGAGATTTCTGGCACCCCTTTAAGTTTTGCAACTGAGGCATTTGCCTCTCTCACCTCAGCCTAGTTCCTGCCTTGCTCCCTTCAAATACATCCCCTACTCCTGCAAATTCCTGTAGCCCAAGTCCAGCCCAGGGTCTATTGGTGTATTTTGTTTTTTATTTTATTTTATTTTTTGAGATAGGGTCTCACTCTGTCACCCAGGCTGTAGTGCAGTGGCATAATTATGGCTCACTGCAAACTCTGCCTGCCAGGCCCAAGTGATTCTCCTTCCTTAGCCTCCTGAGTAGCTGGGACTACAGGCACAAACCACCATGCCCAGTTAATTTTTGTATGTTTTTGTAGAGATGGGGTTTTGCCGTGTTACCCAGGCTGGCCTTGAACTCCTGAGCTCAAGCAAGCCACCTGCTACAGCCTCCCAAAGGGTTGGGATTACAGGTGTGAGCCACCACACCTGGCCCTGTTGGTATATGTTGAGTAGACTTTCTGTGTGCATCTGATGTAATCCTAGATTTAGAGACGCTGCAGAAAAGGAGGACGGCTCTAATGGCATCATTTGTAGAGGAACTTTACATTGATATTGACCTGGCAGAAGTATTTCCAGGTCCTTTTAAATAAGCAGTTTTAGGAAAGATGTGGTAGTTAAAAAATGTTTCAAATAATGTGAGGAGCTTTTAAAATTAATTTATCTTCTTTCTTTGTTTTATACCTCCCTTAAGGAGTAAAGAGAGGGAAGGACAAGAAAGAGTCAGGAACAGGGCATTGACACAATTTGAAGGCATCTGCTAGGACTGGAGTGTGCATTCTTTGCCTGGAGAATGATAGGTTTAGGTGCACAGCTCACAGACTCATGTCATAATAAGGCCCAGCTGGACACATGGGTCATTGTGATTCAAGATGAATTGAGCCTTCACAGTTTCTAGAGGACCACCAGAGTAGTAATAGTGGTGTTGAAAGGATGAGAACAATCTGTCTCTCATACAATCTGGGTTCTGGGTCATTTCATTTCCTCAGATTGGTTTGACTCACCGTCTCCTTAATTTTCTTTGCAAAGCAGCAGAATCAGAATAAAACTACCTGAGTTTGAAACCCCACTCTTCCCTTGGTTCCTGTGTGAACTTGGGCTTCTGTCTGAAGCTCAGTTTTCTCATTTGTAAAGTGATGATAACAATTTCTCCTTTGATAGGTGGTCATGATATCCGGAAAGGCTAGCATTACCTAGTGTGATAGGCGTTCTATAAATGTGTGATAATGAGTCTTTCTAAACTATGTCAAGAGAATTTTGCACATTTCTAATTGTTTTTTGCCAGGTGATCCACCAAGGCAGGTATCTTTTACATGCCTATTAGTTATTCTTAATTATTCACAATATCTAAGACCTTGTACTTAATACTAACGTGCACTTACAGATATTGGAGATAAAATATATGAAGCAACTAGCACAGGAGAATATCCTAGGGTTTTAGGACACAGAAGTCCTAAAACACAATATGTTTGTTCAATTGCAATTTCAATCTCAAACCAAAATAATATCTGAAAGGCATGTAAAACATTAGTTGGTAGAATATAAGTAGAATGTAAACCTTTTTTTTTTTTTTTTTTTTTTTTGAGACAGAGTCTTACTCTGTCGCCCAGGCTGGAGTGCAGTGGCGCGATCCCGGCTCACTGCAAGCTCCGCCTCCCGGGTTCACGCCATTCTCCTGCGTCAGCCTCCCGAGTAGCTGGGACTACAGGCGCCCGCTACCACGCCCGGCTAAGTTTTTGTATTTTTAGTAGAGACGGGGTTTCACCATGTTTGCCAGGATGGTCTCGATCTCTTGACCTCGTGATCCACCCGCCTTGGCCTCCCAAAGTGCTGGGATTACAGGCGTGAGCCACTGCGCCCGGCGGTAAACCATTTGTTAAATTATTCTTGAAAAAATATTTAACGACAAAATAAAACTTAAAAAAGTTCTTTGATTCGTGACTGAAGTTTGAAATATTTTCATCTTTTATCTTAAGGTACTAAATCAAACTTCTCGACTTGAGATACAGCTGCTGGAGAATTCATTATCCACCTACAAGCTAGAGAAGCAACTTCTTCAACAGACAAATGAAATCTTGAAGATCCATGAAAAAAACAGGTGAGGATTGCTTTATTCCAAAAATGTTTCTGTGTGTACTTATTTATATCCTTCACCTCTCTGCCAACTCTTAAACAAATAAGGTTGAGGTGGTTTACAAAAATGAAATATAGAGCCAAATTAATATTAATATAAAAATAAAGGAGAGCTTAAGGTAAATTCAGCTAGTATGTCAGGAATAAATTAATATTGTTGCTGATACTCTTGAAATATTTGCTTTATATAACTTTTAGCATTAATTTCTCTAATGGTAGTAGTTCAAATCTCACCATATCTACAAAAATTTGATTCTATGACTAAATAAAGTGACATAAAATATTGACATTTTTCAGCAGAATGAAAACCTATAACAACAGAGAATAGAGCCTCTTAAATTCCTACTCAAACCCCAATTCTTAGGCTTTTACAAAGCTACAGCGTTTTTGAATTCAGAAATATAGCACTAGAGAGAAGGAAAATGTATATTTTTTCTAGAAAATAATTTACCTATAAAGCTGATCAAGGGTTTGGTTTTTTAGTTGTCATTTACAGCCATTTACTTTGGACATAGTAAATTTCTTTGGTTAGCTTTATAGATGTCATCACACCATCTTGTTTTATAAATTATGAATCATTTCAGTTGATTGAATTGGAACTTAGACATCTTGAATGCTGGGACAATGAAAGAGTGTATTATTTTGAAGTCATTAACATTGATGATGAACAATTCAAAACACTGACTTCCTTAGGACAAGTTTCTTGCATTACATTGATTTTTCTTCGGGGTATCTAGATAACTTGAAGAAGGTTCAGTTCCTATGCATAATATTGAGGTGAAGACCATGGTATTGATAGAAACTGGTTAAATGCCATTGAATTGGTGGCACTAGAGTTCCCTTTATATTCCACACCAGGAAGGCACCTAAGAGGACTGCTAGTTCTGTTCTTTACAAGTGAGGGAACAGAGACTCAGTGGAAGGCAGTGACCTGTCCAAGGTCACACAACTTGCTAGTGGCCGAAATTGGAATGTAATTTAGGTGTCAGGATCTTTCCACTATAACACATGGCCTCTTCATATTATCTACAAACTAAAAGAATTTCCCAACTTCATGCTAAAAGTAGAGCATAATGCAACAATTACAATTAAACTTCTGCATGAAAAATACAAACCTGGCTGTTGGTTTAGAATCTGAAAGGGGTCACTCATGCTGTATGACTTGTATTTCTAAGTGTTACATTTATTTATCCTTGTACTGTGACATGGGGTTAGCTGTATAACTACAAATAAACTTGACAGGACTTGACCCTTATTGCATGATTAAATGTTCTAGAACTAACAATCCTGTTGAAATATACCATTTATTCTCCTGCAATTTCACAGTAACCAGACCTATACATGTATGTAATAGGTATGCTTCAACCACCCCTTAATCTAGGGTCACCCCTTTATGGTTTAATTTTGTCACCAAAAGTGAACCACATTTACAGTCATATTTCAAGATGCTATTTGTGAAGGCTTTGCCCAGGAATCATGGATAAGTAAAACGATGACAATTTTCCCTTATTTTTCTGAGTCGTCGTTTGGTTTTATAATTATACAATAGCACGTTTATTATAGCATAAGGACAAAAAAAAACACACAGGAAAATTAAAAACCACAGCTTTATCATACAGAAAGAGCTGCATATTTTGCTGCATTTTATATATAAATATCATTTTCACAAAAAGTTCTGTCATACCTTACACACAGTCTGGAAGTCTGACTTCTTTGGAGATAGATGTCATTTTACATTAATAAAATATTCTCTAATATTCTTAATAACTGCATATTTCATTTTACTGGTATAACCTAAGGTGGTTTGAATCCATCTCTCAGTAGTTATGTTACCACCTGATTTATTTCTGAAAGAGTTGCCAGCATGAATTTACATTCTTTAGTTTTTCCCTACTGATCTGCATATTATATCTTTGTCTGTATCTGACCCTTGAGCTGTCATGATACCATAACATAAACTGGGAGGCCTGAAAAGTCTCCTCCCTAACTGCAAAACAAATGCCATCCTTATGCACCACTTGTACTCAGGTACTCTGTCTCTTTCTCTTTTCTTCCCTCCTTCTCATATTTATCCATCCTTCCTTCCTTCCTTCCTTCCTTCCTTCCTTCCTTCCTTCCCTCCCTCCCTCCCTCCCTCCCTCCTTTCTTTCTTTCTTTTCTTTCTTTCTTTTTCTTTCTTTCTTTCTTTCTTTCTCTTTATTTCTTAAAAATGTATCCTTTCTACCTTAATTCTGGATCATTTCAGATTTTCTTGTCTTCCCATCATGATTTTTATGCAGCATCTGGTATCATTTCCTACTATAGAATTCTCACTATGAAATATTATATTTTAAAGGCAAACTGCTTTAAAGTTGTTCTCTCTGCTCTATCAGTAAAAGTGAGTTAGGGTGCAAGCTCTCAAAAGAGCTCCACTCTGGGTCAGGTAGAAGGGGCTTCCATGCACTTCAGTATCTCAAAGGAATCTGACTTCTGATCCCAAACATATTTGTGCCTTCTGCTGATGAACTTTCCCCTCTCATTAAATTCTAATTTCAACAGAAAACTCAGGTTTTCTTACACGTGTAAATCACATCATTTATTGCTAATGTTAATTTTTTCAGGATTATAGCAATTTCCTTTTCTAGTAATATAGGTATTTCACTACAAATTCAGAGATTTGGGTTTTAATTGGAAATTCATTTCTGTGCTCACACAGACAAAAACCTGCATGCATCTTACACTTCCATTCCACATCTCTTTCTTTTTCGACAGTGGACCCCTCAAGTATGGCATTATCTCACATGTGGTTCTGGGGTATTTTTCTATCAATTTCTATGCCTCCTGGTATTGCTGTATCTCTATAGTTATCTGTCTATCTTCTTGTCTAAGGGCCTAATGTGTGTGATGGAGTATTGGCAGAACATCTGTTCTTAAATTAGACATAGTCTTCCATAAACAACTTAAAAAAAAGAGAAGTGTTTTTCTTTATACAAATAAAAAATACCCATTTGTGATACATAGCATACTTTCCCTATTCTGTTTATTGTTATTGTTTATTTTCATATGTGCAATGGAATTAGGGGAGCTCTGCCAGGCAATTTATATTGCAACAAAGAAATGTGCTCCTCCTATTTAAGTGGAGAGAGGTTCAAAGTCAAGCATGAAGCTGTTTATGTTTTAAAAAAATAGTTTATCGATTACCACTGGTTATTCCTTATATGAATCTTAATCCTCCAAATGCAACAAGAAGCTATTTCTACATTAAGGCATCTCTGAAATGCAGCAACAACATGCCTTTAGTTGGTCAGGTCTGGTTTGGATCAGCTAATACACTTTGCAGGGGGGATTATCTAAATTAAGCTTTGTTTCCTCCCCAAGGAATGTCAGGGGTTGTGTCTGGGTGTGGGACTTACCAGGTTTGAGTAAGATGGGGCTTCAGCCGCCAAGTCAGTGAGCTGGCCCTTAGGAAGGTCCACCACTGCTTTGGCAAAATGAGGAGGAATATTTTATGGTTAGGATTATACTACACAAACATGCTGAGAGGTCCTGCTGATTTACATCCTGACAAATTAAATGCATCACTTGTAGGATTGGAAATGGATTTTTGGCCTCATGAGATTCACTTCTCTATCCCCTACATGGCCAGAAGCACAAAGCAGAAACAGGATTAGCAACGTTTGCTCTGCTGTTTGTTTTCCTAACAGTCCAGAGGGAGTCACTCTAAAAAGCTTCCAGTTTGCTCTCTTTAGGCAATATGTTTTTCTTTTGTTGGATGCTACCCGAAACTTAAAACCTGGTTTTGTTTCTTACCTCAAAGAAACAACACTTGGGAGTAAGGAATCTGTAACTCAACCATATAATTGGAATTACACAACCAAGAACCTAAGTAAATGGGAAACATTAATATTTTACCTTGCCCACAAAGGGAGTGAGATGAACACAAAGTAGGACACAAAATGTAAACTTTCACTAGTTTCCTCCAGTATGTTTCCTACTGCTTTCTAAAACAATGGAATAGAGGTGTACAGGAAATGATGTCCTAATGCAGTTTCCTTCAGTTGAACCAAATATGTGACTGGGTCTGTTAGTCGAAAGGTTTGGTCAACTGGCCAGTTTTCCCAGCACCCGCCCATCTCTGACTTAACCCCAACTTTTTGCAAGGCGGAAGCAAAGCCAGGCTAAAGAATATTCCAGAAGGAGCCCTTCTGTCTCACCAGGGTATACAGGAAGGGAAATCAAAACCCCATGTATACAAAGACGGAGCACACGGGCTTTCTTGATTGTGCTGAGTATGCAGAGTGAAGATTAAGGAAGTCTTCAGTAAGACCGTTCAGAGTGAACTGAAACGAGACATGTGATGGCCATTCCTACATAGTTTGAGCAATACTAGCTGCCGCATAGCTACTAGTACAAGGTAAACATCTGTGCCAGGTGCTTTAACTTACTATTTCCAATCCTCCAACCAATCCTGCAAAGTATGTATTATTATTTCTATTTTACACTTAAAAAAAGCCCTGAGGCTCACAGAAATCAAGTAAGTTGCTTATGACCAAACAGCTAAGGATATGGCAAAATTAGAGTTCAAGTTCATGGTGATTCTCTGCCTTAATTATTATAAAAATATTTTTGCAATGTGATGAGGCCTCAAGTATAATTGATGTAGTTGTCAAGTTATTCTCTTAAAACAAACAAATATTCATTTGAAGAAAGGGGTAGACCAGTTGTTTTTGGCCTGTCACTATATAGGTCATTATTTAGTCCTTCTAATATTAGAGCAGAAGATATAAACTATTTATTTTACCTTGGGAATTCACTGAACTTATTTGACATGCTCATCTATCTTCTAGCTGGAGTTATGGGAAGTTATTAAGTTAATTAATTTTAAGTGATTGAAACATGTGCAACTTCAAGATACCAAATTATGCCTTACTAATTATTGCAATAAAATACAGTATTGATATTTAATGCTTAATATGCCTAAAGAAATGAAAAATGAAATCATAGTCTTTTAAATTAAAGCTATCTTTCATTTGATAAATTATTTACAAAATGCTAAAGTAACTTGCTAACTTCTAACATTAAACTAGGCTGAATTATATTAGTTGTTTATAACAAGGATAAAAAAGGTGACTTTTTGAATTTATATTATTCTAGTCTTTTTCTTGTAAATAGAACACCTACATACTAGAATGTTACCTTTTTTCCCTGTTAATTTTTAAAATAATATTTAATAGCATATAGCATTTTCCTTTTTTTAAATTATAATAACCGTAGTATCTTGGCATGAAATACAATTCTGATCAAATTGGAAATCTAAGGCTCATCTTAATTCTTCTCTTTCCCTAATCCCCCACAACTCACCAGTCACTGTTGATGCTATCAATTCCATCTTCTAAATATTTTTCTAATCCGTCCCATCCTTTCCATTCCCACTGACTATGTCTTAGGTCAAGCTGCCATGAATTCTTGTCTAGGCCACTGCAGTGACCTCTGGGTTTAAGCTATGTGCCACTCCAGTCCTTATCCAGAAGCTGTGCCAAAGTCTTCTTTCTAAAATGCAAGTCAGACTATTTTCCTCTATTAATTCCCTCTCAACCAAATGACAATTCTCTATAACTGATAGAAGAGAGTTCAAGTTCTTTAGCACACAATACAGTCCATGATCACTATAATCTTACTTTTGCAGACTTACTTCCAATAATCTTATTTTTTAGAGGATACACGCTAATAGTTAAGAGCATGAGCTCTGAGGCCAGACTGCCTGGTTTCACTTTTCCTTGATTCCTGGGATAATCGACTAAGTCACATATTATTTGTGTGACTTTGTGCAACTTACATAGACTCTATGTGTTTTGGTTTCCTAATTTGTAACATAACAATGACAATAATTGTACTGTATGAAGTTAAGATGAAGATTGAGTTAATGTGTGTAAATCACTGAGAACAGTGCCTGACATGAGCAGCAGTGTTTAATCATGTTAGTTGTTAGTATGACACTGAACACATGATGTTATTTCAGACATATTTGATGTTTGCCTGACATTCCTTATTCAACTCACAAATTTCTGTTCATCCTTGGAAACTCATTGCATGTGTCAGCTTCTCTAACAGTCCGTCTCTGGCTCTACCAGATAGATTTGCTCATTATGACCTATGTGATAGCCCTGTACCTGTTTCCTCCCCATAATTTCACTTATCTGATCACATTATAATATATGTATGTTTCTGTGTGTGCATGTTTATTTATCTATATCCATACTATTAGGCTGTGACCTTCTAGGACACAGAGAATGTGTTTTATTTTCATTGTCTTCCTGCTCCCGGGCACAATTTTCTACACATAAGCATATTTAGTATTAAATGCATTTTGAATGCTAAATGAATAAGGAACTGGGAAATGTCCCAATAGCTCTAACCCAACAAATGCCATTTATCCATACGACACACAGAGACTCACACACACACAAAGACTCACACACACACACAACTAATAAAAATACTTATAGTGGAAAAAACAAATCATATTGTTTACATTAAATACTGTAAATCCATTTATCGTTTTCAACATGAATAAAATAGAGATCGTGTTTACACCACTATTCTGCATTGTCAAAAGCCCATTGCATGGCACTCAATGTTACTATTGTATACTCTGAGGTTCACTAATTCAGCCCACCTTTAAAATTTCTGGATAGCATTTGCACAGGCCATTCTAGACCTATGACTGTTTCCTCCATTTCTATGATAAATAAAAACAAGTAAGACAAACTTGTTGTATATACATGTATATTAAATTATATACATGCATATACAGTTGTAAGTCAAATTTCCCCTAATTCCACACCCCTACACCATACCACCTGCTAGCAGAGAATCATCATTAAGAGATTAAATTCAGTGCTTACTCTTCCAGATGTTTTCTCTAAACATACTAACATATGTGTATATATAGAGTGTGCATATTTATGTGTGTGTTTACACAGATGTACACTCATATATAATTGCACACATGCACAAGTACTTGTTTATATGATATGTGCATATATGTGTAGATTATTTTATCATTGGGGTTTTTTCTACTATTTATTTCATAATAATTTGTCATACATATATTACACATATAACCATAAACAGATATACCTCATTCATTTTCAAGAATGAGTAGCAATCTATTTTTATAGATGCACTATAATTTATAACCTATTATAAGTATTATTTATGTTAATAGATATATAATTTATCAAAACTATAATTAGTGATGTGATAATTTAAATTTTTTATAGATATTCACAAGTTATCTTCACATTTTACCTTCTCCCTAAGAGTACCTGGGCTTTCAAATTTCCCAAAACTTTGCTAGCCATCTAATTAATCTCGGCTTCTTCAGAAGTTAAGTTGTGCATGTTTTTGTGTGTATTAACCATTTGCATTTCTTCTGTGACTAGATTTCTTTTTCTGTGACTACATACTAGCCTATTTACGTATGTTTAACATTTTTTCTACTATATTGTTTATCCTTTTTTAAATTAACTCATATGAGCTCTTTAATGGATATTAAAACTTTGTAATATATGTTACAAAATTTTCTCTAGTTTATTATTTATTGTCCAACTTATTTTTTAATAGAAACATTACATCTCTGTGTTATGAAATGTATCAATCTTTTTTTTTCTTAGTTGCTGGTTTTTATAATACATTTAGCTTATTCTTCTTTACCCCAAACTTTACATTTATTTGCCAATATTTACTTATAGTATCTATGCTTCTACTCCAAATTTGAATTTCCAAACAAATATGATTTCAGACTTTGAGAGGAAATTTATTGCATTCCAATTAGACACGTAAAGTATAAATTTAACCTGAACTAAATCTGTGTGTATTTAAATGGGGAGAAAAATTACTCTTTACAAACCCATATTTGCAACACATGTTGACACCATACATGTTGAAAATAGTGGAAAATATTGGAACATCTGTAAATAGATTCAGACAGATAAAAATGAGGTTTCTATATTTTCAACATCTTCCTCCTTGTTTGAAGGGCTATATTTATACTCATAGAGCTTAGGCAACTGTCACCACTGTGAATTCATTGGCTGCTATGTTAAGAACTCTATTGTGGGAAACAATTTGAAAGGGATATCCTTTTCTGTGAAAGCTTCAAGATATGTTCAATGATTTGAAATATTTCCAATAAGATGTTGGAGAAGGCAGTGTAAAACAGGGGTATGGAGAAGTCTACCAGAAACTTCAAATAGGACTTGCTGTACACTCATTTAGAACCTTTTACTAAAGTTCGAGGCACAGATTATTTTGTTTATTTTATTCATTAAAGTGCACCTCTGCCTCAAATAGAAGCTAAGTGCCAGAATTCTATGCATGTCTCTTCTCAAAGTGTTTCCAGAAAGACGGGAAACAGGAAGTCCTAAGACTCCTGTGAGAAACTCTCTCCTTGGATTTCTAGCTCAATTTGTATAGATTTAGGTGCATGGTTTCATAAAGTGTTGTTCCATGGAACCCTAATCCTAAAAGAAGCATCTTAATAAAAACTGTTTGTTTAATATAGGCCTCCCTAAATCTTAACAATGAAACTCTTATTTTGCTTCAAAGAACATACTGAATATGCTCTAGGAAACAGTGCACTGGTGTTCAGTAACCATCCAGGTTTTGTGTTTAAAATGCAAACCTAAGCTAAACATGTAGCTGAGACTGTCATCAGGGAAAATCTGACTACTTTGACTATCTAACTTTAGGACACTGGGGCTGCAGTGTTGTCCTTCATATCAACCTCTCTATATAAAGATCCCCATGCTAGCTGAGGTGGCCACTCCCAACGGACCTGGATAACGAAAATAGTAAAGAATCAATGAAAGGCTTCAGGGACAAAATGAAATATGAGCAGTATATTAACAATATAATTAAAATTAACACATAAATTTAATGGAAGAGGTATTAAGACAGGGTAGTATTTAAGAAAATTCTAGTCCAGATGTTAAAAATCGACTTGACAAAGTAATTCTGTTTTTATACGTGGGAAAGATAAACAGGTTCAAATATTGTGAAGGATAAGCTCCCAGAACAACTAAATGGAGAGCAGCAAATATTAAGGATATGTGAAGGCAGTGCCTTGGTTCCTGGTATAACATGATGAATAAAAGGAATAGGAAGAGATTATAGTGTGTTAAGTCAAAGAGATGAGACTATAGGATGTTCATTGACACAGCAGTGGGATGTCTTGAGTAGATTTCCAGTCTAACAACTTAGAAGACATGGCTTTTTATTCCTGGTTCTGACACTTAATATCTGCATGATTTTGAAGAAAACATTTGATTCTTACCTATCCATGAGGGTCTGTAACATCTGCTCATTCTATGTTACTATATTGCTTTAAGAATCAAAGGAGATAAAGGTTTCAAATTGCTATATAACTATAATGGTGTGTTACAAGAATAAGATAATAAGTAGAGATGGTATATGGAGTTTTCTGGCAAGTGAGGTTTGCATTGAAACCATTTTGGAAGTAATGACAAGGAAGGGCTGACTTCCAAAGTAGATACTAGCCAATAAATGGGAGGAATCAAAGAGAAGAGAGCAGTCTTTTGGAAGCCAAATATGAAGAGAAGATGAAAAAAGGGGATGAGTGTAGTCAAAAGAAATGGAAGGGTCAAGAAGAGATCAGTCTTGCCTGAAGAAGTCTAAAAAGTTGTCATTAATATGAAAAATGTCCCTAATAAATAAAGTTGGTAGATAATTACTGAAGTACAAATGTTATTAAGGGCGCTCCAAGTGAAGAAATGTGATGAGAAAATGATGAGAAGAGATAATTAACTGGTAAGACTTGCCATTAGAGAAACAATGTAACATGTTTCCAATTTGCTTGTAGTTGTTATGCATATTACTTGGGTTTCCAAATCCTGTGGAATGTCTGTGCTGTAGAGTAGCCTTCTTAGTTCCATGGACAGTCTCTTTTTCACATTACATGCACTGTCTATTCTAAGATGACAAACTATATGGGTATCTTTTGATACCTGCTAGTAAGGGAGCATTAAAGGTTGTCTGATGAATTATGAAAATTAATGTTCTGTCTAACGTGCTAATGTGCGTTATATTATATATTATACATATTATGTATTCCTTTTACTCAGAAAAGCAGATCTTTTCCACAAGCCAGTGTCCAGAATTGTTTCCTTTAGTACCAGGACTTCTTTGATCTACTTTCCATTCTCAGCTCTTTCCAAGTTATCCTGAAAAACAAAACAAATCAAACAAGCCCACCTTCTTTACTGACATCTCAGATAGCAGCTATCTCTGCGCATATGTCCGCTTGAACAAGGAATACATCAAAAATAAACAGAAAAACACTGATGCAAAAATTTAAAAAAAAAGTATTATGTCTGAAACAGAAGTTTCTTTTAGCTTCTGCATTTTCATTTGAGGTTTTTATTCTCTAAAAATAAACCCTAGAGTAAGAATAGTGTCATTTTATATTTTACAGAATTATTGGCACTTAGCAACTAATAAATACAAATTATAACTATAGCATGATATTTTCCAAACCAGAATGTTACCTACTGATTAGGAAAACTGAAAGGCCAGTGCCCATCTTATTTCAAGTACAAAATGGTAATTCAGAATTTTTATCCAGTATTATATGACTATAACGTTCAAATTTTGATATCTACATGCTTGCCAGTTTAATAGGTAATGCTAAGTTTTCTCACTAGTAGACTATAACGCCTATGAATTTAAAAGGCAATTTTCTTATAAGTTAACAACTCTAAATTATGGGCATCTTGCCTCTGATCATTACCCCAGGACTAGCAAGAAAAGTAAATAAAAAGTAAACAGAGAATAAGCTAAGACACTGGTCGTGGTTAATTCTCAGATCTAAAGGCCAAAAATTAATGGGCACAGAGAAGATCTCCTTTGACGCCTACCCCAGTAGGTGGGATGAAACTTTTAACCAATAAAGATAGTGAAGAAGTTTTTTGTTTTTGTTTGTGTTTTACCACGAACTTCTCCAACAAAAAGTTACTGGCAAAGAAAAATAACATGGTAAAAGAAGATGAATCATACCTACCCCTTACAGATGTTGTTTTTCATCTTACACTGCTTACCTTGCCTAAGTTTTTCATTTCCAAAAGAATTTTTAAAAAATAAGTGATCATCACAGTTTCCCTATATTACTGTACCCAAGCTCTATCTAAATTGGGTTTACTTTATGATCGGTGCAGGGCAGGGCTCCTTTCTCTCTTGGTATTGGTAGAATGAAAGCAATTCAAAACAGAAATGGGACTTCTACTGCAGAAGTCACACAGTTTCTGCTAATGGGTCTCAATGAGAAACTTTCTTATGTGAATGTGTGCACACTACTAAAGGTATTATAAATTAGTAGAGTCTTAGCAGCCTCAGGTATTTTTCAGGCTTGACTTCACAGGCAGCTTTCCTGCCATATTCTTCGAGTACAAGTTTGTTGGCAAAGATTTGGAATGCCCAGGAGTAGTTCTGGCCACACTTCTTTTTCCTCTTCCTCTTCTTCTAAACAATGGAAATGTATTCTCTGAATATTCTGGAGGCTGAAAGTCCCAGATCAAGGATCAAGGTGCCTGCAGGGCTAGGCTCTCTCCGAAGGCCCTAGGGAAGACTCGGTTCCAGGCCTCTCTCCTACCTGCCAGTAGTTCCTTGGCTTGAGGCAGCAGTGCTCCAATCTTTACACAACCTTTTCCCTGTGTGCACATCTGATCTGTCTCTCAACATTTTCCCTTTTTATAAGGACACCAATCATAGTGGATTAGAAGCTCATCCTCCTCCAGGATGACCTCATCTTAACTAATTACATCTGCAACGAATCTGTTTCTAAATAAGGCCACATTCTTGACTTCCTGGAGGTTGGGACTTCACACACACACACACACACACATATATATATACATATATATACATATATACACACACACACATATATATATATACATATTTTTTTTTTTTGGCTGGGGGGCAAGCATGGGCAGGCCATAATTGAACTCGTAACAACCACTTAAAACAGTACCTGACACTGGCCGGGCACAGTGGCTCATGCCTGTAATCCCAGCACTTTGGGAGGCCGAGGCGGGCAGATCACAAGGTCAGGAGATCGAGACCATCCTGGCCAACACGGCAAAACCCCATCTCTACTAAAAATACAAAAAATTAGCTGGGCATGGTGGCAGGCGCCTGTAGTCCCAACTACTCGGGAGGCTGAGGCAGGAGAATGGCGTGAACCCAGGAGGCGGAACTTGCAGTGAGTAGAGATTGAGCCAAGATCACGCCACTGTGCTCCAGCCTGGGCGACAGAGCAAGACTCTGTCTTAAAACAAACAAACAACAACAACAAAAAGCAAAACAAAAAAACAGTACCTGACACATAGCAACCATGTCATAAATGAGAGGTATCATGACTAGTATGATTGACATCATCATCACCATCTACCATGCTGATCCATCCACAAGGTTTCTGGCATCTACCAGGATGGCACAGCTTCTG
This sequence comes from Homo sapiens, assembly GCF_000001405.40. Classification (NCBI taxonomy): domain Eukaryota; kingdom Metazoa; phylum Chordata; class Mammalia; order Primates; family Hominidae; genus Homo; species Homo sapiens. Next base: position 107,323,612 of record NC_000008.11, on the reverse strand, counting down.
CCACATGGACTTCTCTCGATTCCCTCACAGTCTTTTATGCCATTTAAGCCTTGGACCCACACTTCTTAATCTGTGTAAAAGACAATCAGATGTTACACTTTGTCCCCCAGTACCTGGTGTTGGAAGATTTGGCTCTTCAAACATGCTCTATTTTATAATTTAAGTATTGAATCTAAAACACTCCCTAGTGTCCCCTTTTTGAAAGGAATGATTCAGTGCTGTATTTCTCCAAGGTAAATTAAGTGCCCATTCTGGTATGTGGCATTTTAATAACACCTTGTAAACTAAGGACGGGTTGAACCTTCTGAAAACAGAACTGAGAAAACCGAGTAAGCCTTTCCCCGGAGGAAAACTAGTATATTAGACACTCCATAAAATGTTAATGCTTTTTATTTCCAGTCAGTTGGTAGGCTCCAAAAATGCTTCTGCTTTCTCTATCATTTTTAATGTGCAATATACAAGGGGAATATCCTATAAAGAGCTCAGGGAGAAGGAAGGGCCTCAGTTAAAGATTTCAACACTCTGAGCAAAGCATCCCAACTCCTTTCAGAAGACCATACCATCAGCCAAAGGGAGTCTTCCTTTTGTTACCATTTATACAGTGACTTGGGAACTTGTAGTGTCATTAAGCCTCATCCTGAAGCTTGAGTTGAGAAATAAAGGAAGCTAGTGGTTATGATACAGGACCAGTTATCAAAAATCACAAGAATTCATTGTGACTTTAGATAGATCACTTTTGGCTCCTGTGGTTTCTGTGTCAATATAGTTTTCTTTTTGTATGTGTGTGTGATTGAGAATGTATATTGCTGTTTTTTCTTTTTTCACCTAACATATTTTGAGCATTTTCTAATATCCTTAAAATGATTAAAAATATTTTCAACAGTTTCAAAATAAGAGATTTTTTTCTTTCTTAATGTCATTGTACATAAACCTTTGTGTTTCTGATTATTTCATATTTTTCTCTTTATTTCTGATTTTGCAGATGGTCAATATACTATTCTTGATCCCACAGAACTATCGTGAAATTTAGTCAATGTTAACGTTTTGAAAACCCCAAATAAATGAAGCAAAGTGAATAAAAAGTAGTTTCTACGTGTTGTTTGTTTTTTTCCTGAACTATTCTGTTTCCTCTTAGGCCCATTTCTTTAGTGAAAGTTATACTATAACTTCTTTAGAGTGTAGCTATTTGGGTGTAAGTTAGCTACCTTGGATATAAGATACACCCAAGGAAACCAAGAAACTAAATCATAGTTAAAAGCAAACATTACTCTGACAATATCTGGTTTACTTATTTTTTATTTGACATGTTATATGTGTAACTCCTATTCTGAAGAATACATATTCTTAAGTCTCTCACTTAAAAATATTTTTACAGTGAAATGTAAAATTTCTCATCTTAAATAAATTCAGGAACCAATTGAATTATAAGGGTTTTTTTGTATAACATTTTTTCAAATCTAAGTTTTATTTTCACTTCCTTGTAGTTTATTAGAACATAAAATCTTAGAAATGGAAGGAAAACACAAGGAAGAGTTGGACACCTTAAAGGAAGAGAAAGAGAACCTTCAAGGCTTGGTTACTCGTCAAACATATATAATCCAGGAGCTGGAAAAGCAATTAAACAGAGCTACCACCAACAACAGTGTCCTTCAGAAGCAGCAACTGGAGCTGATGGACACAGTCCACAACCTTGTCAATCTTTGCACTAAAGAAGGTGGTAAGAATGTCTTCCTCACTTTGGTATTGTTAATATTTTATTTCCTTTGATCAAGTAAATACTCAATATAGCTTTCTACAGTGCATTGATTGCTGTGTAAAAAATAGCAGAAGAACTTTATGGTTAGAATCATTTATGAAGTTATGTTGATAATTTTCTCATGTTTCTACCTGGAGAATGTATTCATAAGCCTAAATTTGTGAATCCACAATGTCTTTCTGAAAGAGCTTTCTAATTTCTTCTTTCTTTGTCTTTTAACCTTAGATAAAATCTGTGATACTGTCGTGAATAAATAATTGGTATTATGGTGTTAGACACTTAACTATATATAGGACAGAGATGAGCCAATGTTAAAAATTAGTTCATAGTGCTGGGAGAGTTTCAGGAGGATTTCCATTTTTAAATGAATATTTATTATTTCCTTTTAAAGGGAATGGGGTAGGAAATTGTGGGTTGCAGAGAAACGGAGACAGACTATTTGAAACAAGTATTATGAGTGAGGCAGGATTATTGTTATTAAAAATGTTTATTAAGATCACTTGTGCTTAGTCCTGTGCAGGATAGATTTAATCAGGGTATTTAAGTTCATTAATTCTGGGGTATCTTTGTGACAGTGGAGATACAAATTTTTGATATCACTAGAATGTCTGGAGTCATTGAACCTTTGGGAATATCTACAACCCTGTATTTCTTTAGAAGGCATACATCTGTCTATCCATCCATCCACCTAACAATTATTGAATGAATGCCTCTGCTTGCACCTGTTTCCTTCAAGCAGAACCTCTAGTGAGCCTCAGTAGAGCTCTTCAAAGTTTGGAACTTGAAGTCATCTTCTGTATTTCTCTAATCAGCCTTTCTCTGAATGAAGATGGAATTGTAAATGGTGATGAGTGAAAGAGAATACCACTTACATCTGCAAGTTGTTGTTATTAAGCTGTGGCTTATGTGACCATTCATGAAGTGGTTCAGTGAGCATATGCAATGTACACATGGGGAGGCTCCTTTAATTTAAAAGTGGATTTGAGCTATGTGACAAATTTGTTCAATTTCATGCTTTCATCTATAGTTATGAATAGGGAAGATAACTCCATATTAAGTGATTTTGTTTTAAAGACATTTCATATTTCTCTATTACACTCCATTACCTCGAGTTATATCTCCTTTAGATAGTCTAAACAAGCCTTTAATATGCTTTGTAAAGTAATATTTTTTAAACAGTGAGTTCCCAGAGCTCCATTTGGGTGTGCTCAGTAATGTGGTTGGGAAGGGAAAAGCCTGCTAATCAGTCAGACTCTGCCAAAATCTTGAGTTAGAGTCCACTGGAAGGAAAGCATGGTAGTATTTTGCCAGAGAATTTTAATAGAACTCATGAGTATTTAACGATTAAGTATTAATACAAGTTATATCTATTCTCATATTGAGCTGAATACATTTTGGGAAAGATTGAAAACACATTTTTCTTATCATCCTAAGACTTAAAGCACATGGAGTGGAATAGTGGTTTTTATTTCATGATTTTAGGGATGTCAAGCCCTAGTGATTCTCACAGAGCTCATATGTCTGCGTACTTATCATAATTTAACTTCTTTTCTGAGTATTTGCCTAATAAATGTGTCTTTAAGCTTTTAGAGGAAGAGGATGTGACTTTAGAAGTAAACATTCTGGCTAGGTTTCAACTTTGGGCGCAATATCAGGGAAGCAAACATCTGTTCAATTTAAGAAACATTTTTGAAAAATGAGGATAGCCATGATAGATGGTACCCTTCATAGCCATTCAGGAAGTGAAAAAAGTAACTGTGTCTGTTCTATGATGTAGTATATCCAAAAATAGTAATAATAATCATAGAAACTGAATTTGTCTAAATATTCCAGGCCTCTAGATATCTTTTCTTTTTAATGACAAAACTCTGAAATGAATCTTGATTTAACTACAGGATTTGCCATCTTAATTTAAGGTGATTGCCTAATTTTCCAATAGGTTCTCTGCTGTCATGACCATAGATTTTATTTGCTTCTTGTTAATCTCTTTTTTCTTTAATCTTACTGTTAAGCGTTCTAACTAAATATTTAGTTACTTTTAGAACTCATAAGAGACACAAAAGTGGAAAGTGGCTCTCATAAGGTTTTTATGAAGATTTTCATTGTCTGCATATCTTTATTTTCACTGGAGCCTTAGTCGTTGGCTATGGTGAATTTAAAATTTTAAATGGCTAATAGCATAATACTAGATTGAATATCAGTTATTAAAATGAACTTTTATTCAAATTCTAAAACACATGGGTAAAGCCTTTCTTTGTTTTATGACCAAAATTTATATATCATATAAATTTATTATTTATTGAAGGATTATATGTAAATATTTTACTTATAAATTTATATATATGCAAATATTTCAAAATAAGCATACCAGAATAAACGCATCAAATATTCTAAAATGTACATTTTAAAGCTCAAATATAGGTATTCTACAAGATCTTAAAAAACACGAGCTGTGTCGTCATCCAAAAAGCCAAACATTTTAATTGACCCTAAAAGGTCTTCTGGTTTCAATCTGACCCACTAATCTGTGGAGACAGCCTGAATATAATACTGCAAGGCCAGACTAAAAAAATGTTAATGAGCTTCCCCTGTCATTGGCAACCAGTTTAACCTTAAGGAAGCTGTCTCATCATGTATAAAGTCAGGAGAATTCTGTCTATTTCACCACAATAGGGAAAGAATTACATTAGATGCTCAATATACAAGCGAAGATCCCATTGCTGAAGACACAGTTGATTCATTAAACTTTAGTTTCTTCTTTCTCCTTCGATGGACAAGATTCAGTTAAGTACATTCATTATGTGCTTTATAAGCAAAACTTCCTCTGCAGAAAATGTTTAAATACAATGCCCCGGAGTGTTTGAGTGTTGACAGTCATCCAGGCAGCTTTTTTGGCCTCCATTTTCTGATCTCTAAAATGGGATCATAATATCTACCCGGTAGGTATGTAGTACACCATAAATATATACAACTTTTGTCAATTATGTAGTTCAAAATTGCCAAAAAAGTGGATTGTAAATGTTCTGACCACAAAGAAATGACGAGTATGTGAGGTAATGGATATGTTAATTAGCTTGATCATTCTGCAGTGTATACATGTACCAAAACATCACGTTTTACTCCAAAAATATATACAGTTATTATTTGTCATTAAAAAATTCAAATTTAAAAAAGAAATAGAGGGCCTAGAATAAATACATACATAAACAAGTAAATGAATTAATTTCTTAAATGTTGAAATATTAAAAGAGGTTAGTATAAAACGCATAGCTTCTGTGTTAAGTCATAGTCAACATTAAAATAATCGTAATTATCTTTATTTTAGTGCCTTCTAAAATGCCTATAATGCATTAAAGTTATATGATAAAGAATTCCTAGGAAGTGTTGGCTAGACATGTACTTTTTTTCCCAAACATTTGTTTGATCCAGAAACTGTAAATCTATCTTTGCATTCAGAGAGTGCTTTTGTTTAGTTTCACAGCACTTTTTCTACTAACACATCTGATGTTGTGAGATACTTTTAAGAAGGACAACTAATAAACACATTATCTGAAATAATTCACCAAACTTTCCTCTTCTTATTCCTAATAGACAATAATGGTGTCTTAGGCAAATAGTCAATTCAAACTGAATTGCATCCACTTTGTAAGGCTTCTGAGTAACACATTTATTTTTGCCTAACCTTCATCTGCAAACATTGGGCCACATTTATTCTTAGAAACATTATCCACTAAAGAAATATTGCCCTCAGTGTTATCACAATGTCAAAGCTCAGCCTATTGCTTCATGTTTTTGGCAATTCAAAATTACCAAAATTAAATATTTGCTGGAATTAAGTAATTTACATTAATAAGGCATACAAACAAGGTTTGGAATCTTTCAGGGGAGAGTAATCAGTTACTGTGACTATTAAAAAACCACTAGTTGGCCAGGCGCGGTGGCTCATGCCTGTAATCCCAGAACTTTGGGAGGCCAAAGTGGGTGGATCACTTGAGGTCAGAAGTTCAAGACCAGCTTGGCCAATATGGTGAAACCCCATCTCTACTAAAAATACAGAAATTAGCTGGGCATGGTGGCACATGCCTGTAATCCCAGCTACTCAGGAGGCTGAGGCAGGAGAATTGCTTGAACCCAGGAGGCGAAGGTTGCAGTGAGCTGAGATCACGCCACTGCACTCCAGCCTGGGCAACAGAGTAAGACTCTGTCTCAAAAAAAAAAAAAATAAAAATAAAAATAAATTCACTGGTTATCTATGTACACTGGTGATTAAAATGTCATCTCATGTTGAGCATACACGTGGCAAATATATAATTGGGAATTTAATTACTAACAGCATGTAAAAAAAGGAAGGAAGGAAAAAAGAAAAGAAAAAGTTTTTAAAAAAAGTATTTAGACTGTATTATAAACTTACATAGTCTGATTGTCTCACACTGCTCAAATCAGCTCGAAGCTCATTTCTGCTGTAGCAGGATGTGGTTCATAAATTTATCCATTCATTCAAAACAGTTCTGCAGCAACTGTTCTGTTCTGGGGAAATGATATTTATTCATTTTTATTTAACAAATATTTGGTAAGTTTCTATAATGTGCCAAATATTGCTCAGACTACTGGGAAGAAGAAAAGATGTATTTCATTCTGTGGCTTTAAGGAACCTAGGGTTTGATAGGAGAGAAAAAAGTAAACAATTATTTTTCAGAATTATTTGCTAGAAGTGAGCCTAGGGTGCCTGGACCCGAGCAAAGCTCACAGAGAAATATTAAAATCATGGCAGGAACAGAAGGATAAGGGCAGAATCCAGCATCTCTAGAGTTTTCTTGGGGATTTTACTGAATCCTTATTATGATTCTAGTTTGCTTAGGCTTTCCACGTGTTAGCCCTTACAACAGCAACATGAGGGAGTTACCATGTCTAGCATAATTTTATAACCTCTACAGAGAATTTGAGAATTTGCCCAAAGTTACAAAGCTGGAAATCATTGATCTAGGATTAAAATATAAGCAAGCTTGTTCTAGTGGGAAGATGATAGTTAAGTCTAAAAAATGAAGAAAGTGAAGGACACACCAGAGAGTACAAACGGCATGTTTATTTTCCAGAAGTCATGGGAGCGGGCTGTAGCCTAAGTCTTAAAATGAATTTAGAGAGAGGATCTCTGAGGGAGACCAAAAAGGCCACATTTTTTCTATAAAATCAATGAGCAGTCATTGTCAATATATGATGATAATGGTGATATTTGTGTTTTACAAAAATCTCCCCAGTGACAATGTAGGAAAAATATACTGTAAAGCTGAGAAGCCTGGAGTAGGGGACCAGATGGGTGCTTTTACCGTTATTATAATATCAGCAAATACTTGACACAAGCCAGTCTTCTGAGACCTTTGCATATATTAGTTTATTTAATTCTGGTAACAACACTGTATGATAGGTTCTATTACCAACTCTATATGAAAGGTAAGCTAAGCACAGAGAGGTGAATAATGCTTAAATATCACACTACTAGCAAGTGAGCAAGCTGAGATTTGAACCCAGAGTCTTGTTCTGAATACTGTACATTACACGCTGCACCATATTGGACAGGGAAGGTAGAGTTGATGATTTTTGTCAGAATTTCAAAGTGATCTCTAGGAAAGAAATAGTAAGGTCCATATTAAACAGGGGTAAATGGAAAAGTAAGTGGAAGAAATTTGTAAAAATAGAAAAATTAGAATCAGCAAGAAATAATGACTTCCTAGAAGTCTAATCTAATACCAATTGCACATTTCTAGGTTAAACAACTGAGGGAGCATAGATCACATTCTTTAAAACCAGCAACATGGGAGATGAAATAGATTGGAAGGGAAAAAATAGTGAGTTTTAGTTTGGGATATTTTGACTGAGTTGCCTGTGGGACAGAGTCTGGCAGGCAGATAAATCGGATTCTAGAAGGAGAACAATGATTTGTCCTCAGAGGAGACAAGAGGTAAAATCATAGAAAGTGCATATAAAGCAATGGCTCTTATTCATGTAGGGGTCACAGATCCATCAGGAAACCAGATGCAAACGGCTATTTTTCCTTTCCACTTACCCCAACCCCAAAATGCAAGGATATAAGCACACATTTGTGTACAATTTGAGAGCATTTACATACCAAAGTTATGAGTGCATTGTATGAAAAAATGACAGTGTAAAATCAAAGACAGAAAAATTTGAAGGTTTTTAAGGGACAGGTTAAAAAAAAGAGACCGAAAGAAAAATATAGACAGTGTGAAAAACAGTAGTAAGCAGTGTTTTGGGAAGGTTTAAAAAAAAAGGACAGTTATGAAGGATGTTCTTTTCAGTGGCAAGTAAGCATGACAGTCAAGTTTTTAAAAAGAACCTTCTGTATGCAGAGGTTTGGTATGCTACATGGCTCAGTTGCATATCTCAGAGACTAAAATGAGTGAGAGGAAGTTAACAGAAATCATTATATACCTGCATTCAAGAAACTTGAATGTGAAAGGACAGATAACAACTTTAAGTAGGGAGGCACACGGAGTAGAGGAAACTTAAAAATAAGTACTGAGAGACAAGAACATGTTTATATACTTAATTCTCTCATAAGAAGTTCAAATTTCAACTCATAGGAGCTTCTCATGAAGTTCATTTTTAAGAATCATTTCACATTATCACAGAGACATAATGGCTGATACTACAAATGTTTAAGTGACCACTATTTGAGCTAAAGTGCCTTTCCCAGAAGCTGATTGCAGTGGTATGGAACATTTGATCATTATTATGGGTCCTCTAGTCTTCTTAAAGGGGGAAATGAGGCATTTGCTTTCTTCTCAGTGCTGAGGAGTCATTTGGCTTGATTCTCAGAATAATTCTACCATCTGAAAGGAATTTACCTCCCATGTTGTGTCTGTTGAGTTTATGAAGTTTATATCATTCTGTAAGGGATGAGATAGTTTGAACTGCAAGTCCCTTGAGTTAAGAATGACTCTAAAAACATCACAAGTGATGGGAGGAAATTAAAACTTTTTGAATGTCAGTCATATAAACATTGATAAAAATGGAATATATCAGTTTCGTTGACTGGGTAAAATACTTGGTTTTTCATTTACTACTTGTAGTGCACAATTTAAGATTAGGTAGAAAGAGAAAGAAAAATACAGGAAGTCATCTGCTGAACACTGCAGTGAGTACTTGTTTCCATTTAATGAGGGAAATGCTTTATCTTGACAGAAAATTATATGTCAAACATTTACAATTTCCTTAAAATGAACCACACTATCTAGCACTTCCTTTCATAAAACCCAGTGGCTTAAGGCAAAATTGACTGTTTATTTTTGGAAATGGTATATTTCTCCTTTTTGATGGAGCGTGTTATCTGCCTTTTAGAATAGTCATAATTTCTGTAAAAAAAATTGTGAATAGTGGATAGCCAAATTAATGATAACAAAATAAAAAATAACATAGTCCTTGACCTCTCCCATGAACTATTTCTAAACCCCATCTTTCGGAGGAGATTTGAAATTTTGTGGTTAATTCTCTTTTGGAATTGGAGTTTTTAACTTCAGAAACAAGATGAACTATCTGAAAAGGGATATCTCCTGGTTCCAGCTGGGCTTGGAAGTTACAGGGGTAAAAGGCCACAAAAAGAGTGTTTCCTTGATGTTCCAATATTACCATGAGCAAACTCCATCCTTCTTCCCTTATGCTTTCATAGCCTGGTTGGCTAAAGCGAAGGAGCACAGATAGTTTGAATAGACTTTCAATTAAGTCATTTCCTGGTCTCATCCACACTCAAGTCAAATTCAACAGATATTTTCTAAACCAGGGACAAAACAGAACAGTAGACATTAGTCACGGATAAGATATGGCACTTTACACTGAACCAAATGACACCTATAATTACTCTGAGAGACAGTAAGAAAAAATGTTTTATTAACAGCATTAAATATGTATGCATCATATCAACTATAGAGTGAAGACCTCATGAAATTTTTTATACTGTAAGAAGGGAGAAAAAGAAGGTAAAATCTGGGGAATGTTGCAACTGTACACTTAGCTTTAAATGTGTATAAACAAATATTTATTTTTAGCATAAGATTTTCTAAAAGTCAATTGCAAAGAATCTTTAAAACTAGTAACATTTTGGCCAGTCGTGGTGGCTCACGCCTGTAGTCCCAGCACTTTGGGAGGCCGAGGCAGGTGGATCACGAGGTCAGGAGATCGAGACCATCCTGGCTAACACAGTGAAATCCCATCTCTACTAAAAATACAAAAAAAAAATTAGCCAGGAGTGGTGGTGGGCGCCTGTAGTCCCAACTACTCGGGAGGCTGAGGCAGGAGAATGGCAGAAACCTGGGAGGTGGAGCTTGCAGTGAGTTGAGATTGCGCCGCTGCACTCCAGCCTGGGCGACAGAGCAAGACTCTGTCTCAAAAAAAAAAAAAAAAAAAAAAAAAAAACAACTAGTAACATTTTTAGCTTCCTATAGGAACTCATAATTTATTATCAACCAAAGGATATCAACATGAAAACTAACTTTAAGTACACTGGAATCTCATGCTTGTGCTAGTTTGGGTGTTCACATTCTGAGTGGGGTTATGTCTGCTAAGGAGTCATATTAATATGCAGCCTACAAAGAATTACTCATCTTTTTAATGGATTTATGAATAAGTCAGATTATCAAATGTAATATCAAATGTCAGACCTCTTTTAACTTGTGTATTTATTATATGTTTGCATGTATCTTAATTATCTTAATTATTTTTAGGTGTGAACGTTCCATTTTCACAAGTGGGATGACGTCCTTTAGAATAGTGAGTTTGAACTTTGGGTATAATTTTAAGTGGAAATTTGGTTCTAAAGGGAGATTTTGCCAGTTGTTTAGGCCTCATGGACACACAGACACGCACAAACCTAATCTTAATCATAATTAATTATCCAACCTATCTCTCTAGAGCTAGGAATTATAGATTGAGATGGTTTCTCTCCAGTATCTGGGAGCAGGTGTATACCATCGAGAGGGCAGGCATGGTGGTTTAGAAGGAGCAGGAATCATGACATCTCTGTTCTAGTCCCAGCTCTGCTGTCAGATTGCTTAACATAGAAGTATGGCACACCTTAGAGTTTGCCTGGTATCCTACACAAACCTACATACTTTATGACTCATATCAAGCATTCCAACTTTGTCTCTTGGTTTTGTGTCACTCCTAATAACCGGTGAAGCCCTGTATTCAGAGGAGAAGCCCATGTAGAGCCAGGGCTGGTAGTCAAGTACTGTTCTTTAAGTATATCACACCACAAGAGTAAGAATCAAGGTGACGTACTTGTGGTGACAGTCAGGACTTATTTACTTAAAACTTCAAAGTGGAATTTTGTGTATGTGTCAGTTTTCAAAAACATCTGGCAACTGCTTTCTATGTTTACAGCATTGCCCAAGGACTTTCATTCCATTTTTAATGGCTGTTGCTGAAATAAATTATATTTGTCTGCTCATAGCAGAGCACAAAAGATGCCCCTTAAGCTTTCCCACATGTATGGGAAATCTTTTGTACAAAACCAATATATTTTAGCCAGGCTGAAAAAAAGTATATGGGAAATTAACACACACGAAACACCTGAAATGTCTTTGTGAATAAAATGAGCTCCTGAACAAATGGCAAGGGCCGTGCAGCATTCGTAACTGCCCAACAGGGTGCCCAAAGGGAAAACAAAGAAATTAATTTTATGTAAAATGAAAGATTACTTGATTAAACAAAGATGGTGTGTATTTCCAGTTGTACCTTTTAGTCAAGTATTTTTCCCCATTCTTTTTTTTTTTTTTTTTTTGAAACGGAGTCTCGCTCTGTCGCCCAGGCTGGAGTGCAGTGGTGCGATCTCTGCTCACTGCAAGCTCCGCCTCCCAGGTTCACTCCATTCTCCTGCCTCAGCCTCCCGAGTAGCTGGGACTACAGGCGCCCGCCACCACGCCCACCTAATTTTTTGTATTTTTAGTAGAGACGGGGTTTCACCATTTTAGCCAGGATGGTCTCCATCTCCTGACCTTGTGATCCGCCCGCCTCGGACTTCCAGAGTGCTGGGATTACAGGCGTGAGCCACCGCACCCAGCTTTTTCCCCATTCTTGATTACTTTAGGTAGTAATAGGCATTGAATATACGTTGTTATACACATGAGATTCGTTTCACATTGGAAGATAATTGCAAAATTTATTTGAACATGGTAATCAAACTACAGTACAAATATGTAGAATTGATATTTAATTATTCTTCCACTTTAAAACAGACTTTAAATTAGAGCTACACTTATGACATAGGATGCTTTGCATCTCTACATAAATGTAAGAGTTTGTATGTCTTATGTATATCGTAGTATTATTGAAAATTTGTATATCTGCAATTATATATCATGGGCAATATATTCTTCAGATAATTAAAATGTATCCCTTTAGTAAAATTTTATGAAAATTTTTAAATGTGATGAAAAATTACCTGCATTTTTTATCCTCTCCTTTCTTTTTTTGGAAGAGAAAATTGAATAAAATTATGGCTTTTTTTCTAATAATTTAATCCGTTATTATCCATATGAATTAATTTTCATCATAATACCGTGATGCCTCTGGAAAAGTATATAGCATGCCCCCTTTATATTGTTCAGTGCCCAAATTCTTATCATTTCTTAGTTTTGCCTACTTTTTAAAATTTTCTGTCTTTTCCTCACACACATACACACGTACTTTCAATGATCCAATTCCTTGTCTCCATGCCTGATACTAGAAGATGAACACAGACACACACACACATACTTTCAATGATCCAATTTCTTGTCTCCATGCCTGATACTAGAAGATGAACACACACACACTCACACACACTCACATACATACACACAGTCACACACATACACACACACTCACATACACACTCATACACACACACATACATACACACACACACACTCACACTAACACATACACACACACACATATTCCCACTCTCACTACCCCGCCAGCCTATCCTCTCTGTCTTTGAAGCTTCTAGCAAATAGTCCGTAGGCTGGGAGACCAACTACCAGGCTTATGAGAATAATACCTAAAATTAATAGGGGTAAATCCTGAGTCAGTGTGACTTTAAGGGTATGAACATGATAAAATCCAATATGGCTGCTTTGGGACCTCTCACTTATCCTCTGTTAGCTCTTGACATTGTGGGCTGTCACGGCTTCACTTTTCTGCTGAGGGTTTTCATCTCAGACAATTCTACTGCCTGTGGCTCTCTGCTATCCTCATGTCAACATATTCTTTGTTCTTATCATTGCTGCCTCCTCTCTCTTTTCCCATACAACCTGCTTCCATGAGATGAGGCTGTACCCTTTCAGACTTATGGCTTATACTGAATAACTCAGGACCTTGGGTGTGCTCTTGTCAGCAGAGATAAGTATTGCTGGGGATTCTGTGACAGATGACTCACTGAAGTTCTATTTGGGTTTCACTTTACTCAAAGGCCAGTAAGAAGTAGTTAAGATTTTCAGCTTTATAGTCAGAGAGTTCTACTACTTACAAGTTTTGGTGAAGTTAGTAGCATTTCTGAGCTTCAACTTCCCATGTAAAGCAATATATTGATAAATACTCCTCATAAGAAATTTATAAGGATTGAACAAAATGAAGCATGTAAAACATACTTGGCACACAAAATTCAGAGTTTACCACATAGTAAGTGTTCAATTAATGCTAGTTGATTTTATTATGATCATGATTATTATAGTTCCATAAAAAATGGTAGTTAAGATTTTATAGATTATCTATAAAATTACATATAAATAATTTAAATGAGAGCAAAGAAGTTCTTTTTTAAAAATGTTTAATTAAAATAATAATTCACTAGATAAATGATGTTCAAGTGTTCCCTTATTCCAGGGTTAGAGGGACTTTGAGAAAAGAAGTAGTTGTTTTAAATAAAAAAGTACACTTTTAGTTAATCAAAGACTTCAAATTAAGAGTATTTAAGAATAGAATGTATGTGTTTGTTATACTGTCTCACACACATACACACATGCACACACACATATAACCATATTCAATTGCCATTTTTGTAGGTTAAAAACAGTCATGCTGAGATATCAGCCCACAGATATTTAGGTTTGTATGCATATGCTTTCTACAAGAAAAAAATACCAACCTCAACATTTTCCATTTATAAGCATACAGCTTGTATGTATTTGTGTAGCTATATATATTTGTATATCTGTTTATAAAGTCATTGGTAAATATCCCTCACCCCTATACCTACCCATAAAATATTGAAACTTGGACTGCCTGGAAATCTTTTAATTCTTCCACACCCTTGAAATGCAAGACATTACCTTCTTCCACTTTTAAAGATTCTTTTGAATAAATTAGGATTCCAGAGAGTGTCTTCAAAATGTTTTCTCTATGAAATGCCCACACACCTGGCTGAAAAGCACAAAATCTAATCCATCAATTGTTTGCTTGTTTGCACCTTGTCAGATGTGCTGTTTTCTTCCTTTATATGCTCAGTTAATTTCAGTGACCTGTTGTGTTGAAATCACAGGTTCAGGGTCAATTTCTAGTGCTATGATCTTCCTAATAATGATGTCTCAAGGACTATCCTTGAACAAATAACCTGATCCACATGTATTCTGATGTTCGGTAAATACTGGAAATACATGAACCATTAGCCATATTTAAGGTTTAAAATGAACGATTGAAGAACTGATTTCTTTATAGCAACTCATCAGAAAATGGGTAAGAGAAAGGGCTTTGGCTTTTTACACTGTCTCTGGTAGCAAGGCTAATTGCCTTCTGTGTTCTCGGCTAGTGTTGCTGAGGCTAATAATTACCAATTCCACATTCCAGGAAGTTTTTTCTTGAGGGTTCATCTGAATTGAAGTGACCCTCTGCCTTAGATTTCATGGTCCTCCCCTGAAGTCAGTCTGGTGGTGGATGCACCATCTAGATTTAAATTGGTTGGGTAAAGGAAGGGAAGATCAGGATAAAGTCAACAGCTGCTAGCATCAGGGTCTCAGGTTGCTTATTGACTGAATGTTGGCTGGTGAAAGACAGACATGCACCTGTTTGTGTCTCTATTCTATCCCTTTAGATGACAAAGATTTGGTTGTATAGATAAGGCTAAATGAAAAGAATGAATAATGATTCCTTCCTAGGACTTTCTAGATTTATTTGCTGATATTGGTGTGGGCAAAGTCTTTGAACTAGCATACCAGGCTCTTAAATTTAGGTCAGATAAGCTTTTCTATATGTTATATTCTTTCAACTGTTATCTCTTCTAGGTAGCCTTCCTGGTGTCCACCTGGCAGAAGGAGTATATTCTTGCATGTTCCCAATGTGCTTGATACATACCTCTAAGATAACAATTGTCTGCATTCTCTCTCTTTGGTGCTGTATTTAAACTGGTGACATTATAGCCTTACAAGTTATTGCCAGCTATCTTGTGACCAGGTTGATTGCCAAGAATAAGTGGGTCAAGAAAAAGACTAAGAAACCAATTTCTGGTCACATTGTTTGAAACCTTACCATGACTTACTTAAAGTACTACATTGGATTCTTTAGTTACATGATCCAATAAATTATCTTTTTGCTTAAGCCACCTTGAATTGAGTTTTGTCCTATCATAAAAGTTACTAATCATGGGTATAGCGTTCATGGAAGATCTTTTTCGCATCAGGCTGTGATCACATGACAGGCAGGCTTGGGCTTTCTTATGTCTGTATCTCCATTGCCTAGGAGAAGTCTTAAAAATAGCAAATGTCCATCAATATTTGTTGAAATAATAATATAGGATGATTGAACTAAGAGAGGATAAGAAGCAGAGGGACAAATGGAAAAGCCATACTCTAATTGTCTTATTAGAAAAAAATTAACACTTTAATTAATTTTTAACTGATAAAAACTGGAGAAGGATAGTGGGACTAATAAGGGAAAGAGCAAACACCTGGTTTGGAAGGAAAGATTATGGAACATTAAACAAATGAAAGTTGGTGTAGCAGGAAGGACTGCCCAACAGGCAAGTAGATATATGAATCTGAAGGTAAAGAGAGAGGCAAATACTCAGTGTTAAAAAGTGCCTGTGTATATTAGAAATCTTTTGTGCCGCAGTTGGAAGCCATGATAGATAGTTTGCAAAATGAACAGATATATAAGAAATAGAGATCCAAGAATGGAAACTTAGTGAACATCTATATGGTAGGTGATGAGAGGAAAATAAACCGATAAAAGAGGAAAGAGAAAAAACAATTGGAGAAGTTGAAAGGGACTAGGAGAGGTCAACAAAAAACGCGAGGGGAAAGATAGGCAAAGACAACTTCTATAGGGTAGAGGAAGGGAGTGGAGGAGACATATCAAATGGCTTTGATCTTCAGAGTAAACCATAAAGGTCATTTATAAAGAGTGAGAGAAGATAAGATGTAGTTTTTTAAAACAGTAGAAAGATTTGCAATACACTCTACAGGAAATGTCGTAGGAAGTTTATTACAAATGACTCAGTGTTTGCAGTCTACAAGGGGGTTGAGAAAGTGAATGAATGCCCATCTGGGGGTTGGGATTTACCTATGCAAAGGTGAGTGGATGAAAGGACAATGGGTGGAGAGACCAGGGATGCCAAATGGACCATTATTAAATTCCTGACTCTGGGATCGAGGCTAAGAAGAAAGAAAAGGGAGGCTCGGAAAGCAGTGATAGGAATGGCAGGGATCTAAATTCTCAATGAGAGGGAAGATGAACTCATCAGAAATTAAAGAATAAGAAAGGAAAAATAAGAATATCTGGTCAAAGAAAGAATTTTAGACATAAAGATCAACCTTTTAACTCGTGCTTCAAATCAGTTCATTATTACAAAAAGTGTAAACCACTTTGAGAGATAGATACAGCCCTCTTTCAGGTCTCCGGAAGGTTCCCCCTGACATCTGTTCGGTGATGCTTCTTTTACTCTTCCATCAAATCTTAGTCCAGACTTTTTTTTTTAATTTTTAATTTTTGAAGAGACATGGTCTCACTGTACTGCCCAGGTTGGTCTTGAACTCCTGGCCTCAAGGGATCCTCCTGCCTCTACCTCCCAAAACACTGGTATTACAGGGTGAGCCACTGCTCTTGGCCCCATCAAGTCTATTGTATCTATCTGTCTCGTGTCATTTACTAAATATTCCTCCAATTTCTATCTTCTATCTAACTGAAGCTCAAGACCTCCTAAAAATCTTATCACTGGTGCTGACACTTGCAATGTTCAGGAAATTCAAATGTTATTGTCTCTCTAGGTTTTAGAATGTTTCCTAGGTGTCCAGTTTTATAATATCTATGCATGACATTGGACTTCAGAACTCTGCAGTACTTAACAAAGAAACGAGTCATGCAAAAAGTCATGAGATTGAAACTTCTATAACCAACATGTTGACATATAAATCGTTTATAATTTCATCTGAAATAATCTTTAAATCTTAACTATTTAGGTAAAGCTTAAAATACACAGCAAGATGAGATTGCCTGTTTTGGGGTTTTCTTAAATGTAAACAATGGTATAATCTGATTTATTCAATGAATGAAACCAGCCAATTAGCCAAATTTGACCAGGAGAGGCTAATTCAATGTGATCCTAAATATAACTAGTCAACTATAACTGCTATGTTTTAATTAGAAGGTGGAAGACAGCAGCATCCACCACCCCCTAGACTGGCCTTCCACATTCTGCTAGTGTCTCTTCCATAAGAAGGAGTAACAGGATAATATTGCTGTTAACAGTGTTGTCATTACCATAACAACTACCATTCTTGAGTACTTATTATGCTTCACTGTCTTTGCACTGTGTTAGGTAATTCATACACCCATCTCAGAGGTATTTATAACTACCTCACTTTATAGATTAAGGACAAAAAAAACTCTAAAGGTCAATCTACCCTTATCAAAGGGACCTTATTCAAACCGTAGTATATAATAAAAATACCAAAGGTAAGCTGTGGATGAAACTTTTACAATGATTTTCAATGCCTTGCTACTCTAAAGTGTAGCCTAAATTAACTTTCAGGCATATGCTTGCTAGTTGGTAAGTAATTAAAAACAATCAATCTAATCTTTCTGGAAAGAATGACTTTTTTGAAAGAATATAAGTATCTCAATTTTTCAAACATACCAAATTAAATTTCAAGAAAATACAATATCTATTTCAGATATGTTACCATAACAACAAAAAATCCATAATATAACCATAATACTAGGTGTACCTTTTGATGGTAGAATTCTCAAACCATTTTCCCAAGTATAGAATTTGTATTCATGGTTTTGACAACAAATTTATACTGTTAGTTTTCACAAAAATAAGTTAATACCCAACTTTTTCCTTTTTTCTCGGTTACTAAAAATGTGTGTGAAATAGCTTCCTCTTCCCACACATAGCCACTTCACCAACATCTTCCTGAAGTGGAAAGAAAAAGCAAAAATGGGAGGAGAGATGGCAGACAAGAGTGAAGGGAATGTGTTCTCCATACATAACTAAAAAAGGGAGGGCAGGATGTGGTATATACAAGAGAAGCATTTTCTCCATAGATAAATGACTTTCTCTCTCTCAAAAGAGAAAAATGGGTTTACCGTTGGGTTCCTGCTGACCACATCTTCCTGTGTTTTTTGTCCTCTCAAGTGATCATAAATTTTAGTTGGTATTTCTTCACATCTCTTTTTCTGGGCATCTGATTTGCTTATTTTCAACTTTCCAACAGAATAAAGGATCCAGTAGGTGGGATTTAAAATTTTTTTTTGTTTTAGAAAAATAGCAGTCCGTAAAGTTAGAATAAACGAATACCAGTAAACTACGTCAATGCTTTTGAAATGGATACCTTTATATAATCCATTGACATCCTCAGTGTCATTAAAGATGGCTTTTGAGTAAGCATTTATATATGCATCTTTAAATTGCTATTTGCATACATTCTGTGCAGTACTTCTTCACTATCATATGAATCTGTAGCCCTTTAATTAGTTGATTTATTTTGTGTTGACATGGCAATTGTGATGGTGGTATTTAGATGTAATTATTAGTATGATTCATTAAAACCATTAGTGCAGACTTGAGCTACATAGAAAATCATAATGTTATTAAATGCTTTAGTACTATTTTTCTGCTGTGGCAACATATCTGACATAAATATTTCATTTTCTTGAAATATAATTTAATATTTTTTAAAAATCTGAGTAATTTATATTGAAATAGTAATTATTTCCATAAAGATTAGACTGCTCAATACCTATAAGTTAGTAAACATTAGGCAACTAAAGGCCAGTATTTAGTATGAAACCAGTATTAAGTTAGGCCAGGATTTTAGATTTTTAGATCATTTAAAATTAATGTAAAAGTTCTGATTCATAGTTTGCCTTTGTTATTTTTATTATAAAAGACTATTATAACTCAATGTGTTTGAATGCAGATATTTATTGATAGGAAACTTTAAGGGCAAGATAACAAAATAGTCTTAATCTTAATTTCTAGAAAAAGGTTAAATAAAACCAATTACTAAAATAATACATAATAGAAAATACTAAATCATAAATACTTTATAAATATAACACATATATCTTTAGCTAAGAACTATTAAATGTGGGTCATTTTGCATTTTTATTTCATTTGTAAGAAGTTAATAATGGATAAAGCTCAGTAAATAAAATAAGGTTTTCCTCAGTAGAGACAGTCTCTAACTATTAATAGATTTTCTGTCTTCACTTGACTTCTAGTGTTTACTGTGACTCTTTCACCTGTATAATTTAATTTCAAAGTCTTATTTGTTTGTTCTTTTATTTGTGTATCATCTGCCTGATGATTTAACTTTAGGGCATTAAAGAAAGAACAAAGTAAAGTTTGGTTTCATTTTCATTGTAGGTAGTTAAGTTGGGTCATAAACTCTTTTCTACTTCCCAAATCTAATTATTGTTAAGAGTTGTTGATTCTTTTTGTTTTGCTTTGTTTTGTTGGTAAAATTTTCTAGAAGCTCTTCAATATAAAGTCACAGAAAAACAGTACTTCCATTGTTTTAGTGTTTTAAACTTCCATATTGCATTTTTATGTTTGAATTTATCTTCATGTCTTCCTGCTCCAAAAAGTGTGTTAGCACTTTTTTTAGACTTTCCTGTGAAATGTAGGTAAGAACGTTTTAGAGATTTTGCAGGAAACTTGACGTAATTGCTACCAATTGAAGATATTACATGCCCAGGTCATTTGTTCCTTAAGTTGATGTTTTGGAAAGGATACATAGAAAAAAAAGAATTAAGAAATTAAGTAAAATATAAGCATTCAGTTAAAAATGGCTCTACAGCTTTTTCCTTCAGTTTTTTTTTTTTAATTTTGTAAGCTACCTCAAAATCTAGTATTGTCTTTATGATTGACTTTTTACTATGTGCGATATTGACATTTGTGTGGAGGAAATGAAGACATGCTTAGCTATTATTGGAGTCAGTTTGGCTACTAATGGTACTGATATTCACATATTGCAATCTTTTTTTTTTTTTTTGCAGTTTTACTAAAGGGAGGAAAAAGAGAGGAAGAGAAACCATTTAGAGACTGTGCAGATGTATATCAAGCTGGTTTTAATAAAAGTGGAATCTACACTATTTATATTAATAATATGCCAGAACCCAAAAAGGTAAAACCAGAAGTGTTTGTTTACAAGATGTAAGCCAGATCCCAGTTGAATTGCTGGATAATCAGATTGATTTGTGAGCTTGTTAAACTGGAAATATATATAGAGATGCCTGAACTTTTTTCTCCCAGAGATACTCTGTTTCCCAGGTCCATAAAGGATGAAAACCCTATTGTACAGAAATCCCCAATCCACACACCTTTTCTTTCACACAAAATTTTGCATTTATTCCCTGGTGTCCCTAGGATGTCCCCTTGCTCATACATGTTTGCCTTGTACAGATTACATGTTGAGGTCATGTCTACCGTGAGTCTATGGGAAAGAGAAGCCATCTTCCAAAGACCCAACAATCCAGAGAACACACATTATCCAAAGCCAAATACTGTGAGGAGAGGGAGGGGTAGATATAGCTATTTGCAAGTTATTGCTCCTGTTAGGATAGGAGAAACATTTCCTATCTTACTTCATAATCTTGAAAGAATTTGCTTTCCATATTTACATAAAAGAGTGGGTTGGAGGATCGGATTCATCAGTATGTTGAACAGGACCCAAGGTAAACTTTGGAGTAAGCAAACATTATCTTCCTGCTGTAACATCTCTTTTGTATACTGTCTTCCACCATTTATTCATTAAATCATCCATCTATGCCTTCATTCAATACTGTTAAGTGGATATCATGCATTTGTTAGGAACATGAATATAGAGCAAACAGTTTCTAGTGTAATGATGAAGATAGACAATTATGCAGATAGTTATAAAATGCTGTCAATAAGTATAGTGATAGAAATGGTCTGTGTAAAGCAGGGTATATGGGAAGTTTTGAGGTGAGACAGCTGAAGAGAGTGAGATTAGGCAAGAACCTTGCTCTTCAGTGTCTGTGAGTTTTAACTGGAAGCCCAGGGTCCCAAGAGGACCGCATGCCCTTACAGGATAAAACAACTGTCCTCCCCTCATGCCCCCACCTAAATTACTTGTCTCTTATCCCCATTTCCTCTGGGGCCTGTGCAATGCTCTTGGAATCTTCTCTGATTCCCTCAGGCAACTTTACATGACTTTCTCACTACCAGAGTTCTAAAAGGCAGAGATTGTGCCTTTTATCTTTGATTTCCTGGAACCTAGCATAGTTTCTGGCACATAGTAGGTCTCAATAGATATGTGCTGGAATAAATGAGTAAGTGACCTGCTGATGGCAATATCAACACTTCCATGCAGTGCATAGTAAATCAGTCTAACTTACTTAGTCTTCCTGATTGTTAGTCTCCTTTGATAGGCAAAGGAAATGAATCCTGGAGCCCAGTTTGCCAGATGCCACTTAATTGGCAACCCAGGAAGTCTGGACTATAGTCCAGGTCTGATACAATTCTATTTTCCCTTTTACCACTGTCCTCTGTCTCTCTTGATTTCCGTAATGAATAGTTGTTTATGTTAGCTCTAAATGGTTTCTTTTTCCCCTTTGCTGGGACAAAATTTTCTTCTTGAAAGATACCTTTGATGTTGTCTATAAGGGGGTAAAATGTAGGAGTGGAGTGGGCACAGGAGGGAGGACAGGCAGGAGGCACTCTTCTGTACTTTGCTACCTCAGCCATCTACCAGAGAAGTGTGGTTTTGCTGTTTTTCATGTTTGATTTCTGTGCAAGATTACATTGAATCCCATGGCTTAAAGAAGCAAACAAATGAAAAATTGAAATACAATGGCAAGTCTGGGAATGAGGAGATGAAGATAACTTATTCTAAGGAAGATATCCTAAAATCACACTTAAGCTTAAATTCAATTCACACACACACACACATCATAAACACACACCATACACACAGCAGATGAAGTATGTGAGAATTTGATCTGGAGTAGGAGGTGGAGTTAAAACATTTGCTTTATCATTTACCTACAGTACTACTCAAGACCTGAAAGAACCTCTAAATTATTGTCAGTTCCACTAGAGCTTATAATCTGACTATAAAAATAAAATTAACTAAAAATACTAAGCGAACTTCCATTTAGACTCATAGTGATTCTGTGATATAAATGAATCGAAAAATAATTCCCAAAGTTTTCAGATCAAGAATATTCACAATTTTAGAATTTTTTTGACTTCATCATCAGTACTACCATGTGGTCTGTGGGAAGGGGTGCAGTACAAATACAGCTTTAGTCATTCTATGGACTTTAGTTCATATATAACCACAACTACACTCTAGTTTGAAACATTATGAGATGCAAATGGTGCACAGGCTATTTGCAGAACCACTGCGCCTGGTAATGTGAAGAAAAAGATCCCACCTCAATTCATAATCCTGAATAGGTTTGCTTTTCATGCTTACATAAAATAGAATGTTGGAGAATCCAATTTACTCCTTCCATGGCTGGCTCCTGGGTTGGTTTCATCAGGAAAGCAAGATTCAAGCTTACGCTTCTACAAAATGGTGGATTTTAAATATGATGGAGTTTTTGGGTTTTCTTAAATAAATAAAACTTAGAATATTATATTCACAAATGTCAAGTACCTACTGAATTAACTTCTGATATTTAGGCTAAGAAAAAATAATAATCTGAACAGGTTAGCAGTAACATACCCATACGTACCCATAAGGAGCAAATTTTATCACTGCTGAATGGCCACCATGGCTTTTCAGAGAGAAGAAGGAGAAGTTCCAATATTACCTGGTCAGGACTATTGTTAGATTTAGATTTAGTTTTATTGAAATACTAGCAGAGTGTGGTGAGAAGGGGAGATAACTGAGCTGAAGAGAGAAAGACCTGGCCTTCTTCTGGACTTAGATGTTCATTCTCTTGTTTTATTATTTCCCTATTATAATCATAGATTCTCTTACAAGTAGTAACATTGTTCTATAATAAAGATGGGTATTTCAGACTGACATACATACACATTTTTGCAGGTAAAAAATTTAGTGTTTAATCCCTTAGTATAATTGCATAGCATAGCACTGGTAAGAACAAATATTGTGTGAATTTCCTCAAAAGTAATTTACAAGCTGATTAACAAAATAGCTCAAATGTATTGAGCATTTACAGTTTGCCAGTCTTCTTCTAAGCATATATATCTCTATATATAGATAGATATAGATCTCTATATATAGATGTATACTATACTATACTATATATATACTATATATAGATATATAGAGATATATATAGATCTCTATAGATATAGATACCTATATCTAGATATAACTATATATATAGTTATATCTAGATATAACTACATATCTAGATATCTAGATATATAGTTATATCTAGATATCTAGATATAACTAGTATATAGTATATATACAGTATATCTAGATATAACTACATATCTAGATATATAGTATATCTAGATATAACTACATATCTAGATATATAGTATATCTAGATATAACTACATATCTAAATATATAGTATATCTAGATATAACTACATATCTAGATATATAGTATATCTAGATATAACTACATATCTAGATATATAGTATATCTAGATATAACTACATATCTAGATATATAGTATATCTAGATATAACTATATATATAGTATATATAGTATAGTATAGTATGTATCTAAATATACTATATAACTATATGTCTATATATAGATATTTATATCTATATATAGAGATCTATATATAGATATATAATATACCTATATATCTGCTGTCTATATCTATATATGCTATATATATCTATATATGCTATGTATATCTAAATATCTATATATATGCTTAGTGTATATATATGCTTAGTACATATATATGCTTAGTATATATATGCTTAGTATATATATATGCTTAGTGTATATATATATGCTTAGTATATATATGTATGTTTATATATATATATATATATATATATATATACACTCCTTCATTTACTCTTTTCAACAACCCTATGAGATAGAGACTCCCATTATCCCTACTTTAGAAAGTTAACCTGCCCCATACAAATTCTTAGCAAATATTGAATATTGACTTTGAAACAAAGGAATCTAATTCTAGGATACACCCTTTTAATCAGAGGATTAAGCAGGATCATTATTTATGTTAACGATAATTGAAATTGTATCATTTATAATTTTAAATATGAACCTGTTGCCCCATGGGGTGGTAAACACATGGTGTGACATGTGAGCTACACAGGCAAGGGTTTATTTTTAGAAAATTAGGTAAGTTGATTCATGTTCTCATTATAACCCACCTCATTCTCACCTTCCTATAATCTCAGTTTTTTCCATCTTGAAATAAATTGTCAGCATTCTCTCAATCCTATAAAAAGTGCTAGCAAAATTCATCGTTAAGACTTTCACCCTTCCATGTAGACTGTACATTGTAAACAGGAAGTTTGGTGCTACCCCTGGGTAGGCTTAGCCAAAGCATTGCTCATTATAATGTTTCCAGAAGTTTTGGCAAGGGTAAGAATCTCAAGGCAACCTACACAAAAACCGAAGCATCAAATATGCATGGTATGGACGAAAAAATAAACTAGGGTTATTAAAGGAAAGTGACAAACCAATGAGCAGAAATTATTCATCTTGTAGTCAGTGTGTGAGTTGCAAGTATAACAGGATTGTAGTACAGTAATTTTTTCGATTGACATTGTTCCATGCCAAAAAAAAATGTCTTTGAAAGTTAGAGAAATGTTATCTTTTCAAATGTGGAAGCCAAAGACGGTTTTCTAGGACTATTTAACTTTTCAAGCAGAAAGAAAATTAGATTTAGGTCATTTCTGTATTTACTTTTTGCTTTTATGTTATTAATGGCTTGTGTTTATTTTTCTTTCTGAATTCCCTTCAATGTATAGTAGTAGGAAACAAGACTTTCCCTTTCATTTTATGTTTCCAAAACCAAATGCCTAGTTTCATCCAAAAAACAAACCATTTAATCATTACTCTGCTTATTGTAAAATATTAAAAATTTGATTCTGAACTCGTAATTCCCCTAATTCTTGGAAAAGTACTGTAACAAATGGGTTAAGCCCTTTTCATTTATGGTATGGAAAAATAATTAACATTCACAAGTCTAATCATTCCAACTTCTATGGAACATAAAAGTATAAAAACTATGTGAATCAAATTTCCCCGTTTTGTTTGGGTTTAAGCCTCCGTATTATGTTAAAAGGTGTTTAATGCTTGAAAGCTTTGACCTTGCCTGGGATAGGAGCCAGTTCAGTCATTTCTTGGATAGAGTTAAGCCCAAGTCATATGATCAATAAATGCAATAGGCATAGTTAATGTAGCAGGGTCTTGTCCACAGGAAGGACACTGCCAGATAGCACAGACCACACAATACTGGCAAATGAACTTTTCAAGTCTTTCATGTCTCAAATCTTTCTAAAACCTACCATCTATTTTTTTAAATTTCCTTCATCTGTTAAGCATAGGCTTTTATTTTTTTTTCTGACTAAAAATAATAGGCTTTTGTTTTGTCTTTGCTAGAGTGAGTCCAACCTCTTAAATATAGATATATGTATGCGTGTGTGTGTGTATATATATATATATATGCATACATAATACATATAGAAAGGTGGCATGCTCAAAGATTAGTGATGCCAATATTATAATAACTAGAGCCTAGAAATCATAATTATAAAGATAATTTATTGAACTTCTACATGTTTTGGTTTTGTATATTTTCTATTATTTATAATAAATTATAAAATTTGTATGCAATGTTATATAACTATAGTATATTAAATTTAAATATTATATACATATTAAATATTACATTATATACATAGAGTGTATAATGCGTAGCATAAACATATATTATGTCATCAGTAATACATGTAAGAGATGGGAGTAGTGTCAATGCCTATTAAGTGCCAAATGCTGTTCTAAAAATTCTATATGCATTAACTCATCAAATTCTCAGAAAATATCTAAGAGGTACATACAGAGAGCAGAGGTGGATTTTAAATTCAGGCAATGTAGCACTCAAGTTGGCGCTATTAACCAAGGTGTCATTCAGCTCCATTGTGCCTATATAACACAAAGAGCAGCTGTTATCATTGATGTTATTAAGTCTGCATAAGAATTGGGAAGCATATGTTCAACCCTTTAACCTCTCTGTCCCTCAGCTTCCAACTTAGTAATCTGCCTGGGTAATTTATATTTCCCAATGGTTTTTCCTCTAGGTCTTTATTTAAGAAGCATTCTCAGCACATCTGAACATTTACAAGTCACTGGATTCCTCTGTTTAGAAGGAAAGTTGTCTTTTTCAAAAATTTCCGAGTGATTTAAAAGCTAAGATGCCTCTGTTTAGAAGGAAAGTTGTCTTTTTCAAAAATTTGTGAGTGACTTAAAAACTAAGTGCATAGAGTTTTAATAATCTAGGTAACAGTAATTTAAAAACTGTACAATATAGTTTCCTCTCTGCACTCTACATTTATAAATGTAGTGATTCTTTTCCCT
Source organism: Homo sapiens (assembly GCF_000001405.40). Taxonomy (NCBI): domain Eukaryota; kingdom Metazoa; phylum Chordata; class Mammalia; order Primates; family Hominidae; genus Homo; species Homo sapiens. Next base: position 107,296,842 of record NC_000008.11, on the reverse strand, counting down.
GAGTATGTAAGTGGACTTTACAGCTTTGCAAACACAACTTGGCAAACTTTCAGGCAATCAGTGTCCATTAGGAAATAAAAATTTGAATAAAAACATTCATTCTGGATTAACAAGTCAGGGCACGATAAAATTTAATTGAGAAACTAGTGATATTAGCTGCTTCTAGAAAAATGTTTCCTTGATATTTTCACTTCCCTTTTTTCTCATTTGAATTTCACTGGTAAAGCTCCACTTTGACCACTTCTCTTGAATCACCACCTATGCCCTCTTGAAACTATGCCATCTGATTTTATTCCCACAGGAATCTGCATTCTCTCTCACCAAGGTCACTAAAGGCTTCTTCATTCAAATTGAAGTTATATTTTCTTAATCATTTTTTATCTTGACTTTTCTGAAACCTTTGATGATCACCTCCCCAACTCTAAATCCATCTTTCTTAGCATTCCATTAATCAAATTTTCCTATTTTATCTCTCCTGTTCCATCTCTATTTGTTTATCAAATATTCATTCAGTACCCGCTACAGGCTAAGCACACCTCTAGGTACTGGGGACAGCAGTCAATTGAAAGAAATCCCTGCCCACCTAAAGTTTCCTGATGTATTCTGTCCTTCTCAGGTGTTCACCAAAGCCCGTTCTTTGACCCTTCTCACTCCCTGCCACACACATCTGTTTCCACCTTTTTCTTTACTTATTTAAGTAATTGCATTTGTCTTCATGCTATTAACAAATGCTTTTAAGCAGATTATTCCCAATAATTTTCAATTAGGTAGACATAGGATTCAATTCTGAATCCAGTTCAAATCAATTTTAAATCCCAGATCCAGAGCTTATTGTTGAGTATAATCACTGGTAAGTTACTGAACTACTCTAAACCTCAGTATTTTTTCATCTGTAAAATGGAGATGATCATCATACCTACATCCTACTAGGACTATCATGAGAATAAATTAGAAAATGCATGTAAGGTGTTTATATTATTTGGTCCTTAACAAGCATGTCATTGTTAATAGCAATTCCTTTCTTTCTTCCTTATGCTCTTATCCATATTTTTATCCTTGGTCTAGATCATCTCGAAGTGCTCGATAAACTTTTTCTTTGGATATCTGTGCTACCTCAAAGGCTAAGGTGTCCAAAACTACGATCATTTTCTTTGCTAGCCTTTGAGGTATCCAAAACTATGATCATTTTCTTTGCTCGTGTTTTCTTTCTTAAATTTCTCATTTAGATTATTGTCTCCATGATTCTTCAGGCTATTAGAGCTGAAAATTGTGAACTCTGTCTCCTTAATTCTATGGGATCAGTCACTATTGAAACTTGGAGATGTTTGAGTACCTGACCCATATTTTATTTATAATAATACCCCCAGTTGTAAGTGAAAACTGATGCCCAAGAATGGTTGTTGAGTAAATCAAAAAATAAATGAATAAATGAAGTAGAATTACGGAAAATAAAAGTGTAGCTCGAGGTTATGTTGACTGAGAGCAGGTGCAGAAATTAAAGGAATAGTGGTGGTGGGGACTACTGGGACAGGAATCAACATTTCAAATGTACAATCTTGGAGGTGAGTCAATTCCTAGGGTTAATGAAGACATACTGTATGTGTGGCTGTTGTCAAAGTAGGGCGAGAGCCTTGGGAGGAGAGTTGTCCTATTTCATATGCCCACAAGTAGGCATGTATATCTTGGACCCTTCCACTCTGAGGAAGTACATGGACAATTCGCTCTTTGAATGACATTTCTTGCCACTGCTTTTATACCCTTTTTGCTACTTGTGTTCCAAATGCAATGCCTCAGGGAAAACACTTGAGGTTTTTTCTTTAATCAGGGCTTAGCTCTGTGTCCTCATAGCCTGCTTGCTGCTGTTGCATCATATCCCACCTTTAGCCAAGCTTCAACATGCTTTAGTATTCAGTTGTTGAGGAAATAGTGTTTCCCATAGTCCCCGTTGAATAATCAAGCTGCCACATTCATGCTACATCAATTACAGTGATTGCTCTCCGACGATAATCCCATTACAGATATGTTTCTCTTCTTGGGTAGACCCTGGGGGAAATGAGTCAATTTCTAAATAAATACCATTGTATTTTGAATAATTAAAATATGCATAAGTCTTTGAAAGATTTGTATAAATTTTCCACATGGGAAAGAAGTTATTGTCACAGTCAGAAGAGATACAATATGTCATGTTCTCCTGTTATTGTTCGTGACTAAAATACAAGCAAATAATATATTCTACATATGCTATGCCACAAATGTTGCCTCTAATGAAATATTGACTCAAGGATATCTACTGTAACATGTACATATATAAGAATTGATAGGCAATGAAATATGTGATAGTTAAAGACATTATATTTTAAAAATTTTTTATTCTTATTGTACTCCCATTTCAATCAATTTAAAGTTTTAAAATTCTGAGTCATGTGTTTTGGCAATCAAATGGTCTGTAACTTTGGAAATTTGGTAGCATTTCCAAAACTTTGAACATACTCAAATGCTTATTTTCATTTAAAACAAAGATTTTTTAAAATGTTGTATAGTCTGAGACAAAGACTTAATTTTCAGCTGACTAAAATTTGTGCATGTAATTTATTCATCATTGATGGAATTTAATCAGAAATAACTCAAATATGAATCAGAGGAAGAAATAACCAATAATATATCTAAATTAACATTGTTCAATATAGTAATTTCGGTTTTTGTAATCTGCAGACCTGTTCGCCTTATTCCTATTTTGAAACATGTAGGATATATGTTTTTTAAAGTAGAAGTATTTTTTACTTGACTTTGTTTTCCATTTGTCAGGTGTTTTGCAATATGGATGTCAATGGGGGAGGTTGGACTGTAATACAACATCGTGAAGATGGAAGTCTAGATTTCCAAAGAGGCTGGAAGGAATATAAAATGGTAAGATGCAAGAATTTATGGTGCTTTTTGGTGTTTTATCTTGAAGTTATCTTCTCCATACTATATGATGAATCTTGGTATTTTTAGGTGGTTTTGAGTTATTTTTGACATAAAATGATACATTAGTATTATTTTCATTAGACACAAAACACTCATAAATCACTTTCAGTAAATGATTTCCACGTGTGCGTCAGAAAGAAAAACGTATTACTGAAATTATTTGGTGAACTGTTGTGTATTGTCTGTATTTGTTCCTAGTTGCATGAGGGTGGGGGAAGCTAGAACTCAGACCTTCGTTGGATACGTGAGCCTGACCAAGGGAGCTGTGCAGGGTTGCAGGTTGTGGAACAGGATGGGTAATAGCAATGGCCTCACCCACATAACTGGCTAATTGTTGCTGGCTGTTGACTGGAAGCTTCTCCATGTGACCTTTCCATGTGGCTAAGCTAAGCTTCTTTCAGTAAAGTGATCCAGGGTTATCAGACTTCTTACGTAGCACTTGTCATCCTCCAAAGACAAAGCAGGAGCTTTCAGCCTTTTTTAGTTTTATTAGACCCAGAAATGAAACAGTGTTACTTCCATTGCATTCTGTTGGTTATGGTTGGTCAAAAGGAAAGTCCAGATTTAAGGCACGAGGAGTACACAAAGGTATGAACTGTGAGCCATGGCTCACTGGGGTCTGCAAAATAACAGCAGGCATCATCATCATCATCATCATCATCATCATCATCATCATCACAGTTCTTCTCTTTTTTAATGCTCAATATGTCTGCCCTATATGTAATTTCTTATCAATTTTTAATATCAGCCCTATTAACTAACACTATGCCCATTTTAAAAGGAAACAGAGATGAGCAAGGGTTGAAATAATCCAAAATCCAGTAATCACATAGTCGGTGCCTACAATATTAACTATTAAAATCTGCTGACAGAATGTAAAGGCATAGTAATGCAGGAGAATCTATATTTATGGATTCTCATTCTTTTGCAGCTGAAACCTCTAGATAATTCTTGTCTTGACTTTTTGACAAATTTTCTCTCACCAGGTAGAGAGAAAGAAATGCTATACTAGCCTCAGTTCTGTCTTGATATTCTTGCAGACAATTTGTAAAAACTATGGTTGATTTGCATCAGAGTTTGCCCATTAATAGGCTCATAGTTGGTCAAATGACAGTAAATAAGGGGTTTTAATAAATGAATGGAGGTTTCTAGTGGTGTCACTGCATCTACATTTTTATCAGATACTCAGTCGAACAGTCTGAAAGCACGTTTAAAAAGTTTGGACTTACACAAAGTTGGAATCCTGATGTCTTTGTTATTTCATAAACTCAAGATGGAAAGGTAGGCTGAAGCCAGCAAGATATAATTCCACAGAGATGATTGTAGAATATTTCACCTAGATAAAAAATACCTAAATTAACTCTGAGAAAACAGGGTAAGGGTGACAAATTGCCTTAAGGACTTAGTATTTGAAAGAGAGGTTTATTTGGTTCTAAGCTCATTTTGAATTAACAAAGATTAATGTACTCAGTGTACATTACTAGTAGTTTAGGGGGTCACATAAAATGCAGAACTCACTGGTGTCTGCCATGTTCTGGTTACATCAAAAACATAGTTTCAATTCTAGAGGTTTTCAAACAAGTGAACTTATCCTAGGGGTTATAAGCAGGATGGGAGGAATTTAGAAATTACATCTGTAACAGGTAAACACCTGGAGAAAAAAAGAATTAGGCATAAACCTGATAGCTATTTTAGTTAACTGGATGGAGGTAGGTGATAGTAGAGCCTGCTTCTCAAAATGTGGTCCAGGGACCAGCAGTATTAGCATCCTCTGGAAACTGAATGGAAACACGAATCTCAAGCTCTGGACCAGATTTACTGAATTAGAATGTGCATTTGAACACTGCCTGAGAGGGGAGTGCAATAATGAATGGAGTAATATTCCAAGAAGGCAAAATTTGACCAAGTATGAACAAAACTCTCTAATGATTAATCCCAACATCAAATAGACTGCCTATTAAGTGGCAAGCCCCCCCCCCCCCCCATCTTCAGTGGAAATAGAAAGTATATCATTATCTTTTGGGATTGGTATGGAGAATTGGAATGCTAGGTCAGATTTGAAGGCCTCTTCCTACCTAGGTGATTCTAAAAATATATGAGGGATAAAAGATTATCTATATTCAAAAACAAAAAGACTTTGAATTATGTTTATATTAACAGTTATAGGCCAGGCACGGTAGCTCAAGCCTGTAATCCCAGCACTTTGGGAGGCCGAGGTGGGTGGATCACTAGGTCAGGAGATCGAGACCATCTTGGCCAATATGGTGAAACCCCGTCTCTACTAAAACAACAAAAAATTAGCCGGGTGTGGTGGCACGTGCCTGTAATCCCAGCTACTTGGGAGGCTGAGGCAGGGGAATCGCTTGAACCTGGGAGGCAGAGGTTGCAGTGAGCTGAGATCACGCCACTGCACTCCAGCCTAGCGACCGAGAAAGACTCTGTCTAAAAACAAAACAAAACAAAACACAATTATAGTCTTCACTCTGCCATTTACAAGAGGAGAGATTTTCGACAGATCACCTAACCTGCACCTTAGCTTTCTAACTAGTTAAAATAGGACAATGATAATACTTCACCTGCCTCACAGTGATGTTTCAAGGATTAGAAGTAATGTAAGTAAAGCACTTTGGCACACTGAATTTTCAGTGAACAGTAGTTATTTTTATTATCCAAGATGAAAACATCAAAGCAAAAATTTCACTTAACTATGCCAAAAATACTGTTTTGCAAACCATCTGAATTCATGATTATTTTCACCACTAAAATGTGATGTGAAGAAGTCATCTGAAAATCAGACTGTAGATAGAGACTCAGGCTAATCTGAAATACATTATTATTAAAATTAATGATAACAGAAAAATAAATATAAAGTTGTCATCATGGTGACTTTCCAAAATGGTGAATTCTTAACTGTAAACATCTGCTGCCTTGGCAAGCTAGGCATGTTAAGTAAGAGATACTGACTTGTTAAGTATGGAATCAATTCATGTCTTGTAAGTATTTACCAAATATATCCATTTCTAAGCAATTCTTTTTTCATTATTGGAACAAAACTGAAATTCTTTAATCATCATGTTTTATGGAGTTTACCCCTCCTCCCTTTTTTAAAATAAGAAAGGCTATCATGCTTTATTCAAACTTGAAACATTTATCAGATGAATGTCAATTTTGCATGATCAAAAAATGAGATAAGCTCCAACATTTTGAAATATTCTGGCTAAAAATGAGGCTGAATTTTTTTAATTGAAAATATTCATCATATGTTACAAGATGGTTAAAACACATGGTAGACAGTGTTTCGGTTCTTTCTCTAGAGTTTTTCTTTCACCTAAAGACAAAATAACATGACTCCACCAGGAATGGATATAGACTCCTTATGCCAGTTCTTATCAATCACACCTACTTCTATTTCCTGCATCCAAAGAACTGCCTGCTCACTTCTTCAGCTAAGGGTGTACATCCTTCGGGATAACAAGAACTTGGCATGCCCCAACTCTTCTCCAGTCTTTACCAATCTACTATTATATATACTAGGATGCTACATTTCTTCCTTGGGCAATGAGTGCAGAAATCAAGTTTTCTCTCTCTTTCCTTTCTGCCTTTCCTCTCTCCTTCCTTCCCTTCATAGTGATTGATATCTATGGGCTGCCTCTTGCTTCATAAGATTTCCATCACATGTAATTACAAATATATACTATATATTATCATTATTTTTAAACCTCTGTCAATATGAAAGGTTTACCACTTTTTGGATTCTCGGCATTGGCTTTAAGCCTACAAGTATCTTACCTAAGCTTAGCTGTCACTTAACCTTCCTCATGAGGAGATTCAGCAAAATCTGGTTTATGGATTTGTAAAGATGTTTGTCTGAAAGGAAAGTCTGGAGTAGGCTTTTTAATGAGGCACTTAGGGAAGATATTAGCTCCTTCAAGTCATAAGGATACCCTTTAGTGGCCTCCAGCAGTAACACTTATCAGCAGTACTTTCACATATAAAACGCAATGAGGCTAGGAGTTCCAGATAGTACCCAAAATGGCCTAATTTTATACTGTTGTAGGCAATGACTAATGTCCTGGAGGCAAACTTGCTTTATTTTGAGAACAATTACCCCCATAAACAGAGCTTCCTATCCACTCAAAAATTTCAGTGTGAGCACCATTCCTTCTGGGAGTTCTTTGTTTCTGGAAAGAAGTTGAGAGCACATTTTCAGCTATATTTTAACATCTTCACATTAAAAAGAGAAAAATGCATATGAAATTAAAAATTTTGAAATACAAAATTTGTTTCAGTCTTTCTTGAGTTGCACGTCTCAGCATTTAGAGGAGATGCACAATTTAACTGCATATGAAAGTGCCCTGAAAGCCACAGCGCTGTCTTATCTGTTTTTTATTTTTTAAATAATTTGTGTGAAAAAAGATGCAACCCATGGAATACATGGGCTGTGTCTGGTTTCAATTTTACTTCATCTATAAAAAGTCAACGCTTCCTGAGAGCATTATCAGACAAAACAAATAAAGTATCAGAGACAATTATTTTATTAACTTGGAAAAGCACAAACCAAAATTGAACATTTCTGCAGGTTTTGGCAAAAACTAACAAATGTTGATCTTTCCTTTGCATGTGTTTTTGAGTAATATGTGCCTTTTAAGGCCAATTTTAAGTCAGCATTAGTTCAGATTAAATTTCAGTGTCTTTTTATCCTTTTATTAGAGCGTTAGAGAAGAAATAAAATCAATTAACAATGTATCTGAGTTACTGAATCAAAACCTTTCAGGTGATTGTGTTTGACATCATTAAACATCATTTTTACAAAAGTACATGGCATAGTATCCTTAGATTTTATTCATGAAAAAGAGGAAATTGTATTGTAATTGTTTACTCATTCGTTGCTGCTTTTTCAATATCAGCACAGAATTTCATATATACTTTCATTTTTATTTTTATGGAAGTTACAGGCTATTGGGGGTAAAATAAAGACCTGTGGTAAACTGTTATGTGCCATAATGTGTAAGCCTATTTTGGAGCATATGCATTGGTTGACTCTGTCTTTTAGGCATGAATATGAATTTTTGAAGGACAGTCCCAGACATGTAATCAAAATTTGCCTCCCTATAGGGACCTCAGTATGAAGATGAGATTTTACTCCTGCATTTTCCCTGTATACCACTCAAATAATTTGATTTAATTAATATGTTCTTTTTAGTTTGCACTTGGAATATCTATTCCACATCATATTTATATGGATCTCTACCTTCAGTTCATAGCAGACTTACATGTGCAACCTTTTACATGTATAGCTCTCCCTCTGAGTCCACCCCAGACATACTGAATCAGAATCTTCACGGGGGACCTAACCATCTGTATTTTTTTAAAACCCCCACAGCTGTTTCTGATATGCATTCCTGGTTGAAAGCAATTATTACAAATATTAACTTATTAGCATGGTATAATACCTTAAAAATTACCTCTTGTGTAGCTCCTAAAACTCGTGAGATATGGAAAGAGAGGGCTTGAAAGAGATAGCACTAAGGGAGAGTCGAAGGAAACAGATACTTAAGTACTTGGAAGCAAAGGTAAGAATAAGAAAGTAGTCTGTGCTTTCATTAGTACTATAGTTTAGTCCCAATTGAAATCAGTTGGTTGTAATTTCTTATTTAATAATTAACTTTTTGGATTAAAATGACAATACTCATTTGTATAAACCAACTCTCAATTTAGTAAAATATTACATTAGTCCTCTGAGAGCCTTTTAAATAATTATTTCAGTATCCCTTTATTAATTTTTGGGCTAATACAAGACCCAAGATTATTCTTTTTCCTTTTCTTATACAAAGTAGAAAGGAACTTGTTTCCCCACATATGACTCACAGTCTCATGGAAGAGAAGCAACTAACCAGAAAATTACTGTGTATTATGACATATATTTTAACTATAACAACAGCTAGATTTTTAAGTGTTTTCTGTCTATCAGTGCTCAGTTAAGTGCTTCGGTTATATTATCAATTTTATTCTCAAAACCTTGTATATGAAAATGATGTCTGTAATCCCTGTTTTGCAGACAGAGAAACTGAGGCTCAGAAACAAAGTCGATATTTCTACAGCAAATATGTGGCAGTTCAAGGCTTTAATCTGGAGCCAGAGATAAGGGGTAGAGGTTATTTCATCCAAGCCAAGCCTTTGTCCTACATATCAGATCTGTGGTCATGCCTGGTAAACTATCCAAAAGACAGTTTACTAATGTGGGAACACAATTCCCCTTCTTTCACGTATTTTTCATCTTTATAATGAAACAGTTGTTTCTGGATCACTGCACTTGGCTATTAGAAGGTTTCCTCCCTATATTGCAGCCATTTTGATTCATTGTACTCAAACCTTTTGCTCTCATACTAGAGCATGCTTGGACAGTTTTTTGGGAAGGAGCTCGAAATAAATGTTAGTTTCTAAATGCAAATTATACTGCGTTCTTTTTAGTCACTTCTTCCTGAAAGACAAAAATGCAAACTGTTTAGGAAGGGATATTTATTTCCATTTAGAGGGAAGTACAGGCCTGCATGTGGAGACAGGGATGGAGGCTGTCCTAGGAATGAGGCTAATGCTTGTCCATTTCTAAGGCTCACCCAGGATCACTGCGTGTTTCCCTGGGGAAGTTGGAGAGTTTTATCCACACAGCGCTTTCAACAGCATGGAAATATGTGACCCAAAACTTAACACTTCATCATTCCCAGCCTCTTTATTCACATTGAGTATAAGTGTTGAATCCCTTTTCAATGACTGCACAGAAAAGGGAATCATCAAGTGGCAAGAGGGAGAGTTTTGACATGTCTGAGCTGCAAAAAAATGCAAGGAAAATCCCAGTGGTCTTCTTTTTCTTCCCAGGGGCTGTTGTAATTGATAAAGTGCTAATTCTTTGACTTTCAGCCTCCTGTAACTTTCTGTTTTGTTTATGCTTTGGAGAAGGTAAGCTTTGCTCTTCTCCTTAGTAGGTAGCATTGGCTGCCATAAAAATGTGTAAAATTCTTAGCACACCAGAAATTGCTCTAATATTTCCTGCCACTGTGAAACTTTTACAAAGTGTGACTTGAGCATCTTAGGAACAGAGAAGTAAAGAGCCAATGGAGTACTAACTTCAGTGGTCTTATAGCTTTACTGTGAGCTATGGGTGGATGGTCTTCAGAAGAGTATATACTCAATGCAATCTGGACCAAGCATATTCAGCCTATCAAAAAACTTAGTTAAATTGGGGAATAACTTTAAAAGTGTACACATATGTTAATTTTAACTTTAAATATAACAGTATACATCACATACCCATTAATAAAAAAAAATAAAACGAGGGCCAAAGCCTGGAATTCTGTGTCATCAGTTCTTTCCTAAAACTTTCCCATAGTAGAATGCATCCAATCTCTAGTTTCAGTTTTTTAAAAATAGAACAGTACATGAAGACACATGCAAGGCAATATGTTAAAAATTCTTTAAATTTTTAAAATTTTTCCCAGTCTTTTAGAGTTCCAACAATTCGTAATTTTAAAAAAAGTTTTACTAATTTGCTTTTATTGAGCAAATCCGGATATTTATAAAAAATTAAAACTCTCTTTTCCCACTAATATTTAACTTATTTGCATAACATTTTATAAATATTGCAATAACTGAACTGGCATAAATGGGTTTGGTACCAAACACCTTTGAACTTTGGTAAGTAACTCAGTTGGCAGAGGAGGTAGTGCGCAAGTGACCCAGTTGGGCACTTTAAGAAACATTTCACCAAGACTCAACTGTACTGTCTACAACAAGAATTGTGCTTTAAGGTTACTTTTCCATGTGTTATTGTAAAATGCTGTAATATTTTGTTTTCCTTCCTCCTTACCTCCATTTCTCTCTCCCTTTCTTGCTTCTTTCCTCTATCCTTTCCTTTCTACCTTTTTCTTTGAATTTCAAAACAACCCTATTGGAATGCTCAGTGCATGTCAGCTCTTCACTGGTTTTTGGAAATTCACAAATACAACACAGTTTCTATCATCAGGGAGCTCACAACATGGCCAGTGAAACAAATATGTAGATCAAGAATTACATTGAACTTCAAGCACTGCCAATGAGTATTTTCTGAGGCAATTGTGAATACTCCAAATCTAGAATGCCAGCAAGTTTCTAGGGGTTCTTTCTTTTCCTATCACTAACATCTCCAACATTAAGCGCTGGCTTTCTTTTGGGACCACTTTTTTCTCCCTACAAAGAAACTATTTTGAATACTTAACAACCTTGACTTCCCCCAAAGAGAACAATAAAGTCATGTTGACATTCAGAAGCCAAGCAGTCAGCTAGGTTCACTCAGGAGCACTTACAAATCAGCCTTCTGCCTCAAAATTCCAATGCCAGTGCAGCTTTGTAAATAATTACAGTCATGGATTTACAGGGTTGCTTATTAATATTTAAAAATAAGAAAGTTAAAGCTCCAAAAGTCATGGTTCTAGTAATCTATTAGTTTGGTGCAAAAGTAATTATGGTTTTTACCATTGAAAGTAATGGCAAAAACTGCAATTACTTTTGCACCAACCTAAATATGAAGTTATTGTTGAAACATAATTGCATTTGTGAATAATAATAGTAAAAATAATATTGTTAAATAACTTGTCTAATATCACTCTCATAGTGTTCATTGAAAAATCTTTAAACTCTATTCAAAATATTTTGTTAACTAGTAATTTAGAAACATTTTCAAAAGCAAACCTTGAATTGAGAATTGTTTTCCAGTTAAACCTATTAACTAGATTTATTTTATACAAAATGTCTCATCCACACAGATTTGAATAACAGAGGTTTTATTGTACTAAGTAAGAATTAGACAGAAGCTTTGATGAAGAGACACAGAATTATTGAAATGTCAATCACTGGAGAAAAAGTGTAAAATGTAAAAAACAAAAACCTTTACTTTTTAATAATTTTTAATTATTATTTAGAAAATAGTTAAATGCTGAACATGAAAAGAATTCCTCTCTAAAGTAACAACTGCATCTCTATATTGTTTCCCAGGGTTTTGGAAATCCCTCCGGTGAATATTGGCTGGGGAATGAGTTTATTTTTGCCATTACCAGTCAGAGGCAGTACATGCTAAGAATTGAGTTAATGGACTGGGAAGGGAACCGAGCCTATTCACAGTATGACAGATTCCACATAGGAAATGAAAAGCAAAACTATAGGTAAGTCATGCTACAGTGTAGTGTTCGACTACCTTTTACCTAGCCACTTAATAATTGTAGTGGGAAAATATGAAAAAAAGAAATGAAAATCATCCTTCAAAATGAAAATTCTTTTTTTTTTGTCTAGACCTATTACAAAGAGGTACAAAAAAGCCTGTAAAGACTTTTTCAAAGATTTAAATTTCAGTTTTCGTAGGTTGACTATCTTTGATATTGGCTTAAATTTTAGGGAATGGTGAATGAAGTCAAGCATACTGTTGTTCTGTGGTTATCATGCAGTTGCAGTGAATTCATATATATAAAACTGATAAGTTTCATACTCAAACTCATTGGCTTAAATAATCTCTTTATTCTAAAAAAAGATTTTCTGGTTCTACTTTTTTTGATGACCTTTCTTGAATTAGCATTTTTCAAATGATCTTGAAGATGACAAAAGTAAAATTTTTTTATGTTTGAATGATTTACATAAAAGAGAAGATGAGGCATGATTTAGAGGGTTTTCTTGGTAAATCTAAAAAGCAAAAATAAATTGTAATAATGGCATCAATATACATAATACATGATTGCAGATGTAAAAATAGATAAACTATACACTTAATGATACATGTTTCCAATTATCCTTTTTCAATGAGAAGCTCGTCTACTAGGGAAAAATAAACACACAAAAATATGGCTAAGGAAATAATGTGATGTGGTGGATTCATTGCACGAACACTTATTGTGTTACTTCTGTGTTCCTGGAATTCTACTGGGCGCTGGTCTTACAGACGTCAAAGTCAAGCTTTGTTACTAACTAGGTCACTAAAAACTGGCTGGCATTCCTTGGGAACAGGGAAGATATTTTAGTTACTCTTCTACTGCTACTCATTAATGCAATTCTTGATGCCTAGCAGGTCTTTAATTGTGTGTGCCTCAGTTTCATTCTTAGTAAATTAGAGTTGTAATGATTTTTAACTCTCAATATTGTGACTGCTCTACCTCTGTCTTGAAAATATGATTGTATGAATTAAAGGGTGGGCACATTGCTTCAAGTAATTGCAACAATAGCAACCCAACCCTTGCGTGTGTTTTGTTTCAACCTGTGTGGTTATCTCATAGTTCAACTGTTTCTGCTGCTTATTTGTCTTTTCAAGACAAACCTTTTTTTTTTAATTTTTTAAAAGTTTGAATTCTGCATATTTTCATAGGCACAACTCATTTCATTTTAATGGATTATGTATGGGGTTGGATCCTTGGAGACATAATAATCATTTTCTCGACAAATAGTAATGATGTCACCACAACAGAGAATGAGAAATAGATCTAAAAGAGTTGATAGTCTCATGGTGGGGGTGGAGGGGAAGCGAGGGTGTACTTAATGGCAGCTCAAGAAACCAAAGAAGAGACATTTATAAAATGCAATGGAGTGTAAGAAGAAATGTTTCCAAGGAGGTCAATATTTTGAAAGTTTTATAACAAGAAAACCACTGTTAAACATCAGGGATACTCTTATGTAAATGTTTTGACCTGAAACTTGAAACTATATGAAACTTGGCTAATGTCAGACAGCCTGACAATAGGACTAGCAAATAATTAGTCTAGTCTTTTCCTAGGCTCCTGAAGAATTTGCTTTGGTTCCTTTCCAAAATGTCTCTCAGTTTTTCATAGGTGGCTGCATGTGTGTGTGTGTGTGTGCATACACATGCATATGCATGTGTGTCAGGCTTGGAGGGTGTTGCGGGACAGAGTGTTGGGGCAGGGTTAGGAGGATTGTTGGCATCTGTGGTGCACTTCGGAGTGTATGATGTGTATGCCATTCTGCCATCTGCATGAGGAAGGAGTACTCACCTCCTCTTAGAGTGCCCCACTGCCCTTTTGAGCATTTCTCATTTCTTTGACATCTGTGTGATTTTGTATTCTCACCACACAGTAGGGATCTATGATCAAAAAGTAAGTCTTCCCTGCTAGGGTGATGCATACACTCTGATATCCCCATTTTTCTTTCTTGATAGAACTGTGAACCTTGAGAATCAAAATTATAAAGCCAGAAGAAATGTAACAATTTAATTTCAAACCTCTGGTTTTATGGGAAGGAAAGCTGAGGCTCATATATATATATATATATATATATATATATATATATATATATGGTTCATATATGTAATATATATATAATATAATATATGATATATAATATATATGAACTCTTCAAGCCTCACACACATGCATATGCATGTGTACACACGCACACACACACACACACATACACACATATATATACATATGAGCCTCATATATATAATTTTGCCCAAAAAGGGAGAAAGACTTAAATAAGGGATGTCTAACTCCTGCCTCATTCAATGTGGTTTCTGTTCTGTCATGCTGCTGACATGAAGTTAGTGGTTCTGGCCTCTTTCCTGCAGGGACCTAACAGAAAGTAGATGTGCAGTCATCATTTTCTCATGCAATTCAAGTATACGATTCACGTTGACATGAAATGGGAAATGAGAACTCATTAAAACATAATGCTTACTCTGGTGAAAGATTCATTAAAGTAAACACACTATAAGATGGTGTTATTCGCTTTTTCAAAGAAAAATGGAACAGAAGCCTGAAAACAGAAGCTAAGCCCTTGCAACTTTTCTCCCTGCCTGTATCATCACGTATGCCCAGTACTGCTTCTCTAGGCCCATTAATGCCTCCCGTGGCCTGCAGTTAGAACTCACATTGTCCATCACTGCCTCATGTGCTTTTTGTCCATTCATGTCTCGTCCCTCTGAATTGGCGTGTGTCTTTGTGATCAATTGTTTCAAGTATTAATACTAAGATTTGCACAGTATTCCATAACCTATGAAATGATTTTTAACACTACAAGCATATAAACCTCTTTTGGAGGTAGGTATTATTAGACACATTGTTTTTTTGAGACGGAGTCTCACTCTTATCGCCCAGGCTGGAGTGCAATGGCGCGATCTCGGCTCACTGCAACCTCCGCCTCACCGGTTCAAGCAATTCTCCCGCCTCAGCCTCTCTAGTAGCTGGGACTACAGGTGCCTGCCACCATGCCTGGCTAATTTTTTGTATTTTTAGTAGAGACGGAGTTTCACCGTGTTAGCCAGGATGGACTCGATCTCCTGATCTCGTGATCCGCACGCCTCAGCCTCCCAAAGTGCTGGGATTACAGGAGTGAGCCACTGCTCTGGGCCTAGACACATTTAAAAAATAAGAAAACTGAGGTTTTGGTCAGTTGACTTGGTCAAATTCAACTAAATTCCGACTGAAATATAAAACTATGAAATTCATACTAGGTTTTTGTTTTATATTTTTTGTTTTCTATAACTTTTCTCAAAAATTAAATTAAATTAAATTAAATTCAGAATTGTTTGAGGTTTTATTTTCTAAAACATATTCTATCATGGAAATTTTGTTTGAAAATTCTTGTAACAGGTGTGGTCCTAATGTTTAAACCTAACTGTGGTGTTGTTTTTTAAAAAAACATTTATCATGCTCTTGACATATTAATTAAAAGAAAGTGTTGTGAATGGATAGATGAGCTTATAAATGTGCATGTATTACACATATTTTTCTTTTATCCTCTAAGGAAACTCCAAATAATTTTCTCAGATAGAAAATAAAATCTGTAGAACCCAAGAGAATATAAATAAGAAAAAATAATAATGTAAGAGTGTCATGATAAGCATAGCATATGAACTAACATGTATCAATGTGAAATTATTTAATACTTCCTCTAGAGAGGTAGTATTATCCAGATCCTCATCATCTAACACCCAGGCAATTATAGAACCTTCCTGCCTCTTTAGTCTTCATACTCTCATATATATCTTCCATGCTGTTGTTGAGATGATTTTTCTAACAGACAACTTGGTCTTTCCCTCCTTCATATATTTCAACAGTGTTCAAATATCTGCAGGTAAAAGTCTACCACTAAGACTCTTCGTGACCTGGCCACTACCTAATTATGCACCTATTGCTGCCATACACTCTCCCTAACTTTACCTACCTGGATACCCTTCTCATTAACGGTTATGTTCTGGTAACTATTTGCGATTGCCCTAAATCCTCCATGCCTTTGTTTATGCTATATTCTTACTCACTCAACACATAAACTTAACTTTGTCACATGGATACATCTTAAATCTTTAAGATTCTCTCTTATTCCAAGTCTTCCCTGATACCTACTGTGGTAGATGTAACGTGTCAACCCATTGCCTCCTTCAATACTAAAGCGCTTCTTTCTTCCACTTCCGGGAAATGTTGACTGACAGGTTGCAGCTGAAGTCCCCTTTCCAGGCACTGTTTGTAGTTAAAGAAAAATTAGCCGGGCGTGGTAGCACATGCCTATAATCCCAGCTGCTCGGGACGCTGAGACAAGAGAATCACTTGAACCCCGGAGGTGGAGGTTGTAGTGAGCCGAGATTGCGCCATTACACTCCAGTCAGGGCGACAAGAGTGAAACGCCATCTCAAAAAAAAAAATAAAAAAAGAAAGAAAGTAACATCACCCAAGATTACTTCTTGCAAGATACATTGTATCTAATGACTGGTCAATATAAGAATATGAAGACCCTCTTGCCCCAATTTGGGGCAATTCTGAAGAGCCCCTCAGAATCCAAAATTCCACTTCAGATTAGTTGAAGTCTTCACCATGACAGCATGTGAGCCCTGAATCTCCCTTTGCTGAGTTCTGCATGCTTCACTCTGCCACGGATCCTGGGACCTCTCCCTTCTCAACCTCCCTACACTGATTTCCCAGAGAA
This sequence comes from Homo sapiens, assembly GCF_000001405.40. Classification (NCBI taxonomy): domain Eukaryota; kingdom Metazoa; phylum Chordata; class Mammalia; order Primates; family Hominidae; genus Homo; species Homo sapiens. The sequence goes on along the minus strand of NC_000008.11, from coordinate 107,279,925 downwards.
ATGCATCACCCTCATTCTTAGGCCAATTTGGATACTCTGTGCTCCCATTGACCCGTAGCACTCTGGATAACTATCCAGGATCCAAATCCTGTTATAAGTCATTAATGAGTGACTGTTAACTATCTTTAACTTGTGCTCTCTCTCTCCCCCCCCCTTCCTTTGAGTGTGTGTGTGTGTGTACACGTGTGTGTGTATGTGTGTGTGTTCTAAGCTTTTAAAGTGTAGAACCCATTTTGGAAAAATTCAAGATATGTAACTAATTTAGCCAAATTACTGACTAAGCTAGCTATATTTGAGGCACACATACTATACACCAGATGTCTTGTTTTCACAAGAGAAAACTGAGGCATAGTACTTTGCACAAGGTCACAGGCACTGATAACGATGAGTAGGAGTCCGATTTGAAATTTGGTCTTATAACTACCCACCATATGGGCATCCTCAAATAAAGAAGTTCATCAGTTAATTTCTAGAATTAAATAAACCCAAAACACATACTCTAAGATATAGTATATGTTTATTCTAACCCTACTTCTCTCTTTAATAATTTGAATGCCTTTGGACACATTACCTATCTTTCCAGTTCTCAATTTTCTATTCTTACAAGTTAAAGTATTTGTAAAGCACCTTGTAGCTCAAAAATTTTCTACAATAGAACTACCTTTACCTGTGCATCACTATTTTTATTACCTTTCAATTCTTTGATAAAAAATTAAATTTGATCTCTCTAATAAACACTTGAGAGTTTATTATCAGTTTAAAAAAACAAATACACAACCACCACTGCAACAATAAATGCTTTAAAAATATTTTAATAATAGCAGATTTATTGTAGGGTTGAGGAGATGCTATGTCCACTGGAAGGAGCTCTGGAGTCGGAATCAGGATGTGGAGGCTGAGAAGAAATCTGGCTCTACCACCTGGGAAACTGGCATGGTTGTATTTGTCAGTGTTCAGTCAGGGGAGCAGAGCCATGATGAGTCTTACGGAAATAAGGTTAAAACATATGCTTGAAATTTGGCATGGCAGACAAGCCAGAGCTTGTGAAAATCTAAGAAACCAAACACGTGTAGCCACCAAAGTGGAACCACAAAAGGGAAGATCTACAGAAATTTGTTGCCTTGCTGTAGTTCCATTAAATGAGGTTGTGCAGTCAAGCATCTTGTGGTGGGTCTGGAGCTGTTGCCAGCATCAGGAAGACAAGCTGGGTGCTAAGTGAAGAAATACACAATGTAGAAACTGTCAGGCATCTCTGCCCCTGGACTTCACCATATCTGATGACGTTCTCAGAGTCAGGCCACTGCTTCACTTTCGCCTTCCAAATCTCACACAAAATTCTCTTTTAGCCAACCCCAGCTTAGAACCTTACAATGAAGGGGATTCAGGGAAATGGAGTACCCAGATTAACCAAGTTGATATTACTTTTATGCCTCAGTTTTCTTATCTTTCAGTGGGAATAATATCCTCGAATCAAAAAGAGTGTACATATATACCTTGTATTTGGTAAACTTAAATATCATGCTAATACGAAAGCTGTTTAGAGACTGGGTACAGTGGTTCACACCTGTAATTCCACCACTTAGGGAGGCCAAAGTGGGAGGACTGCTTGAGGTCAGGAGTTTGACATCAGCCTGGGCAACATAGCGAGAACTTTGTCTCTATTAAAAATTAAAAAAACAAACATTCACTTGGCGTGGTGTTGCACACCCATTGTCCCAGCTACTTAGGAGGCTGAGGCAGAAGGATTGCTTGAGCCCAGGAGGTTGAGGTTGCAGTGAGCTGTGATTGCACTGCTGCATTCAAGCCTGGCTGACAAAACATGACCCTGTCTTTAAAAAAAAAAAAAAGAAAAGAAAAGAGCAAACAGACTTTTTAAATTAAATTTTTATCATGCCCAAGAAATATATTATTGAGTCAATAAACAATTTTTAATTATATATTCTATATCGAAATCACCACTATTGTCTCCAACAATGTCCTTGGCTGGTTGATAGTTGTTTATTTACTTGGATTCAGGATCCCATCCAGCTTCACTCATTGCATTTGCAGTCATGTCTCTTGAGTCGCCTTTTACCTGAAACAGTCTACCACTCATCTATCAATTACATTTTTCAAGACTTTGGGTCAGCTTTTCCCAGAACAGCTCTTTCTGGGCTTATCTGACTATTTCTTTCTGATTAGATTCAGATTAAAGCTTTCTTGAGAAGAATACTAAATAAATGATATTGTCTATTTCCCATTCTATCACATCCAAAGGCACAAAAGATTAATTTGTTCCATTATTGATTGGGCTAAGCTTAATCACTTGTTAAGGTTTTGTTTTTGGTTTTTTAATGGAATACCTATTCTCTCCAAAATTCTTACAAAGGATCATAATGTATGAAACACGTAAAGCTGATCTATTTTGAAATGGTTGTGGGAAGGTAGTATAATATTTCCTCTTGCTATTATCTCAAACATTAGTACAGCACAGTTTAAAAACCATTGTGTTATATTATTATAAATAAAAAAGTAGAATTTACCAGTTGGAAATAAATTTCACTGTACTATTTTTAAATGTTAAAAGAAAACTATATAAAAATTTTTCTGCCTTAATATTAAAAGGACACAATTTTAGTGAACATATTCCATTATAAAGTCATTTTGCAGGTAATTATTTTCAGATCTTGGGAACAGTTTGTTCCTTACAGTTCATTATTTTGTTGTCTTTTATGCTATTAACTTAATTAGTAAATCCTCTGTCACAGATGGTATCATGAGCCTCTCTTTTAAGCAATAGAAAATTAGTATTAGTTAAGTCCGAATGATAATGTTTAACATTTTTTAATGCACATCTTGTCATTATAATCTTACTACATAATTTATAATGCACATTTTGTGGATATTTATATTTTATTGACTTTATATTATTTATTGAGGATAAATGACATCATTAGATTAGAACTGACTGTTGATGTCTATCATAAGCCTTGTTCTGGAAAAGATTCCACATGAAGAGATGAACAGAATTTTAAACCAAAATTGTGAAGAAAACAACCTGAAAATAATTTGGTCATTAAATATCTTTTTGCGCAAGTTTGTTTTTGGCCAAGATCTTCATTGGGAAGTAGTTTGATGTAATTTGTAAAACACTGTATCGGGAATCCAGAGACATGAACTCTAGACTTGGATTTGCAGTTACTTTTCTGAATGACCTTGGACAATTTGCTTCACTTTTCTAAGTCTCAGATCCTCAGAAGTAAAATGAGGAGGTAAGGCTGAAGTTCTTTCCAGTTCCCCAATCCATTTTTTTTTTTTAAATCATTAAAGTACTCCCATGCCGTGTATGTATTTCAAGGACAAAACAAATTCATGTGGATTGAAAAGAATTCTCTCGAGCCTCCCATGTAAATTTAAGCCCTGCATTTTTGTAGATATTGCAAAACTTGTTTCATTTTTTTTTTCTTTCAGTGAAATGTTTCTTATTTCTCTGATCCTCTGGGCTACATAGTCCTGGATGGAACCAGTAGCAAATATGTTGAAATACTAAGAGGAAAGTTATTTTTTTACAGCAGTTCTGGACTGATCAAGGTATGAAAAAATATGTAGGAAATCTCCTGGCAGTTTCTACTTCCCTCAATTCCTAACATAGGTTTTCAAACTCAAGGTTTTAAAGAGTCTTATTTGTGTTTTCAAATAATTTCTCCAACTTGGAAGGTGCATTACTTTTATTTAGACTGTGATTTTTGTTGTGGTTACTTCCTAAAACAGAGAAGTTGTTTTAATCATCAAAATTTATATTTTAATCCCCTTGACTGAGATGAAATACTGAAGACAAAAAAGGCTTCCTGGGTCTTCAGAGGCACGGATGAGCACATTCTTACAGTCACTTTGCACCTTCTTTAGGTCTTTTAAGTGTTGGGAAAATCTCTTCACTTAAAAATGCAGTTGAATGTCAGTCTCTAGAGTCTTGGATATTTTTCAAGCTGATGAAAACAAATGCCTGCATGCTGTTAGGTCTAAGGATTCCCAGAGGATTCCTGTCACAGAATGGGTAATGCTAAGACTCAGACCACTGCTGTCCTAGAAACTTACAGGTTGGCAAAAGTTGCCAGAACCAGCTAGCAAGCACTGCCTCCAATAAATTATCTAAGGTGATGTCCTGTGATCCACTGCTCTAGGTTCCCCTACTGCTGTTCACTATCAAAAAGATGATGGCTCCATGAAATATTTGTTATGCATCCATCATGTGCTATCCTAGGATAAAATGTCCACAGAGATTTCAGTACAGTCATGTATACGTGTGTTCATGCAGGTGCATACCCATATGTGATGGATATGGAGTGGGGTCGGATGGTTGCAGACAGCCAAACAGGCAATTACAATGCCACGAACACAGTCAGTTCACTTACAATCACAAATGTGCTGTGACTAAAGAGGGCTAACCAGTTTTGGAAGGTTGAGAAAGCTTCCAAATAGTGGCCTAAAGTGACATAAATGTGGCAAATTGGTATTAGTTGGGGAATAGTTCAGAGATGGGGGTAGAAGAGGGATTAGCTCAGAAGTGAGACTCAGCACGTCTTGCTAGGAAACTACAAGTGGTTAACTGTTGCTTAAGCTTAGAGCGTAAGGGGGTAATAATGAGCAATCATGATGCTAAGAGAAAGGAGAACCGCTGCTTGTGGCAGACTTGGGACAGGTAAGCAGCCATGGCCTCTGGGGGCAATATTGCTCTGATACGGCCTTTTCTCACATCAATTTTTTCACACTCAATATTTTGATTACTCTGTTTGGTAAATATGAGCAACAACAATATGCAAGCTACTGTGGATGAAACAAAACCCCACAGAACTCAACCTCTATTTTTCAAGATTTTATTCACTTTGCCTAATTGGATTTTCTTGATCCTTTAAGTCTTAGCTCAGTCCATAGAGCTCTTCGTCCTTGATTGGGTTAGGAGCCCCTTCCATGTCCTCCCACTGTGCTCTGGGCATGTCTTTATCAGAGTACACATCACACTGGGTTGTAATTGCTGTTCCCTATTATTAGACTGTAATCTCTAGGAGGACAGGAACCTCTTCACAATGCTTGGCACATGTCTCGAAAAAAAAGCATTTCTTAATAGGTATATAAAAGACATATTGACAAGGTTTTTTTGTGCATTCAACACAGGTGATTTTTTTGTGCGAATCCACACAGCTGACTAATACATGGCAATTCTTGATCTAGATACCAGAAATTCAAAGAGCAACAAGTCAAAAATCCTGCCTCCAAAGGTTTATGGTATAAAATGACAGTTGCCACTAAGATTTCTAATAAAGTATCATGTCCTTAAGTTCCCTGGATTGTTGTTGCTTAAATAAGATTTATTTTCTAGAACTATTAAACTCTAGCTTCTTTTATCTTTATCTCTTTTATCTTTAACTGCAAATGATATGCAAGAATTTCTATATTGCTTGTTGGCAAGTAAATAAAAAAATTAATAAAATTGTCCCACAGCATACATTGTTCATTTCTCTTAACTGGCTACAGTTTTGCTTTTACCTACATAACTTTACTAAAATTACTCTCTTAAAAGTTATTATAGTTCTTTTGAAATCAGAGTCTGCCTTCATTGCTTTATCCAGCCAGCCAACCACCATACACTTACCGTGTTACTATTATTTTCCTGGCACTATGCCAGTTGTTTTATTTCTTGAATGTGCATATAGGTAACTAGGGTGCCTGTTTAAAGTACAGATTTCTGAGTCGCACCTAAAGAGATTCTTATCCTGGGTTAAGACCTAGAGCTCTCAGTCCTATCAAGTGCACCAAAGTGATGCTGATGCAGAAATAACACTTTGGTTACACCAAACAGACACACCATACCTTCTCTTGTGGGGCTAATAGTTTAGGAGAAGGAAACAAAACATGGAATAGTTGACTCAAAAGTTTTAGCTGAAGTGATTTAGCATGTCTGTTTGATTTTTCTTTTGTTTTGTTTTTTGATCAAGGAACCATAGATCTTTTTTTTTTTTTTTAATGATGAAGCCAAGGACTTTTTCCCTAGAATGATGAAGAAACACAAAATTTTGTATAAATTTATGTGTAATTCACCTTTACACTCACAGTCCCTGGGAAAGAACCCTTGGAATTAGGCTATCATTGGTTACTTAAAAAAAAATAGTGGTCAATTCTACTGGAGTTGGGAATGGATAGGGTTCATTGGAGGAGATTAAATGGGACTGGGAAAGGCTTCATAGAGGAAATCCTTAGAGATGTGTGAAATGAGTAAGCGCTCATGAGGCAAGTATGGTAGTTAATGGCAGGAGGAAGGACTTGAGATCCCAGCCAGAGGAGCAATGTGGACACACATGCAGAGATGAGAGACAGTCTGCCTTATTTAGAGGACAGCAAGTATTTAGAGGACATCTTGTATGCAGGGCTTTACTGTGCTACATATAACAGAGGGCTAGAATCCATGACAAAGATTTTCGACTCTAGCTTATACTGATTGTGGAGACAAATAAGCACACTGATGACTTTGGTCATCAGAAGAATCTGCTAATGCATGCTGGAGGCTTATTTGCAGACCTTATAGCAATACAATGTCCAAGTACAACAAGGGAAAGTATTTTCTCTTTGCAAGAAACCTCAGACAATGCATCTCAATGGTTTTCAACATTTTGCTTACCCTCTCCTCTCTCTATCTACCCCAAGGGAATGCTGGAAAGAAAGTTTCTTATTGCTCTTTAAACACAAATAAAAAATGAGAACAAATCTACCTCCCGAGAATTTGTTTAGACTGAAAAATCACCAATTTCAATCACAAGTTTTACAAGGTCCTGACTTAATTTTTGGTAACAAAGCAAAACCCATAAACTCTCTGAGATGGCCATTGGCCTGGTCTTTTAGGCACCACAAGAGGGTCAGACCAGAGAGTCACTCACTGGAAGCTGACTCTATCAGTCACACATGATGCCAAGGAAATCCAAATATGTTTAAGGGACTGTTTGTGTTTTAAACAGGGGTCTTGGTGTCACGTGATTCATTTTGGCACTCAGTTTTTTTTTTTTTTATGTATTCTTAAAAAAGGGAAGGAATACTGGAATAACTATTTATCTTATTTTGAACTAAAAACATAATCACTGAGCATGTATTTCTGAAATTTGGGAAATATTTCATTGTCACAGATCTCATATATATACATACATATATAATATATATTATATATGTATATGATGTACAGAATAGAGAGCACTCTGTCAGCACTATTGAAAGGCACACAACAATAACAGTACGTGGGTTTGCTATTTTCTTTGGAGGAAAAATTTATCATGAGTTTTGAGCATATGCAAGCTTCATGTCTATCACTGCAAAACACTAAGAACTGTATTTTACCAGAGTTTTGAAACAAAAATTACTGCTAACACTGTTCCTAATGTCAAGAGCTTGGGAAGACCTGGAAGGTTGATAAGCTCATTTTATCTAAATTCTACAAGATATTAATGTTTGTAAGTGAAGGGGAGACATTAAAAATGTATATTATCAAAAACTTACATGGAAATCCAGAGTACAATTTATACAGGTGTTATACAAGCTAATATCTAAAACAATCATATGAGAATCAGAGATTAAGTGAAACTCAATTTTCTAAAGATTTTTCATCATTTGGGGTGAGGTTTTCTGTAGCTTTGGAAATTTATCTTCCTTAATCATAGCACAGATTCCCAGGACCATTACTATCTCAAACATTTTTCATATTTTTTCACACTTTTGTGTACATCTTCCATTACACATATTCCAAAATGAATAGCATATCTACCTCAGGACATCTGTAGCTTCTGAAACAAATAAGATAATGTCTTCCTTCTTAACATAATGGTAAAATTATTATGCACAAATTCTGGTGATTCCCAATTATCCAGTTCCCTGTTAAAACAAATGACACCAATTGTGGAAGGTTTAATGAGAAAAAGAAAGCTTTCAGCAAGTAGTCATGAGAATTAAAGGCTAGGTTGGCATGGATGATTTTTCCAGGAATTTTTTTTTTTTTTTTTTTTACCAGTATCAATTATGAGTAAAGAAAGGAAAACCAAACAAATATATATTGGATTCATTCAACAAAATATTATATGATGGCAAGAAAATTGTAGGGTTCTCAAAAGTCTGAAATTTTAATTTATTAAAAGATAAACATTTTAATTGAAGGATATTTATTCAGACCATCTAGAGTCAAATTAACATAGATCTTAACTACATAGTCAGTCAGCAAAGCAACTCTTTGGTTTCTTGTCCTTCATGTTTAGTACTCTGCTTCCTCTATAGAAAATAAGAAAAACTTCCAAAGGATATGGGGCCTCATGGGTTTGAGAAAATTGATCCTTTTCATCTTTAATTTCTCTGGCTTGTTGCCTCCATGCCTGTCCTCATGAGCTGTATCTCTATGTCATTGTTTTTATCACTCTCAGAACACTTACATATGTCTATCAAGGTCATATGTTTATACCTGTGTAATTTAGCCTTAGTCATTCCCGTAATTCATGCCTATTGAACTACTGTATATTTTATGGTTATTGCTTAAGGAAGTTTGATTACTTTAATTTTTTTGCAAATAGTCAAGTACTTACTTTATTTTGCATGCAGCAGTCTTTTTAAGGGCTTTCCGGGTATCACCTCATTTAATCTTCACAAAATATTGGCAGGACATAGAGGTATTTTACAGATGAGGCAACTGAGGATCAGAAAGAATAAGAGCTAGATTGCAAACCCAAACAGGTACACTACAAACTCTGTGATGTCATGCTGTCTTTCCAGACACAAGTGGTCATGACACAGCCTTAATTTGCAGAAGCCAATGGCTTATTTATTTCTCCATTTCGTGTGTGTGGAGGAGGAGGAAAAAAGGAAGAGTTTTGGTTAATGGCTTTATAGAGGGTTATTTCTTTCATTCGTACTTATTTTGTACCAAATTACCTGTATCTGCTTGATCTGTATATTTTTAAAATGTTTTTAGATATCTATAAGTCTTTATCACAGCCTTAATTCTTGATTAGTCACACTTTACATTATCAATTCTTTTAGTCTTCCTACTCACATCCTCTTTTCTTTGGAAACTTCTTTCAAACATTTCTTTTCTGGATTATAGATTATTGTCATATAACTGAATGTCTTTAATATATTCACTCACTTTTTCGTAAGTGTATTAACTTTGCTTCATATATTTTTCTAGCATTTTCTCACATATTCATTGATAGGCTATTGCAAATAAGTAAAGAATTCTGTTCATGTATGGACAATAGAGTTATAGAATATATCTCCAGGATGTGAAAAAGTCAGTGCTAACATACATGCTCTGACATCCCTCTTGGCTAATGGTGCCCAGTTCTTTCAGTGGAAAGGGGGTAGGATTGGAGAGGTTGAATATGGCAGAGACAGCCCAGAAGCAGCAACTAGAAATCATAGCCACATCAGGAAACTCTTGTCAGATTGAGCCATTGCTACCAGCCTCTGAAAGAGAACCATGAAGGTCATTTTGAATTTCTTAGTAATTGTGAGAAAGATAAACTAGTTCCATATGGTGGCAGGGAGAGAACTCAGAGCCAAAATAAAAATCTGCTCAGCTTGTCAGTACCTACGACCTTAAAGTTCAGATATCTGCGAGTCTGTCTACTGTTTAAAAGGGTTGAGGCCAAACTTCAATTTGTCATACAAACAACTCCCACTGCCTTGGATCATGAAAGAGACACTTGGCCACCTGAGTATGGTGAAGATGCAAAAATGTGAAGAGAGTGAGTCTCTTAAGTAGAGAAAATTAGTAAGAAACTGGGTTCATGAGATTGGGCTGCCCATTTTAAAGAAAAGAAAGTTCTAGAATCTCTTGGATGATATATAGGAATATTTTGAAGCCTGTTCTTCCATAATAGAACTCACTGTTGTCCTATATTCATTAAGAAATGTGATGATTTAGTCTTTATAATTACTGAAATTTCTAAAAGTGATTGAAAAGGAGTAACTTTTATCAAAGATGACTAGAGAATAATGACTAATTTCAATGGACATCAGTTTTCCCATGATATGCTAATTGAAAAAATAAAAATGCTGACATTCTTTATAGTCATCCGTCGAAGGGACTCATTTTTTTTTCTTTATTAGGAGAAAATACATGGATGAGAATAAATGCCATAATTCTATGTCGTGGCTGCTTTTTGGTCACATCAAATTAGATTCTCTGGAGTTTTTTGTTTTGTTTTGTTTTTCACAGCTTCCTTATGTCTGTCCCTAATGTTTTTTTCTGGAGGAACATTTTGTTTTTATCTTCTAACATATCGTCTTTCATACAGGCCATGTCTACACTGGCTGAACACAAGAAATAAATAACCAGGATTCCCATGCTGTTATTTTGGGAGATGTATTCTAACTAATGTTTCACACTTCCAATTCACTGTCACGGTAGTCAGGTGCAAAGCCATCCTGTATATTGATTTTTCTTTGATAAACTGAAAGTCTATTTGGAACAATTATTAGCTTCATAGAGAAAGCCACAGATGATAGTTAATTACACATAAGGACTAGATATTAGCCAGAACCAGTGTTAAAAAGAATCATCCAAATGTTCTGTTTGAGCCTCAACTCAAAGAAGTTTTTTTTTTTTAAATCTAATTACAGAAATACTTGGCACTAATGAGTGACTGGTCCTTAATTTACCTGTATCAAATAACTAGCTGTGGTCGTTGGCTTTGGGCCAAAAATTGGGACTCTGAGCTAGGTAAAGAGCTGCTAAGAAAGAATGAGCCCCTGAACTGTGCAGGAGACCTTCTCTGGACTGCATAGTTTCTCCCAGAGTCCTTCTGGGATTCCACAGAAGTACAGTTGTCCTCATGTGCAAAGTTTTTAAAATATTGTTTAGAAGAAATGATTTTTATGACATTTCATCTTTATCTCCCAGTGCAAGAGACTGTGTGTCTCTTCCTTAGAAGAGCATAAGCCGCTCCTCTGTGACATGCTAAGGATATAAACATGGGGGGATGAATACTACTTCATGTAAATTACAAGTGCTACTAAGTATCCAACAGTGAAACATTCATTATTCCTCAATATATCAGTCCCTTCTACTTGTACATCATTTCAACCAATATATGTCACTGTTTACATTGCACATCTTGAGACTTCTCTCTACTTCTGCTTTATGTTTTAATGCTTAATCTGGGCAGGACCTTAAGGAATTATGTTCACACCTTATTAGAATATTTCTTTTTTAAAAAATAATTTTAGCTGAAACACTAACCTTAAGCATATTTTTATTTTGAATTTGCTTTCAAATTGTTTTCAGTTGGCTATTCATACAATACAAATAAATTGTTCAATAAAATGTAAGGAATAATAGGAATTAAGACATGGCCTTTTTTTCCTTTATTCTATCTGCATAATGCCTTGCTCATGTTTTTATATTCTGGAGTCTCTGAGAAAATAAGAACAAAAACAAAACTGGAAAGATAAGAAGGATGTGAGAGACTGTATCTATGTACACACACACACACACACACACACACACACACACAACCCTACATGTGTATTTTTTAATTATTTGAGTTGGATGGGCAATGAAGTGGGTACCCAGGTAGGTATGTTGAGTACCTAACTAAATGAGATGTAAAAGCTATACTTCTGAAATGTAGACCAAGTATATTTTGATATTAGAGTTATTTATATTTGAGTTTGCTTTTGCTTGCTACCTTGAGCTTACCAAAAATTAATCAGTTAGTAAACCCATCATCCATCTAGTCAATGAACATTGAGGCCTTTCTCTATCTCAGAGACTGTTCAAGATTTCAAGATTCTGATGATTCAAAGATGAGTAAGACATAGTCTATGCCTCAAGGAGCTCACAGTTTATTATGGGAAACAGAAAAGTGAAAAGACAATTAAAATACAGCAAGTAAGTGTCATCATGAAGATGCTGATTTGATGCTCTTTGAGGTTATACTTGGAACAAATCTTAAAGGATGGATAGGAGTTCAGCAGCTGTTCAAACCTGGAGAGTACCTTCTAGGAAGAGGGGATGGTACTTGCAAATGTATGGAGAAATAAGAGTGTTGCTTAGAGGGAATAAGTGAGTGGGTAAGGCTGGAGCACTATGTGTACGTGCAGAAAATAACAAGATATGGGAGGGTTAGGGTGGGTGAGACATGGGAAAAAGTAGACAGTAAAGGACTAGACTTCAAAGGCCTTGCAAATCACAGTAAAAAATTTGGACTTTATCTTTGAATTTTGGAGGAACAACCGAGCAACTTTAACCAGAATAGAGGAATGATGAGATGCATGTTTTTGAATGAGCTGCATGGACTTCATGGGGAAGGGGAAGAAGAAGTGAAACTCAAGGCAGGGAGACTAGTTGTAAGTCTTCTTTGATAATCCAGAGAAGAACTGCCAAGACTAGAAACTGACCTCCAAGTCTTAAATAGATCTGGAAAGATGTCTCTTTACTGATAGCCTAACATAGCATTGATAACATTCATACGGGGAAAGGTCAGGAAAGAAATGTGGATTATATTGTAATCCTAATACCTATACCTATATACCTATACCTATACCAGCACACATATAGAGAGATACCTGAAGGCAGCCTTAGTCTTGTGACTATTGATGATATATTCATACAATATTTTCCAAATGATTTTAGAGAAAAAAATGTAATGATATGAAAAAGTGGTCACAAATTTGTATTTGAAAATAATCTCATACAGAAACATGTAAAGTATAATTCTATTTCTATTTGTATTTTCACATGGAGAGAGGTTGTTTTTGAAGGATACCTCTAAAGAGGGAGATGAAATGGGGCTGTGGGCAGAAGCTTTACTTATAGTGTTCAAAAATTTTATAAGAATGTGTTCAGATACGTATATATTTAAAAATAAATAATATTTTATATTTAGAGGGGAGAAACAAGTAAAATACTAAAAATTGTTAATATGAAAAGAGTAGTTATACTCAGTGATGAGATTTGGGTTGATTTTTATTTCTTCTTTTTGCTTTTCTTCTCAAATTTATAATCATGCATTTGTATTGCCTTGATTACACAAATAAATAATTATAAATTATGAGACTTAGATTGTAAATCTTATGTGAAAGGGTAAAAGTATAAACTATGTATTCAAGCACATAGCAGTCTCTTATTTAAAATCAAACATTTGTGCTGAATTCCCTGCAAAGACACTATAGAAAATCATTACATCCTGGAAAGTCTGTCTTTATTAGTGAGCTTAAAGCTACTGCGGAGAAAATGGCATTGACTTACCGTAAAAAGGAAGGCCATTACAAATCACAGAGAAACAAAAAATCAGAGTTAAAATTGCCATTGCTCATTCAAGAGCGCCTATGGGCTAAACTCTCCCAGGCCCAGTAGAGCAGATTTCACGCTAGGAGAGACGTAGCTACTTAATTTTGGAATCATTCACTTATTCTCTCAATTCTGATTCTGTCTTCACCAAACAAGTAACTTTCTGATTATAATTTGGCTTTCTGTGTGAAATTCTCTCTAAGAAGACCATGAGACTGGGTCCCCACCATATTCCTACTTGGACTGCAAATGGAGGCCTGACAAAAGTCTCTTGTTAGTTTTGCCAATGTGTGTCTATCTTTGGGAGGCTGAGGACCTCCAAAGAAGTGATTGAATTGAAAGTTCTCACCAGCTCTGGAAGGTGGCGAATTCACCCAGGTAACATGTCCCAGAACTCCCTTTGGTGATCTGTCATCTTACTTTCTCCTGGTGAAACCCACCTCCACGTGGGCTGGCTGCAGCCTCAAATGTGAATTGGCACTTTAAAAAATTCTACAATTTTGCATCACCAGTTACTTGTAGTCTGCCTCTCAGAGTTTTAAAATACAAGCTTGTATGTGATAATTCAACATTAGAAGATTATTTGTACTACTGTGAACCAGAAGTTCCATTAATTATTGAAACCAACAAAAACTGACTGAGGTTTACTTGTATACTTTGCTCTGGCTCAAAATCTCTGCAGAATATTTGTAAAATATTGCACAAACATCCAATAATATTGTTTTTTGCTAAAAATAATATCAAATACCACAAACAGTAGGATATATACATATACCTAGATGAAAACACAAGTTAAAATATATCTCCAAATATTAATTGATCTTTATTATTCTATTTCATAATAATGTAATGTTTTGCTCAGAGCCAGCCTAGGTTTTAGGAGTGTCTCACTCATACAGAGATGTGAATCACCCATTAACTATACTGTGGGTGGACAGGATTCATAAATAAGACCCAGGCATACAGGTGGTGACCTATATGAATTTGAAGGGGATATTACTACATGATTCTGATGAAAACATTGTGCTGGTATGGAGAAGCAGTGTTAGGTAGAGTTAGAGAGAGAGGGGCTAGAGTCTTAGCCAGAGAACACCTTGAGCTTCAAGCTGTCGATACGACAACTTCAGTTTAGCTACTCTAAGCCCTATGGAGCCACTGAAGGACGTGAGCAAGTTTACATTAGTTCTAAGCACTACGTTGCCCAGAAGGATATGAAAGCAGCTTGTACGATCAGTAGGAAATGAGCAGACATCAGACAGGTCACTACATTTGACAACTATTGTGATTTGCCCACTAGTTCTCGGATTCTAGGACAATACTTGTCAAAATGTTCTCTTTGGACAGTCTGCAAAGAGAAATCTGAGATGCTAGTTGAAAACAAACATTCCTGGGGTTAGTAAATAGGCCTTTTAAACAAAAGATCAGATGATTTGTTATATGCACATCCATTAGAGGGCCACTGATCTAGGTTAATGCAAGTTTTATATAAGAAATGTTTCTAGATAGTAAGAGAGGTTCTTCGAAGAATGCCATATTAAACAGATGGGATTTTGAATTTAATTTTAGGGATACCTCTAGAATACAAGTCCCTCAAAAGCACAGATTTTTGTTTTCTTTTCTTATATATCTTAAGTGCCTAGATCAATAACTGGTATGTAGTTTGTGCTCAGCAAATATTTGTCCAGGGAATGCATAATGATTCAAAGCTTGAGTTTTAGACTCATACCAGCTAAATTCCAGCTTACATAGCTTCCCTAAACCTTAGTATACAAATTGGGGATATTAATGTCTGGATCACAGATTTAATATAAAAATTTAATCAAATAAACACTGGAAATCATTTAACATAGTGCCTGGCACAGAGGAAATCCCCAATCAATGAAACTTCCTCCTTTTATTGCTATTAATAATGTTTAGTACATCTGCACTATTAGATATTAATGGATTAAGGGAGTGACATGCTGAATTGACATTGTAAAAAGCGTTTATGTTTAGAGGTTAATACCTGTATTAATACAATAAACCCAAGTTTTTATGTTTTCTGGATCCTGCAGTATCAGAGAACCACATGAGTTTGAGCATGCATAATGAAATAAACTTTTTCCTTCCTTTGTTCTTTTGGTTCAGATAGCTTGGGTCTCCTAGAGGTTTGTTGGAAGGGCTGAGTTCAAAGAAAGAAGAAAATGATGAAAAAGGCAAACATTCAACAAGCTGGTCTTCTGGGTTCTGTTATTCTGTCGAATGGCTTATCTTTCTTTTTTTTCTTTTTGACTTCAGGTTGTATTTAAAAGGTCACACTGGGACAGCAGGAAAACAGAGCAGCCTGATCTTACACGGTGCTGATTTCAGCACTAAAGATGCTGATAATGACAACTGTATGTGCAAATGTGCCCTCATGTTAACAGGAGGTAAGTCCTATGGGGCCATTCTCTAAGCTATGTTTCATTGGTTTGGGGCTTAAGGTTTCTTATCTATGAGAAAGGAGTATGATCTTATGGTCAGGAAACTTAAGAGCAAGTCCCTAGAGATCATTTTGTTCTGCCCACGAATTTACCCTGCGTTCTTGTGTAAGACATTGCTAGCATATTTAGAGGTTTGCGTCCTCCCCCAACATCAAGAGTGAAAATGTGCTAAGCTTGGTTCTGAATACATTTTTCAGTCTCTTAAGTCCCAGATATTCTACTTTCTAAATTAGTATCTTGATATCCTTAGTAAAATGAACAATAGTTTGGGAACTCAGCATATACAGCAATTACTTCTTATAAAATACTTCGCAATTATGTAGTAAGTTAATTGATCATTTTGTTGAAATGAGATAAGAAAAATAAAGAGGTGTAGTTAAACCAAAGGTAACACAGTTCAGACCAGCTATACCAGAGTTTTGCATTACATAATATTAATCATTGCAAGATATTTTAGCTAGTATAGGAGATACCATTAAATAGTATCATATCATAGAGTAAGAAAGTTAATCCTTTTGTACATTTTAAATATTTTTCCAGCCTTCTGATAGCCCCACAGAGAAATTCTCAATTTGGTGCTCTCATTTCTGTAATACTTCTTCAGTGATGTAATGCATCACTTACCAATGATGCTTCTTGGCAAAACAAACAAACAACAAAAAACAACAACAATAACAACAACAAAAAACCCTTATCCATAGTCTCAGAGCCTTGGTTAAGCAATGGCACATACCTAAAATTAAATAATGTTAGTTTGTTTTAATTTTATGAGTTTTTTATCTACTTCCTTTTTTTTTTTTTTTTTTTTTTTTGAAACTGAGTTTTGCTCTTCTTGCCTAGGCTGGAGTGCAGTGGTGCTGTCTCGGCTCACTGCAGCCTCCACCTCCTGGGTTCAAGCGATTCTCCTGCCTCAGCCTCCCGAGTAGTTGGGATTACAGGTGCCCACCACCACGCCCGGCTAATTTTTCTATTTTTAGTAAAGACGGGGTTTCACCATGTTGGCCAGGCTGGTCTTGAACTCCGGACCTCAAGTGATCCGCCCACCTTGCTCTCCCAAAGTGCTGGGATTAGAGGCATGAGCCACCATGGCACCTGGCTATATCTAACTTCTGTTACAGCAAATGATGCTGATTTCCTCTTTAAATGAATGATAT
This sequence comes from Homo sapiens, assembly GCF_000001405.40. Classification (NCBI taxonomy): domain Eukaryota; kingdom Metazoa; phylum Chordata; class Mammalia; order Primates; family Hominidae; genus Homo; species Homo sapiens. The sequence continues at coordinate 107,263,012 of NC_000008.11, read as the reverse complement.
AAACTTGCATTTTAGAATGCATTCACAATATTCTGTATTTAACAAATAGTAGATTTAAAGAAAAAATTGTTACATATTAATAAGAGTTATAAATGGATATGGCAAAACTGTGAAGTTGATACATGACTGTCTGAAGTTTGGGAAACACTAAGATAAAACCCAATGGCAAATGATATCACTCAAGAATGTTATAGGCTCTGGCAGGAAAGGAGTTGACAACAAACAAAATTGTAAGAGAAATTCCTATTTCAGTGTTTCTCCTCTCACAGTTTTAGTGCTGCTTCTCTCTTACTGTAATAATCACTACCACCTTCAATTGTTCTGATATACTTTCTGTCTTATTCTGTTACAAAACATGATTTCATATTAGCAAGGAAAAAATTGTTCAAATCTAATATTTTCCTTTCCCAACACTACGTTACTACCATTATTAAAACATATTACGTGTTTCTGCACATGTTGTACTATCTTACTTGAACTCCAGATCCACTCTGTGAGATAGCAGGGAGAGAAACTCATCTCTATGTTGTACATGAGGAAAATGAATGACAGCTAGCATTTGCCATTTCATCCCAAACATCTAGCACAGCTGACTGTGACACATAGAAACTTATTAGAAAATGTAGTACCTGAATTAGTGAAGTAGTAGTGTACATGAATGAGCATAGTACATGAATTACCATCTTTTAACTCTTGAAATAACTTTCAAATTTTAAAACCAAATAAATAAATCATTAGGTTGATGTTATCTTCATCCACGAATAGAGCTTGGTAGAGTATAGGTGAAAGTTTTGGATGATGATGATTATCATTTTTTTGAGACCAAGTCTCACTCTGTTGCCCAGGCTGGAGTGCAATGGCGCAATCTAGGCTCACTGTAACCTCCGCCTCCCTGGTTCAAGTGATTATCTTGCCTCAGCCTCCTGAGTAGCTGGGACTACAGGTGCGTGCCACCATGCCTGGCTAATTTTTGTATTTTTAGTAGAGACAGGGTTTCACCATGTCAACCAGGCTGGTCTCGAAGCCCTGACCTCAGGTCATCCACCCACCTCAGCCTCCCAAAGTGCTGGGATTACAGGCATGAGCCACCACACCCAGCTGGTTTGGGATAAATCTTTTGTCTTCCTCCCTATCCCCAACCCCTCTATTACTATTATCACCAAATCACAGCCCATTGACCCCATCCATGCCACCTATGTTGATATCTTTTCAATATGATACCAGCCCCAATATTATCAAAACTAACCTATTATGATTCTGCCTCTATCATATTCTATCATATTCTTTCTTTCTTTCTTTTTTTTTTTTTAGATGGAGTCTTGCTCTGTCACCCAGGCTGGAGTGCAGTGACACGATCTTGGCTCACTGCAAGCTCCACTTCCAGGGTTCTTGCCATTCTCCTGCCTCAGCCTCCCAAGTTGCTGGGACTGCAGGCACCTGCCACCACGCCCGGCTAATTTTTTGTATTTTTACTAGAGACAGGGTTTCACTGTGTTAGCCAGGATGGTCTGAATCTCCTGACCTCATGATCCGACCGCCTCGGCCTCCCAAAGTGCTGGGATTACAGGTGTGAGCCACCGTGCCCGGCTTCATGTTCTTTTCCTTAATCTTTGAACTATCCTTTTGGCATCATATTTAACATCATCAAATATTAAAAAGTCTCCTATATGTAATTTTATGACTCCTCCCTCAGCCCTCACCCCCAAAACTAGTTGCTACAAATCTAATATTTTTTTTTAAATGGTACACACAAGGTAGGTCTTGAGCTTTTTCCTGATAGAAAATTTTTATTTTTATTACTTCCCTGATCTCATAAATGAAATTGTCAGCAACTTTATACAAAGACAAAGGGACTTTGATTTTTCAGTTTCCTGCACATTTTAATATTGAAATATGCTTTATTTTCTCCATGTCTATTTTCAAAGATATTTTTTCTTACCAAATAAATACAATACATGAAAAAACCAACAGTAAAATCTTTCAAATGTGTCCTTAGAAGAGTATTCCAATATGTTCATATTTCTGTCATAATAATGAAAATATGGAGTGAAGCAAAGAGAAGAATGTACATCTTGGTTTTCAATGAGAAAACTTCACTGCTCAGATTTATGATTTTATTTCTGCTTTAAATGATTGAACTTCGTCATGTTCTTTCATCCATAATTATTCTTGGACCCAATTCTTACTCACCAATAAACACATATGTTTGGGAGAGAATATTTCCACTTATTGCTTGGGCTGGAATAGTCTAAGTAAATGTGTTTTTGTAATAAACGCCATTACCTTATCAAATGTCCCTTTGAAAGAATCCAGGTCTTGCAAAGCTATTTATTATGGAAAGCTAAAATGTGGAATTTAGATAGCTAAGAACTGGAGAACATAAGGATGAATGTCATTGACAGTCCAGGTAACTGGAGTATTGCCTGGAACTTAGGTCCTACTTAGTTACTCCCCACCACTACTACTTATTCTCTGTCAAAATTTCCCTTAGAGCCATTTTCCTCATCTAATGATTTTTCCTTTCCTTTTTTTTCTTTTTAAACTTAGTATTTGAGCCTGTTGCCTATTTAAAATACCCTCTCTTAAGCAGTGAGACTTCATACTCTTTGGAGCTAGTAACTCATAGCTCTTTGTCATCATCAATTAAAGCTTTGTTTTATCTTGTTTATTTATATATTTTTCCTTTGTTTCTTCTAAAAGGGATTAAGAGTAAAATAAGATTTATTGCCCACTAACTATCCTAGTTTTCTTCAAGTACATAGAGGAATTCTAGCTGGAGAATCTGGTATCATTACCCTTATCGGTAAAAGACTGAATGGCAGGAAATAGGCTTAACTGAAAGCAGAAGGTATTTCAGCTAGACCCAAGGTAGGACTTGATCTTTGTTCTTCATTTCCTAACTTCCTTATTTCTTGGCTTTCTTCTATCAGTTTAAGGGGGTTAATTACTATTAAACAAATGAGCAAGACAGGCTAGAGCATAAGTTTCATTAAAAATTTAAAAGAAATAGTTTTATCTACTATTTAACATTAAGAAAATGAAAATGAAATCTCATTCAATGCATACTTTTTGTATAGATTTATTGTATATGGAGATAAATATGTGAAAAATTCTGATTCCAAAATTAAGACAGTGACAAATTTTTGTTACTAGATTGTCACATTCAAAACAAACTTACCTTCAGCTAAAAAAAAATCTTTGATACTAAATTAGGAGTTTTCAAAGTCTGCATTTCTGAAAGTTTGCTTAAGCTACAGTTAACTAAAATTATTAATGTTATAATTAAAGAATTATTTCTAAAAATCTTTCATAAACTGTAATTATTAAAGGTTGCCAACAACAAAAACAAATATGTTACCGTTTTACATTCCTTACTTTAGTTTCAGTATAATTTCCATATTTAGTACATAATATAAAGGCTATGTAAAAATGTGACCTAACTTTCTGTAGAAAGAATCTATTGAAGTAGAAACTCTCATTTCTTTTCCCAATGCATAAACCATGTCAACTGGTAGACAAGACTTTCTAAAGCTAACGAAGGATATTTTTCAGTTCAGTCCTTAAATAGGGGATAAAGCCATACACGTAAATTTCTTAGTACATCTAGAACTTTCCAGATGCTAACAGCAGACAGTTGACAAACGCTCACTTTGCCTACTATATAATCTTAAAGAAGACAAAGAAAATGATAGAAGCTAGCAGTTTTTTCAACTGGTGTATGACCTTGAAGTGACAAGATCTTTGGGAAAATATAATTGTCTTAGCATTTTTGGGAACCCAAGAAAGACCTGCTAAGCATGATCAGATAACTAAAATTCTCTGTTTCAAGGTAAAAATATTGAGAGAAAAGAAGATCCATATGACTAATGTAAGATTGACTATAGAAATCTACATTGCACTACTTTTATTTCAACCCAATTTCTATATTTAGTACATAAAACGTAAGCCTATTCTACACAAATGTAAGTTCTGTGAATGCAGGGATTTTATGCTGTCCACTACTGTATCCCCAGTGGCTGCCATAGTGTGTGGCAGATAGCATATGTTCAATAAATATTGGTTTAGTGAGTAAATGTTAGCAGAGACTCTGAAAGGACATTGCAAAATTACAAATTATTCTGGTGAAAATACATAAATGAATGTTAGTATAAACGTGATTCTTGCATGAACTTATATTTAAAATGCCTAATACATACATGTATTTATATGCACCAGCATGGAACAAAGAGATGACTATCAAAGACTGAAACTAACTTAAGAATAACCAAACCCCAAAAGACTGAACTGCAGAATTATAAAAATTTGAGTGTTAGGTTCCTGACTGTCAAATAAATTTGAGCTTCCTAAAATGCAAAGTTTAAGATTACATTCCTATTTTCTCGGGCAAAGTTTCATTTCTTAGAAAAAGAGCAAAGAGTATCAGAAAATGTCTTTTATAAGTTTGGAAAAAGGTGAATCAGAACCGATAGTCCTCTCGTGCAAGGCTACAACCAAAGCTTAATAATTGACAGTGGATGAGAAATAACCAATTAATTTTGTATTGTACTCAGTAATAATATTTAAAAACTTATTGAGCTCTTTCTAATGGATACGTTTATATTATTCTAAATGATTTATATTTAATAACATATATGAAGCTTCCAAAAACTCTTGGAAATACAGACTACAATAATACTTTTGGCAAGAACTGAGATACAGAAAAGTTAGATAATTTGCCATAGGTCACAGAATTTTGTCAGAAGTAGAATTTAAATGCAGGTACTCAACCTCCAGAGGCCTTTGTTCTATCTACTCTTTCTACTGCCTCCATTAAAAGGGATGACATTCAAAGAGAATGACAGAGCTCTATTGTACCGTTTGCAGCATCTTTTTGCAAGCATTTCCTCATTTAAACATGGTTAAAAGCAAAATGAAGTATGAGGGAGAAGAGAGGAGGTAAAAGAATACCTAGAAGTTTTAAGTGAATTTGATATTCCTAGCCAGGATAAACAACTTTTCATCTTTAGAACAAAAAGAAGAGAAAGGAAAAGAAAGAAAGAAGAAAGGAAAGAAAGGAAAGAAAGAAAGAGAGAGAGAGAGAGAGAGAAAGAAAGAACAGTCAAAAACAAACAAACAAACAAACAAACAAAAAAGAAACAAAAACAAGTCCTTGGCCTGAAGAGGATATATTAAGAGATGACAGAAGGAATGGACTTCTAGCAAGGTTCTTTGCCTCCTGCATGCAAGACCCATGCAGCTGCTTCTTGAGGCTTGCTTTGCGTAGGGCCAACTTTGTCCACATAAACTCACCAAGAGATTTTTTCCATTATGATCCCATTGATGGCACCAATCAATTTAGTTTAAACTCATTCTTAGTTAGTGATGAAAGATGAAAATCTTAATTTCTGTGCAAGCTGTTTTGCATACTGCTGATTAGAATGCATGCATTGAAAACGAACAAAAGAAATCTACAAAAACAAATATACCTTTTCATTTTGCTGTACATTTTACCACAGAAAAGAAGTGTTGAGAGGTGTTTTGTTTAGAATCAGAAGAATTTAAGAGTTAGATTTCCTGATGTTCAAATAAAGTTGAACTTCCTGAGTACAAAGTTGAGAATCAAATTCCTATTTTCTGGGCAAAGTTTCATCTATTAGCGATAAAATGTGAATTTTCTGCTTCAAAGATAAAAGACACAAATGATTTTAAAAGGCCTGGGATAGTTATTACTAAACTAAATTTTAATGAGTTAAGTGTAAATGAATTGGAAACATGAATCTCAGATTTCTTATTAAAATATACATGAGGTTACAGGTTATGAAGAAAAATGCTTCGAAAGTACATCTCAGCAGTTGCCAACCTTAAGACATTTGAGGCTGAGCGCGGTGGCTCACGCCTGTAATCTCAGCACTTTGGGAGGCCGAGGTGATTCGATCACCTGAGGTCAGGAGTTCGAGACCAGCCTGGCCAACATGGCAAAACCCCACCTCTACTAAAAAAAATACAAAAATTAGCCAGGCGTGGTAGCGGATGCCTGTAGTCCTAGCTACTCAGGAGGCTGAGGCAGGAGAATGGCTTGAACCCGAGAGGCGGAGGTTGCGGTGAGCCAAGATTGTGCCACTGCACTCCAGCCTGGGTGACAGAGTGAGACTCCATCTCAAAAAAAACAAAACAAAACAAAAAAAAAAACAGAACAAAACAAAACAAAAAAACATTTGAGACATTTTATCAGTTGTCCCAATAGCAGAGGGTAACTTTTTTTTCAATCCTTTGCTTGCATCATTGAGTTCTTTCAGGCTTGAAGTGCCTTCCCTAAATGAATTGCTCTAGGATATTTCTTATTTGTTATTCCCAAGCATAAACAAAATACAAAGTCAGTGTTTTCCCAGGATTGCACAGAATATATAATTCAGCTATTCAGAATCTTATCAGAGAGGAACTGTAAACTCAGGCATACTCTTCTGTATATTCATAGAACATCTTCATCCCATGCAGATTTACCATATGTACTGAGTATCTATGATCACCTGTAAATACAAGGAATGCATATGAGTAATGAGGAGTCTGCTATACTTTTGCCTGCATTGAAAAAATGCTTTAAACCACATATTTTCAGGATTTGTGTTTAAAAGACTTGGCCATGCTTAATTTTTAAAAATAAAGGTAGAAAGTGGACAAACTGTTTGAAATATTTGATACGAACAAATTATTTAGTTTGTTTTAATGTATATATCAAAGAAAACAGAGAATCCTTGCCTACACAGAAGTAATTACTTCTTCTACCTTGAAGTTAGGATATTTTATAATAAAACTGAAATTGTCATGAGAAATAATTGCTCTTTTATTTCATTTTCTTCCATCTTAATTCATCATCTTTATTATCAGTTGCTCTGAGATAGATCACAGAATTCATGGCCCACTAGTCTTAAGATAAAGAGTTAATTGAACATTTCAAACTCCTTGATTTGTCATGAAATCAAAATGAAACATTTAAAAAAATTAGGAACTTAAATGCCAAGTTTTTATAACATGAACATTGTACAGTTGTACTTATTTGGGTCTAATTATTTTCATATTTCTCTAATAAACCCCACTAAGCAAATAAGAAAATATGTTGGCACTGATGACCTTGTCTTTATTATTAAATTACTGTGATGCTCCACAAGGTCTTGTCTCTTTTTTTTCTGGCCTAAACATTCTGCCCCATTTTCTAGATAACTTACAGCTGGCACTTTAGTAGGATTTTACAGGCTGTAATAGTGCATTATCTTATTTGATTCTTATAACTGTGCTGTGAAAATGGTTGGTTAGCTCTTAGAATCTATGTATTATGAATGTGACCTTAAGCAGTTCCTTAAACTCTGTGAGCATTAGTATCTTTATTATGGTACTTGCCACATCACTTAAGGCTGTTTGGGGGATAAAATGAGAAAATGCATATAAATACCTTCATATGAACGATTCAATAAATATCAAATACTATTGGTACTATTGTGTAGGATCTCTTGGTTATTTATTGATGAAGTAAGCATGAAAAGTCTGGGTCTTCTAACTTCTGCTCCGGCGCTCTCCAGGCTTCCCATTGCCCAAAAGAAAATGTCTAAAGGTGTAATAAAAACCTTTATGTTTTCCCTCCTGTTTATTTTTTAGCCCTATATTCTCCAACCCTTTAACCCACTGGCACTCCAGCCAAGCCAACCTGCTGGCAGACACTCTCCCCTGGTCTTCCAGAGTACAGACTATATAGAAGCTCTTTCTGTCCAGTGAACTCATACCCATCTTTCAGGACCCAGAGCAGCTGTTGAATGAGTGAGCTTTGTGGTCCCTCAGACAGTTAGCACCTACTGCCTCTGTGTTTCCATCAAATTTTCTTCTTCTCTTAGTTTAACGGCTATCATCTCAATGTGTAGCATTTTGTTTGTCTCCTACACAAAACTGTGCATGCTTTAAAGTCAGAAATTTTGTTTCCAAAAATTTCTGTCCCCTATCCCTATCCATTGGTTAATATTTGCAGAATTGATTCTAGACTCAATTTTCTCCTTTTTTTTTTTAAGCTGTCACATATGCTCAGGATGGCTTTGGAAGATCGTAGAGAATGAGGACTCTAAACCATGTTTGATTAAACATTTAACCTAGCAGATCTGGTTCTTCTGGTTCGATTGTGGTTCCCATCTGTAGAGAATGTTTTACTTGTTTGCCTGATCATGGACAAGCAGGCTGGCTAAACTACAAATTGTTCCATAAACATTGAACTTCTCACCAGGACTGCCTATTCCTCCACCTTCATTTCCTGCAAGTCATTTCTTGTTTACTGTGCACCAGTTGCACTGATGTCCCTACACATCCCAAGCTTGTTTTCTTCCTCATCGCCTTTGCAGGTGCTGTATTCTGCTTAGCAGGGTCTTTTCCCATCTTCTTGGGGCTGTCTCTCTCCTCCTTCTGGTCTCGTTAAATATCAGCTTCTTTCACAAATGTGAAAAGTCAAGTTATTCTCCTTCAGAGCTCCTACGTATTTTCTTCATGACATTTTAAGTCATAATTTATATTAGGTTGGTGCAAAAGTAATTGCGTTTTTTGTCAATAACAGTCATGGCAAAAACCGCAGTTACTTTTGCACCAACCTAATAGTTATTTTATGTGCCTGCTTACATATATTCATCTGTTTCTCCCATTAGAAGTGAGTTTCATGAAGGCAAGGACTATGTCTGTCTTGAGTATTGTGTAACAACGTTTCACAATAATTATATATTGAATGGATACATAAAGAAAAAAATGAATACAATAAGGACAGGTGTTACATTTTGGGGTATCTATCAAATACAGCATTTTAGTAAGCTAAACAACTTCAGACAACAAAGACTTCACAAGGAGAACCAATCAGAGAGTCAATCAGTTAACAAGCCTGCAGTGACCCGCCGGTCATTTGGGAAGCAAACTTCGTTAGGTGTCCTACTAAGTACAGGAGATGGGCCAATATACAAACCATGGCTTTCCATTGTTTTTAGGATGATGAACAAAACACTGGGTGATTTGCTTCAGACCCACTTAGCTTCAGGTGACTATCCCCCTCGTTGATTGTGACCCAGCCATACTGGCCTTCCTTCAATGTCTCCAAAATGCCATTCTACTCATTGCAAACATTACCCCACTTTATTCCTTCAAAAAGCTACACAAGATCAATTTACCTGACTCTCTCACAGGCTCTTACTGTTTCTTGTCTCTTTCCTAAGTTTTCCCAAAGTTTCCCAATGAGCGTATCCTTTAGCCTGTGCTCTTTATTGCCAGGCTGTTGTTGCAACAGACGTCTGTCTTTCCGCACTCCTCTGGGACTCCTGTGACTTTCTATAAACCAAATAAACAAAAACACACATTTTACCCCAATGCAACTTGGAAGAGAATTCTATGAATCATTGTCAGTCTCAACAATAGAGTAAGTGTGTTTGCTTGAGAGACCATGGTGCATATTTGAAAGACTATAAAAAAGTTCATTAATGCAATGGAAAAGTGCTTCAAGAAGGTCACAGAAAAGGAGGAGAAAAGTTAAAAACAGAATCAATCAAGTTGAATTTCATCTTAGAGTTTTATTTTAGTCCTTTAGAAAGAGTCTTTTGGGCAAATAAATTCACTAATATTAGAATGCTTTTTATAATATAAACAGCATATTTAACAGCTGTACTGATCAAAAATTAGAAGAATTAATCTTAAGAAAAACAAAGGTAGGATTTTACTTGCAGTTCCTCCTTCTTTTCCAAACAAGAACCTTTTTGTCCCTCATGTTTTGACTACATTAACATTTATGTTGTTTGCATACAGTTGATAAAACTGCACGGAATATAATGTCTTTCCAAATTCATCAAGACATACCTTGTGGTTCCCCACTATGAACTGGTGATTAATGCAGCTTGTTACGCCTCTAGTGTGACTTTATAAACACAAGCCAGCTGTACTCATCTTCTAAAGTTGAAAAATGAGAACTAGCTTTTCTCCATTTGACTTCTTCTAAAGTTTCTGCAAGATTGTGCTCATGTTACAGTTAAACATCAGCTGTACAGCTTTCTCTTTCTTTAGCTATTAGTCCCTTAGGTATAAGTCTGTAATCAAAGAGAGGTCAACTGTATCCAAATAAAAAATATGCCAGAATGTCTCTGGCATAAATCTCTCCCTAAAGATTCAGTAGTGTTACTTCAGCAGACAGGAAAAAACACTATGCTTTATCTAAAAATCTAAGAACTTAATTTATTTAAAAAATAAAACTGACTTATCCAGTTATCCTTATAGAGAGCTATACAAGCATAGAATTTCCATGTTACTCATCAAGTTGTTTTTCTTTTTACTAAGTTTGGAAAGCACTTAAATAACCATAGACAAAATATGGCTGTACAGGAACTGAATGGCTACTATTGCTGAACACTTTTTCTACTGTTATAAACTACAGAGAGGGTACGTTAATTAAAAGCCCTTTTGAGCATCATAGTCATTGCACAGTATCCAATTAATTTTAGAAGCAGCTTAGGGCCAATTATTGACAAACATATGCAGTAGATGGAGAATATCTTTCTATTTAGATCTCAGTTGCTTGTCTAAGTTTCTGCATTTCTTCACTAATAATTAATTGTTCTATTCCCAATAACAGTCTTAAGATGGAATGCCTCTTATGGGTATATGCATTTTCCTTATTGCATTTGTCTTAAATGTAAATCCATCTCTTATGTAGATTGTATCTTGAAGCCCAGAGGCTTCCCATCATTACAAGAAGAAGTGAGTTCCAGTGGAGTCACACTGAAAGCTGCTTTCCATGAGAGCATTGCTGTCTGTGATGGGTCATACAAATCTTAAATCAGAAGTCATTTAAAACAGTTTCACTACTGGGAATATATTTACTGATGCCTCGTAATTGCAAATAAGCATAACAAGAACAAGCAAGTTTCCCATCATTTAATGCCATTAATTTCCAAATATTCCATTTACTTAAAATTGTTGCCTCTCCTTCTCTCTTCTATTATGAATTATTTTTTCAGGATGGTGGTTTGATGCTTGTGGCCCCTCCAATCTAAATGGAATGTTCTATACTGCGGGACAAAACCATGGAAAACTGAATGGGATAAAGTGGCACTACTTCAAAGGGCCCAGTTACTCCTTACGTTCCACAACTATGATGATTCGACCTTTAGATTTTTGAAAGCGCAATGTCAGAAGCGATTATGAAAGCAACAAAGAAATCCGGAGAAGCTGCCAGGTGAGAAACTGTTTGAAAACTTCAGAAGCAAACAATATTGTCTCCCTTCCAGCAATAAGTGGTAGTTATGTGAAGTCACCAAGGTTCTTGACCGTGAATCTGGAGCCGTTTGAGTTCACAAGAGTCTCTACTTGGGGTGACAGTGCTCACGTGGCTCGACTATAGAAAACTCCACTGACTGTCGGGCTTTAAAAAGGGAAGAAACTGCTGAGCTTGCTGTGCTTCAAACTACTACTGGACCTTATTTTGGAACTATGGTAGCCAGATGATAAATATGGTTAATTTCATGTAAAACAGAAAAAAAGAGTGAAAAAGAGAATATACATGAAGAATAGAAACAAGCCTGCCATAATCCTTTGGAAAAGATGTATTATACCAGTGAAAAGGTGTTATATCTATGCAAACCTACTAACAAATTATACTGTTGCACAATTTTGATAAAAATTTAGAACAGCATTGTCCTCTGAGTTGGTTAAATGTTAATGGATTTCAGAAGCCTAATTCCAGTATCATACTTACTAGTTGATTTCTGCTTACCCATCTTCAAATGAAAATTCCATTTTTGTAAGCCATAATGAACTGTAGTACATGGACAATAAGTGTGTGGTAGAAACAAACTCCATTACTCTGATTTTTGATACAGTTTTCAGAAAAAGAAATGAACATAATCAAGTAAGGATGTATGTGGTGAAAACTTACCACCCCCATACTATGGTTTTCATTTACTCTAAAAACTGATTGAATGATATATAAATATATTTATAGCCTGAGTAAAGTTAAAAGAATGTAAAATATATCATCAAGTTCTTAAAATAATATACATGCATTTAATATTTCCTTTGATATTATACAGGAAAGCAATATTTTGGAGTATGTTAAGTTGAAGTAAAAGCAAGTACTCTGGAGCAGTTCATTTTACAGTATCTACTTGCATGTGTATACATACATGTAACTTCATTATTTTAAAAATATTTTTAGAACTCCAATACTCACCCTGTTATGTCTTGCTAATTTAAATTTTGCTAATTAACTGAAACATGCTTACCAGATTCACACTGTTCCAGTGTCTATAAAAGAAACACTTTGAAGTCTATAAAAAATAAAATAATTATAAATATCATTGTACATAGCATGTTTATATCTGCAAAAAACCTAATAGCTAATTAATCTGGAATATGCAACATTGTCCTTAATTGATGCAAATAACACAAATGCTCAAAGAAATCTACTATATCCCTTAATGAAATACATCATTCTTCATATATTTCTCCTTCAGTCCATTCCCTTAGGCAATTTTTAATTTTTAAAAATTATTATCAGGGGAGAAAAATTGGCAAAACTATTATATGTAAGGGAAATATATACAAAAAGAAAATTAATCATAGTCACCTGACTAAGAAATTCTGACTGCTAGTTGCCATAAATAACTCAATGGAAATATTCCTATGGGATAATGTATTTTAAGTGAATTTTTGGGGTGCTTGAAGTTACTGCATTATTTTATCAAGAAGTCTTCTCTGCCTGTAAGTGTCCAAGGTTATGACAGTAAACAGTTTTTATTAAAACATGAGTCACTATGGGATGAGAAAATTGAAATAAAGCTACTGGGCCTCCTCTCATAAAAGAGACAGTTGTTGGCAAGGTAGCAATACCAGTTTCAAACTTGGTGACTTGATCCACTATGCCTTAATGGTTTCCTCCATTTGAGAAAATAAAGCTATTCACATTGTTAAGAAAAATACTTTTTAAAGTTTACCATCAAGTCTTTTTTATATTTATGTGTCTGTATTCTACCCCTTTTTGCCTTACAAGTGATATTTGCAGGTATTATACCATTTTTCTATTCTTGGTGGCTTCTTCATAGCAGGTAAGCCTCTCCTTCTAAAAACTTCTCAACTGTTTTCATTTAAGGGAAAGAAAATGAGTATTTTGTCCTTTTGTGTTCCTACAGACACTTTCTTAAACCAGTTTTTGGATAAAGAATACTATTTCCAAACTCATATTACAAAAACAAAATAAAATAATAAAAAAAGAAAGCATGATATTTACTGTTTTGTTGTCTGGGTTTGAGAAATGAAATATTGTTTCCAATTATTTATAATAAATCAGTATAAAATGTTTTATGATTGTTATGTGTATTATGTAATACGTACATGTTTATGGCAATTTAACATGTGTATTCTTTTAATTGTTTCAGAATAGGATAATTAGGTATTCGAATTTTGTCTTTAAAATTCATGTGGTTTCTATGCAAAGTTCTTCATATCATCACAACATTATTTGATTTAAATAAAATTGAAAGTAATATTTGTGCAACTTCATTTTATTTTTAATACGTATTTTGCCAAATTTAAATTAGAGATTTATGAAGATATAGAATCATTGACAAAAACCTACCAAATGAACTAAAGCCTCAATCTTAGAACAACTTTCAGTCTGGGATGAAATAAGAAAGCTTAGCCTCATTAGAATGGTAGATCAAAGCAGTGGATCTCAGTCCCATGTCCCTACAATATGATTGTCATGTCTTGCCAATTATTACATGCCATATTATCATGTGGCAACGGACAATATATTCTGGGAACTCTGAATGTAGAATAAGAGGATGTGTGTTAAAAATCTGAGCTTGGTATACAGGGGGAAAAGGAAGGAGCGTAAAGAAGATGCTACTTGTCTCACTCACCTGACATGCCATCAGCAGTCTTATCAGTCCTTGCATTCTTACCTTTGGCCTTGATTCTGCTCCTATTGCCATTACATTGATTCAAACCTTCCTTAATTTCCACCTAGATGATTGGAAAAGACACTCTTTCATCCTGCCTCTCTATGCTGTTGTTCACCTCGTAACCATAAAAGCTTATTCCTTCTAAAGCCAGACTTCTGAACATGGTTTTTCCCTGCTCAAAACACTTCAGTGTTTCCTCACTACTCCCTGAACTTAAAATAAACAGGTCAGGTTAATCTCAGCCTGCATTGCCAGACAGCTTCATTCCACCTACTCAGTATTCCAATCAGAACAAAGAAGCCCCATGGTCGACTACTTGCAAAAATGATGCCTATTCTTCCCCTTTCTGTATTCATACCTTTTGCAATGCGACTTTGCAGCTTGTTCCATAAAGAGATAAACTCTATTTCCTTACTCCCTGAATGGCTAACTCTGACCTTCTGTAGCCAATAAAACACAACAGAAGTGATAACTATGTGCCAGTTCTGAGTCTGGTCAGAAACATTCTACCTTTGGCATGAAAAAAAGTCCAGCATAGCCTAATGGAGGATTAGAGACCATGTGGAGCAAAGCCTAGTCTACCAGCTGAGACCACCCTAGACCAGCCAGCCCACAGCTGACCCATGGGTGATTCCAGATACATGAGTGATCTCAACTGAGATCAACTGAGCCTGGCTCAGATAGCAGAACTGCTCAGCTAACGTGCATTATCATGAGAAACAATAATGGGTTGTTGTTTTAAACCACTGCATTTTCTTTTTCAGAGTTTTGTTAAACATCATTATTGTAGCAATAGCTACCTGATACAGAATACAGTGCTGCAGTCCCCACCTACCCTTCTGCCAGCCGTGTGAGTTTTATGCATCCTGAGCTTTCAGGACCGCTATCCCAAATGTCCCTTCCTTCAGCTCAGATGGGCAAAACAATCCTCTAACAACCCTCTGGGATGCATAAAAACATTAGCTGCTTCATGACCCCTTTTCTGATGCCCTCTATTAATTGTCACCTTCTCAATACATACATACTTTTACAGCTCAACATATTTTGCTTGGGTTTTATAAAAGGCTGCCTCTTACTTATTTTTTTTTAATTCCCCACAGTACCTACCAGAAACTTGTTATTTGTTGAATGGAATTGAATTGCTTTGAAAGACTAAGAAATCACTTCTACCTATAAAAAATCCAACTCTCAGATTTGACCACTATGTTGAGTCATTTATTTTCAGACTTTAAACTTAGGCCATTCTCCTCCAGAAAAAGATGTCCGAATTTATAATTTTAGTTATCTCAGATGTCTAGTTTATTATCAACTTCGCTGGAACATATGTATTATATAAATTGAGGGAAACCTACATGCTTCTTTTAAACTTAAAACTGTAAATATAGAAAATGTACCATTGAACGGTAATTACTCATTTACTCTTTACACATATATTATTGCTGGGGCCAGGCACGGTGGCTCACGCCTATAATCCCAGCACTTTGGGAGGCCTAGGCAGGTGGATCATGAGGTCAGGAGTTCGAGATAAGCCTGGCCAACATGGTGAAACCCCAGTTCCACTAAAGATACAAAAAATTAGCCAGGCGTGGTGGCAGGTAGCTGTAATCCCAGCTACTCAGGAGGCTGAGGCAGGAGAATGGCTTGAACCTGGGAGGCGAAGGTTGCAGTGAGCCGAGCTCAGGCCATTGCACTCCAACCAGGTGACAGGGTGAGACTGTCTCAAAAAAACAAAAACAAAAACAAAAAATAAAACCCACCAAACACACACACACACAAACACACAAATTTGGGCAGCTTATGATTTAAGATTCGACTGAAGTCTTTTTCTAGTATTTCCTCATGTATTTCTCTAATCATTTTATTAATTACTACATATCATCATTGAAGTTAAGATAGTGAACATAATTAAGGGATTCCTGGGAAAAACTTAAAGAAGTCATTATATCACCTGTATTCTTTCAAGAAAGCAAGTTAATGGAGTCAGCTTCAATGAAGAGTAAATGATAGATTATGGTTAAAATTTAATAACTCCCTTTTAACACAGGACAGTCTCTGACATGTGAACTGTCATCAAATGTAAAAGGCTATTTTATTTTATTTTGTTTTGGTGAAGAAGAGGCTGCGTCCTGGTACCTTTTACAAATAAGCTCCTATTCTATCTCCTCATGAAAGCAGTCTGCCTCCTGCCCATCCATGCACTCTATCTTGGCCCCCAGGGAGTCCATGTGCTGGTTATGAAGGTGAAAGCTGGGAGGGTACCACTATCACGCAATTGTGCCACAGAATTACTGTGACTCCCTTACCTGAGTTCTCTTACAGTAACTAAATTTTGAAAATATAGATCTGCTTTCTAGATATGCTATAAAGGACTGGAATCAACTAAAAAAAGTATTAAATTTTGTAAGTTAAAAATGAATTTAAAAGAAAATATTATAAGCAGGTAATATTCTTTTTTTATATTTTTTTTTAATTATACTTTAAGTTTTAGGGTACATGTGCACAATGTGCAGGTTAGTTACATATGAATACATGTGCCATGCTGGTGCGCTGCACCCACTAACGCGTCATCTAACATTAGGTATATCTCCCAATGCTATCCCTCCCCACTCCCCCCACCCCACAACAGTCCCCAGAGTGTGATGTTCCCCTTCCTGTGTCCATGTGTTCTCATTGTTCAATTCCCACCTATGAATGAGAATATGCGGTGTTTGGTTTTTTGTTCTTGCGATAGTTTACTGAGAATGGTGATTTCCAATTTCATCCATGTCCCTACAAAGGACATGAACTCATCATTTTTTATGGCTGCATAGTATTCCATGGTGTATATGTGCCACATTTTCTTAATCCAGTCTATCATTGTTGGACATTTGGGTTGGTTCCAAGTCTTTGCTATTGTGAATAATGCCGCAATAAACATACGTGTGCATGTGTCTTTATAGCAGCATGATTTATAGTCCTTTGGGTATATACCCAGTAATGGGATGGCTGGGTCAAATGGTATTTCCAGTTCTAGATCCCTGAGGAATCGCCACACTGACTTCCACAATGGTTGAACTAGTTTACAGTCCCACCAACAGTGTAAAAGTGTTCCTATTTCTCCACATCCTCTCCAGCACCTGTTGTTTCCTGACTTTTTAATGATTGCCATTCTAAATGGTGTGAGATGGTTTTGATTTGCATTTCTCTGATGGCCAGTGATGATGGCATTTTTTCATGTGTTTTTTGGCTGCATAAATGTCTTCTTTTGACAAGTGTCTGTTCATGTCCTTCGCCCACTTTTTGATGGGGTTGTTTGTTTTTGTCTTGTAAATTTGTTTGAGTTCATTGTAGATTCTGGATATTAGCCCTTTGTCAGATGAGTAGGTTGCGAAAATTTTCTCCCATTTTGTAGGTTGCCTGTTCACTCTGATGGTAGTTTCTTTTGCTGTGCAGAAGCTCTTTAGTTTAATTAGATCCCACTTGTCAATTTTGTCTTTTGTTGCCATTGCTTTTGGTGTTTTAGACATGAAGTCCTTGCCCATGCCTATGTCCTGAATGGTAGTGCCTAGGTTTACTTCTAGGGTTTTTATGCTTCTAGGTCTAACATTTAAGTCTTTAATCCATCTTGAATTGATTTTTGTATAAGGTGTAAGGAAGGGATCCAGTTTCAGCTTTCTACATATGGCTAGCCAGTTTTCCCAGCACCATTTATTAAATAGGGAATCCTTTCCCCATTGCTTGTTTTTCTCAGGTTTGTGAAAGATCAGATAGTTGTAGATATGCGGCGTTATTTCTGAGGGCTCTGTTCTGTTCCATTGATCTATATCTCTGTTTTGGTACCAGTACCATGCTGTTTTGGTTACTGTAGCCTTGTAGTATAGTTTGAAGTCAGGTAGTGTGATACCTCCAGCTTTGTTCTTTTGGCTTAGGATTGACTTGGCGATGCAGGCTCTTTTTTGGTTCCATATGAACTTTAAAGTAGTTTTTTCCAATTCTGGGAAGAAAGTCATTGGTAGCTTGATGGGGATGGCATTGAATCTGTAAATTACCTTGGGCAGTATGGCCATTTTCACGATATTGATTGTTCCTACGCATGAGCATCGAATGTTCTTCCATTTGTTTGTATCCTCTTTTATTTCCTTGAGCAGTGGTTTGTAGTTCTCCTTGAAGAGGTCCTTCACATCCCTTGTAAGTTAGATTCCTAGGTATTTTATTCTCTTTCAAGCAATTGTGAATGGGAGTTCACTCATGATTTGGCTCTCTGTCTGTTGTTGGTGTATAAGAATGCTTGTGATTTTTGTACATTGATTTTGTATGCTGAGACTTTGCTGAAGTTGCTTATCAGCTTAAGGAGATTTTGGGCTGAGACAATGGGGTTTTCTGGATATACAATCATGTCATGTGCAAACACGGACAATTTGACTTCCTCTTTTCCTAATTGAATACCCTTTATTTCCTTCTCCTGCCTAATTGCCCTGGCCAGAACTTCCAACACTATGTTGAATAGGAGTGGTGAGAGAGGGCATCTCTGTCTTGTGCCAGTTTTCAAAGGGAATGCTTCCAGTTTTTGCCCATTCAGTATGACATTGGCTGTGGGTTTGTCATAGATAGCTCTTATTAGTTTGAAATACGTCCCATCAATACCTAATTTATTGAGAGTTTTTAGCATGAAGGGTTGTTGAATTTTGTCAAAGGCTTTTTCTGCATCTATTGAGATAATCATGTGGTTTTTGTCTTTGGCTCTGTTTATATGCTGGATTACATTTGCTGATTTGCGTATATTGAACCAGCCTTGTATCCCAGGGATGAAGCCCACTTGATCATGGTGGATAAGCTTTTTGATGAGCTGCTGGATTCGTTTTGCCAGTATTTTATTGAGGATTTTTGCATCAATGTTCATCAAGGATATTGATCTAAAATTCTCTTTTTTTGTTGTGTCTCTGCCTGGCTTTGGTATCAGAATGATGGTGGCCTCATAAAATGAGTTAGGGAGGATTCCCTCTTTTTCTATTGATTGGAATAGTTTCAGAAGGAATGGTACCAGTTCCTCCTTGTACCTCTGGTAGAATTCGGCTGTGAATCCATCTGGTCCTGGACTCTTTTTGGTTGGTAAGCTATTGATTATTGCCACAATTTCAGCTCCTGTTATTGGTCTATTCAGAGATTCAACTTCTTCCTGGTTTAGTCTTGGGAGAGTGTATGTGTCCAGGAATTTATCCATTTCTTCTAGATTTTCTAGTTTATTTGCGTAGAGGTGTTTGTAGTATTCTCTGATGGTAGTTTGTATTTCTGTGGTATCGGTGGTGATATCCCCTTTATCATTTTTTATTGTGTCTATTTGATTCTTCTCTCTTTTTTTCTTTATTAGTCTTGCTAGCGGTCTATCAATTTTGTTGATCCTTTCAAAAAACCAGCTCCTGGATTCATTAATTTTTTGAAGGGTTTTTTGTGTCTCTATTTCCTTCAGTTCTGCTCTGATTTTAGTTATTTCTTGCCTTCTGCTAGCTTTTGAATGTGTTTGCTCTTGCTTTTCTAGTTCTTTTAATTGTGATGTTAGGGTGTCAATTTTGGATCTTCCCTGCTTTCTGTTGTGGGCATTTAGTGCTATAAATTTCCCTCTACACACTGCTTTGAATGTGTCCCAGAGATTCTGGTATGGTGTGTCTTTGTTCTCATTGGTTTCAAAGAACATCTTTATTTCTGCCTTCATTTCGTTATGTACCCAGTAGTCATTCAGGAGCAGGTTGTTCAGTTTCCATGTAGTTGAGCAGTTTTGAGTGAGATTCTTAATCCTGAGTTCTAGTTTGATTGCACTGTGGTCTGAGAGATAGTTTGTTATAATTTCTGTTCTTTTACATTTGCTAAGGAGAGCTTTACTTCCCAGTATGTGGTCAATTTTGGAATAGG
Organism: Homo sapiens; assembly: GCF_000001405.40. Taxonomy (NCBI): domain Eukaryota; kingdom Metazoa; phylum Chordata; class Mammalia; order Primates; family Hominidae; genus Homo; species Homo sapiens. Next base: position 107,243,186 of record NC_000008.11, on the reverse strand, counting down.
TGTGGTGTGGTGCTGAAAAAAATGTATATTCTGTTGATTTGGGGTGGAGAGTTCTGTAGATGTCTATTAGGTCCGCTTGGTGCAGAGCTGAGTTCAATTCCTGGGTATCCTTGTTGACTTTCTGTCTTGTTGATCTGTCTAATGTTGACAGTGGGGTGTTAAAGTCTCCCATTATTAATGTGTGGGAGTCTAAGTCTCTTTGTAGGTCACTCAGGACTTGCTTTATGAATCTTGCTGCTGCTGTATTGGGTGCATATATATTTAGGATAGTTAGCTCTTCTTGTTGAATTGATCCCTTTACCATTATGTAATGGCCTTCTTTGTCTCTTTTGATCTTTGTTGGTTTAAAGTCTGTTTTATCAGAGACTAGGATTGCAACCCCTTCCTTTTTTTGTTTTCCATTGGCTTGGTAGATCTTTCTCCATCCTTTTATTTTGAGCCTATGTGTGTCTCTGCACGTGAGACGGGTTTCCTGAATACAGCACACTGATGGGTCTTGACTCTTTATCCAATTTGCCAGTCTGTGTCTTTTAATTGGAGCATTTAGTCCATTTACATTTAAAGTTAATATTGTTATGTGTGAATTTGATCCTGTCATTATGATGTTAGCTGGTTATTTTGCTCGTTAGTTGATGCAGTTTCTTCCTAGTCTCGATGGTCTTTACATTTTGGCATGATTTTGCAGCAGCTGGTACCGGTTGTTCCTTTCCATGTTTAGTGCTACCTTCAGGAGCTCTTGTAAGGCAAGCCTGGTGGTGACAAAATCTCTCAGCATTTGCTTGTCTGTAAAGGATTTTATTTCTCCTTCACTTACGAAGCTTAGTTTGGCTGGATATGAAATTCTGGGTTGAAAATTCTTTCCTTTAAGAATGTTGAATATTGGCCTCCACTCTCTTCTGGCTTGTAGGGTTTCTGCCAAGAGATCTGCTGTTAGTCTGATGGGCTTCCCTTTGTGGGTAACCCGACCTTTCTCTCTGGCTGCCCTTAACATTTTTTCCTTCATTTCAACTTTGGTGAATCTGACAATTATGTGTCTTGGAGTTGCTCTTCTCGAGGAGTACCTTTGTGGCGTTCTCTGTATTTCCTGAATCTGAATGTTGCCCTGCCTTGCTAGATTGGGGAAGTTCTCCTGGATAATATCCTGCAGAGTGTTTTCCAACTTGGTTCCATTCTCCCCATCACTTTCAGGTACACCAATCAGACGTAGATTTGGTCTTTTCACATAGTCTCATATTTCTTGGAGGCTTTGCTCATTTCTTTTTATTCTTTTTTCTCTAAACTTCCCTTCTCGCTTCATTTCATTCATTTCATCTTCCATTGCTGATACCCTTTCTTCCAGTTGATTGCATTGGCTCCTGAGGCTTCTGCATTCTTCACGTAGTTCTCGAGCCTTGGTTTTCAGCTCCATCAGCTCCTTTAAGCACTTCTCTGTATTGGTTATTCTAGTTATACATTCTTCTAAATTTTTTTCAAAGTTTTCAACTTCTTTGCCTTTGGTTTGAATGTCCTCCCGTAGCTCAGAGTAATTTGATCGTCTGAAGCCTTCTCTCAGCTCGTCAAAGTCATTCTCCATCCAGCTTTGTTCCGTTGCTGGTGAGGAACTGCGTTCCTTTGGAGGAGGAGAGGCGCTCTGCTTTTTAGAGTTTCCAGTTTTTCTGTTCTGTTTTTTTCCCATCTTTGTGGTTTTATCTACTTTTGGTCTTTGATGATGGTGATGTACAGATGGGTTTTTGGTGTGGATGTCCTTTCTGTTTGTTAGTTTTCCTTCTAACAGAGAGGACCCTCAGCTGCAGGTCTGTTGGAATACCCTGCCGTGTGAGGTGTCAGTGTGCCCCTGCTGGGGTGCCTCCCAGTTAGGCTGCTCGGGGGTCAGGGGTCAGGGACCCACTTGGGGAGGCAGTCTGCGGGTTCTCAGATCTCCAGCTGCGTGCTAGGAGAACCACTGCTCTCTTCAAAGCTGTCAGACAGGGACTTTTAAGTCTGCAGAGGTTACTGCTGTCTTTTTGTTTGTCTGTGCCCTGCCCCCAGAGGTGGAGCCTACAGAGGCAGGCAGGCCTCCTTGAGCTGTGGTGGGCTCCACCCAGTTCGAGCTTCCCGGCTGCTTTGTTTACCTAATCAAGCCTGGGCAATGGCGGGCGCCCCTCCCCCAGCCTCGCTGCCGCCTTGCAGTTTGATCTCAGACTGCTGTGCTAGCAATCAGCGAGACTACGTGGGCGTCGGACCCTCTGAGCCAGGTGCGGAATATAATCTCGTGGTGCGCCGTTTTTTAAGCCCGTCAGAAAAGCGCAATATTCGGGTGGGAGTGACCCGATTTTCCAGGTGCCGTCCGTCACCCCTTTCTTTGACTCAGAAAGGGAACTCCCTGACCCCTTGCGCTTCCCAAGTGAGGCAATGCCTCGCCCTGCTTCGGCTCGCGCACGGTGCACGCACCCACTGACCTGCGCCCACTGTCTGGCACTCCCTAGTGAGATGAACCCGGTACCTCAGATGGAAATGCAGAAATCACCCGTCTTCTGCGTCACTCACGCTGGGAGCTGTAGACCGGAGCCGTTCCTATTCGGCCATCTTGGCTCCTCCCAAGCAGGTAATATTCAATTGTGTGGACTTTAATACAATGAGTAAACATCAAACAATGGTGTGAAAGGTTAGAGTGAGAACATCATTAAGGATCTAAATTAACTTAAATATTTCCGTTAGGAGAAAGGCACAAACCATTGTAATATTCATACTGAAATGCTGGATTATAGGGCCATAAGCCCTATCCTTGGGAAATAATTGTACAGGTTTAATGGCAGAATGTGCATTATATTTAACAGACATATGGAACCCCTACTAGCATCCAGGTAAAGCATTAGGAAGGTACTTAAAGATACAGAGATAATTAAGGCATACGGACCTTCACAATTAGTCAGAAAAACAGACAAGAAGAAATAAGCATTCGTACAAAAGTGTTTATGTTAATAAATTATTCAATGTTAAAGCTACAAGAACACTGAGATGGGAGTGATTAAATCTGCTGAATTTTATGTTGTGTATAGTTGTAAATAACAAGTGTATAAAAGATGAGAACTTCCATGCAATAGCAAGTTTTATATAGAGATGTTTTTAAAATTAAAAGGAACATGTAGGTCTCCCTCAATTTGCACAAATTTTCATAGAAGATGGCATCTATGGCACTTTGGGAAGCTAAGGCTGTTGGGTCTCTTGAGTCCAGGAGTTTGAGACCAGCCTGGGTAACATGGTGAAACCCCATCTCTATAAAACATACAAAAATTAGCCGGGCATGGTGGTGTGCACCTATAGTCCTAGCTGCTTCGGAGTCTGAGGGGGAAGGGTCACTGGATCCCAGGAGGTGGAGGCTGAGAAGAGGAACTGCAGAGGCATACAGGTGTCAGAAAGCATGGAGTTGTGGGGAACTCCATGTTTTTCAGTATAAATGGACTGTAATGTTTATTTGAGGGAAGAGCACTAGGAGAAGAGGCTGGAGCTGGGGCCACATAACGAAGGACTTTAAGTCGTGTTCCTAAGCTTAGATTTTGCATGATATTAAGGAAAAATAATCTAAGGAACTTAATAATTGAATGGGAGGTGGGGGGAAATCAAAATCATTCCAGATTTTGTCTTGGTTAATTAAATAGGGGGCAGTCTAAATCACCTAAATAGGAAACACAGGTTCTGGGGAGTAGCTAATGAGCTAGGTTTTACATGTTGAGTTTTAGAAGTAGTGATTCAAGTTTGGTAGTTGGATATATGAGTCTGAACTCAAGCAGGATTAAAGTGTAAGACTATGTTTAGATACACAAGAGGAAATCCAAAGAGGAATGGAGCCATAGGTGTTGGGTAAGTAGATTACATCAAGAATCAGTGAGGTAATTGTGAGGATGGCCATGAGACTGCGGAATTCTCCAAGTGGGAGATGAACCTGGAGCGATATGAATGAGAGTAGGCAGTCATATTTCCCTTCCTCATGGGAGGATGCTTCCACAACCATAACCTTGAAACATTTAAGTATTAAGGGAGTCATCAGAATTTTTACAGTGCCCCTCAATTTAAATGCACCCCATATGTAGTGGTTGCATTGTGCCAGATCCAAGCTAGTGGCCTACTTCCACACATTTCCTTACTCTGCCATTTTTGGCATGCTTTCCACTGCCCCATGCTAATTTCCCTGCAATCTTTCTATTGCTCCAACCTCATTCTTTCCTCATTATATAGACCCACAATATATTTAGTCCTGTATCAAATTTCCACGCTGTCAAAAGTGCAAACTCATGATGATTTTCAGCATTACTATTTCAGTAGAAAATATTTGTTTGGCTTAAAATATTTTAAGGTGTTTTATTGCTTTCCAACATAATTTTATTGGTTCCAGGAAACATTTTATCAAAATATTCATTTCAAACTGTCGTAATCCTTTTGCATTGTTGCACTGAGCTTCTGCTTAGTGTCTTATGAGGCAAAAATCATGGTGAGCAGCTGCATTCTCATCTGGAGCTCAGGGTCCTCTTCCAAGTTTATTGTTGGCAGAGTTAAGTTATTGGGGTTGTAGAACTGATGTCCCATTGTCTGCTGGATGTCAGATGGGGGTCATACTCAGCACCTGGCTACTCTCAGGGCAGGTGATCTGAATGGGTTTTACCTGATCATATGAGTGGGCCCTTTAAATATGCATCTATAGGTCTGAGACAGGAGTTAAATCCAACACATTCATTGTCTTGGGGATTATATAGAGGAAGTACAATAGGGGGTGGGAAGTCTTGTGGGCCATCATATAGAATTCTGCCTACCATAGATGGCAAACCAAGGGCATAATAATACTCTGCTTATCAGTAAAATAATCTAAGGTTTTGAAAATGATACATATGAAGGAACATATTGTTTATCTATCTATCCATCTATCTCCCTATTTATCTACCTACCTACCTACCTATTTATCAGAAGATCTAGCCCAGTGACCGAACACTGGTATTTATCCTGAAAAATTATTTTAACCTTTCTGAAATTGTTTCCTCAGTTACTAAACATTGGTACCGTAGTTGCTTTCTCCTCCTTTTCTGTACCATTTTCAAAATAAAAATGAGATCATTTAAGTATCTATTTTGGGTATAAATCTCATTTCACAAGTCCAGACAAGAAAGGAATATCACAATACTTTATGTTTTTTGTTTTTTGTTTTTCTCCCCAGAGTCTCACTCTGTCACCCCAGGCTGGAATGCAGTGGTGCGATCTCCGCTCACTGCAACCTCCACCTCCGAGGTTCAAGCAATTCTCCTGCCTCATCCTCGTGAGTAACTGGGACTACAGGCGCATGCCACCACGCCTGGCTAATTTTTGTATTTTTAGTAGAGACAGGGTTTCACCATGTTGGCCAGGATGGTCTCGATCTCCTGACCTCATGATCCACCCCGCTTGGCCTCCCAAAGTGCTGGGATTACAAGCATCAGCCACTCCGCCCGGGCTATGTGTTTTAAATCAACTTTTCATTTTGCCTACAAACTCCCCATTCAAGACAGCAAGGAAATCACTTCAGTCATTTCGCAACCTCCCCACTCTAGCACAGTGTAAAGGACCCAGAGGCAAATGGACAGCCTAGGTCTTGGGGACACATTTCCAGTCATCATTCCACATCCTTGATCCCTGAGACACCCATTGTTCTTCTCCATTGCTTCCTTCAGTCCATCCAGCCCTGCAGAGGCCAAGCCACACTTTAGGTAGGAAGCCACAGAGCCTTTTCCCCCAACACCCCATTTTGCCTGCACTTTTGGGAATTATCTGCAAATAAGGTATGGGTTTCTGCTATTTGAAAAACTCCAGGACTTCTTTTCCTCTCTTAGTCTCCAGGCATCCTTACATTTAAGTCTGGGGAAGTCCCTCTCTTTCTCTCTCCTTGAGTTTCCCCTGGGCCTGGCTGCTCCCTGGAAGGGTGCAATGCCTAGAACAACTCCGCAAGTGCAGGGTTGTCCAAGATAACTCTTGAAAGGAGACTTATTTCATAGGCCCTTGAATATAAGAAAAAAAGAGTAAGGAGCAGTGTCTCAAAGGCCCCACCCACCTTAAGTTCATGGCAGCTCCCCGGTGCCCTACTTAAGAGCAGGTCTGTTCAGAGGCATGCCCTGTTGGATCACTCTCCAGGAAACCTAGCATAATCCCTATGGCCTTAGGTTCTTGGACACAATATCTAATAATGAAAAATTCTTGAAATTAATTTCTACTTTTCTTTTCACGAAAATATCCCTAAAGGTAGAGGAGCAAACAGCTTGACTTTTTCTTGAATGAGGAAAATACAAGTAGAAAAATATACATTAATACCTTAAAAATTATTCTGCCACACAAAATTTTTAGAACTAAATAATTAATTTTGGGGGTGGTGGGTGTTATGCCTGTATTAGTCCCATTTAAACAGGTAGACATCACTCAGTTCCTGAGCCACTTCTAGATAATCCAAGACTATATTTGGATCCAGGGGATCTGAAGTTAACCTTACTGATCTCAGTGTGGTGGCTTATCAGTCTGGGTTGAAGACCTTGGTATTCACATGCCCACCAAACCTAAAGGTCTCTAATTTCTATCAGTTATGCCAGTTGAAAAACATGGGTTTCAGACAAGATTGTCTGATTTCCACTATTTTTTTTTTCCCTGAAGCTGAGACCCTGGACCGTATCACAGATTATTTGTCTAGGGCCTTGGTAGCACACCTAAGTCATGCCAGCTACTTCTTCCAAAAGCTTGGATCATGCCTTCATGCACCCATACACACTGACTGAGATGCTGCTTCTTATAGGATGGACACTTACAACCTCTTAGAAATGTCATGACCAGCTTCCAACCTGAGACTTATATACAGAGCTCCACCATCAGACTGGACCCTTTGCATGATGATAATGCTGCTGATGATGATGATTGTGAAAATAAAACAATCATAACAGTTGTAGTAGTTAGCATTAACCTTGAATACTGATACTATTATTAGCAAGACTACTACTAACAGTAGCTAGCATATATTTAGTATTACTATAAGCCATTTCATCCTATGACACCATCATGTGTGCATTATTAGTATACCCTTTATATATAGGAGAAAACTGAAGGACAGAGAAGGTAAAGAACTGCCCAAAGAGATGCAGCCACTAAGTGGTGGTGCTGGGAGTTAAACCCAGCAGTGTACCCCAAGGTTGCACTGCCCATTTTTATAGCCACTAGCCACATATGGCTATTGAGCACTTGGGATGCGGTTCATCCAGATTGAGATGTATTGTAATGGAAAATGCACACCAGATTAAGAAGGCTGAGTATATTTTGAAAGTGATGTCAAATACCTCATTAATAATTTTATATTGATTACATATTGAAATATCCATTTCTGGAATGTATTGGGCTAAATAAAATATGTTACTAAAATCAATTTTACCCATTTCTTCTCACACTTTTTGATGTAGAGCTAGAATAGTTTAAATTACACATGTGGCATGCAGTCTATTTCTATTGTGCAGAAATAGCTGTCTAGAGAGCACACTTACAGATACATACCCTAACAGCATCAGTGATCATGCTAAATGCGCTAGGCATACTACAATTGACTCCTAAACAACATGGATTTGAACTGTGCAGGTCCACTCACAGGCCGACTTTCTTCTGCCTCTGCCACCCCTAAGACAGCAAGACCAAACCCTTCTCCTTCTTGTCCTACTCCTCAGCCTATGTAACATAAAGACAACAAGGATAAAGCCCTTCATGATGATCCGCTTCCGCATAATGAATAGTAAATATATTTCTCTGTCTTGTGACTTTCTTAATAACATTTTCTTTTATCTAGCTTTCTTTACCGTAAAAATAGAGTATATTGTACATACAGCACACAGAACATGTGTTAATCGACTGTGTTATCTATAAGGCTTCTGGTCAGTAGGCTATTAGTAATTAGCTTTTAGGGGAGTCAAAGTTCTATGTGGATTTTTGCCACACAAGGGGTCATTGTCCCTGCATTGTTGAAGGGTCAACTGTAGTTCATTTAGGTTCTAAATAACCCTAAAAAGAAGGTATTAGCACTTCCATTTTACCAATGAAGCAAGCCAGATGCAGTCCATTAAGGCCCTTATCAATGACCACACAGTGAATAAACTTTGGTCTCATGATCCCTGATCCAGTGTGCTTTACTCTGAAGTCATGTAAAATTCTTATAATCTATAACCAGGCTGTAGGGATTCTTTGATGCTTTTAATATTTTATAGTTTCTAGCATTCCAAGCTAGCCTTAATAAAGCTGTTCAGTCTTCCAGAGGAATAGCTTTATAAGAACAGTTTTAAAATATTCTTATCAATTTAACATATAATATCAATTCATATTGGATTATAATCCCCTCACCCCTTTCTTCTTTCCGTGCAGAAACTTCTGGTTCACTTCCTAAAACATGTACCTTCCTTTAGCAATTCTTGAAAAACAAATTAAAACACCTTTCTTATATTAATTTTGCTTATAAATGTTATTAAATATGAACATGAGTCTATGATCTTTCTGTACTGAATATTCACTAAAGATGGAAAGAAATTTCATATAACCTTATATAACAGAAATTGGGAAAAAGAATAATAATTTTTGACTACCTAAGCCTTTATTACATATAACATAAAATGACTGCATTTTATAATTTTGGGAAGTTCTACTACTCTGCAAGGCCGTACTTTTACCTTACATCTTTCACCATTTGAAATGACCTCAAATGATGCTCTATTTCTATCTGTTTTTGCCTGTAGGAGTGTGTCCATTAGAAGGATGGCCCTGGGATGCTGGAGGGCTGAGAGCTGGACCAGAAATATATTTCAGTAACAACTGTTCTAAATATGATCCTCAAACATAAATGTCTCCCCTCCAACCCAAGTCCCTTATACTTGCGCATTTGGGTCCCACTGTCTGGAATGCCTTCCATTTTATACCCTGTGTCCAAGGCTGTTGGGAATTTTTATAAAATCATTTAAGACTTTGCTGAAACACCCCTTCTTCTGTTATCTTTTCCCTGGTTCCTAGTAACCTTGATGGGATGCCCATGAGTCCATGATACTTTAAAATTCTTATTGGAGTACCCAGTACAGGATTTGTTTATTGCTTGTGACTTTCTTTCTCAGTAGACCATGAGCTTCTGAGAGCAGGAACTTTTTTAACTCATTGTCATATTCTTTAAATTTAGTGTAAAACCCAACCTTGTCGAACATTGTACAGCAAAAAAAATATTTGTTGAATCTCATCATTCCCTCTCTCCCTTGCACTCTGTATTCCAGTCCTATTGAACTTTCATTTCATCCTGTTGATTTGATTCTTTCTTGTCCCTGTGCCTTGTGTATTATGTATGTGTATATGATATTTATATTATCATGTGATATTACAGGCAGTACTGCCTGCAGTACTCCCTCCATATACCCATTTATTCCTTCTTCTTCTTATTCTAAAAGGTTTTCCTGACTTTTGAGGGAAATAGATCTTCCTTCTCTATGTCCTCACTACTCCTTGTACTATCCCCAATATCATACTCTGTGCCCCTTCTGGAAACAAGAAACCTGAAGGCAGGGGCCAGATCGGGTTTGTTTACCACTGTATGCCCTGTACCTGGGGCACTTACTGACATGAAGTGGTTGTTCAATAAATATTTCTTGAATAAATGGTTGAATAAATTTTATTCAAATGCAGGCTTGTCATTTTTACACCCCATTTTGCACTTCCATATGTGTTCAGTATATCATTTAGACAGACTTGGAGAGATAATATAATATAAGGGAACTTTAGGTTCCAAATATAACACAGTTAAAAATGCTTTCCTAGGGAGTTTATTTTACAGTGACACGAGCTGGTAGCTATCAATGCAGAGAAGCCTGTATGGATGCACAGGCAGAGTAAAGCTTGGAAACAGCGACCCTGCTGGTGCAACTTCTCGTCTTGTATTTCCCTACTCAGCTACCCAAACCAGAACCTGAGAGTTAGGTACCCTTCTCCTTTCTCTACCTCCTGATCCACCTTCACAGCAAATCACCAGGTCCTCCTGATTTTACTCCTTGAATGATTCTCAAACACACCCCTTCCTCTCCTATCTAGGTCCTCATAATCTGCTACCCACACAATTGCAATATCCCATAACTGTTCTCAAGGCTCTAGCTTTTTCTTCTCAAACTCATCTTCCCATTGCTACAAAGGTGAGCATTTAGAATTGGAATATGGCACTCCTCTCCTTAAACCATTTCAGTGGGCGGCTCCTTGTCACCTTGAGCATTAAATCCATTCTCTCAGCATGGCAAAACAAGGCCCTCCACGATCTGGTCCCTACCAACCCATCTAATCTCTTCTTGGATTTAAAATTCTAGTAAGTGTGAAATATAATTTCCCCCATAATCCATGAGATTTCACACATCTATGCTTTTGTTCATCTTGCTGTATCTTTCTTACATGCCTTCTCTCATAGCCTCTTGCATAATTCTTACTAACCTCTTAAGATTCACATGGACAGTCATCTTATTCAGAAAGTTTTGTCTAAATTCCATGTTTGGCTTAATGTCTTTCCTCTGGATGACCATAATATCCTGAATATACCTCTGTCTCTACTTTGAGATGACTGTCCAGTGGTCCCAAAATTTCTTATCATGTTCTTTATCAATAACATTGCTGAATATGCACCTCAATATGTATATTTATTTGTTTATGTATGCAGGTATATATTTATGTGTGCATAAATTTACATATATACTCCTTTATTAATTATGTATTGTGTATTTTAAGGTATATGTAAAATTGACATTGTAAGCACCAGATAAAGGTAAAATGACAACATTTAAGGCATTTTGAAATGTCTTAATGCATTGAAAAACACATTTTTCTATACAATTAGTAATGCTCTTTACAGAAAGTGATGTACCTTGATTGGTTTGTTAATTTTGAATTTAATTCTTTAGGATATACCTATTTAAAAGACTCAGAAAGCCCGTACCAGAAAAAAATTGATAAGTTGGACTTCATCAAAATTAAAAACTTCTGCTCAGCAAAAACACATACACACAAAAAAGAAACTAGAAAAAAGGATTTGTATTTCAAATAGATAACACTTAAAATGAAAATATTTAAAAACAACAACAAACACCTTTTGAAAAATAGAGAAAAAACTTAGACAATTCACAAAGGAGGGTACAGAAAAAGCCAAAAAGCACAAGGAAAGGTGCTCAATAGCATTGCCATTAAGGTAATGGGAATTAAAACCCAATGAAATACCACTACAACTGCATGGAAAAGATAAACTAAAAGATGAACAACATCAAAAGCTGTAGAGTTTGTGAAACAGATGGAGATCTTGTGCATTGCTTAGCACATTCTCATAAAGTTAAACTGTACCAACCCTAGGACACACAAGGAGGAACAACATACTTACAGAAAAATGACTTGTACAAAAATATGTGTTTTATATATAATAGGTAAAATAGTAAACAACCTAAGTGTCTAGCAAATGGTGAATATATATACTTTTTAAAATGTAGCACCGCCAAACAATGAAATACTACTCAGCAACAAAAAAGGTCTAAACTACTGATAAGTGCACTAAAATAAAAGGGCCTCAAAAACGTTATTCTAAGTGAAAGAAGTTGGCCACATATGAATACATTCTGTATGAATTTTCTTTATATAAACCTCTAGATAAGGCAAAACTATGAGACAAGAAATAAAAGCAGTGACTCTCTCTGGGGAGTGGGATTGACTGAGAAAGGGTCTGGGAGAATCTTCTAGGATAAAATAAATGGTCTCTATGTTGACAGGAATGTGAGTTGCATGAGAATGTGCATTTGGCAAAGTTTATCTCACTGTAGAGATAAACTCTGTATAAAACAGTGTCTGGATGAGCCAAAACCAAAACAAAGACTTTTTTTTTTTTAAAGTTTCCTATAAGGGGCTGGGTGCGGTGGCTTATGCCTCTAATCCCAACACTTTGGGAGGCCAAGGCAGGCGGATCATGAGGTCAGGAGATCGAGACCATCCTGGCTAACATAGGGAAACCCCACCTCTACTAATAGTACAAAAAAATTAGCCGGGCATGGTGGCGGGCACCTGTACTCCCAGCTACTTGGGAGGCTGAGGCAGGAGAATGGCATGAACCCAGGAACAGACACAGAGAGTACCAGAATATAGGACTTCCATGTATATACCTTGTTCTATTGATTTCATTTTGGAACCATGTGATTATTTTATAGAATTATAATGCAAAACAAAAAAAACTGATACATTGAATGGCAAATGAATTGTACGTGTTAACTGTGCATTGCATTGCTGGCTCAACCAAAAAAATAAACGATTTCAATTAATTTTAGAGCACAGTGATTTGACAATATGCTCTGGTGGAATATCTGCCAAATGTACTCACAAAATTAGTCATATTGTTGTTGGTAATGTGAGTTTTTGTCATCCAGAGACTGCTATGTGTATTTTGTAGGATAAATTACGTGAAAAATTATGTTGATGTTTTGGAGACCAGGAGCTTCTGTCTGGAAAAAAGGTGCTGCCGATGAAGATCAATTAGGTTAAATAAAAACCAAGTGCTGACTCTGAATTAGTATTATCAGTATGGATTCAAGATGCATGCTACCATCTTAAAAAATTCATGCTTTTTTGCAGTTTCTCCTGAAAAGACCTGGGATCAATGACCAACCAAGTAGCAAAAAATGCCTCTAACATCCAGATTATAATTTCTATTATTTCTGACTAATAGGAAATAGGACATTTTGAAGAAATGGCTAAACTCAGATCTGAAAGGGAAAAAAGGTACCAAAAAAGCATGATGCTATCAAAGGCTAGAGGGAGCCTGTCAAAAAGACTCTGAAATAAGCTTAAAGAGGCCCACTCAACAAAAAAATAAAAGATGCAATGGATTAAAACGAAGCAAGTATGCTTGAATTTATTGAAAAGAACAAGTATGGTCAATTTATCTTTTAAATACTTTGGACATCTTTGGATAATGCTAAGAAACAAAATCATTATGTTGAACACTAACAAATGAAAGAATCAGGTGTTTATCCTTCTTGTCCTAGACAAACTGTACCTTAGGGTAAAAAAAATAGTTGATGTAGATATTTATCTTTACAGAATGATAAAATCACAATATTACTATTTTGCAGCCCATAATGAACCAGTGGGTCTACCTGATGGTTGTTAGCATAATACAAATAAAGAACTAAATATTAAATGACTCCTAACTGAAGCACACAACATTGTCTATGAAGCATTCTTGCCGAAAACAAAATTGAATCCAATATGATGCAACCACTGCTAGCTAGGTCTAATGACCAGCTTATATGATCCCTATTTAAACAAACAAGCTATTATGTACATTTATAAGATAATCAGGCATTTTGAGATTGAAATCTTATAAAGATATGCAAGTTCAAATGGTAGAAGGGCATCAGATACTGGGTTCATTAGATAAACTCATTTTTAAACTTGATTTATAAATTAGGCAAAGTTTTGTTGAAATATGATTGATAACTTCATTTTCCTTGATGTCACCAGTTTTCTTGCAAACTATTAGTTTGAATATTTAATAAAAGTTTTCAAAACCCATAAGAACTCTTTATTTGTAAAATTTTAACAGGTAAGATAATACCATACCTCCAATATTTTTTAAATAAGTAGAAATAATGAATAATGTCACAGATAAATGTACTCATAACACTTGCAAAAAGGAAATCATTTAACCTGAAAACAGTTTTTATATTCTTCTTCAAAATGAATTTTCTATAACCTGTGTTTCTTTAAAAATCAATGTGTTTTAGAGTGTGTGATTCCTAAAAACAGATTAATTAGGTATTATACCAGTAAAGTCCATTTGTCAAAAAATTTGGAATACCTTTTTATGTAAAAGAATAAGCATGTAGATTAGCTTTAAGTCCAACAACATTTCAACATTTTTCAAAAAAAAATCTTTAAAAAATATTTCAAAGATCCTACTATATCTGAGATGCCTTGTTATTATAAAGAGGCTATTTCTTAAGAATTTATGCACTATATGCATTTCTAAGTGTATGCACTTTTTTTTGGCCTAAATTGCTTGCCTATGAAGGATTCAGGAAATTATATTCTCTCCTCAACATTTCCCTGAAAACCATCTGAAAAATTCCAGTAAAGTGCAACCGCTTCATCAGTAACTACACTTCACAGTTATTTCCACAAACATTATTTTTATTAAAAAAATAATTTTCTGCTGAGAATATATTATCTCTGCTACAGCCCTCCTTTGGTGGTTTAAAAAAAACAAGTAGTTCTTTGTGTATGTTATTGTTGAAACAGAATAGAGAAAATACCAGCAGCTGGGACATGTTAGAAACATTTCTGCCTTCTTCCAAGGCATTGCAAAATTCCCAAGTGGGGTAGCTTCTGTCTAATATTTACAACTGTATCAATATTGTGCATCTTCCAACGATTTTATGACAAAGGAATGCATTTAAGTATATAACTGTATGTTATATCATTTTCTATGTATTATTTTGGCCATTGTTATTGTGGTAGGAAGAATAAGCATGTTTCTAAAAGTTTTTTTTTCATCATTAAGTAACATACCTCAGATAAACCTTTTAAACATTGATTATTATGTTTAGTAAAATTTTGTAAGACTCTAATTGCATTTCTTATGATTTTAAACATTACGCAGAGGTATAGGTATTTGTTTATATGTTTTTCACCACTCCAAATTCGTCATAGTAAATGTGAGAGAGTCAAGATGCCACGATCCCTGTGGGTGATTAGTTTGTCTTAATTTCTTTGCATTGGAAATCGTTGGATTTCACATTTCACATATTTCTTTATTTTATAAAAATAAACAGAAATAAGCATTTTGGTATTTTCTTCCTGTAATCAAAGGCTTTTCTTGTAAATCCATGGTGTAGGAACCCCATTTTGAAACCATGTCTCTCCTAAAATTCTACATGGGGATGAGGTTTTATTCATATTTGTAAACCTATATAAAAGCTCAGGGCTTGGCATATGCTAAATAATTGTTAATGGAGCTAAAAAAAACTGAAAGATTAGATCTCAATTAAGTTATATATTTTCTTATATATATATTCTTATTCTTTCAGAGACAGATATTTTGTCTGGTTTATTGTACTTATTATCTAAGGTTTATTTCACTCACCTTTTAATGACACTGTATATAGATATTATCAGTGTTTTACAATAACAGCCATTTCATTAAGGCAAGCAATATTTCATCATGATTCTTAAAAACAGGCTCTCCCCAAGTATCTGAAATCTGCTTTAGGATGTTACATATACAGGTACCTGCTTCCTTTAAAAGGTAGGCTCTTACCCTAAAAATAAAGCCATATACCACTCTCAATGCCATTTCCTACATTTGAGGAAGCAGGAGTCAAACCTCAAAACCATTACTGAGACATGATATCCATGATTCTCTTGGATATTCAAAGTCTACGACCAAAACAAATAATATTGCTTTGCTTCCACTTAATAATTTTATTAGGCTTAGTCTCTAAAAACATGCCTGAAATTTAAGACTTCTCCATTATTAACCGCTATTTATTGGCTTCAAATAACAGACTTGAGGTTGTAAAAAGAGGATAATTTTTACCTTAAGTGTTTGCTGGGTAACTTAGACCAGAAGCTCAATGGAAATGTTTCAGAGTAGAGCTCCAATTTTAGCTGCATTTGTAGTTCACAAATGCAATTATAAGGAGCCAAAAACCTCTAAGTTATGCCACTTACAATTCCAAATTCCAATCAGTCAATATTTATAGAGCACCCACTGGGTGGAAAATGCTGTAGCAGTACCATGCATAAAAACAAAATCAGCATTTTATTACAAGGAATAAACAATACAGTTGGGACACCACTGTGTCAAACCCTTAATATCATGCTATTGACTCAGACATAAAATTGAATGGCATGTTAATAAGTGAATGCACTCCAGTGTTTTTTGATTCTACAATACTAACATCTCATGCATGATCTGTCACACTGTGGTTGCTGCACTGTTTTGAGCAACCAGATACAGCTTGTTGATCAATTCCACCCGTCATTGAGATGCTAAGGCAAGTTTCCTAGGTTCTTTTTGAATGAAGCCTTTTAATCTCTTCCTGTAAATAATGAAAGAGAATTAGGGCCTGATTCCCAAAGAGAAGACTGAAACTCTCAAATAAGAAAGGGGAAGAAAAAAACTGAGGGTGCCTCCAAAATAAAAGGTGTACCCAATGACAGTTAAAAAGATCATCCCCACCTAGGAGTCAATATGCATCTCTGAGCAGCAAATATTACTAACAAGTGTGCTAGGAATAATGGAGGACCCAACTAGAAAGATGGGATTGTCAGGGAACCAACATTAATTAAGCCTACATCCAAAAAAGAAATCAATAATTTCACTAGTGTTACAAGAAGGCCTTGGATCTGAGTGCATATCTGGGTATGTGTGTGGAAGCCTGCTTGGGGAAATTTTGTCCTGTGGCCTGGGGGAGGAGGATATCATATTAATATTTTGTTGAATTTGGAGCAAATAGCAGAGCACCCAAAATTATTTAGGAAATTCGATCAGAAACAAGGCAAAATCAACAGCAACGTCCAGTTTAGGATAAGGTTGGGGGTGAGGGTGAAAGAGGTAAGGCAGTAGTAAGATAAAACAATAGTTTTAAGAAGTTGTCCTGGATAATTCATAACGTATAGTTTAGGGTAGTTTTTCCCTTGAATGTAGAGAACATTCCCTGGAGAGAAAGTGCTACCTTCAGAAGGCCAATTTTAGGCTAATAAGAAGCAAATTTCCCTTTTCTCTTAGGCCTTAAACACAGAGACACCAGAGACTTCTGGGAGTGTGGGTGAGGGTGGGAAGGGGATTAGAGGCCACCTACTGCAACATTTATTTGTTTGTTCATTAAAAAATATAATGAGTAAATGCTGAAAACCAGGTACTGTCGTAAACTGGGAATAAGATTAACATATTCTCTACATCACTGAGTTTGCATCTTTGTGGGGGAGACCAAGTCATACATAAATAAATTACATAGCTTCAGATAGCTAAATACACCATTAAGAAAACAAAACAGAGCAGGACTTGAGAACAAAGGAGGAGGGGATAAGGAGGCTATTTCAGAGAACTTTGTCAGATCATTGTGAGATGATTTTAATGGGGCTGGAATTACATGAAGAAATGAAGCAGGCAAAAGCTCTGGGGACAGAAATATTTCATGAGGAAGTAGCAAGTAAAAAGCCCTGGAGGCAGGCCCAGGCTTGGTGTGCTAAGGATAGAGAAGTCAGTGTGGAGGGAGTCAAATGCTGGGAGTGGTCAAAGTGGCCTTTGGCACTTTGGGTGGCAGTACCCATGTCCTGTAGACTGTTGTAGGATACTTAAAGATTTAGTTTTTATTGCAGGTATTGTAGGAAGCAGTGAAAAGTTTTGAGCAGAGAACAGTGTGATCCGATTAATTATTTAAAAGTTATCCCAATGTTTCTGCTTTATGATGAGAGCTACACCTGGATCTGTGATACTTTCATCCCTGTCTTATTTCTAGTAGCACTATGATCCAGGGCATATGCCAAATATTTGCCTTAATATTATTCCGGCAATGTCTACCAGGCAGAGGTTTAAATTCTTTAGAGGTTAACTATAGGAAGGAAAGTAGTGAATAAAGCCAATCTTTAAAAAATGAAGTCCATGAAGCAAAACTTTCAGGATGTGAAATGTTCTCTAAGATAGTCAAGTCCTTCTGTTGTTGCAGGATGTAGTAACAACAGAGTAGACTTCTACTGAAAAAATCAGTGCCAAAAATTCCTAAATGATGATCAGAATCAAAATAAAGCTTTGGAACAGAATTAGGCAACAGACAGATGCTTCTCGATTCAGGGTCTGCTCCCCAGTGTTCTTACACTGACTGCCACTTTTTTTTCAGGCAACAGGGGCACATTCCCTATTGCAGCCAGGGACATCTGTTACTGGCCACCTATTTGTTTGAAAACAACTATTTGTTTGAAAATCCCCAGGAGGAATAAGTTAAAGAGATCTGTTCTGTACCATGGTGACAGTAGTTAATAACAACATGTTGTATACTTAAAATTTGCTAAGAGTGTGTATTAGTTTGTTCTCACACTGCTAATAAAGACATACCCGAGACTAGGTAATTTATAAAGGAAAGAGGTTTGATTGACTCCCAGTTCCACATGGCTGGGGAGGCCTCACAGTCATGGCAGAAGGCAAATGAGGAGCAAAGTCATGTCTCACATGGCGGCAGGCAAGAGAGTTTCTGCAGGGGAACTCCCATTTATAAAACCATCAGATCTCGTGAGACTTATTCCACAAGGACAGTATGGGGGAAACCACCTCCATGATTAAATTATCTCCACCTGACCCCACTTTTGACATGTGGGGATTATTACAATTCAAAGTGAGATTTGGGTGAGGACACAGCCAAACCATATCGGAAAGTAAATTTAAAGTGCTCTAACTACAAAAAAAGATACATATATCAGATGATGCATATGCTAATTAGCTTCATTTAGTCATTCCATATGTATGCACATATCAAAACATGATGTTGTACACCATGAATGTATATACTTTTTATTTGTCAATTAGAAACATTATGTGAAAAAAATAGACACTTTCTTTTTGTGTACCCTTTTTCTTTTCCTTCAGATTAATCATCTGGCTGTGTCTCTATATTGTCAAAACTCCTAGTTAATTCTCTCTACCAATAAATTTAATTTTTGATCATTTCCATGCCTATACTCAGAACTATATTCAGAGTAAATAGAACAGCTTTTGAAAATGACTTTTTCTATGCAGAGAAAGGGTTGAATCTCTCCCACTTAAAGCTGTGTGATCTCATGCAAATAACCTTAACCTATCTGGACCTCAGTTTTCTAATAGGAATAATTTCTACCTCATAAAGCTATTACGACAGTAGATGAAAAGAAAAAAAGTATTAATTTGTTTGATATTTCCAGCACCATGTTCATGATAGGTAAAATAAATGATGACTTTCATAATTAAAGTTGTTAAAATGACCGTCAGCAGTGCAGCACAGTCCTTTGATTAAAAGAAAGAACACAGTGAGCCTATAACAATTTCTGGTTCCTGATCCACCTAAAAAATACAGGCAACCATATGAGAGGAGTTTTGGAAGGAAGGTCAAGAAGTTATTAGAAGATGTGACTATTTTCAACTGAACTTTACATAAGACACCACCAAAGAGCTCAACTTCCAAATGTGTGCCATAAGCCTTAAACAAAAAATGTTAAATAATGAATAAAATAATATAATTAAACATTTATGAAACAGAACAGTCTCTCAGGGTGATTTCTCTATGACCCTCAGTTTTACTTACATTCCTCTGCAGGCACACTTAAGTAAAACCCTAGGAAACACAAGAGATTATTTTTCCAAGTGTTGGCATCTACATTACTTTAAAATGATATTTCTTATTTTTAGAAAGAGAATCACTTTTTTTTTCCAAAGGAGTATAACAGTTTCTTGGCCTTTACCTCTGAACTCTCACCTTCCCAAAAGGCATCTCCAGCAATGTACAAACTCCTCCATAAGAAATGATTTAATTTGGCAAATGACAAAAATACCAATTAACTTTATGTTAATTGACTCAACTGTGTGATGTCTGGAAAATTTGATGACTCACAAGAAAGTCTGACAAAAATGTTTTCACATCAGAGGGAAATTGCAAAACTTCTGGCCGTGCACCAAATAGGCCAACTTTGGCAACATCCTGTAATAAACACTAGGAGAAAATTGTTAGGTATGCAACAATTTATTCAGGACATTTTTTTAAAGGTTTCCATTGGATAAAATGGCCTTTTCTTTTTTCATTTAATCTTGAGCGCCTGTCTGTGTTTGGCATTCTTCACAGTGAACTACTAATTAGAACCAGACCCAGCACAAGCATCTCTGAAATTCTCCTCAGTTAACTGTTGACCTGTAACATTCATGATTCCTACTGGACAACTATTATGCAGGTACTTGCCTTAAAAATAAAACACACACACACACAAACTTCTTGTATCAGATACATTAGGATTAAATTGCAAACTTGACTTTTTCCTTAGTATGGAGTTACCAGTAGTGAATATTATCTTCATCTAATGGGCAAAATGCAGCAATAATGAGAAGCTATTTAGTACAATGGTCATGAGCTTGGGCTCTGTCATTGACCTAGGCCTCTATTTTAATCACAAATTCTTTGCTTATTAGCTGAGTGACCTTGGACTTGTTAGTTAACCTTTTCAAGCCTCAATTTCTGATCTGCAAAACAGAGCTAGCAATATTAATTCCTCTAATTAAGAGTTAAATCAAGGATAAAATAAAATAAATTTTATAAAGTTTTCAAGCAGTGTTTAGCAGATTTGGGATGTATTACATTGTTTTATACACTTGTAAATTCAGAATAAAAGAAGCAAATTTTATTTATACATATTGGGTTAGATATACAACCAGGATAAGCTATATTCATTACTTCACAGATTTAGATGGGAAAAAATATGATCCCTTCTAGCAGATATTGGTTAGTTTTATTTTGTGGAATACATGTAATTTTAGTTTCAGCACTCAAATCAGTCAAAAGAGTTGGGCCAATTTTGTCTGTAAACATTACTTGAGATTGACTCAATTCTAAAATTATGTAATTTTGTCTTTTGTTTCTGAAGCCTGATACATTGGACTGGGACCAACCAACTATAAGAAAAACAATACAACATTAATTTTATTTGGATCCATCTTATATTTCTATGTATTCAGACAAGTTAGCCACTCCCCCATGATGAATTATTTATAATGAGTTACCATATCTTAAGAAATTTATATATATTAAAATACACAAAACAAATAAAACCACACTTCTAAAAAGAAGCAAACTCTCTGGACTTCTAAAGAACAGGTGACCTAAAATGGTATGCTCACTGTTCTCTGAAAGTCAACCAGAGGATGCCAAATTACAGTACCCACTCCAGACTTCCTACAATATTAAGCATTTAGAAATGTTAATATTTCTAAAACAGTAACCCAATCAAGATGAGAATAATGATTGATCTTCATGGAATGTGGAGAAGAAACAGAAGGAATCCCAAAGGTGGCAATTTACAATAACACAAAGATGTGCAGTTTGAAACTGTCATCTTGCATAGTACCTAGAAATGAATAGGAAGAAAATAAGAACTGCAAAAAGATTATTCCCTTTTGCTCCAGGAATTTAGGAGAAAAGTTTAGGAGGCATGAGTCTTCTGGATAGTTGTCCAGGGACTTTCAGTAGTATCCCACAGGCTTGGAGAGCTTCGGAAAAGATGCTACAGGGCTTTAAATGTACAGCAACTGAAAAAGTACTTTTAACCCTGTTGACTTGTTGGTACCTCACAGAAGCACATTCGAAAGAAGCATCACTGAAGAGAAAGTCAAATTGAATCACAACAAAAACTTGTACTTCCTAGCAAGCAGTTTTATTTGCTTCTTCAGATTTGGCAAAAGGCATTTTCAATTTTGTCTTTAATTTGAACTCTTAATGTTATATTGAGGGAGGATGACATGGAAAGAAAGACTCAAATTGAAGACTTTATGTGGCTTATAGCAATAATTCTTCTTAATTTAAGATGGTCTTCTATCTTCTAGACTTATAACTTGAAGTTTATGAGTGTCAAGACAGAAAAAAATAGGTCAAGAATGCTTTTGTAGCTTGACATAATAAAAGGAGATGCTTAAAAGTTTTGAGAAATGATCAAAATATGCCTTTCACAATTCGGTAATCCCAAGGAAAGCTGAGGATAAAATTTCTAATACACAGGGAATGAACATGCCAATATTTATATATTTCAAAGTTGTCTTAAAAATAAATATGCTTAGCAGAATACATGACATGTTATATACACATGAAAGAGATAGAGAGAAGGGGAGAGAAAGAGAAATGGAAGAAGGAAGAAAGGAAGAAGAAAGGAGGAAGGAAGGAAGGGAGGGAGGGAAGGAGGGACGGAAGGAGGGTAAAAGAAAAAGAAAGGAAAGAAAGAAAGACAGAAAGAGAGGGAGAGAAAGAGTGAAAGAAAGAAAGATTAGGTCTTTTTTCTTTGTTCCAGGCCTACCAGTTGATAAGACCTCCCTGAAAGGAGGTTTTGGAAAGGCATTCTAAACTCTTACCAATGACTGATGATGTTATAGACTTCATGCTTAACCAATTTTCAGATGACATGAAGTATATTAGAGGCTATCTAACCTATTGACCATCTGTCAGAATCCCTCCCTCCCCACACACAGAAAAAGATAAATGGAGTGAAGAGAAGAATCTAATAGGTTTTTAATTTTATTTTAAATGTAGAAGCACAGTACATATTCACTCTAAAAAATAATCTTAGAAAAAAAATCAAACAAGAAAGAAGGCTATAAAGTGAATATTATAAGATTCTTTTATTTTTTCTTGGACTTCTACAATCTTTTCAAATATAATCACGCCTCAATGTTTCTTGCTTACCTTTTCAATATTTTCTATGTGACTATATGCATATAGATACATATGTAGCTAATTTGTATACATTTTCTAAAGGTTGCATAAATGGATCAAGTTACACATACACACACACATATACAGAGAGACCTATATGTAGTATGTATGTATGTATGTATGTATATATGTATACTCATACATAATTCTTGTTAGCAATTGCATGACAATCCATTATATGAACTAATATCTATTTAACTAATTTCCTATAGATTGAGATTCAGGTTTACATATAATGCTGAAATAAACAATGTTATACACAGATCTTTATGCACTAACGTGAGTTTTAAAAAGTGGAATTATTGGAGCAAAGTGTGAAAATACATGAAAACTTTTGTTAACTACTAGAAAATCTCTAGGAATGTCCAAACTCAAACTCAGCTCACAAAACAAAATCCTAATGAAACAAGCATGGATCTGAATAAAATACTCAGAAAACACAATACAAATATAGAGGATATAAGACATGAAGAATATAATATAATAACAACTAAGCCTATCATAATAAAATTATAGAACACAAAAAATAAATTTCAAAAGCAAATAAAGAGGAAATGCAGATAATATAAAAAGGAAGGAAAATTAGACTGACAGTAAACATCCTTACAACAATATAGAAAGTAATACTTGGAATGGAACACAGCACAGGTTTAAAAAAATCATAGGAGTTTGAGTTAAGAATATACTCATTCTCAGCCAAAATTAAGCAGTGACTTCCAAAATAAACTAATATGAATTTAGAGAAACATAGTAACAATATCAGAATAGCGGGGGGAAGAGGTTTTAGAAGTGACGTGCTATTTACTTGTAAAATTACACTGGGAATGTGGGACTTATTTCTATTACTATCTTGTTTCAAGTGAAGATATTCTAAGTTCTGTTCTTAAAGGAGCTGGTGAAGGAATTGGGGATTTGGAGAAGTCATAGAGATCACAACAGCTATTTTTAAATAGTGTCAAATTTGAGTGCTCGCCACACAGAAAATAAGTTAGATATGTCCTACATGGGATAAATTTGAATGATTGTCATACTGAATAGGAATTAAATATGTTCTGTACCTGAGAACCACATGTGCATTGTCATATTCTGAGGAAACAATGATCTCATTATTACAAATATTCAAAGATGGAATGAGCTCTTTTAAAAGGTAGTGAGAGTCTCATCGTTGGAGATATTCAAAAGAAGGCAGGAAGAAACTTGGCAAGTAGACTATAGAGAGAAATCAGGAAGTACACGAAAAAAAGTAAGCTTTAAAGTTTATGTCAGTTGGCCTGGAAGAACAGGAGCATGCACTGAGGGTATCTCTCTGGAGAAAATAACAGCAATGAGTGGAAACCACCTCCCACAAAATCCCATCTTTACCAGCAAAGGCCTCAGTCTTTTTATACCATCAAAGACCAAAGCAAGGAAAATGCAACAGTTAAATGCTGGCCTCTTTTAAGAACATAATTTAAAAAATAATCCTCTTATTTATATGGATTTTTAGTTGTAAAATCTATCCAGTATGTTTACTCACTTCATGTCTTCAGCCCTATGGGAAGAATTAAAAGAAAAAAAAGCTCTAGTGGCCAATAACAATATTGAGTGTGCAGATTTCTCTATTTTCAGTACAATATTTTGTGTTCCACTGTACATTATTTATTTTGATAAAGTTAAATTATTGAGTGAAACAGAGGAAAGGGCAATTTGAATAAAAATTCAGTATAGTAGTTGATGGCACTAAACTCAGGAGAGGTATCAAACTATGGAATCACACATGGATTCAAGTGATTACTTTGTTATTTACTAATTTACTCTGTGACCCTAAGCAAGAGCTCAATCTCTCCAACCCTCACTTTTTCGCCTGTGAAATGAAGATAATGGTAACTACCTTGCAAAGCCATTAGGAAATTTAAGTAAGAGGGCAAAAACCTAGCCGAGTCCTGGTGCAGTTAGTACTTGATTTATGTTAGTTTTTTTTCTCTTCAATTAATTGATTCATTTTGTAAAACTTGTTTAGAGCAATGAAGAAAAATATTTTCATAACACTAAGCAGCATGAAGGTAAGAATCAAATCCGGTTGTTTACCATGATAGACCTAGGACTTGGCACAAAGGAAGTCCCCAAAAATAATTAGGTTGATATTGTAATTTATAAAATTTAATTATATAGATTTGAAAAAACAAGTTAAGATTAAAATTTTCCCCTTATTTTCCTTCCATTCTATGACATGAATTACTATGCTAAAGCAATGATCTTGTCTTAAAATTTGGAAAAAAGTAACGATTTTGTACTTTGAGATACTATATCTCATCAGAAGCTGTATTTCCTTATCTTCAAATACAAGAGGCCACATACTTTACAGGACAACTTCATGGGACAGGCCAAAACCCAAGATCCCTAACATCTGACTTTGTGACCAACAAAAGCTGCCTTTTAAGTTTGTATTTGTAGATGTCATTTTAAAAAATCAATTTCCCATTTCGGCATAAGAGTCAAGGACCACATTTTCAACAGAATACATCTGGTTTGCATTTCATTTCCAACTTCAACACCAGGTGTCTTTCATGTGTATTTAATTTTAGAGAGAGGGAGCACCTCAGACATGGAATGATTTGAAGTGGTTTAATAATACAGATAAAGCATATGCTGATATTGTATTTCCAGAATACAATTACTTCTTATTGGTGATGTTGCTATTATTGTTGGTATGGACTGAATTGAAATTACCTTTCAAGTTGTAGGCTTGGGATATAAGACAGTAAGCCTGATTTTAGGTACACAGTGAGCTCACATACATTCATGAATAAACACTGTATACACTCAATGAGAGTTTCAGAAACTAGGACACCCCCCCACCCCCCAAAAAAAGAAGAAAGGAGGGAGGAGGGAAGAAGAGTGGAGGTGAGGGGGAGAGAGAGAAACAGAAAGAGATTTTTTCACCAACATCTTTATCAAATAATTAGTCATCCTTGGGAAATGTGGCTCAATCTCTTTCAGAGTGTGAAATTTAAACAGAAGAATAATTATTACATTAGTTACAAAAACCAAGCCGTCTTTAGGGAAAATGTTTTGATTAATGAAAATCAGTTTCATCTCCTTGTATACAGAGTGCTATAAAATGATTTCCATTGGGAGAATGAGTCCACTTTTTTTTTTTTTTTTTTTTTTTGATATGCAGTTTTGCTCTTGTTGCCCAGGCTGGAGTACAACAGCGCTATTTCAGCTCACTGCAATCTTTGCCTGCTGGGATCAAGCAATTCTCCTTCCTCAGCCTCCTGAGTAGCTGGGATTACAGGCATGCACCACCATGCCTGGCTAATTTGTATTTATAGTAGAGACGGGGTTTCACCATGTTAGCCAGGCTGGTGTTGAACTCCTGACCTCAGGTGATCCACCTGCCTCGGCCTCCCAAAGTGCTGAGATTACAGGCATGAGCCACCATGCCCGGACGAGTCCACTATTAATTTAAACAGACCCCACGGTATGAGTCCATACACAGTGTTTATTGCCTCTGGTGATCAGAAAATCACCAACCATATACAATGCTACTGGTTTTAACAGAGTATATGAAGTTTTATTTCTAAAGCAAGTAAATATCACTAAATATTGATAACCAAAAGAGATTGTTTATATTGTAAAATCACTAATACTCAGAAACAATTTTTTTGGAAAAACATAATAATGATTTTTCTTGAACACTCTAAATAGAAATTGGCATGGACGTGACAGGACAATAATTTATGTAAAATCAAGATAATACTAAATATGCAGCCTATATTAACTAATTAGCTAATAAATTAATCACAACACATGAGAGAAACCTAAAAGTATAATTCTTTATTATTAAGCAACCAACTCTAAATCTAAAATCTTCTTTCAAATTTCCTTGAAACTATATGTTCTGCCTTTCAGGGTAAGCTTTCAACAAACACAGTGCTTAGTTTGTAATAAAAAAACAAAAACAAAAACAAAAAACCTCTTTATCTGTGTTTCTTAGTTGAAAGGTAAGTCTTCACAGAATGCAAAATATACAGAGGTCAAGTTTACTTGGTACATGATTATATCACGGCTTAACATCTCTTTATCCATATTATGACATGCTTTGTAAACAATCAATACAAAAACATAAGAAAAATTTGGGTTCAAACTATTTATGCCAGAAATGCTCAGACAACTTCTTGCATTAGGTAACTCATGGTTACGGGGGGATCATGAGAACTCTCCAGAGCCACTTTCTGGGGGCACTCAGCAGCTTGCACCCCTAGGATTGGGCGATGCAGCATGTTTCTGTGTGTCAGTCACATATCCAGAGGCCTTTCAGAAAGCCCAGCTTTGTGTCCAGCTCATTCCTGCAATGACAGTACTGAGAAATAATTTTACCTCTTTGAACTTTAATAGTAGGTATTAAATAAGCTAATGCATCGCATGTACATACTTATTGTCTGGTCCACAGTAAGCAGTCAGTACATAATTATAATCTTTATAACTACTATTATTATTATTTTCATTAACTCCTAACCCAAGGGGAGGACAGTTGCTTAATGGAACCTTATCAGAGCACACAGGGTGAAATACAAAGACTATCAACAAACAAACTCAGACATCTTTAGTTAGCTTGAAATTATAGAATGAAAAAACACACTCCTACAAGCTAATTAAGATTAAGGATCACATTTTCCCTTAAGAAAAGCTGAAAATAAATTGGGCTTTTCTGCCTATCTCAGTTTAAAGACTATAAGCCTTATTAAAAGCATAGTATATAATGGCTTTTCATTAATTTGATTTATTTAGATGTAAAGAAACTGGAGAGATGCACATCCTGAACTTAATATATATCCCAAACTCCTAAACTGAAGAAGGAATGGAATAAGCATATACTCCATACTCCAGAAGCAGAAACTAATGTTTTAAAGGTTGGAATTATTTCACTTACACTCTAACACATGGAAGGATTTTTTTCCATATAAACTGCAAAGACTTGAAAATAAAGATTGATAATAGAAATGCCACATGACCCCAAGGTGAACTTGGTGGGTAAGCCAAGATGCAAGAGGTCAGAGTTATTTCCTTATGACTTGATTCCTCATCTGCCTAACTCCCTTAGAGATCTGCAGAGCTTGTAGTAGTTAACTGGCAGCAGCTGGGTTGGTTATCAAAGCCATGCATTAGATAAACATTTATTGAGTTATCTATTGTAGACCCAGATGCTGGGTTAAACTGTAGAGATAAAAAGATGACAAAGACACTTCTGCTGCTGCCATCTGTAAAGTTCAGTGACCCTAGAAACATGAAAATAGCGAGTGACTGTACAGCATGATGACAAGTTACCAAAGCACTGCCAAAATGCAACATATTATGTCCAGCTACAGGAAGGGGCATTCTAATTTACCCAAGGGATAGAAAAGACTTCACTGAAGTTGTAATACTAGAAACAGTGGTTCCAGAATACCTGCCTAGGAAAGTCTTGGGGCAGCAATTTGGTCACCAGTGAGTGGCTTACAGTTGTGTTTGCATACATAGCGCTTTTTACTAGATTAATAGATAAAATGTCACTCTTCACAGGAGAAAAAATGTGGAGGGGAGTGGGCATATATTATGAGAGTGCTGAAGTTGTTCTGAGTCTCTCTCTCTCTCCTCTCAGTGCCACAACTAATTTCAACTGAATGTTTAAAGATGAACAGAGGTTTGCAAGATTGAAACGGTGAGCAAGGATTTCCCTGGCAGGGAGACAAGAGAGAAAAATAGAATTCGGAGATTACAATAATTTAATTGTGAGAAGAAGTGGGTCTTGTTCTGGCGGCACATTAGAATCCCTTCATGGAATTTCTTTTTAATGCCAATGCCAAATTTTATCTCAACTAATTAAACCATAGGCTCTAGAAATGAGGTGCTGTCGTTGGTTTTTGCTAAGTGATCCCAAGGTGATTCTAATGTGCATGCTGGCTTAAAAACTATTGATCTAGAAAGTGTTTGCAGAGACATGGAAGAAGATGTGACTGGGAAATTACTAACCTCGAATCCTTCATTATCTGGAAAAGAGAGATTATAATACCTAGTGCATAGGCTTGATGTGGGCATTAACTGGGAAAAAGTAGAAAGTAAGATTGGTAAGATTTATAAGTGCTTATAATAATACAGAAACTCTTCAAAGTATTAGTATTTTGTACATATTCTAAATTTATTTAATCTCCATAAAGCCATAGTAAAACATTTAAAGGTGAGGAATCTGATAAAATGAGGACTCTGAGGTCACATAACTGATAAGTCTGCCAGGCGGCCTTCAGAGAGCCTTGTTTTTAAGCTTTGCTTTTCCCAGGGTGCCTGGCATCTGGGAGGAACCAATAAATATAGATGATCATTCCTATTGTTACTAATTTAAAAGATAAAAAAGAAATATATAAAAAAATAGAGAGGGTTTGTCTTTGGGTAGTGGGCCTATGGATGCTATATTTATTCTTCTATTGTTCTGTATTATCTTTAAATTACTTTATCACGAACTTTCAACTTTATGGTACAATAAAATAAAAACATAAAATAAGTTAAAAACAATAATAATCCAAGTTCTATTTCTGCTTCCACTACTGTCAGAATAACTTCACTGAATTGAAATGCGGATGATATTTAGCTGTGACTTTCAATATTTTTAGCAGTGGAATTCTTTGTTTTAAGAAAGTCTATTTTAGAAGTCCAATCTGGTAAACAGACCAACACATAGCTTCTCTGATTATAGTACAGGAGGGGAAAGAGATTTCAAGAAATCTCTTGTAGGGGACACAGAGTAGTGAGGCCTGAGCTATCATCACCCTATAAAATACGCACACACACACACACACACACACACACACACTCGGGAGAGACATGGTTAAACTGTAGAAACAAACAATCTCAAGTTTAAGTCACTTTATTCAACAAGAATTTCTTGCTCATGCTCTATGTCTAAGATAAGTAAGTGTAAGTGATGGGCAAGGAAAGATGGAGGTAGTGGATTCAGCTCCACATAGTCACTCAGGGATCCAAGCTAAGGAGACTTCTCCAGCTCATTGCTTTACTTTCAGAAGTTCATGGACTTTTTGGTTATGAGGATGGGGAAAGAGACAGATTGAATAATTACATAGAGTCTTTATTTGACTTAACCAGGAAATGAAATGTGTGGCTTCTACTGACATTTCACTGGCCAGAAATAGTTATATGGCCAAGTCAGCTATGAAAGGGCTGAGAAATGCAGTCTCCCACATGCCTGCTAGAATAGGAGTAGTTATCAACGAAACCCAGCAATGTTCACTATATGCATCAAGGGGGCCTAAGAGATTCCTCAGAGCACAGTTTTAATACACCACTAAAAGAGGTGTTTCATCATACCCTTTCTACTCAAGTAGTCTGTGAATGTTTGCGTCCTACAAAGACTTTCAACAACTCTCCTTTCTTACTCCTAATATTAAACAGAAGACATAAATCTATATTGTATTACCTTATTTATCCTTCCTGTGCTTATGTCTTTGGGTGCAAATAAATGCTCATTAACTCTCTTTACATGAGCACAACCCATAATATCGCTATGTACTTTGCTTTTCATTCAGTATCATTTTCCAATTGAAATAAGGATTTCATGAGAACAACAAAAGCTCTACATTCAAATAAATTCCAGAAATACTGGATAAAACAAAATTAAACAGTTATATTTATTGCAGAATTACTTGCTTTTAATATGGCTGCATGATTTAAATTTTGCATAAGGTAGTTATGCAGCACTTCTCAATCTAAATATTCTTTTAATTAGACAATTACACAAAATTTTCAGAACTCCCTAGAGCACAGTTATAAAACTACTGCATATATTAGAATATGGCATCTACAACACAACCAATATTTTGATACTGATAGATGTGCTGTGAACCATGTTTTGGCTTGTCTATTGTTTCTTAATACCTTTAACAGCCACAGAAGTGAGGTGTAGATAATCAAGTTCCCAAATCCCAAATCCCACATGATAGTGGGTGTGAAGTC
This sequence comes from Homo sapiens, assembly GCF_000001405.40. NCBI lineage: Eukaryota > Metazoa > Chordata > Mammalia > Primates > Hominidae > Homo > Homo sapiens. The sequence goes on along the minus strand of NC_000008.11, from coordinate 107,212,698 downwards.
TCTCAGCAGCAGTGCCTCTGATCTGACTGTAACGGTGCTACACAAAAATCTATGCATGTTGCTATGCAAAAGGGGGTTCTAGTTTTCAACACTAAACCTGATAAAGAAGTGAGAAAATCTTCCCCTCTAAGGGAGGAGAATGTGACCATCATCTGTGTCCACAGAGCACATCCAGTGAAAAGCAGACCAAAAGAACAGAGCATTCAGGCCACAGAGAGCAACAGGATGAAGCAGACAGATAAACACGATACCTAGGATTAACTGGCACAATCCAACACTTTGCAGAAGCTTTTCAAAGTAGATGTCTGAATAAACAAATTGATAAAGACTAGGGGACTTTTTTCAATGTATATAAATGAGGCTTGAAATTAAAATAAAGGATCACAAAAAGAAAAGTTACAATCTGAACCTAGATGATGATATTTTGCAAGATGCGAATGTCGCATGTTACAAAAAATTTTAGGAGAATTCAAACGATTACCACACCTCTGTCCATAATCTATCCCCTTAGACTCACTGACCTAGGGCTTTTGCCAATTTATTTGTGAAATGACATCAGTTTCATCAGAAAAAGAAAGAAACAGCCAGAATCCAGAAATGATCATCCTTGACCAGATGCCTTTTGCCAACACTGGCCTCTGAGAGAGAGGCTCACTTGATGTTCTGGACAAAAATACTCTTTATTACTTGATAGACCTTAGCCCTGAGTTCTTCTTTGGTCTTCTATGCCACAAACTTGGCTGGCTGCTGTGAGAAACATACAGGTTTTCTCTTGACACTCTTGTCTCCAGTTTGCCTAAGCAGATTTTTGTCTGCACGTTTGTCTCAGACCAAGCTCAGCCTTTGTAGTTTCATCATTATAAATGGTAAGAAGAGACATGGGAAGAGAAACCCACAGAAAAATTAGCATCATTTTTGAAGCCTAGTATAGAGCTGTCCAAGTCATTCCCTAGATGCTTTTCTTCCTGTCATGGGCATTATAAGCAGTAGGAAAAGGAGTAGGAGGCCACTTCTAGTTGCATGATAATGCCATTGTCACTCTCTAGCACTGCAGCCCAGTGGGATCCCTGGGGGTTAGGTATATGACATCAGACTGTATATAAAAGGGCACTTCAAGAATTTCATGGAAAAATGAAATTAAAAGATAAAAGTAAAAACTATACACTTTATTACTCAACACAAGCTCCACCAAGTTTAAGACACTTTTGTAAGCAAGGATATCAGTCATTTAGTCCAGCCCTTGAAAACTAAGGGTCTTAGGAATTTAACCATGCCAATGCAGTCTTTTTTACATGATTGATGGGAAAAAATGAGTGCCCTCTAAAGATTTTTTTTAAGATTAGGAAACAAAAAAGTCAGAAGGAACCAAATTAGGACCATAAGGTGAATGTCTAATAATTAATTTCACATTGAAACTCTCACAAAATTGCCCATGTATGATGAGGAGGAATGAGCAGGAGCATTGTCGTGGTGAAGGAGGACCCTCTGGTAAAGCTTTCTTGGGCATTTTTATTCTAAAGTGTTGGTTAACTTTCTCAGAACACTCTCATAATGAGCAAATGTTATTGTTCTTTGGCCCTTCATTAAGTCAACAAACAGAATGCCTTGAGCATCCCCAAAAAAACTGTTGCCATGACCTTTGCTCTTGACCAGTCTGCTTTTGCTTTGACTGGCCCACTTCCACCTCTTGGTAGCCATTGCTTTGATTATGCTTTATTAAGCCATGTTCCATCTCCTGTTACAATTCTTTGAAATAATGCTTCAGGATCTTGATCCCACTTGTTTCAAATTCCATTGAAAGCTCTACTCTTGTCTGCAGCTGATCTGGGCATAACAGTTTGGCACCCATGATGTGGAAAATTTGTTCAACTTTAATTTTTCAGTCAGAATTGTGTAAGCTAAACCAACTGAAATGTCGATGGTGTTGGTAATCATTTCTGATGTTTATCATCAGTTGTCTTCAATTAGGGCATGAACAAGATGAAGTTTTTCCTGACAAATTGATGCAAATGGTTTGCTGCTGCAGGCTTCTTCCTTAATATTGTCTTGTTCTTTCTTAAAATGCATTATCAATTTGTAAATGCTGATTTCTTTGGGGTATTGCCCCCATAAACATTTCATAAAGCATCAGTAATTTCACCATTCTTCCACCCAAGCTTCATCCTAAATTTGATGTTTGCTCTTGTTTGAATTTTAGCAAAATTCAAATTGCTCTGACAGGAGTTCTTTTTAAACAGATGTCTTAGCCTTCTTAGAGCCTCACACTAGATCCTGTTCAAACATGTTATAACAAGTTAGTATGAGTTTATTTTGGTGGAAAAAATGTGAAATCCATGCATTTTCTTTTTATAATAAGCACTTTCCATGAATATTTTAAAGATTCCTCATATAATAGATTGGGCAGCCTTTACACCATGTGAGGTACAAGTGAAGGGATTACCCAGAAATAGCCACATCTCCTCCTTCTCAGTACTCCCAAATATCTCTTGGTCTCCCAGTAAGAAAACAGGGTATGCCACTATCCAAGTTCTGGGACAGCCTGACATGATGGCACTTGAGCAAGGAACAGTGGACTTTCTAATGGTAGGCCCCAGAATCAGAGAGATTTACCCTCAAGTCATAGGCAATGTTGTCCAACCTCCGGACTTCCACAAAACGGGCAAATCCTTCTTCTCTCTACCTGTCCCACTGCTGGCAGTCAACCAGAACACATGCTCTAAATAGCCAGCATATCCCCATTGAGAAAAAGGAGCAGAAGAAACAATGTTACAGAGTCCTTGTCACAAATTCTATAGACAAGTCACCACACCCGTCAAGGGAAAGAGAGAGTCAGGCAACAGGAGGAGGATGACATGCTACGCAAAAGGAAGCAGAAAGCAGGGGGAATGGAGGTTCCTGGATCCAACAAGACACAGAGTTAAGACTTCATGGTGTCCTATGCATTTCAAGGCTGGTCACGCACAAGTGCTCATGGCCCTCCCCCACAGTTCTCCCATTCTGATTCCTCCTCTGAGCCAATGTTTGCCACTCAACCCTCCTGCAGCCTCATCTAATTGCAGTCACCTCTGTGGGGAATCTGATTATGCTGCCTTTTTACTTTGTCTAGACTACTCTCTTCTTGTCTCCTCATCTCCTCTCACTTCTCCCACAAGCTGCCCAATTAATGCATGGAGGCATATGGTTTACTGGCCACACTTGCCTTTCAAAAGAAAGCCCCCTTTGTCCTAGCAACCTGAGTAATGATAGGCACAACCAGGTTTTGTTATTTAGGGTATCTTCCTCACAAGCAAACAAAAGCACATTTTAAAAGACTACCTAAAGGCTGGAACTTGTTATAGAAACTTGAGGTTTCTGGAAAGACAATTCTTGGATAACAGAAATCTCATGCTAGATCCAGAGTTACTGTAGATCCTAGTTTATAGTCATTACATGGGGTATCAAGAATCTTCACAGTGACCACTAATAGGGTTCTCCAAATGGCATAAATGTCTAAAGAGGTTTTCTTGCTGTAGCTTATTCATGATAACATACAGGCAACCTCAGTACATATTTAACTTGTCTATTCATTTGTGAATTTAAAAATAAACCTATATAATTTTCTTCAGAAATTACATGTGGCATAATTTTCATGTCACATTATTATGTTTTTTAAAAATACAAATTTAAATATTTTGGAAACTACACAATTTTTGTTATTCTTTGCCATTGCATACATTTGATCGAAATGCCTATGTTTTTCTTCAAATTGTTACCAGTGGCAAATCTATACGGGTCTGCAGCAACTTGATCCTTGCCTCCTCAGTGTAAAGAATTCAGCTGAAGGACAGAAGTAGATTTAAGGCAGAGGGAGAGACTAAGGCAAGTTTTAAAGCAGGAGTGAGAGTTCATTAAAAAGTTTTAGAGTAGGAACAAAAGGAAGTAAAGCACACTTGGAAGAAGGCCAAGCAGCAACTTGAAAAATCAAAGTGCCCAATACAGCCCTTGACTTAGGGTTTTATGCATTGACATGGTTCCAAGGTTTGTGTTTCTCCCCCCTTGATTTTCCCCTTGAGGTAGGCTGTCTGCATGTGCAGTACTTGGGAGGGGCCACATGTGCAGTGTGTTTACTGTAGTTGTGTGCATGCTCACTTGAGGCATTTTTCCCTTATCAGTCAAGCATTCCCAGAGGAAGGTCATATATTGGTTGAACTCCTCCATTTTGACTCTTACTGCAAATACTTGAGCTCACTCACCCAGCTCCTGAGATCTCCTGAGGAAGCTGCTGATCACCAGCTTCAGTTTTGTATCTACTGGAAGACTGTCTTTTCTCAGTGCTGGCTGTGGCCAATTATCATTTTTGAGGGGCAGTTTAACAAGTGCCTCTCCATCATCTGATGGTCTCCTGGCATTCCTGGTCTGGGCGAGGAGCCTCTCCCGCCCTGCTTGTGTCTGTCTAGCTACCTACACTAACAAAATCACCTCTAATATTTTATGTTTTAAATGCAATGGAATATAGCTACATATAGAGATAGACAGCAAGAGCGATAGATATAGCCTAAAATAGGAGCACAGTTCTCATTTCACAAATGCAGGTATAGCAAAACACATGGTTTCTCCATCTGGGCAGGAACTATTCTTGTCATGCTTGCCTATAACAAACCATATAGTAGTTAATAAATATTTGTGAATTGTTTAAGCAATTGTCTGGAAAAATGGAAACGTAGAAAAATAGTGTGTTTTTAAAATTATTACTATTATATCTCTACAAAAACTCATTCATAAGCTATGATTAAGAGCTTGGAGTGGAGTCAAACTACTTTGATGTAAATTCCAACTCCACTATTTAAATAACTGTAACCTCAGGCCTTAAACTTACATCCTCTCTGCTTCAGTCTTTTCCTCTCCTTTAAGATGGAGAAGACAGTAACATGAACTCATAGGGTTAGAGTGAGGATTAGGTAACGTTACATGTTTAAAGTATTACTGAATAAGCACTCAGTACGTTTTTACAGCTACTACTACTACCACTACTACTACTACTATTTTTTCTGTATTGCAATTTCCTCGCTTATAAAACAATGTGTATGAATAATGAGTAGCTTTCAATCACATTTAGTATATCTTCTATGGTTCCATCAGAGAAGCAGAGGGTCTTTGAGTGATATAGAATAAGGAACTTATTTTATGTATCATACCATATACAATGGTGGGAGCTGTGAAGATATCTATGGAAGGCTGTTGCATCTATAGTCAGTAGTGAGATTGAAGTTGCTGTAGGTCAACAGAGCCAGCGTCAACATCTGGAAAGAAATGCTTAACATGAAGCAGGGAAAACATGGACAAAACAGAACTCTCAAATACAACAGAAACCCAGGAGATCAAATTGGAACTTACCTCTGTTCTGTACCCCCTCTACCTGTGATGAGAAAGGCAACTTTCAGAAAAAACTAGCACCCTTCGCCATAGTAGAGTTGCATTGCTACTGGCTCAGGACATGGAGAAGTTGAAGAAGCAACAGGACTAGTTGCTGTCTTATGCAAACAAAGTAATCTGGCAGATTAGTGACAATACGTAAAAGCTGGTCTCTATACTGAACTTCATAGCATAATGATACCTCTTCACTTACCTACCACATCTAGTACAAAATTTCCTGTGACCAACCCTAATCTGAAACAATATAGAAAAAGGAATTCTGGAAAACGTAGTTGTAGTTAGGCTAAGCTGACACAGTACAAAATCACTGCATTTAGCAGTAGAACCATAAAAAATCTTCATGTAGGATCTATAATCCAGTAGTACACACTTATTTGTGTTTTCACTTTCCGTGGTTTCAGTTACTCATGGTCAACCCTGGTCTGAAAATACTAAACGAAAAATTCCGGAAATAAACAATTCATAAGTTTTAAATTTGATGCCGTTGTGAGTAGTATGATGCAATCTCACAGTATCCTGCTCTGTCTCACTCAGGATATCAGTCTTCCCTTTGTCCAGCATATCCTCGCTGTAGACATTCTCCATCTGATAGTTACTTAGTAGTTGTCTGGGTTGTTAGATGGACTGACAATTTCTCAGTGCTTGAGTTCAAGTCCCTCTTACTTTACTATTCATAATGACCCAAAAGTGCAAGAGTAGTGATGCTTGCAATATGGATATGCCAGAGAAAGGATGGACAGTGCTTTCAAGTGAAAAGGTGAACGTTCTTCACTTAATAAGAAAAGAAAAAAAACTGTATGCTGAAGTTGCTAAAATCTATCTTAAGAACAAATCTTCTATCCATGAAATTTTGAAGAAGGAAAAAGAAAGTTATGCTAGTTTTGCTGTCACACCTCAAAACGCAAAAGTTATAGCCATAGTATGTAATAAGAGTTTAAAGTAAAAAAGGCATTAACTTTGTGGGTGGAAGACATGAACAGAAAGGTGTTCTGATTGACGGCAGTCAGATTCAGTACTATCCATGGTTTCAGACATCCACTAGGGATCTTGGAAAGTATCCGCTGTGGATAAGGGGGAAATATTGTATCAGAAACCAAAAACAAAAGTGCTTTAGCTGAAAAGGAGCAAAGGTCAAGGATCTAAACCCATTGGCTTCTTCCTTATATGTCTCCCACAAGCTACTCCCTCCCCAAAACTCTGCGCAGTTTGAAAACTCTTTTCAGTTGATCTCTCTTTCTCTGTAAAATGCAGACCAGAGTGTAAAATGCAGACCAGAGTGTAAAATGTCAGATATGCTTCTCATATCACAGAGCTATTATGTCAATTAGGCATTAGACTGTTAAATAACATAGAATTCCAGTCAACAAAATGCAAATCATTAAAATTAAATTAACTCTGTAGAGTTACATTAGATTCCATCATTTTTCAGTAATGATCCAGCATACCACCATTAATACTGATATCAACCATGTAGACAACAAATGTCCTAAAATAGTGACATTAATGTTTTAACTCAATGGTGCAGAATGTAGAAGAACATGGATTTTCCATATGTCAGTTCATTCTATGTGTTACTCTAGGATTTAAGTATACCTGTATTTAATCCAAGGGGTTTTTACTTGCACAACTGTTGCTTTTAGTGTTTTTTTTTTAAACTGTCATAGTCTTACCAATATAGAGAACTATTTTCCTAATAATTTTAAAACTTGGATATTCAAAATATTAAATGATAGCTCCCATGAATCAAAGTGTTTGAAATGAAAACATTTTCACAGAGTACAGACCCAGGTACATTGTGTGTGAGTGTGTATATGCATTTTAGGAGTCATCTAAGATTTATAGAGGTAACTGTCTTGGAGGTTGGCCAACTTTTTCTATAAAGGACCAAAGAGTAAATTATTTTCAGCTTTGTAGACCAGATGGTCTCTGCCCCAGTGATTCAATTCTGCTATTAGAGAACAAAAGCAGCCACAGACCATATGTAAATGAATGGGCATGGCTATCTTCCAATAAAACTTTACTTATGGACACTAACATTTGAAGTTCAGATAAATTTCATGAGTATTATTATAACTAAAAATTATTTTTTTAGCAATTTAAGAAAATAAATATAATTATTAGCTCACAAGACAAAAGAAAACACAAATGGAATGCTTTTGAATCACAGGGCATAGTTTACCAACCCCTGACTTATTTCAATAGAAATCACTAGCCAATTAAGAAACTAAAAAAATTTAACAAAAACATGCAAATACTTAACTAAATTTCCTTATAGAGAAACTCAAGATTAAATATATATATATATATATATATATATATATATATATATATATATATATATATATACAATTTTGTATCATTAAAACAGAATTATGGAAAACTAAAATCCTTTTGTATACTAAAAGTTGCAATTTTTTTTCACATTGGTACTGAAACAGAGCATATGCCTTGCATGCAGTTATACTGAAAAAATCTATTATTTAATTAAAATAACAAAGATAAATTTCTGTATTTAAGTTTGTTTTTAAATCAGTGTAGGCTTTAGCCAAGTTAAGGTTACTTCTTGGCTACATAGAAGCATGCCAAGAACGATTAAATAATCTCTTGTCACATCATCATAGCTAGTTGTTCAGTATCTTGCTTTTTCTATCTTAGGGAAAAATGAAAATCTAAGCATTCTGCCAATGTATTTCTTTCCCTAGTGCTTCAAAATCCAGTGTATAAAGCCATCACTTGCCATAGAAGCAAAATAACATAGGTTGTAATATTCAGAATATGTCAAAACATAGTATGGATTATCATATCAATCTAGCATGTAAGAAAGACCTTCACAACCCTGCCAATTGATTATGGGATTTGTGTCTCACAATGGGTAGGCTTAGTATTCCATCAGGAAATATCATATTACTGCATTGATTCCATTGTGTTTATCTTTAGCAAATGTTCTGGGCAATGTTATCAGAGAGAGCAATTTAAAAAATAGTGATTTCCATCTTTTAGCAAAACTCAGACCAAAAAAAGTCAAAATTTAAATTTCTTTAAAGTGAACCTAGACTATAAGACTGTAATTTAATCTTTATTTCAAGGGAGGAAGAAAGCTCTCAATTAAGCTCATGTTAAACACTCCTTTGTCTGTAGCCATGCATTCTAAACTTACCTTTTTATGTTAATTGAATAGTACACACAATGAAGAAAATAAGTTTTGAAATAACTCCACTTTTAGTTAAAAGACTACAAACTACACATTTTCAAATTAATTCAATTTATCTTCCCCAAATTCAGGTTTGTGTAAGTTACTTGTAATTTTGTTTTGTTTTGTTTTGTCTTGGTTCTTTAGTAGTTTCTTTTTGAAATTGTTTCATATCTATGAAAGTGAATTGTTTACTATAAGTATTTACTATAATACACCTCTTGCTTTTATTGGAAACATGCCACATAAATATCAGTAATAATTGAGTAACACATAAAATAGTGAAAAGTCTAGAGTATTTTAAGAATTGGATTCAAAAATAATGCATCAGAATGTCAGAATATTAGAGCAATTTAAAGTTAAAAGAAAGTGAATAACAATATATTGGCAATATATAGCATTTCAACTTATTGGTTGGACTCCAATCAATTAAAAATAATAAATAGAACATTATAAATGAACTAAAAATGCAGGTCTTTTATAAAATGCAGGTCTTTTATACCATTTCAAATTCCTTGTTTTTATCCAAAAAGTACTTTGTGTGTGAAAGAATCTTTAAGTATAAGGCAGACCTGGTTGTGACAAAATCTCTCAGCATTTGCTTGGCTGTAAAGAATTTTATTTCTCCTTCACTTATGAAGCATAGTTTGGCTGGATATGAAATTGTGGGTTGAAAATGCTTTTCTTTATGAATGTTGAATATTGGCCCCCACTCTCTTCTGGTTTGTAGGGTTTCTGCAGAGAGATCTGCTGTTAGTCTGATGGGCTTCCCTTTGTGGGTAATCTGACCGTTCTCTCTGGCTGCCTTTAACATTTTTTCCTTCATTTCAACCTTAGTGAATCTGACAATTATGTGTCTTGGGGTTACTCTTGTTGATGAGCATCTTTGTGGTGTTCTCTGTGTTTCCTGAATTTGAATATTGGCCCTCGTTTGGAGGGCTCAGAAGAAGACAAGAAAATTTGGGAAATTTTGGAACTTTTTAGAGACTTACAGGGCTCAGAAGACAGAAAAATGTGGGAAAGTTTGGAACTTCCTAGAGACATGTTGAATGGCTTTGACCAAAATGCTGATAGTGATATGGACAATAAAGTCCAGGCTGAGGTACTCTCAGATGGAGATGAGGAATTTGTTGAGAACTGGAGTAAAGGTCACTGTTACCATGCAAAGAGACTGGTGGCATTTTGCCTCTGCCAGAGATCTGTGGAGCTTTGAACTTGAGAGAGATGATTTATGGTATTTGGCAGAAGAAATTTCTAAGTGACAAAGAGGAAGCATAGCATAAAAGTTTGGGAAATTTGTAGCCTGACCACGCAAAATTCTATGGATCTACCCTAGAATTGTAGATCCATTGACAGCTTACACCATATGTCTGAAAAAGCCACAGACACTCAGCACCAGCTGTGAAAGCAGCCAGCAGTGGGGCTGTACCCTGCAAAGCCACAGGGGTGGATCTGCCCAAGGCCATAGGAGCCCACCTATTGTGTCAGCATGACCTGGGTGTGAGACATGGAGTCAAAGGAGATCATTTTGGAGCTTTAATGTTTAGTGACTGCCCTATTAGATTTTGCATTTTACATTTCCACCAACAATATATGAGGAGACTCATAGGCCCAACACCATGTGTAAGCCACCAAGGTTTGGAGCTTGCACCCTCTGAAGTAACAGCCTGCGGCCCTTTTGTTTTGGCCAATTTCTCCCATTTGGAATGGGTGTATTTACCCAATGCCTGTACCAACATTGTAACTAGGAAGTAACTAACTTGTTTTGATATTACAGGCTCATAGGCAGAAGGGACTTCCCTTGTTCCAGATGAGACTTTGGACTTGGAAGTTTGGGTTAATGCTGGAATGAGTTGAGACTTTGGGGGACAGTGGGGAAGGCATGATTGTGTTTTGAAATGTGAGGAAATGAGATTGGGGGGGCAGGGTGGAATGATATGGTTTGTCCCCACCCAAATATTATTTGGATTGTAGTTTTTATAATCTTTACATGTCATGGGAGGGATGCAGTGGGAGGTAATTGAATCATGGAAGTGATTACCCCCATGCTGCTGTTCTCATGATAGTGAGTGAGTTCTCATAAGATCTGATGGTTTTATAAGGGACTTTTTCTCCTTTAGCTCTGCATTTCTCCTTCCTACCACCATGTGAAGAAGGACAAGTTTGCTTCCTCTTCCACCATGATTGTAAGTTTCCTGAGACCTCCCCAGCCATGCTGAACTGTGGGTCAATTAAACCTCTTTCTTTTATAAACTACCCAGTCTCAGGTATGTCTTTATTAGCAACATGAGAATGGACTAATATAGATGTCCATGTGCAAAAAAATGAAGTTGGACTCCTACCTCACAGTATAAACAAACCAATAAAAAACCTAAAACTCAAAATAGATCAAAGATTTAAATGTAAAAGCAAAACTATACAACTTCTGTACGGGAACATCTTCAAGAATTTTGGTTAGGCCATTATTTCTAAGATATGACATTAAAGATACAAGTGGTGAAGGAAAGAATACATCAATGGAACTTGATCAAAATTTAAAACTTTTTCCTGCAAATTATGTAATCAAGATAGTAAAAAGGCAACTCACAGAATGAGAGAAAACATTTGTATATCATACCTCTAATAAGAGACATGTATCCAGATTACATGAAGAATTCTTACAATTTAATAATAAAAAGATAAACAATCCAATTTTAATATTGCCAAGGACTTGAATAGACATATCTTCAAAGAAAATATACCAATGGTCAATTATCAAAGAAAGAGATTATCAACAGCATTAATCATTAAAGAAATACAAATTGAAGTCACAATAAGATACCACTCTATAACTACTAGCCTTCCCTTAATGATAAATATAAATAATAACAAGTGTGACAAGGGTGAAGGAAACTCAACTCCTCATATATTGTTGGTGGAAATGTAAAATGGTGCAGCCTCTTTGGAAAAATATTTTGGCACTTTGTCAAAATGGTAAGCATATCAAAATATTACATGCATCCCATAAATATGTACAACTATTATAAATTCATAAAAATAAAAAAAATTAAAAGAACATAGAATTGTCACATACTCCAACAATCTGTTACTAGGTAGATAATTACCAGAAATGAAAACATATGAGCACACAAAACTTGTACACAAATGTTCATAGCAGCATTATTCATAATAGCCAAAAAGTGGAAACAACTCAAATGTCTACTAATTGATGAATGCATAAACAAAATGTACTACAACCTTAAAATGGAATAGTATTCAGCCACAAAAAAGAATGAAGTATTGAGACATGACATAGTACGGATGAGCCTTGAAAACACTATGCTAAGTGGAAGAAACCAATCACAAAGTACTGCATATTATATGATTATATGATTTCATTTATATAAAATGTCTAAAATAGCTCTATAAAGACAGGAGTAGATTAGGATTTTTCTAGAATTAGATAAGGGGCATAGAGAGTGACCATAAGGACTATTGGGTTTCTTTTATAGATGATGAAAATGTTCTAAATTTAGATTGTGGTAATAGCTGCACAACTTTTTTAATGTAGTAAATACCTTTGAATTGTATACTTTGAATGGCTCAATTATATAGTTTCTGAATTACATCTTAATAAAACTGTTAAAAATAATATGATCAAAGCTGAATTTCTCCAAAAAGTTAAATGTAATCTTAATATGCGGGAACTAGAGTGAAGAGAAATTGAACATAGGGAGAGTTGGGAGTTTGTGCCTTGGTCTATTCAAGAAGTACCAAGGATATGAAAGGAAAAGAAAGACAATCGTCATTTATTGAACACTAATTGTGCCTATATCATGTTTAATATGACCCAAATCTTTACTTACAATATCCTTTCAATAGTAGTCTTGACCTATACTACACTGCGGCTAGACTTAATATCCCCTTGAACTAAGGTGGTAATAGTAGGATTGGTAAGGAAGATTCGAATGAAAAATATACAGTTACTGCTCTCCTTTTCCTCTACAAAGACTATATTTTGTTATTTAACATGTTGAAAAACTAATTATCAATTATTAGAAAGGATAGGCTAGGTTATGCTACTGCAGTGGTATTTAAATTTTAACTTGCGTCGGAATACCCTAAAGGGATTATTAAAATACAGACTGCTGGGCTCCATCCCCACAGTTTTTGACTCAGCATGTCCCAGTGAGACCTGAGAATTTGCATCGCTAGTAAATTTCTTGTTGAAGCTACTGTTCTTGGTCTTGGACCACACATCCAGAACACATATGATAATTTTAACAAATATGTTTTCAAATCCTTGTGGCATATTTGCACAACAAAAAAAAAAATGGTCATACAAGCTACTTGTCCACCTAAGGTAGGCTAATGTCGAGAGGGAGGTTTCTGTTCCAAGTAGTCATGCAGGGACACAGGCCAGGCTCCATCTCTGTAGCTGGATCCTCTAAATCCCACCACATCTTTGGTTGCCAAAGAAGGAGAAGAGAGACATGGGGTCCTCAAGGCCAGTCTCCTATGCCTTGGCTTAGAAGTGATGTATGTCATGTCTGCTAAGAGCCTACTGGCCAGAACTAGTCATATGACCCTCACAGCTTTATGAGGGTCATAAGATGAGTAAAAGAAACCAGTCACAAATTACTGCATATTATATAATTTTATTTATATAAATGTCCAAAAAAGATAAATCTATAAAGATAGAAGTAGGTTAGAATTTTTCTAGAATTAGGTAAGAGGAATGCAGAGTGACTGTAGACTCCATTTTCTCTAACTGAAAACAAATTGGATATTAGTGAGCTCTAGTTCTCTAACAAACATTAGAATTGCATGTTTAGGGTAATTAGCCTCAGTCTTTTATGGAACACAAATGATCTAACTATACAGAGTTGATAAGCCTTAAGCCTGATAGTGGCTGACTAGAATATAGTTGTGTGAATACTAATTTTCTATGGTTATCAGAATAGTGTGATACTGGCATAAGGATAGACATATAGATCAATGACATAGAACAGAGAGCTCACATATTTATACCCTTGCATATGTGATCAAATAATTTCTCACAAGGATGTCAATACCATTCCACAAGGAATGAACATTTTCTTCAACAAGAAATGGGAAAATTAGTGCTGGGAAAACTGGATATCCACATGTAAAAGAATGAAATTGGACTCTTACTTTGACCATATACAAAAATTATCTCAAAACTGAATAAAATATAAGAAAACATAGGAGCAAATCTTCATGACCTTTGATTTGGCAATGATTTCTTAAATAAGACACTAATAGCACAGGTAACAAAATAAAAATTAGATAAATTAGACCATCAAAATCAAGAATGTTTGTGCAAAGGATATCATCAAGAAAGCAAAAAGACAACCTTCAGAATGGAAGGAAATGTTTACAAATAACACATCTGACAAAGAATTAATATCCACAATATATAAAGAACTTCCACCACTCAATAACAGAAAAATATAAATATTTTAATATTTATATTAAAATATAGGCAAATGACTTGAATATATATTTTCCCAAGAAGATATACAAAGACCAATAAGCACTTAAAAATATGTGCAACATCATAGCCATTAGGAAAATTCAAATCAAAACCACAATGAGATACTGCTTCATCCTTATAGAATGGCATAATAAAATACAAAACAGAAAATAACAAGTACTGGTGAACATGCAGAGAAACTGAAACTGTCATACATCACTAGTGGAGGTGTAAAATGGTAGAGAAGCTGTTGAAATCAGTTTGGTGGTTCCTTAAAAAACTATATGACCTAACAATTCCAAGAGAATTTAAAACAGGTACTTTAACAGAAACATATACTCCAATATTCATCTCAGCATTATTGACAATAGCCAAAAGCTGGAAACAATCCAAATGTCCATCAACAGATGAACAGATAAACAAAATGTGTTAAGTACACACAATGAAATATTATTCAATCATAACAAGGAATGAAGTTATAATACATGCATAGCATGGAAAAATCTTAAGAACATCACACTAAGTGAAATAAGTCACATACAGAAGGACAAATATCGTATGATTCCACTTATGTGAAATATCTAGCATAGACAAATACACAGGGATAGAACTTAACTTAGTGGCTACAAGAGAGGGAAGTGGGGAATTATTGCTTAGTGGTTTCTGTTTGGGATAATAAAAAATTGTAGACAGTAGTGATGGTAACACATGTTGTGAATATAATTAATGCCACTGAATTATACATATAAAACGGTTAAAATGGCAAATTTGATGGTCTTATGTTTACCACAAAGAAAAAATTGACATTATAGTGCCTCTGTATCACAGTAAATATTATAGTGATCTCATTTAAAAATGAATATCAAAACTGTGTCGAATATGTATATATATGAGGGCATGTATATACCAGAACATGGACAATACTCTCAAATAATAGGAGAAATTATCTTATTTTTCCTCTTATTATTAGTAAAAACATTTATCCTGTTATTATTTTACCAGCAGTTATATTTAATGATATCATTGAATCATATGTCTATTACTCAAGCTGCTTTGAGAAATGGCAGATGGATTGTGATGGTTCATTTTACCTCTCAACTTGACTGGGCTAAGGGATACTAAAACACTATTTCTGGGTGTGCCTTTGAGGGTGTTTCCAGAAAAGTTTAGCATTTGAATCAGTGGGTTGAATAAAGAAGATTTGCCCTCACCAGTGTGGATGGGCAGCATCTTATCCATTGAGGGCACAGATAGAATAGAAAGGCAGAGGAAAGGTAAAATCTCTCTCTTCTTGAGCTGAGACATCCATATTCTCCTGCCCTGGGACATCAGAGCTCCTAGTTCTCAGTCGTTGGGACTGCGGGACTTGCATCATTGAGAGTTACACCATCAGCTTCCCAGTTCTCAGGGCTTCAGACTCAGACTGAGTTACACCACTAGCTTTCTAAGTCCTCCAGCTTGCAGACAGCAGATGGTGGGATGCCTTGGCTTCAATAATTATGTGAACCACTTCTCATAATAAATCTCCTCTCATATGTCATATATATAACATAATCCATGTCTGTTTCTCTGGAGAATGCTAACTAATACATGGAATCAGGTAGAGAATCAACATAAAATGGTTACGAGCACAGATTGTAGCTGGAGTACTTAGCTAGATTTGGATCTCGACTCTGTCATTCATTACCTGTTTCATCTTGGATAAGTAACTCTGTCTCACTTTCCTCTTTTTAAAATGCGGCTAACAATAGTACCTGCCTCTTACATTGTTTTAAAATTTAAGTGAATTAATACATATGAACACATAGAACAGTGTCTGGTTCATGGTGAATGTTATGTTTGTTAAATAAAGTACATTTCCCAACACAGTGGCCAGGTGATTTAATCTGGAATAGCTCACAGATTCTCAAAGTACTGTAATGCTTCTGTAGTTGCTATAGTAGTAATGCCAATATCATATCCCCTTTCTTGAAAGAAAAATTTCACTGGGGTTACTACAGTTTGGAAAGTCTTTGTATGGCAGTGAAATGATGTAATCACATTTGGGAAAGAGAACACAAATGATCCATCAGAATATCTGAGAAGGATCCAAAGAAAATACAGTTCTCCCCAGCCCTTCTCACCTAGGTAGGTGGGAAATGATGCCCAAATCTCTCTCCTGTCAGGGGATGGGAGAGATGAACTCTGCTTCTCCACCAGGGTTCTGCAGGGTAAATACTGGAGGAGGAGTCTCTCACCAATGTTTTTAGGAACACTGAAATCCCAGGAGTCAACTGAGCTAAGTTGAGAGAGATTCTCAACTCCAATTAGCCAAAAAGCCTGGGAGGTGGGAGTAGGGAGGGGTAGCCAGGGATTCAAAAGCCAGAAAAAGAAAGTGAACCAAACAATAACAAGTCGATTGTTAACAGGAAGAGGTCTAGGTCAATTGCTTGTAGTTTTATTGCTGTCTGAAATTTGCTTTTATGTGTAAACCACAGCTATGGAACTAGGAGGCAGATTTCGTCGTTTGTTCATTCAACAAGCACTTAGGCATGTACTGTACCCTGTTGGGAACACTGTGCTACACATGAAATGGGGTGTAGGACCTTCAGCTGCACCAATACATTATGGCTAAGAAGGAAAAAAAAATGTTGGAGACGAGGGACCCCAGGGAGCTCTAACATTATTGCTGTTGTTTTTCAAAGGAAGTGTAAAAGGATACGAAATATTTCTTGCATGATGTCCTAGCAAGAATTCTTACACCTAGTTTGGAAAAAAAAAAAAGAAGAAGAAGAAGATAAAATCAACTGTGGGAATAAAGCTCTTTTGACCTGGTGACTTATCTAAGCAGAAAGTTGCTTCCCTTGATGGTGGGTAAGATGCCTTGTTTGTACTCACTTGATCCCTGGACTTCTTTACCCTCCCTCTACCCCCAATCTGCCTGAAAATAGTTAAAAGGCAAAGCAGTAAATCAGGAAGTCTCCAAACACAGCAGGGTTCACTTTACAGTACATCGGGGTTAGGGTTGAAAACTGAAGTCGTCTAATTCCATTTTCAAAGCTGAACATCTAATGGTGGATTATCATTAATGACAGACAGCATGGTGTCAAAGGGTTGTGTCAGGTTCCAGACCTTTTCATGCTTTAAATTCCTATGTTTAATCAAAGGTTAACCAAATCATTGCTGGTAGCAAACTGCTGCTTCAGTGTACTGTGGGTGGCCTGTCTCTGCCACTGAGTCAGCCATTGCTGATAAGGAAAATAATCCACGGAGTTCATATAGATACATTCCTTGATGTTTACCACTTTTCAAAAACTGTAACAACCAGCACATGGGAAATTAGGGCTGGAGAGGCTATGTCATTTTATCTTCAATTGGAAACTAATTTGGTGATTTGAATATAAAATTGTTGCTTTGTTAAATCATGTCTTTGTGTGTTAAACAAGCATTACTAAGTCTTAGCAATGTGCCCAACACTTTGTTAGCTCCTAAGTATTTCCTTGAATACAAGAATCCTGTCCTTAAGCCTAGACACATGTAAACAGCATTCAATTCATTGTGATAATTATTTTATTCACAGAACATAAAAAAAGATTTCAAGAATATAGCAGAGAGTAACTGCTGGCCAGAATCAAGGAAGTCTTTATGGAGGAGGTAATGTTGAAACTTGGGAAGAAAAGTAGGGGTTAGCCAGGGTGAGAGAAGTATGTTCTAGACGAGACAGTAGAGATAATACAATAGCAAAGAGCTTGGTGTGGTCAGGAGACGCTGAAAATTGTACATGTGTCTCGTATAATACAAATGTCCTCAGTGTGGTAGTTGGGTGGCAGGCTAGGGCTAAATGAGGCTGCAAAAGTTAGGAAGACCGTAAAGAACCTTGAATGATATTTAAGGAGTCATCACTGTACCTGCAGGTGAGTAGTTCTCTACTCAAGCACTCCTGAGAATCACCTGGATGACTTTTTGAAATACACATTGCTGAGCCCCACCTGCAGAATTCCTGATTCAGCAGGTCTGAGTGGGGTCAAGAATGTACACTTTCAGTAAGTTCCCAGGTGATGCTAATGCTGCTGGTCAGGGGATCACACTTTGCAAACTATTGTTGGTAACTGGAAGCCAGAAGCAGGTTTTATTCCTAAAAAGAAAATTTAAAGTATAATAGTATTTGATATGGTTTGTCTGTGTCACCACCCAAATCTCATCTCCAACTCTAATCCCCACGTGTTGAGTGAAAGCCCTGGTAGGAGGCGATTGGATCATGGGGCGGTTTCCCCCATGCTGCTCTCGTAATAGTAAGTTCTTGCAAGAACTGATCATTTTATAAGTGCCAGTTTCCCCTGCTCTCTCTCTCTCTTTTCTGCAGCCTTGTGAAGAAGGTACTTGCTTCTCCTTTGTCTTCCACCATGATTGTAAGTTTCCCGAGGCCTCCCAGCCATGTGGAACTGTGAGTCAATTAAGCTTCTTTCCTTTATAAATTACCCAGTCTTGGGTATTTATTTATACCAGTATGAAAACAAGCTAATACGGTATTTAAATGGTAGAAAGAAAATTCAAGATGGAATGGATAAATTAGAGTATGAGGTTGCAGAGAAATAAGACACATAGTCCATTTATTGCCATTTACTGCATGAAGCATTCTGTGTTGAGAGTTAGATTTGTAACTTTCATTTAAAATAATTACATAATTGCCAAGTCTTATGCATAAGGCTTTGATTTAGCTGAGTGTTAGAATCATAGTTAATAGGTTCTGGAGGAGAGGAAGAGCTGCAGGATAGTGTTGGTCCTGGCATGGTAGAGTTGCAGCTCCCAGGACCAGCTGTTGGCTGCTGGTAGGACATGGAGCATTTCCAATGAGGTGAAGGGAACTTCAGCACAGCAACCTTTTCATTAGCTGTGATGTGGGAAGGGAGACTGGCCCCATCACCTCACAGAGGCTCCTAAATCCTCCGAATCAGGCACCTTGTCAGCTGCAACCAAACCTCACCTTCTGAAAGTGAAGACAGGTGAGTTGCCTAGACACAGCTTGAAATTTAAACTCTTCATCTTGGCTTTTTGACTTCTCCTTAAACTAGATAACTTTAGGTCCCACTGCTTTTAGATATACACTTGTTCTTGAGAGCCTGGTTTTCTGACAAGACCTCTAATATGCCATCTTTGGTCCCACCTTAGTGCTTTTTCCCATACTTGTAATGCTCTTCTCCTTTCCTGTCAGTCATATCCTTCTCATCCCTCAAAGCCAAGCTCATATTCTTCTTCCTTGAACGCTTTTTTTAGTTTTCTAGCCTGCACTGATTCTGCAAATTGTGAAATTCTGTAACCACAACTGACTTATAATTCTCATAATTTAGTAATTAACTATGCACATTTCTAACCTCTATTCAGTGTTTCTTTATCAGTTTCTCAGCCAGACTGCCAACTTCTTGAAATTGTCTTCTATACTACTCAGAAATTATCAAGGTGTTCTATACAGAAAAGAAAACCAGACCTGAAATGCTGATTCATAGTGTCAATGAAAAGAAGTACAGTTAAATCCTGAATCAAACATGTACTTCAAGTGGCACATGAAAATGCTGTGGCAAATAACCTAAGATAGAATAATGTAACCTACACATATCTGATGAACATCCCATGCACCCACTCTCTTTGTACTTGGCCTGTGTGAGCACCTCCATCTTCTGATTGCTTGTCCTCATTCTTATAGGCATTTGTCTTCTCTTTGCTTTCAGGAATATTTTTTGTCTTTTGTTAGTTTTAAGCTTCTGAATTGCAAACCATAGGAGGAGGCAGGAATAGTACAGATACAGAATTTTGAAATTCTAGACTCCAGGAAAGTGCATTCTGCACTCCTACCTCATCTTGCTGCCCCTGTGTCTGGGACTGGCTCCCACTTGGCTTGGCTCCTGGAGTAAATGGTGCCCAGAGCTCCTTTTCCCTAGCAGAAAACTACTCTCTTCCTACAACAGCATTTTCTTGTAGATCATTCCCAGACTACCTTTCTAAGCCAATCTTACTACTCCCCTTGTCCAGACTTGCCTTTTAAGCTTTCAGATATTTTTGCCCAAGTGTTTCACAGTCTGCAAACATATCATCCTATAGACAAATATAAAGATTGCTATTTGCCCCCAAGGCCATGCTCCTATCTTGTTTGTCATTATTGGTAGTAGGAGCAACAAACCACTGCAATTCTCACAGGCAGCCAATGTGGAGATCATTTTAACTCTTTCTCTTAGTTTATTTTTGTCCTCTGTTCTTTGTTCATAATATTTGCAATATATCCCCATTTGCAGCAAGAGGAGGAACCCATACCTTGCTAAACACATGGAGGAATTATGTGTAACACTGGCCTCTCTTTTGTGTTGTCCATTTAATTTGAATTGGTTTTTCTGTCCATAGTAAATGTGGTTTCCAAAGACTCTAACAGGATTAGATTCTCTCTCTCTCTCTCTCACACACACACACACACACACACACACACACACACACACTCCATTTCTGTACAGAATCTATAAACTCTTAAGAGTGGCTTAAATGTTGGCCACACATATATCCTTATTTGCACTCTTTGCCTTCTTCCTTCTGACTCCTGAAATGAAGTTGGGCATTGGATTACTTCAGCTCTTTCATTCTCATTACCTCTATACTTCTATGACATTCTGAAATCTAGAACAATCTTTTTTATTGAGTTAAAAATTATTTTAGGAGCCCTGTCCTTCAAAGAAAATCAAGAGTTACCCAAAGCAGCCAACTTGAAATACTAATCTTAAAAACTGGGTGTGTGGCGGGGGGGTACATATTGATTATTTCTAAATTTTCATCAATAATCAACCTAGACTAACCCAACTATATTTTAAGCTGAATCTACTTTTAGATTCCAATTGAAACCTTCTTTAGATTATGCGGGGAAAATAAAAGAATCATGGCCCAAATGGTCTGAAAACTTGGAAAAAATATCTTGAGATAATGGGAGAATGGATAGTGGCAAGTAGTTTTCTTCCAATTTCTTTATGTGTGCTATAATTTTTCATAACCAGTACAAAATAGTACTAAATATATATAAAAGAATAAATTAACATCAAAATAATGCCTAGAAAATTATAGCATATGGAAATGTTCCTACTGATTCCAAAGTCTGCTGGATTCTCAATTCAAGATGCTCTAGTTTAATTTTCATGTTTTGAAAACATAACTGAGGATGCAGCCAAAATACATCATGAAAACTACATTTTGAAAATCTTGTTAATTTATGTTTCATTTTAGAAGAAAAATTTGTTTCATTTTTTTAATGTATTTCCCTGAGTCTTGTCAAAAGGGTGGTATTGATTACAATGTTTACTTACATTTTGGAATCTCTCTAAACTTTAAACTCAGCTTAAAAGCAGGATCATGTATCTGTTCTTGAGTAAGTGTAAGGCAAAGTTGCTATAATCAAATAACTTTAGTATTCGCATTAAAAATAAAAATAACATTGAAGTCATTTTAGGTAGACAATTTGCAAAGCCTCCCGAGTCCATTAATAATTGCACATTCCAAAATCTCTGAAACTTTGATTGATGCATTGATAATACTTTCTTCTGTTTTAGATAAAGAAACTATTGACTAAAACTAAAGCCAAGTTTTGCTTTTAAAATATCTCCAGTGAATGTCAAGCTATATCATAGCCTAATTCACACTGCAATGCATATCATGAACATTGTACCAATCATAAATCCCTACTTTAAATCTAGATTTTATAATGACAGCTCTGCTTTCAGTTATATTGTTGGCAAGATTTCTCTGAATACTGACTACAGGGATTACAAGGTCATTGTTGGTTCCAATGAATCCCATAAACTTGTGAATAAGAAGCCCTTAACTTTCCAGGGCTTTAAGTGTCATGATAAGGAATAGAATATGTCAATAACCTGCTCTGTAGGTTTCCTGTCTTAGATGTCTGGATTTGATCACATCTCGGGTAATAAATTTGCCTCATAATTATTTAAGGAAGATCACTTGGAAACATGGATGGCCAAAGGAACTCTTAATATTTAAAGTTACTTGGAACCATTAAACAAATTTATTAATATTGATCAATTTTAATTACTATTAACCTCAGGAAAACAAACCAACATTAGATGATTTTGAGCACTCTCTTGATTATTCGTATTACTAATGCTTGATTAGTTTGTCCAAATTGTCCTTTCATACGTGAGCTTTAACTGTTCCTGAACATCAAGTCTGATTCAGATGGCAGTAAGAAAAGGTACAAAAGCTTTATCCACATCAGAGTCCTGATTAAGAAGCTAGCGTTTCACTGACACTATGAGTTCCGTTATTCTTAACCTGTGAATAACAGCTTCCATAGCCATTTAAATGACATCCTACTCCTCCCAGTATGTTCCACTGACTCAGCCTTACCCTTCTGGTGTACATACTTGATTCTCATTGCTTCTGTGTCTCTTGCCTTCAATATATTTCCTTTTTCTTTCTTAAAAGTCAAGAAACTTCTGACAGCCTCAAATCCAGGGTGCCATCTCTTCTATTTTTAACTCCTTGACCCTTTAAGCTACGTGTATTACTCTTTATGTGTCACTGGTGTGTCTCTCATTCTCAGAGAGGCAGAAACAATGTAGTTTTTTCTTAGTACTCACACACAGCCAACTGTAATACTCAGTATGCAGTAGGTATGTCACATATGCTTGATGAAAGAAGAGATAGCAATGCAATTTGGAGAAACTTCCCAAAAGAGTTATCTTGCCCACTCACTCTTGCAGTTTGTTAACCCTCTATGAAAACAAATATTAACGAATTATATTATTACATCCCCCACTCTCCTTTATAATCATCCTTTGCAATAGCAACTATATTGCCCAGGTATAGGTACTTGGGGAGAAAAGGAAGAAAATCAGGAAAATGGCTGATTTAGGATTCATCTTAATGCTTAACAATCATAATTTGTAATGTGATATTAAGAATTTTTAGGGAGATATATAGCTTGAAATAATTTATTCTGTTTATTAAATTATTTTAAAAACCCAGGAAATTATGCTTACTACCAAGCTTTGCATTTGATTTTTCTAGCTCTGTCATTTCTAAAATATATGTGCAGAAATATTCTTCTGGAAGCCTGGTATTCTGGTTTCATAGACGGGAACAAAGTAAAGTAGGCTGTTGAATTAATTGGAGCTGAAACAAAAGGCTTCCTGAACCTCACCTGTTAATCACTGAAATGAAAGGCCAATTCAAAGATGTAACGCAACCCTGTCAGCCGTCCAGAGCTGCTTGCATTGCCACAAATTCACTTATGACTCTCCTGGGAGTACCACTGCTGTGAAACCTACAGATTTAGAAACTGCCCCTCAATTCTGCTCAGCACAGAATGCAAACATTTGACTCATATGGCACTTGTTTGTCAAATGAGCCAGGACAGGGAAATTGATGAGTGTACTAATTATTCTTGAAAGAGCCAGAGAAGAGTGGAGAACATTCATGAACTTAAGATAATGAAGTGAAGAGCAAGGGAATGAATTCTCCCAAATTTTAAAAGGCTTCAGATTCACAGACAGCAAGGCTGGTGAGCAGGACAGGGATTTCTCAGTTAGAAACAGTCCTCCTCCTCTACTGCAATCCTGACATCTCCCTTGCAGATTAAAGCAATTGGAGCATAAATTTTTGGAAACTGTGAAATTTTTTTTTCCAGCATTGAATACCTATGTGTAATAGGGAAATACAGATCATAACTCCTTTGAGTAATCACTTGTCTTCCTAGTTTTTATAAAAATTAATGCTTTTTCTCCTAAGTACCAAAGCGGAACACTATGGTAGTTCAAATGGTGGAGCCTCTCAGAAAAAGGCTAAATTACTATTTAACGTAAACATACAAAGGGACAATCCTGAGCCTAAGTGAAATTACTCTGAACTTTTTAAAAAATGAGTCAAATTTGGTTTTTAAGCCACAGATACTTGCCTGCATCAAAGTTACAAGTAAAAAATGTCATAAATATGAGCTAGAATTAAATTTTTGAGTTGGTATACTAATACAAAGTGGCAATGATTTTAAGCTCCTTGCAAGGAAAATTAAAATATTTATATCTTCTACATCCTTTCTCCAGAAAATAAAGAAGACACTAGAAGAAAAAACCTTCAAAAGAGAAATATCTTAGGTGAGTAGGCACCCATTGCCATAAGAGGACACAGTGGACTTTACCCAGGGATATTTGCATTTTTAACTGGACATGGTTAAAGATTGAGAAATTTCCAAGCCTAAAGAAATGAAGCCTTATATTGAGAAATCAAGTGGTATGACTTACCAAGATGGAAAGTATTTGAATGTGTGCTGGAGCATGATGAGCTATCCAATGTCCATAAAATCATACCAATGAGATATCAAAAAAACTGATGAAAGTTTACCATGCTTACAGAGCACTGTTGAAGGTTCTATAAGAGCTTGCACTAGCCTTCAAAGAGCATTTAATTTAGTAGTGTTACAAGAAACACACAGAAATCTGATGAGAAACTGGTTGGTTTAAGACATAACATAGAAAGAGATGTTATGTGAGAGCACAAACATTGGAAAACCAATTCTCCATGCTGAAGTGGTCAAGAAAATTTATGGTAATTAAACATGCACAGTTGCTTGTTTTGCCTAATTGTAGAAACATTCCCACTGGCTGAACTCTACTTTTAAAATGACTCTCAAGTCTTTCATTATTGATTTATTGGGGAACACAAACAATCCTGACAAATCCTCTTCTCCCATTTCTCACCTACTGTGTTACCCCCTCGACCATCATAACCCTCACAAAGAGTGGTTGATGTCACAAGAAACAGTTTAGCATAGTGTCCATAATTGTCTTTCTTTTATCCCCTATAAAATATTTCAGCTTCTCCAGTAACTCAGAGCTGAGCATATCCAGATAAAAGATAAGGTTAGATTACTAAAAAGAAACTAGAGTGAAGAATTATGATTGGGTGACCCCATTTGAACTAAGGAAATATATTGCAAACACACTCAACTAGGCCAGAAAAGACATGTTCTTCCCAGAGGCTTGCCAAAGCTGGTTGCAGTGCCAATACCTTTGATCTCAATGTTCTCCAGTAACTAGGATTGTGGCTTAATAAAATAGAATCCTATTGTCTTTGGTTTCTGAAAGTAAATACAGATTGTGGGCACCATCTGGGCATGCAGGTACAACCAAGTGTCCTTTGCACCCTATGCCCATCAAGCCAGGGCAGCACACTCTGTCTAAGGATGCCCTGAGGGATGCTTCAGATGCAGCCAAAGATAGGAAGCTGTTTCCCAGGCAGAATGGGTTATTCAAGGGAAATCCTAGACTCAGGATTGTTCCTTTGCATGCTTAGCTTAAATAGTAATTGAGCCTTTTTCTGAGAGGCTCCACCATTTGAACTGGTAAATGTTCTGTGGTTATTCAATTTCACAATGACTAGGTCTGGATTACAGAAAGTTAAATCTAAACTAGGACAGAAAATTGACAATAGAAGCAATTCAGATAGATTCTTGAATTAGGACAGTGACTTAGTTACTCAGATCTTCAAGGAGGGTTTTGTTAATGTTTTTGTATTTTTGTTTCATTTGGTTTAGAGAACTGCTAGAGTGGCCAAGACTGGGTCCATGGAAGAAAAGGGTATATACCAACTATCTCAGGTAGATAATTGACATTTCCTTTTTTTTTTAACATAGTGTTCACTGTGTTGAAATGGATACTTGAGGGTAAATTACATGGTATGCTCCTTTTTTCTTTCCAGTTAGTTCTAAAGCAGGAAATGATAGACTGTTCTATTTCCTTGCACGTCAGAAGAGAAATGTCAAGCATTTTATTGGCTAGGAAAATTTCTGCCCAGTTTTGTGGGCCCAAGGGACCTTAGATATAAGAAAGACTCAAGCTGAAAATGAAGAGTACATAAAAGAGCACTGTTCTTAGAAGACTTCCTGAGAGAATGATTGGCTATACTTTATCTCTCTTCTGCCATTTAAATCTTCCCCTCTTGTATTTTCTTTGAACTTTGGGCCATAACAAGCCTTCGGACTATTCTGCCTCTGAGAGGTCCACAGATGTATTGGAGAAGCTGTGGGTTCGGATGTCTGCAAGTATCCTCACACATTTGCCATACTAGCCCATTGTTTAAAACTGCCATGTTCTCAAGTATTTTTTATTTTTTAATAGAAAGGCAATTCCATTTGTTGGAAGATTTTTCTTACCAAATGTTGGAGAGTTAAAAAGAAATTTCCCATATACAGCACTTCAGAAGGACCCAAGTCATTCACAGACTGTTTATGACTACAATTAAGTCTTCTCTTAGTAGATGATATCAACTCCAAACCCACACAAGCAAGCTGAGTTCCATTCAAAGCAATAACAGCACCTACTCTGTGCTTCCTCTTCTCTTCTGAAAACAGCTTAGCAGCTTCACAGTAATGATGTCTTCAAAGAATTCTGATGAGCCAAGGACTGTGAGCATAGGGCTGATCTCCATCATACCTAGTGCAGCTCTGCCTGATTGCACAAAAAACTTATGCAGTTTCCCTTTCAAATGAAATTAGCATAGATGAATGTATAATTTCTGAGTAATTTGCCAGGCCTTCCCCCTTTTTCTCATAATAAAGCTATTCTATTCACCATCTTCAACTTCAAGGATATCATTTTGAGCTAAATAAAATTGTAGAAATATCTACTGATGTTTCTACTCTAACTTCATTTATCAGTCTTGGATATATAAAGTTTTGTTTGGTGCCTTATCAATTAAAACAGCTAACATTTTCAGAGTTCTAGCCAAAGCTGTTAGCAGTCTTACTCTCCATTTGATATCCAGAGATGCTTAATCCCCACTTTGGGTAGATCTCACTCCCCTACCCACCACTGATTTTGAATAGAAAAAGGATTATTTTGCAATTTTCCTGCTTGGACTTTGTTTCTCTCATTTTAAAATTATGCTTTTTTCCCCTCCTTTGAAAACAATATTTTCTATCACTATCTAAAGAAATGCATGTTTCAACACATCAAATCTTATCTCAGGTGTAAAAATGTGTATTTTCCTCAAAATGAAAAATTAAAAATTATATATAATTCATGCTTATTAGTTTGTCAAAAATTTAAAAGTAGGATAAATTATTTATGAATGTGTAATTGGTACACTCTTTCTGAGAACAAACAGAAGATATGTAATAAAAGCTTTAAAATACACTT
The DNA here is from genome assembly GCF_000001405.40 of Homo sapiens. Lineage (NCBI taxonomy): Eukaryota > Metazoa > Chordata > Mammalia > Primates > Hominidae > Homo > Homo sapiens. Next base: position 107,185,460 of record NC_000008.11, on the reverse strand, counting down.
ACATTTTAAGCAACTTCACCTTAAAATCCTTATCCTAAAATTACTATTAAAAGCATGGGCAGGCCGGGCATGGTGGTTCATGCCTGTAATCCCAGCACTTTGGGAGGCCAAGGTGAGTGGATCACCTGGGATCAGGAGTTTGATACCAGCCTGGACAACATGGTAAAACCCCACCTCTACTAAAAATACAGAAATTAGCCAGGTATGGTGACTGGCACCTGTAATCCCAGCTACTCAGGAGGCTGAGGCAGGAAAATTGCTTGAAATCGGGAGGCATATGTTGCAGTGAGCCAAGATTGCGCCACTGCACTCCAGCCTGGGTGACAGAGTGAGACTCCATCTCAAAAAAAAACAAAAAAACCAAACATGGGCAGATAGATAGATGAGCAAGGAAATTTGCTGAACCATTACTTATAAATCAGATCTTCTACAGCAGGAGATTCAAGTACGCTGGTTATGTTCATGGGATAAAATATTATATTGAGCATTAAAAAATTATGTTTTAATGTAAAATTATACTTGTAAGTAAAAAATAAACAGACTATAAATCTGCACATATGGAATGAGCATATATATATATATATAGAGAGAGAGAGAGAGTCATGCACATATTTATACTGAAATGAAAAACTGCAACTGTAGATAAGTAAATTGTTTTCTATTTTTCAAGTATTAAGTAATTTTTTTTTTTTGAGATGGAGTTTCGCTCTTGTTGCCCAGGCTAGAGTATAGCAGCGCAATCTTGGCTCACTGCAACCTCCGACTCCTGGGTTCAAATGATTGTCCTGCCTCAGCCTCCCAAGTAGCTGGGATTACAGGCATGTGCCACCATGCCCGGCTAACTTTTGTACTTTTAGTAGAGATGGGGTTTCACCATGTTGGCCAAAATGTTCTAGATCTCCTGATCTTGTGATCCGCCTGCCTCGGCCTCCCAAAGCCGAGGGATTACACGCGTGAGCCACCGCACCTGGCCTATATCTCTTTTTCACAATAGATCACAATTATAACATAATTACCCTATTTTAAAATGTACAGAACTATTCTATAAGCATTTGTAGACATAGAATATAAGTATGAAAAGCTAATAATTTGCAGGTTGCAACTTTTGAAAACAAGTCCATCTTCTCACACTGTAAGAGCAAGATTAAATAATTTCATATAATGTATTATGTTTTTTGAAAATGGATTAGTGATACTGCTCTAAAAACAGAATTTTCAAGCCATTCTCAATAGTAGAATAGCTTTCTTTAAATAATTTAAAGAAATTGTTAAAAGAAAGCTATTCTCTAATATTGAATCATTAATATACAGTACTTCTTTTCAAAATACTGTGGCTATAAAAGTTTGCAATGTGTATGTGTGTGTATGTGACTGTGTGTGTGTAGTCATTGTCTGTCTTCAACTAATTAACAAAACTAACCAGATCTGTGAGTGTTATGAAGACATCCTAAAGGCAGACAGCAGTTGCTCTAGGTTAATGCTATTGCCCTGTTTAAAGCATGTGCACAAAGGCAAATTATCAGCACTCTTTCAAACCAACAAACATAGTAATACATAAACAATGGGCCTTCAATAAAGAGCTATTAACAGCTATTTAGTGAGCCTCTACTACAATCCTAACTCTGTCTTACTCCTTCCATAGAAAAAAAGAGGTTTAAGAATGATTACCTTCTAAACTCAAGGATTCAAATTTTAACAAAAAAGTAAAGAGAAGAACAAGTGAGAAAGCTAGTAGCAATGCAAGCATGCTTGAGGACATAGAAAATTCATGGAAATCTGCAACATGAAAAAATCAGAGAAATGGTCAAATGGGTATCAGAAAAAGGTTATGGGAAAAGCCAAACATTGGTTGAATTTGAGCTGACTGGAGGATGCAAACTACAGCCGCAGGTCCAGGCAGGTAAAAGCAAATGTGCAAAACAGGCCACTGTAAGACTTAATAGACAGGGATGGAGACAGTGACAACATAGAGAGGGGACAATCGCTTCTCTTTCCCAGCAGGTTGTCAAAAGGTCATGAAGACCCAGTGTTGTCAGGTCTTGGGTTTTCCAATTCCAGTTTTTTGCCTGAAGACAAAAGGGAATCATGGCTAAGATAGTGATGCCAATTGATTCTAATTATAGAGTCCTAGCCCCTCTGTGAGACAGGGTTCCATCAAAAAAAAAAAAAAAGCATAACCCCTAGGAGATGTAAATGTAATATTTACTATGGGGGTTTGGCCATGTGTAATTATCAGAACTGGTTACATAGTCAATTTTTTTTTAGATTTTTTTTAATTCAAAAAAAAAAAAACCAAAAATGGGATACATGTGCAGAACGTGCAGGTTTGTTACATAGGTATACCTGTGCCATGGTGGTTTGCTGAACCCACTGACCTGTCCTCTAAGTTCTCTCCCCTTACCCCCGACCCCCAAGATGCCATGGTGTGTGTTGTTCCCCTCTCTGTGTCCATGTGTTCTCAATATTCAACTCCCTCTTATGAGTAAGAACATGTGGTGTTTGGTTTTCTGTTCCTGTGTTAGTTTGCTGAGGATGATGGCTTCCAGGTTCATCCGTGTCCCTGCAAAGGATATGATCTCATTCCTTTTTATGGCTGCATAGTATTCCATGGTGGTGGGAATGTAAATTAGTTCAACTATTGTAGAACACGGTATGGCGGTTCCTCAAGAATCTAGAACCAGAAATACCATTTGACCCAGCAATCCCAATTCTGGGTATATACCCAATGAAATATAAATCATTCTACTATAAAGACACATGCACATGTATATTGATTGCAGCACTATTCACAATAGCAGAGACTTGGAACCAACCCAAATACCCATCCATGATAGACCGGATAAAGAAAATGTGGTACATAGTCAATTTGAGGCTATTGTTCGTTGTTTCTGTGTCTGGTGCTAGAATCAGAAGTTCAAAAAGCAGGACATTAGGAAGGAAGAGTGGACTTGAGAGGAAAGCAAGGGAAATCTGGAACCTGTGAGGCTGAACTGGAACCCATAAGGAAGAAAAACCTGCAGTGGCCTCTCACTGCTCCCAGGCTTCCAACTTCAGTGAAAGAAGTGTCCTGCAGGAGAAGCTGTGGGCTGGGTTGCTGCCCTGCAAACCAGCTGAGTTAGCATATAAGCGATAACTTGTGCATTGCAGCAGTGCTTTGGACTCTCCTCTAACCTCCAAACATAAAAAGATAGCTGCTGCAATGGCAGTCGCTACCTGATCCTCTTTCAGCTCTTCTATTCCTCTAACAAACGTGTTTTAGCTTTTTGATGAAAGGTGCCAGTTCTCCTGCAAAAAATTCCCATCATCAAAGTTGGGGGCTTGGAAGAGTAGAAGCAACTTAGATAAGATGATAAACAATGTCAGTTCTGGACTTTACTCTTTACTGGAGTAATTCTAGGCTAGACACTTAAGTTCTCTGGGCCTCAATTTTCTCTAACAAAATGGAAGAATTAGGGTGGCCTCTAAGTTGGCAAGCCTAGAAAAACAATGCCTGTGAAGACGAAAATAATATGCGAAAATTGCACTGGGAGAGGCTGCTTACATCATTGCATGGGGTATGTAAAAGTACCTCATGAAAGATCCGAAATTAAGCTCACAGGCCAATTCAAAGGCAACAATATGAAATAAGGAGAGGTAGGACGACAAGAGTATGGTGAAAAGAAGAGAATTAGGAGCTGAGAGACCTGGACTCTTGTCTTGACTTCATCACTGACTACTTGACCTATAAACACAATCACTTAACTTCAGAGGATCTCAGTTTTCTCCTCTGTGAACTAAAGGCATGAGGTGGTGTTGCTCATCATTGGCTGCACATTGGAATTCCCTAGGAATCTGTAAAAAATATTGATGTGCAGATTCCATCCCTGGGGATCCTGATTTCATTGGTCTGTGGTGTGGCCTGGGCATCAGGATCATTTAAAGCTCCCCAGATTCTAATGTGAAGCTAAGCTTGAGAACTCTTTGTTAGGGATTGCTTGGAAAACGGCAGTATGATTTAAGGGTGGTGGGAAGACTTTCCCCCTCCCCCTACCACACACATACATGTCCACCACAAACCTGTCAGGCTGCATGACATTTCATCCTTAGAGATTCACCCCATTGAGCTTTGAAGGCTCTTCATTACTTATGAAAATTCATATGCTCCTGGTAGATGTGACACCTTGAACTTATAATAAGTATATCTTACCCAGAATCATAAAAACTAATTTGGAAAGAATTTCAGAGGTCACAAGTTCAAGCTGGCAAGTATTTTTATTGTGATTTTTTTTAGATAAGAAAACTGAAGCCCAGAGATGTCTTTCTCCAGCATTAGGCTTTTCTGTAATCATTCATTTTGGTATGTATGTGGGAAGGGAATTTAATTAATGACATCTTTCTTACATAACCTTTTTTTTTTTTTTAAAGGCTTTGGATTGTACTTGTGTGATCATGTCTTTTTTCTTTCTTTCTTTCTTTTTTTTTTTTTTTTTTTTTTTTTGAAACAGGGTCTCACTCTGTCACCCAGGCTGGAGTGCTGTGGTATGATCACAGCTCACTGCAGCCTTGAACTCTCAGGTGAGGACTACAGGCACACCACCATGCCTGGCTAATTTTTGTATTTTTAGTAGAGACAGGGTTTTGCCATATTGCCCAGGCTGGTCTTCAACTCCTAAGCTCAAGCCACCTGCCGGCCTCAGCTTCCCAAAGTGCTGGGATTACAGGGGAAAGCCACTGTGCCTGGCTAACCATGTATTTTTAAAAGCCATATGTGCTTTTATCTCAACCTAGAGTTTTAAATCCTTTCTAGATGGGAGTCACCATGAATGACATTTAGCCTTTAATATGCCTCATTTATCTAAACAAGCATTTCCTGCTCTGTGTTACTGTTCTGTAATTGCTTCCTGTGATCTACCTTTTACTCTTTCTACCTTTCATCTTGATCCATGATATCTCTGTTATGCTGGCCAAAAAGAATAAGTCATTGCAAATTCAAAAGCAGAAAGATCTCCCCTTTATATCAAAAGACATAGACAGCTGGCATGCAATCTACATGTCTGTTCTCAAAGACATGTTGGGCATTTTGCCTCTCTGGGAATCATTCAGGTTGCCATAAAGTGAATGGAGACAAGTCTATAAATTTGTAAAATGTTAAATAAATCAATCCATAAAAGTAAAGTTCTAGTCTGTTTAAGCTTTGGTTATGCTAATTGGAGGACACCCTTTCTCTCCCCTTTAATTAGCATAGTCTGTCTAAATCAACCTGTCTGAATCAAACCCGAGGTATCTTTCTACCAGATGTTCGTGAAATGATGTTTGCAAAGGCATGACCTCATCAAAGATTCCATTCTACAGGAAGGGATTCTGAGGGATTCACACAAGCAGGAAGTTACAAGCAATATATTTATTATTCTTTGTGACCTAAATTATAATTGGAATAACGCAAGCCTCCTTGTCAATATTCCATTGCTGGTTTATGTCTCCATTGGGGAATTTCTTTCTGTACGAAAATAACTGCAAACAATTAAATAATTTTTAAAATTCTCACAAGTTTTGATGTTTCTCTCCCTTTACTATCTAAAGCATAAAGATGAGTGTAACATTTAAGTATATTATATGTTGCTTATGTTAAGACATCTTATTTACATAAGGGACATTGCCATAATATGTTGATTTGAAAAAGTATTCGATATGTTACACGTTCCAGCCTGAGAGAGAAGAAACCTCTTAAGATGTTTCTTAGATATGACTATTATTTCCTAACTTACCAGACTAATACAATTATTTTTTAAAGAACTAAACAAGAAATAAAAATTTTCACTTATATCTGTCCAGGAAGAGAAAAAATTACATTACTTTCACTTGGAAAAATTACTAAAATGATCTACTATTTTAAGGCTTAATATTTTTGAAAGTCTCAGGAACTTTGGGAATTTTGGAATTTATCCATAAATTAATAACTTTCAGCATGAATTTCAATTTTCTCTTCATTTTGACTCAAATACTATGAAAACTGTTTTAATAACATATGTTCTGTGAATCATGCAGCGTTTTAAACAACAATAATTAACACAGAGTGATATAGTACTTCTGAACTCTATCTTTACTCTGCCACATACTGGTTGTGTAAAAATTAGCAAAATTACCTCTTTAAAAACAGTGGTATTCTCATTTGTAAAATTCATGTGTGATGAAAAAATGCCTGACAAAATAGCAGCTACTTGAAAGAAAAAATCATTTTTAAAACAAAACATGATTATCCATGAGAGCGTTGTTACTTAATAGTGATCCCCATCCATTAAGGATTCCATCAAATTTCATCTTCTCCAGAACAACCCTCCCCAAGACTTGCCGAAATCTGGATCTTGCCACTTTCTTCTCATTCTTGAGATCTCTTCATACTTTGCTACTTAATTACATGCAACTTGCCATTATAGAAATCTTTATTTTTAAATATTTTCATGGAATCATGGTATCTAACATTATAGGGAGTTTATGAAATAGTCTACTTCTATAGAGAAGGAAGTGTTGTATATTGGTGCAGCTTTTGTAATAAGGGCTGTATGTATTTAATACTTTTAATTAGTTTATTTACATAAAACAGCTTCATCAATACAAAATTCACATACCATATAGTTCATCCATTTAAAGTGCACAATCCAGTAGTTTTTAGTATATTCAGAGTTGTGCGAGCATTACCACCATAAATTTTAGACTATTAGTATTACCCTGAAAGAAATCCCATACCCACTAGCAGTCACTTTCCATTTTGCCCCAGTCTTCCCATTCTTAGGCGATCATTAATCACTTTCTGTCCCAATAGATTTGCCTATTACTGACAATTCATATAAATGGAATTACATATATGTATATGTGTATGTGTGTGTATGTATGTGTGTGTGTATTTATATATGCACAGACCACATTTTGTTTATCCATTCCTCAGTTGATAGACATTTGGGTTGTTTCCACTTTGGGGCTATCATGAATAATGCTGCTATGGATATTTATGTATAAGTTTTTGTAAGGACATATGTTTTCATTTCTCTTAGGTGTATTCCTAGGAGTGGAGTTGATGAGCAATATGGTAACTCTATGTTTAACCTTTTAAGAAACTGCCAGGCTGGTTTTTTTTAAATCATTTTGCATTCTCACCAACAACGGATGAGTGTTCTAATTTTTCCACATACTTGTCATCATTTAGTATTACCTGTTAAAAATTAAATCCATCCTAGTGGGCATGCAGAGGTATTTCATTGTGGTTTTGAATGTATCCTATGTTTCCCTGATGGATAATGATGCTGAGCATCTTTTATCTGTTTTTTTAATCACCTTTGGAGAATTGTCTCTTCAGTTCCTTAATCCATGTTTTGATTGGGTTATGTCTTTTATTGTAAGATTTCAGGCTGGGAATGGTGGCTCAGGCCTGTAATCCTAGCATGTTGGGAGGCCAAAGCGGGAGGATTGCTTGAGCCTAGGAGTTTGAGAACAGCCTAGGCAACATGGAAAGACCTCATGTCTACTAAAAATTTTTAAAATTAACCAGGTTTGACAGTGTACATCTGTAGTCCCAGCTACTTGAGATGCTGAGGCAGGAGGATTGCTTCACCTCAGGAGTTTGAAGTTACAGTGAGCTATGATCATGCCATTGCACCTCAGCCTGGGTGACAAAGCAAATCCTTCTTTTTAAAAAAAAAAAAAAAAACTTATTATACATTAGAAATACAAGTCACTTATCAATGCAGTATTTTCTTGCATTATGTGGGTTGTCCTTTCACATACTTGGTGGTACCCTTTAAAAAGCAAAATATTTTAATTTTGATGAACTATTTATCTATATTTCTTTCTTTGCTTGTGTTTTGAACGTCATATCTAAAAAGGCTTTACTTAACCCAAGTCACAAAGACTTACTCATATTTAATTCCTTTAATAATATTTTCACTATTTTTTAAAGTTATTTCTCAGTGGTTGCTTTAGTGTTTACCATATATATCTTATAGAAATCTCCTTCAGATATATACTATGAATAACACTACTCAAATTAGATATAGAGTTGTGACTCCTATATAGCTCTTTTCTCCTCCTTCATTTTTTTATGCTATTGTTGCCATACGTATGATATATACATATGTTAGAAAGCCAATAATACATTTTTGTATTTATTATTTTGTATTATGTGTTCTAAAGAGGCTGACAGAAGGAAAAAGATCTAGTTTATATTTATGTAGTTTGTTATATTAATTTTAATTTTCTTATTTACTCTTTCGTGATCTCTTCATTTCTTTCTGTGGATTCAAGTTACCATGTGGTGGTATTTCTTTAATAAAAGTGGGCCCCCCTTCCAAATTCTTTGTGCTATTATTGTCAAATAGGTTATATTTCCATATATAGGCCAATAACACTGTGACTTTAGATCCGTTAAAAGAAGAAGGAGAAATATGTAGTTTTTACAATCTTTTATAACTACCTATATAATTGTTTTCACTGAAGCTCTTCAATTTTTACACGCGTTGAATTACTGTCTGGTGTCACTTGCTTTTAGCTTGAAAGGACTTCCTTTAGTATTTCTTGCAATGGAGGCCTCTAGCAAAATGTTTTTAGGTTTTGTCTGTCTTGGAATGTCTTTATTTTGCTTTCACTTTTCAAAGATAGTTCTGCTGGATATCAGATCCTTAGTGATCATTTATTTTTCTTTTAGCAATTTTAATATGTTATCCTACTGCCTCTAGCCTTCATTGTTTCTAATCAGAAGTCAGTTGTTAATATTATTCTCTTGTATGTGAGGAGTTGTTTTTCTCTTACAGCTTTCAAGATGTTCTATTTATGTTTGGCTTTCATCATTTTCTCTGTGATGTGTCTGTGTATGGATCTTTTCCATTTATCTTATGGGGAATTCCTTGAGTTACATGAGGTATAAATTAATGATTTTCAGCAAATTTGAGTATTCTTTTTTTGATTATTTTCTCTACACTTTCCTCTTTCCACTCTGACTCTACCAACAAACATGGCATGCTTAGTGCTGTCCCACATTTCTCATTTTTCTTTATTATTTTTTCACTTTATTAATTTTTCTCTGTTCTTCTGATTACATCATCTCTCTCTACCAATTGTTCTTTAAGCTTATTGATTCTTCTGCCAGTTTAAATGTACTGTTGAGCCCCTTGAGTGAATTTTTCATTTCAGTTTTACTTTTCAACTCCAAAATTTCCATTGGTTCTTTTTATAATGTTTCTCTTTACTGATAGTATCTATTAGTTGAGACATTATCATCATATTTTTTTTCTTTAATCATGGTTTGCTTTAGTTCTTTGAACACGTTTGTAATAGCTGCTTTGAAGTCTTTGTTAAGTCTGACATATGGGCCTTCTTATGGTAATTTCTGAATGTTTCACCCCACTCCCGTCTTCACCCACATGCATATAAGTCATATTTTTCTGTTTCTTTGCATGTCTCATAATTTTTGTCAAAAACTGATATTTTAGATAAAATAGTGTAACAGCTCTAAATACTGACCCTCCCCACTCCGTATACCAGATTATTGTTTATTTGTTTAGTAACATGGCTGGACTATTTTAGTGATGTCTGTATCTCTAGCAGTATGAAGCCTCTGATGCTGCGCCTCACAGGGCACAGCCTTGGACATGTGGATAGTAATTTCAGCAAGGTCTCTTTTTGTCTTTTTCCCTGATCTCTCTTAACTATCTGCCTCTTTAGGTATCACACCCAGTTGTTAGCTTCTATTTATTGCTATCTGATTACTCTATTGTTTTCAACATTTCCCTGGGACATAAATTGCTTCAGTCTAATCCAATTAAATTTGAGCGTCTTTGAAGGGATACTTTTTGAGGCCAGACTTGGAGGTTAGTTCTGAACCTGAATAGTACTCTTTTTAGCTGTTCCTGTTCCTGATTCTAATAAATTAGCTGGACTTGTATAATATTTAGTTTGTTGTTCTCATGGAACTACCAGCCTCCTCTTTATTTCTTACCACCAAAACCTCATGGTTTCCAAAAGTGTTATTAGGCTTGAACTCCCCCATCATCTGTTCTAAATAAAGTCAGTTCCCTGAGGAGAGCGTTAGGGCCTTGTATTATTATGGCCTGCTTCTCCCTGCTGGGCAAAATCTCTGAACTTTTTCAACAGGATGGAGTTATAGCCCTGCTTTAAGAGCAGGCCACCCAGCAGGGACAGTGGCATCTAGTCTTCTTAACTTACCTCTCCAAGGACTGAACTTTTTCCCTGCAAGTGATCTCCGGTGAGGTAGACTGGGGCCCCAGCATTCTTGGCCTGCTACCCCTGGAGTACAGCCTTCACCCTGAGAGGGGCTTGGGTGGAGAAAGCCCTTTTCCAACCTCTTGGCCTCACTCACCTAGAATATAGCCTCTGTAGCACAAAATTGAAGGGGCTGGTTTCCTGCCCCACTTGGGAAATGCCGGGTTTTGAGAAATTGAGAAATGCTGGTTTCCTGCCCCACTTGGGGAGATACCATAGCTCTTAACTGGGAGCTTGGAGCAGAGGGCAGGAATCTTGGGTTCTTGGCTGTACTGACTTAGAATGGAGCTTCCATCACACTGAACTGACAAATTGATTACTAGAAAATAATTTCCATTAATAATTTTTCTGTGCTACAATTAATAGGGTGAGAATACCCCTTTTATTTTTTAACAGGAATTGACATTTTCATTTATATTACGTTATTACTGATATTGAAAATGTTTCCATTTTCTCAATATTGATTAGTTATTTATACATTTTATGCATGTCTATTGAAACTATTAAGGCTTTTCTTATTTTTAGTAGATATTTATATGACATAATAAAGATAAAAGTGACAAATATTTGCTAAGTGCTTTTACTTGTTTTACACTCTTTTCTTTGAACACATTTTTGACTAAGTAATTTGTATGCAATCACATTTATTAAGGAGAGCATCTATTTGATTTTTTTTAGATGGCAGAAAAGAGGCCCATAATGACTTATCTTAGAGGTCTAGAGGTCACAATTCTGAAAGCTATCAGTTATTTTTGGGCCATGAAGTACTTCCTGGGGAGCGGCTACCCCATAATAGCTGTAGTAGCAATGTCTCCACTGAGATGCATGGGGCTGGTCTAATCCTCTCATGAGCATCACGTCTCATCAGTTCACTCTGTCTGGGAAACTCCCTACCAAGGAGCTATGCTCAGGGTCATTTCCAGTGGGTTGGGCAGATCAGCTCTCTCCATTACCGCATTACTGTTATTCATTTATTTATTTTATTTTTTTTACCTCAAACACTTTGAGAGCCATGATAGTCTGTATTGTAGACTTCAATTTTTCTTCATCTTGGAGGCACATCTTTTAACCCGCTCAATGGTGTTATCTGGGGGAAACTAACCAGATAATGTAAAGAAAAGCACATTTCTCAATTCTAACTCTTTTTTTTTTTTCATTCATCTGATTGAAAGAGAACACATCCATTCATCTTGACTAAGATAAATTCTTCCTGCATGCTGACTATCTTGACTATTCCTCTTAGTAGGAGGGCACCAGCATGTGCCCTCTAAAATGTGTAGTTCACCATCAATTATGAATCTTAATTGACAGTACACTGAGCTCTGTAGAGACAGCACTGGGGCACTTGAGACTTGAATGGGCACTGAGCAATTCTGTGCCTCGCTGAGGAAAGATAACTAAGCCTGGGCAAAGGAGGTCCTAAGAAGCCGATAGGCAAAATGTCATTATATGCATTCTTTGCGCAAACTTGTCAGGAGGAGCTCAAGAAGAAGCATCCAGATGTTTCAGTCAACTTCTCAGAGTTTTCGAAGAAGTGCTTAGATAGGAGGAAGACTATGTCTGCTAAAGAAAAAAGAAAATTTGCAGACATGTCAAAGGTGAACAAGACCCGTTAAGAAAGAAATTGAAACCTATAGCCCTCTTAAAGGGAAGATAAAAAAGAAGTTCAAGGATTCCAATGTACTGAAGAGGCCTCCTTCAGCTTTTTTCTTGTTCTGTTCTGAGTATTGCTCGAAAGTCAAAGGAGTACATCCCGGCCTATCCATTGGAGATGTGAAGAAACAAGAGTTGTGGAATGACACTGCTGCAGATGACATGCACTCTTATGAAAAGAAGGCTGCAAAGCTGAAGGAAAAATATGAAAAATATATTGCTGTACATGGAGCTAAAGGAAAGCCTGATGCAGCATAAAAGGTAGTCATCAAGGCTGCAAAAAAGCAAGATAAAGTAAGAAGAGGAGGAAGATGAAAAGGATGAGAAGAAGGAAGATGAAGATGATGAAGATCATAATGAATGAGTTGGTTCTAACAGTTGTTTTTCTTGTCTATAAATCATTTAATCCTCCTGTATACAACTCACTCCTTTTAAAGAAAAAAGATTAAAATGTGGTGCTGTCTAAGGTTTATTTTCAAACTGCACAGTGTCTTTATTTTGTGTAATTAGCACATCACCAAATGTATCTTTAGATAGCTCTGTCCTGGTGGTGGTTTCAGTAGACACTAACCTTGCCTGGTACAGTATGGGAGCTGTACATTGTCATGGAAATTTAAAGTAGGTTCTTGGTACACAGCACTGATTAATCGTATACAGGGATGGGGGTTTTCTCATCCCCATTTGTCTCAGATGCACTGAAATAATTACATGAAATTGTTCTGTTAACTAATCTGTTAACAGAGTAGTAGTAAATACTACTCTGTAATTGCAGAAGAAATTGTAGCTGTTTTTTTGACATTCTGAATGCTTCTAAGTAAATATAGTTTTTTTGTTGTTTTTAAAAAATCTTAATTCTCAAGTTTTTCTCAGACAACATTTCAACCTATTTAAATGCCTCCTGTAAATGTCTGTTGTTTTCCTTTAAGAGGGTAGCCATATTTAGTTAAACTTTCCACATTTTCTAGCCTCTGGGCTACAGGTAATTATGGGTTGCATAAATTCTCAGGTAACCAGAAAAAAATTAATTTCAATTTCAAGGTGGCTGGGAGTTGAAAGCATGATATGCAAATCCATACGTCAACTCTAACTGATCTAACCAGTGACATCACAAAAGTAGATAGTCATTAGAACATTCCAGGATGGCTGTGCAGACAGATAACTGCTAATGGGCAATCCCCCCTTATCAACCAAAACCCAACTAACAGGAAAATGAAAGCACAGGCACATATCCTGCAAGTTTGTGTTATTAAGTTGTTATTTGTATTATTAATTTGCAATAGGATTAGACAAATGTGATTTTATTTTCTTAAAATATCTGGCTGGTAGTAGTTCCAATAGAAAATACTGATCAAAGTAAATGACAGTCCAGTTCATTTGGGAAAGGAATCAGCTTCTATCAGATAATTTTGCTCTATGGTCTGAAATAATATGGAATCACATTAATTGAGTCCAGAAATAAGTCGAAATTATGTGTTACTACCCATTCTCCCTAAATATATACCGTGGTCTATAATAACTTGCAGTTTTTTCCTTCTGCCCTGAAAGGAAACCTTTCTAACTGAAAGCTCTGGAATCATATAACCTATATTTTATTGGCTGGCGGGGAGGGGTGTCTTAAAAATGGAAATTCCAAACTGGCGTTTTCTCCAGAATGCAGCTCAGGCTCACTTTTCATATGTGACCTTATCCTGAACTTCTCTGAAACAGCACAGTCAACTGAATATATTTGTATGACCCTATCATTTTACTGGAATTTGAATATATCTATTTCTATATCTATATCTGCATATATCTATATGGGCATATATCTATAGATAGATAGATAGATAGATGGATAGATGCCAGTATTAGCCGGGAAATGATACTCCAAAGTTTCAGGTATTCAAAACCTCTTCATGTGAAAATCTGAATGTACTTTGTTACTAATTGAAAATGTTTTGCCCACTATTATCTGCCCCTGTGTGAGTCTTCCCATCATAAGCAAAAACCTTGGAAGATCAAAAAATATAAAACACAGTAGCTAATGTTTACATCCCCAGAGTATGTTGTTAGCTTATGTCCACTTTGGGGAAAAGGAAGTCAATTGCCCATTTTGTCTCAGGCAATTGCTATGGCCACAGTTACCAGAAGGAATAGAAATTCATGTTGCAGCATTTTTTCCTTCAGTGAATTTTACAAAATGGATATGTGACAAAGGTCCCACCCAGTAGCACCACAACACACCATGCCATGTCAACACATTCTTGCCATTGTTATTCTCAATGGCTCAGAGGAAAAAAACAATAGAAATTCCTCTGGGCAAGAATATGAGCCAGCAGGCCCCAACCTAGTGAAGAAAGTTTACGTTTAAAAGGTTCAATGTTTTTAGTTAAGTGGTTTCATGGCTTTATTATACATTCATGCATTTTGCTAGTGATATTTTTAAGTAAATAGTTCACAGATTTAATTTATAAATCCAACTTTTGACAAATCTGACCAAATATATATATATATTAAGCCCTCTAAATGGGAAACATGTCCATCTTTGGTTATGAATATTCATAGGCCTGAAAGCCTCCTTTACAGAATATTATGTAGCAAGCACCCTTGGCCCACACATCTGTGCTCTATTGTGTTTTCCTGAAAAAATCAACTCATTCAGGGACTATAAAACAAGAATTCGTATAAAAATGTATATAAGGAAGACACATTTCCCTTTTTAAAAGTTCATTCATCCATGACAAAGCTATTAAAAGTAGTTCAAGTTAACAATAAAGAACAAAAGATAATTGTGTGGATCTATGTGGTGGGAAGACCCAGACATGGCAGTCAAGTTAGAATGATGGAGACCCAGACACCAGACAGACCACAAGGATGTCCTCTGGGGACTTATTTGAGTATGAATAAAGAGTAGGAGTTCTACACAGATGTGCCAAAGACTCATGGTAAACAGCTGGCAGACATTCCAGTCAGTGAAGAAAGTGTGGTGCTGGAGAGTGCTGGGGTTAGAAGAGGAGAGGTGTGGCAGGACATGGGAATGGTGCTGGAAAAGAATGGGCAGCCAGCAACACAGAGAAGTTAAGGAAGATACCTGGGAAGTCGGGACCTGGGAGGTGCAGCTGTAGCATATACTAAGGGAGGAGACCACCCCTCATGCCCAGTTTCTGCCTCTAAAGAAAGAAGTAAAAACTAAAAGGCAGAAATGAAATCCACAGGCAGATAGCCCAGTGTGCACCCTGGGCCTGGTAGTTAAAAATCAACCCCTGACCTAACTGCTTGTGTTGTCTGTAGATTCCAGACATTGTATGGAAAAGCATTGTGAAAATCCCTGTCCTGTTCTGTTCTGTTCTAATTACCAGTGCATGCAGCTCTCAGTCACGTACCCCCTGCTTTCTCAATCGATCACGACCCTCTCATGCGGACCCCCTTAGAGTTGTAAGCCCTTAAAAGGGACAGGAATTGCTCACTCGGGGAGCTTAGCTTTTGAAACAAGTCTGCCGAAGCTCCTGGCCGAATAAAGCTTCTTCCTTCTTTAACCCGTTTGACGAGTTTTGTCTGCAATTCGTCCTACTACAGTACCAGGGGAGGTATGTTCAGGAATAAATCTCTGACACATCTGTGGGTCCTGGTCTCAAGAAACTGAGACATTGGAGGGGCTCACAAAGCAAGGATTGCAGCACAAGTGACCCTCCTTCTGATCTGAAAAGGATTCTCAAAAATGAGAAGGGAGAACTCCCCCTTGGCAGCACATATCAGAAACTGATCAGAGTAAAGGCAGTCCATATGCAAAGTATGTAACTCTACCTCCATCCAGCCTCCACTCTACCATAACATGCACTCTTACTGATAGAAAAGCATCTTGTTGTGAAGGTATGTTGGGGCAAATAAAAAATGATGGAATGCTGAAAATCATTGAAATAGGAACTTCGTCATAAAAGAACCAACTTAAGGAGCCTAGTTCATGACTGCAATGTCAGGAATGGATTTGAATTTAGGTCAATCATGATGCTGAGCTGTGAGCACCAGGCAGCTGGGTGTTACAGGAGTATCATGCACCTTAGAGTGAGAGTGGCCAGGGTTCAATTCCCAAGCCATTGCATACCATAAGGCATGTTTTTACATCCACTGACTCTCATTTTTCTACTACTTTAGATCCTCATGACCATATTATTTTTTTAATGTACACAGCACGTTTGCTATACTTTAGCTCTTCAGTGACTTATTCCTTCCACTACCTCCTTCAAAATCTGTCCCTTCCCATCCAGCTGGAAAATGGAGGGAAATGTCTTTACAATCTAATTTTCTAGGGCTGGGGCTCAGACAGAGGATGCCAGAGAAGGCACAATAGAAAGTGAAGAAGAATAAATTGGAAGTTGAGTAGGGAAGTAAGGATCATTAATAAGAGCTCTTGGTGGGGCAGAGGAGGAAGGCTGAGGATGACTTGGGGCCATCCAGTGTAAAACCCAAGAAGCAGGTGCTGTGTGCATGGCCAGAGGTGTTTGTGTTCAGCATTCCCTTTGTGTGTGTTCTCAGGTTCCTGGCCCCCGCTTGCCATCTGTGACAATCATCTCTTTATCCCTCTCTTCTTTAGCTCTCTGAAAAATGAACTGTAGTTTCAAAAAAAAAAAAACCCACAAATATATAATTACAAATCAAGTTAAGTGCTAAGTAAGAAAAATACAGAATGAAATGAGAAAGTATATTAGGGGCCTAATTTAAGTATGGGGGGTTGGATTTGAGAATTGGTGAAATAGAATAAGTAGAAGCTAAACATGTACAAACTAGGAAAAAGGGGGTTTCTAGGCAGAGAGAGGTACAAAAGTTCTATTTTAGCATCACTTGTGTTAATAACTCTAAAAAGCAGTCATCAGTACCCAGAAACCAGCTGGGTTTCAGAATCAAATGATCTATGAATGCTGTGATGCTTACAAATGGAAAAAACAACAATACTTAAATTCCTAAATAACGAGACTAAATCAGCAATATAAAATAAGAAATTAAATCAGTAGTAATTACATGGTTCTAGCCATTTCCATTTTGACCCAAAATGGGAATTTTCCCAGGTCCTAACAGAGGGAAAGGGGAAATAAAAGCTTAGAAATCTTGAAATGTTCCAGGTTGTCTTCCTCACCATTCTGTAAGCTGCCACTGATGCTTAAGAAACTTAGACTCTCTCACATGCTTCCAGAAAAGTTCCAGAAATCTCCTACAGACTATCTCCCATGTGCTTCATGGACTAGGACTCTTGACCTCTTCCATTTTTCCTCCTCTTTCATCGATTCTCTGTCTAAGCAACCTAAAGAAGCAACTCTCCTGCATTCTCATCTCCATTCCTGCTGGGGCTGGCCAGGAACTGACAGGCACCAAAGGGAGGTATTGCCAATCTGCCATAGCTGTCTTGAGACAATTGATTACTTACATCAAGGGCTCTACTGACTGCACCTAGAGTAGCTTCTGTCATTTCTAGAAACTTCTGGCACTATTTCTCATCATTGCTAGAAACTCCTGAAAGTTTATGGTCTCACTGTTTCACGAAGGTTACACTGAAAATTAGACTAGGTTTCACTTATTTCTTTAGTGCTGAATGAGGATTTAGTCCTGAGTCCTTTGGACCTCTGGCAGAAAGACAAGCCCAAATGATCAGCATAATAAATATAAACAAGATGATGCCTTACATATTATTATATGTTTTTCCTTTTGCTTTTCTGAATACAAAATTCACTTACCCGAAGCATCCATTAGCCTCAGGGGACATTTGGATATTATAAAGAGAAAAGCAAAGTAATACTCAACCTCTAAGATCAAAACAGGCTATTGTTAAGAGCAGAGAATTTTCAGATTCCATGGAGGTTTTATCCCCCTTTTAGATTATAACGAGTAAGCCTAGGAACACACTGTGGTGTGGAGAACATGTTCCATCTGGGTTAATTGAATATAAAGAGAAGATGTGATTTGAGAGAAATAAAAGAAATGATCAACACTTTTCAGGTCTAGGAATTTGTGGGAAGGAGAAGAGAAGAGAAAAACAAGAGTGTGAGACGGATATCCTCTCTGAGGAGGAGAAGAGAGAACATTTCAAAAGGGTGAGGGAAACGCTGAAGGCAGAGAAAAGCTATGCCTGTTCCACATGAAGGCCTCTAGAAAGAGGCTACCTCTGAAAAATCCCACAGTCACAAAGCCAGGATGTGGCCACGCACCCAGGCACCACGTGGCAGTCAGACGGAGGAATGCCTCAGAGGTTAATTTTCTGCAACCACTCTGAGTTTTAAAGCAACTGAGATTGTGGCTGGGGAGGTTGTCACACTAGTTTGACAAGAGGACTCGTACCAGGGGTTGCTGAGCAGAGGACAAGTCTGAAGTTTCATGGAGTCAGACCCCTTCAGGGTCTGAACACAGCAGAAGCCAATGCAAGTCTCATTTCCCAGGGCAGACTACTCAGCCTTGACCACGCTGAGAAAGACTCCATTCAGATATTTTGTCAGCTACAGGCTTCAGTGGCAAATGGCAAGACAACTAGCATCACCAGCTGGAGGAAGGATGTTGTCCTAGAGCTGGTCACAGCATGGAGCCTCAGGACCCGGGCCCTTCCCATTAACTGAAGGTTATGTGTGCCATACTCCATTCTTCATGTGCTCAGACTAACATCAGATATTAACTATCATAGGACACTAACATAGGACACTAACTTAGGGAGAGAAAGAGAGACGAAATGATATTTGAATGGCTACATATATTTCAAGAAAGACTGAACTCTTAAAGTAATAGTTATATCAAATATTTATTCTTATAAATGTTTAAGAAGATGGTAAATTGTGTCAGCTCCTTAAGTTGAAGGATCATGCTTTTTTTTTTTTTTCCCATTTTTGTATCCCTTCCCGTAACCATTCCATGGCTCTGCATGTAGAAAGAGCTCAAAAACCACTGTTGAATGAGTTATGAGTAAATAGATAACACTATTTTAACATTTTAATGGTTCACAAAACCCTAAAAAGCAGCAGAGTGTCTTACAGTTTATCCCCTATTTCCATACTTCCCTAACTCAGTGCTCCAGAGATAAATTATCTTGAGAAGAAACCACACTCATACGATTGGATTTCAAAACTTAATGATTTTTTTTCTGTTCCCCAATAATTTTTGTGTTGGGAGGGGGCAATCGCATCAAGTTTGTGAAACTCTGGCTGTAAGAGATTTTCAATCAACACACAGGTTCAGAGGTTGTTGCTTCCAAGGATAATCTCCCAGGGCCTCATTCGACAATACATATTTCCCAACTTCCCCAGGCAGAAGTCCGCAGAAGGCCGCAGAACTCCGCAGAAGGCCGCAGAACTCCGCAGAAGGCCGCAGAACTCCGCAGAAGTCCGCACACAGTAAGGAAGTTGCCTCCGCGTCCAGCCCGCTGATTGAGCAGGCCGAGAGCCAATGCGCAAAGAAGGTCCGTTTCCGTTTGTTTTCCTCATACTTTTCCTTCTTTCTGACCAGTAAGCCACAGAGTTATGGAAAAGGCTGGGGAAGAATCTGTGGCCGAGTCCTTCTTCCCACAGGTCCACTAATTATGGAGAACCAAAGTTTTTTCTTAAAACTGACGGGACAATCGATGAACCTGACCACTGCAGACATGGACTTCCCTAAACTTCAATCTGTGGAGAGAGGCCTCAGAGTCTTCACTCGCTATTTCATTTTCAGGCTCCTTCCAGCAAAATAAAAGTAAAAACAACAGCTATTTGATGGCTCATTGCCTTTGTTTCCCTGGTAGATCCTCAGGGACGTTCCAAGGACATTCTACTTTGAGTGTCATAGAAAAAGCACCAGAATCACAGTCTGATATCTTAAGAGTGACAAGAGACCAGCATTCAAGACTTAGCTTCTGATAATGGTATGTATGGATAAAGCCACTTGCTTCCTGCATGACAATGGCCAGGTTCTTTTACCTCTCTGTGTCTAAATTTCCATCCTTATTTAAAGGAGACCTTGGAGTAGTGTTTGAAATTCTGTATACAGGATTTTATTATTATTATTGTTATTAACTAGATAAAATACCTTGACACTTTGGCCTGAGTTACACTTCTGTTTTTGCAAGAATCGTTTTAGGCGATTTTCTAAATTCGTTTCTTGAATTTACTAGCCTGAATTAGTTAATAAATAAAAACTTTCCTTCACAAGCTATTTGGATACTTTTAAGATAAAATTCATACAGGAAAGGTAGGATAACTATTTTTATTCTTTCCCATTATCACACATTGTATTATCAAAGCCCAGAGAGCTTTATGAATAGAGTTGTTTGTGATTTTTCTCTTTGGAGTTCTGAGTATCTGTCTCTTGTAGATAGCTATGTTTTATGCTAAAAGATGGAGGATGGGCCAGGTGCGGTGGCTAACGCCTGTAATCCCAGCAATCTGGGAGGCAGAGGTGGGCGGGTCACCTGAGGTCAGGAGTTCAAGACCAGCATGGCTAATAGGGTGAAACCTTGTCTCTAGTAAAAATACAAAAAATTAGCTGGGTGTGGTGGCGGGAGCCTGTAATCCCAGCTACTTGGGAGGCTGAGGCAGGGGAATTGCTTGAACCCAGGAGGTGGAGGTTGCAATGAGCCAAGATCGCTCCACTGCACTCCAGTCTGGGCAATGCACTGCTTGGTGCATATTGGTTGTATTCAGCCAAAAAAAGGTATTTTCTGGAACTAGCCTTGGTCCAATTACTAATTTTTTGAATTTTGTAAAAGCTATATTAATCAAAGGACTCTCATGCTGTATAATGGAAAAATTCTTCCTAGACAATAACAATATATTCAGAAAATCCAGGTAGTCTCAATAAGAGAAATAAAGTGTTAATGAAGAATAATAATAATGAGATATTAAGATGGTAGCTCGAAAATAGGGACTTCAGATTAAGAAATGTCTTGAGAAAGAGGTTTACAACACGTATTCAGAAATATATATGACAAAGTGATTAAACAAAATTATTTCCACAAATTTGCACTAAGAGAACAAAATAGATGTCAATTTATTTAAAATTATATAGGTGTTAGAGGGAGGGCATGATTTTATGTATTTTAACACAAGCATGCTATTTATGTTTTTTGAAATACTAGCTTTTATATACTCTAAATCAGCCGTCCCCAACCTTTTTTGCACCAGGAGCTGGTTTCATGGAAGACAAGTTTTCTATGGAGGGACAGGTGGCAGAGGGGACGGTTTTGGGATGAAACAGTTCCACCTCAGGTCATCAGGCATTAGCTCTCAAAAGGAGCATGCAACCTACATCCCTCACATGCACAGTTCACAATAGGGTTTGCGCTCCTATGAGAATCGAATGCCACCGCTGATCTGACAGGAGGTGGAGCTCAGGCAGTAATGCTCTCTCACCCAACACTCACCTCCTGCTGTGCAGTCTGGTTCCTAACAGGCCACGAACCGTCTCTGGACCACGGCCTCAGGGTTGGGGACCCCTCCCTGCTCTAAATATACTCCTCTATTCTTATCAATAGCCACTTGGCAAACCAAGTATACTTGTATTAAGTTCTCAATTATCTCTATGTTAGCAACCTCCGACATCTATACTCAGGTCAAACAAGTACCAACATCTAACAGAAATCAATAAAGAACATGACATGTGGAACCATTGCTTTTTCGGTTACAGGTGATTATGTTCAGAAAAGAATGCAATAATTCCTTTAATGTTAACTCTACTTAAATGTCTGTTTTCCACCTTTGTGTCTTGCCAGAAGCACAATAATCATTCCAGACCTGAGCTATGTAATAAAGGTCTGGGAATAGTTTACTTGCTTGATCTGTTCCTCATACTAAGACATAGAACATGTGTTATTCCACCCTCTGGGGCCAGTATTCGTAACTCTTCCTAGGTCTCCACAGAGTCACATGCTCTGAAATACAGAAATACAAATAATAATAAGATATTATTTCACCTATGGCTCAACCTGTTATTCAAAGAAGCCAGTTAAACTTTTCATTTGAAGTTAAGTTTTTAAAAATGCTTTGTTGGAAAATAATGCAGAAAGTGCATTTGTATTTTAAATTTCTAAAACAATTACCAAAGTATCAGAAGTTTACAGCTTGATAGTAATCCTCAAACAAAAATCAACTGGAGAGGGGTGGTTAGGAATCAAATGATTACATTTTAAAATGCAACAAGGGAGGTGATGAAAGCATATTAATAATGAAAAAAAAGTAAAACACTAACAGATGTGGAATATTGTACAAAGTCCAAATTCAATAGACATCCATGTAGAAAATAACCATGAAAATGAAAAACTAAAAGAAATTTCCTGAGGTGGTTTTAGTTTGAATTCAAGTAGGCTGGGCTTAGTTAAATTTCCCTAAAATTTTCCATTTCCCTGTCAACCTGGATGACTGATAAATAGATCTTAAATGCACAGATAAGCATATCACCCAGTGAGTGGGTAGAAGTATGGACTGGAAATAAAAGGTGAGACATTCTCCCGGTGCTAGGAGATACATAATGTATACATTACGTTCCACAATGTTCTCTTGAAAATGCAAAAGCTGATTCTTCTGGATACTTCTCTGTGAACAATAGTCATGAGAATGGACTTCCTGAGTTTCTTTCCTCACCCTCACCCCCACCCCAGGTCCAGGCCAATTTTGTCTATACATAATCTACCAAGCCAGTGATTTTCCTGGAATTATCACTTGGGTTTCAGAGTCAATTACTACAGTTCTCACAAGGTCACTCCACCCAAAGAGCCTAGATTGTTCTTCAGGAGTTTGCTATACCTCCAGGGTTCTCATGTGATCTGTCCTCAGTCTCACTCACCAAGCTCAATCGGTGAAACTCTGCTATCCCACAGCTACACTGGATTTCGAAAGGTCTTTTCAAAAGCACACAAGCTCTTTCCTGATCCTGCCCTTTCTCTCTGCCTGAAATGTTTTCCCTCAGGTTCTTTGCATGTTTGAAGTGGTCTTATTCTTCAGATCTCTGCCTAAATACAACTCTTGAAGGTCTTCCTGAACACTAGGTAAAGTGTTTATATTTTACGTAGAAAGGAACTGGTCTCCATTACTATCTGTAACAGCAACCCTTTACTCTCCTGGTTATTACTGTTCACTTGTTTACTGTTGGTTTTCCTCACCAGAATGTAGCTGGGCAGGGAAAAGTTCTGTCTCATTTATTATTGTTTCCCTACTGCCTAGCCCACCTGCAACATAAGCCTCAGAATAATGTTATTAAATAATAGAAGAATGAAAAGTTTTTATAGTGAAATGGAAAGATAGAAGGAGGGTAATTAGCCATTCTAACGGGGGTAACACTATATTGCGGTTTTGATTTGCATCTTCCTGATGATTAGTGATGTTGAACATTTTTCATATACCTTTTGGCCATTTGTATATTTTCCTTTGAGAAATGTCTATATGGATCCTTTGCCCACTTTTTAATGGGGTTGTTTGGTTTTTTGCTTTTGAGTTCCTTGCGTATTCTGGCTATTACTATTAATCCCTTGTCTGATGAATATTTTGCAAACATTTTCTATCATTTAACAGGCTGTTTCTTCACGCTGTTAATTGTTTCCTTTGCTGTGCAAAAGCATTTTAGTTTAATATGGTCCCATTTGTCTTTTTTTTTTTTTTTGGTCTGTGCTTTTGGGGACTTACTTATAAAATCTTTGCCTATATAAATGTCCTAGAATATTTCTCTCGTGTTTTCTTCTAGTAATTTTTTAGTTTTAGGTCAAGGACTATTATCAAAAAGATGAAAATATAACAAATGCTGTCAAAAATGCAGAGAAAAGGGAACTTATACACTATTGGTGAAAATGCAAAATTAGTACAGCCATTATGGAAAATAGTATAGAGACTTCTCAATAAAATAAAACTAGAACTACCTTACAATGCAGCAGTCTCACTACTGAGTACACAAAGGAAAGGAAATCTGTATATCAAAGGGATACACATACCCCATGTTTATTGCAGCACTATTCACAATAGCAAAGATATGTAATTAACCTAAGTGTCCATCAACGGATGAATAAAGAAAATGTGGTATATTTATAGAATGAAATATGACTTAGTCATAAAAAAAAGAAACCATGTTATTTGCAGCAACATGAAGGGAATTAGAGGTCATTATGTTCAGTGAAATCAGCCAGATACAGAAAGACAAATATTGCATGTACTCACTCATGTGGGAGCTAACAAAGTGGATCTCATGGAGGTAGAGAGTAGAATGACAGTTACCGGGGGCTGGCAAGTATGTGGGTATGTGTGTGGGAAGATGGAGAATATAGTTTGGTTAATGGGTACAAACATACAGTTCAATAGAAGAAAAAAATTGTGATGCTCAATAATAGAGTTGGGTGAATATAGTTAACAACAATGTGTTATATATTTCAAAATAGCTATAAGTGAGGGCTTGAAATGTTCTCAACACATAGAAATAATACATGCTAATGGTGATGGATATGATTAATATCCTGACTTGATCATTACATTCTATACATGTAACAAAATGTTACATGCAACCCATAAATATGTACAAATATTATCCATCAATGAAAAAAGATGGAAGAAGGAGAGAGGTTCATGTAGATGGTGAAGAAGATGAGAGTATTAGAATTAGGGTGAGAAGTTGCTTATTTCCTGTGACTCTTTCTAAACCCTGTGGTTTTCCCCAGAATCTATGTGGACAATATGAAATTGTTCT
Source organism: Homo sapiens (assembly GCF_000001405.40). NCBI lineage: Eukaryota > Metazoa > Chordata > Mammalia > Primates > Hominidae > Homo > Homo sapiens. The sequence continues at coordinate 107,160,908 of NC_000008.11, read as the reverse complement.
TAAGTGTATCCCTGGACCCTTTGGGGATGCAACAATGAGGTCTGACTTCAAGAAGAAAATGAAAATCAGAGGGAAATAGCCAAAATACCACAAAAACAAGTCTTCAGATACTCTAGAGGGACTAATAGAGTCTCTGGATGCACTCCTGCTAGTTACCTTAGCTATTTACCCTGTCTGTAATTTGGGAAATTGAGTATTGCTAGAAGATAAATTTTAAACATCTTAAATGCATTAAATTGTTAACTAAAAAGACAAAAATTAGGATAAGATTTGTTAGAAAAAGGCAAAAGACAGTAAAACGAATGCTTATTATATTCATAGTATGAAATCATTGAGAACAGTGTAAGATTAGAGACATACATGTGAGAAGGTGAGTAACATTAAGAATCAGAGCAAGAATGCAGCCGAGAATAACCCTGCAGTCATCCTTAGTCAGATGCCCTCCGTGGGGACAAAATGCCTACCGTCACCTTGTTGGTTGGTTCAGGAGTTCAGTGACCTTCAGTTAAGCTGTATTGATGTAATGTGCTGGTGAGAATAGATGTTTGCACTTCTACTGAGGATGGAGCAGCTTTTTCCTGATGTTTACTGTAGAACTTGGATTGTAAAACATCAGCAATGAAGAGGGAACAGACAACTTAAGCTTTTTCCCGTAAGCACTCACTCGTCTCTCACTTGTCCCTGCCAAGGGCTCCAAGTCAATCTGCATTGAGCAGAGAGCTGAAACCCTGCTGAGTTGACAGCTGCTGCTGGCCTGGAGCCCACTGTGGACCTGAGGAGAATAATGCTCCCCACTTCACTCAGGGCTCAAAATAAAGCTGAATCACCACTTTGGAGATACACAATGTGTCCTCCTGGGGAGGACTGAGGTCTTTGCCTATGATCTTCTTGGGTCACACAATAATAGCAGCCTTCTGAAAATACGTTAAACACGCCACGAACTGAATCACTTCAGTTCACCAATTTGCATTATTTTCCTGTTTCCTATGCAATGAAGAACTCATGGACTTTCCAAAATTACTTTTGCTTCTCCACTCATTTCAGAAAGTTGAGGATAACTTTCCAGACCTTGAAAAATATTTATAAAATAATGTTTTCTAAAGAAATCATAGAGAACTCTTAGACCTGTGGTCCAAAGTAGTGGGACATGCAGGCTCAAGGGCCATCCATTGTCAGGCATTCCTGCATTTCTTTTCCTTTTATGTCCCAAAGTGATGGCAGAACTTTAAGAAATAGATTTGAAATATATTTTGACAAATGATTAGAAAAGAAATTTGTCAACTAGATAAAGGATGAAGCCATCCATTCGAGAATACCGAAATAATAAAATTACAAGGGTTTCCTGGGATACTGTTCCTGAAAATTCATCTTCCTTTTTGACAAAGCATTCTTAAACAAATATAATTATTCACCATATACAAAAGCTATGTGTCATCAGAAACAATTTATGAAGCAGTAGAAGGTTGTATGTGGCAATATATTAAACACTTCTCAAATACATATGCAGCAGGGGTTTTTTAATATGCAAATAATTTAAGTTCTCTATTAATCATCTCATGAATTTCAGAGAAAAATGGATACCATATAAATGGTGTGGAAGAACTGGAAGATGCTGAAACACCTCATTAACACATCTAAGAAACTGGAGCACATTTTAATCATGTGTGTTTTTAATAGCCTAGTTATTTAAAAATTGGTAAACTACTTCTGTTTTTAACAGAGGGATTCAGATGAACTAGAATATTCCCTTTCCATTTTTAAAATCATTCATTTCCTACTATGTCCCAGGCACTATGCTAAGCACTAGGCATATAGGAATTAAAAAGCTGGGTATGGTGGCTCACATCTGTAATCCCAGCATTTTGGGAGGCTGAGGTGGACAGATCCCTTGAGTTCAGGAGTTCGAGACCAGCCTGGGCAACATGATGAAACCCCATCTTTACCAAAAATACAAAAAATTAGCATGTTGTGTTGGCATGTGCCTATGGTCACAGCTACTCAGGAGTCTGAGGTGGGTGGATCACTTGAGCCTGTGAGGCGGAGGTTGCAGTGACCCAAGATCACACCACTACATTCCAGCCTGGGTGACAGAGCAAGACCCTGTCTCAAATAAATTAATAAATAAATAAAAATTTTTAAAAAGAAATTTAAAAGAGAAAAGAGCCATGCCTTCGTACAACTAATTATCAAAGGAAGTAGATTGATTTTCATATTTAATGATATAATTATGTCTATGAAAAGTTTCCCTCAAATGAAAATAAGTGGCACTAAAAGAGCTTATAACAGGATATCCTGACTTAGTTTGTAAAATCAAAGAAAAATTTTTTGAGGAAGTGATGTTAATCTGAAATACGAAGTGTGGATAATATTAGATACAGAGCATTCTAGGGAAAGAAACAGCATGTGTGAAAGACATGAGATGGGAAAAAGCTTAGCAAGTTGAATAACTAAAAGAGCCAAAGTGGCTGGAAGCTCAAAAGCAAGGGGGAGGGTAAAGGGAGAGGAAGGTATTAATGTAAGCAGGATCTTTCAAAAATTTTTATGTAAAAAATTTGAAATTTATCTTAAGAGTCAATGGGAAAGTTTGATGTATTCGATACATCAGAATGCTATGTATTTTTAAAGATCAATTTTTTTGCTATTTTAAAAAATGAATTGAAGAGAAAACAAAGATGTACGTAGAGAGATGCATTCAGCAGCTATTGCAAAAGTTCCAAAGCACAAGAATAGTAGCATAAAGTTGGCTAGTAGAATCAGTGGAAATGAAAAAAAGTAGATGGATCTGCAATGTAAAGGAGAACACTTGATTTATCTGGTACAGAGTGGAGTTCAGTAAATATTTGTTAAATGAATGACTGATTTATTTTGCATTTAGGAAAAGAGAAGAATCAGGCATACCTCTTCCACTGGTTTAACTGAGAACTTATTATGCATAAAGGTGTTTTCTATTCAAAGAGTTTTCCACAGACCAGCAACATCAGCTTCATTTGATACCTTGGTAGAAATGCAGAATCTCTGGCCCTCCTCTCAGAACTGCTAGGAATGTGGCTGTTAATGAGATCCCTCGATGATTCGTGTGCACGTTAAAGTTTGAAGAGTGCTCTCAGGTAGAGCAACATTGAGGCTCAGACACACAGTTGAAACCAAAAGAAGGAAATGCAGAGTGTATTTAAATTATACATGGATTGAAGATAACAGCCTATTAAAGATAGACTTTAGTACATAATTCGGTGAATCTTTTATGGAAACTTGTCACCAAATTTGCCAAATTGAATTTTCAAAATCGAAAAGTCACAAAACAATGCTTGTGATAAGACGATTTCTCTGCCTAAATGAGTAATAATAATTGTAATGACAAGGGTTACATTGTGTTTTATCATTAGTGTGTGTGTGTATATATATTTTTTCTGTTAGGGGAATTTATATGAAAGAGAAAAACCTGTACAAGTAGGGGGAAGGAAAGACTATTGTATAGTATGTGCAAACAAATGTTAAAATTCTTAATTATACCTAGGTATTTTGACAGAGGCTAACTTAAGAAAACATAGATACTAAAGCTCAACATAATCATATCATAAAATCTATAACCCATGTGTATAAGAAAAATTATGTCATGCTGTTTATACAGAACAAGCACAGAAACACTGGAATATAGAAAAGATGTGTCCAGGATTGCTGTATCAATATGAATCTTGATAGGAGGAAAATGCCAAAAATAGTTCTAAGTTGCACTCTAACCCAAAGTTCCATGCAACCAAGATTACTAGCCTGCTTACCATTATGCACTAGATTAGTTCCATATATCCCCAAAGTGGAGGGGGCGGAGGGGGAAGCCACAATATTACATCTATCCTTTATATATTGCCAAAAATAGACAAGGTTCAATTGTGCTCAATGGCTCCAGAGGTTACAGAACATCATTCTTTTCTAAAGTTCCAGCTGGCAGGTAGTTCCCCTACTCTCACCTGCTCCTTTGTTTTTTTTGTATTCATGCACATGACAGTGGAGTAAACAATTCGGCCTGTGTCATCATGTCAATATTGTGGTCAGAAAAAAAAGGCACAGGACAATTATTAGATCAACAATTGAATAATTCAAGGTGGTCACTTAATATTAAAATCAAGTATATAACTTGAAAAGGGCAAAGAGAGGAGCAACAAGAAAGTTACAAGGTATAAATGTTTGACCTACAAAGAAAGAATGAAAATGATGACTTGCCTTGACCTTGGAAACAGGAGGCTGGAGGAAGAAATGAGAAGCCTAAGAATATATGGCAGGCTTTAAAGGTGGAGGCACTAGCCCTTGGTCAATAGGGCAACAGAACAACACGATGGAAATGGCCACAACAGAAGTTTAGGATAAACCTGAAAGGGTGAGAAAGCCCTAGCATAATGGTTAATACAGGACTTTGGATTTTAATATCCCTGGACTTAAATTCTGGCTCTGCCAGGTTAAGACAAAACTGACCAGAAAACTGTAGAAATAGAGAAACTATGAATTGTTGTTTTTGTAATAAAGAGGGTGAGAGAGTGGGGTTTAGATTATTTAATGTCTTTGTAGTGAAGATTGAAACATATAATCTTAATCTCTGGTTTGTAATTCCTGTCAATTACTTGCTAAACTTTTTTTTAAATTTTGTGCCTTTTCTCTCTCTTTTTTTTTTTTTGTTTTTTTTGTTTGTTTGTTTGTTTGTTTTTAAGTCACACTGCCAGGGTTTGAATATTTACTAGTTACTTACTCTCTTGAAGTTTGGGGTCTCATACTCATATAAATAATAATAGTACCTATGTTGTATGGTTTTCAAAGAATTAAATGATGCCTTCTGGACTGCTTGGGACATAGTAAATATGCAATAAATGTTAGGTCTTTTTATTATTATTCCTGGCTTGTACACAGGACTAAGTACCTATGAAGAATTCAGAGATGAATCAGATAATGAACCCAACCCTAAGAGCTTTTAGAATCAAGTAGGGAAAATAAGACATGCAGGCAAGTGACCATAATAAAGACTAAATCTGCCTCAAGAGAGATACAGGTAAAATAAGATGGGCATTTAAAGGAGAGAACTGACTTTAAAAGAGAGAGGAGGATATGGGAGGAATTTGTGGAGAAGGTGGTTTTCGAACTGGATTTCAAAAGACAAAAAGTTTCACTGACTAAAGATGGGAGTGGCACAGAGTAGTGGGAAAATAGTGAGATAATGCATTGCTTCATAAGGGAATAGGACAAGTATTCATTTTGCAAGGTTTTCAGATTCTAATACTGACTTGAAGATATGTTTCAACAAATTTTCCTTTTAAGATATTCTAACACTATGCTAAACTTTCAGTAGTAACTTGGCCTGCACATACCAGTCCCAAAAGCTGTGACACCTGGTTTGTTAAAGAAACAACAGGCATTTCAATGAAATGCCGAGGCCTCACATGGGGTATAACCCTTATGAGTTGTCATTGTGATTCCATTGTTGAACTTGCTTCCAAGTTTTATTTCATCATCCATATTTGTGCTAGAACAGTAGTTTATTCATAATTGTTAAAAGAGAAACCTCAAATAATCTAAACAACCTACTTAGATCCCAAATACAAAACTCAAAGTGCATCTTTTTGGAACAAATGTTCTATTTCACATTTTGATTCGAAAAGTGTAGAAAATCATGAACATCAATAAGTTAAAGATGTTAGAAAGGAATGGATTCATTTTCTAAGTCACATAGAAAATTTATTGGGACGAAAATACTAGGGGAAACATTCTTGGCAAAAATATATTCATGATTTTTCTTCAGGCCATTAATTTGGAAACTTTTGCATAACTGTGAGGGAATGACTCTTGGGACTCCCAGACATAGCTTTCTCTCCTCTCCTCCCATCACCCCTGCCCCAGCTTATGAATATGGTTTTTAATAATATACATTTACATACATATATATCTGTTGTATTTGTACATTTCAATAAAAACACGAATTGTGTAGCATGAGGACTTAAATTCTCAGCTCCACCAAGGGGGCGTTGCCTTCTGAAACTTTGTTGACATTCAGTGGGTCAGAATTAGATACCAAGAAGGAAGGACGCCATCACTTCACCAACTTGACCCAATCAATTCAGACCAGCTGAGAGCAAAACAGAAGCAAATACAGATTAAACTAGCTCACCCCAGGGAACGTTCACATCCTTGGCTGAGGTGTCCAAATGGATCAATAATATGCTTTCCTGACCTACATATAATGGTAAAAAATTGAACTCAGGTTCACAAAGAAACTGTTAACTTTGGCTATAGCAATGGCATTTCCCCCTTCTTTGGAATGTATTGAACTAATGTTTCTTCTGAATCATAAATTCCTCAAAATTAAATCTAATGCAAAATCACATTTCCTATAAGAAAAAATCAAATTTGCAGTTTCATCAGAACTGAAATACATGGACTCGAGTTCAATGTGGAAGGAATCCCCTGCTTGGGCTGTGTTTCTACTAATGATATTATAGTGCCCTCTCTCCTTACTTCTGAGACACTATTTTATTTTTATTTTTATTTTTTTTAATAAAGGAAGGAGTTCAAAGAATGTCTTAAGAGAATAATGCCCAGATTTGTGGGCAATATTATGTCTTGGGAAACACATTTTGTTGTAAACATTTTTTTTTAATTCTTCTTAGAGGTAGGCTGTGTATTGTGGGAAATGGAGGGCCTCCTCTCATCTGTGCACCATATGAACTGATAGTTGAACAGCTGTGGTATATACACACATTTATGCACATATTAAAAGTGATCGCTACATCTGAACCTACATTCTCTAAGGAAAACCACATTGAGAATCATCACATTGTAGCAGCTTACCGAAGCTTATCTATCTTAGGTGAGGACAAAACCCTTCACTGGGGAGTTTATTTTACAAAATTATCGATGAATTCTAATTTCTAGGTCATGAGAAATGCCATGTACTGAGAAAGGAATGCTTTGCCTATATTTGTCAAACAGAAGATAGAGTGCTTTTTTTTAAATGCGTGATTACAGGAAGGCAGCATGGTACAGAGGAAAGAACGTGAGCTTCACAGTCAGAAATAGCTAGGTTTGTATCTTAGCTCTACCACTTACAAGAGTCCTGGTTTTGAGTATGTTATTTCTCTAAGTTTCAGTTTCATAAATGTCTGTGGTAGAAATGATAATGCATATCTTGCAAGCTAATTGTGGAGGAATAGATAAGATCATTTTTGTATCCCGAACAGTTTCTAGACTTCTCAAAATCATAGGCACTGTTGGAATCTTACTCTTACTGATAGGAATAATGCAGACCTTAGTGTTTTTTGCCCAGTCCCTCATAATGGAGGATTTACAGTCTAGCCAAGTTTCACCCAGTTATTTCTTGACATTACTAGATAAATCACCCCAACAGTATTTACTACCCCAATGCTTTCCTTTGCAACGTTCTCTGAGCCTGAAAGCTTTCCTGTGCCAACACTGCTGTTGCAGGTCATGAGAAGGCCAATAGATGTTCTAGGAATGTTGGCTTCCAGAGCTGCCCAAATGGAACACCCTCAAGGTGTTTGAGCCACCACCTTCCCCTAAATCCTGTCTGCACTGAAGCCGGGATGAGGCCTACTCAGAAGTGAGAAGAGAGTCTGTCTCTTACTCTGTGGCACACTATGTCATCTGAGACCCAAATGTACTTGTGCCACCCTGGTTTTCAGAGTAACTCACACAATCAGTTTCTTCACCTTTTGCCTACAGCTTCCCTCCCCACAAAGCTCAGAGTGATAGAAGCCACAGAGATCTGCTGTGTGATCTTGAGCAAGTTACTTAACTTTTCTGTACCTTGGTATCCTGCCATATAAAATAAGCATTATACTAATAGGTACTCAGTAGAATTGCTGTTATGACCATATGCTTCAAGTATACAAAACATACATTGTAAGTATTGCATAAGTGTTAGTGGTTAGCAGAACTTTTACCCTCAGAAGTATTCTAGAATGTAGGCCCTGGGAATAAGAAGAAATTGTTGGAAGAATTATATAACGAGTGAAACCATTTAATTGAAATATGAAAAGGAGAAGTGATTAATGCTGTGCCCCAAACTGGTACAGTTATCTCTAATCAGATGATACTGTTTCAAAACAAATAAGTATTCTAGGAACGTAGAGGAAAAATTAACTTGTCCTGTGAACCTAAGTCTATTGACTGTATAAGAGGAAAGGAAGAAAATTCATACTGGAGTTAGTGTCTTCAAAAACCTGGAAAAATTTAAGTGATTTAAAAAGAAGAGAAGAGGAGATGGTAAAACTAGATTAATGGTATGTCATGACTATGGAGATGGCAAGGAAACCAGGTATATTTGAAAACAGTGAGTGGTACACAGGATAATGGAAATGAAAAATATGGGCATTCCAGTTGGAAAAATAAGCTGGGTGTAGGGATAGCATTGAATGGCATGTTCAGAAGTTTAAATTTACTCTTCAAGCAATGAAGAAACACCAAAATTTTTGTAAATAGAACCCTTGACCATTTTAACATTTTCAAAGAATGCTCACTTTCAAACATGATGCTTGAAAACCCTCAAATTGCCTTTTATGTTCTAAATTTACCTGTGTTTTTGTTGGTAGGGCAAGCTGTGTAATTTGCAGGTGTGTCAGCATCTTAGCACAAATTTTTAAATTGTATGTTTTATTGCGTTTTACCTATATTATACCAACAGAAAATAAAGTGCTGATATAGGTGAGAAGTGAAGACCTCATGAACTGAATAAACTTTGAGATAAAGATGGAAATCATCACATAGAGACTGTTAACCTTCAATTTGTTACTCATTGAACCTAAGCCTGTTGACTGCATGAGTAATTAGGAATGAAGAGAACAAAGTCAAAGAACATATGTGAAATGCTAATTACAAACTTTTAAGACAATATCTAAAAGGTGAAAGGTAATTAGAAGTTTGGATCAATTTTTTGTACTCCAGGAGTTTTTTCTTATGTAATTTCACTGGTGGCTTGCACATATTTGCCTTTGGTAAGTTTTCAGGAATATTGTTATGTAAGAAAACAGGGGACTATTTGAAACTGATGTTTTGAAAAGATAACTTGGATAATCCTGTGGGTAAGGGAGGAAAGCTTTGCTATAGCTCAAATTAAAGATGATGGAGACCTAAGGCAAAAGCGGAGAGCATGAACGGAGGTTCCACAGCAGCTGCTCAAGAGAAGAGAAAGGAAGGCCAGAAAAGAAAGGAAATTGGATGACAGAATATCATCTAACTTTCTCTAAGATATTTCATGAAGTTTGTATAAGCCTGACGTCAATACCACACAAAGACAAACAAAAAGGAAAATTATATCTTGAACTGTGTGTACATAGACAGAAAAGTTCTAAGAACATATTGGCAAACCAAAGATAACAATGCATAAAAAATCATGACCACATTGGATTTATTCCAGCAGTGAAATGATGGTTCAATATTAAAAAGACATTAATATACATTACCACATTAACATACTTTTTAAAAGACATCATTATTTCAACTTGTGGAGAAAAGGACTTTAAGTTCAGTGCCCATTAATGATATTTATGATAAAACCTTTAGCAAAATAAGAAAAATGACTTAACCTGGTATATCAGTGTTGTTCTAATCAGGAAAGGAAAACCATACAGCAATATGAATAGGGAAAGTTTAATAAAAAGATTTTTTTAAGTAAAACATGATATTAGAGTGGGTGAGGAATTAGCTACAGCAAGTATAAAATGCACTACTACCACTAGGGCTGAGATACAGTACCCAAAGAAGACCCTCTCCCCATTCCAGGTCCAGAACTTCTTGGAGTGGGAGATGGTAGAGAAGTTACTATGGTGCCATGCCACTGGAATTTGATGAAAATCTGCCCTCAGGAAGTTGCAAGAAACCTACTCTGGGATTTTGAGGGAAAACTGTTCATACAGTAGTATCTTCCTGGAAGAACTGTGCAATGAAACAATAGGAGAGAGATGCCAGTGGAAGCTGCTGTTCACTGGTGGCTTCTACTCTCCATGGCCTCTGGTTGCCTAGTGCTGAAGAAGCAGTTTGTGTTATAGGAGCTGGACATTGGGGAAGCTGCCCATTCCTGATCTTGGAGAAGCTGTAAGTGCTTCAAGAGCAGATGCTAGAGGAGCTGCCTGTGCTGTAGGGGCTGGGCAGTGGACAATCCATATGAGCAAGAGCATGCATGGTTACCACCCCAAAGTCAGGAAAGAAAACCCTTTCCTCTTGCAGTCTCTCTCTACAACCCACTACTGGCAAAGTTTAACATTATGCCAGCTGTCAAAGGAAAAATCTTAAAGGGCCCATTTCCATTTACACAGGCAGGCAACAAAGAGTGTATTTGGAGTGAAGAGGCAATAATTTGATACGTAGTGCAGCTAGTAATAGAAATCAGCCAAAAAATATAGCATATGGAGCAACTATTATAATTTTGCAATATTTAAAAATATTTCTTTTTAAATCAAGAACAGGACACAGATTCTAGCTATTATTTCTTCAACATTCAACTGAAAGATCTAGCCAGTAAAATAAAATAAAAATGAAACAAAACATATAAGCATTGAAATCAAAGCAAACAAAAGGATTATATTTTCATGAAAAACATAAGAGACTACAGATAAATAATTAAAATTTACATCATTTTTAACCTGGGCTGCCAGACTATGAGCTCATATTTTTAATCGTCTTTGTATGTTGTCCCCTTAAATTCTCAAAGACAAGTGTGCCCAAGCCAGTGGCTCATGCAAGTTCAACATTCAACAAATATCCATTGAGCACTTGTTAAGGGTTAGGCAATCTAAGTTGTTGGAAAAACAGCACTAACAAGATAAGCAAAGTCCTTCCTGTCTTCAACTTATATTCAGATAGGAGAAGTTCTGTGAGGAAAGTAAAACAGGGTAATCTACTAAGGGTGCCTTGGTGAGCTTAGCAAAAATTCTTCTTCCAACAAATCAACTCAACAATGGAGCACTAACACAAGTCTCATGAGTTTAAGTACTGATTACAAAACTAAATTTGATAAAACATCTTTGCTCAATGCACACTCCAGCCCATCGATTTCAGGGTTAATTAATGCCTAATGGGCTCTTGAATAAGTTCAGTTTGAAACCTTGGTGTACCATTTACTATTCATTAGCTATTCATGACACCTCTGAAATGGAGATAACATATATATATATATCTCAATAAATAACTATGTATAATCACATATGATGGTTATCAAGACTGAATGAAACTAAAGTGCTGGGCATCATGGTTGGCAAGCAGCATTCAATACATATTGAAGATAATGGTGATAATTTTAACTTTATTAAAAATATATTATCATTTAATATAAAATATTAATATAAATATTTTATTTTTATTAAAAGCCATATATCTTAAGTTATCCTATCAAATGCAGTCAATCAAATGGCATACCTATATGATAGTTACTGAGCTGAGTGAATAAATTTGTTGGTCTATATCCATCTAAGATCTAAAGGGCTCTTCTGTTAAAGAAATCATTAGCTAGGGAAACAGAGTTCTACATGTTTCTCACCATTGGGTGTAGGCAGTCCAGATTTAGTGAAAACACATTTGTGGGCAAGCTTACATAGAATCGTAGTTTAGATTTACACAAACCTATACATTTTCAAAGCATGTTATGATTATTTACCATGTTGTTATGACAAAGAGCCAAAGCTATAAGTCAGCATTGTATGGGAAATGCTTACAATTACATACAAAGAAGAAAGTAAAGGTGTTTATAGAAGCTTTAAGTAAAAACAAAAAAAAGCAGGAAATTCTGTGTAGTATTTTTATTTTTGATGAATTGTTTAATCTTTTGAAGTGATCACTTTGGGTGAGTTGTGTAATCAAGATTGGTGATGTTAGCTTGCAAGTCTTTTGCCAGTAGCAGATAGCAGGGATCTGGTATTGATGTCAAAAATAAAAGAAGAAAGGGAGAGAGAGGTAGCAAGGGAAGCAGAAAGGCTTAGAAGGAGGATGAGAGAGAGAGAGAGAGAGAGAGAGAGAGAGAGAGAGAGAGAGAGATCTCCAGTTGTCATAGTGATTCATTTTGTGTTTTCTATTTAAAGCTGTTTGCTAAGGCATTATTATAAATGCAATTCTCTGCTTTTCCTTCTCATTCTCCAGATTGTCTTTCATTCACCTTTCTTACCCTACTTTTTCTGTATCTTGTGACTCTTCTCAAAGTCAGGTTTCTTCTGTTGGGTCTAACATTTTGTTTATTTTCTATTTGTTAATAGAAAATAATGATCCATTCAGGTCAGCAGAGGAACCGAATAACAATGTTATGTCCTTTTCCCTTATAACAAAACTAAAGTTTTGTATAGGAGAAGGCATTAAGTAAATTTTCTAAGAAGTTTGCTTTTAATGGAAGGAATAGTATGGAGATTATTTTTCTGTTATTAATCTTCAGAAAGAGGCTACAGTAATATTCTCAATACCACCTTAGAGATTTCTCTAGCCTGAAGCACTATTATATATAAAATATAGAATCATAGAATTGTTAGTGGATCTATGTCATTTTTCATCTATCTAGGAGGTCTCCTCCTTCCTAATCCCTCCTTGGTTTCTGTCAAAGATGTCGTCCTTTCCTCATTATATGTAGTCTCAGTGGGAAGTAGCATCTGCTTCCTATCACAGTCTTGGGGTCAGATCCTCCCTCACCGTGTTCCTGCGCACAGAGTCAGTAGACTGTGATCTGGGCCAGAAAAATGAGATACTTTCTCCCTGGACCAGAATGATAAAGCATGTGAGTCACGGTTAGAGCTTATTGTTTATCACTGCAGTGGTGACATGCTACCTAAATTCCTGTTGAATGTCATTCCTCTGTAATCCTCAAGTGTGATCCAAGTGAATCTCTTTTGCTTTAAGTAGCCAGAGTAGATTTTTTTGTTGCTTACAACAAAAAACTGAATTTTAGAGTCATTTCATTGATTAGAAGAAATCTTGGAAGTTCCATTTTAGGAAAAAGATATAAACAAGATGAGAGTGGTCACCTATAAAACAAGGTTCAGATAAACTAACCTTATCAATGACCATCCATCACTTGATTGACAATGGATCATAAGCACGCAGTAGTTTTATCTGTAGAGGGACAATCAGAGATCAGCTAGTGTGGATTGGGCTCAGTGCTCTGGAGAAGGGATGTCACACAGAACAGGAAAAAAAAGTAAATTCTCAAAAAGTAGACCTTAAAATACTAAGCAAAAGATATATATGATCAAGGTTTTTTGAGTTCTTGAAGCCTAGCTTTGGTTGACCAAAATCCAACTTATTGTATAAAAACAATAGAAATGAGAAGAATGTATATGAGAGTCAATTTTTCTAACCTGAAGTTAATTAAAAAGAAAAAGCTGAGGAGGGAGAAGAAAAGCCTAAGAAGAGAGCAACAGGAGTATAGGTCGGGTAGGGGCTTTACGCCATCTTCTCCAGATTGTCCTCACTCTAAAAGAGGTTTAGAATAATAGGAGAGTACATTAAATGTGCCTAGTCTCTAAGTGAGCCTAAGGAGGCAGGAAGCCTTTCTGAGAGCCTCACACTCAGGGGCGATTGGCAGTGGAAGAGAAGACACAATACCTTGATGTCTAGGCAGAAGGGATGTATGCGGCCTTCCAAGTTTTGATTATATAGCAGAGAATCAGGAAGTTTCTCAAATTCTTAGAAGGGGTGCAGAAATACCCTAGAGAGGTTTGACTCCAAATATGATTTGCCTTTGTGTCTCCATCCAAATCTCATCTCGAATTGTGATCCCCATTTGTTGAGGGAGGCACCTGGTAGAAGATGATTGGATCATGGGGTCAGTTTCTCCCATGCTGTCTCATGAATTTTCATGAGATTTGATGGTTTTATAAGTATTTGGCAGTTCCGCCTTTGCTCTCTCTTGCTTGCCGCCATGTTAGAAGTGCCTGATTCCCCTTCTGCCATGCTTGTAAGTTTCCTGAGGTCTCCCAGCCATGTGGAACTGGGAGTCAATTAAACTCCTTTTCTTTATAAACTACTCAGTCTTGGGCAGTTCTTTATAGCAGTGTGAGAATGGACTAACACAACTCCTCTGAGAGTCCAAGAGGATCCTGTGTGCACGGACTGACGCACATCAAATAAGAACTTGCCTCTCCACAGAATGCCAGTGAAGATGGATGCCAAAATGTAGGGTAGGGATGAGGTACATTTGAGTGGATGCTAGCATGGACACATGAGGAGCTTGGGCCATATCCCTGATACTTCAAACCCAGCCTCATAAATACATAGTGTTACAAAAGCTCACTGGATGGCAGATCATTTCAGGTAAAAAGAGAGGACTGACATGAATGAGAAAATTCCTAATTTGAGTTTACTTGGCATTAAAATTATATTTTATGCAGTCAGAAAAATTGGCAGCTAAATAGAAAATCTACTTTGAGTTATAGAATAATAAGAAAAATATATTTCTGGATGAATAAATTATGGATCAAAAAGATTGTACCTCATAAATGTATCCAAGAGTGTATCATTTATTTTGTTAAAAATTCTTCAAATATCTGATAAAAATATTTTGTGATTGCCTGCACAGAATTCATCCCCTCTTGTTCTGCTTGGAGCTCTGTAGCTTTTCTTCGGGAAATCCACCATCTGTGTTCGTTCCTGAGAGGTTTTTATGAGGCTGATTCCACCCTCTAGCTCTGGGGTGGGCAAGTCAACGAGGCACAGTGGATCAGAGTCAAAGTTCTTGGTTCCCAAGTGAGTTTGTGATAGCGTAGAACAATAAGGGTTATCCTAGGGAATTGTTTTTGCATGGAAAACAGGTGTTAGTGTGGACATGCTAGTAGTCATCTTTCCCATGTTAAGGTAAAAGCTTGCCTGAGAGTAGAACCAAAATATGAGAGAGAGAAAGTAAATATGTAGAGAAACAAAAACTATCCTGAAATTATTACTCAAAGTCTGGATCTAGCTCTGCCTGGACCAGATTTTTTTCTTCACTAATTTTTGGTCACATGCAACAAAATTTTTTGCTTGTTTAAGTAAAATTTCTTTACCCAAATTTGGGTACCCAAAAAAGCCATAATAGAAATACATTCTCATTGAAATTCAAAATAAAACACAAACTTCTTAGCATGACCTACCAGGTCTTATATCATCAGTTCCTTGCTGGGCCCTTCAGCCTCTTACTATACCCTTCCTCCACAACAAAGCTCTGGACATCCGAGATTATCCTGCCTCATTCTTCCCACTCTCCCTTCTGTGATTTTCCTGGCTATTTCCTTCTCATCCTCAGGCCCTGGTTCAAATATTAAAGATACTATCTCTGTTCAATTCTGCTCCCACCCCACCTCAAATCTTCTCCATTTCATCATTCAGTTTATTTTCTTCATAAAATTTATCAGTACCTAGAAAAACGATGTCTATTTAATTATTTACATTTCAAATTATCTTCCTTCTCTAACCAGAATGGAAGCTTCATGAGAGCAGGTACGTTACCTATCTCAAGCAAGCCATGGTGATTAACCTTTGGCAGGCACATAATCAATACTGCTGGAACGAATGAGTGAGTTTTACTTTTATATTGAACAATTACGTAGTGCTTACTACAATGCTACAGGTCTTCTAATTATTAATATTTTTCTTATAATGTTCCTATGAGGTTGGAATTAGTACTTATCTCCATTTGCATGATTATCAATCTGAACCACAAGATGGTTAAGCCATTTGCCCAAGTGGGAGAGCTGGCTTCATACTGGATTCACACTGGCCAGCTGGCTCTGAAATTACTTCTCTCATCCTATGTGCTTTACTTCCGGAAACACTAATTGGATGATTTAATGAACAAGTTGGCTATTAAGGAAGTGATCCTTGCTAGATGGGCTGAGAATGCTCAGTTCTGAATGTAAAAAGCAATGATTGACCTTGTAATCCATGACTTAGCCAAGACATTAGCCCTAAGAAGTTTGACCAGTGGCTGTAGGAGCTTCCTTCATATTTACTGGTACAATATTGTGCATATTTGAGAGAGTTGTTAGGCTGCTGTGGTGGTTTATGAGTGCTTATAAAATCCTTTACATCTATTTAATATTGTGATATAACGTTAGTCAGTTGAAAAGATACCAATTAGTTCATTCATGAGGAAAAATTGTAAGGGCTTTCAGTGAGAAAAGACCTCAAAGGCATACTTTTCTCATTCTTTATAAAGCAACTGTGACATTTTATAATGTTTGACCAACCATTGTATAGTGAATGCTGTTGAATTTTTGTAATGTACTTCAAATCTTATCTCCCATTTTCTTTAATACTTTTACAATAGTTATGGTCTGATGCTACTCATCATCTGGAAATAAGATGAATTTAATAGAAAGAATGTTTCTCATTTATTCTTCAAAACCATTTTTATGTTAACCAACATTAAAAAAGCTGTGGGTATATTTGTTTCTTTCCATTGAGAACATTATTCTTCTCTTGTTATAGACAACTTTTTTCCCCTTCTTTGGGCAAAACTTAATCCTTACTGAAACGAATTGCAGCTGTTGTCCAAACTTACATTTTTATACTGATAGGAAGCAGTCAGACATTTCAAATATTCCGTTTTGTTTAAAAGTAAGTTAACAGTTTGGTTAACTGTTAAGAGTACATCAATGAAGGAATTGTACAAGAATGTGTTTGTGGCCAACTGGATGTTTGTCATTTAAAATACTTGTGAAGGCAACACAGCTAGACTTGAAAGAGTTATAAGGCCCTGCAGACTGGGAGAAATTCATTGAGGGAGAATCCACTAACTCTTGAAGTGGTAGCTTTTGACTTCTGGCACTGTAAATACCAGCTAAATGAGGCACAGACTGCATTTCTAAATGAACTAACCCTTACATAATTTCCTTTTTTAAACAACTCCATAAGGGCTGCAATGGTTAGAATTACAGAATCTGACATAACAAGATAGATTTATTTTGATACCAAGCTCCCCTAAAAGTCAACCACTCTCTTCTTTTGTCTCCATTCTTGACTTAGAACAATATTGATTTCCTTTTTTGAAAACTTGCAAATATTAGGAAAAATCAGCATTTGATACATTCTCTTCACCTTGAATTTCCCACTACCAATTCACACCTTATTTAATCTTATGAAATAGTAATTAAAAGCATGGGCCTGAGATAACTGATCAGAGTTAGAATCCAATTAATGTAAGCCCACTAGAAAGTAGCCTCACCACTTAATAGCCATCTAGCTCAGGGTGAATTAGGTAACTTTTCTAAACCTCACTTTAATCTTCTGCATAAAAGAGATAATATTGTCCACTTCATAGAATTTTGGGGGGCATTAAAGAAATAATCTACGTGTAGTACCTAGTATCTACTGTATGATTCATCAACAGAAACACCAACACCAAGAGTTAAAGGAAATATTAAAAAGCTTAAATTACCACTAGAAAAAAAGGTTCCGTCTCCCACCAGCTTGTATTAATTAGAACTAATTCAAATTAACTAAAGAAAAAACTTCCTTAATAATAATTCAAAATAATACTAGGATGCCTTATATAACTCAAGGACAGGAATGCTGCTGGTCTCAGGAAGAACTGGAAGAGAAACTTCAAAGCCAACAGAATTCTCTGTCTCTCACCTATTCATATTTCTGAATATCCACTTTGTCCTTCTCTCTACTCTGTTTTCTCTCCCTTCTCTTGACCATGTGGTAGAAGTCATGACCATTAACAACTCCCAGAGGTTATAAGTTCATCCGTTTAAGAGAAAATTACTTGTTATTTACCTGCCAAATCCAAATCCCTGATCAAAAGCTTCACTAGTCCACTCTGGCTCAAGAGCCCACTGCTGGTTCAATAAGTGAAGTCAGAGAGCCCCTTGGCTACAATCATCATAATAGGAAGGGGGAGTAGTAGTAAGGAACTATTTAGTTTCTTGCAAAGGGATTTCTTGGGTGGCCATAAAATTGCCCAGCCTTCTCCAACTCTGTTCAGCTCTCCCCTTATGTTGGGGCATGTGTCATCTTGGAGATTCTGGTTTCTGTTGTTGCCGATGCCATTTTTCTCCCAAGCATGGTATCTTTCTATAGTACTTCTATTATGAGCACAGCTACTAGCCTTGATGCAAATGGTCCAGGTTCTCAAAAGTGCTTGTCTAATCTATGTGCCTTTTTTCTCTCCTCCAGGTAGATTATAGAATCTCAGCACATCAAAGTGAATTTAGAAAATGGAAGGCACACACACATGTATATACACATTTTAAAAATGAGAAAACTGAAGCCCAGATAGGTGAAATGCTTAGCTAATGTCACATAGCAAATTAATAAATTATGACCAGAAGTCAAGTCTCTGGACTTACAAATTAGTCTTCTTCTTCCTATATTAATCTGGATACTTCTTGGTCACCAATCACCACTCATAATCCATTTCTCTGTCTACAAAATGCAGATTGTTTCTGTGTCTAGAGTGCTGCTCTTCAACAAGAATAGCTGTGTCCCTCAGTGCACCCTAATGATAACTATGCTGATTATACCCCACTTCAGCAAAAGCAGCTGCTGCATGAAACTGTGAACTTTAATCGCTGTTAGCTTAGAGGCAGCAAAATACAACTGAAAGGGGTATAAATTATAGACTGTACTCATTATCTTTGTAACCCATGTTTCATTAAGTTCCTTGTTATTAGTGCATGTATTAAGCACCTGAGTATCCTATTTGTGACTATTTTGAAAAATATTTATAAGTGGACAGCAGAAAATGTATAATAGTGAAGAGTTTGGACATTGTGAGACTTACTGTGAATGAGCTTGGGCCTTTGAGGAATCATGGATATTTTTGAATACATTTCTAAAGAAAATAAAGTCACTCATTCCTGGAAAAAAAAATCAAACACTTATAAAGAGAGCCTGATGCAAAATTATTTCATCTACTCTTTGATAGTTCTCTAGGTAGCCCTAAATATTATGTATTTGAAAAAAATAAGGAATAATTAATTATTACTGCCTAATGTAAAGCATTTCCAATATTATATCATGATGTACTGAGCTTCATGATTATTTGTTTATATTACACATATACTCCTTATTGACATACCCATATATTTTTCCTCATGTCATATTTACTTCACATTTGTTGGTTTGGGATTCTCAAAATGTCCGCTAATTTTTTCAAGTCCCCCTTTCTCCACTCTAGTCCATGTGGTTTTAGGGAGTTGGCTCTACCCTTAGATCCAAGGGATGGCACGTCACCAAGATATGGCCAACTAGAGCCCCCAGGTCTCCTGTCCCTGCTCAGGAATAAGCCTGTATCCCAGTAAAAGACAATGAGACACAGTTTTATGACATTTGTTTAAATCATTGGGTAGAATTCTAAAAAGATAGATTGTAAGTTAAAACTCTTGGCAACCACCAGGGAAAAAAAAAAGCCTTTCTGAGACTTGAGCCAACACAGAAGCCAAACTGAAAGATGGATAGAAGTTCAGCTGATATTATTTGAGCCCCTGGATCTAGATCTAGCCATGCATGATTTTTTTTTAATTTAGGAAAGTATTATTTTTATCTGTCACTTGCAGTTGGAAGATTCTTGACCAATTTGATGTAATAACTTCTTTCACAAACCTATCTTCGTATAATCACACTTCGCTATATCTTGCCTACTTTTAGAAAGGTGGAGCTCATTTAAAAGTGTAACTGCAAACATTGCAAGATCCTTAAGTAAAGGATGGCATGTTTTCTGAAAGGAAGGGAAAAGACCAATAATTAGTAATAATTGTTTGATGCTGGAATTTGATTTTTTTGAAAGTAAAATATAATAATCAAGATGGGAGATAATCACACTTTAAATGATAAAGGTGGAGAGGAAGAAATGCACAATGGAAATATTGAAGAGGAAAAATTCAGCACTTGTTAATATTTACCCTCAGGCTTTGTGCTTTGGGTAATAGTAGCATGATTCAGTGCATTTGGCAACTGGGGAGGGGCAGAAATTATGCAAGGGAAGTTTGCTATTTTATCTCTGCTGAGTTTTCTTTGATTTGGCACCAAAACAGCTTGTTTGAAAGCTCTGAGGCTTGGATCATAGATAGATAAATCCATTTGCTTGTCTTGTGTGTAGAGAAGCTGGTTTAATGAGAGTAGGAGGAATTAGTTACATGTTATCCTGCAGAGATTCAAGCACAAGGTCTAGGCTGGGATGCCAGAAGTTCACAGTTGTTGTGAAGAAAACTGTGTAGAACCTGCCATGGGGAATCCCAAAGGTAGGGGAGGTAAACTGGTAAAGATGCAAATGTTCTATTTGACCATTTGATGGGGCCAAGGAAGACTAGCTAAAAGCAATGTCTATCCCATGGCCTGTATATTTAAGAGAAAACCCACATTTTAACACAAATTAAGGGAAAGAAAATTGGAATTCTTGAGTTCTACTTTAATGTGAATTTAGCCAGATACCAATAGACATTTTTCATTATCCCCTTCTAGTTTGTCTGTTTTTAAAAATAATGTGGCAGATTAAAACACTCAGATAATGTGTTCAATGTAAAATGTGACACCAAGCAAAACATTGTGGTTGCTCTCTTTTTATAAGGCACCATGTTTCCAAACTACTAGATTTATGGTAATTTACCTAGTGGGAAAATACCCTTCCAAAATTGTAGTATAAATGTTAGTTTAATAATATCTGATTATTTACAGTATATGGCATTGGGAAGGCTTAAATCATGTTAAAAAATATCTTTATACTTAAGCATCACCTTAGCAGAATTTAAATAACTGAATATATATAAATGTTAATAATCTCACTTTCTATAGAGAAAGTGTATCAATCATTTGGAACAAAGAATAAACATACCATACTACTTTATTTTCAAGGAATTATTCAGAAATAGACCACTATTCATTTATATGCATGGCTTGCTTGAGTTAATATATCTCGATAAATTTTTAAAAGCATTTATATCATCAATAGAATAATATGCATAGGATTTTGTATGATTCAGGAAAAAATTGTGAAAGTTATATTAATACATAATTCTAATAGGATTTCTAAGCATGCTTCCTATACTTTACAGAGTCATGTGATTATT
Source organism: Homo sapiens (assembly GCF_000001405.40). Lineage (NCBI taxonomy): Eukaryota > Metazoa > Chordata > Mammalia > Primates > Hominidae > Homo > Homo sapiens. The sequence continues at coordinate 107,139,891 of NC_000008.11, read as the reverse complement.
AGCTATTTACTCATCCCTTTTCTTACAAAAACTAACAGATGGATATTTAGGGATAAACAAATTTGGACTTTTATAAGAATACAAGCATTTCTCATTTTGTTGAACTTTGCTTTATTGTGCTTCACAAATAACTGATTTTCTATAAATTGAAGATTTGTGGCAACCCCACATCAAGCATATGTACTGGTGCCATTTTTCCAAGAGCATATGCTCATTTTGTGTCTCTGTGTCACATTTTGGTGATTCTCATAATACTTCACTTTTATTATTATGGTGTCAGTTATAGTGATCTGTGATCAGTGATAAAATGGCAGATTTAATTGCTGAATGTGTGTGGTCTGGCTACTCCACCAATCGACTCTTCCCCATGTCCCGCCTGTCCTTGGGCCTCACTTTTCCCTGAGACACAACAACATTGAAATTGGGCCAATTAATAATCCTACAAAGGCTTTTAAGTGTTCAAGTGAAAAGAAGAGACACAGGTCTCTCCCTTTGAGTTAAAGTTGATTAACAGGTTAAAAATACACAGTTTGATAGAGGAAATAAGCCATAGTATTATTGGATAGATTAGTAGCATGACTATAGTTTACAATAAACTTTTATACATTTCAAAGTAGCTAGAAGAGAAACATTTAAATGTTTCTAGCATAAATAAAAGATAAATATTTAGGTAATGGATATTCCAAGTACAATGATTTGATCCGTATAAATTATATAAATGTATTAAATGATCATGTGTACTATTTTTTAAAAGCTAGAAATGATTAAGCTTAGTGAAGAAGGCATGTTGAAAGCTGAAACAGGCCAAAAACTAGGCCTCTTGCTCCAAACAGTTATCCAAGTTTCTAATGCACAGGAAATGTTCTTGAAGGAAATTAAAAGTGCTACTCCAGTGAACATACAAATGATAAGAAAGTGAAACAACCTTATTGCTGATATGGAGAAAGTTGTAGTGGTCTGGATAGATGATCAAACCAGCCTGAACATTCCCTTAAACCAAAACCTAATCTAGAGCAAGTCCCTTACTCTCTCCAATTCTATGAAGGCTTGGGGAGCTGAGGAAGTTACAGAAGGAAAGTTTGAAGCTAGCAGAGGTTGGTTCATGAGGTTTAAGTCAAGAAGCCATCACCGTAACACAAAAATGCAAGGTGAAGCAGCAAGTGTTGATGTAGAAGCTCCAGCAGGTTATCCAGATTTAAGTAATATCATTGATGAAAATGGCCATACTAAACAATAGAATTTCAATGTAGATGAAATAGCCTTATATTAGAAGATGATGCCCTCCAGGACTTTCATAGCTAGAGAAGAAAAGTCAATGCCTGGCTTCAAAGCTTCAAAGAACAAGCTTACTAGCTTGTTAGGGACTAATGTAGCTGGTAACTTCAAGCTGAAGACAATGTTCACTTACCATTTCAAAAATCCTAAAACCTTTAAGAATTATGCTAAATCTACTCTACCTATATTCCATAAATGGCAAGTGGCACCAACAAAGCCTTAATAATAGCACAAAGCCTTAATAATAGCACATCAGTTAACATCATGGCTTGCTGAATATTTTAATCCCACTGTTGAAACCTACTGCTCAGAAAAAAATATTTATTTCAATATATTATTGCTCATTGACAGTCCACGTGGTCACTCAAGAACTCTGATGGAGATATACAAGGAGATTAATGCTGTTTTCATGTCTGCTGACACAACATCCATTCCGTAACCCATAGATTAAGAAATAATTTTGATTTTCAAGTCTTATTATTTAAGAAATAAATTTTGTAAGGCTATAACTGCCAGAGGTATAGTAAATTTACTTACAGTAAATTTTTACTATAAGTAAATAGTAAATATATGGTAAATAGTAAATTTTAGTATATACTATAAAATTACTACTATATTACTATTATTCTATGAAATATAAAATGTTTAGTATATACTATAAAATATAGAGTATATAGTAAGTTTTTACTATAAGTAAATTTTTTGGCATATACTTACAGCCTTTTGTAAGGCTATACCTGGGAAAAGTAAATTGAAGACCTTCTGGAAAGGATTTGTCATTCTAGATGCCACTAAGAACATTCATGATTCATGGGAGGAGGTCAAAATATCAACATTAACACAAGTTTGGAAGAAGTTAATTCCAACCCTCATGGATGATTTTGAGGAGTTCAAGACCTTGGTGGAAGAAGCAACTGCAGGTGTGGTAGAAATAGCAAGAGAACTAGAATTAGAAGTGGAGCTGAAGATGTGACTGCATTGCTGCAATCTAATGATAAAACTTCAATGGATGAGGAGCTGGTTCAATGGATGACCAAAAAAAATGGTTTATTGAGATAGATTCTACTCCTGGTTAAGATGCTGTGAACACTGTTGAAATGGCAACAAAGGATTTAAGAATATTACATAAACATCATTGATAAAGCAGTGGCAGAGTTTGAGAGGATTGACTCTAATTTTGAAAAATTTCTACTGTGGGTAAAACGTTATGAAACAGCATTGCATTCTATAGAGAGACCTTTCATGAAAGGAAGAGTCAATCAATGCAGAAAACTTCACTGTTGTCTTACTTTATGAAATCGCCACAGCCATCCCCACCCCCACCTTCAGCAACTACCACCCTGATCAGTCAGCAGCCATCAACATCGAGGCAAGACCCCCTACCAACAAAAACATCAGAACTTGCTGAAGGTACAAATGATTCTTCACAATTTTAAAAATAAAGTATTTTTTAAATTAAGATATATACATTGTGTTTTTAGACATAATGTTATTGTACAATTAATAGATGACAGTAGAGTGTAAACATACCTTTTATAGGTACTGGGAAAACAAAAAATATTCATGTGACATGTTTTGTGATATTTGCTTTATTGTAGTGGTATGGATCTGAACCAGTCATATCTCTGAGGTATGCCTGTACATTAACTCTCCCAAAATATCACTGGACAACTAATAGATATAAATTGTATGCTAAGTTTTTTAATACTCCATGATTGCTTTTTTAAAGTACCTTCATACAATATTTATGCTTAAACCCACCTGCATCCAAACTTCCATACCTATGTTCCTAGTGTAAAAGGATCAAAAAGAAGAAAAAGAGGAAGAAGAAGTAGGAGAAGGATAGACAGGAGAAAAACAGAAAGAGGAAGAAAAAGAATATTAGCATACTTTCTTTTCTCTTCATGTCTAAAGGCAAATCAAGTTTTCTTTCTGTAAGATGAGAGGGAAGTTTGGAAGGAAAGATACCCAGAATGAAATTGGAAAACACCATCTGGCTTTGGTTGTCTACCAGTCTAAAAATCCTTAAGAAATTTGCTACAGGACACTTCTTGGTATTAGAGGGAAATAGAACCTGTTTTTGAGGTGAGGACAATAAGATTCTAGGTGCCAAGCTGTTTTGCCCCTGTATTTGACTCCCTGTTAGGATTATCTGCCACACACTTTCATATCCCTTTTAAAAAAATTCCCTGAATTCTCATTTCATCCACAAAACCTCCCTGACAATTTCCTCCCCTGCTATGGCCCCAACTATTTTCGTACAACAGTCATAAAATGAAGAACAAAGTTTAAATGACCGAAAGTGTTAACCACCATCTGTAAGACTAAAAATATGTTGCTAGTTGATGCTGTAAGGGTTGTAGCTTTTCCTTGACCTGTAGTTTTTATTCAGGCTCCACAATTTAACTAAGTCTACTTTGATACACTCAGACCATATTTTCATCTCATGGAAGAGCATTTTTTCCTTTTATACTTTTAAAATTTATTTTATATGCTCAGGAGTTTGACACACTGCCTCTTATAAATTCCAATATTTATTACTATCCCAAATGGACTGGAGAACATTCTGGTCGAAGAATCTAACCATGAAATCACCTTTTATAATCCTTAAGACTTGTATTTTTATAAAGGCATATGCCTTTCTAGTTTCCTTATAAACTAGCAGAAGTCTAAGCAAATTTAGCCATATGTCTGATGCAGTGAAAGGTATATGTATTTGGAAGCACAAAATGGTAGGGATGCAGGCAATAATTTAAATGAATCACATAACTTCATTTATTTAGTAATTTACTGGTGTAGATAGAATAACCTCGCTGTAGTAGTTATAGATGGGGGTGAAGAATTAAGTAGTAGTAATGACAGAAGTATCTTGCTTCATTTTTAAATAATTTTTCTACTTTCTGTAACCACCCAGAAGCAACAAAAAGCACTTTGGTTTTGTGCCCTACTTAGTTCTTTAGATAGTGCTATTTTAGAAACTTTATTGCATTTCCTTTTCATATTTCAAAAGGAAATACATGATTACTCAAAACAGTAAAATTAAAAAATATCTGTAATGGAGTTTTGCTCTCTACTTCTCCAGCATTGTTTCGTCTTATAGTATTTATCCCAGGTTTATATGCGGGAATCCAAATAGACAAGGCTACAGGTTACTTAAGCCTAAACTGATCAACATGTACCATACCTTGATATGAATGATTGGGTCCCAGATGAGCACTGTATTAGTCTGTTCTTGCACTGCCATAAAAAAATACCTGAAATTGGGTAATCTATAAGAAAAGGGGTTTAATAGGCTTAGGGATCTGCAGGCTGTACAGGAAGCATGGCTGGTGAGGCCTCAGGAAACTTATGGTCATGGTGGAAGGTGAAGGGAAAGCAGGCACGTCTCACATGGCAGGAGCAGGAGGAAGAGAGTGAAGGGGGAGGTGCTACATATTTGTAAACAACCAGATCTTGTGAGAACTCACTCACTACCATAAGAACAGCAAAGGGAAAAGCACCCCCATGATCCAGTCACCTCCTACCAGGCCTCTCCTCTAACATCAAGGATTACAATTTAACATGAGATTTGGGTGGGGACACAAATCCAAACCAAATCAAGCACTTCAATGATAGGTAGCAAAAGGCAATAGAATTTTTCTAAAATGTTGCAAAAGAGGTTTCTCTTTTTCACTGGCATTCTGTCTGGGAGCATATGAGGAGATGATTCAGCTACCTTGTAACCACAGTGGAAAATCCTGGCATTCTGGGGTTATATTTTTGAGCCTCAGAATAAAACCAAAATAGGAATAGGAACTACTGATAAAGAGAAACTGGGCCGGGCACGGTGGCTCATGCCTGTAATCTCAGCACTTTGGGAGGCCGAGGTGGGTGGATCACGAGGTCAGGAGATTGAGACCACCCTGGCTAGCAGGGTAAAACCCTGTGAGAAAAAGAAAAATTAGCCAGGCGTGGTGGTGGGTGCCTGTAGTCCCAGCTACTCGGGAGGCTGAGGCAAGAGAATGGCCAGAACCCGGGAGGCAGAGCTTGCAGTGAGCCAAGATCACGCCACTGTACTCCAGCCTGGGTGACAAAGTGAGACTCCATCTCAAAAAAAAAAAAAAGAGAGAAACTGATAACCTTAGAGCTGCAAATCTATGTTGGCAGCCCTACTTCTGAATATTTCTGATGCTGATAAATGTATTTGAACTGATTGAAGTCTCTTTTACTATTTTTGATCCCTTACAATTGGAGTTGTTAAGTGATAGACAGTCCTTGGTTAGAGTAGGATTTCTTAAAGTATTAGCCAAAATATTTTCCAAAATTTCCCAGGAAATTTATCATTAAAATAAATTTTCATGGTCAATACATTTGAGGAATTCTAAATATCTTTTTCAGGAAAATGATATTTTAAACACCAGTTCCCTCCTTAAAAAATTTGCACTTAGAATAAAAATCATCATTCATATTATCTATAAGATTCTGCATGGACTTACCCTTAATTATTTCTCCTACTTCATCTCGAGTCTCTTGTTTGCTAGACTTTAACCACATTGGCCTTTTCTCTCCTCCTATATAGCAAACTCTCTCTTGCCTTGAAACTTTGAATTTGCTTTTTCACTCTATGATCTTAAATGCCCCTCTTTATCTGGCTAATTCCCACTTCTTGCTCCAGTTTAGATCACCCTTTTTGTGGGAGGAATTTCCTAAATCCATCCTCCAGTTAAATTGATACCTCTTCTTCATTCTCATGGCATCTTATTCTTTCCCTCCATAGTACATTACGATTCACTGCTATCTAAACATTTACATTTTTATTTGTTTAATCTCTATCTTCCCACTACTTTGGAAAGCTTGTGAGGACAGAAACCATGTCTGATTTGTTGATGTTTCTTTGAGCAAAGCATGGTACCATTCCTGGCACACAGTAGGAACTAGATAAATATTTATTGCTTAAATGCTATCTAGAGCTGTGAAGCATCTTAGCATATTACAGTGTTTTAATAAAGAATCCTATTTAAATTTGTTTAACCAAGAATTTCCCAATTATTTAAAAATCTAAACTTTTTATGTTTTAACATATACTAATATTTCTAGATACTATTGTCTTATAGCTCACATTTCATAAAACATTGTTTTACACTAAGTCATTTCTAATTTAAAGACTCAAGTCTAAAAGCCTGAGCTTATATTCTTATGATCATTGGATGAGTCTAAACCTCAGAGGCTTAAATAAGATAAAGCAACAATCGTCTTCTAGGACATTAACCCCAATCACTTTAGGGGGCATTGTATAGCATGCATATGTTACTTTTCTTGTGCTGCTTTTCAGGGAAAGGATGTAAAACATGCATCTTAAAGTTCATCAGCATGGAGATTTTTATGATATTAGACTTTAAAGAACTAGTGCATACTCCATTAGAATTTTAAAAATTACTAAATCAGTGTTCATTGAGAATATGGTTTGGCTTTTATTTTTAGGCACCTTTTAAATAAAGACTATCACATCATTGTTATGGAGATTAAATACTGTGGCGATTATTTTATTTTATTCATGTTCTCATTTATATTTGAAATGTACATTTTCCTAATACACAGAATTCCATATAAGTGTCCTTTAAAAAAATCTCGGAAGAACACTTCAAGCTGGCACTTGCTTTACTTTGCCTTCAGTATTTTGAACTTAACTTTCTGAATTCTGCCAAAAGCAGATGAGGTGAGTCCAAGAATATTTCAAATGACCACACACATCAATAATCAAACCTTCAAGCCCAGGTTCCTAACTCCAGAGCACAATAGAGTGCAGAAAACATTGAAAATGTCCATTATGCTGAGCAGGTGGAGAGTGAACTATTATTTGCTCACTCTGATGGAAGTCTGCCCACAGGCAGAATTCTTTCAAAAACCACAGGCTCCTCACTAACCATATGCAGGAATGACTTGCTCAAGGAAGGGTTGGGAAAATATCATCAGCTAAACCTGATAGTCATCTTTGCTTCTACCCAACTAGATCTACTTTCTCAATTTCATTTTAAACCAATGGATTTCAAACCAAAACTTACCAAGGAATGTTATGATTTTCTACTTATGATTTGTCCAACACCGTCTGTAATAGTTTTTTGATGTGTTCAAATTCATTTTCAACCACTGCAGAAGGTAAGAAGTTTTTCTCTCTTTATCCTCACATTGGAACATAAAACACAACCATCACCTTCTGGAACTTGCACGTAGAAAGCCTGGACAATGAAGAAGAGGCCCTTTTCACTGTACCTGATAGCAAGATAAGAGATAGAGGGTCTCTCCAGTGAAATAATACTCAGGTGTCCTGCAAGAGACAAGCCATCCTAGCTAAACCAAAATCTGTTTTGCCTCTAGAGAATTGGCACTGAGATTAGTCAGAATTGTTTTAATTGTCTCCCTGCAAATGTCCTCAACCCTCCTTGGATTTGAACACTCTCTAGTTTAAGGAAGAATGACTGGAACTGCATGACAGACATCCCCAGCCAAAGGAGAAAGAGAAAGGGTAGGACTATGAGAGGAAGAAGGGAGTGGTGTGTGAAAGTGGACCTAGAACACCAATAGGAAAGGGGTGGAGAGGAGATCTGAAAAGAAATAGGGTCCTTGGGGAGCAGAAGAAGTAGAGACTGTGCCCAGGAAAGTATAATGGGTGGAAATGGGCTTCTGTGAGTGGCCAGTCCTGCAGAAAGGATTGTCCTGCACATTGTTATGGATGGCTTGTGTGTGATCAGTCAGCACTGAGTTCCATCAGTGACAGATTATACTGTCTCATTTGTCCAAAGTTAAGGTTGAGTTAAGAAAAATTATTTTTTATAATTTCAACTTTTATTTTAGATTTAGGGGATGCCTGTGGAGGTTTGTTACCTGAGTACATTGCATGATGTTAAAGTATGGGGTATGAATAATCCCATCACACAGGTAGTGGGCATAGTACCCAATAGGTGGTTTTTTAGCCCTTAACCCGCTTCCTCACTTCCCCCTCTAGTAATTTATAGTGTGGGTTAAAGACATTTTTTAACACAGTTTTAAAAAAATACCTCATATCAGAAGCACATTCAGGAATAAATATATTCAACTATTGTTGGTGGAATAAATGCCTATTTTAGGATAAATTCTAAATTGCTTTATACAATATCAAATGTACAGATACCAAGGTATATATACAATTCCAGGCATCTATAAGAAGCTCAATGCATTACATAAATTATTTTATGTGGCTGAGATTCTACATGCAAACACACACACACACACACAGACTACCATCATTGCCTTAGGAATCCTGATTCTACTTTAAAGCTTACTAATACCTCATATTTATTCTGATGCTGCTTTGAGTTCTTACAATGAAAGTGATAATTTAAAACAGGGTGATTTACTGTTGAACTTTGATATTGAAGTGAGACCAAAGAACAAAACATTTGTATTTCTGCAAGTTCAAGCCAAGTAATTTTATGTATCAAAGACATCACTTCTTTTTTCTGTGTTCAATAACAGTCTTACCAGTGGTGGCCAACATTTCTCATGAGTTGAATATCATTTTACCAGACTTTAGCTGCAATTCAATCACCATGGGTCCTTACTTTCATTTGAGGAAGGGGAGTAGATTAATTAATACTTATAAAGCATTACATAAGTTTAAATAAAAGTTGAAATTAAAATGTGCTCGATGCAAGACAGACTGAATTTCATCAGCAAAATCTTTAGTCAATTTTTAAGTATATGAATAGGGTTAGGGAGCCAAACTGCCAAAGAAAGTCTTAACGACATTGAAAAAGGGATAAAAGCCGGGCGCGGTGGCTCACGCCTGTAATCCCAGCACTTTGGGAGGCCGAGGCGGGCGGATCATGAGGTCAGGAGATCGAGACCATCCTGGCTAACACGGTGAAACCCCCTCTCTACTAAAAATACAAAAAATTAGCCGGGCGTGGTAGCGGGCGCCTGTAGTCCCAGCTACTCGGGAGGCTGAGGCAGGAGAATGGCGTGAACCCGGGAGGCGGAGCTTGCAGTGAGCCGAGATCGCGCCACTGCACTCCAGCCTGGGCGACAGAGTGAGACTCCGTCTCAAAAAAAAAAAAAAAGAAAAGAAAAAGGGATAAAAAAAGGCCAGAAAGCACAAAAATTCCTCAAATGAAGGAAACAAAAAGAAGAAACAGACATCAACTCAACTTCTAAAACCTGAAACCACAATCAGCTAGAAAATACATAAATAGAAAACAAGAAATCAAGAAATTAAGACAACAAGAGAAATTTTTTTTTAATATGAGAAGAAACCAACAAGAAATGGAAGAAACAGGAACCTAATTATATTTAAATTACAGGGGTGGAGATTTAAGCAGCTAAATAGATGGCAGATGTTAGAGATTTCAGGATAATAATACAAACCTTTGTATTTAAGTGGAAAGTGAATTAACAAAAAAATGCAGCAAAGAAATACAGTATTATATTAAAATAAGAGTGTAGGTATAAAACAGCTAAGCAATGCAGTTTAGGAGGACCCAGGTTATATTTATACCCAGATCTCCAGCCTGAGATTTCAGCATGCTTGAATATGAAGGGAGTGTTTGTTGGATGGCTCCACCAGGAGCCATCTAATAGAAAGAGCTACCTGGGAAAGAAGAAGAAAAGGACAGGCACTTGAGATTGGCTAGTATGAACACATCAGTCATCTGACAGGCCTATTGGAAAACAGTGTCGTTCTTATTTAACATCTGCCATATATTGAACATTCCCAGGACCCCAGAAATACTATCTGCAGCTGAGGCTTATCCACTATTCACCTCCTTCCTCTTTCCCCCTTCCTATCCTCTCCATGCATGTGTCTCAGGTCTAAGGAAAAAAGTGTGATCGTATTAAAAATAATTAATAAAACAAGAATCAAAAGATCTTTCATCCCCAAATCCTTGTGAAACCTTTTTTGCTTTGCTACCAGTGGAACACAAAACAGTGAGAAAAAAGATGCTCCTTCCTTAGTAGATAACACATCCTGGATATCTGTAGAACAAAAGCTGCCACTGACACAAGAAAAGCACCTCAGGGGCCTGGAAAACAGGAAAACCTGATTGAGGCATGAATATCAGCTCCCTGTGCAGTGCACACAGCCAGCAGTGGTAAAGTGAGTTGCTCTCATGAGGGTTTACAGACATGTGAGGCCTAGAGAAGGCAAATATCTCGGAAGTATATTTATGATAGCAGAAGTGACCTATTTGTGAGCACATATGAGATATCCCCAGAGGCCTCCCAAGGAATAGTAGTGAGACTCTGAAATAGAGGATGGATATCTATAAAATTTGTGGTAGAAACTAGAGCCAAAGAAGTTTATCATCAACCTGTAGCCCTGCCTTGCTTTGAGATAACAATGGTCTGTAAAATGGACCCTATAATTCAAAATGATAAAAGGTATGAAACCACTTGCATGAATGCATGATGACCCAGAGATATGTAATAGTTTAACAACAAATATATTTACTGAGGACTATACTTCCTATTAAATTGAAACTCGATGAACTGAAAGTCTGGATGAAGTCTACCATCTGCAATCAAGACCTAGGTTCAAGAAATCTTCTTTTAATGCCATAGGAAATGACCGTAATCCCTTTGGGTTTAAAACTCAATTATCACAGGTTTTTCTCACTCACCTACATTTGAGAAACCCTTCCAAAGTTAGTGACTTATGAATGGTTTAGCCCTCGGAACAGAAACATGGGTAATGATTAAAGGCCACTGCTCCAGTATTAGTCTGCCTTTGTACACATCACACTTTCAATATTTAGTAGTTTAAATGCTCTAAACTTCAGTATACCTATCTGTTTTGTAGACTTTTAAGCACAGAGCCTGAGCTCATGTCAAAAGTATATGTGCCATAATCACATTCTCAACTAAAGTTTTATTTACTGGGTTAGTGCAAATGTAATTGTGGTTTTGGACCATGAATTTCAAATCAATTTAACTAGGCTAAAACACGTCTTTATTAATGAGAATAGAAAATGATAGAGTTTGGTTATGTCCCCACCCAAATCTCATCTTGAATTACAGTTCCCATAATCCCCATATCCCCCAGATAGAGAAAATTGAATCATGGGGGCAGTTTCCCCCATCCTGTTCTCATGATAGTTAGTTCTCACAAGATGCACTAGTTTTATGCAATACTTCATAGTTTTATAAGAAGAGTCCTTCACCAGGCTCTCATTCTTCTCCTTTATGCTGCCATGTGAAGAAGGATGTGGCTGCTTCCCCTTCCGTCATGATTCTAAGTTTCCTGAGGCCTCCTGAGCAATGCTGAACTATAAGCCAATTAAATCTCTTTCCATTATAAGTTAGCCAGTCTTGGGTGTGTCTTTATTAGCAGTGTAAGAATGAATTAATATAGTAAATTGGTACCAGTAAAGTGGAGTGCTGCTATAAGGATACCTGAAAATGTGGAAGTGACTTTGAAACTGGCTAACAGGCAGAGGTTGGAACAGTTTAGAGGACTCAGGAGAAAACAAGAAAATGTGGGAAAGTATGAAACTTCCTAGAGACTTGGAGGACTCAAAAGACAGGAAGATATGGGAAAGTTTGGAACATCCTACAGAGTTGTTAAATGGCCTTGACCAAAATGCTGATGGTAATATGGACAATGAAGTCCATGTTGAGGTGGTCTCAGATGGAGATGGGGAACTTCTTGGGAACTGGACTAAAGGCCACTCTTGCTATGCAAAGAGACTAGTGGCATTTTGCCCCTGCCCCAGAGATATATTGAACTTTGAACTTGACAGAGATGATTTAGGGTATCTGGAAGAAGAAATTTCTAAGCAGCAAAGTGTTCAAGAGGAGTTTGGAAAATTTGCAGACTGATGATGTGATAGAAAAGAAAACCTCATTTTCTGGGGAAAAATTGAAGCCAGCTGCAGAAATTTGCATAAGTAATGAGGAGCTGAATGTTAATCTCCGAGACAATGGGGAAAATGTCTCCAGGTCATGTCAGAGACCTTCACAGCAGCCCCTCCCCTCAGAGGGCCAGAGGCCTAGGAGGGAAAAATGATTTTGTGGGCCATGGCCAGGGCCCCCCTGCTCTATGCGGCCTTGGGACATGGTGCCCTGTGTCCCAGCTGCTTCAGCTCTAGCCATGGCTAAAATGAGCCAAGGTACAGCTCAAGCTGTTGCTTCAGAGGATGCAAGCCCCATGTCTTGGCAATTCCATATGGTGTTGGGCCTGCAGGTGCACGGAAGTCAAGAAGTGAGGTTTGGGAACCTCTTCCTAGATATCAGACGATGTATGGAAATGCCTGGATGTCCTAGCAGAAGTTTGCTGCAGGGGCCCTCATGGAGAACCTCTTCTAGTACAGTGTGGAAGGTAAATGTGGGGTTGAAGCCCCCATATAGAGTCCCCACTGGGGCACTACCTAGTAGAGCTGTGAGAAGAGAGCCACCATTCTCCAGATCACAGAATGGCAGATCCACCAACAGCCTGCACCATGTGCCTGGAAAAGCTGCAGACACTCAATGCTAGCCCATGAAACCAGCCAGGAGGGTAGCTGTAGCTTGCAAAGCCACAGAGGCAGAGCTGCCCAAGACCATGGGAGTCCACTTTTTGCATCAGCGTGACCTGGATGTAAGCCATAGAGTCAAAGGAGATTATTTTAAAGCTTTAATTACTTCCTCATACACTTTTGGACTTGCGTGGGCCCTATAGCCCCTTTGTTTTGGCCAATTTTGCTCATTTGGAATGGGTGTATTTACCCAATGCCTGTATCCCCATTAAATCTAGGAAGTAACTAACTTGCATTTGATTTTACATGTTCATAGGCAGAAGGGACTTGCCTTGTGTCAGATGAGACTTTGGACTTGGACTTTTGGGTTAATGCTGGAATGAGTTGAGACTTTGGGGGGCAGTTGGAAAGGCATGATTGTGTTATGAAATGTGAAGACACAAGATTTGGGAGGGAGGGGACAGGGCAGAACGATATGGTTTGGCTGTGTTCCCACCCAAATCTCATCTTGAATTGTAGTTCCCACAATCCCCATGTGTTGTGAGAAGGACGTGGTGGAGATAATTGAATCATGGGGGCAGTTTCCTCTGTTGTGTTCTCATGATAGTGAGTGAGTTTAATAAGATCTGATGGTTTTATAAGGGGCTTCCCCCTTTGCTGGGCTCTCATTCTTCTCCTTTCAGCCACCATGTAAAAAAGAACATGTTTGCTCCCCCTTCCATCATGATCATAAGTTTCCTGAGGCCTCCTGAGCAATGCTAAACTATGAGTCAACTAAACCTCTTTCCTTTATAAATTACCCGGTTTTGGGTAGTCTTTATTAGCAGCGTGAGAACAGACTAACACAGGAACCAATACAATCAACACATTTTTGCCAATGAGGAACATATTTATTTATTGCTGTAGTGTGAAAATCAATGCTTTCGGATGCTATGAATGCTTGGAAAGCATTTTCTATATCCTGCTGGTTGTGGAAGTGTTTTCCTTGCAAAAAGTCATCAATGTTTTTGAAGAAGTGGTAGTCAGTTCATGAGAAGTCAGGTTAATATGGCAGATGAGCCAAAAATTTTTAGCCCAATTCTTTCAACTTTTGAAGCATTGGTTGTGCCATGTACAGTTGGGCATTGTCATGGAGAATTGGGCCCTTTCTGTTGACCAATGCTGGCTGTGGGCATTGCACTTTTCAGTGCATCTCATGGATGTGCTGAGCATACTTCTCAGATGTAATGGTTTCGCCAGGATTCAGAAACCTGTGGTGAGTAAAACCAGCAGGAGACCACCAAACAGTGACCATGAACTTTTTTTTATTCAAGTTTGGTTTTGGGAAGTGCTTTGGATCTTCTCAGTCCAATCACTGAGGTGGTCATTGCCAGCTGTCATATAAAATCCATTTTTCATTGCACATCACAATCCAATCAAGAAATGGTTTGTTGTTGTTGCATAGAATAAGAGATGTTATTTCAAAGCAACAATTTTTTTTTTATTTTTGGTCAGCTCATGAGGCACCCAGTTGTAGAGCTCTTTCACCTTTCCAATCTGCTTCAAATGCCAAATGACCATAGAATGGTCAATGTCAAGTTCTTGGGCAACTTCTCATATAGTTGTAAGGGGATCATCTTTCATGATTGCTCTCAATTGGTTGTTGTCAACTTCTGATAGAAAGATGCTATGCTCATCTTCAAGGCTCTTGTCTTCTTTGCAAAACTTGAACTATCACTGCCCTGCATGTTCATTAGCAGTTCCTAAGCCAAATGTGTTGTTGATGTTGTGAGTTGTCCCCACTGCCTTATGACCCATTTTGAACTCAATTAAGAAAATTACTTGAATTTGCTCTTTGTGTAGCATCATTTCCATAGCGTAAAATAAATAGAAAAGAAATAGTAAGTAATCATTAGCAAAAAAGCAAGAAGTGTGCATTAAAATGACGTATAACATAACCACATTTATTTAAGCATGCATTCCAATATCAAACAGCAAATTCTAACCATGCAAAAACTACCATTACTTTTGCATCAACCTAATAATTAGGTATCATTATAAATTAGACATCATTATAAAAAGGGTATATTCTCTTGACATTTCACCTATGTGAAATGCCATGCAACTGATACAAATCCACAATATTAACTAAGTTATTCACATAAAAATCAACATATTTTATCAAGTTTTGAAGGTTATTATATTACCATTCATTTCATCAACAAATATTTACAGAATGCCTACTTCCTGTCAGGCTTTGTTCTAGAGCTATAGGCATAGTGATAAATGAGACAAATTGAATTTTTCCCTTCCTACCTCTTAGATTCTAGCAGGGAAGTCAGCCAATAAGCAAGGAAATAAAAACATAATTTTATATAAAGTCAGGGTAAAATATGAGGAGATGAGAGAGTGATAATTTAAATACACTTGAGGATCAGAAAGGCATCTTTGAGGAGGTGATAGTGAGGAAGGAACAAACTGAAGGGAGGCAATGATCCTTGAGAAGAGATGAAGTCACGCAATTCCAGGCAAAGGCAAAAATAACTGCAAAGGTGCTAAGCCAGGAAGAAGCTGGGTACATAACAAAAAGGGCAAGAAGTCCCATATGGCTGGTGCAGAATGAACATGGGGTCAGTAACAAAAGATGAGATTAGACATGTATGCTGCAGCCAGATCAGGCTATGGTAAATACTATGAAAATTCCTAATTTTTGTGTGTGTGTGTGTGTTTGTGTGTGTGTCTGTCTGTCTGGAGTGGGGGGTGTTGTGTAATAAAAACTCCAGAGCTAAATTGTAAACATAAAACTAATAGATTATTATCTAAGTAAAAAAGAGGAAGCCATATAGGCAGGCTTTTGATTACCTCAGGTCCTGTGGAAGAGCAAAAAATTATATAAGCCAAGGACCATGAGGTATTAAACTCCGGTGAGGTGTAACAAAATAGTCTAGGGTCACTTGTTTGGAGGTATGAGAAGGGAGAATCTGGACTTGACAGGAGGCTATATGACTCATACATTCTCTGATGTCGGCTCCCAATCTTATTTCTTAGGAGAGAGGATCTGTCAGTAAAGAAAAGATAAATGAATGAGCGAGTTTGTTTGCCTTAATATTGGATTTAATATGAGAGGTTAAAAATGAATGGTCCAACTTGAACTTCTATTTCTAATAATATTTCAGATTAGAAGGTCTCAGATACTACTCCTAGCATAGCATAGCTGAAAATGCTATAAGGGGACTCTTCTGTCATGGGATCCTTGGGTTGTTGCTTCACCAGCCAGAAAACTTTGTGGCCAGTGGTGCCTTTGCCTGAGTTTTGCTCGAGCCCGCTGCGCTCGTTCTGCCCACTCAGCCTAGCAGTGTGCCTGGCTTTTGTTACCAGCCCAGTTCCCACGCCTGCCAAGGGTGAGCCACACGTGAAACAATGAGGGGTGGGTAAGCGAGCAAGCACAAGGTCCAGCCACTGTGTGCAGCCATGCATGCCAGCTGCAGTGGGGCAGGCAGCTCTAGGCGCCGACACAGGCACTGGCTCTCTGCAAGGCTGCGACTGGACCAGGTGTACTATAGGTGGCTTCCACTGTGGGCACCAGGGAATGCAGTGGCACCCAGAAGCTTGAAGATGCCAGGAACCACAGAGCCCCAAGAGGGTGTCACATCCCTGGCTTGGGGTGCTCCTAGGTCTGGAATCCCTGAAGGGCTGCAGCTCTTCTCTCCTTCTTTATTCTCTTCTTGTCACCTGCAACGTGGTGAGCAGGCTGGTGGGGCGGGGGACGGAGGGGGGCCTGTCTTAGCCCTGTTTGTGTTACAGCTCTTTTAGTCCCTCCATTCAATGGGTCCTGAGTTCTTGTTCAATGTCCAGGAAGAATAAGGTACATGGACAACTGGACGGTAAGGGTGAGCAAGGTGGAGAGGAGCTCTACAATAGCTCTCAGGAGACCTGGAGTGGGTAGCTCTCTTCCACAGGCAGGTTGTCCCCCAGGTGTGCAGCTCTTAGCAGAGAGGAGACCTGAAGTGAGTAGCTCTTTTCCGTACACAGGTTGTCCTGATGAGTGTGCAGCTCTTAGCAGAGAGGAGACCCAGAGTTGGTCTATATGCAGGCATGTTGTTTCGACGTCTGCACGGCCCTCAGCAGAAAGGAGACCCAGGGTCTGTAGCTCCTATGGGCAGGCAGGTGGCCCTGTTGTCTCTGAAGCCCTCAGCCGACAGGAGACTTTTCTACCCAAGAGCCTGTCTGCCTCCTGCCGTCATCAACCTGCTGTGCATGGCGCCCAGGCTGTTCCTGCGGAGAGGCGCCTTCAGGCTCATGTTGAGCCGCCCTCAGCCCTGCCTTGGCCTCCCTTCCATGCTGTGGCACCCAAAGTCCAGAGGGGGCTGAGGCGGCAGGGGGGGTTGGCCTATCAACACCACCCCAAGCATGCACACATCTGGCCAGATCAAAACAGCGCTGGGGCTTGGCCACAACTTTGCTCTGAAATTGAGGCAGGCGCTGGGAGTGAGGAGAAGCCAAGTAGCAGGAGCAGGCACTTCTGAGCCTGTGGGGGAAGAGGAGCTTCCTGGTCCCCAAGAGTGCCGGGACGCCCAGGTCCACAACCGTGGCTGGGTGGCTGCAGCTACCCCTGGGAGGGTGGGGCTCCTGCCCCTCCCACTCAGAAAGGGGCGGGGCTCCTACCTGTCCTGGATCCTGCAGGCTCCATGGAGCAGGCAGCCCCAGCGGCACCTCCCACACGGCAGCCGGCGTCATGGCAGCTGCTCCAGACAGGCCACCTCTGCCATCACTTCCAAAAAGGTGATATCCTCAATTAATACATTCTGAAAATAAGCAAATGAGAAAAGACAATAGGGAAACGTTATCTGTCTTGATGTTTGTTCTAAGTAAACTGTGAAAAAAGTCAAAATGAAAATAGTTTCCCTTGAGAAACTTGCCACAGCCATGTAGTCACATGGTTTTGGTGTGGGAATTCATACTAACCACATGGTGGGGGAAGGCCTCGCAAAAACAAATATATATATATACACATACACACACACACATACACACACACACACACACTCTATCTGGAGAAATGTACTTAAAAGCCAGATCTAAAGGACATGCAGTATGCAGAGAAAAAAGTAACTGATACTTAAAATTCTGTATCCAGTAAAACTATCTTTTAAGAATAAGGTCAAAATAAAGACAACTTCAGGCGCACAAAACTGAAAGATTTTATTACACAAAGATCTTCAGTAAAGTAACTTTGAAAAGATATCCTTAAAGATCTGCGATGTAAGGTGAACAATGAGCTAAAAAATGTAAACATATAAAAATAATAGGGATTTATAAAAGGGTAATAAGAATGAATAATTTGTGAGATTAAAAATTCAACATTGAATTAACTGAAGCATCTACCATTACATAAATTGAGTGATCGAAATTGAACCACTCTAAGAAGTTTGTATTATTCAGGAGAAAGAAAAAAGATATATAACCTTTAAAATTTGTTGTTACTTGAGTATTTTCAAATGTCTAGTATAACCATTAAAAACACAGAAAAATACTTTACATCTCCCAAACTATCAGAGAAAATGTAAAATGGTGAGAGAGGAAAATAATTGATTAATCACAAAACTAGCAAGGAAGAAAATTAGAGAAGTGAAAAAATAGAAAGTAGAATATAAGATGGTTGAAATTAATCCAAATATAACAGTAGTCACAATATGTGTAAATGAAATTATTTCTTCATGAAGAACAATGTTAGAATTGACAATAAAATCCAATTATGTATTGTTTACAAAAGACAAAGATTAAAAACTGAGAACAAAGCATATTTACATATACTATGTAAATTACATATACTATGTAAATTACATATACTATGTAAATATAAATCAAAACAAGTCTTGTTTAGCTGTTAATAATATAGATAAAGAAAATTCATTTTAAGGCAAAAAGCAGCATTAGTGATCTTTGTCTTTTGGGAAATCAGATACTGATATATTATGTAAATATACATCAAAACAAGTCTAGTTTAGTTCTATTAATAACATAGGTAATATAAAAAATTCATTTTAAAGCAAAAAGCAGCACTGGTGGTCTTTGTCTTTAGGGAAATCAGATACTGATAAATATTTTAATTTTGAAAAATGATACAACAAGTCTTGGATACAACTATAATGAAACTATCAAATATAAGATAAATATTGACATATCTACATAATAATTGACAAATCATCTCTGAATTTTAGACTTTCTAATACTTCTCCCTCAGTATTCTCTCAAGTAAACAAAAGATATTAATAAAACTCTAGAAAATTTGAACAACCCCAAATTAATAATATTGATTCAAAGGACATATGCAGAAAACTCACACAACTATTGCAAAATACACATTCTTTGTCAGCATAAATATTTATAAAAATTTATTTCATTTTATTTTTTGAGATGGAGTCTCATTCTCTCACCCAGGCTGGAGTGCAGTGGCACAACCTTGGCTCACTGCAACCTCTGCCTCCCGGGTTCAAGTGATTCTCCTGCCTCAGCCTCCTGAGTGGCTGGGATTACAGGCACATGCCACCACACCAGGCTAATTTTTGTATCTTTAGTAGAGATAGGATTTTGTCATGTTGGCCGTGCTGGTCTCAAACTCCTGACCTCAGGTGATCCACCTGCCTCGGCTTCCCAAAGTGCTGGGATTACAGGCATGAGCCACCATGCCCGGCAAAAATTTATGATGTACAAGTCCATATAGCAGCTCATAACAAATTTCCAACATCTTTACGTACAGACATATTTATCAATCCAAAATGCAGCTTTGAAAATCTAAAACAGTAACATAAACTTAAAAAAATTAACATTTATGTGCTAAAGAAGATATAGTACTGAAAATTAGACAATATTTAGAACTGGTCATTATTTCATAATGACAAAAGTGACATTATTAGAGATGTAGCAAAGACGTAAAAGATAATATAAACCACTTTGAGGCAATGTATAAACAATTTAGTTGAAGAAATTCCTAGATTTAAAAGTAATAAAATTGTCATAAAAAAAAACCTGAGACATACAACAATTTAAATATTCTGATCAGTGGTTTAAATGTTTCTCCCAAACACTATGTCATAGCTTTGATATTTGGTCCACATTACTAGCCCCCCAAAATGTCTTTTTTATAAACTGAGAAAAAACATCTCCTGTACTATAACAAGAATATAAAAAATAAGTGTATAAAGATTTTTAAAGAATAAATATTTTTATTATTTTCAAATTCTGTGATTGTCTACATAGCAAATCCAAATTTCTAATGAACAAATTATTACTAAAACTAACTAGAGATTTCAGCAAAATTGATACATAGCTCATGGTGTGTCTTCACATCAGAGAGAAAATGTTAGACAATAATTTTTCTTTTTTTTTGGCGACAAAATCTCCCTCTTGTCCCCCAGGCTGGAGTGCAATGGCACAATCTCAGCTCACCGCAACCTCCGCCTGCTGGGTTCAAGCAATTCTCCTGCCTCAGCCTCCTGAGTAGCTGGGATTACAGGCACCTGCCACCAGGCCCAGCTAATTTTTGTATTTTCAGTACAGACAGGGTTTCACCATGTTGGCCACGCTGGTCTCAATATCCTGACCTCAGGTGATCCACCCGCCTCAGCCTCCCAAAGTGCTGGATTACAGGCATGAGCCACCGCACCTGGCTGGCAATAATTGTTTTAAACCATTTGCAATAATAACTAAAAACAAAAACACCTAGGAATAAATATAGCAAATTGTGTACAAGACTACTTTGGAGAAATCTACCAAACTTTTAAAAAAGATTTTAAGGACGACTTAATAAGTAAATGTAATGATGTGGCATGGTCACGGAATAACACAAAACAGCTTAAAGACATCAATTTTAAAAATCTATAAATTTATGTAAAATCTAATTAAAATCTGAATACAGTTTTTTATATGAATGTGAAATTTAAATAAAAACTAAAGGGCCAATAACAGCAAAAAACTCCCAAATAGAAGCTAGGGGGAAATGACTTATTAGATATCAAAACTTTTGTGAAGCTATAATGAACAAGACAGTGTAATAGTGGAAGAGCATTGGAAAAATTTTCTAATTAAACCAAAAAGAGAGCTTAGAAATAACACAACACCAGTGGAAAAAAAGAGGCAAATCAAGTATGGATTGCAGAGAAATAGGAAACTGAAGGACTACTTTTCAAAAAATAGTATCGAAAATTGGGTATCTGTATGGGAAAATGGAAATGGGTCTCTACTTCACAATATAAAACAATTTCAAAATGGATTAAGACTTAAATCTGACAAACAAAACCTTATAACTTTCAGAAAAATATGTAGGAGAATAATTTTGTAAGCCTGTAGTTAGGGAATATTTTCTCAGACTCATAATATGTAAACTGAAAAATATTTCTACAGATCTGCCAGAAAAAGAGAACTCGAAAGAAAAATAAGCAGATGTAAACAGACATTTCATTGGAAAGGAAATGTAAGTGATCAATAAAAATGTAAAAAATACTAAACTTTGCTAATAATGAAATAAAATTTCAAATTAACCTGACTTGCAAAAATTTTAAATGTTAGGCCAAGTGTTAATGAGATTATAATAATCTCCTTCATTGTTGGTGGGTATGTATAAATAGGGTCAACTTCTTTGGAAAACAACTGGGCCTCACCTAGCAATATGGTAATGAAATGGTCCTAACTCTACAACAGTTTTTTGACTCCTAAGGCATATACCATAGACAGCATTTGCACATATTTACATATAATTACACAGAACATGGACATTCACAATAGAATTGTTCATATTATTTAAAACATTGCTGACAAACTAAAAGTCCATCTAGAGTAGAAATGACACTCAAAGTGGCAACTCATACAATAAAACAAATACAGGAGTGAAAACTAATAAACCTTAGCTATGCACACCAATGTAAATGAACCTCAAAGACATATAATGAGCAAAACAAGCAAGTCATAGAACAAATGCATTGTAATTCCTTGTACGTAAAGTTCACAACCAGGCAAAACTAAATACTAAACCCTTTTGGGATATGTGTGCATGTGGGAAACGATAGGAAAGGCAGGGAGATAAGTGCTAAATTCAGGCTAGTGGTTATTACCTCTGCTGGGGAAGTGGGGATGAGATAGGGGGACAGAGAGTGATTCAAAGCTAAAAAGTGATTAAAGTTCTATTTTTCAAGCTGGCTGTCAGGTTCATGAATGTTCATTTTATTATTGTTGTTTATACATACAGGTATATCATATTTACTTTTGTATGTATTATATATTTTATTAAGATTCATATATTTAATATATGATACGGTTAGAAATTTTTTTTAAAAAGGTTTGAGGGTCCACTATATTCTCCCTTTTCAGCTTGGCGATGTTGAAGCAGAGCAGCTACACATTATTGGGGTGCTTGCTAAAACAATCAGCATGGCCTCAAGAGAAACATGGATAATTTTTAAAAATGGTACCAGTTCGAGGATGTAAATTCCAGTCATTGAACAAACAAGGGTACAAGGATGATTAGCACAAAGTTGACAAGGAGGAATACCTTAGTCACTCCTGAATGCACGAGAAAAACCAAACACTGCTTAAACTGGAGGAAAAAATATTTTAGACCATTCAGGTTGTAGTGTTATTGCTAGAAATTTGTTGCAGCCAGAAATTATTATTTTGTTTGTGGTCTGCAATGCACAACAGGCTGTAGTGGCCTCAAGAAATGTAGAATAAATATGCAAACATAATTAAGTTAGAAAATTATTAAATTAAATTTAATTTTTTCCCCACTGAGTTATATAATGATTCCAGGTTTTCTCAGTCACTAGGTCCTTCATGTTTTAAAACAAACTGCATAAGACAACCTGTATTTGAAAAAGTAAAAATCTATGTAGGTCACTTTGAATTCTGATATTCTTGTACAGAGCTAAAATTAGCAATGTATTGCATTGCTTCTTAAGTGTGTTCTGAAATTATTAACACATTCTCCAAGAGGCTAAACTTCTTCCAGGAAGGCTCTTATCTCAGAAGAGTAAAGCTTTTCTGTTTTTTTCTAAAACAGCTATAAAATAAGACTAGTATTTCCTGCCTTCCTCAAGACATGGTAGTATAGTTGATTGCTGAGATGTTTAAAAAGATCTATATGGTTCTATAGAATAAAGGACAAATAAAGCATTATTATATTTGAACATATTTTCCCCTAATGAACTCTTCAGATTTTGGGGGGTTGGTATCATTCCAACAATTATAAATTAGGAAGAAATGTGTGTTTTCTCCCAAAGGGCAGTTGAACTTTGTTCAGAATGCTTAAGAAAACATCCGGTGGGATGTTTGCTGATGGAGCTATGTCAACTCATCTTCAAGATTCCCCTCTAGAACAGTACAACAGTTATGAGTGCAAATGCCATGAATATTTTATTATCACTGAGATCTCATCTCCTAGTGGTCACAGAGCTGCTCTAAACAGCTACTGCTGGAAGCTTGGACATGTTGTTTATTCAAGAACAAACTGAAGGTTAAATGATAACATAAAATTTTAAGAGTTAGCATTAGTCACAGGAACAAAACACTAGAGACATTTTTAGCCAATAAGAAGTGTGTGCGTGTGTGTGTGTGTGTGTAATTCTTCTCCATTGAGAAGCATTTAAACATTAAACAGTTAACAAATAAAAATGTCTAAGAAGATCTTTACAAGACCTGAGCCATAGAATATTACAGTATTCACTGGATGAGGTGGTTTGACCCTGAGACTCTGTCTCCTGTTCCTCATGTGTTGTCCCCCTCCAGGGCTGCAGCAAGCAGGCATCTTTCTGATTGAGAGATTCAGAAACAGGAACAAAGGTCATGAATGTGTGACTCTACAGAGAGAGGAATTTAAAAGGAGATTACTCAGATAGTTCTTCTGTTCTTTTGATCTCTTAATCAAATTATATTTAAAAAGTCATAATTTCAGGCATTCTAGAAACAGTCTTGATTTTTTTTTCTTGACAACTCCTTTTAGAATATATGGTTGATAGCTCATTATAAGCAAATCTCCAAATGGAGGCTAACTAAAGTCTTAAAGTATAACAATCACCAAGTGTAAATCTGAAAAATTTAATGTAAATCAGAAAATTGGAATGATTCATTTATTCATATATAATTACTGATTACCTGCTATGTGCTCAGCACTGGGCTGTGTACTGGGGGATGTAGCCATCCCACACATGGAACTCACAATATAGTGGGATGAGTTGTTTTTACAGCCACATATATCATCACACAAATGTGATGATAATTAATAACTACACACGCTATGCCAGAGTGCTATAATAAAGAGCATGTAGCTGGGGGACCTTGAACACACCATACTCATACGCACGCACACACACACACACACACACATATATGTCTTAGTGGCTGGAAATGTTTTTCTTGTTTTGTTCCTGTGCCTAACCCTAACTCCTTACAATTTTATGTTATCCTTTAACCTTCGCTTTGTTCTTGAATAAACATGTCCAAGCTTCCAACAGAAGCTGGTTAGAATGGCTCTATGGCCAGTAGGAGATGAGATCTCAGTGATTAATAAAAAAAAAATTCACGGCATTTGGACTCATAACTGTTGTACTGTTGTAGAGGGGGAATCTTGAAGTTGAGCTGACATAGCTCCATCAGCATGGAGGGATTTCTGGCCATTAGAAATGCAGAATGGCTTCATAATATTTCATGGTGCATACATACCACATTTTCTTTATCCAATCCATGGTTGATGGATACTTAGTTTGATTCCATGACTGGAAATCAGAGAAGAATTCCAAAGGAAGCAATGGTTGATCCAAAGATAAATAGAAGTTAGCTTGGCAAGGGATTGAAGATGAAGGATGTATGAAGACAGTTCCAGGCATTTAAATATTTTTCAAAATTCAAAACCAAGACAGACTTTATGTTTCAGGAGAGTTTTAAA
This sequence comes from Homo sapiens, assembly GCF_000001405.40. NCBI lineage: Eukaryota > Metazoa > Chordata > Mammalia > Primates > Hominidae > Homo > Homo sapiens. The sequence continues at coordinate 107,115,237 of NC_000008.11, read as the reverse complement.
AATGTATTCACTAGAGTCACTCATCCTCACAAACCAAAGTGAATATACTCTAGGCTGAGAGAGACTGATGGCAGAATCACTAAGCAGTGACTCCATCTCTGGTCTAACCACACCTTTAGGCGAGGTAAGCCACCTGTTACATGGAATGATATGTGAAACTTTGTAAGACCAGGTGAGCTCAAATATCACGACACATTGTTATCTTTCCATTCCACACTTTTATTTTTTACTTTGTTTTATATTCAAGAAATACTCTATGCAGGTTTGTTACATGGGTGTATTGTGTAATGGTGGGGATTGAACTTCTAGTGTATCCATCACCCAAATATTGAACATTATACCCAAATGGCAATTTTTCACCTCTTCATCTTCCTCCTTTTAGAATTCCCATTATCTATTATTTACATTTTTATGTCCATGTGTACTCTTTGTTTAGCTCTAACTTATAAGTGAGAACATGCAGCATTTGATTTTCTGTTTCTGCATTAGTCACTTAGGATAATGTCCTCCAGCTCCATTTATGTTACTGCAAAGAACAAAGGACATGATTTCATTCTTTTCATTATATAAAAGACAACTGAACTTGTATGTTTATTGCAGCACTATTCACAACAGCAAAGTGATGAAACCAACCTAAGTGTCCATCACTGATTGACTGGATAAAGAAGATGTGGTATATATGCACCATGGAATACTATGCAACCATCCTGCATTTCTAATGGCTAGAAATTCCTGCCATTAATTTCATTCCTTTAGATTACACAACTTCAATAAAGGTATGGGCGTTGTCCTCTATAAAGCCATTTGTCATGATTTTCAAGACCTTGCATGATCTGGCACTTGTCTCCTCCCAGCCTCAGCCTCCCCTCGTGTTTCTTTCCATCATCCTCAGTATAGCCCTGCCACACTAGCCTCTCGGTTCATCTAATATGCCATGTTTCTGCCCACCTCAGTCTTCACAGATACCCTTCCCTCTCCCTGATGTGCTCTTCATTCCCTTCTTTTTCTCAGTAATTGCTCTTTTTAATTTAGATCACAATACATTTCTCAACCATATTTCCTTTGGGAAGGCTTTCCCTGACCCTCTAGGCCAGGCTACTTTCTCAGTCCATACTGTTTTAGCAGCCTGTACTTATATCATTTATCACAACTGAAATAATTAAGAAATTGAATAATTAACTAGTCATTTCAAGTTTATCTTCCTTCCTAGAATAAATACTAAACTTCACAGAAGCAAGGTTATATCTGTTTTATTCCTGACCCTTTTTGCAATAACTAGCACACCCTAGATGCTATTGAAGGAAGAAGGGAAAAGGGAATGAAAAGAGAAAGACAGAAAAAACACATGTGGCCCAACAAGTTTGCCCACTACCTCACTTTAAAAACTACTCATCATTGCAAGTAGCATAAATGGTGCTGGTTCCAACCTGGGACATTTGGCACAAGCCTATCCATATCCCTGGTCACCATGATTTATTCAGGGTTGTGCATATGGCTCAAATTGGGCCAGTTCATCTTCTTTCCCAGATTTCTTATCACAGAGCTTTTGGAAGAGATGCTGTTATTTCCTCTGAAATCACAAGGTTAAAAGAAAATGCAAATGAAAAGATACGCAGTTATCATTTGCCACATGGAAGAAGCAGTCAGTTACAGAAAACAATCACGCCAAAACTCAAAATGTAGCACATGGAGACATGGGACAGAAAGAGTGTGGACACAGAGAGTGAGAGCAAAGCAGTAGGCTCTATAACATCCCTTGACCTCTGGTCCAGCCACATTTGAAGGCTCCCTACCCACAGATTTTCAGTCATACAAATTGATATGGTTTGGATCTGTGTCCCCACCCAAATCTCATGTTGAATTGTAATTTCTAATGAGGTGATTGGATCATGGAAGTGGATTTTCCCCTTGGTGCTGCTCTCATGATAGTGAGTGAGTACTCATGAGATCTGGTTGATTAAAAGTATGTGACACCTCCCACCTCTTTTTCTTCCTTCTGCTCCAGTCATGTAAGATGTGCCTGCTTCCCCTTTGCTTTCTGCCATGATTGTAAGTTTCCTGAGGCCTCCTCACATGCCAAGCAGATGGTCAGCATCATGCTTCCTGTATAGCCTGCAGAACTGTGAGCCAATTAAGCTTCTTTTCTCTACAAATTACCCAGTCTCGGGTATTACTTTAGAGCAGTGTGAGAATTGACTAAAACACAAATCAATTCATTTGCTTTAGATTTAAGTAGGTTTCTGTTACTGTTTCTAAGGTGGGTTCCTATTACTTGGAAGAAGAAAGCAACTTATGCCTGTAATCCCAGCTCTTTGGGAGGCTCAGATGGGAGGATCACTTGAGGTGAGGAGTTTGAGATCAGCCTGGACAACATAGAGAGACCCTGTTTCTACAAAAAAGAAGCAAGCAAACAGACAACTGCAGAAGTTAATGGTCTGCTTAAACAAAAATTAAACCCTTCTCTCAGTATAAATTAATATTTTTGTTTAGTCTGTTCTCATGCTGCTAATAGAGACATACCCGAGGCAGGGTAATTTATAAAGGAAAGAGGTTTAACTGACTCACAGTTCAGCATGGCTGGGAAGGCCTTAAGAAACTTACAATCGTGGTGGAAGGGGAAGCAAAAATGTTCTCTTCACATGGCAGCAGCAAGAGAAGAATGAGAGCTGAGCTAAGGGGGAAGCCCCTTATAAAACCATCAGCTCTTATTAGAATTCACTCACTATCAGAAGAACAGCATGAGGGTAACTTCCCCCACAATTACATTACACCTCACTGAGTCCCTCCCAGGAAAACATGGGAATTATGGGAACTACAATTCAAGATGAGATTTGTGTGGGGACACAGTCAAACCATATCAATGTTGTTCTTCCCAAGTGCCAAGAGCAGAGCGTGGCATATGAGTGGCACCTAGTAAATATTTGTGACTGACTGATAAATGGATAAATGACCTAACAGTAACCATGAGTATTTTCAAAGGCACAAACAAAGGAAAGAAATCGAGAGAATATACTTTCAACATGAGATACAGAGTTCTTGGCTAGCAGATGAGAAGTTCAACCTGAATAACTATCATGGGCAAACTAGGCATCAATTATTAAGCAATAAACCTGTTCTAAATTGGGACAAAGAAGACCCAGCTTGCATCTCAGCCCTATTCACTACTAGAGAGTTGTTGCTGAAGAAAAAAAATTAAAGAACACAGAATTCAATTAGTAAAGAAAATGCATGAATCTAATCAAGCTTTCATTGAAAACACACACATATACACACCAGGAGAAGTAGGGTATAAGGTCAGAAATAGATTGAAATTTCAATTGAATACAATGGGTTTGATGATGCCCCATGGGCAGTACTAAAATAATTGCTCCAAACTTCCAACTATGGTTCTAGGAGGATCATATGGAAACTTTTTACTCTCAGGCACCATGTTCTAGACTCTGATTCCTAACTGAGAAGTAGCTATATTATGGCCCTGAGTTTATGGATTGACAACCTAAATATGTCTCAGATAGTAACTCTCCTCCATGTAGCTGGGCAATTAAACTCTAGGAAGACTTAGAAATAAAAATCAAATTAATACAATGTTGAATAGGAGTGGTGAGAGAGGGCATCCTTGTCTTATGCTGGTTTTCAAAGGGAATGCTTCTAGCTTTTGCCCATTCAGTATGATATTGGATGTGGGTTTGTCATAAATAGCTCTTATTATTTTGAGATATGTTCCATCAATACCTAGTTTATTGAGTGTTTTTAGCATGAAGGGGTGTTGACTTTTATCAGAGGCCTTTTCTGCATCTATTGAGATAATCCTGTGGTTTTTGTATTGGTTCTGTTTATGTGATGGATTACATTTATTGATTTGCATATGTTGAACCAGGCTTGCACCTCAGGGATGAAGCTGACTTGATCGTGGTGGATAAGCTTTGTGATGTGCTGCTGGATTTGGTTTGCCATTATTTTATTGAGGATTTTCGCATCAATGTCCATCATGGATATTGGCCTGAAATTTTCTTTTTTTGTTGTGTCTCTTCCAGGTTTTGGTATCAGGATGATGCTGGCCTCATAAAATGAGTTAGGAAGGAGTCCCTCTTTTTCTATTCTTTGGAATAGTTTTAGAAGGAATGGTACCAGCTCCTTTTTGTACCTCTGGTAGAATTTGGCTGTGAATCTTTCTGGTCCTGGGCTTTTTTTTGATTGGTAGCCTATTAATTACTGCATCTATTTCAGAACTTGTTATTGGTCTATTCAGGGATTTGACTTCTTCCTGGGTTAGCCTTGGAAGGGTATATGTTTCCAGGAATTTATCCATTTCTTCTATATTTTCTAGTTTATTTGCATAAACGTGTTTATAGTATTCTCTGATAGTAGTTGGTATTTCTATAGGATCAGTGGTGATATCCCCTTTATCGTTTTTTATTGTGTCCATTTGATTCTTCTGTCTTTTCTTCTTTATTAGTCTGGCTAGCAGTCTATTTTGTTAATCTTTTCAAAAAAACAGCTCCTGGATTCATTAACTCTTTTAAGGGCTCTTCGTGTCTCTATCTCCTTCAGTTCTGCTCTGATCTTGGTTATTTCTTGTCTTCTGCTAGCTTTTGAATTTGTTTGCTCTTGCTTCTCTAGTTCTTTTAATTGTAATGTTAGGGTGTTGATTTTAGATCTTTCCCGCTTTCTCCAGTGGGCATTTAGTGCTATAAATTTCCCTCTAAATATTGCTTTAGCTGTGTCCCAGAGATCCTGGTATGTTGTGTCTTTGTTTTCACTGGCTTCAAAGAACTTATTTATTTCTGCCTTAATTTCATTATTTAGTCAGTAGTCATTCAGGAGAAGGTTGTTCAGTTTCTATGTAGTTGTGCAGTTTTCAGTGATTTTCTTAATCCTGAGTTCTAATTTGATTGCACTGTGGTCTGAGAGACTGTTTGTTATCCGTTCTTTTGCATTTGCTGAGGAATATTTTACTTCCGATTATGTATCCCAGAACTTAAAGTATAATAAAAAATAAAAATAAAAAAAGAAATTATGACTAGATCAAGAAAAAAACAAATTAAATCTTTAGTATGAAAACATCACGTTAAATTCAGAATAATCTGTTTGCTATTTATTTTATTTGTAATATTTAAGATAATCTGACATAATGGTTTTGTAACTTTTAAGTGAAAGTTATTAGAGAATTTAAGTTAGTCAAGAGTGCTAGAATGTCTAAGAGAACTTGATTTACTATACTGATGAGTTAGATATACTAAGTTAGTAAGAGTTCTGACACTTATTAGCTTATGTGACTTTCAGCAGGTTACTCAACACCTCAATGTCTTAGTTTTCTCATCTGTAAAAGAGAAATAAGAATAGTTAGCCACTTAATGAGAATCTTGTGTGAATTACATAAATTAATATTAAGATATGTAAAAAGCTTACAAAACTATCTGGCATAGTGTAAGCACTAAACAAATGTTAGTTGTAAGGGTTTAGAAAAGTTTTGCAACTTAAGGTTACAAGTCTACCCTGTTATACATTTGGATCATTTAAGAAAATCAAATTATTAAATTCATAAGTGCAGATAAAATATTTAGAGAAATTTAACAAAATTGTAAATGCCATTGATTATTTAAGATGTTTTAGTCTATTCAACCCGAGCTCATGGATTGCTGTTTTGATACATATAAAAGTGATTTTGTTTTTATATTGTAAATAGCAGATATATTGATAGAATATATATCAAGAACTGTATGTTAAATTGAAAGACTAAAAGCTATGTTTTAAATTTTTTTCTAATTTAATATATTGAATATTAGTTGAAATCCCAAGTAACTATAAGGAGTTACTTTGCTCATCAAAAGTTACTTCTGGCCGAGATAGCTTACACCTGTAATCCCAGCACTTTGGGAGGCCGAGGTGGGCGGATCACTTGAGACCAGGAATTTGGGACCAGCCTTGGCAACATGGTGAAACCCCATCTCAAAAATACAAAAATTAGCCAGGTGTGGTGGTACTCACTTGTAATCCCAACTACTTGGGAGGCTGAGGCACAAGAATTGCTTGAACCTGTAAGGCAGAGGCTCCAGTGAGCTGAGATCACACCACTGCCCTCCAGCCTGGGCGACAGAGTGAGAACCTGTCTCAAAGAAAAATAAAAGTTATTTTTGTTCCCAATATTAAAAGAAAATTTACCTTGACAAATACCAGTTTCTCTTAGTGCAAAAGTGAAATAGAATCTTATATGTAAAAATGTATTTAATTATTTTCCAGTATGTGTTAAGAAACTACCTATACTATCTGTCACTTGAAGAGTCACAGTGCTTGTTAGCCTGTTGGTAAACCTGTTAAATTTATCTAATCTGGATTTTCCAACAGCCACAGAACAGTTTATTTTTGTACATCTATTATCTTTTTTGTGTAACACTTTTAGAGCTTTAAACTCTAGACCTACAATAAATTTATAAATCACTAACTTTGGTGTGTCTGAGATGGTAACTCTCCTCTCACGTAGGAGCCAAGAGGGCAGGTGCCTGGAGGGATGACAGGGAGACCCAGCGGAAGGTGGGAGAGAAATCTGCTCATGAAGGGGAAAGGCAAAGGGAGACAGTAACCCTGGGACACCTTGGGTTTAGGGGCTCCTTGTCAGGCCATTCCTCCCTGATTTGTTTTCCTGTCAGCATTCCCATGGACAACAAGATGATAGAGATTCATTCCTCCTCAACCCTTCCTCCCAATTTCTGTTACTCCTGGGAAAAAATTGTACAATATTTTATTGATAGTTTTTTTTTTTAATTGGTGGTTTCGGTGGTGCATCATTTCAATGGTTGATGTATGGAACTGGCAAAAAATTTGCCTGACACTGCACAACCCTGATGCGCATGAGTCAGACTACCACAGCAGAATCTGGAGACGTCTTTCCCCCACTTCCTCTGTGCTTTTCCAATGTTCATGCATTCTTTTTTTTTTTTTTTTTGAGACGGAGTCTCGCTCTGTCGCCCAGGCCGGACTGCGGACTGCAGTGGCGCAATCTCGGCTCACTGCAAGCTCCGCTTCCCGGGTTCACGCCATTCTCCTGCCTCAGCCTCCCGAGTAGCTGGGACTACAGGCGCCTGCCACCGCGCCCGGCTAATTTTTTGTATTTTTAGTAGAGACGGGGTTTCACCTTGTTAGCCAGGATGGTCTCGATCTCCTGACCTCGTGATCCACCCGCCTCGGCCTCCCAAAGTGCTGGGATTACAGGCGTGAGCCACCGCGCCCGGCCCCAATGTTCATGCATTCTTACCCAGCATAGTCCTTTTCTGGTGTTCATTGGCTCCACCTGCATTTGGCTGATGCCCCGTCAAGTGCATGCTAGTTATGCTAGCATAGGACCTGAAGCCCTTTGTTCCTCAAATCTTAAGTATGTGCAAAGAAAGGAAGATTTTTTTTATTTGCTTGAAGTCCCCAATCCATTTTTTCCAGGTGTCTTTTACTTTCCCAAATCTGAAAGTTGTCACTGTCATCTTCCTGTGGAAGCTTTCTCCTCCAGCCAGTCTCTACTCTTTATCATAGGGACCCTCCCATAATGTGAAGTTGCAGGTATGCTGTTTTCTGAAGCATTACATTTTCCATAAAAGTTTTGGCCCTAGCTTGTATTTACCAAATAAAATTATGGTTCTTTTTTAGTTTATATGTATATGCATGTGTGTGTGTGTTCTTTGAAATTGCTCTAATTACTTGTTGCTCTGATTTTGGTTTGGTTGAGGTTAGCCAGAGGAAATACATGACCCAAAAAAGGACTGTCTGAAGAATTTTTGTTTCCTGTCTATTTTTTTTAAGGTGCTGAAAAAAAAATAGATGAGATTCCATTGAAAAATCTCAGAAATGAGAGGCAGTCAGGATATTCGTTGGAGAACTACACTTTAGAAATTGAATATAGCTTCCAGAATCTAAACAAAACTTCTGCTTTGGGTAACTGTTTAAAGTTACCTTAAAGGGTTTAATAACAGTCAATGTATGTCCTGCGATTTACATATTTAACACATATAAACACATATAAAAATTTATAACACATATAAAACAAAATGTATGCCTCTGGATAAAACTGTGCTGGGCTTCAAGCAATCTAGGAGATAAAACATTTGTATTAACATCTACAACTGACCTGCTTCATCTCAATCACATATGCTTGGTGGAGGTGATATCAACCCCAACAGGGCCAAAATTGGTTCTTGAGAGGTGAAAATAATCTTAGCTATTACGATGGTTTGCAGTTACATATAAACAGATATATCTATTATATTAAAATTTCATGGGGAGTAGGAGAAGTGATTAGGAAAAAATGCTCGTTGGCAAGAGAATGATAATGAAATAAGGTTGAGAAACAGTAATCTAAACTGAGATTGTGATGAATTGGTAGAATTATTGAAAGTTCATTTTTCCAACATTTATCAGTCCTTGTTCTGGAATGTATGCTTTGCAAACAGAATCTGCTGACTGTGTGGATCTTTCTGTTTTGGTGCTGAAGAATTGTGTCATTTCTCATAGCCATGCAATTTTTGGTGTTTCTTAGATGACATGTTGGGAGAAGGCTATACATGTGAAATTCAAAACAACATTTTCTAATGGCTCATTTGACTGAACCAAAATCGATTTTTGTATTGGCCTAAGAAAACCTTAAATGAGGCTCGGCGCAGTGGCTCACACCTGTAATCCCAGCACTTTGGGAGGCCAAGGCAGGTGGATCACTAGGTCAGGAGATTCAGACCATCCTGGCCAACACAGTGAAACCCCGTCTCTACTAAAAAATACAAAAAATTAGCCAGGCGTGGTGAGGGTGCCTGTAGTCTCAGCTACTCAGGAGGCGGGGGCAGGAGAATGGCATGAACCCAGGAGGTGGAGCTTGCAGTGAGCCAAGATAGCGCCACTGCACTCCAGCCTGGGCGACAGAGCGAGACTCCATCTCAAAAAAAAAAAAAAAAGGAAAACCCTAAATGATTGGACTGCATTGCCATATGTCACCACTCATAATTTGTAATTACTTGCAATTTGCAAGACTTGTAATTTCCATACCTACTCAATCTTCAAGAGCTAAATCAAGCACCACTCTTTCGCTGAAGTCTAAATAGAGCTTCAAGGTCCACAGAGTAATTATTCCTTCTTCCAAGCTGGCAGTACTGAGTATATATGTCAATTATGATACTAACCACACTGAATTATAATTATTTGTTTCTGTGTCCATCTCACCACCTACACTGAGAGCGCCTGGTAACTGGAGAGCAATGTCTTTTCCATTTCTATATTCCTAGACCCTAAATGCTAACCAGCAGATGGGGATGTGATGCACAACTTACCAGTTGTCCAAATCAAAAACCTGGGAAGTCTAACTTGCCTCACCCCAATCTCCACCCCATGTTGATCTTTTTTCTACCTCTTTAATATTTATTCAATTATTCTTCAACTTCTAGTGAAGAAACAGCTTCATAAAAGTATATCCCTTCACTGGTTGAAGTGTTAAATTTGCTGTAGTGCAAAGACACTGTTTGTTTTTTCAAGCTCTGCTGTGGGGAGAGGGTGGTGGCAGCTGCAGTGCTGTAGCTTGGTAAAGTTTGGAAAGTAATACGTTTGGAAACAAGGATTTCAGAATCAAATGGCAGCCATTTTTATTTTACATAGGAAGAGAGAACACAGGAGAAGAGAAGACTGCAAAAGCTGAACTGCTTTTGTAGTAATAAGGGATATTTTTAAATTGAAGAGACCTCTCAATAAAACACATAACACACACACAAGCAAACTATACAATAGGCTAATGCTGTTATATACTTACCTCTATTTTCACAAAAAAGTAGTTTAAACTGAATATAGTTCCTAAAAGTACTTTTTCTGTTTTTAAAAGATTATAAACATTCCCTGATAGCCATACAACTTTATCACACATTATTTAATGACTCTATCCCATTCTAGTCTAGACTATATGAGGAACCTTGCATTGTGCAACATAGTATTTTTTCAAATTTATCATTATATATAATACTTTGAAGGAAAACTGTATGCATGAATCTTAATATACATCATTGAAACTTTTTCCTAAAAAATTCTAGAGTCGAATTGCTGAGTCATGAATGGTAAGCATTTTTAAGTTTTTTAGTGGGTACTGCCGCATTTCCCTCCAGGATGGTTGCATTGATTCACAGGCAAAATATATTAAAGACAATATTTAAAACCACAGCATGACCCACCTTCACATCATAGCACAGATGTGGGCTTCTAGGCTAGACCACAGCAGATAGAATGGCTTGCTTTGTGGCAATAAGGAAAGCTCTCTTCCTGGAAAAGTTTGAGGCAAAGTTACAGAGTCACTAATAGCAACAGCCTTGATTTAGGGTTCAAACCACAAGCAAGAATTAATTCCTACATTACATGCTGGTCATGCCAACACATTTTTTTAAACTTTTCCAATAAGGTTAGTAGTATCACTTTCAGGATTATCTTTGAATCCTATAGGACAACATAGGCACAGCAGAGAAGGAAATAAATAAAAATACACATAAAGCCTTCCAAATAGACACTGAATTAAGATTCTAAAAGGAAACCACAAATTATGCCTGTCTCTATAGATGGTCTCTGCATTTACATGTCAAATAAAGTTTAATGCCACACTGTGGAAACATTTAGGGACCTAATATTAGTCTTGTCAGCCATTTCTCCCTCAGAAATGACATATAAAGACAATAGAAGCCTTGGACTTTATAGTGTCACTTCTTTCCAGTGCCCAAAGCATTTCACGTAAGTGACAAATGCAATCATTTGTTAATGCTGGATAATACTGCTTTTATCTCCATAGTATAATTACAGCTGCCTCTTAACATATCTTAAACTGATAAACAGAAACATGTTTTCTACTTCCTTCTCTGCTCTCACTGTTAACAATGACAGAACATCCAAATGGGGAAAATGTTCAGAAGCAGAGATCCAACTTATAGAAGAATTAATGTCATCATCAACTCATGGCCCAGGGGTCCTTGCACAGACATGGCATTCTAATAGAAAATGGGCAATGGGACACTGTTGAAGGTAACTAGACCTCAAGCGACAGAATCCATCAGGCCAGTCATTCTGCACGACTCAATTTATAGACAAAACCCATAAAATTTTACAATCAGGAAAGAAAACTTCAAAGAGTTTCATCTCTTCAAAGGATCAATTTTCATAATTAAGCCCACAATTTGAGGCAGCAAAATACATTTAGTGGGAATGCGGCCTGGTGATTATCTGTACAAAATAAGCAGCTTCAACACAAAAAAGAATTTACACGTGCACACTTCTGTTTGTATAAGCAATCTTCTACTTTGCACATGAGGCCATATATTGTGCAGACACAGCTCCTTAAAATGTTCTGGAGCCACTGTGATTTAGCTGGTTGGTATTCACCTAATGTCAGTAATTAGAGTACAAGTGCTGACCTAGGGGCAAATTCAAGTTCTTTACTGTTTTACAGCTAAATACATGTATTTTAAAAAAACATAGTTATTTAAAAATTGATAGGTTTATAGTTAAAGTATTTGAGGATAAATACTCAAAAAATCTAACTTCTGTAATAGTAAGTTTACCTATGACTTGATTCGTTTTAAGTTCCCAACTTACAAACAGACCATGCTCAAGTAACCTAAATCTGTCAACAATTACTCCTTCTTACCCTGCTTCTGAAATACTTACTAAAAGGATTGCTGGGAACACCTATCAAATGCTTATAGGAAATTTGTTGTTTTAAAATGGAAAGAAAAGAACAAATTGAAAAGCAGAAATCATGAAGAGTGGCTAATTTAAAAAAAATGGTTATTGGCAAAACTAGGTTTGCTATGTGCATGTTGAACAGAGCCTTCCTCATTCTACACAGGGCACTGGAATGATTTTATCCTTTCATTTTTTCACATCCCTTTACAATTAAAAAAATAGAGATAAATTTTTAGAAAGCTTCTTCATAGCGCAAAGGGCTCTGCAAACTTCTATTCTTTAAAAACCCCCACATTTTTGTAAGGACTACATAAGATAAAATAAATTAAAATGCTTTTTAACCTTTGAGGTAGTTTATAAATGTACAATCCCCTCTACTATTGCCTAGCAAACCTAAATTATTCCTTTGCCCCCCTTTTCACCATGTGAGAACTTGATGTCTTACACATAAAAAATGCTTTAAGAGTTGCCCAGACTTAAAATAACAACTTTATCTCTTTGCTGACATGTGGCAACATATATGCCAAGTGTGCATATACAGGGTACACTTTTAAAAATGTCCATGGAAATAAAGACTGATTAAAAGAGCCAGTATATCCACAGAATTTTAGATTAACAACCTGAGCAATAGTAAATTGGGAGCAGAAGGAATTATGCAAGGGTATAATAAGTCTTTTTAAAACTTCAAATGGCTTTACAATAAGGAGGATGGTATATTTTCTTAGAAAACAATTTTATTTAATTGTTTCTTCAAGTTCTAGTGACAGATATGATTATTGCCAAAGCAGATTAAAAAATGATAAATGAGAAAAGGCAAAAATAATAGCTAACAGAACAGGGTACTAAAATTTATCATCAGTAATAAGTACGCTCATGAATCAAGATGCTAATGCTCTATATCATATGGAAAACAAATGGTGTGACTTACTATTAATTCTGACACAAAGCAAGAGACTTTCATGCATCTTCCCAAGATATTTCTAATACACTCTTTTCTAAGTAGCTAAAAACAAATCATATGATGAATGATTGAAGCAATGGAAAAAAAAAGTTTTTTTGCCTGAGGAAAATAAATATCCAAGGGGTAGCATAAGAGCATCAAGAAGGAACAACAACAACAAAAACCTGCTCTCAATTCAGACGGCAGAAAATGATAGGAAGTACAGAAAGACAGACTTCAGCAGCTCAACATAATCTAAGAAAGAACATTTAACAACTACAATCGACTAGCAGTGAAATTGATTCCTTATAAAGTTGTGTGTGTTTCTTGTCACAGATGTTCTGTGGAGTTTCAGCAGAGTTGGGCTGACTTTTTCATGGAAGTTGTATAACAGCATCTTATTTATAACTTTCTGCAAATTTATTGAATATCTATGATACACCAAGCATTCTGAATTATTAGAACCATGTGATACTGGAAAGAGAAATTTATTTTGCATAGTACCTGCCACTGATAAATGCCACATCCTACCTGTACCACTAACTCTAAACTCTTGCTTATCCTGGGAGTGCTAGGCTGCCAATCCAATATGTGACAGATCAAGACCTGCCTTTGAAGCAACACTATGATAGATGTCAAGGAACTGATAATTTGATGAGCTAACATTCTGGCTGAATGATCGTCTCATGAACGTGTTGTGTGTCTGGTCAGAGCTCTGTCTACTCAACAATACACAACTGTTTTCTTGCTTCCTACAGTGAAACCATACAAATCAATGAAACTATTTTGGTATGCACAAGTGTTATGTAACACAGCACTGACCGTATTACTGTGCTTTATGACAGACACTTCTGGGCTCCACTTGTGTTGTGTTTTAACCTCTTCTTTCCTATTTATCTTTGGTATCACCTGGTATAGAATCCTATCATCCCAGTGACCATATGTTTACCAGGAACAGCCTTGATTTATAACTGTTATCCCTGTATAATAATTGATAGAGCCTATTTCACTCTCAAAGCAATCTCAATTTAAATGCTAAATTGTATTGCCACCTACCTGTGACCTACTACATCCTAGAGTAACTATACGTAGTCCTTGCTTTGCATGGTATTATTATTGGGAAGTCATGCATGTCAGAACTGTGTCCTTGCTTTGTACAGTGAAACCATACAAGATGATGAAACTATTTTGGTATGTACAAGTGTTATTTAGACAGGCCATGCACAGTGAAGACTGCCTGTAGTCTGATATAAAGACTCCTGTGCTTTATATCAGACACTTCTGAAGCAATTATTTCTGGCAAATTGGGATTACAGGTCTACTCTAACCCTTCTTCTAGATATTGTCCAAACGGGTCAAACACTAAGGAGACTTTTGCAATTAGTATGCTAAATATTGTGCCTTACAACACAACCATTATTTTGCAATTGACCTAGTATCCTAAACAAAAGAACTGGAGCCCCTGACCCAATATGGCTTTCTTGTTAACTCTGTGTAGTTAACAACACTAATTAGCTTAACTGTGTTAGGGAATCTGCATCTACAAAAAGCTGGCCCTTTGGAATACATACAAACTTCTCTGGGTACACATCTAGGCCAGTTTAGACTTCATGATGTCATAAGCTATATATAACATTGTGTCTCGTTAGTTAATAAATTGTTTTACCCCATGAATTCCTGACCTGGGAAATATTTGATGTAGTCTATAATATATTTAGATGATATTCTAATACAGTATTCAGACTTTCTTGTACAAATCTTCAATCTACACAGATCTCAGTCATCACCATTTTTAAGTTAATTCCAAGTAATGTTTTGTTTCTATTCGAGCAGTGGACTTCCTGGGCTTAATTTGTCAGATAAATATTATTTATTTTTTACTTTTCTGAGATAGGGTCTTGCTCATTCACCCAGGCTGCAGTGTGGTGGTGTGATCATAGCTTACTGCAGCCTCAGACTCCTGCGCTAAAGCTATCCTCCCACCTTAGCCTCCTGAGTAGCTGGGACCTCAGGCACACACTACCATACCTGAAAAATTGTTTAAATTTTTATTATAGATGGGGTCTCCCTATGTTGCTTAGGCTGGTCTTTTTTTTTTTTTTTTTTTTGAGGCAGAGTCTTGCTCTGTCGCCCAGGCTGGAGTGCAGGGGCAAGATCTTGGCTCACTGCACTGCAAGCTCCGCCTGCCAGATTCATGCCATTCTCCTGCCTCAGCCTCCCGAGTAGCTGGGACTACAGGCACGTGCCACCGTGCCTGGCTAATTCTTTGTATTTTTTAGTAGAGACGGGGTTTCAATGTGTTAGCCAGGATGGTCTTGATCTCCCGACCTTGTGATCCACCCGCCTCAGCCTCCCAAAGTGCTGGAATTACAGACGTGAGCCACCCCACCCGACCTCCAGGCTGGTCTTAAACTCCTGGGCTCACGTAATCCTGCTTCAGCCTCCCAAAGTGCTGGAATTAATAGGCATGAGCCACCACACCCAGCATTTGATTCTTTTATCAATATCTGTATCTATCCTCTTGGTACATCAGGCTCCCTAGGCTAACAGCACCAAAGTTTCTGAGGTTTCAACTAAACTCCAGATATTCCAAGTTCCATTTCTCCATCCTTTATGTTTCATTTATGAATTCCTTCAAAAGGGGACCCCCACAAGTCACCATAGTGTTTGTAGGAGAAAAATGGGGAAACCCCAGCAGAAATAGAAAAGAGCACTTTAAGAAGACCCAAGTACCAACAGATTTACAAAAAGTTGGCCCCAGATATGGTAATGCATGCTCATGAAAGATCATTAAGTCCACATTCACAATTCAAGCATCCAATAATCCAGGTTTGGAGAAGGTCTGACAAATCCAGAAAATCTTCTGTGATGTGATGTGCCAGTCTTTTGGGATCAAGCAGGTCTGGGTTGAATTACTTCAGTCTAGTTTGCCCTGTGCCAGTCTTTTGGGATCAAGCAGGTCTGGGTTGAATTACTTCAGTCTAGTTTGCCCTGTGCCAGTCTTTTGGGATCAAGCAGGTCTGGGTTGAATTACTTCAGTCTAGTTTGCCCTTTCACATAGAAACCATTTAATGAGAAATGTATCTAATTACTAAATCTAAAATACAATGCTTTTCCATGTGTCTCTACATATTCTTGGATGTCTTAATTCTTTTTGTCATTTTCACAGGCTTTTCAGGATTTTGTAAACCAATTTGTTTAAGTTTATTTCCAACTTTTTTTAAAACTATTTATAATATTTACAGCATCTTAAAAGAAAAAGTGTTGTTTTGTTCCCTTGTAGGAATTCTTTCTTCTCTGCCTTTGGGAACTTAATATTGCCCTACCCATATTAAGAAGGAAGCTTTGTACACATTTTAATAGTTTTATTTTATTTTACTATTTTTGACTGCTTTAATGAATCCTTAAACACAAGGGACTCCAATTTTAAGCTAGCTAATCATTAAAACATTAAGTCAACAAACTGATATTACGTGAAGAAATGAGTTTGTTTGTTTAATTGGTTAGTTTTATTGTTTTTCCCCTTTCTTCCTCCATCTTTTCCTCTTTTTTCTTTTCTTATTTTTCTTCTTTTCTTTTTTTATACCTGGGATCCAAAATCAGTAGGCAGATTTCTGCTTTGAAACCTATGATAGTAAATGGAAAGCAGAAGCTTTTCCACTCACAGAAACTCCTATTGAGGCTCAGAAACTGATACCCTGAAATATCAAACACCCTGAAATACAGTGCTTTAACATGCTCAACTAAAGAAGCAAACTCAAGGTCTCTCTGACCTCCTGCCTACCCACCCTTGTCTCAATCCTCCATCTCTCCCAAAACACAGGATGAGGCTCTTCTCTGATGTCCCCTTATTTACCTAGAAACACAAACAAAATTATTTTTGATCTCTTCCCTGAAATGTCATTAATCAGAGAAGATTAAAATTCCTCTTACAAAGGAAGAGACTGAAAATTAAATATCACACCTAGAATGTAGATGAACTTTGTCCCAAACTACTGTCTGTTCTTAGACCCCATTCAATTCCCAAAGAGAATCATTTACAAACCATTTTATAGTCTTCAGGCCCATGGTTTTACAGCAACCTCCTCCGTGCACCCCATACACGCTTGCTTCTCCTCCAGTGAAAAGGGTATTTAAGCATCAACCATCTGGCCCTTTCTTTCAGTTTTCAATATTTTGCATGACTCCTGTGCACATAATACATTTGTTATGCTTTTCTCATTAACCTGTGTTTTGTTTTATAGGAGTATTGGCTGTGACTCTTTATGATTGGGAGGAAAGAGATTTCTCCCTTTCTGCCTCTAAATCCCCAACTTGCTGAAACTTCCCTACAATAGATTAGCTGAAGTTGGAATCACATAGGCAGGACTGATGCTCTTATGTCACTGTGTATCTATATACACACAATGGTATATCTATTCCAGTTGTCTATAACTGGTATCTTTTAAAATTGAGCCAGCATCAGGTATGATTGGTTGATACTTATGCTATATTAAACTTCACTATACTTCTGCACTGAGAATAGATTATTATTAATATCTTGGCTTTCATGGCCACTAATTTGCCCATAACACCGTACATTAGGGGTCCCCAACCCTCAGGCTATGGACCTGTACCATTCTGTGGCCTGTTAGGAACTGAGCCACACAGCAGAAGATGAGTGGTAGGGAGCAAGCATTACCACCTGTGCTCTGCATCCTGTCAGATCAGCGGAGGTATTAGATTCTCATAGGAGTGCGAACCTCATTATGATCTGTGCATGCAAGGGTTCTAGGCTGCGCGCTCCTTATGAGAATCTAATACCTGGTGATCTGAGGTGGAACATTTTCATCCCAAAACCATTCCCCCACTCCCAGCCCCTACCCCCACCCCACCCCCCAAGTCCATGAAGAAACCGTCTTCCACAAAACCAGTCCCTGGTGCCAAAACTGTTAGGGGCTGCTGCTATACATCATTATAACGCTGAATGTGAGCTGGAAAAATTGCCAGGCCAAACAGGGATATTATAACACACAATCCAATGCACCAACAGGTAATACAATTGTAACTGAGTACCCTATTTTTTCCCTCAACAAGTACAATTTTATTTATTTATTTTTAACTTTTATTGTAAGTTCAGGGTACAAGTGCAGGTTTGTTACATAGGTAAACGTGTGTCATGGGGGCTTGTTATACAGATTATTTTATCACCCAGGTATTAAGCCTAGTACCCATTAGTTATTTTTCCTGATCCTCTCCCTCTTTACACTCTCCATTCTTTGAAATGTGTTCATTGTGTTCCCTCTACATGTCCATGTGTTCTCATCATTTAGCTCCCACTTATAAGTGAGAACATGTGGTATTTGGATTTCTGTTCCTGTTGCTAAGAATAATGGCCTCCAGCTCCATCATGTCCCTGCAAAAGACATGATCTTGCTCTTTTTTATGGCTGCATAGTACTCCATCATGTAAATACACTACATTTTCTTTATTCAGTCTATCATTGGTGGGCATTTAGGTTGATTCCACGTCTTTGCTACTGTGAATAGTGCTGCAACAAACATACATGTGTATGTGTTCTTATAATAGAATGATTTATATTCCTTTGCATATATACCCAGTAATGGGATTTCAGGTTGAATGCTATTTCTGTCCTTAGGCCTCTGATGAAGTGCCACACTGTCTTCCACAATGGCTGAACTAATTTGCACTCCCACCAACAGTGTAAAAGTGTTCCTTTTCTCCACAACCTTGCTATCATGTGTTTAAATTTTTCTTTCTGTTTTCCTTTTTCATCCTTTCTTAGTAATGAAGTCATAACCTTTGCTCCTTCTTCCCATCAGGCATCTCCTGAGCAATGTTTCCCTTATCTAATTATATGCTTGCTTCAAAGTAAGTTCTGGGGACTGAATCTTAAAACAATCTGGGCACCTGTGGAATTCTGGCCCACCAGGGGATTACCTCAAGGCTTTAGTTAATTTACAGCCTGACTGTGCCCAGGAGGGTTCTAGCCCACTTACCAGATGGGACAATAACTCAAGATAAGTCGTTGGAACAAGTCTCATAGAATAGCACCTCCTCACCCTCCTTGCATGCCCCGCATTCCAAGCACTCCTTTTTAAGTCTTTGTTTTTTGTCCAAAATTTGAAATGGTTTCTTTAAGGTAGGAGCCTGGACCATTTCTTCACTGCTAGCTTTGGAAAATAAAGTCATTTTTCTTCCACTGAACCTCATCCTTGTTATTTGGTTCTGTGAGTGTTGAGGGACTGGACCTGCGTTTGGTTACACAATCAACATAAGTCATAGAGAAAGGACAAGCATAGATATCAGGAGAGACACTGACTCAAACACTGCATGGTACAGAGCTAACAGTAAGAATTCAATAAATATCATCCAGGCTCACTTTTCATTTGTTACATGAATATCTTTTTTAATAATATAATAACCCTATGAAGTCAATACTCTTATTATGTCAATGTTACTTATGAAGAGACTGGCATTGACCCAGCATGGTGGCTCACACCTGTAATCCCAGCACTTTGGGAGGCCAAGGTGGACAGATCACGAGGTCAAGAAATCAAGACTATCCTGGCCAACATGGTGAAACCTCATCTATACTAAAACTACAAAAATTAGATGGGTGTGGTGGTGCACACCTGTAGTCCCAGCTATTCTGGAGGCTGAAGCAGGAGAAGTGCTTGAACCCGGGAGGCGGAGGTTGCAGTGAGCCATGATCACACCACTGCACTCCAGCCTGGCAACAGAGCAAGACTCCATCTCAAAAAAAAAAAAAAAGAAAAGAAAAAGAAAAAAGAAAAAGAAAGAAAAGAAAAGAAAGAACCTAGCATTCAGAGAAGTTAAGGAATTTGCCTACAAATCTATTCATTGATGTTACTTTTCTGAGGTTTTCTCAATCCCTGTGACCTCCGCTGATCTCGATCAGACCATGTGCCATCCACCACTGCTCCTGCTGCCCAGCATGCACTATGAGGGTAGCTGCCATCTTTTGCTTTTTAAATGCTATTTCTAAACATCTCTGACCAGTGAAGTTTGGACACACTGATCCTTTCCACTTGTCAGTAAGCTAAGTTCTTGTTGCTTTTGACATCTTTAACTCAGCACTTGAGAATTTCTCTTATTCTTCACTGTAGCCTTTGACTTGATCAATCTTGATTCTGAATGGTTAAAGTCCAGCAGGCAGAAGGTTGGTAATTTAAGGCATTACTTTAATGAAGTGGTGGATAAAATATATTTGAATGCCTTCAAAGTACAAATAGAAGGTAATTTGCATCTTCTCTAATAATGTGTGTTGGTATTTGTGCGTATAAATATACACATAAACGTATATATATCTATATATGAATACAGATATATCTATTTTTAAGATTAGAACATATACTCAGGAAAATAAAATTTACAGATGGGAAGAATTTGCCATCTATTTCATTGCTATCCTGACTTATAACTCCCCTTAGTTAAAGACATTTGTTTTGGAAGTTGTCAGTTCTTATGTATAATCCAGTGTCTCAGAACACACTACAGAGTGCCATTTTTTAAAGAAAAAGCAAGAAACAAGTATAAAGCAACACATTGAAGACAATAGACCTCAGTCTAGAGTGATCTCCCGTTAGCCATCTGTCAATTTAAATAAAACTTCTTGCACAACAAATTTTTTTTAGGCAAAGACTTGACTAAATAGATTTGACCTTTCCTTCTTTCTGTCCACTTTCAATTCACTATGAAAGAGTTTAAGACAATTGGTTTGACATTATGAGCCAGGTCCTCTAAGTTGCTGTTATAGATAAAGCAAAGCAAAACAAAACACCACTGACAAGAGTTCTTTTTGAAGATAGCTTATGAGATTTTTATTTACCCCAATCCAATGATAAGAGTAGGTAGATCCAGGTTAAAGCATATATAAAATATTCAAACATCATTGCCTCTGTCTTATAGGCCATAGCCACATTCCTGCCATACCACAGCAGTAGCAACTGGTAAAAAAGCCAAAGTAAAATAACAACAAGATACCACTACATACCTATTAGAATAGCCAAAATCTAGAAAATCTGACAGCACCAAGTTCTAGGGAGGTTGTAGAGCAACAGAAACTTTCATTCATTGCTGGTGAAATGCAAAATGAGACAGACACTTTTGAAGACAGTTTGGCAGTTTCTTTCAAAGCTAAACAGACTCTTATTATAAGTGATCTAGCAGTTGTGCTCCTTGGTATTTACCTAAAGGAGCTGGAAACTTATGTCTACACAAAACCTGCACATAGATGTTTATAGCTTTATTCATAATTGCCAAAACTTGCAAATAACCAAGTTGTCCTTCAGTAGGTGAATGGATAATAAACTGTGGTGCATCCAGACAATGAGATATTATTCAGCACTAAAAAGAAATGAGCTGTCATCCATTAAAAAACGAAAAAGGAAACTTACATGCATATTATTATACTAAGTGAAAGACATCAATCTGGAAAGGCTATATGCAACATGATTCCAATTATATGACATTCTGGAAAAGGCAAAACAGTGGAGACAGTAAATAGATCAGTAGCTGCCGGAGGTGAAGGGGTGGAGGAGAGATGAATAGGTGGAGCATAAAGGATTTCTAAGGCAGTGAAAATGATCTGTATGTTACAATGGTGAGTACATGTCATTACACATTTTTCTAAACCCACAGAATGTACGAGAGTGAACCCTCATGTAAACCATGGACTTTGGGTGATTATGATGTGTCAATGTAGGTTCATCACCAGTAACAAATGTACCATTCTGCTAGGGGATTTTAATAACGGGGGAGGTTATGCATTAGTGGGGACAGGAGGTATATAGGAAATCTCTGTACCTTCCAACCAATTTTGCTATGAACCTAAAACTTCTATAAAAATTAGCCTTAACGAAAAGGTCAAGGTGACACTTCTCTGTGCATGCCTATTCCCACACCTTGGATAAGGTCTAGACAGCCCATTGAAAAGGAGGCTCACTCTGTTATCAACCAGCTGTGTTTTCAGCACCACATAAAACTGATTTGATTGATTCTTGCTCAGTGAATTGGTCAAATTATTTAGCTGGTTTAGTATAGGCTTCTGGATCTAAAGTGAAGTCTTAAAAGTATTATTTAACTTTTGGGGGAGAAAAGAGAAGCAAATGTCCATCCGATTTGTCCTTGCTTGGGTAGTGGTGTAAGAATAGCTGGCTGATCATGTGTGCACCGATGAATGTTCTTAGGTACTACTACCAGAAAAGCAAAGTGAGTTAAAATAAGAGACAAAAATTCATCCAGAATGTTGAACAATAAGCATTTTACTTCATCAAAATCTTTGAAAGCAAGAAGGAATTCTTGCTTACTTAATCCTTTAAAACAAATTAAAACTTTAAATAAATTAAGTGAATTAATTAATTTACCTATGGTAATGACACCTATCAACAACAGTGAATAACACCTCTGAAATATTTCCTAAGCATTCTGAAAAGTAGTAACACCTGATATATAAATATTTTGAAAGCATGTCAGGAAGAATTCAGTATTTTTTAAAGATAAGAGAAATGATACTTTTACATAGATATCTTGGAAATTCACATCCTTTTTCTTATTTTTTTTAAGTAGTGGATTATATTTCCTGACATAAAATTGATCCAGTCAAAAAAAGTTTGAATATTATTAATACATGTATTCATATTGAATTCTCACATCTTTTCAATCATTTCCTTGACAAATTGAGTATTGAATACAAATGTTTTTTCAGAGAGTATTACTGGTTAATAATTTCAGTGATCTTTAAATCACATACTCTTACATATATATTCATAAATATGTACTTTATAGTACTTTCACGTATATAAATATGAACTTAAAGATCAAAGTCCTATAATTATATATATTTATACAATTTTGTGTGTGTATGTGTATAAAATTATGTTAAAGCAGGTTTTGTTGTTGTTAACAATCTAATGTGATTTAGGCTCTTTTTTATTGCTTCATGTGCTAGACAGGCCCAAATAAAAGACAATTCTCCCATTTCCTTTGCTTTTACTTTCCTGTTATCTCACTTATAGTACTCTGTTTGAAGTCTGTCTTCCACACATTAATAAAACATTTCTTGCATTTTCCTGCCCAGCAAACTTCATATCAAAATACAGGAGCGATCATGTGGGAATCTCGCTGTCATTTGTCTTCCACACAGGCTTAACTGAGCTGGCTTTGGGGCAGATTTGTTAGGCTCCTGATGATGATGGGCTTGTTTGGGGATTTTCTTTTTAGTAACCTTGCCCTATGTATGTGAAATTGAGCCCAGGATATAGTTGATTCTTCTAAAATCCTCCCAAGAGCTACTATCTGCAGATAATTTTTCACAGAGAGTCATACAGCTCACAAATCTTTTGGACTTTGATTTTGATACATCCTTGAATTACTATTTAAATGAAGAGGAAACAAAAAATATGAGTTCTTCAGTATATTTGCTAAGTAGTTACTGAGCACCTATATTTTACATAGCACAAGTGGGAAAACTAACATTTGTTGAGTACTAAGTATTTTAGATGAGGATCATTATACTTGCCGTGATCCTTTGAATTAATTTGTCTTACTCATTCTTAAAGATGAGCACTGAGGCTGAGAGAAGTAAATGAATGACCTTCATGAAGCTTGTAATGGTGTCAAGATTCAAATTTTAGGATTGCATATTCTAAAATCAATGCACTTTTATGCACGGTATTCCAAAGGATAAAATAGGCAGTGTCTTCCCTAAAGAGCTTCTAAAAATAGATGTAATTAAATGATAGCCCAAGAATCAATCAAATATATTACATAGAAAAGTATGGATATAGTTAAATGATAGCCCAAGAAACAATCAATCACATATATTACATTAAAAAGTATAGATATACCAAAAAGCATCACTAGGTTAAATGCAACAGATTGATATAATGTAATGAATGCTTGAGAATCAACATTACGGTGGTTTGAAATGATCAAAATAGAGGTGAGAGAGGAATTGGACCTAGAATTAAAGGTAACTGGAAAGGCAACTGGAATTAAAAGTAACACAAATTGAGGAGAGGGACAAGAAATTATGATATAACGATAATTAAGAGAGATGTTATAGAAGCAAGAATGACCAGCTTTATTTTAAGAGACAGTGAATAACATACACTTGCCAAAGAAAAATGTAAAAAAAAGAATAGTGGCAGATTTGATTTCAAAGGTCATTTTATGGTTGGTTATGTCAAACTTTTAAGACCTAATAGTAATTTGGACACTACCATATAGGGGGAAAAAAGGGAACCATTGAAGATTGGTGAGTATGAAAAATGACATGATGAGAACAGGATTGAAATTAGTCTGGAGTACATGTGCAAGACATAAAGAAAATGAAAGAAAACTAGAAGCTAGAACCTGAAGTCAGGAAGCTGGGTAATACTATGCAGGAGGGAGTGAAAAAGTGTATTGGGGAACACAAGAAATGCTTAGGCAGGAATCTTCGCATTGATACCAATATGTGGGCCATTCTTAAAGGTCTGATGTTATCATAAGTAATCTTATTAGTTTATGTTTTATTTTTAATTGACTGGCACATATATTAATTGTAGATTTTATAACACAGAGCCACAAACCTTTATGCTAAACATAAAGTAATTATAGACTAAAATGTATTTTCAAGGCTTTATTAAAATTTAAATTTAAAAAAATTGTAGATGTCTTTGAAAAGAACAGTTTTTTTACTGGTTTCTGGGAGGAGGGGGCTAGAATTAAATATCATATATCAATATTAAATTTGGCCCAAAAAGTACGTATCAGCAGACTTGAAAAATAAAACGTTAAATGCACACATCACTTTTATTTTATCACTGTCACAGACAATTTTCTAAAATATGATCCTATTTTAAGACTACTAAAGTGTCAGCTAAATAATGTTACATCAGGACATTTGGATGAAATAATAAATAGGTTCTTTGACCTACAATGTTAAATTGTGAGTTAATATTTATTTTACTACCACAACAGAAATATTAATTTTTGAATGTAGTGATAATTCTTATTATCAAGTTAATCCCCTCATATATAACTGACTGTAAAGAAATGTTGTTCCTGAATCTATTGTATAAGACTCATAATCTATTCTTAAATATGTTTTATGCTCTTATTTATGAGCTTTTTATCATTATAATTCTCAAATTTTAAATAAGATTTGTAATTTAAACTTCTCTAATCTAAATGTGACTATGTGTAGTTGAGGCTATGTGATCAGAAACAGGCAAATGTCTGCTTCCTTGAAATTTCATCTAACAGTAATAAGATGTGTGTCAGTTATGAATCTTAGCCAAATTTCTGGATAATGTTAAGTCTCAATTTATATGGAGCTACTTCATTAGATAAGCAGACTTTTTAGAAGCCAGACCTCCCAAACAAGCATTTGTAATAAAGAAAAAGGGGCTGTTAATAGTAATTCCCTCATTGTTGGTGGTAGAATTTTCTATTTATGTTTGTTTTGGGGGGATTTTATTTTTAGAACCAGCAGATACAGAAGATATTTCTAATAATGAAATGGAGGAAAGGAATATAAAAAGTTCAGAAATGAGGAACATCATTTAGTCCTCCTCATCCAAAGTACCTATAATCTAAGTATATAAGCCTGAGAGGTTTTTTTTTTTTTAAAAAAAGTTGTAAGTTATGTTGTATCTTATCCATGATTATTCTGGATAAGAATGGCCAATAATAAAATGATGATATTGAGGCTGATGATGATTATGATGATGATGATAGTCCAAAAACAAAACATGTTATTTAAAAAATATTTTTGATTGTAAAAGATAAGGGAATTGAGGTGATAAGAAATAATGAAATCACCCACTAATAGCAATGCTGGGACTGTTCTATTTTGACTCGGGAGTGTGAGGAAGATTAAACCTATGTATAAAGCCAAGAATAAACCACTGACCTTCCAGAAAAAAAAAGAAGATATGATTGGTTTTTAGTCCTTCTTTCCAACAGTGATTTCCAGGAAGCATGATATCATTTTTCCTAATCTTACCTACAATATTACAATTTGGAAACATCTTTATTATGCTTTGTTCTAAAATATAATCATTGCTGGACCAGCCATTACAGTAGATAAGTGAAATTTATTATACCATATATTAGTAATATTACACTCTAATGTATATTGTTAGATGTGGACGAGGTACATTCTTAAACTCCCTGGTGGGGAAGCTCTCGTACATTATCTCTTATTCTCCACAAGCTTGATTCTCACAAGTATCAACATAAATGTAGAAACAGCCTGCTTGAATGTTTGTTTTTGAGAGGCCCAGGTTCCTGCCTCTCAACAGAGGTCTAATACTCAGACCAACAAAAGATTGTGATTCTTCACTGAAAGTCAAATGCCATTGAAAATATAGAACCCTGACCACTAGATCTCAAGATACTGAAAGGCTGGTAATCTGATAACAAAATTTTATTTGATATTGGAAAATATTGTTTCTTTAAATATTGCTTTCAAAGAGCACTACATATTTGTTTGGTTGTTTTTCAAATTTCAATTTGCCACACTGAGTGTTCCTGCATGATCCACAGATACACAGTATCTGTGTCCTTTTCAATTTTGCTGACCACTGAACCTATTATGAGGGATATGAGCTTCCTACACAGAATGGGCAGGTGAGTGAGCCTAGCATCCATGAGCACACACCTTTTCATCAGGCTTTGTGTTTGTACCTTGAAGTGGGTTATTACTGAATCCAGACACTTTAGAAGGTCCCTGTGGAATAAAAAGTCCATTCTACAGGTTGTAATATATAAGATAAAGTTAGAGTTCTAACTGTTCTCTGATCAAGGACAGAAAGCGAGTTTACATTGTACATTCTTAACAGACCTTCTTTGAAACACCTTGATCTCGATTCAATGTTACTAACAAAGTTGTTGAATGAAGAAACCATCCCCAAATCTCGTAAATGCAGTAAACTGTATTAGAATATGTTCGAACTAGAAATCTAGTTCACTACATTATTAAATTGGATGCCAACAGATAGGAAAAAGTGATTATGACATTCAACAAATTATTGTCTGCCTTTAGGTAACAGACAAATAAATAAGCCCAGATATCTGATAACCATTTAAATTTCCAATACAGCCACAATAAATCCCCTAAAGCTTAATTACAATAAGAAAAACCAAATACTAAAGTGTCTAATTAAGAGCATCCCTTAACATATGTTCCATAAAATAGAAATTTGCCAATATATGTACTATTGTCTCTGAATTAATTGCTTTATATTTTTTATTGTATCATACCAACAAACATTACAATCATTCAGTGCATGAATTTTGTCTTTATTCATTCAACAAAGATGGCTATTTCTATTTTTCTTCATGCTTAAATGAACAGTACAGAGTATGCAGATGAAGCTCAATAAGTAATTATTAACTAGGCTTGCCTACATGACACTGTACTAGGCTCAAACAATACTTTCAAGAATTGACATCTGTAATCAAGGTGTGGTATATCACTTCAGGAAATGCATATTATTCTTCGTAATGCTTTAAAAATCTCAAGAAAGCGTATGCTTTCTTCATTACTCTCTGTGAAGGCCATTACTTCTGCTCATAAGTATGCAGTTGATTGCTTCAAATATATTTGTGAGTAATTCTCAAAGTTTGTGAGAACAGTTTCTTTTGTTCAGTTTTCTTTCTAGCGCTCCCAAGACACATAAACTTTCACACAAGTTGCCTCTCACAGCAGGAAGTTCTACTGTGTCATAGAGAGAAAAACATAACAGTACCAACCAAAGACTTGACTATACCCTTAGCTGTAAACAGCAAAGCATTTGACCAAAAATGAATTGGCCAAAGCTGGAGCAATTTGAACAACAAAATAAATAGTAATAAGACTGTATTACAACCCAAAGAATAAAATAAATATCCATTAATCCATACTGATATCAATAAATGATTAAACAAACAAACTGGGGAGGTGGGATAGCTGCTCCTTAAAGAAAAATTCTAACTTAAAAATGTTAAATACATGAGGAAAACAGAAAGTCACTACTGAAACACTTCAGTAATACAGCTGCAAGCAAGATTTACCGAAGAATGCTAAATTAAAGAGAAACAGAAAGTCTACATAGCCTCAAAGTACCTCCCTCAACATATTTATTAATTACTGTGGTGATTTTTAAACATAGCAACATATTTTATGACACACATTCTTTGATGCTCCTCTTTAGAGGATGAAGCTAAATCCTTCTCTCCTTGAGTGTGGGCTGGACTTAGTGGTTTATTTCTAAAGAATATAGTACAGAAAGGGAAGAATAGTGACTTCACAGTAGTGAAACCTGGCAGGTACCACCAGGTTATCAAGGTCAATGTGGCTTGTAATAAAACATTGATATCCTGAACCTTTTTATTTAATGAGAAGAATACTTCGCCTCTGTGTATTTTTTCTCGAAATTCATAACCTCAGTCTAATCATCAAAAAAATCAGACAAACCCTAATTGAGGGACATTTTACAAAATACATGATCAATACTCTTTAAAATTGTCAAGATAATGAAAGACAAGAAAAGGCTGAGGGACTCTCACAGATTGGAGGAGATTAAGGAGATATGATCACCAACTACAGTGTAATATCGAGGCTTGGACACTGGAGCAGCAAAATGGCATTAGGGGAAAACTGGGGAAATAGGATTAAATCTATAGTTTGGTAAATGGTATTGTAACAATGTTAATAACTTAGTGTTGACCATTTTACCATGCAAAATGTACAAGATTAACTTTAGGGGAATAAAAGAGGTCACTGTACATTTTTTTTTTTTTTTTTTTTTTTGGCGACGGAATTTCACTCTTTTCCTCCAGGCTGGAGTGCATCGGCGCGATCTCGGCTCACTGCTACCTCCGCCTCCCAGGTTTAAGTGAATCTCCCACCTCACCCTCCCGAGTAGCTGGGATTACTGGTGCACGCCACCGCACCCGGCTAATTTTTGTATTTTTAATAGAGACGGGGTTTCACCTTCTTGGCCAGGCTAGTCTCGAACTCCTGACCTCAAGTGATCTGCCCAACTTGGCCTCTCAAAGTGTTGGGATTACAGGCATGAGCCACTGTGCCCAGCCTCTGTACCATTTTTATAACTCTTCTAAAGACTAAAATTATTTCAAAATAAAAAATTTTAAAATTTTTGGAAGGACTCTTAAGTGAAAAACCTTCTCTTCAGGCAGGTAACGTGTCATTTATTCAATCATTTATTCCTAGAATGCAAACTTCATGAAAGCAGGGAATTTACCAGTTTCGTTCACCACTATAGCCCAAACATCTAGGTGTAACATATCATGAGGGAAATTTTTAAAAATTTGAGCTATAACAAAAACAAAAACAGAAATAAAACACCATTTAATAAAGTTGACTTATCCTTATATCTTAAAAGTAAAAAAGTAATGACCGTAACAACAGCATAAATCATAGATATGAAGGATATTCTTAAACTGTCCCTTTTTTTTAAAAGCTATAAAGTTCTCATAAGACATTTCTCATTTTCCTAGTTTTGAGGAGCTGAGATGAATTTACTGACAAGGAATCACCCTGCACCTTGTTTCAAGGCCCTTTAATCATGAAGTTAGATATCACCTTCTGAAGATTTAATAAATAGCTACAGTGGCTTGGGGCAATAGACAACCAGTCGGTATGGAAAGTGATCTGGAACTTGTTACCGATCACCAGGAACTTGTTAAATGATGTACTCTGTGACTGATGGAGGCTTTTGAGTTAACACTCTGCAGGAAGCTGACAGGGCACAGGTTACACTCTGCTTTATCTTCAAACAGGTTTTAGGAGGAAGGAAAAATAGGAGGGAGATTACAGACACCTCTGGTGAGAATTCCTTAAATGTGAGAGAGTTTCACCCTGCTGTCAGAAAGCTTCATTCCTGACACTTTCCTCTATCTAAACAGAATCATCTTTGGAGCGTAAAAATGACAGGATATGGCTTTTCAGTCAGAGGAAGGGTAACTATTGGTGAAGTGATTTAATCCCTGTAATCTGACACAACAAGGAAAAAAATAAATAAATATTCAGACCCATATTCAAAATGTGCTACTTTGGAGCCAAGACACAAATAATATGTCTGCTTGGCAACTGGATTGGCCAAAGTAAATAATATTTTCTCTTCTGCTTCTTACCTCTCCATAATATATATATGTAGATATAATTCTTGCTGAAAACCAAAAAGAACATACCATATGATTTTTTTTGCTAATCTCATAAAATTACAAATAAAACTTTCATAGAATCATAACATCTGCTTTAGCAGTATTTTGGAGAAAAGCCATCTCTGCAGAATCACATGAGGACATACAGCTTAATGTGCAACTTGCCTTTCACATTTGGCGTTCACATTGTCTTTGAGAGAGCTTGGAGAACATTAGCAATAAATGTCAGATGAGGAATACAAAACCTCTGGACAATATGAAGACTTTTGCCTTATGTTACTGATAGTATTATCAAAATTGAAGTATAGTGTTATTAATTTGTTCTTAAATCCTATGCTAAGGCTTTTTAATATACTTTTTCTTAAGAAACAAATGGTATGACTAAATGTACAATGGAATGTCCAAAGAGTTTGAACTTTGTTTTCAAGCTGGAACTACTTGAAGAGTATCAAGTTAGAACTCTACTGGCAGATTGGAAAAGAGCCTGGTGCATCCTATGCCTTTCTTCTGTCTCCGTCTCTACTTCCAGAAAGCCAGATCATACCTAAATATTTCTCAAACGTAGCCATGTCATTCCATTCCTACTGCTACCACCCATGTCCAGGCCTTCATTTTTCTCATCTCCAGTCTTGCTTATATCCATCCATTGGCATTCTGGTAAACAAGCTTTGCAACGACAATAGCAACATGAAAACCAGTAACAACAAAACATTTACTTGTGGTGTTTGCCATTTCCAATACATAAACAGTCCTACCATTGCCAATTTCAAGCTACCAACAATTTAACAACCAGTAAGATTCCTAAACCTTTGAGAATTGACTCTCCTATGCCAGCTCAGCACACCACTGTCTCAATGCAGTACCCAGTGCAGCCAGTCATCTGTAATCTCCTTGCTTAAGAACCTTCAATATCTCCCACTTCCTTTAGCACTAAGTCCCAAATCCCTCTCTAAATTGACAAGCCCCCTACACTCTGGCCCACATCCACTTCTTTTTTTTTTTTTTTTTTTTTTGAGATGGAGTCTCACTCTGTCTCCCAGGCTGGAGTGCAGTGCGGTGATCTCGATTCACTGCAAACTCCACCTCCTGGGTTCACACCATTATTCCCCTGCCTCAGCCTCCCGAGTAGTTGGGACTACAGGTGCCCGCCACCACGCCCAGCTAATTTTTTTGTATTTTTAGTAGAGACAGGGTTTCACTGTGTTAGCCAGGATGGTCTCAATCTCCTGACCTCATGATCTGCCTGCCTCGGCCTCCCAAAGTGCTGGATTGCTGTCCCTCTTTTAACCACACACCAGCTACACTGTTTTGGTTTGCTTTTGTTTTCTAGTTCCTTTAACTTATCCTGGTATCTCTGGTCATTGAGCCATCTATCCTTTGCTCCCTGCTCTGTTCACTTTAATTACTTCTACTCCTTAGGTCTCAGTTTAAACAGTCAACATCCAGGAAGACTCTAGACATTGTAAATCAGGTAAGTATCATTCTAATGTACATTTGTATGCTTTTCTCATATCAGAAAACTCCCCAAAGTCCCTCAGGATTACTTGTTTTACTACCTTTTCACTCACCAAACTCAAAAGGTCTTCGGAGCCATGTCTTTGAGATCATCACTCTTTTCAGGGTCTAGCAATAGTGCCTGGCACCTAGCACACCTTTACCTTTTTATTAAATGGTAATTAAATGGGGATTTTTATCTGATATACCTGATCCTTAGTACAGGGCATATTTATAAATAAAAGAAATTCATAGCTATATTCAGTTGTATTATAACTTTTGCCATTAAGAGTCAAGTAAATTCCAAAAGAAAAGGTTTTCCACATTCTCGCCACCAAAATATGGTTTAAAAAGCAATATATTCTGAAAGCTTAGGTCTTATGAAATCAAAGTTATGTAGCTTATGGCAATGACTAAGGAATGCCACTCTTAAAGGGGATTTCAGAGTATAAAACAGGAACACATTCTTCCCTAGTCCAGAGCACACACTTTTGAATCTTGGTTCAGGGCCTAGAACCCAGAGATGAATTCTTATAAACTTGTCAAAGCTAATAAACAAGAGATCTCTGTATTAAGAAAGAAGTCAGAGCAGATGATCTTCGTGTTTGCGTCCAATTCAAGAGTTCTAAGAATACATAAAATAAATATGGGTGGTAGGTGATGGTAGATTAATATTCTCTTCTGCCTCCACTTAGTCTCTTATCCTGGCACCCTGGCAGTGACCCTGAATGTTAGGAGAAAATGTAACTGCAAATAGGGACACACTTCCACTGAGCAGTGCCAGGAAAGAAATAGGGTAGCATAGTGAGAACAATTTTGCTTTGCAAACCATCAACCTCTTCTTTAATGTTAGTGTTGGAAAAAAATTATCTTCAGAGACTCGAGGAACTAAAGATACATGTAAAAACAAAACATAAAATGCTTAAGACATTGTGTATGTGTATTCTTAAAACTTACAGATTCCTAGATGTGGATTCCCACATAAATCAACCAAAAATATTAGAGCAGTTTATAAAGAATGCCTTATAAATATTACAATGTATTTTTGAAATCTCAACTAAAATTATAACCCCACAAATAAGAAACAGCCCTCTTCCTTTCAGGATGTGAGTGCCGAATACCTCCTATTAGGAGTCTAAAATTAGCTCTACTTGTGGTGTTGGTGGTATACATCTGTCTATGATATAGTCTGTGTCCTCAGGATACACACAGTATAATAGAAGAGATACATAGTGGAAATACTTGTAATTCAGAGTGATGGGTACTGTCATAAAGATATGTATAAACTATTCAGGAACAAGGAGTGAATACCACGTGTTTCCTTTTAATTAGTTCTTTAAAATGCCACAGAATATTTTCAAATAGATCTTACATTATATTATATGTCTCCCTCTCAAATTTTAACATACCAGATGCATTATTAGATTAAATTGGCATATTGATTTTAAATTGTATTGCATTTTCAAAAATGTTTACATGTGAAAAAAAGTATTTGTATAGAAGTAAAGAGATAAGTGAAGAAAACTAACTTCAAAATGAAAGCCAAATTCTTCTTAGATAGGTAATTCTATTAATGGGGAAATATTACATTACAAATATATCTGATAAGTGATATGGTTAGAAAGGTATCTTTTCCTCCAGTGCTTAGGTTTTGGCTGGGCAAATTTGGGGTGAGGTGTGGGAATGGTGACAGCACTCTACAATTTAAGGAGGGACTGGAAAGATAGTTTCCAGGGCAAACTCATTTGTGAAAGAAGTAAAAATAACAGAAAAAAAGGGTAGGAAAGTAGGGAAACACTGATAAGAATATTGTGAATTATTCACCACGTTCAACCTAATCAACATATCCATCACCTCCCATAACCTTTTTTTTTTTGTGCTGAGAACATTTAAGATCTACCCTCTTAGCAAATTTCAAGTGTATGATACAATATTGTTATTCGTAGTCACATTGTTGTACCTTAGATCTTTTTAACTATATATAATTTTTAAATAGTTAACTGTATCTCAATAAAGTTGGGAGAAAAACTTAAAATTTAAAACACTGTGAGCTTGTCCTCTAATACATAAAAACCCAGACATTTTCATCTTGAATTTTACAAGAAAGGAGTGGGGAGCATAATGAAATGTGAGATATAGACAGGGCTGGGTTCACGGGCATGCAAACTATATGATCACCCTACATGTTGTTTAATGCTCTGCTGTTGTCATCTTAAAATTCCTAATAATCTTTGGAGGTATATTTTGTAGGTGAAATCCAATGAGACAATGGAGCTTGTGCGTGAGCAGAGGAGATAAGAGCAATATGCATATCTGCCATTTTTGCTGCCCTATTTGCATGCAATAGTTTCAATGTCACATGAGTGTAGAAATCCCAGGGACCTACCCTGCATGGGAGTTCAGCAAGACTCAAAGCATGAACAAGGTACGCATATTATGTCTACTCTTGAGAAAGTGGGGCCATTGACAACCCTTAGAAATCACAGTGTCCAGTCAAACCATAACTTGCTTAAAATGCAGAAAGAGGGCAATAATTTTCCAAAAAATACAAATAATCAAGAAATCTATCATATCACTTACATTGCTTCTCTGTATTAGCTGACCCTTATGCTAAAAATGTTAACATTATGGGGAAGATAGGCAATACATAGTTCCTTTTCCTTTCAGTTATTTTTTATTCATCAGTAAGCCTAAGATAGAGAGTGTTGGTAGAATGTGCACACATCAAGAAATGGAATAAAAAATAGCTGAGTTAGTTTTGTGCAGCATTTCTGTGGTTCTAGTCATAATTACATATATATGCATGGATGAGTTGTAAAAGATAAATTGTATAGTATCAGTGATTCTACCTATATAAATTAAATGCTGTAATTTGGCATTAAAGCTGGAATTGCATAATGTAAAGAACAGTAAAACTCATTCTAATAATTTACAATTTTGATTTTCTTTACTTAGAACAATGATAAATAACAAAAAAAATACCATAACCAGTAGAGAGAAAAACTACAGAGGTGAGAAAACTTTTACATTTTACTGTGTTTAACAGCAATTTATTTCCTGCTTTATGTGTTTATTTTTCACTAGGCCTCAAAATTAAGTAGCAGGCCTTGGATGTATAAGGTACAGGAAGGGAGAAAGGGAGGCAGCAAGATGAAAGGAGAGGTCTAGAAGTCTCCTGGACACATACCCAAAGGCAAAGCAAGGGATGGAGGATTACTTCCCAGGTTCTCAGGTGACTTCAGCTCAGAGTGATTTTCTTCTCCAAGCTGTGGTTAATGAAGTTTTTACATATGCTAAATCACTATATATTATGTATTTGATACTAATAAAAATGTAAACTCATTATTGGCAGGAGCTATATTTTAATCTTTACATATGCATATTCTCTTACAATGATGTCATTATTAAAGATTTGTTAAAGTATTTAACTTATATCTGTTGAGTCTACCCTCAAGATATGTCCAGAATCTGAACATTTCTCCCAGCCTCTACCTCTACCAGGGCTGGCCCACCACCATCATATCATACCTGGATTATCACAATGGTGTCCTAACTGGTTTCCTGGATTTTGCCCCTCCTCCCATTACATATCCTTTTAGCACAGCAGCCAGAGGGATTCTTTCAAAATTTAACTAACAGATTAAATGCAATCCCTGTCAAAATGCTAATGACATTCTTCACAAATTTTTTTAAATCCTAAAATTCCCAAGGAACAACAAGACCTCAAATAGTTAAAGCAATCCTGAACAAAAAGAACAAAGCTGGAAACATCACACTACCTGACTTCAAATTATACTTCTAAGCTATGGTAACCAAAACAGCATGGGACTGGCATGAAAATAGACACGTAGACCAGTGGAACCCAACAGAGAACTCAGAAATAAATCCACACATTTACTACAGATTTGACTGTGTCTCTACTCAAATCTCACCTTGAATTATAGTTCCCATAATCCCCACGTGTCCTGAGAGGGACCTGGTGGGAGGTAATTGAATCATGGGGGCAGTTACCTCCCTGCTGTTCTCATCATAGTGAGTTCCCATGAGATCTGATTATTTTATAAGGGGCTTTTCCCCCTTTTGCTTGACAGTTCGCCTTGCTGCTGCCATGTGAAGAAGGATGTGTTTGCTTCCCTTTCCACCATGATTGTAAGTTTCCTGTGACCTCCATAGCCCTGCAGAATTGTGAGTCAACTAAATCTCTTTTCTTTATAAATTACCCAGTCTCTGATATGTCCTTATAGCAGCATGAGAATGGACTAATACAGTAAATGAGTACCTCAGAGAGTAATATGCTGCTATAAAGATACCCAAATATGTGTAAGCAACTTTGGAACTGGGTAACAGGCAGAGGTTGAAACAGTTTAGAGGACCCAGAAGAAGAAAGGAAAATGTGGGAAAGTTTGGAACTTCATAGAGACTTGTTGAATGGCTTTGACCAAAATGCTGATAGCGATATGGACAATGAAATCCAGCCTGAGGTGGTCTCAGATAGAGATGAGGAACTTGTTGAAAACTGGAGCAAAGGTCACTTTTCCTGTGCTTTGGCAAAGAGACTGGAGGCTTTTTGCCCCTGCCCTGGAGATCTGTAGAACTTTCAACTTGAGAGAGATGATTTGGAGTATCTGGTAGAAGAAATTCCTAAGTGGCAAAGCATTCAAGAGAAAGCAGAGCATAAATGTTTGGAAAATTTGTAGCCTGACAATACAACAGAAAAAAAAATGTCTCCAGAAAAATCCAAGCTGGCTACATAAATTTGCGTAAGTAATGATGAGCTGAATGTTAATCACAAAGACTATGGAGAAATGTCCCCAGGGCATATCAGAGACCTTCATGGCTATTCTTCCCATCACAGGCCTGGAGGCCTAGGAGGGAAAAATGGTTTCCTGTGTTGGGTCCAGGGGACCCCTGCTATGTGCAGCCTCGGGACTGCATCCCAGCCCCTCCAGCCATGGGTAAAATGGGCCAAGGTACAGCTCAGGATGTTGCTTCATGGGGTGCAAGCCCCCAGCGTTGCCAGTTTCCACATGGTGTTGGTCCTTTGTGTGTGCAGAAGACAAGAATCGAGGTTTGGGAACCTCTGCCTAGATTTCAGAGGATGTATGGAAATGCCTGAATGTCCAGGAAGAAGTCTGCTACAGGGGTGGAGTCCTCATGGAGAACCTCTACTAGGGCAGTGTGGAAGGGAAATGTGTTGTCAGAGCCCCCACACAGAGTCCCCACTAAGGCACTGGCTGGTGGAGCTGTGAGAAGAGGGCCACCAACTTTGAGCCCCAGAATGGTAGATTCACTTCCAGCTTACACTGTGCACCTGAAAAAGCTGCAGACAGTCAATGGCAGCCCATGAAAGCAACCAGGAGGGGAGCTATACCCTGCAAAGCCAGAGGATGGAGCTGCACAAGGCTGTGGGAGCCCACCTCTTGCATCAGCATGCCCTGGATATGAGACATGGAGTCAAAGGAGATTATTCTGGAACTTTAAGGTTTAATGACTGCCCTATTGGATTTTGGACTTGCATGCGGCCTGTAGCCCCTTTGTTTTGGCCATTTTCTCCCATCTAGAA
This sequence comes from Homo sapiens, assembly GCF_000001405.40. Lineage (NCBI taxonomy): Eukaryota > Metazoa > Chordata > Mammalia > Primates > Hominidae > Homo > Homo sapiens. Next base: position 107,078,377 of record NC_000008.11, on the reverse strand, counting down.
TGGTTGTATTTACCCAGTGCCTGTACCCCCATTGTATCTAGGAAAGCTAACTTGCTTTTGATTTTACAGGATCATAGTTGGAAGAGACTTGCCTTGTTTCAGATGAGACTTTGGACTTGGACTTTTGAATTAATGCTGAAATGAGTTAAGATTTTGGGGGACGGTTGGAAAGGAATGATTGTGTTTTGAAATGTGAGGACCTGAGATTTGGGAGGGGCCAGGGGAAGAATGATATGGTTTGGCTATGTCCCCACCCAAATCTCATTTTGAATTGTAGTCCCCATAATCCCCACGTGTTGTGAAAGGGACCCAGTAATTGAAGAGGTAATTGAATCATGAGCTGGTAACCTCCATGCTGTTCTCATGATAGTGAGTGAGTTCTCATGAGATCTGATGGTTTTATAGGGGGCTTTTTCCTGTTTTGCTTGACATTTCTCCTTGCTGCTGCCATATGAAGAAAGACGTGTTTTCTTCCCCTTCCACCATGATTATAAGTTTTCTGAGGCCTCCCCAGCCCTGTGGAACTGTGATTCAATTAAACCTCTTTCCTTTATAAATCACCCAGTCTTGGGTGTATCCTTATAGCAGCATGTGAATGGACTAATACAACAACCAACTCATTCTCAACAAAGGTGCCAAGACTATGCATTAGGGAAAGGACAGCCATCTTATAAATGGTGCTGGGAAAACTACATAACTACATGCACAGTGAAACTAGATCCCCATCTTTTACCATATACAAAAATAAATTCAAAATGGATTAAATACTTAAATTTAAGACTTAAAATTTTGCTAGAAGAAAACATTAGGGAAATGCTATAAGACATTGGTCTGGGCAAAGATGTTTTGGGTAAGATCTCAAAAGCATAGGCAACAAAAGCAAAAATAACAAATGAGACTACATCAAGCTAAAAAGCTTCTGAATAGCTAAGAAAACAATAACAAAGCAAAGAGACAACCATCCCAACCACAATCAACAAAGTGAAGAGACATCTACCTATTCCTGTCCTGTCCATGTGGCAAGGGAGCAAAATAAGAATATATAAGGAACTCCAATGACTCAATAGCAGAAAAAACAAATAACCCAGTTTTAAAATAGGCAAAAACCTGAATAGATATTTTTCAAAAGAAGACACAGAAATAGCCAACAGGTGTAGGAAAACATTTTATCATTATTAATCATGAGGGAAATACAAATTAAAAGCACAATAAGCTGTATCTCACACCAGTTAGAAAGGCTATTATCAAAAATACCAAAAAACAACAACAAATGATAGTGAGAATGCCAAGAAAAGGTAATATTCATACACTGCTGGTAGGAATATAGATTAGTACAGCCATTATGGGAAATAGTATGGAGTTTCTTTAAAAAACTAAAAATAGACCTACTATATGATCTAGCAATCCCAGTGTTAGGTATATATCCAAAAGAAAGGAAATCAGTATATCCAAAATATATCACATTCCCACGTTTGTTGCAGCGCTATTCACAACAGCCAAGATATTCAATCAACCTGGGTGTCCATTAACATATAAGTGGATTAAAAATGTGATATAGATACACAATGGAATATTATTCAGCCATTTAAAAGAATGAGATCCTGTCATTTGCAACAACATGGATAGAACTTGAGGTCCTTATTATAAGTGAAATAAGCCAGGCATAGAAAAACAAATATTCCTTGTTCTCATTCACATTGGGAGTTGAAAAGATGGATCTGGATCTCGCAGAGGTAGAGAGTAGAATGGCAGGTACCTGAAGCTCAGAAGGGTGGGGGTTGGGGGTAGATAAAAAGAAGTTGGTTAATGGGTACAAAAATGCAGTTAGATAGAAGGAAAATGTTCTACCATTTGATAGCACAGTAGGGAAATTATAGTTAACAATAATTTATTGTATATTTCAAAATAGCTAGAAGAGAAAAATTAGAATATTCCCAACACAAAGAAAAAGATAAATGTTTAAAGTAATGGATATCCCAATTACCCTGAATTGATTATTACACATTGTAGACATATATAAAAATGTCACATGTACCCCAAAATATGTACAACTCTAACTTATCAATAAAAAAATCTAGCCCTTAATAAAGGATTTAATATCAAAAAAATTAATTCAGATCATGTTGCCCTTCTGCTGAAAACTGTTATTAAAGCCCATTCCGTAGATTGACTCCAAGTTTCTATACATGATCTGGCCCCTGCTACTTTTTTGAATGTATCTTTCCTACCTTCACTTATCACCAGCCACACTGACTTCTTTGCTTCCTTGCTGTTTCCTAACACACAGACATATCCTTGCCTGGGGACTTTCACAATGGTTCTTCCCATCTCTTTGAATACTCTTCCCCCAGATACCTCTGTACTTTGCTCCTTCACCTCTTCTTTGTTAAGCCATTCTCATTTTTAAAGTACAACTCCATTCCCACCCAAAGCATTCCTTCTTCCCTCTTCCATGCAGTATGATTCCCCACAGCACTTAGCCCCAGCCAGCCAGTATGTATTTCTTATATTTATTTTAAATTGCCTCCGCCCAGAATGTAATCCCCATGAGGGTGAGGACTTTTTTGTCTGTACTGTGGAATGCTATATCCACAGCATTTACAACACTAACTGACATTCATTGAGAATCCAATAAATATCTGCTAGATAGATGACTAAATGAACACCAGATGATTTACTAGCATGCTTATAGGTGATCATGAGTCTCCAAGAAGACTGTGTTTCTGTATTTTATACCTTTGGGGAAATAAGTGTTTAGTACCATATGTCAATATAAACTGTCATTTTTCTTAATTTTTTTAAGAAATATACTTCCTTTTATATCTTCACCTTGATTGTAGTATATCCCTTGTCACCAGAGAGTGGTGAGGTGTAGAGTACCACACTGCAGATATTTCAGAGATTCTAGAGGAGCTGTCAGGGGCTTGTAATCCAGCAGCTTAGTCAAGCACTTGCCCTGATTAACACCTTTGAATATGCTCAGCATGTCTATGGTTTCGTTTTTGATGCTGGTGTTGACTTTTCTTGGGATTCTTAAGCCAAGTGGCCTCTTCTGCTGCTGAGGTGCATTTGAGCATGAGAACTAGCCATGCAGCTCCCATGCAAACATGTTTCTCTTGATGCAAGCAACTCTTAATCCCACTTTACAAATCTCAGTCTAGCTATGAATACTAGGAATGTAAAAATTGAAAAATATTAAATATTATATATATATGCTTTAAAAAATACAGTTGTCTTTAGACAACTATAAATGTGCAAAAAAACCTGATTCATAGTTCTTTAAAATCTTCATAATCAAAGTATTTTCTTCCAGAAGCCAAGATGTGTATTTTCAGAATTCTTTTCTTTGCAAATAACAGAAACCCATCTCAAAACAGATGAAGAATAAAATGATGAAGACTAGGAATAAAAATGGCTACTGGAATATCTGTAGTGAAATAATGCTATATGAGTCTCTCTCCTTCAGACAATTCTCTTTTTTGTGGTAGGCAAGATGGCTGACCTATATCCTGCCAACTTATCAAGCCCAATGGAGAGTAATAGTTTCACTAATATTTATGGTGAAAAGCTAGAGAAGAAGTGTTCTGACTGAGATTACATGCCACTTGTCCATTCCTTAACCCATCTCTTTAGCTAAAGGGAGAAATACTCGGATTGATTGGATATGGAGGTCATGACTACTCTTGTAATTGATGAGTGGAGTGAATAGGGCTATCTCAGCCACAGAACCACAGGAAAAAGTGCTTCTTATACTGGAAAGGTCTATCATAATTCTCAATGTAATCTGTCATAGACCAATCACCTATTATTTAAATACGATTTCTAGGCAAGTTTCATGATTCAAATCTCCGGAAAAGGGGAGGCTTTCAGAAGTCAGGAGGTGGATAAAGTGGTGGTCTGGGTATACAGACAGGGTCTACTGGATTCATTCTATTTGTAACAGACAATGCTCACTATGCCTAGAGCTCCCATATTTTTTTTTCTCTTTAATCTTCAAAACAACTCTGGGAGGTAGATATTACTAGTCCTCATTTTGTGGCTGGGAAAGTAAATTGCCCAAGTTCACAAGCTTGGTCACATAAAAATTGGAGCCCAATTCTGAACCCAGATCTAATTCTGAAAACCATGTGCTTTTCGACATAAGGTAATATTCTTAGTTGGAAAATGCTGATGCCCTGACAAAAGTAGAGGTTTTATTTTGTTTTCTTTCTTTTGCTTTCCTATTAATCAGAGCATGTTACTTGTTAGAGGTCAACTTTGAGAAAGTGACCCATTTCCAGGGTCCAGGAGCATGGGTCCCAGAAGGGCTGTGAGATCATTAGCATTGAAAGCAGCAAGAAGGACAAGAAAGGCGTTCAGGTGATCTCAAGATGGAAGACACCCTGTTCCTCTATAATCATAATATTCAAGGGATGGAGATTTGGTAAGATATTTTATTTCCATATGTAATTGATAAATATATTATTTGTCATGGATTTTATATTAGTTGGTATGGAATGTAAGAGTATGTTATTCACTTATGTAACTACTATTACTGAATTTTTACTATAGGTTAAGCATAAAAAAAAGAAACCTAAGGTCATAAAATATCTAATGAAACAATAAAGACATAAACCAGTGCTAAAGATAAAGAAAGAAAGGTACAAAAGGAAGAGACTATATGAGTCTCTTCATAAGCAGAGTCTCACATAGGCTACCTTATGTACTTTGACCATTCTCATCCTCGTAAATGTAAAGAAAGAATGTGTTATGGACAAGTTCAGCTCTTGTTATTCCTTCTACAAAATTACAGTACACTATGAACAGTATAGTTTCTGTCCAAGTGAAAACTTCCCATAATTACGATTCTGGCATTTTACTATTTGAAAAGAAAAATCTAATTTCTCTACAGAAAAACATGATTTCCAAATTAAACCTGGAAAAGTTCAAAATGCATACTCTCTCTGTTATTTGGAGTGGCCTTCAAGGATGCTTAGTTGGAACCACTAAAGAGCAAAGTTATTTATTTTTAGTTTTTCATTTTTTAAAAAAGTATGTGCATATAAAGACCCCAAAACCCCAAAGGGAGCTTCACAGTATTGTCTAATCCAGAATAGACATTGTCAGTATCCACAAATATTTATTCACAGAAACCTTCAGTTTCTCAATTCCTACAGGATTAAGTCCTGAATCTTAAATGGCATACTTGGCTTTCTGCATTCGGGTTCCTGCTTACCATTATGTCTTGCCTAAGTCACATCTTCTCCCTCCTTCAGGATCCAAAGGCCTATTTGCTATTTTCAAATATCCTGTTGTGGGTGGTTTTTCATTTTGCCTCTATGCCTTTATCCCTTTGGGAACAATGTCTGTCACTTTTAGAACTAGGAAACTCTAATAATGCACCCTTCAAATTTTAACTCAAATACAATTCCGGATGCTGTTACCAAAGGAAAAGAAAATCAACCTAACTATCTGCTCTCCTAAAAAATTTTTTGTCATACCTCTAGGACAGATATTTTACTAAATTATTTTGCATTAAATTATGTTTAATTAACTGCATTTAATTATATTTTCCTTGATTTACTTAATTTAGGTCATTAATCTGCAAGTTTTTCAAAAGCACTGTTTTATTCATTATCATGCTTTCAACCCCTAAGGGTGCTTTTGTATGAGACTAATTACTCACTTCATAGTTGGTTAATTAATTCATTACTTTCCTGAACTACATGCTAAACAGTATTCCAATCAGTCAAGATAAAAAGAGACAGAAATAATGCCTCTGACTCCAAGAAGTATGCAATCTGTTTGCAAATGGAAGGTACACAAAATTCATGACAAAATAAAAAATATTGATATAACACATACCATATACCAGGGACCATTCTAAGTGTTTTAAATGTATTAATTTGTTTAATCCTCATGATAGTACCTATAAGGTAGATGCAGTTTTGCTAGTGAGAAAACTGAAACAGAAAGAATAGGGAGTTTGTTCAAGGTAAGCAATGTAAATGGAACAAAATCCCAGGCAGTCTGGATTTAGAGTTAATTTCAATCTACGTATTATACCATAAATGACCTAATAATACCAAAAGTTAAATTTAGTTAATTACATTAAACTAAAATGACTTTAAGTGTAAAATAACTACACATTCAACTATTAACACATGCAAAATATCCATACGAAAATATTCTATATTTTAATTTGAATCAAGGGCTGTGCCTTCATCCCACGTATCCTCTCAAACACCATTAAACTTGTAGAAACTCCTAACAGCTCCTTCTTAAGGTCCCCCATTGGTACCAACTGCCACCTACTTCAACCAGGGAAGCTCTGCTTTTTAAAAATTGATACATGATAATTATATATATTTATGAGGTATATATATTTTGATAGATGTATACAAATACATAATGATCAAATCAGAGTATTTAGGATATCCATTACTTCAAAACATTTATCATCTATTTGTGTTGGGAACATTTCAAATCATTTCTTTCAACTATTTTGATATATACAACAAATAATTGTTCAATATTGCCACTTTACTCTGCTATAGAATTGTAGAACTTATTGCTTCTATTTTTTATGCACTGGGGCTTCATACAGGATTTTGCCCACTGATCAAGTAAAAGGTACTTTGGAAATCACTGTTATATTAACATATATAAGTATATGTAAGACTCAGGACTAGCCTCAGACAAAAAAACAAAAAATAAGTAGAATGTTCCTTCCGAGATCACATAGCTCCCTTCATCTCCAACTCCCCATACTGCCAACAACAGCACCACTCTCCACAGCCACTACCAACTGCACATGTGGTTAAGCCAACCCTTCCTTGAACTAGATGGGAGATACTCCCCAAATCTTGCCTTTATTAACCATCTATGTCCTGAATTTTTCAACCCATCTCCTCCCTCTTCCTTGGTCAACACCATTTTGATATCTGTACTTGATCCCCTCTTTCTTCTCTATTAACACTCACTAAACCTTGGACTTGATGCTAAGCACATGCTTCCTTCAATACTCTCTATTCTGATCTTGTTTCCCATATCATCCCAAATGTCCTGGCCCAGGACATCATGCTGGTACCAGTCCAGGTCACTTGTATTCAGAAGAAAATAGAACATCCACAGGGTCTTGATTGGGGCTATAGCATTTGCTGATCAGAGATGTCTCAGCTTCTATGACTTTATATTTTACAGATTCTTATAAAGTAAAAAAATTGGATTTCTGTTGGTAGTTTGAAGCACTGCTGGAAGTCTGGGTTCCAGAGGCCTATCATCAGAATTGATTTTTCTGACCTGCCATCTTTTCCAAACTCATGTAAAAAGGAATTATAGTGTCACCCACCTCTTCTATTTTATCATTCTTTTTCTGCTACGGTGTCTGTAAATACAAGGCTCTATTTATAGGTGGTACTGTTCTTGGCTCCAGAAACCATGAAGAATGGGCTTTAAAATAGGGCTACATAAGTTAAAATACAGACAGAAAGTAGAATATCTAATCAACAAGACCTTCAAACACTTATATGAGATTAAAAGACAAAGTCTTATAGGAAATTAAAAGTACCAATAGGCTGACACTGGTATCATAAGTAGCATCATATGTAGTCTTTTAAATAACTCTTAACAATATTTTATGTTTAAGGAAAAACAGAATGGCCAAGAACCTAGCTATTCTAATATTTCTGAAATCCGGCTTGTGGCTTACAGAAACACATGTCCATTGGACTTAGTAACTGAACAAAAGACAAGTGCTGCTGGATGGTAGATAAGATAGATGGATGAATATAAAATGTATAGAAAGGGAGAGTGCTGGAAAAGCATCACAAAAGTAGAAGCTGAAATTACCTGACCATCAAATTCTAGGAAGTCAATCTAGTAGACACCCTATTATAATGTTGTAGGAATGATGACAATCTTTTTGAGCCAGGAATCATGCGGTCCCTAAGACAATTAGGTAGTTTGATAAGATGCAAAGACCTCTGTAAACAATACCAATGCAATAGAATAATTCTGATATATTGGAGAAGATTAATCACATATATATCTTTAAAAACCAGAAGATGGGAGGAAATAATCTCAGAAGGAGTATCTTCTCATACAGAGAACAAAAACAACATGCTTAATAGTCATTCAATTTTTTAAGGAAAAATTTGAGAGCATCTTAATAGGGCTTGGGAGTCACCCATCTGACCATATCCATCTTCTTGCAGTTATTTAAAGGTAACTTCTTTCCTTCTTATTTTTCTTCCTTCTTCCCTCAACCCCTCTCCTTCCCTCCTTTCCCTTCCTCTTCCTTCACCAAATATTTATTACATTTGCACTCTATGTCAAGAACTTCGCTAAACAGTTCATATCTTTATGCAATGGGTCTTGAAGCCATTAGAGCCTAGGATTGAATCCAACTGTGTAACCTTTGACAAGTTGCTTAATCTTTAAACTGCTATAGCTTCATTTGTAACCTGAGAATGGTAGTTACTTATCTATCTCCTAGGTTTGTGGGAAATATTAAATGAGATAATCCATGTCAAGGATTTAGTATTATACTTGGCATGTGGTAATAATCCAATAAATCTTAGCTATTATTATTGTTATTTTTAAGATTCATTGTGGATTCACTATCTATGATCTACTCCCTGAGGCTGCTTTGTAACCTTCCTCTAGGGTTTCATAGCATCCTATGTGTATGTGATCTATACTGTAATGCACTACCCAAAATTCCCTATAAGAAAGGACTTGCTTCTGAGCTTATAGGAAGTGTGGTCATGAGGCAGCCTTCAAATGTCAGCTTCAGGGTCTGCCTCAGCTACAAAGAGTGACCTCAGCCTCACCCAAGGTCATGCCTTCCTCGGGCAGCCCACATCTAGCCACTGAGTGAGACAAAGATTTAAAGGCCCAGGCTGACGTGGGACAGCTCTAATGGGCAATACTTGCCCCAGAAGTCCCACCATGTTGCCCAGTGCTTTGGCAGACCTGCAGCACATTTTAACTTTCCTCCCTGCCCATTTCTATTTCCACCCCCATCTTTTCACAGGTGTTTAACCCTAATAAACATCTTGCACCCCAAACTCCATCTCAGTGTCTGCTTTCTGAGAATGTAACTTAGGACCACATCATAGCTGTGCTCTGTTAGTTGGCTTATTTCTCTCTAACTCACTGCCTGAACTGTATGATCCTTGAGGACAGGGAAAATCTTATTTACCTTTGTATCCCCAGCACCTAACAAGTGATGGTTAAATAGAAAACACTCAGTCAGGATTTGTGGACTGAATGAATAAAAAACAAAGTCAACTTGAGAGGCAATTTAAAATAAAAACAGTATGTTCAGGGAAATTAAACCATCATACAAATAATTAGCACATTTCAAGTTAACTAAAATGTTTCCCATGAATGAGGTAGCAGTTCTTTTCTAAACTGCATGTACAATGTTAGAGGAAGTAAATTTTATCAGTAAACTCAACACTGCTCTGGACATAATCTTCTTAACAGCTGCAGCAATTCTTTCTCTTTCCACCACTTACTACATGTACTTGAAGAAGTCAAATAATGAACAATGTATGTACGACATCTGGTGGCTCCCAGATTATGTTACATCGACCTTGCCTGGAGTCTGAGCCACAGAGGTTGGTGATCCTGTTAGCCTGAGCCTTTTCTTCTATTGAAATCCTACACAGCATTAACATGGGTCAGTCTGCCTGTGCTGGCAAGATGGGAGCTATTAAATTTGTCAAAGATTCCAGTTGTGATGAATATAACAGCCCCATTTTTAAATCCTTTGATTTATATTATCTTTAGAATTAATAATCACTCATCCAATGAAATGATCTTGGTCTGGGCCTCTAGCCAATTCTGTCATTGAAGGCGATAAGACCTAATAGCTATAAGCCTTATATCAATCAGCTTCAGACCCAAGGGAAGTATGTTGCCCAAATGAGCCACTCCCTTCTAATTCCTTGCCATCATGACTGATGCTAGCAAGCATCTTCATTACATTGCTGCTGTTATGGTCTGCAGAACAGATTTACGTGCTACAGTTAAGACTACAAAACAAGATCTCATGGTACTTTTTCAACCGGTGTTGAATTAAATTTAGATAATTTTAAAAATCTATACAAATATTACATGACCTAATGCAAACTTATGCAAACATAACCATCTATAGGTAGAAAGAGTAGAATAAAAAGCATACAAGAATTTTATATGTTGTTGATGATATTATTACAGTATTATACTCTGGTGACCAACACTTTGACTTGATTTAAAAATACTCTGAGGGAAAAAAATAGGAAGATCAAACTTTTGTTAATAACAAGTTGCAGATTGAAGGTGAAATTATCTTGATTTGTATTATTTGGATAATTGACTTTATTCTGCCCTTAATTTTGCTAGTCTTTTTATAGCTTGTGTTGACAAAATATAAACATATGGAGATATAGATCATACATCAGGAAAACTAGGAGAAAAAAATCAAATCAAAATGTAGGAAACATTAACTAAGTATCCGAGGTTTCTTCAGGATGCAAAAGAAATCCACTAAAGCTAGGTAAATGTTTGGTGCAGTTCACATGGGTTGGAGCATATAGTACTTCGTAGTGGGCTAAACTATGGACCTTTCTTTGAACTACAAATCCACAAGAATAAGAACTGATGAAAAGGGTCAGTTAAATCGCCACGGAAATCCAGGCATTTTTACCCTCTTCACTTTCAAAGTTGACAAGTGTCATTGGGTTGAGGTCAACCTTGGTGTTCAAATAAGAATGCACCTACATTCCTTATAATGAAAGCCTAATAAATATTTTTAGAATATGTTATTAATAGAAACATCAATATATCTTCAATCTTTTAAATTTTCTTATACTGTTAATAAACATGGAAACTTTTTTCTAACAATGCAATGATACTGGGAAATATTTCTTTATTAGTTTTCATCTAAGTACATGAATTGCCTAAATTATAATTACCAGAATTTGTTGATCATGGTTCAAAGAAAAGCCAGGAGATTTTCTGGATTAAGTTACCTCACCGCTTATTTTATTCCACTTGATTTACAATGACTTGTGTATAATCTCATGACTACACAGTTTACCATAAGAGTTTGATTAGTCAAGAAGGATATGAGACAATATTTGTTCTTATTGCCTGTTGCCTGCTAAGGACTATGCCATCAATTCATGGATAGTAAACTCATCCAGATATGGGATATACACATGAAGCTCTCTAATTCTCTCTTTATTTATCATGCCTATGTTATCATGCTTATATATTTATCATGCTTATTGAACTTTGAACTTAAAGTCTTTTTCAAAAGTTACTATCATTGTTTCCTATCATAAATAGACATCTATAGAAATGAAAAAGGCTGAATTTGTATTTGATTCTTAAATCCCCAAATTGTATCTTATTAAGCAAAATTTTAATAAATGACTGAAAGTACAGACTTTTAAAAAGAGCTGATGACCTCATGAAAATCAAACCATAATTCTAATTTTACCTTAGAAATTATAAAAATTTGGAAGGAAAATATATACATATGAACACAATTAGTTTTCTTTTATATATGTCTACTTTTTCTGTTTTAATTATAAATATTTAAGGTGTACAACAGGATGTTTCGATATATATACACATAGTGAAATGATTACTACAGTCAAGAAATTTATCCTATCTATCACCTTCCATGGGACCTTCTAGTCATCACAGTGTACATTAGATCTCTAGAGTTATTCCTCCTACTTATCTTAAAGTTCGTACCTTTTTGTCAACATCTGCCAATTTTCTCCCCCTCTCCCTCCCCTGGTAGGCTCCATTCTAACCCTCTGTTTCTATGCATTCTACTTTTTTATGGACTCCACATATAAGTAAGATCATGCAGTATTTTTTATTTCTGTTTCTGGCTTATTTCACTTAGCATAACCTCCTCCAGGTTCACCCAGGCTGTTGCAAATAGCAGAATTTCCCTCTTTTAAAAGGCTGAATAACATTTCACTGTGTATGCATATATGCGTGTATGTATCACATTGTGTGTGTGTGTGTGTGTGTGTGTGTGTGTGTGATATCTCACATTTTCTTTTTTCATTTGTCAGTGGACACATGGGTTGTTTCCATGTTTCTGCTATTGTGAAAAATGCTACAATGAACATACAAAGGCAGATATCTTTGAGGTGCTTTGCATATATATCCAGAGTCATATGGCAGTTCTATTTTTAATTTGATGAACAGTATAAAGAAACTCCATACTGTTTTCCATAACAGCTGTACCAATTTACATTACCACCAACAAGGTACAAGTGTTCTCTTTTCCCTTCACCCTCACCAGAATTTGTTATCTCTGGCTTATTTGATAATAGCCAATCTAACAGGAGTGAAGTGATACCTCATTGTGGCTTTGATATGCACTTCCCTGATAACTAGTGATGATGAGCATCTTTTTATATAACTGTTGGCCATTTTTATATTGTCTTTGGAAAAAATGTCTATTCAAGTCTTTTGCCCATTTTTAAATTATATTATTTTGGGTTTTTGCTATTAAGTTGTTAGAGTTCCTTACATACTCTGAAACACTTATCAGATATATATTGCAAATATTTTCTCCCAGTCCATAGGCTGCCTTTTGATTTTATTGATTGCATGTTTTGCTGTACAACAGCTTTTTAGTTTGATACAACAGCTTTTTAGTTTGATACAGTCCTAATCCTTTATTTGTGCTTTAGTTGCCTGAGCTTTTGGTGTCATATTAAAAAAAAAATAATCGATTGCTGGCAAGATGGCCGAATAGGAACAGCTCCAGTCTGCAGCTCCTAGCAACATCAACACAGAAGACGGGTGATTTCTGCATTTCCAACTGAGGTACCCAGTTCATCTCATTGGGACTGGTGGGACAATGGGTGCAGCCCATGGGGGGTGAGCCAAAGCAGGGTGGGGCGTCGCATCACCTGGGAAGCACAAGGGGTCAGGGAATTTTTTCCCCTACCCAAGGGAAGCCATGAGGGACTGAGCCTGAGGAACTCTGGCACAGATGCTGTGCTTGTCCGACGGTCTTCGCAACATGCAAACCAGGAGATCCCCTCTGGTTCCTACCACACCAGGGCCCTGGGTTTCAAGCACAAAACTGGGTGGCCATTTGGGCAGACACCGAACTATCTGCAAGAGTTCTTTTTTTTTCAATACCCCAGTGGCACCTGGAATGCCAGCGAGACAGAACCGTTCACTCCCCTGGAAAGGGGTGCTGAACCAGGGAGCCAAGTGGTCTGGCTCAGCGGGTCCCACCCCCACGGAGCCCAGGAAACTAAGATCTACAGGCTTGAAATTATCACTGGCAGCACAGCAGTAGTCTGAGATCCACCTGGGATGCTCCAGCTTGGTGGGGGGATGGACATCCGCCATTGCTGAGGCTTGAGTAGGTGGTTTTACACTCACAGTGTAAACAAAGCCATTGGGAATGTCGAACTGGGCGGAGCCCACTGCAGCTCAGCAAGGCTGCTATGGCCAGACTGCCAGATTTCTCTTCTCTGGGCAGGACATCTCTGAAAAAAAGGCAGCAGCCCCATTCCGGGATTTACAGCAGACTTAAACGTCCCTGACTGATGGCTCTGAAGAGAGCAGCAGACCTCCCAGCACAGTGTTCGAGCTCTGCTAAGGGTCAGACTGCCTCCTCAAGTGAGTCCCTGACCCCTGTGTGTCCTGACTGGGAGACATCTCCCATTAGGGGCTGACAGACACCTCATACAGGAGAGCTCTGGTTGGCATCTGGCAGGTTCCCCTCTGGGATGAAGCTTCCAGAGGAAAGAACAGGCAGCAATCTTTGCTGTTCTGCAGCCTCCACTGGTGATACCCAGGAAAACAGGGTCTGGAGTGGACCGCCATCAAACTCCAGCAGATCTGAAGCAGAGGGGCCGGGCTGTTAAAAGGAAAACTAACAAACAGAAAGGAATAGCACATCCATTCAAAGACTCCATCCAAAGGTCACCAACATCAAAGACCAAAGATAGATAAATCCACAAAGATGGGGAGAAACCAGCACAAAAAGGCTGAGAATTCCAAAATCCAGAATGCCTCTTCTCCTCCAAAGATCACAACTCCTCACCAGCAAGGGAACAAAACTGGACAGAGAATGAGTTTGATGAAGTGAAAGAATTAGGCTTCAGAAGGTGAGTAATAACAAACTCCTCCGAGCTAAAGGAGCAGGTTCTAACCCAATGCAAGGAAGCTTTGAAAAAGTTTGGACGAATTGCTAACTAGAATAATCAGTGTAGAGAAGAATATAAATGACCTGATGGAGCTGAAAAACACAGCACAAGAACTTACTGAAGCATACACAACTATCAATAGCTGAATCCATCAAGCAGAAGAAAGGATCTCAGCAATTGAAGATCAACTTAATGAAATAAAGGGAGAAGACAAAATTAGAGAAAAAAGAATAAAAAGGAATGAACAAAGCCTCCAAGAAATATGGGACTATGTGAAAAAAACAAATCTACGTTTGACTGGTGTACCTGAAAGTGATGGGGAGAATGGAACCAAGTTGGAAAACACTCTTCAGGGTATAATCCAAAAGAACTTCCCCAATCTAGCAAGAAAGGCCAACATTCAAATTCAGGAAATACAGAGAACACCACAAAGATACTCCTCAAGAAGAGCAACCCCAAGACACATAATCGTCAGATTCACCAATGTTGAAATGAAGGAAAAAATGTTAAGGGCAGCCAGAGAGAAAGGTCAGGTTACCCACAAAGGGAAGCCCATCAAACTAACAGTGGATCTCCCTGCAGAAGCTGTACAAGCCAGAAGAGAGTGGGGGCCAATATTCAACATCCTTAAAGAAAAGAATTTTCAACCCAGAATTTCATATCCAGCCAAACTAAGCTTCACACATGAAGGAGAAATAAAATCCTTTACAGATAAGCAAATGCTGAGAGATTTTGTCACCACTAGGCCTGCCTTACAACAGCTCCTGAAGGAAGCACTAAACATGGAAAAGAACAACTGGTACCAGCTGCAAAAACATGACTAATTGTAAAGAACATTGACACTACGAAGAAACTACATGAACTAACAGGCAAAACAACCAGATAGCATCACAATGATAGGATCAAAGTCACACATAACAATATTAACCTTAAATGTAAACGAGCTAAATGCCCCAATTAATATTTACAGACTGGCAAATTGGATAAAGAGTCAAGACCTATCAGTGTGCTGTATTCAGGAGACCCATCTCATGTGCAGAGACACACATAGGCTCAAAATAAAGGGATGGAGGAAGGTCTACCAAGCAAACAGAAAATTGACCACAAAATTGGACGTAAAACACTCCTCAGCAAATGCAAAAGAATGGAAATCATAACAAACAGTCTCTCAGAGCACAGTGCAATCAAACTAGAACTCAGGATTAAGAAAATCACTCAAAACTGCACAACTACATGGAAACTGAACAACCTGCTCTTGAAAGACTACTGGGTAAATAATGAAATGAAGGCAGAAATAAAGATGTTCTTGAAACCAATGAGAATGAAGACACAATATACCAGAATCTCTGGGACACATTTAAAGCACTGTGTAGAGGGAAATAAAAGCACTAATTGCCCACAAGAGAAAGCAGGAAACATCTAAAATAGACACCCTAACATCAAAATTAAAAGAACTGGAGAAGCAATAGCAAACAAACTCAAAATCTAGCAGAAGACAAGAAATAACTAAGATCAGAGCAGAACTGAAGGAGATAGAGACACAAAAAACCCTTCAAAAAATCAATGAATCCAGGAGATGGTTTTTTGAAATGATCAACAAAAGAGATAGACCACTAGTCAGACTAATAAAGAAGACAAGGGAGAAGAATCAAATAGATGCAATAAAAAATGATAAAGGGGATATCACCACTGATCCCACAGAAATACAAACTATCATCAGAGAATACTATAAACACCTCTACACAAATAAACTAGAAAATCTAGAAGAAACTGATAAATTCCTGGAAACATACAACCTCCCAAGTCTAAACCAGGAGGAAGTCCAATCCCTGAATAAACCAATAGCAAGTTCTGAAATTGAGGCAGTAATAAATAGCCTACCAACCCAAAAAAGTCCAGGACCAGACGGATTCACAGCCGAATTCTACCAGAGGTACAAAGAGGAGCTGGTACCATTCCTTCTGAAACTATTCCAAAAAATAGAACAAGAGGGAATCCTCCCCAACTCATTTTACGAGGCCAGCATCATCCTGATACCAAAACCTGGCAAAGACACAACAAAAAAGAAAATTTCAGGCCAATATCCCTGATGAACATCGATGTGAAAATCCTTAATAAAATACTGGCAAACCGAATCCAGCAGCACATCAAAAAGTGTATCCATCACAATCAAATCAGCTTCATCCCTGGGATGCAAGACTGGTTCAACATACGCAAATCAACAAACGTAATCCATCACATAAACAGAACCAATGACAAAAAAACACATGATTATCTCAATAGATGCAGAAAAGGCCTTTGACAAAATTCAACAGTGCTTCAAGCTAAAAACTCTCAATAAACTAGGTATGAATGGAACATATATCAAAATACTAAGAGCTATTTATGACAAACCTACAGCCAATATCATACTGAAAGGGCAAAAATGGGAAGCATTCCCTTTGAAAACTGGCACAAGACAAGGATACCCTCTCTTACCACTCCTATTCAACATAGTATTGGAAGTTCTGGCCAGGGCAATCAGGCAAGAGAAGGAAATAAAGGGTATTCAAATAGGAAGAAAGGAAGTCAAATTGTCTCTGGTTGCAGATGACATGATTGTATTTTCAGAAATACAATCGCCTCAGCCCCAAATCTCCTTAAACTAATAAGAAACTTCAGGAAAGTCTCAGGATACAAAATCAATGTGCAAAAATCACAAGCATTCCTATACACCAATAACAGACCAACAGAGAGCCAAATTATGCATGCACTCCCATTCACAATTGCTACTAAGAGAATAAATTACCTAGGAATACAACTTACAAGAGATGTGAAGGACCTCTTCAAGGAGAACTACAAACCACTGCTCAAGGATATAAAGGAGGACACAAACAAATGGAAAAACTTTCCATGCTCATGGATAGGAAGAATCGATATTGGGAAATGGCCATAATGCCCAAAGTAATTTATAGGTTGAATGCTATCCCCATCAAGCTACCAGTGACTTTCTTCACAGAATTGGAAAAAACTACTTTAAACTTCATATGGAACCAAAAAACAGTCCACATAGCCAAGACAATCCTGGGCAAGAAGAACAAAGCTGCAGGCATCAGGCTACCTGACTTCAAATTACACTACAAGGCTACAGTGACCAAAACAGCATGGTACTGGTACCAAAACACATATATAGACCAATGGAACAGAACAGAGGCCTCAGAAATAACACCACACTTCTACAACCATCTGATCTTTGACAAACCTGACACAAACAAGCAACGGGGAAAAGATTCTCTATTTAATAAATGGTGTTGGGAAAACTGGCTATCCATATGCAGAAAATTGAAACTGGACCCCTTCCTCACACCTTATCAACTCAAGATGGATCAAAGACTTAAATGTAATACCTAGGACCATAAAATCCCTAGAAGAAAATCTGGGCAATAACATTCAGGATATAGGTGTGGGCAGAGACTTCAGGTCTAAGACACCAAAAGCAATGGCAACAAAAATCAAAATTGACAATTGGGATCTAATTAAACTAAAGAGTTTCTGCACAGCAAAATAAACTATCATCAGAGTGAGCAGGCAACCTACAGAATGGGAGGAAAGTTTTGCAATCTATCCATCTGACAAAGGGCTAACATCCAGAATCTACAAGGAACTTAAACAAATTTACAAGAAAAAAACAACCCCATCAAAAAGTAGGCAAAGGATATGAACAGACACTTCTCAAAAGAAGACATTTATGCAGCCAACAGACATATGAAAAAATGTTCATCATCACTGGTCATTAGAGAAATGCAAATCAAAACCACAATGACATACCATCTCATGCCAGTTAGAATGGTGATCATTAAAAGGTCAGGAAACAACAGATGCTGGAGAGGATGTGGAGAAATAGGAATGCTTTTACACTGTTGGTGGGAGTGTACATTAGTTCAACCATTGTAGAAGACAGTGTGGCAATTCCTCAAGGATCTAGAACTAAAAATACCATTTGACCCAGTGATCTCATTACTGGGTATATACCCAAAGGATTATAAATCATTCTACTATAAAAACATATGGACATGTATGTTTATTGCAGCACTATTCACAATAGCAAAGACTTGGACCCAATCCAAATGTCCATCAATAATAGACTGGATTAAGAAAATGTGGCACATATACACCATGGAATCCTATGCAGCCATAAAAAAAGATAAGTTCATGTCTTTTGCAGGGATGTGGATGAAGCTGGAAACCATCATTCTCAGCAAACTATCACAAAAACAGAAAACCAAACACCACATGTTCTCACTCATAAGTGGGAACTGAACAATGAGAACACATGGACACAGGGAAGAGAACATCACACACTGGGGCCTGTTGGGGGTGGGGAGCTAGGGGAGGGATAACATTGGGAGAAATACCTAATGTAGGTGATGGGTTGATGGGTATAGCAAACCACCACAGCATGTGTATACCTATGTAACAAAGCTGTACATTCTTCACTGTGCCCCAGAACTTGAAGTATAACCAAAAAAAAGAAAAAAGAAAAATAAATAAATAAAAATAAATAAAATCATTTCCAAGACCATATTTTCTGTATCTTTTCTTCTAGGAGTCTTACAGTTTCGGGTCTTACATTTAGGTATTTAATCTATTTTGAGTTGATTTTTGTGTGTGGTGTAAGATAAGAGTCCAGCTTCATTCTTTTACAGGTGGATATCCAGTTTTCCCAGCACCATTTATTGTGCCCTCTTGACAGCCTTGTTGAAAATTAGTTGATCATATATGCTTGCATTTATTCTGCATTCTCTATTTTGTTCCATTGCTCTATGTGTCTGTTCTTATGCTAGTATCATGCTACCTGACTTCAAACTATACTACAAGGCTACAGTAACCAAAACAGCATGGTACTGGTACCAAAGCAGAGATATAGATCAATGGAACAGAACAGAGCCCTCAGAAATAACGCCACATATCTACAACTATCTGATCTTTGACAAACCTGAGAAAAACAAGCAATGGGGAAAGGATTCCCTATTTAATAAATGGTGCTGGGAAAACTGGCTAGCCATATGTAGAAAGCTGAAACTGGATCCCTTCCTTAAGCCTTATACAAAAATCAATTCAAGATGGATTAAAGACTTAAACCTTAGACCTAGAAGCATAAAAACCCTAGAAGAAAACCTAGGCATTACCATTCAGGACATAGGCATGGGCAAGGACTTCATGTCTAAAACACCAAAAGCAATGGCAACACAAGCCAAAATTGACAAATGGGATCTAATTAAACTAAAGAGCTTCTGCACAGCAAAAGAAACCACCATCAGAGTGAACAGGCAACCTACAAAATGAGAGAAAATTTTCACAACCTACTCTTCTGACAAAGGGCTAATATCCAGAATCTACAATGAACTCAAACAAATTTACAAGAAAAAAACAAACAACCCCATCAAAAAGTGGGCAAAGGACATGAACAGACACTTCCCAAAAGAAGACATTTATGCAGCCAAAAAGCACATGAAAAAATGCTTACCATCACTGGCCATCAGAGAAATGCAAATCAAAACCACAATGAGACACCATTTCACACCAGTTAGAATGGCAATCATTAAAAAGTCAGGAAACAACAGGTGCTGGAGAGGATGTGGAGAAATAGGAACACTTTTACACTGTTGGTGGGACTGTAAACTAGTTCAACCATTGTGGAAATCAGTGTGGCGATTCCTCAGGGATCTAGAACTAGAAATACCATTTGACTCAGCCATCCCTTTACTGGGTATATACCCAAATGACTATAAATCATGCTGCTATAAAGACACATGCACACGTATGTTTATTGCAGCATTATTCACAATAGCAAAGACTTGGAACCAACCCAAATGTCCAACAATGATAGACTGGGTTAAGAAAATGTGGCACATATACACCATGGAATACTATGCAGCCATAAAAATGATGAGTTCATGTCCTTTGTAGGGACATGGATGAAATTGGAAATCATCATTCTCAGTAAACTATCGCAAGAACAAAAAACCAAACACTGCATATTCTCACTCATAAGTGGGAATTGAACAATGAGAACACATGGACACAGGAAGGGGAACATCACACTCTGGGTACTGTGGTGGGGTGGGGGGAGGGGGGAGGGATAGCATTGGGAGATATACCTAATGCTAGATGACGAGTTAGTGGGTGCAGCGCACCAGCATGGCACATGTATACATATGTAACTAACCTGCACATTGTGCACATGTACCCTAAAACTTAAAGTACAATAATAATAAATAAATAAATAAAAAAGAGTAAGGAAGAACAGAGCACTAATAAAGAATGGAAAATAAGATGAAGTAGAAGTTTGGGGAGAGAAAATAAGAGGCCGCTACAGAACTAAATCATCACAAATGTCCTAAATTTAGTGCAAATTATATTGGCTCTGAAACTGGCTGAGCTTTACAGGAACTACCTGGGTTGGTCTCAGGGAATTAGTGGAGGATTAGAAAGAGAGTAAGCAACTGCATCAAATGCATGTGACTGGTTAATGTGGCAGCGACAGTGGTATGTGCTCCCATTTTCCTATCCTCCTGGCCATAGAGCTAGATTCAATTTCCATTATGTTTAGCAGTTAGGTGTGGCAATGACACTGAATTAGGCCCAATGGAATGTAGCAGCTATATTGTGAATCATTTTTAACACTAACCCCTTTGTAAACAGTAAACCTTGCACTATTTTCTTCGTTTTTCTCTTCTCTTATCTGCCAGCTGTATGCCAAGAATCCAGGGGATGACTCTAGGGCTCTAGGGGATGATGAAGCCATTGCTGGGAAAGGACTTGGTCATAAGGTGGTGGCATGGAGCAGCCCTCCTCCTACTCCAACCTTCATACAACAGTGGCGTGAGCAAGAAAAAATCTTTCATTGTGCAAAGACATTCAGATTTCATAAATGTCAGTAAACCTACCCAGATGAGAACTCTCTGTTGACCTTTAGGTTTGGCACAGTGTGGGTAATTGATAACCTTCAGCTAAGTTTCTAGTAGAATTATGGAAATGAAAGCATTATGACAATGCATCCGAGAGACAGTGTCACAAGAGAATGTAGAGACACAATTGAGCAGTTTTCCTGTGAAAGCAAAAAAAAAGTGTATTTGTATGTGTATATAAAGTAGAAAATATAAATGTATAGTGAGGTGTGTGGTAGGCAGAATAATGCTACCTCAAAAGTCCACATCCTAATCTCTACAACCTGTGAATGTATTAGGTTACATGGCAAGGGTGAATTAAGGTTGCAGGTAGAATATAGTTGCTGATTAGCTGACCTTAAAACAAGGAGATTATTCAGGTGGGCCTAATGTAAATTTACATACATTCTTAAATAGAGAAGGAGGGAGAGGAATCAGAACTGGGGGGAGAGGAATCGGAACCAGAGAGATGATATCATGAGAACAGCTCAACTGGACATTGCTGGCTTTGAAGATCGAAGGGGGTCAGCATCTGGGAACTATAAAAGGCAATGAAATATTTTCTTCTTTAGAGCCTCCAGAAGGAACACAGCCCTGCCGACATCTTGCTCTTACGCCAGTGAGGCCCCTTTTGGACTTCTGACCTCCATAACCGTAAGATAATAAATTTGTGTTGTTTTAAACCACTAAGTTTGTAGTAATTTGCTACAGCAGCAATAGAAATCAAATTTAAAAAGCTCATTGTTTAAAAAACAACAAAAATGGCATGCCTAAGAATATACTTTATAAAGAATATGTTCATATATGGAGAAAATTACAAAATCTTAATGCATGTTATAAAATGATCTGCTTCCAAGTAGGAAGGCCAAATACTAAATGTGTTCAGTGTTCTCAAGCTAATGTATAGATTTAATGCAATAGCCCTAATATTCTTCAAGGCCTAATGTATTAGTCAAATATTAAATCCAGCTTGACACAGTATTTTTTAAGTGCTTTTGTTTTGAAAAAGTGAAGCTAGGAAGCATTGAAGATTTGGATGTTCCTTGCCTCTCTCTCATCAAATTAATTTCATTACTTCCTACCACAGTTAGGTTTTTTCACATTCTCTAGGGTGAGGGGGTGGGAAGGTGGGGTATGATTGCCCTGCAATACGCAATCAATAAGCTGTTTGGCCCTGTCTGGATCACATAACTGCTCCTGAATGTGTTTGTGTCGTGAAAAGAATAGGTATCATAATTGGCCCAGTCTGGGACACATGCCAGTCTTGTAGCCAGAGGAGATGGGTATTTTACCATAATAAGTAGGGACACAGATAAACAGAGTAGGTACTTAAGAACTTTATTTCTAGGAATCTACTATAGGAAACCGATGCAGAAAAATGTCTATGCAAATGTTTTTCATCATTGTAGTATTTATAAAAGTTAAGGAAACAATTGAAAAAATCCAACATAAGAAATAGTAAACTAAATTATGGCCTATCCACATGATGAAATACTTTGCAGTCACTAAAAATATTTTCCATGAGTTTTTCGAACTGAGTGATAGAATTCAAAATCCATGGGGAAATGCTCAAAATAATAAGCTAGCAAAAACAAAATACAAAAGAAGGTATAATATGGCCTAATGTTACAAAAAGGTATATATTTATACAACTTATCAAAATAATAATATATCTAAATAATATTAAACTTTATCTTGAACCTTTTCTGTTTTCAAATAAATAGCCTAAAGTGGCAGATACCTTAAAGTGTATAATTCCACATATAAGATTGTCTTTGTAAACTCTATAAATATTCAATTAGTGTAGACATATCTCTTGCCATGGTACCCAATGTTTTAATCCAATAGTTCTGAAGCTTGACTGTGTATCCCAATCACCTGGAGGACTTGTTAGACCATAGACTGCTGAGCCTTATCCTCAGAATCTGACTCATTAGGTTTCTGGTGGGAGCTGACAAATTGCAACCCTAAGAAGTTCCATGTGATGCTAATGATAATGGTTTGAGGAGCACAGTTAGCTACAGCTCAAATTCTGACTAAATAAAATGCCTTCAACACTCCCCTCAGATGCACCTCTGAGCCTTCATCTAGCTTCTCCTTTTCCAGGTACCAACCCCACCACCATGCTTTCTCACCTGCTGAAATCCTCCCTGTTCAAGAATCAGCTGAGGGATCATCTATCCTAAGAGGTATTTCCTTAACTTCCTAATCTGAATCATGTGATGTTCTCACCTGCTCTGAGTGTCTTGGCTCACTTCTGTCAGCCTCTCTGAAAGTCAACAAGCCAGTATATCCCCTACCATAGCTTTGAATAGATAAATGAGCCTATTATTTTTATCGATCTATAATTATGTAAGGTGGTAGTTGTTATTCAATCAAATTGTACAAAACAGCAAACAGATTCACAGAGATTAGTTACCTATTCAGGGTTAAACAGACAGTGATTAGCAGGGGCAAGTCTCAACCCCAGTTTTTCTGAATGCAAGTTTTATCTTTTCTATATTAGTCCATGCTGTTCTCCAACCATATATGACATAAGCTATGCATATACAACATTTTTTTCCTACCACCTACTACTATGAGATAAATTTGGCTCAAAACTAATGGATCTGAAGGCTTCATCTTTGCATCCTTGAAGAGCCACCAGTAGCAGAAAAGTAGAAGGCAAAAGAAATGATTCTTACTTAAAAACAAAACAGAAACATTTCTCTGTTTAGCCAAATTGGTTTTTTGTAACAGATTTATTGAGATTTTTCGTATATAATACACCTATTTAAAGTATACAATTTAATACTTTTTTAGTAATTCCATTGTGCAACCATCACTACAATCGCTTTTGGAACACTTTCATCACCCTCAGAAGAAACCCATATCGTTTAACTTTCATCCCCCAACTCCTGCTTCCTTTAGTCTTAGGAAACCACTATTCTCTCTCTCTCTGGATTTTCCTGCTGTGGACATTTCATGTAAATGGGATCATGTCACCTTGTGTGCCTGGCTTCTTTAAGTTAGCACAATGTTTAAGGTTCAGCCATGCTGTAGCCTGCACCAATAGTTCATTTGGTTTTATTTCATTTAAGATATACTATATTTTAACGTTTTTTCATCAGGTGATGGACTTTTAGGTTGCTTTCGCTTTTTGACTATTCTAAACAATGCTTCTGTGAACATTTGTGTATAAGGTTTTGCGTGGGAATATACTTTCACGTCTCTTTGGGCATATACCTAAGAATGCAATTGCTAAATCATACAGTAATTCTATGTTTAACCTTTTGAGGAACTGCCAGACTGTTTTCCAAGGTGGCTGCACCATTTAAAATTTTTTAAATTATGAACTTAGTTGATAAATTTTATTCTGGGAAAAGCAACATTTAAACCAAATATATACTTTTCACTTGTTATTCATTGTCAGGCCAATACAACTGGCAGTCTCCTGGGTCTCTCTGAGGGAGGATCTCTGAAGAATCCTCACCCTCCTCACTTGTTCATGCCATTTCATCTGGTCCATCTGTTACCTGTGGCTAATTTATCATTTCACTCATTGCCTACCTCCTAGTCTGACCATTTCTAGAATCCTGGAATAAGGCCTAATTGATTGAGCAGCTGACCTGTGGTTTCATGTAAGAAATTGAAGAAAAAGTTGGTGAAAACATGTACGTTTACTCAACCAGCAGACAAGGTTTGGCCCTGATTTTTTTCATTACTGATCATTTTTAACCTCTTGATATATTTCTGCTGAACTCATGGAAAGTACCATGCCATTGAAGTACTAATCAAGATATCTGTTTCCCATTTCAAAAATATTTATCTGTAATCTCTTATAGCCTGTTCTTTAATTCATGTTTCAGTTAGGCTTTTCCATAATCAGAGTTAGGTCTCCTCTTAAAAAAAATCAAATTTACAAAATGCTTCAAATTAGAAAAGAGTTGTAAAGGAGGGCAGCCTATAAGCCTACTGCATTAAGATTAAGTTTACAGTAATTCTGAAAATGAATAAGCCATTGAAATTGTGATTTTCTTAATTAATGAGGAGTTGGCAGTACTCTGTGGGATTTTAATATTTCTCCAACAAAATAAGAATCATATGTTTCAGAGCACAGGCTTTGGGGTCTGTAGCCTCCAAGCTGAGTGACCTTAGGCGTGTAATTAAATCTCTCTAGTTTCTCGTTGGTAAAATTGGACTATCGATAAGATTACCATCCTCTTACAGGATTTTTGCAAGAATTAAACCTGTTATGTAGCCAAAGCTCATTGCCTAGTCCTTTGAAGATAGCAAGTACTCATAGATGTTAATTATTATTATTATATTACTGCTACTAAAAAGAGGAATCAATCTTCTCTAAGAAACTATTAACTATTGAACTGTGTCAAATAATAGAAATAAGAAGTCTGTAATGAAAAACAGCAAAGGATGTTTTGCCTCCAACTTCTCAAAAACTAAAACGGTTTTTAGAATTGGTTTTGGTACAGTCCCCCTTCAACAAACTCACCTGCTTTCAAGCACTAGTTGAGTCTTCTCCCGGGCTATTGTAGCAATTTTTTACAGCTGTCTTCCTTGCCAGTTCACCTCTCCTTCTTTACCATATCAGTCTTCAAATAGTTTCTTCCAAATGGTGCCTCCTCTTTAAGCTGTTTCTCAGCTTCTCAGACACAAATCGCTGTCTTCATTACCATTGCTTGAATCTGGTTCACATCTTTCATGCTTATCACTCCTATTTTTATCTTTTACCAGTTCTACCTCCCTTTTTCCCTTTGTATTTTGAAAACTAAGTCTTCAGAAAGATTGCTAAAATAGTATAATGAATATTCAAATACCTTCACCTAGATTCATCAATTGTTAATTTGCCACATTGACTAATTTTTATGGTATGTATTTTTTCAGGATCACTTGAGAGTTCAACGTAAACATCTTGATATTTTACCCTAAATACTTCAGCATGTATCTCCTAGGAATAATTATTATATTTGGGAAATTTAGCATTGTATAATTGTATTACCTAATACATAATTCATATTTAAACTCCTCTACGACTGGGCCATTGGAGTTGTCTATTAAATGTCTTATTCCCAGTCTAAGTTAATGGAATCACTATCCATCATTGACAGCATGTTTACAAACCATGCAAAACATGTCATTAAGGTTTTTTGTCCAATAACCCCACATTTTGCAACATTTTGATTCCAAAATGCATTAGTTAATCAATAGATTTTGAACTGTCAGCACAAGGTTAAATTTTATTTTGGGTAAATATCTATTACACCTCTTATAGACTTAGTGTTGACAACAGTATTTAGACTCATTCCCACACCTCTGGAAGGGATACATGAACCCCCAAATTGAGAACTATTATCTTAATAAATGTGAAACTACTTAACCTGCCCTGTAAATCCCTTACACTGTGTCCCTTCCTGCCTCTGGCCTATTTATCCACCTCACCTTATTAAAGAAAACCAGAAAGGTTAAAGCAGTAAAGGCAGATTTTACTTAGGAACTATTGAAATAGGGTAAAACAGACCTTAGTATAGAATTGGGCTCAATTCTGAATACAACAAGACAAATAAGAATTTATAGCCAAGAAACATGTTTTTATGTTGTTTGTTTGGAGGGAGTGTGGAATTACTAAGAGGAGACATTAAAGGTAAGGGAAGTTCTTTCTAAACTGACCTAACAGGATTCTTGCTGAAGGAAGGTCAGGGTGATCAGCTATCATTTCAGGAATTGTGGGGGAATGAGGAATTTGATCAGATATCAAGGTTGAGGGATTCTCCCTAAACTGACTTGGCAGAAATCTTTCTAAAACTAGGATATACAGTCCTGAGTACAAGGGCCAAGGACAAGCCTATTAAGAAAAGGTCTTTTAAGTCTATTGATAGATGTAGATCAAGTCTATTAAGACTCCTATTATAGGAGTCTGGCTAAAGTTTGGTCAAGGAGAGAGTCTCTCAACTCCTTTTTACATGCTATACTCCAGCCATTTTTGCTGTTCCTCCAAATATTTCACACTTAACATCCTTTCTTTATCCTGTTTCCAAAGCTTGCAATCTACTTGTCTCCTTTTTTACCTGTCGAGACATGGGTCAAATGTCATGTTCTCTGTAAGGACAGCTCTTCTCACACTGACATTCCTAGTCTTATTTGAATGACTTCTCAATAATTTGATGATATCTCTATCATAGCATGTATTGACTGATTGATTGATTGAGATGGAGTCTTGCTGTGTTGCCCAGGCTGGAGTGCAGTGGCGCTATCTTGGCTTACTCCAACCTGCATTCTCCTGCCTCAGCCTCCTGAGTAGCTAGGATTAACAGGCCTGTGCCACCATGCCCGGTTAAGTTTTTTTTTGTTTTTGTTTTTGTTTTTTGTCTTTTTTTAAGTAGAGATGGGGTTTCACCATGTGGGTCACTCTGGTCTCGAACTCCTGACCTCAAGTTATCTGCCTGCCTCGGCCTCCCAAAGTGGGATTGCAGGCATGAGCCACTCCTCCTGGCCTATCATAGCTTTTATCACATTCTATTAGAATTACTATTTTGTCTCTCACTTAAGAGATAGTAAGATACTAAAGTTCAGAGCCCCTCATTATTTTCTTCTGTGGCCTTGCACTTAGAGATCATTAATAAATATATGGCTAATAAATTAAGCAACTAACTCTTGGGCAGACAGTGAAGGCAATTAGAGAGTACCTTGGTGATAGTGTTCTATTGGTTCTCAAGCATTTTGGGGTCTAGAACTACTTTGAACATCATATACAAGTTCAGAACCCATTCCCCACAAGGATGTTTACATAAAATTTCTTAAAATGTTAGGTCAGTGGACTTGGTCTCAACTTATAACTTCTGTCTTGAGAGAGAAGGATGTTCTGTTCTTCTGATTATAGGGTGGGTACCACTTACATGAGGGTCTTATGACCTATTTCAGGGGAAGGACTGAAAATTCTAAGTTTTATGCACCACTTAAGGGAAGAAGGATGGAAGATGGTCAGACTTTCCTGCTTCTGCAATTTTCTCAGCTTCCTTCAACTTAAAATATTCAGTATACCAAAGTGTTATATTGGGGTAGTGTGCTCTGAATCCATCAGGAGAAGAGGATAAATAAATATGAAGTGAAGGGACACGTTTAGACTAGTATTTGTTGTCTTAAACTAAAATTAATGTAATTATTGCTTGAAATAACACAAATGTAAAAGACATACTACATAGAATACAGAGCTAGAGGATAAGGAAAGAGTTGGTGGGAGGGAGAGTCCATATCTCCACCAATACTGTATTTATTGTTTTCTGTTGCTATATTTAAAGAGAAAATAAGCAGTAGGATAGGATATCATTTTTCTTTCTACTATGGTTAATGGGCACAAATTACAAGATAAAATGTGTCTGAATAATGTCTTTGTAATTAGTGACTGAGTATGTCATTGCAACAAAGGAAGGTAATATCATGGGTTGGCTGAACTTCAATTGTGATGAATTATGTAAATGAAAATACCTGAAGAATTAACTAAATCAAATTATTTTTGGAAAAATGGATGAAAGAACACACATGACTGTAACAATGTACGAGTATACTAGCAAAAATAATTCTTCTAGTGTTCTTGAGTTGCTTCCATGAAATCCCTGAAATTATAGATGTTTCCATTTGAAAATAATTTAATTATCAAGTTCTTTTAGAAATCTATTATAATGGGATTTTAGAAACTTATAATGGAATCAAGTTGGTATTTGCACATCCTTTGAAATGTTACTGCACTGATAGAATCATTTTAAACAAAATTGTTGCCCACAGATAGTTCAAATATGTGGAGATGCCATCAAGGAAACTCTCTTTGTGCTAGATATTGATAAACAATTTTACAACTGCCTCTATTTACATTGTAAAACTGCCTCTTCAAACAACTTCTCTAAAATGACTTCTTTACATGTTAACTTTCATAAAGTTTAAATAGATTTAAAGAAAAGCTGTTTTCTACTAAATAACATTTTGGGAAGCGTCCCACTATTTTATCTCAGTTCTATAAAAAGGAATAAACAAACTAAAAATACATTAATGCCTATTACTGCTTGAATATAATACCTTCTTCATTTATTATTTATGGGGGAAAATACTGAAAAGACGGGAAAGCATAAATTAGATGTAGAAGACAGGCTGAGACACAGATAGGGAGAGGACTTTGTCCCTTCAGCTACTATTGTTAACAGGAAGAATGTGTAATTGATTATCCAAGTTGAGACACTTTAGAGAGTCCAAAGTGGCTATTACTAATTATGCTGGGGCAATGGGTATAAGATTAGGCCTTTCTCAGGAGAACTGGGTCATATGAAGTGGGTCATACGCTCACCCTAATTAAGCATCTGTTAACACACCAAACATAGGGACTCTTTAACAGCAAAAGAATAATAATTGTGGCCCTCAAGGGTCCCACAGTCTAACAGGTGAAAGAGTACATTGGTCCTGCAAAACACACTACAGAGAGGCACTATCTTCCCAGCCAGCTGTGCCTCATAACACCTTTCTCACCCCCTGTTAATGTAGGTTTCCTACATTTAAGTAGGAGCACAAGAACGCTCTTGCTGTCAGAATTGTGCATGCCACAGAATGCTTGAGCCAGTTCTGAGTGTTAGCTCACTCTCTGAGGACTTATGAGATAAACAGCATTGATCTCGAATCTCTACATTGACACTTTCAAGTAGAAGACAATTTTCTCATTGTTTATAATATGCTGGGTACTGTCCTCTATATTGGCTTCCACACGTATATTGATCCAGACAATCTTCAAAGCCACTCTGTGACATTGATCCTATTGTTACCCCAATTTACAGATGACAAAATATCTGTAACATTTTATACCTCAAAGAGGTTAGTTAACTTATTCCAGGACACAGCTCATAACCATGGAAACTGGATTCAAATCCAGAAATGTAGCTCCAAACCTGTTATCTATAATCAGTACACTTTACTGGATTTAACAGAATACCAGGTTCAACTTGGAACTGACATCTATGAATTAATAATCGTTATCAGTTCAACTGTAATAAGTAGGTTTAGTGTTATTAATCTGCTTGTATAGCTATATATACTTCCCTTATAATTGATTATCTTTCCCCAAATATGTATGCTTAAAAATAAAGGAGTCTAAAATTGCTTGGAAGATACATTATCCTTTCACAAAATAAATATATACTAACGTTATTGAAGAAAGGCAGGAGTCCATGTTTTAAGGGTCAGAAAAAAAATCACTATTTAAGCTCCAAAACCCACAGGAAACCACAATCCCTTATCCAACAGTGCAATCAGTTGAGTGGTCCAAGTATCCATCATTCCAAATATAACTCCCCAAAGGCCAAATGAAGATGATTGGTTCAATCAAATTCTTCTGTCAGAAAAGCTTTTTTTTTTTTCCTTTTCTTTAACATGCTGATCACATAAAGATGACTGGCTTGTACCTACACTGTGAGTAAGTTAGTTTAACTTACATTTCAATTTCTGAACTCTCTAAATAGTTTCAATTACTAGAACAGTTTCAGATATCAGAAGGACATGAAGAGGATTCTCATGGCCTACCATCTGCATGAAGTAGGATTGTATTCCATCAGGTTATTCCAAGTACTCTGCATAATTGGGTTTATTATTATAAATGTTTGCTAACAATTAATTGGAGTCCTCTTTCTTTTGACCTAAATAACTGAAAAACATTCTAAATTGCATTTGTTCACATTACTTCTTTTATACATATAGACAAAGACTTTAAGGTATCTCCACCAGTCCTTAATGAGGTAGTATGAAACAGTAAACTTAGAATGAATTGGGTTCCATTGCTGTCTGCTCCTGCAATTTAGTCATTATTGAATGTATTAGTCTGTTTTCACACCGGTATAAAGAACTGACTGAGACTGGGTAACTTATAAAGAAAAGTTCAATTGACTCACAGTTCTGCATGGCTGGGGAGGCCTCAGGAAACTTACAGTCACAGCAGAAGGCGAAGGAGAAGCAGGCACCTTCACAAGGCAGCATGAAAGAGAGCAAGCAATGGGAGAACTGCCAAACACTTAAACCACCAGATCTTGTGAGAATTCACTATCATGAGAGCAGCACTGGGGAAACTATAGAACTGAAAATAACCAGCCTGAATATTATAAAGATGATGTTGTTTCCCCATGATCCAATCACCTCCTACCAAGTCCCTCCCTCTACATTGGAGGATTACAATTTGAGATGAGATTTGATGGGGACACAGAGCTAAACCATATCATTGAGGAAAACTCATGACAGTTTATGCCCTGGTTTTCCAAACTATAAAATGAGATGATTTCCCACCTATTTAATTTTAAATATTGGTTCAAAATTAAAATAGCATAATACATACAAATATACTTTGTAAATTATAAAGCTCTATATGTTTCATATTATGAAATATGGGTTGCTGGACAATATGAACAGATCCCAAGGTATAATCTGAAAGTTGAGAGCTTCTTGTCTGATACTTTTTTCCTTACTGCATTTGACTTCTTGATACAATAATCTATAATCTATATTCCTATTTTGTGAAGGTAATATATTTTGTAATGTTTATTCCTCCCTTCAATATGGGTTCCAGTCAAGAATTACATATTGCACTTAGTTGTCATATCTCTTTAAGCCTCCTATTATCTAAAAAAGTTTTTAGCTTTCATGACACTGATATTTTCATAGTATATATCACTTATTTTTATAAAAATGATATTCAGTTTGAATGTGTCTGATAGTGTCTTGTGATTATATTCAGATTGTCTCTCCAGCCTGAACATTACAAAGATGATGTTGCTGCCTTCTTTTGTTGTTACATCCAAAAGCACATGATGTCCAGTAGTTCCTCGTTCCTAATATTAAGCTTAAGATGATGTGTTAATGACACACTTAGGGAAAAATCTTGCACCTACAAGAGACTATGGGGAGACATTATGGACCATGTAAATATCCTGTTCCTCAGACAACCCACTATCCAAAAAGGTTTATTATCTCTTAATTCTTGCCTGAACAGAACTACTATCACATTTGAAAATTCTGATTTAAAAAAAAATTTTCCATTACTTTCTACTTAAGTGCTCATAAGTATGTATACATTATTTGAAAACTTTATATTTGTTTTAATAGGAAAACATATTTATTGAATATATTGTTCTGTATTTCTCTCTCTCTCTCTCTCTCCCTCTCCCTGTTTCTCCCTCTCCCTGTCTCTCCCTCTCCTTGTCTCTCGCCACCCACCTGCTCTCACTGCTCACTATGCCCCTACCAATCTCCCCTCCTGGCTCCCTCCCAGCTCTAACCCTTCCCCCTCTGCTTTCCCCTCCCTCTCCATCCTCCCTCCCCCAACTATTTCCCTTTTGCTCTCTATCCCCCTCCCCCCATGTATACCCCCTTGCTACTTCTCCCATCCCTCCTGCACCCCCACCCCGGCACGTGATCCCCACCCCTGCGCGCCCCCGCTGCTACACACTCACACACCCACACGCTCTCCCCCATGCAAGTTCCCATCCCCATTTTTTTTAAATTTTATTTTTCTTTAAATTACTGGATTACAGGTGGTATCTGGTTGCATAAGTAAGTTCTTTAGTGGTGTTTTGTGAGATCCTGGTGCACCCATCACCCAAGTAGTATATGCTGTACTGTATTTGTTGTCTTTTATCCCTCGCCCCCCTCCCACTCTTCCCCCCAAGTCCCCAAAGTCCATTGTATCATTCTTATGCATTTGCATCATCATGGCTTAGCTCCCAACATCAGTGACAACATACCAAGTTTGGTTTTCCATTCCTGAGCTACTTATAATAGTCTCCAGTCTCATCCAGGTCATTGCAAATGCTGTTAATTCATTCCTTTTTATGGCTGAGTAGTATTCCATCATATATATATCACAGTCTCTTTATCCACTTGGTGATTGATGGGTATTTGGATTGGTTCTAGGATTTTGCAATTGTGAATTGTGCTGCTATAAACATGCATGTGCAAGTATCTTTTTTGAATATTGACTTCTTTTCCTCTGTGTAGATTCCCAGTAGTGGGATTGCTGGATCAAATGGTAATTCCACTTTTAGTTCTTCAAGGAATCTCCACACTGTTTTCTACGTGGCTGTATTAGTTTACATTGCCACCATCAGTGTAGAAGTGTTCCCTGTTCACCGCATCCACGCCAACATCTACTGTTTTTTTGATTCTTTAATTATGGCCATTCTTGCAGGAGTAAGGTGATATCACATTGTGGTTTTTATTTGCGTTTCATCACATTGTGGTTTTTATTTGCATTTCCCTGATCATTACTGATGTTGAACATTTTTTCATATGGTTGTTGGCCATTTGTGTATCTTTTGAAAATTGTCTATTCACGTCCTTAGCCTGCTTTTGAAGAGATTGTTTGTTTTTTTTCTTACTGATTTGTTTGAGTTCATCATACATTCTGGTTATTAGTCCTCTGTCAGATGTATAGATTGTGAAGATTTTCTCCCACTCTGTGGGTTGTCTATTTAATCTGCTGACTGTTCCTTTTGCCATGCAAAAGCTCTTTAGTTTAATTAGGTCCCAGCTATTTATCTTTCTTTTTATTGCATTTGCTTTTGGGATTTTGCTGATGAAGTACTCGCCTAAGCCAGTGTCTAGAAGGGTTTTTCCAATGCTATCTTCTAGAGTTTTTATAATTTCAGACCTTGGGTTTAAGTCCTTAATCCATCTTGAGTTGATTTTTGTATACAGTGAGAGATGAGGATCCAGTTTTGTTCCCCTACATGTGGCTGGCCAATTATCCCAGCACCATTTGTTGAAAAGTAGGTCCTTTCTCCACTTTATGTTTTTGTTTGGTTTGTTGATCAGTTGGCTGTAAGTATTTGGGTTTATTTCTGGGTTCTCTATTCTGTTCCATTGGTCCATGTGCCTATTTTTGTACCAGTACCACCAGGTGTTTTGGTGACTATGGCCTTATAGTTTGAAATCAGGTAGTGTGATGCCTCCAGATTTGTTCTTTTTGCTTCGTTTTGCTTTGGCTATATGGGCTCTTTTTTGGTTTCATATGAATTTTAGAATTGCTTTTTCTAACTGTGGAGAATGATGGTGGTATTTTGATGGGGATTGCATTGAATCTGTAAATTGCTTTTGGCAGTATGGTTATTTTCACGATGTTGATTCTACCCATCAATGAGCATGGGATGTGTTTCAATTTATTTGTGTTGTTTATGATTTCTTTCAGCAGTGTTTTGTAGTTTTCCTTATAGAGGTCTTTTGACACCTTTGTTAGGTATATTCCTAAGTATTTTTTTGTTTGTTTGTTTTTTGCAGCTGTTGTAAAAGGGGTTGAGTTCTTGATTTGATTCTCCACTTGGTCACTGTTGGTGTATAGAAGAGCTACTGATTCGTGTACATTAATCTTGTATCCAGAAACTTTGCTGAATGCTTTTATCAGTTCTAAGAGCTTTCTGGAGGAGTCCTTAGGGTTTTCAAGGTAAACGACCATATCATCAGCAAATAGGGACAGTGTGACTTCCTCTTTACCGATTTGGATGCCCTTTGTTTCTTTCTCTTGTCCGACTGCTCTGGCTAGGACTTCCAGTACTCTGTTGAAGAGGAGTGGTGAGAGTGGGCATCCTTGTCTTCTTCCCATTCTCAGAGGGAATGCCTTCAACTTTTCCCTATTCAGCATTATGTTGGCTGTGGGTTTGTCTTAGATGGCTTTTATTACATTAAGGTACGTCCCTTGTATACTGATTTTGCTGAGGGTTTTAATCATAGAGGGATACTGGATTTTGTCTAATGCTTTTTTCTGCATCTATTGAGATGATCATGTGGTTTTTGTTTTTAATTCTGTTTATGTGGTGTATCACATTTATTGACTTGAGTATTTTAAACAATCTCTGCATCCCTGGTATGAAACCCACTTGATTGTGGTGGATTATCTTTTTGATATATTGTTGGATTTGGTTAGCTAGTATTTTGTTAAGGATTTTAGCATACTTTCTCCAAGATAGACCATATGATAGGGCATAAAATGAGCCTCAATAAATTTAAGAAAATTGAAATTATATAAAGCACTCTTTCAGACCACAGTATAATAAAACTGAAAACTCCAAAAGGAACCTTCAAAACCATGCAAATACACAGAAATTAAATAACCTGCTCCTGAATGAGCATTGGGTCAAAAACAAGATCAAGATGGAAATTTAAAAATTCTTCTAACTGAATGACAATAATGACACAACCTATCAGACCTCTGGGATACAGCTAAGGCGGTGCTAAGAGGAAAGCTCATAGCCCTAAACACCTACATCAAAAAGTCTGAAAGAGCACAGACAATCTAAGGGCACACCTCAAGGAACTAGAGAAACAAGAACAAACCAAAACCAAATCCAAACCCAGCAGAAAAAAGGAAATAACTGAGATGAGAGAAGAACTAAACGCAATTGAAACAAAAAAAAATACAAAAGATAAATGAAACAAAGCTGGTTCTTTGAAAAGATAAATAAAATTGATAAACCACTAGCAAGGTTAACCAAGAGAAGAAGAGAGAAAATCCAAATAACTTCACTGAGAAATGGGAAATATTACAACTGATGCCACTGAAATACAAAAGATCATTCAAGGCTACTATGAACACCTTTATGCACATAAACTAGAAAACCTAGAGGAGATGGATAAATTCTTGGAAAAATACAACTCTCCTAGCTTGAATCAGGAAGAATTAGACACCCTGAACAGACCAATAACAAGCAGCGAGATTGAAATGGCAATTTAAAAATTACCAACAAAAAAAGTTCAGGACCAGTCAGATTCACAGCAGAATTCTACCAGACATTCAAAGAAGAACTGGTACCAATCCTTTTGACACTACTCCACAAAATAAAGAAGGAACCCTCTCTAATACATTATATGAAGCCAGTACCATCCTAATATCAAAACCAGGAAAGGACACTACCAACAAAGAAAACTACAGACCAATATCTTTGATGAACATAGATGCTAAAATCATTAACAAAATACCACCCCCATCTTTTTTTAAAAGACAGTGTTGCTCTGTTACTCAGGCTAGAGTGTAGTGGCACAATCATAGCTTGCTGCATCATTGAACGCCTGGGCTCTAGTGATCCTCCTGCCTCAGCCTCCTGATTAGCTGGGACTATAGACACACATGCACTACCATGCCCAGCTAATTTTATTTTTTTGTGGAGACAGGGTCTTGCCAAATTGCCCAGGCTGGTCTAATGAACTCCTGGCCTCAAGCAATCATCCCACCTCAGCCTCCCAAAGTGCTGGAATTACAGGCATTAGCCCATTGCACCTAGCCCCTCTGCTATATGTTTGAACTTAACTCTATCATAAATTTATATAATTACTATATGTATTATATTTTATTTTCTATGGTGTTCTCTACTAGATATGTGTTTACTTTGTAAAGAATTTTCATTTCGAACTTATGAAGGTTAATATTCTTAATCGTTACCTTCGTAGAATCCTTAACCCTTCTTTTCTTGCATACCCTTTTACATGCTGTTGTTTAAAAATATTATTTTTTGGCCGAGTGTGGTGGCTCACACCTGTAAACCCAGCACTTGGGAGGCCAAGGTGGGTGAATCATTTGAGGTCGGGAGTTTGAGACCAGCCTGGCCAACATGGCAAAACCCCATCTCTACTAAAAATACAAAAAATTAAGCCTGGGCGGTGGCGTGCGCCTGTAGTCCCAGCTACTCAGAAGGCTGAGGCAGGAGAATTGCTTGAACTTGGGAGGCAGGGTTGCAGTGAGCTGAGATGCCACTGCACTCGAGCCTGGGTGACAGAGTGAGACTCCATCTCAAAAAAAAAAAAAAAAAAAAAATTCCTTGACTCCCATACATTGCCTATTCAACAATCGGTAGCCACAATTCACTTCTCCCTTTCCCTTTTTCCATTGCAGTCTTTCTCTTCTGTAAGTACACATAACATTTGCTTATATTCTTCTGCCATCTTCCTACTTGTTTGTCGTCTTCATAATTATATGTTCATAATATAAATGTTTTCTGCTCACCATCAGTCCTTTTGCTGAATGTTTCCCAATTATATAGTTGTATAACATGTATTAACTAGTAATTTCCTCAAGAGGTACACTTCTGAATAATATTCCCTGCTTGCTTACGTGTTTAAAACTGTTTTTTCATGCTCGCCTCGGCAACACATATACTAAAAAGCACCTGTTTTTCCTATAGTCCTGATAATTAAAGTACAGCTTGGCTGAATAAAACTTATTCTTTCTTCATAACTTCCTTGAGCTTCTTAAAAATTACTGATCTACTAGTACTTGTATTAAAAGTTGCTCAAAGTCTGATAACAAGCCTAATTTTCTTAACCTAATTAATACTTTGATCATTTTGCATGGAAGCCGTTAAGTTATTTTTCATCTTTCAAATCTAGTGGTTTTCATAGGCAAAGAATGGACCCCTTTTGATTTGGAGATTTGTCTTATTTATAGAATGCTTTCTTGGATTATAACATTAAATATTAGTTCTGTTACATTCCCCCCCGCCATAGGGACCTCAGTTACATGTATGTTGAACCTTCTTAGTTTGACTTCCTTCTTATCACTTTGTCTGTGACCTTCATCTCTTTTCTTTTGTTTTTCTTCTTTAATTTCATTCTCATTTTCTTGGATGTTATGCCTTTCTTCGGTATACTTAAATTTGTATTTGAATCTTTTTTCCCTTGTGCATCTTATTCTTTACTTCTGAAGTGGTTTGGAGTTTTCTTCTATTTTTTCCCTAAAATTGATCAGCTGTGATATACTTTCTCTTCTTTTTTGTCCATTTCCATTTAGTTTGTTATTCAATTTCTGATTCTAGTTTTGTTTTTTAAATCTCCAAATGCTTTTTAAAGTATACTAAATGACATTTGTAATATGGCACACTATTTTTCTGCTTCATAATTGTTGGGGAAGGAGGGGATTTTTATTACTTAAAACGTTATAATTTGCCTTTTCTGTTTCTTTGCCATGAATTTCTATGAATTTTTTTTCTATTTTTTCAACTGCCTTCTGACAAGGGTTTCATCAAGCACACACTCTTTAGCCAGTTCGAGACCAGCCTAACCAACATGGTGAAACCCCCATCTCTACTAAAAATACAAAAATTACCTGGGTGTGGTGGCTTGTGTCTGTAATCCCAGCTACTCAGTGGGCTGAGGCAGGAGAATTGCTTTAACCCAGGAGGTAGAGATTGTGCCACTGCACTCCAGCCTGGGCTACAAGATTGAAATGCTGTCTCAAAAAAAAAAAAAAAAAAAAAGTACAGTTTCTTTAATGAGTGGTGGTGGTGGTGATTGTATGAAATTAGGAGAGGATGACATGTTATTTTTTCTTTCTGCAAGGTATTTTATTTTCCCCTTTGACTTTCTTCTTTCCCTACACCTACCATTTTTCTGGGAATACCACCCTTGTTTATTTAATTCTCTTACAGAAGTAAGGCTTCTCTGAGGTTGCCACTCTTGGTCCCACTCAGGTCAAGTTCTTTTCCTGTAGCTGATACTTTCAGTTACCACGTTCCAGTCCTGAGTTTAATATTTTGGAACTGGTTTTGAATGTATCTTTCTGAAGGGGATTCTATCTGTGTTTCATCTATATCTTAGGTACTCTTTCAGCTCTGACACACAAAAGTGAACAGCTGTCCTTCCCCCACTCTCACAGGCTTAAAGCATCAGGAAGAGCTCTTTTGAAAATTAGTGTATATTTCTTTAATCAAAAGAAATGGAAACTTCAGAGAATTTTGTATCCTAGAACTGTGGAAGACAGGCCATGTGTGATTCAATTTGTGCCCTTTGCTTTCTCATTCTATAATTTTTGAGGTGAATGTGTGAAGTCATTGGATTCAGGCTACACCATTATTCTCCAGACCCTGAATTTGACTTCATTACTGATTAAAGATGAGTAAGTAAGGCGAAGAGAAGGGAGAAAGAATTGAAAAATGACTGGAAAGTATGACATAATCAAGAAAAGATAAAAAATAGAGACTGATGAGGAAAGAGACAAGGAAGGGCAGGAATACAAAAGGTGAGAAGACAGCAATTAAAAAATATCAAGACTGAGAGTGACCTAGGGAGATTATATACACACACATATTCACAAAATTATACATGCAAGTCATTAAGGAAAAACTAGTTAGATGACACAGTAGTAAGTTCTTCATCTGTATAACAGGAATAATTATACCTCATAGGAATTATGTAAGAATTAAAGGAATTCTTATATGTAAATAGGATATTAGTGTATTATAAGCACTCAATAAATGTTAACTATTAGAGAGAAAATAAGAATGCAAGTTTGCAGAGAGACTGATAGGCAAATGCATATTCACAGAAACACAAAGTTACAAAGAAATCAAACTTTCAAGTAAAAGCATTTTTATTCCGCTATTAAAGAGGAAACATCCTCTTGACTCAGGTCCCATGACTATGATAAAGCATGGAAATGCAAGAGGTAAAACTGATATATATAATGAAATTACTCATTAATACATGCTCACTTTACGCTCAAACATACATGGTTTAATGCACTGAGGTGGTATATGTCTCTCATTTGTATTTATTTGAAAATATAAATTGAAGTATTTTGAAAAGTCTTAAATTATAAAAATACATTTAGAAATACATTTTAAAAGCACAAAAGGTAGACAACCTTAAAAGAATTATGCCGAGTTTTCTCTTTATCTTTTTTGTTCTTTGTAAAATTAATTTTTTCTATGATTACCTTGTCTTTATTTTTCCCACTCTATCACATTTATTTTGGTCTTTTTGCCAGGTACAAATATTTTTAAAGTGCCTTAACATAGGCTCAAAAAATGTTAGACTTGCAAAAGGACTTTATTTTCTAAAAGAAATTAGCTTCTCTTCTTCTCTTTTTTATATGTTTTAAGGTGGAAAAATTGAAGACACATGAATATCAATAAATTGTATAGTACTACTTTATGTGAAGCTCTCTTCTCAACCAAAAGATTAAGAAAAGGTGTAAGATATATCCCCATCTTTAAATGAGTTATAATAGGTGCCTTATTACCCACATAAACTATTATTTTATACCAGTGTCTTTGTATATCTATGTGCCTAAGCCTTGAAATTAATCATGTTAATTCGAAAGACAGCCTGATGTATTAACATCACCATCACAGGAGATTTCATTCCTATGAAACTGCTTAGGTCACTAGAAACTAACTTTATCAAAGCCAGCATTTAACTGTCTCTTTAATCTTGACCTCTCAACAGCATGTGACAGTGTCTGTTGCTGCTTCTTGCAATGCTTTCATTGCCAAGCTTCCATGACCACACACTTGCCTGCTTTGCCTCTCTCCTGACTAGTCTCACTTTTTTAGATCCTTCTCCTCTAGCAGACCTCTAGTTGTTGAAGTATTCTAGAGCTCTGTCTTCAGCAATGTCTCTTCCCTATGCACACCATCTCCCTACAAACCTTCCCCTGCTCCCATGGTTTCAATATCATCTATATGCCAATGTCTCTTAAGTGTTACATCTTCAAACTGAAATGATTAAGTGACTCAATGTAAAAACTTCGACAAACAATTGCCATCTTCTTTTGAATGCCTAAGAGTAGTCATTGACTAGTTTTGTAGATTATGCATTGTACAACCCTAAAGGAATATCATTCAGATTGAACATGATATGAACATCTTATATAAATTGTTTAAATTATCTTACTCATAATCTGGAAAAGTAGATTCAACTAAATTCCAAGGTTTCTCCATATACTAAACACCTGGAGCTAGCTATTATACTTTTACTGTCTCCTTTCCATTTTAAGCAAAACTGAAGTTATACTTTCATTATTCTAATATTCAAAACTAGAAATTAGTAATTGGTTTTAGGACTTGCTAATACAGGCAATTGGAAAACTTTTATAAAACTGGATAGAAATATATCCTCACCAAAGATAGCAAGCAAAATTTTGAAAAATATTCTACGGTTACTCCAAAAAAAATTAATACAGACTAGGATCATGTTAATACATCTACAACTACATTTTACTAGTGGAAAGGAAGAACAGGATTCAGTGATCAACTCAAAGACATAAAGCAGATATGTAAACAAGTCTTCCATTAAATAAAACAGCAAGTAAACTAAAACATTGCCAGACTTCCTTGATAATTAGCAAATGAATGACAGTGTCCTATATTTCATTGGTTTAAGCATACATGATAATTATTAAAGTAATCCTGCAGTTTTCAGTAGGCTGACTGTGAGAGTTTCCAGAAATTTCAAGATTCATAATATGTCTTCTAGTCTAATATACAAAGCCTTGACACTCTAGTCTAGCTGGGATTCTTATGTCCAAATTAAAGAAATTCAAAAATAGTCTATTCTTAACCGATGGAAGAAATCCTCAAGCAGCTTCCATTCTAACAGATTCATATATATTTCTCATTTTTCCTACCAAATGAAAATGAGCTTTCGAACAGATTTACTTCCCAAAAGATGTTAAAGAATTAAGAAAAATCAGCTTATGCAAAAGGTAATAGTAACAAGAATATTGTGAACAGAAGAAACCAAAAATTTCCTTACCTTCAAGTTATTACCACAGACAGAAGAGTTCTCAAAATGTTTTATCATATATGCTCCAAAGTATATTTGTATATAGTGTGCTATTTTAATTTTGAACTAATATATGTTCCAATCTATACTAAATTTCACCAGTTCAACTTTATTTTTTCTTCCTTTTTCTCCTCTTTCTTTGACTGAAGTAATTGTTTTTTTAAATAAATGAAATGAACTCGAAGGTTTCCATATTAGAGTAAACTAGGAAATACTCCTAAATACAGACTTGATAACAAAGAAGGATTTTTAAGAAGAAAAATTGATCACAAATGATATCTCTGAGACAAATGTTACTGATGCTAATATTCTCTATGACAGTGGTTCTCAAATGTTAGTGTGCATCAAAAACACCTAAAGAATGTTACAACACGGATTGATGGTGCCCACTCCCACAATTTGATTCAATGTGTCTCAAATACAGTCCTATATTTGCATTTTGATCAAGTTCTCCACTGATGCTGATGAAGTTATCTGAGAGACCACACTTTGAGAACTACTGCTGTATAGAATTCTTCTCTTCCTTAATATTTTGAAAACCTGAGAAGATCCAATTACTTATTTTTCTTATGAATTTTCAAAGAGCTGTCCTATATCACCATCTGGCCACTTTGATTAGAGGTTTCAGGTCTCTACAGCATTAGTGACTGTTAGTAACAATAAGATATTTTTAGAGGCTTACTTTGTTGAGCCTTTATGTGGTAATTTCATTATCTGACAGGTAGAAATATTATTATTCCCACCTTAGAGATATAAAAACAGTCACACAACAATAAGTAAAGCCAAAAGTCACACAGAGGTCTGCCTGACTCCAGATCATGAGGTTTTACTCCCTCCCTATGATTTGCTTTGAGATAATAAACTTGGAAGACCCAAGATGCATTATTCTGTTGTCTGTGTCACAATGTAATTCAGCAAGGATAATTAACAATTTGATTGCATTAATGACAGAATTCTTTTACAAGACTAAACAGTATTCATTGTATATATATAATACATTTTTATATATCATTCATACATTAACGAACACTTGGGTTGATTCCATATCTTGGCTATTGTAAATAATGCTGCAGTGAACATGAGAGTGAATGCAGGTACCTGTTTAATATGCATCCCTTGAATATATACCTACTAGTGGAATCCTAGGATTCCTACTGGATCATAGGACAGTTCTATTTTTGATTTTTTGAGTACATACCTGTATTACTCCATTCTCACACTGCTAATAAAGACATATCTG
Source organism: Homo sapiens (assembly GCF_000001405.40). Taxonomy (NCBI): domain Eukaryota; kingdom Metazoa; phylum Chordata; class Mammalia; order Primates; family Hominidae; genus Homo; species Homo sapiens. Next base: position 107,035,478 of record NC_000008.11, on the reverse strand, counting down.
AGACTGGGTATTTATAAACGAAAGAAGTTTAATTGACTCATAGTTGAGCATGGCTGGGGAGGCCTCAGGAAACTTAAAAACATGGTAGAAGGAGAAGCAAACACATCATTCTTCACATAATTGCAGAGAGAAGAAGAATGAGAATTGAGCTAAGGGGGAAATCCCTTATAAAACTATCAGATCTTGTTAGAACTTACTATCACGACAATAGCATGGGGGGAACCGCCCCCAAGATTCAGTTACCTCCCACCAGGTCACTCCCATGACATTATGGGAACTATAAGTCAAAATGAGATTTGGGTGGGGACACAGTTGAACCCCATGGACTGCATACAGGTTTTTGCAACTGCTGTACTAATTTACATTTCCACTACCAGTGTATAAGTGTTCTCTTTTCTCCACACCCTTGACAACACTTGTTATCTTTTGTCTTTTTGATAATATGTTAATATTATCAACATTAATATGCATTTCCCTAATAAGTGAGGTTAGCGTTCTTTTTCATATACATCTTGGCCATTTGCATGTCTTCTTCTGAGAAATGTCTATTCAGATTTTTTGCTACATTTTAATTGTGTTGGTATTTTACTATTGATTTGAGTTATTGATATATTTTAGATATTAATCCCTTATCAGATATATAACTTGCAAATATATTTTCTCATTGAAGTGAAGGTTGTCTCTTCACTCTGTATCCTTTGCAATGCAGAAGCTCTTTAGTGTGATATAATTCCATTTGTCTATTTTGCTTTTGTTGCTTGTGATTTTAAAGTTATATACAAAAAAAGTATTACCCAGCTCAAAGTCATGGAGCTTTTCCCTTATGTCTTCTTCTAGTAGTTTTATAATTTTAGGTCTTATATTTAAGTTTTACTCAATTTTGAGTTAAAATTTTTTTAATGTGATGTAAGAAGATGGTCTAGCAGCAGAAGTAGTAGTAGTGGTAGTAGTAGTATTGGTAGTCCTGCATGTGAATATCAAGTTTTCCCAGTATCATTTGAAGAGAATGTCCTTGCCATTGTGTGGTCTTGGCACCTTTGTCAAAAGTCAATTTGCCATAAATGCATTCATTTATTTCTGGGTTTTCTATTCTATCCCACTGGTGTATTGTCTGTCTTATGCCGTTATCATATTATTTTGATTATTATAGCTTCATAATGGATTTGAAATGAAGTAATAAGATGCTTCTGGCTTTGTTCTTGCTGAGGAATGATTTTGCACTGGGGTCTTTTGTGATTTCATACAAATATTAGGTTTGTCTTTTCTATTCCTATGAAAAACGTCATTGGAATTTTCATAGGGGTTGCATTAAATCTGTATATTGTTTTGGGTAGTATGACCAATTTAACAACATTAATAATTTCAATCCCTTTACATGGGATATCTTTCCATTTATTTGTGTCATTCTTAAATTTTTTATCAATGTTTTATAGTTTTCAATATGTCTTTCACCTGTTGGTTATATATATTCCTAAGTATTTTGTAGCTATTATAAATGGGATTGTTTTCTGAAATTCTTTTTCTAGTAGTTCATTACTAGTGTATAGAAATGCTAGTGAGTTTTGTATGTTGGTCTTATATCCTGCAACTTTATTGAATTTATTAGTTTTAACATTTTTTATGGAGTCTGAAGAGTTTTCTATATACAAGATTGTTAAGTGTAAACAGAGACAATTTAAGTGCTTCCTTTCCTATTTGGATGCCTTTTATTCTGTTCTCTGACCTAATTGCTCTGGCTAGGACTTCCAGTACTATGACGAATGGAAGTGGCAAGAATGAGCATCCTTGCCTTGTTCCTGATCTTGGAGCTTTCAACTTTTCACTGTTGAATATGATGCTAGCTATGGGGCTTGTTGTAAATGGTTTGAATTGTGCCAACGTACATTTCTTCTATACCTAATTAGTTAAGAGTTTTATTATAAAATGATGCAAAATTTTTTAAATGCCTTTCATGCATCTATTAAGATGATAGTATGGCTTTATCCTTCATTCTGTTAATGTAATATATCGTATTTATTTATTTACATATACTGAACCATCTTTGCATCCCAGCAATAAATCCCACTTGATCATTCTGAATAGTTCTTTTAATATGCTAATGAATTTGGTTTGCTAACACTCTGCTGAAGATTTTTACATCCATGTTCATCAGTGATATTGGACTGTAATTTTCTTCTCTTGCAGTGTCCTTGTTTGGCCTTGGTATCAGGGTAGTACCAGCCTCATAAGTTTGGAAGTTTCCTGCCTCTTCAATGTTTTGGAAGAGTTTGAAACAGTTTGGTATTAGTTTTTCTTTTTTCTTTTTTTTTTTTTTTTTTTTTTTTGAGACGGAGTCTCACTCTGTCGCCCAGGCTGGAGTGCAGTGGCGCTATCTCGGCTCACTGCAAACTCCGCCTTCCGGGTTCACGCTATTCTCCTGCCTCAGCCTCCCAAGTAGCTGGGACTACAGGCGCCTGCCACCACGCCCGGCTATTTTTTTGTATTTTTAGTAGAGACGGGGTTTCAACGTGTTATCCAGGATGGTCTCAATCTCCTGACCTCGTGATCCACCCGCCTCAGCCTCCCAAAGTGCTGGGATTAATTTTTCTTTAAATATTTGGTGGAATATAACAAAGAAGCCATCAGTTCCTGGGCATTCTTTGATGGAAGACTGTTAATTACTGATTCAATCTCCTGACTTACTCTGTTTAGATTTTATATTTTTTTTATGATTCAGTCTTGGTAAGTTGTATATGTCTAGGAATTTATCCATTTCATCTAAGTTACATAATTTGTTGCTGTATGATTTTTCATAGTAGTCTCTTATGATCCTTTGCATTCATCTGGTATCAGTTCAAATGTCTTCTTTCATTTCTGAATTTGAGCCTCCTCTCTTTTTTTCTTAGTTTAGCTAGAGGTGTATCCTTTTTCTTTTCAAAAAATCAACTTAGTTTTGATCTTTTGTATTGTTTTTCTAGTCCTTATTTCTGCTGTGGTCTTTATTTCCTTCTTTCTACTTTCTTCAAACTCAGCTCTTTTTCTTTTTCTAGCACCTTAAAGTGTAATGTTAAGTATTTTTGTTCTTGTGTGATGTAGGCATCTATTGCTATATACTTTCCTCTTAGAAATTATTTTCCTGCATCCCCTAACTTTTGCTATGTTGCCTATAGATTTTTGTTTCTATGAAGATATTTTTAAATTTCCCCTTTAATTTCTTCTTTGACCCATTGGTTTAGGAGCATGTTTAATTTTTACATATTTGCGAATTTTCCAAAATTCTTCATTGACTTCTACTTTCATAACATAGTGGTTAGAAATGATACCTGATATGATTTCAGTCTTTTAAAATTTGTTAACACTAGCATTATAGCCATATGATCTATCCTAGAGAAGAATTTCTGTGCACTTAAGAATGCATGTTCTGTTGTTGTTGATAGAATATTCTATATATATCTGCTCACTTATTAGAACTCCTGTGTATGTGATCTCTTTTTCTCTTGCTGCTTTCGGTATCCTCTCTTGTTTCGATTTTTGGCAAATTTAATTGTAACATATCTCAGTTGTCTTGTTCTGATTGGAGACCTTTGACCTTCCTGTACCTGGATTTTTATCTTAGAGTTCAAAAGTTTCTTGCTATTATTTTTTTAAATAATCTTTTTTCCTCATTTGCTTTTCTTTTCCTTAACTCCTGTAACTTAAACACTTTCTCTCTTAATGCCATTCCATAAATCCCATGTTTTCTTCATTCCTTTTTATTGTTTTTTCTTCTGTATATTTACAAATAAACTGTTTTCTAGTTCACATATTCTTTCTTCTGTTTGATCAGTTCTGCTCTTGACATTTTCTGTTGCATTTTCCATTTAATTTATTGTAGTTTTCAGCTCCAGAATTTGTTGGCTTTATGTGGAGATACATATAATTCAGATAGATAGATAGATAGAGATATATATGTATATACACATATAATTATTTTGGTCATTTATTGCTTTTCTGATTTCACTGAATTGTTTTTTGGTATTTTTTGAAGTTTGCTGTGCTGCTTTAATTATTTTTTAATTCTTTGTCAGGGAATTTGTGTATCTATTTCATTGGGTTCAGCTACTAAAAGATCATTTTGTTCTTTTGATGACATTATGTTTCCTTTGGTTTTTTTATGTCTTCTTACTTTGATATCTGCACATTTGATGGAAAAGTCACTTTTTCCAGGCTTTACAGGCTAGTTTCACTATGGAACGACTTTCCCTTAGGGAAAGTACTTACTGGGAAAGTATATGTGACAGTACTTACTGGGGTAGGTGCAGTGGTTAGGGTACTTGTGAAAGTTCCTTTGGTATGGTCTCTGCAGCTCTTTCAGCTAAGGTCAGTATTGATGAAGATTTTGGAGATCCTCAGTAGCTAGGACTACTATGGTGGAAAGGGCATTGGATAAACATTCCTATTCCAAAAAAGAGAAATCAGTCAAAAGAAATGGGCAGCAGGTCCCAATGCAAGTCCAAAAACCAGCAGGGCAATTGTTGATTCCATGTCCCACATTCTGGGCACACTTATGCAAGTGGTAGGCTGCCAAGGCCTGGGGTAGCTCTGCCCCTGTGGCTTTTCTAGGCTGAGATTATAAGCTTCTGTGGTCTTAAGGGTGGTGCCCCCATTCCCACAGCTTGTCTAGGCAATGCTCCAGTGCAGACTCTGTGTGGGAACTCCAACCTCACATTCCTCCTCGGTATTTCTTAGTAGATTCTCTCTGCAGGAGCCCTGCCCTGTAGCAGGCTTCTGCCTGGGCACCAAGATTTTCCATACATCCTGTGAAATCTAAGTGAAAGTTGTCAAGCCTCCTTCACTCTTAAATTATGTGTGCATCCTGACTTAACACCATGGGGATGCTACCAAGGTTTTTGGTACTTTGTGCTCTTCAAAATAGCCCAAGCCATACCTGATGCCCTATGAGCCACAGCTGGAGCTATAGTAGTGGGGATATAGGGAGCTGTGTCCCAAGGTGGAACTGAACAACTAACTCCCTGAGCCTGGGCCCCCAAATCATTCAGTCCTCCTAGGCCTCTGGGCCTGTCAAGGGAGGGGCTGTCTTGAAGATTTCTGAATTGCCTTCAAGGCCTTTTCCCTATTTTCTTGACTATCAGCACTTGGCTCTCTTTTAGTCATGTAGATCTCTGTAGCAAGTGGTTATTCAGCAGCCAACTTGTATTCCTCTCCGGAAAATGCTTTTTCCTTTCTATCACATAGCCAGGTGGCAAATTTCCTGAATTTTATGCTGTACTTCCCTTTTAAATATAAGTTCCAACTTTAAGTCCTTTCTTTCCTCCCATATCTTATCATAGGCTACTAGAAGCAGCCATGTCACTTCTTTAATGTTTTGCTGCTTAGAAATTTCTTCTGCCAGATACCCTAAGTTATCACTCTTACATTCAAACTTCCACAGCCATAGGGCATAGAGGTAGTGCAACCAAGTTATCTGCTAGGGCATAACAATAGTGTCCTTTGTTCCAATTCTCAATAAATTCCTCATTTCACTGAGATCTCATCAGCCTGGGCCTTTGCCATTTATATTTCCATCAGCATTTTGGTCACAGCTACTTAAGTCTCTAAGAAATTCCAAAATTTCTCTCATCTTCCTGTCTTCTTCTGAGACCTCACAACTCTTCCAACCTCTGCCTCTTATCAAGTTTCAAAGCCACTCCACATCTTCAGGTACTTTATAGCAATGCCCCACACTCAGTACCAATTTTCTGTGTTAATCTCTTCGTGTTGCAATAAATCTAAGACTGGGTAATGTATAAAGAAAAGAGGTTTATTTTGGCTCATTATTCTGCAGGCCATATAGGAGGCAGGATGCCAGCATCTGCTTCTGGTGAGGCCTCAGGAAGTTGACAATCATGGCAGAAGGCAAATAGAACAGATGTGTCACATGGCAAGAAAGGGAGCAAGAGAAAGAGGGGGAGGTCCTAGACTCTTTTAAACAATCAGATCTCACATGAACTCAGAGTAAAAAATCATTTATTAACATGAGGACAGCAGTAATACATTCATGAGGGATCTGCCCCTGTGACCCAAACACCTCCCACTAGGCTCCTCACCTCCAATATTAGAGGTCACATTTCAACAAGAGATTTGGAGAGGACAAAACATCCAAACCATATCACTGGGAACCTGTGGAGGGAGTATAGCTCTGAGATCCAGGACCCTAATGACACTGGTGCACGAGTTGCAGTTATCCCCACTGCCATGTTGGTAACAGAATGCATGGTATAGATGATTTTGAAGCAGCCATGGAGCCAATAATGGAAGCACTGGCATTTGAGAAGCTCCATGCTTGGAGCAGGGTCTAGCTCTCTGTGGCACGTGAGCTGGTATCCAGCATGGGCAGGTACAGCAAGTACTTGGTTCCAGGCTTGTGGTGTGAACTAGCTAATTATGGAAATGACTTTGTTGTCTGAGATGTGGGTTGGTGTATGGCCCAGTGCAGTCACAGAATTTAGATCTGGATTATGAGAACTCATGGAGTTGCTGAAGCTTAGGGGTCAAGGCCTGCAAGGGGTTGGGAGAAGTGGCAACTGCTTTCCCAAAGCAGCTCAAAAGAGTGACCACTTAATAGGTGGGCAAGGAGTGTGGAGCTCTATGGAATTCCCTGGCAGGAATGGCTGTTGGTTACCTCAGTGACAAAATGTGCTGGTATCCTCTGGAGAGCAGGCCACTGGAGACCAGTGGTTCCCACCATGTGGCTGACACTGATAGCTTTCACCTTTCCTCTTTGCTCCAAGAAATCTCCTGGTGTCTCCACTCTGTTGCTGCAGATTCTTTTATGGGTCATGGAGCTGTCCCAAGGCTATTTTCATATGTAAATAGCTCTTTTTGTTATGTCAAGACATGAAGGTTGGTATCTCCTACTCTAATATCTTGGTGACGTCACTCCCTTGGTCATTTTCATATTCTCAGCAACATTGTCTGCCATTTGACAAGAACCAAAAAATCACTGTTGGAACTGACTTACACTTGAGTTGTCTCTCAATTTGTTTTCAAATTACCAAGTCTCATCACATGGTATTAGCAATGATCAGGTCTGAACACTCTTGGCAGCAAGATGCAAGCAATTTTCTGGAAAAGACTGAAAAAAACTTTAAAGGTCATATATGTTTTTATTCACTTCTTGGTTCTCAATCAGTAGCACCATTTTCTTAGAATACTATAACAAAATAAAAAGCAGATATATTAATAAAACTCTAAATCTCTTTCAACAATGCTTGCTTTATGGCCTGACTCTGAGAGAAATTTAATCCTAAGCATTGAATAATGAAAAAGATTCCTACTTTCTGTAAAGGTGTGATTCCCCCACTCATACCTAAAGTACAGTCAATCGCCCATTTATCTTTTCTAAGGAGCAAAAATATCTATATTACTCATATATTACATTGATAGTATTTCTATCAATGAGGAACAAAAAATTCTTTGTTTCCCTTTCCAAAGTGCTGCCCAGAGAAAGTAGTAAATTTACTGTTGGAAGTCACTGGTAAACCAAAAAAAAAAAATTAAAATCTTGATTAAAACCCAGATGTTGAAAAATCCGTGGCCAAATTCCAGGGCAAAAATCTATAAATTTCAGGGGTACAGATGCCAAAGAAATGTAATGTAAAAACTAGTGTTGACAGGGAACCAGCAGGGCAAGATCATAGGAAGCAAAAAGCATGTAATTAGATATTTGATCTGTGACATGTTATAGTTAAGTCAAAATGATGTCAACCAAGTTATGGCACAGTTTGAAAGGCTTACAATGAAGCTGAAAGTAAAGAACAAAAGGATTATATGGACAAAGGATCCAAAGCAGTAAATAAACCAAGACATGCTCTTGAAGCAGACTAACATCTCTACTGGTGAGGGCCTGGGGGTTACCACATCAAGAACAATCACATCTGAGCATAAACTTTACAAATTTATAGCTATACAAGTACTCTATGTATACATACATATATATGTTGTATATCCAGGCATTCTCTCATCAGTAAATCCGATGCAAGCAGTTTTTCCTCCAGGCTGAAGGACAGCTGTTTCTTTAGGTGACACTAGAATAAGTTATGTGCTTTGTATCTTGATATACTAGGTAGTAACATGCTTTCAGTATAAGAGACTCGTGGGATCAAACAAGGAAGGATAACAGATTTACTTCACCCACCTGCCACTCAGAGGCATTGGCTCATCCCCGGGGAAGGAGGACAGCTTTTCCCACATTGTCTTCTTCCCCACTCTTCTCCTTTCACTCTTTTACATTTGAGTAAGTTACATATTGGTAATTGGACTCTTTCGTTTTGATTTGATTTTGAAGTTCTAGCTCTGGGTAGACATGGCCTCTGTAAACATCCTACCTGGCTTGACAATTTTGGGTTTGATCCAATATCATTTAATCCAGCCTCCTTTCTCCTAACACCAAGCATCTGTTCTCCATCTCTAGAGGTTAAAACAACAGGAGCTGCTTTCTTCTCCAAATATACTGAGGTTTTGACAGTATAACTTTTTTTTTTCAGAGCTACACCTGACTTAATAAAACAATAATATTGGAGACAATAGAGTTGAAAGAATACTTGGCTTCTAACTTCCCATGGACATTGAGTCACTGTCTTCATACTACAAACCCATGGTTGACAGTAACTTTTTAAAGAGAACATTGTTATGTGAACTTATGAGCTCAGTTTCAAATAATTATTTTCTTTAAAAGTAAACTTTTGCATTATTTTGAACTAGCAAATACAGCCAATACAAGTAGGTATGGACATAGGATGCATCATTTGCAAGTAAAACAAAATAGGTTTGATCAATTTTATCTCACATTATATTTCCATTCACTTTAATTTGTAATGTCTTCATTTATTGTGTCTCTCATTTGCAGTACTGACTCTGTAATAGTAGTAAATACCAAATTTTTAAGAAAATAAAAAAATGGAACTAACTTAAAACTGGAAAAATTATGGATTTTTTCTTCTAGAATCTAGTAAAGGCTCTGCTCTTTTTTTCTGTAGGAATTTATTCAGCTCAAACACCAGTGTTTTACAAGATCACAGTTTGAGAACTATCATGAAACTATCAGATACTATGATAATAACCTATTCTTGTTCCATCTCTCCATGATTTGGACACAACTGGTTCTTACAGCCAGTCTCTTCTCCACATGGATTGCAAAGAGCCTAAACTAAACAGAGCAATTTTGAGACCCCAGTGTAGTTCATATTTTATTGAAAGTAAAACTCTAATCTGTGGCCTCTTGTGGATACAGGGCCCCAGGGCAATAGGTTTTGTTGCGTGTTTATTTTTGTTTCTATTGGTTTTTAGTGAAGGACAGCCACAACTATGAAGGAAACAGGATTTTAAAAGAATTACTATCTTGAGGAGATAGCTCTCAGTAGCTCTTAGTCCAAACAATATTATACTTCCTCCCAAAACATATTCAAAAAAGTATTTCAGGCCTGGTGCGGTGGCTCACGCCTGTAACCCCAGCACTTTGGGAGGCCAAGGCTGGCAGATCACCGGAGGTCAGGAGTTTGAGACCAGCCTGGCCACCATGGCAAAACCCTGTCTCTACTAAAAATACAAAATTAGCTGGGTGTGGTGGTGCATGCCGGTAATCCCAGCTACTCGGGAGGCTGAGGCAGGAGAATTGTTTGAGCCCAAGAGGTGAGGGTTGCAGTGAGCCAAGATCATGCCATTGCACTCCAGCCTGGGAAAAGCAAGACTCCATCTCAAAAAAAAAAAAAATTCATTCTTGTTACTTGAGAGCATCTGGAAGGAGGAGCACAAGAGGACTGTCCATTGTGCAACTCCCCTTTGCACTGATTTGAGCAATAGTAGATAGAGAAGTGGCAGTAGAATTACAAGTGACAGGGACCCACGATGTTCACACAGAAAGCATCTTTCCTTTACAGGCTGAGATTTGAACAACTGCAGGCAAGCATCTTCTGTTCTCAACAATGAGCCCTAGATACAGAATACAGAAGCAAACCATATGAGTCAGAGGCAGAAACAGAACTAAGATAAAGACTTAAAACAGACCAAGATTCAAATATATTATTCTAACCATACCCAGCTAGGGACTTCCCCAGGAGCAAGAAAATGGGTGATAAACAGCTTTCTACTCCAGAACCTGTTCGGATAATTGGGTAGCAGTTGCTGGAGTGCGGTTAGGAAATCTCACCTGATTTCATTCTATATAAGCTCCATGTTTGAGTCCAATGTCTATCCATAGGTGGAAGAGATTTAAAAAGTAACACCTGTGGCCGGGCACATTGGCTCAGGCCTATAATCCCAGCACTTTGGGAGGCCGAGGCGGGCAGATCACGAGGTCAGGAGATCGAGACCATCCTGGCTAACAAGGTGAAACCCTGTTTCTACCACAAATACAAAAAATTAGCCGGGCGTGGTAGTGGGTGCCTGTAGTCCCAGCTACTAGGGAGGCTGAGGCAGGAGAATGGCGTGAACCCAGGAGGCAGATCTTGCAGTGAGCCGAGATAGCGCCACTGCACTCCAGCCTGGGCGACAGAGTGAGACTCTGTCTCAAAAAAAAAAAAAAAAAAAAAAAAAGTAACACTTGTGCTATAGGTTTACAACCCCAAGCCTAGAAAAATACTTCACACAACCTGCAAGCAATTATGTATTTAGGCCTCTGTTAACTATAAATAGAATATTTTAAAGAATGGATTTTATATTTCAAACAATTCTTTTGTTGATATTAAAAAGTATCAAGTAGAAAACTTTGTTCAGACCTTGTTTAGGAAGAGCATGTGAATGAGAAGGCCCCACATGAAATTGCAGTTACCATCCTGGGTCACTGACGGATTTACAGAAATGGCTCCATCACAGGGAAACATGCCTACTGAAACAAGTCAGTAAGTGGTCTCCTTTTGAAATGTGTCTGAAAAGAGCCCAAATGTTTAAAAGCCAGCATGTAGCAAGAAAATACACATAACTGCATCTTTAAATCTAAGACATACATTTACTGTTTCAGAAGTCAGTAATATTAGAACATTGATGTAGTGATAGGTTTTTGCTAAACCACTGAATTGGTAATTAAACTGACCTATTACAAATTATGGTACCTTAAAACTGGGAATATGACAGTAGTTTCATCATGCTATCAAAACATTAAGCCCAGCATTTATCCTGGTATCTTTAAACAGGAAGCTGATTAACCTAACCTTAGGTGATCTGTATAAGCCTGTGATTCAGAAAGTGATTGAGGTGCTGTCTTGGAGAAAATCCAGATGACCTTGATCACATTTCTGGCTCTATGCTACATGAACTTATTAGAATCTAGTCTTCTATTGATAGTAAGCTTTGATTAGATTATGTCTGTGAGCTTTGCCAAATCTAATCTTGGTTTTTATTAGTAAGCTTCAAAATATCCATAATACAAGAAGAATTGATATTTATAACAAATCATTTATAATTCAAAATATAAATGTATAAATTATCAAGGATTAAACTCTCAGTATAATCTTAATGCTAGATATATTTTTTATTTTCACCTTTAAATTGCCCATCTACTTACAGCGAATGAGCTTTTTCTTAAATATAATTTGCTATCAACTAATTAACTCTTTATTCAATCTGGTTAAATAAGCTAAAATTTATTTTTTAGACATTATAAATTTGATACAAGCATGGGCTACCACATAAAACAGGTGAGATTTAAATTATTATTTCTAAGTAAAAATAAGGTAGGCATATAGCACCATCATAGATTAATCACTAAGTTATATTTAAGTCACTTTTCATTCAAATTAAGAATCTGTCCAAGAAGAAACATATCAACATTAGAATATATTCATTATACATAAACACAAAGGACTATCTCTAGAGAATTTAGCAAATAATTAATCCCCCAAATCTGAAATTTATAGATATATCCCAATATGCTTATCATGGACTGTAGCAATAGCTTGGTTTTTAATTCCTAAATGACATTAAATCCATAGGCATCACTTAGCTGAAAAACATCACTAAAGTAGAATTGAAGCTCATATTGTTATTTGGAGAGGCTTAGATTTAGGAACTTTTTGTAAAAGCTCCAAGAAGACTAAAATAGAAATATTGGCATGGGATATACCACTTCTTTGCCTGCTTTAAAAAGAGATGTCTGTGACAAAGTTTATTGACATGGAAAAGAACATTAATGATATCAAATTCTCAATTAGGAATCTTGAAACATGCATTTCTCTGAATTAAATACCAGTTGCACGTTGTCTCTCACCAATGACCATTTCAAATAGTGTTTTAGCAACACTGGTGCATCATAGTCCCATAATATGTTTTCATTCCAAGCACAAACAGTTGTACTTGGAAAATATTAGTAATGTACCCAAAAGTCTTTTTAAAGAGACATTGCAAAATTATGAGACAGTCCAATAAGGGAATTCTTAAATGTGAATAATATTATATTTACAAAAAAATTAATATGGGGAAAACATGACAATCTCATGTCAATGAAAATTCATAGTACAAAGCTATATGTATAGAATAATGTTCACCATATATAACATCTGTAAATATAAATGTATTAAAATGAAAAAAATTAAATTATTCAAATCAGCTCTGGGCATGACCTTTATTATTCCTTTTCATATTTTTAATAGCTTAATTAGCAAGTGAAAATTGTATGTATTCATGGTGTACAGCATGATTTTTTAATTTATGTATACATTGTAGAATGGCTAATTCAAGTAACTTAAGGCATTCATTACATCACATACTTATTTACTTTAGGACAAGAACATTTAGAATATGGTATCTGAGCAATTTTCCAGTCTACAATGTATTGTATAAATTGTAGTCATCATAACGATCTGTTGAATTTATTTCTCCTAACTGAAATGTTGTATATTTGACCAAAATCTTTCCAAATTTCCCATTATCCAACCTCTGGTTAACACCATTTTACTCTGTTTTTATGAGTTCAACATTTTTATAATTCATATATAAGTGATATCGTATGGTATTTATCTTTCTGTGCCTGGCTTATTTCACTTAACATAGTGTTTTCCAGGTTCACCTATGTTGTCATAATGACAGGATTTCATTCTTTTTTATGGCTGAATAGTATTTCATTGTGTATATATACCACGTTTTTAAAAATCATTCATCTGTTGATGAACACTTAGGTTGATTCCATATCTTGCCTATTGTGAATAATGCTGCAGTGAACACAGGAGTTACCTGTGATTTTGGAGTCATATCCAAAAATAAAAATAAAAAAATAAAAATCATTGCCCAGAAAAATTCCAAAGTTTTTGCCCTATGGTTTCTTCTACTAGTTTTACAATTTCATATCTTACATTTAGATCTTTAATCCATTTTGAGTTGATTTTTTATATTGTATAAGATATGCATGTCATTTTATTCTTTTGTATGTGGATATCCAGTTTTCCCAGCACCATTTATTGAAGACCCTGTCCTTTCCCCACTGTATGGTTCTTGACATTTTCATTCAAAGTCAATTGACCACAATGTACGTATTTATTTCTGGGTTCTTTATTCTGTTTCTTTGGTCTATGTGCCTGTTTTTATGTCAATACTATGCTCTTCTTCTACTTCTGTTTTAGGTTCAGGAGGTACACGTGCAGGTTTGTTACATGGGTAAGTTTTGTATTGCTGCAGCTTGGTATACAAATGATCCCCTCACCAAGGTAGCGAGCATAATACCTGCCTGATAGGTAGCCTTCCAACCCCCACCTCTCTCCCACCCTCCCCATTCAAGCAGTCCCAGTGTCTGTTGTTTTCATTTTTGTATCCATGTGTATTGAATACATAGCTCCCACTTTTATGTAAGGACATGCAGTATTTGGTTTTCTGTTCCTCTATTCACTTAGGTTTTGTTCATTTTTTTAAAGTTCTTTATTTGTGTCTGTCTGTGATGCTTTAAAGAAGCGCTCTTCAGGTTCTGAGATTCCTTCCTCAGCTGGGTCTGTTCTGTTGTTAATGCTTGGAACTGTATTTTGAAATTCCTGTAGTGAATTTTTTCATTTCCAAAAGTCCAGTTTAGTTCTTTCTTAAAATGGTTATGTGGTCTTTCAACTCTTTGGATTGTTCTACTGTTTTCCTTGGATTGGGTTTCAACTTCCCCTTATATCTCTGAGCTTCATTGCCATCCAGATGCTGAATTCTATGTCTGTTATTTTAACCATTTACGTCTAGTTGAGAACCACTGCTGGAGAGCCAGTAGATCATTTGGAGGTAAGAAGTCACTCTGACTTTTAGAGCTGCCAGAATGCTTGTGCTGGTTGTTTCTCATCTGTGAGGGCTGATGTTTTGTTATCCTTTGACACTGCTGCCAAAGCAGCTTTTTGGATGGGGCTTTTGTTTTCAAATCCTCTTTATTGTCCTTGAAGGTTTGACCATGGTGCAAGTTGGTATACTGAATGCTTCATTTCTGGGTGCTCTCAGAGGTCCAGGGTTCAGATTTGCACTCATGGGCTGTGTGCTCTAGGACCTGGGACTAGGTCTGTGGCTTTGTCCTCTTGTCCCTTAAGGTTGAGCCCTGGCTGGGCTGGAGGGGCCAAGGAGCTACCAGACCGACTGGCAACAGCATTTTCTAGGAGAGGTGGGGGCAGGTGGGTGTAAGTGCTTCAGTGGTGTCTCCATGGAAAGGAAGCACACCCCCAGCAGGGGTTATGGGGGCACTGTAGGTGAGCATTCTCTGGAGGGGTGGCAGTGGGGTCACCGGCAAATCCATTCTGCTGGGAGGCTGTCAGCAAAATCACTCCAGTGGGGCAGTGGGGTCCTCTGGCAAAAGCACTGTGGTGGATGGCCCCTGCCAAAAGTGCTTCAAATTAACGAGTAGCTGAGGCTGCGCTGCATGCAAATATAGCCAGGCAGGGACTCTAATAGGGGGCTGGCAGAGAGCAGGGGCACAGATCAGACTCTCTAGTCCCACAGGATAGACATCCCTGCTGTCTCTCCAGGTCTGGCAGATTACACAGGTCACAGCCTCTCCTTTAGGAGCTGTCCAGGGCCTGGAATGCATCTCAGTGCTTGGCAACCCCATGCAGGATTTACAGCATCCTCCCACTTCAGTCCTGGTGTCTAGGTCATCTCTCTAACCTCTCTCAGTGCCTTCTCTCAGATGATCTGTTCCAAGTATGCCAGTTAACTCAATATTCTGTTCTATCTGGGTGGAATAAGTTCTTCCTGGCTGCATCTAGTGGGCCATCTTGCCTACGTCTCCATATTATGCTGTTTTCATTGCTATCGTTTTGTAGTGGATTTTGAAATGAGATAGTGTGATACTTCTAGCTGTGTTCTTTTTGCTTAAGATTGCTTTGGCTATTCAGGGTCTTTTATGGTTCCATACAAATGATAGAATTGTTTTTAAGGTTTCTTTGAAAAATGTCATTAGAATTTGTATCGGATTTCATTTAACCTGCAGATCACGTATGGACATTTTAACAATATTCTTCTAATCCATGAACGTGAGATATCATTCATTTGTGTCAACTTATTTCATCAATGTTTTACAGTTTTCAATTTATTGTCTTTCACTTCCTTGGTTAAATTTGTCCCTAAGTATTTTATTTTTGTAGTTATTATAAACGGAATTGATTTATTGATGTATTTTTTGGGATAGTTTGTTAGTGTATGAAAACACTGCTGATTTTTGTGTGTTGATTATGGTATCCTAGAACTTTACTGAATTTGTTAGTTTTCAGTTTTTTAGTGACATCTTCAGGGTTTTCTATATGTGGAATCATGTTGTCTGCAAACAGACATTTTTAATTCTGTCCTTTTTAATTTGTATGTCTTTTTTTCATAATTGCTCTGGCAAGGACTTCCAGTACCATGATGAATAAAAATGGTGGTAATGGGTATTCTTGTCTTGTTTTGGGTCTTAAAGGAAAAGTGTTAAACTTTTCCCCATTGAGTATGACATTAGCTATGGGCTTGTTGCATGTGGCCTTTAGTGGGTTGAGGCACATTCCTTCTCTTCTTACTTTGAGAATTTTTAATCATGAAAGGATATCGAATTTCATCAAATGTCTTTTCTGCATCTGTTGAGATGATCATATGGCTTTGGCCTTCCTTTTATTTAGGTGGTGTACCACACTTATAGATGTGCATATGTTGAACCCTCCTTGCAATCCAGAAATAAATCTGAGTTGATTGCAGTGATTGTAGTGTGTAATGTGCTACTAAATTAGGTTTGCTTGAATCTTGTTGAGGATTTTTGCATCTATGTTTATCAGATTTAGTGGCCTGTAATTTTCTTTTCTTGTAATGTGCTAGTCTGGCTTTGGTATCAGGGAAATGCTGACCTTATAAAATGAGTTTGGAGTTATCCCCTCTGTTTAATTTCTTTGGAAGTATTTGCGAAGAATTTCTTTTTTAAAATATGTGGTAGAATCTGCATGGAAGCCATCAAGTCCTGGACTTTCCGTTGACAGGAGACTTTTTATTACAGATTCAATATCCTACTCATTATTGGTGTCTTCAGATTTTCTATTATGATTCAGTGTTGGTAGGTGATACGGTTTGGGTATTTGTCCTCTCAAAAATCTCATGTTGAAATGTGATCCCCAGTGTTGGAGGTGGGGCCTGGTGGGAGGTGATTGGGTCATAGGGGTGGATTCCTCACAAATGGCTTGGTGCCCTCCCACAGTAATGAGAGTGTTTTCACTCTATTAGTTCACACAAACTCTGTTAAAAACAGTCTAGCATTTCTTTATATTTCCTCATTCTCTCTCTGGTTCCTTCTCTCACCATGTGACATGCCTGCTCCCTCTTCTTCTTCCATGAGTAAAAGCTTCCTGAGACACTCACCAGAAGTAGATACTGGCACCATGTTTTTTCGTACAGTCTGCAGAACCGTGAGCCAAAATAAACTTCTTTATAAATTACCCAGTATCAGGTATTCCCTTTATAGCAATATAAAATGAATGAATACAGTAGGTATTATATGTAGGTTTTATATTCCT
This sequence comes from Homo sapiens, assembly GCF_000001405.40. NCBI lineage: Eukaryota > Metazoa > Chordata > Mammalia > Primates > Hominidae > Homo > Homo sapiens. Next base: position 107,018,544 of record NC_000008.11, on the reverse strand, counting down.
ACAAATTTATCCCTTTCTTACAGGTTATTCAATTTGTTGATATGTAATTGTTTATAGTTGTCTCTTACAATCTTTTGTATTTCTGTGATATCTCACTTGTAATATCTCTCTCATTTCTGATTTTTAAAAATTTGGTTCCTCTTTTTTCTTAGTGTAAGATTTGTTGATTTTGTTTATCTTTGACACACTTCTTAGTTTTGGTCATCTTTTCTAATGTTTTTCTCATAATCTGTTTCATTTATTTCTGCTCTGATCTTTATTATTTCCTTCCCCCTACTACTTAGCTCAGTTTGTTTTCTTCTAGTTCCTGGAAGTATAATGCTAAGTTGTCTATTTGGGATATTTATTCTTTTTCAGTGTAGGCGTTTATTGCTATAAACATTCCTCTTAGGACTGCTTTTGTTGCATCCCTTTAGTTTTTGTATATCGTGTGTCCATTTTCATTTCTCTGAAGAAATTTTTTAATTTCCATTTTTTCTTTGACCCATGAGTTGTTTTAGGGCATGTATAATTTCCATATATTTGTGAATTTTCTGAAATTGCCCCTATTATAGACTTCTAGTGTCATACCATTGTGGTCAGAAAAGGTATTTGATATGATTTCAATCTTCCTTGTTCAATTTGTTATGACTTACACTGAGGCCTATCATATGATCTATTCTGGAGTGTGTTCCATGTGCACCTAAAAAGAATGTGTATTCTGTAGCTATTGGTTGGATGTTCTATATATATATCTGTTAGGCCAATTTGGTCTAAAGTGCAGCTCAAATCCAATGTTTCCTTATTGATTTCCATCTGAATGGGCTGTCCAGTGTTAAAATCATGTTATTAAATTCCCTATTACTCTTGTATTGTGGTCTCTCTCTCCCTCCCTCAAATCTATTAATATTTGATTTATATATTTTTGATATTCTGATGTCAGATATGTATATATTTACCATTTTAATATTCCTGTGATGAATTGACTTTTTATCATTATATATTGACCTTATTTGTCTTTTTTAAAGTTTTTCACTTAAACTCTATTTTGCCTTATATAACCATTGCTACTTCAGCTGTCTTTTGGTTTCCATTTGCAGAAAATATTGTCCCTTTCTTTAGTTTCAGTCTATGTGTGTCCTTATAGGTGAAGTAGGTCTCTTGTTTGCAGCATGAGTTTGCATCTTGTTTTTTATCCATTCATTTACTCTATGTCTTTTGATTAGAGAATTTAATCCATATACATTCAAGGCAGTTATGACAGGTAAGTATTTACTACTGATATTTTGTTAATTGTTTTCTGGTTGTTTTGTAGATTCTTTCCTCCTTTCTTCCTCTTTTGCTACCTTCCTTTGTGATTAGATGATTTTCTTCAGTTGTATGCTTTGATTCCTTTTTATTTTTTGTATATTCTCTTTAGGTTTTTGGTGGTTACCATGAGTCTTACATAAAACATATGATATAATATACTATTTTAAATGGATAACAACTTAACTTTGATTGCATAAAATAATACACTTTTAATCCACCCTTCCCACATTTTTTATTGTCACAAGTTACATCTTTTTATATTGTATATCCCGTAACAAATTATTGTAGCTATTTTTAATAGTTTTGTCTTTAAGCCTTCAAACTAAAGATATAAATGATATAAGTGATTTATACACCACCATTAAAACCTCACTACAGTATTCCATAAAATCATTACAGTATTAGGCTATCTTACAGTTGGTTGAATACTTTCTTTTACCAGTGAGTTTTATATTTTCATATGTTTTTGTGTTACTATTTAGCATTTTTAAAATTCAGTTGGAAGAACTCCCTTCAGCATTTCTTGTAAGACAGATCTAGTGGTAATAAAATTCCTCAGCTGTTGTTTGGGAAAGTTTTAATCTTTCAATTTCTGAAGTACTGCTTTGCCAAATATACTATTTTTGGTTGCCAGATGTTTTTTTCCTTTATAACATTGAATATATCATTCCATTCTCTCCTAGCCTATAAGATTTCTCTTGCAAAATGCACTGATAGTTATTGAAACTCCTTTTTATGTGATCTGCTTTTTAAAGTTTTGCTGCTTTTCGGCAGTTTGGTCATAACATGTCTTAAAGTAGTCTTGTTTGGATTAAATCTCACTGAAGACCTTTGACCTTCCTGTTACCTGCTTTCCTTATATTCGGAAAGTTTTCTGCTATTATTTCTTTAAATAAGCTTTCTAATACTTTTTCTTAAGCTCCCATAACTAGAACATTTGTTTTTTGAAGCTGTCCCGTAAATTTCATGAGATTTGTTTATTCTTTTTTAGTCTTTTGGTTTTCTCCTGACTATATATTTTTAAATAGCCTGTCTTCAAGTTCATAGATCCTTTATTCTGTTTGATCAACTCTGCTGTTGTTGCTCTCTATTGTACTTTTTCATTTCATTATCTATTTCTGCTTCAGAATTTCTAGGTTTTTTAAAAAATATAACTTCAATCTCTGTTAAGTTTCTCATTTTGGTCATTTATTGTTCTCTTGATTTTTTTTGGTTGAATTGTTTCTCTGTATTTTCTTGAAGTTTGCTTAGCTTCCTTAAAAACAATTATTTTGAATTCTTTGTCAAGCAATTCATATATCTCCATTTCTCTAGGGTCAGTTACTGCTGCTTTAAAGTAGTCCTTTAGTGATATGTTTCCCTGATTATTTTTGACTGTTGTGGCCATGTGTTGGTAGTTATGCATTTAAAGTAGACTTATTTCAGTCTTTAAAACTGGCTTCCTCTGGGAAAGCCCTTCACCAGTTAACCCACCCAGAGATTGTGTAAAGGCTGTCTAGTGTGGTCCATAGGCAGACATGCTGCTGGAGCACTTGGGCAGCCTAAGTTGTGCCTGGGTCAGCAATTTGACTGTAGTGGCTTCCGAATCTATGGGTTTGTTTCTGGAGCTGATAAACAGGCCCACAGAGTGGGACTGGAGCCTGAATTTACATGGGGCCAGCATGAGACCTAGGTCTACAGGTACTATCTGGAACTGGGGTAGGCCTTAAGACTGAGTCTGCAGAGACCATCCAAGCCCTGGGATGGGCTGGGTGCCTGGGTCCACTGGGACAAGCCTGGAACCTGGGTTCATGAGGGCTGGCATGGTTCTAGGGCAGGCCTGGATCCTGAGTTCCTGAGAATAGGCCCATATTCAGGGTCTTGGCAGCTGGCCTGGAAATTGATTTACAAGGGTGGTCTGGAACCTTAATTCTTGATGGCTGACCTGGCACCAGGTCCTACTGGAGTTGGCCTGCATCCTGAATCCACTGGAGTTTGGAGCCACAGGAAATAATCTGGAGCCTGGGGCAAACCTGGTCCTAGGGCAGGTTTAGAGACTGGGACCATGAGGGTAAGCACATGGGATCTGTTCTGGAGGTTAGGTCCAAGAAGGCTGGCCTGGATACTGGATCCAGTTTGCAACCTGGATCCACAGCAGTGGTTCTAGAGCCTGGGTCCATTGGGGGCTAGCCCAGTGATGGGATCTACTGGGATAGACCTGGGTCGACTTGAGTGTGGGATTGCAGCAGCCAGCTTGGGAGCTCCCTAGGGCTCCAGGAACTGGCCTGGTCTTGGGAAGGCCTGGAGCCCATGTCCACAGGTGCTGACCTCATCCTGAGGGCTCCAGGAACTGACCTGGCCTTGGGAAGGCCTGGAGCCTGTGTCCACAAGTGCTGACCTCATTCCTGAGGCCAGGAGTATTGATGGAGACCTGATTCTGGGCTGTCTTAGAAACTGGAGTATGCTTGCATCCTGGGGCTGCAGGGGCAGGCCTGGCACTGAAAAGGCCTGGAGCCTGGGTCTTGAGGTAGGCCTGGTCCTGGAGTGGGCCAGAAACTCAGGACCCCTGGAGCTGGCTCAGTATTTTAGTCTGTCCAGAGCCTGGAGCCACTGGGGTTGGCTTGGCTCATGGGACAAGCCTGGAATCTGGGATTGTGTAATCTGGCCTGGCATCAAAGAGGGTCTGAAGTTTGTGGCCATGAAGATCTGCACTGTGCTGGTTTTTAATTGGGCAAGCCCAGTATTGGGATCTGAGGCAATGTCCAGTACTCACTTTACTATCCTTCCCCATGCAGAGGGTCTCTCTCTCCATTCTGTTCTATCTCTGGTTGGGAGAGGGGTGACATAGGTAATGTAAAACTGTTCTTCCTGCACTCTTAAATGCTATTTTCTTATTTTTCTGCTAAGCCCAGGTGCTGTAATCTCTCCTCTGGTTTCTTTATCTCTTATGAAGTATTTTTGTGCATGAATAGATCAAACTGATGCTTCTATGGGGGATTAGAGCTAGAAAGCCCTATTCTGCCATCTTATTAACATTCCCTCCTGATTATATTTTTTATACTTTGCTATATTTTTCACATTCTCTTTATGAAAAGGAAATATGGCTAAGGATATAATACAAAATTAAATTTTTTTTGTTATTAGAAAGGTTGATAGCCAGAATGATACAAAAGTGAAATCATTTTTATTTATTTATTTATTTATTTATTTATTTTTGAAACAGGGTCTGACTCTGTTGCCCAGGCTGGAGTATAGTGGCCCAATCTCAGCTCACTGCAACCTCCACCTCCCAAGCTCACACAATCCTCCCATCTCAGCCTCCCAAGTAGTTGCGACTACAGGTACTTGCCACCACACCCAGCTAATTTTGTTTTTTTTTGTGTGATTTTTTTTTTTTTTTTTTTTTTTGTATAGACAGGGTTTTGCCACACTGCCCAGGCTGGTCTTAAACTCCTAAACTCAAGCAATCTTCCTGCCTCGGCCTCTGAAAGTGCTGGGATTATAGGTATGAGCCACTGCACCTGGCCTGAAACCATTTTAAATGGGGCGAAAGAGTGCCTCCATACTCAATTCAAATAAATAAGACAGAATCAATTCTAGATTAGAAAAAAATAGTATTTAAAATTCAATAACTAACCAGAGAACAATATCTTTAGTAAAAATGTTTTCTTCCTAATAAGAGAAAGGACTAATAAGAGAAAGGAATCATTGTCTATATTCAGAATTGGGATTTCAGTCTTTTTTTTCCTAGTTATCTTGTGTTTCTTCTGATTGATGTCTACAACTCAGTGTTTGTGTTACTGAAGTCTGCGTCTTCTTCTCCATTGTTAAATCATATTTGAGACCATGTTATAACATGTTATATGAGAAACCAAGCACAGACAAATCTTGAGTCAGGCACCTGTATTCATATCTTGCCTTCAGCACTTTTTCTGAATGCTAGCCAGTTTCTTAATTTCTATGTCAGTTTCATCTTCAAGATGCAGATTATAACGTCAAAGAGTTTTAAGATGATTAAACGGATAGTTCTGTAAGCTGGTGATAATCTCTGCCACTCTACTCTGAAACTTCACCCTTCCCACCTCACTTTCATTGCTCAGGTTCAAATCCAGGCCCATCCTAGTCCCTATTTTTCTTTCACACCCCACATCCAACTTGTCAGCAAATTCTGCTCTCTCTGCCTTCAAAATAAATGCAGGCTCTGATCACTTCTCACCATCTCCACTGCCACCAACTGGGTAAAAACTGCCATCATCTCTTTCCTGGATTATTGCAGCAGCCTCCTATCTACCTTGCTATCTATGATAAATTCTGTGCAAATAATGATGTAAGCCAAGTCATGTTATGCCTCCACCAAAATCCTTCAATGGATGCCCATTCTTGCTCGGAGGAAAAAGTAAATTCTCAACCAAGGTCTAGGAAGGCCTACAAAATCGAATCTCTCACTCCCTCTGAGCTTAATTCCCTGAGCTAATTTTCCCTGTAATACTTTTCTTCAGTCACACAGGTCTCCTTACAGTTCATCTAAGACAAAAGACACATCTTGCTTCAGGACCTTTGTACTTGCTGTTCCCACTCATGCCATGCTTCTACTCTAGAGGGGCCCATAGTTTGCTCTCACTCCTTCACATCTTCACTCAAAAATAATAATCTCAACAAACCTTCCCTATTTAAAATTGCAAATCCTCCTTTTGAATGCTCCATCCCGTTTCCTGGTTCTATTTTTCTCTTAACATGTAGTATTCTGTAGCTTATTAATGCTATTTATGCCATTTAGAATACCACTTTATGAAGGTAAGAATTTGATGTAACCCTTGGGCCTAGAACAATGTCTGGCATCTAATATTTAAAAAGCATTTTTTAATGAATGAGTGAGCACATGCCCTCAGAACAGTATCTCGAAGATAGCAGGTACCATCTAAATTTTTAACTACTTTCATGTTTTATGATAATACCATGAAATCACTTAATTGAAAAGAACACTTTATCTAAATTTTTAGAAGATGATCATCTGACCTTTAAGCTCTTTCTCAACAGGGAACCATTAAAATCCCATAAATTTTATAAAATGAGCCAGAAGAATCTACTTATTTTAAGAAGGTAACATGTATGTTGATTTCTTGGAACTGAGTTTCTACTATACCACACACATTTATCCACATGCAACAAGAGATGTCAACTAACAAACTACCCCCTCTGTTTAGACAATAGGTAGTCCAAAGCAAACATGTGATTTAAAATGATATTAGTAAGAAAAGTTAAAGAAGTTTGCTAGGCAACTATAGTCTTTGCAGTAGAGTCAGCTATAGTGATTAATGTTTGAGACAGATTTCTAATCATGACCTCACTTATATTTATGCCAAGCCAGGTAAGCAGCATTTTACTAAAAATGCTTACAGAGATTTCTGCCTGCTGTAAATTAAGAAGTATAGACCAATATTCAGTTTCTAATTTGTTATGGAGTGGCAATGTGGCACTGTTAGTATCTCTAATTCACATTAGCCCCTTATTTTCTACTTATTGACACACTGATTTGGCCATGACTATGATTTTCTGCCTACACAGAAAAAAAATACATCTTATAGGAACACAACAGAGATGTTTCCTGTGGGATACCTTGTACATAGGGGTCACTCATTAAAAAAAAAAAAAAGGACTAGTAATTCTTACCTAAGCCTCCATTATTTGAATCACTGCATTGTTAGATGGTACGGTAATTAAGGAATGAGGGTTTGTGTTGGTCTCTTTTGTGTTGCTATAAAGGAATTCCTGAGCCTGGGTAATTGATAAAGGTTTATTTGGCTCATAGTTCTGCAGGCTGTGCAAGAAGAATGGTGTCAACATCTGCTTCTGGTGAGGGCTTCAGGAAGTTCCCAATTATGGTAGGTGGCAAAAGGGGGAGCAGGCATGTCACAGGGTGAGAGAGGAAGCCATAGAAAGATGCCAGGCTCTTTTAAACCACCACATCTCACATGAACTAACAGAGTGAGAACTCACTCATTACCATGGGGAGGGCACCAAGCCATTCATGATGGATCTGCTCCCATGACCCAAACACCATCTACCAGATCCCACTTACAACACTGGAGATTACATTTCAACATCAGATTTGGAGGGGACAAATATCTCAAATATATGAGGGTTATAAATTTACCTACAAGCTGTCAAATTATCTCTCCTGTAAGTTTTGGTTTTATTATTCAATTTCTGGCATAATTTAACTGAAAATTTCACTACAGGTTTTCCCTACTGTTAGATTTAAGCAAGGAATCTGAACATCTAAATTGAGAAGCCTAACTTTATAGAAAGAATTACATGTGTAATTGGAACAAATAGTCACACTGGGGATATCACATGCAATTTGTTACATGGTGAACTAGAGTATCTAGATCATGTAGGATTTAGTTTTGACATAACATATCCAATATTCAATTAAGTTCCCTATGGATGCTATCAATTGTGAAATCTTTATTATCACATTATTTTTCCATGTATAAACAGAAAAGAAACACAGGGAAAAGGTCAAGTGTTTCATGAAGAAAACAAAACAAAAAATAGAAAAGACGACTTGGTCCATGATTTTAGGAAAGCTTTCCACATCTTGGATGTCATCTGCTTCTGAGTAGAAACCTGCCTGGTCAGTTTTACCTTGATCTGCAACGGGTGTAAAGTTCCAAAAGTCTGAAGGTACCCTCTTGGGTTGAGAGATGTGAACCCAAGATTTGAGGCCCTGACGTTTTACTGCAGTTATTGGTGGTGAAAATCTGGCATGGCCTTCCAACAGAGCTCAAGGGCAGTCTTTCTCTGGTGTCGTTTCCAAAAGGCCCAATCTCTGGGTACTAGATGATGAAAGTTCTGATTGTTCCCAGTGGGCGGCGGCTTTTAGTTGGTAAAAATACATTTTGGCATAATGCGTTAAAGCCTTCTAGTATTTAGTCATAAGCAGAGATTACAAGCATAAGAGATACATGAGGTTCTATTACTAGGTACGAAAGTCTCTCAGTAACTATTTTATTAGGGGTTAAATTGAATATTACAGTAGGAGTGGATCTGATTGCTATCCAGGCCATTGATAATAGCCAAGGGAATCTAGTTGATTTAGTTAGTTTTGTCAATTTGTTTAACATTTTTAAATTTAGGTTTTTGGGGAACAGGTAGTGTTTGTTTACATGAATAAGTTCTTCAGTGGTGATACCTGAGATTTTGGTACCCCCACCACCCAAGCAGTGTACACTGTACCCAATGTGTAGTCTTTTATCCCTCACCCCCCTCCCACCCTTTCCTCTGAATCCCGAAAGTCCATTGTACCATTCTTATTCCCTTGAGTCCTCATAGCTTACCTCCTACTTATGAGTAAGAACATACGATGTTTGGTTTTCCATTCCTGAGTTACTCCATTTAGAGTAATGGTATCCAATTCCAACCAGATTGCTGCAAATGCCATTATGTCATTCCTTTTTGTGACTGAGTAGTATTCCATGGTGTGTGTGTATATGTGTGTGGGTGTGTATGTGTGTATGTATACACACATACACACACACACACACACACATATATATATATATAAATCACATTTTCTTTATCCACTAGTTGAGCATTTGGACTGGTTCCATATTTTTGCAATTGTGAATTGTGCCACTAAAAATATGTGAGTGCAAATATCTTTTTTGTATAATGACTTTTTTCTGCTGGGTAGGTACCCAGGAGTGGAATTGCTGGATCAAATGGTAGATCTACTTTTAGTTACTTAAGAAATCTCCACACAGTTTTCCATAGTGGTTGTACAGGTTTACATTCCCACTAGCAGTATAAAAGTGTTCCCTTTTCACCACATCCACCCAAAATTTATTATTTATTGTCTTTTTTATTATGTCATTCTTGCCAGAGGAAGCTGGTATTGCATTGTGGTTTTAATTTGCATTTCCCTGATAATTATATTGGGCACTTTTTTCATGTTTGGCCATTTTTATATCTTCTTTTGAGAATTGTCTATGTCCTTAGCTTACTTTTGGATGTAATTGTTTGTTTTGTTCTTGATGATTTGAGTTCCTTTGGATTTAGTACTTTGTTGGACACATAGATTGTGAAGATTTTCTCCCACTCCATGGGTAGTCTGTTAATTCTGCTATTTATTTTGCTGTGCAGATGCTCTGTAATTTAATTAAGTCCCATATATCTTTGTTGTATTCTTGGTCATGAAGTCTTTGCCTAAGCCAGTGTCTAGAAGGGTTTTTCTTATGTTACGTTATCTTCTAGAATTTTTATGGTTTCAGGTCTTAGATTTAAGTCTTTGATCCATCTTGAGTTTTTGTATAAGGTGAGAGATGAGGATCCAGTTTTATTCTTCCACTTGTGGCTTGCCAATGTCCTTTCCCCACTTTGTTTTGGTTTGCCTTGTAGAAGATCAGTTGACTCTAGGTATTTGGCTTTATTTCCAGGTTCTCTATTCTGTTCCTTCGGTCTATATGCCTGTTTTTATATCAGTACCATGTTGTTTTGGTGACTATGGCCTTATAGTTTGAAGTTGGGTAATGTAATGCCTCCAGATTTGTTCCTTTTTCTTAGTCTTGCTTTGGCTCTGTGGCCTCTTTTTGGGTTCCATATAAAATTTAGGATTGTTTTTTCTAGTTCTGTGTAGAATGTTGGTGGCATTTTCATGGGAATTGCATTGAATTTGTAGATTGTTCTTGGCAGTATCATCATTTTCACAATATTGATTCTACCCATCCATGAGCATAGGATGTGTTTTCATTTTTTTGTGTCATCTATGATTTCTTTCAGCAGGGTTTTGTACTTTTCCTTGTAGAGGTCTTTCACCTTGGTTAACTATGTTCCTAAGTATTTTATTTTTGCAGCTATCATAAAGGAGGTTGAGTTCAAGATTCTCGGCTTGGTCACTGTTGGTGTATAGCAAGGCTACTGATTTATGTACATTAATCTTGTATCCTGAAACTTTGCTGAATTCATTAATCAGTTATAGGAATCTTTAGAACTCCTAGGGTTCCAAAAAATGAGTTAAAGAACTCATCTTTTTGGATGAGTCTTTAGGGTTTTCTAGTATACCATCATGTCATCAGCAAACAGCAATTTTTGACTTCCTCTTTCCCAATTTGGATGTCTCTTCTTTGTCTTGTCTGATTGCCCTTGCTAGGACTTCCAGTACTATGTTCAACAGAAGTAGTGAAAGTGGACATTCTTGTCTTATTCCAGTTCTCAGGGGGAATGCTTTCAATTTTACACATTTAGTATAATATTGGCTGTGAGTTTGTCATAAATGGCTTTTATTACCTTAAGGTATGTCCCTTCTAGGCCGATTTTACTGAGAGTTTTAATCATAAAGGGATGCTGGAATTTGTCAAATCCCTTTCTGGGTCTATCGAGATGATCATGTGATTTTTAATTCTGTTTATGTGGTGTATTACATTTATTGACTTTTGTATGTTAAACCATCCCTGCGTCCCTGGTATGAAACCCACTTGATCATGATGGATTATTGTTTTGATATGTTTTAGGATTCAGTTAGCTAATATTTTCATGAGGATTTTTGCATCTATGTTAATCAGGGATACTGGTCGGTAGTTTTCTTTTTTCTTTTTTTTTTTTTGTTAGGTCCTTTCCTGCTTTTGGTATTAGGGTGATACTGGCTTCTTAGAATGATTTAGGGAGGATTCCCTCTTTATCTTTTGGAATAGTGTCAAGAAGATTGGTACTGATTCTTCTTTCAATGTCTGATAGAATTCAGCTGTGAATCTGGTCCTTGACTTTTTTTGTTGTTGGTAACTTTTTAATTACCATTTAAATATCACTGCTTGTTATTGGTCTGTTCAGAGTTTCCACTGATTTCTGATTTAATCTAGGAGAGTTGTGTATTTCCAGGAATTTATTCATCTCCTCTAGATTTTCTAGTTTATTATGTAAAGCTATTTATAGTAGCCTTGAACAATCTTTTATATTTCTATGGTATTGGTTGTAATATCTCCCATTTCATTTCTAATTCAGATTATTTGGATCTTCTCTCTTCTTGGTTAATCATGCTAATGGTCTATCAATTTTATTTTTCTTTTCAAGGAACCAGCTTTTGTTTCATTTATCTTTTGTAGTTTTTGTTTCAATTTTATTTTGTTCTTCTCTAATCTTGGTTATTTCTTTTCTTCTGCTGGGTTTGGGTTTGGTTTGTTCTCGATTCTCGAACTTCTTGAGGTGTGACCTTATATTGTCTATTTGTGCTTTTTCAGACTTTTTGATATAGGCATTCAATGCTGTGAACTTTCCTTTTACTACTGCCTTTGCTGTATCCCAATGGTTTTGATACATTGTGTCACTATCATTGTTCAGTTCAAAGAATTTTTAAATTTCCATCTTTATTTCATTGTGTACCCAATGATCATTTAGGAGCAGGTTATTTAATTTCCATGTATTTGCATGGTTTTGAGGTTCCTTTTGGAGTTGAGTTCCAATTTTACTCCACTGTGGTCTGAGAGAATACTTGATATAATTTTGATATTCTTAAATTTACTAAGACTTCTTTTGTGGCCTATCATATGGTCTATCTTGGAGAATGTTCCATGAGCTGATGAAAAGTATGTATATTCTGCAGTTGCAGGTTAGAATGTTCTATAAATATCTGTTACGTCCATTTGTTCTAGGGTATAGTTTAAGTCCACTTTCTCTTGACTATCTTGATGACCTGTCTAGTACTGTCAGTGAAGTATTGAAGTCCCCCACTATTATTGTGTTGCCATCTATCTCATTTCTTAGATCTAGTAGTAATTGTTTTATAAATTTGGGAGCTCCAGTGTTAGGTGCATATATAGTCCCTCTTAGTCCTTTTTAACTGCTGTTAAAGTTTGTTTTGTCTGATGTAAGAATAACTGCTTCTGCTTGCTTTTGGTATTCATTTGCATGGAATATCGTTTCCACCCCTTTACCTTAAGTTTATGTGACTGACTCTTTAGTGTCAAGAGAATCTCTTGAAGACAGCAGATACTTGGTTGGTGAATTCTTAATCATTCTGCCATTCGGTTTTTGTTGTTGTTGTTGTTGTTGTTTTTTGACGCGATCTCAGCTCATTGCAACCTCTGCCTCCCAGGTTCAAGCAATTCTCCTGCCTCAGCCTCCTGAGTAGCTGGGATTACAGGCATGTGCCACCACGCCTGGCTAACTTTGTATTTTTCATAGAGACAGGGTCTCTTCTTGTTGATCAGGCTGCTCTCAAACTCCCGAACTCAGGTGATCTGCCTGCCTTGGCCTCCCAAAGTGCTGGGATTATAGGTGTCAGCCACCACACCCGGCCCATTCCGTATCTTGTAATTGGAGAATTTAGGCCATTTACATTCAATGTTAGTATTGAGATGTGAGGTATTTTTCTATTTATTGTGCTATTTCTTGCCTGAATACCTTGTTTTGTTTTTAACTTAAAAAGTTCCAGGATACAAGTGCAAAATGTGTAGGTTACATAGGTATATATTTGCCATGGTGGTTTGCTGCACCTATCAACCTGTCATCTAGGTTTTAAGCCCTGCATGCATTAGCTATTTGTCCTAATGCTCTCCCTCCCCTTGCTCCACCTGTTGACTGGCCCCAGTGTGTGTTGTTCCCCTCCATGTGTTCTCGTTGTCCAACTCCCACTTATGAGTGAGAACATGCAGTGTTTGGTTTTGTCTTCCTGTGTTAGTTTGCTGAAAATGATGGCTTCCAGCTTCATGCATATTTCTGCAAAGAACATGATTTGATTCCTTTTTATGGCTACATAGTATTCCTTGGTGTATGTGTGCCTATTTTCTTTATCCAGTCAATCATTGATGGGCATTTGGGTTGGTTCCATGTCTTTGCTATTGTAAATAGTGCTGCAGTAAACATATGTGTCCATGTGTCTTTATAGTAGAATTATTTATATTCCTTGGGGTATATACCCAGTAATGGGATTGCTGGGTCAAATGATATTTCTGGTTCTAGATCCTTGAGGAATTGTCACACTGTCTTCCACAATGGCTGAACTAATTTACATTTCCACCAACAGTGTAAAAGCTTTCCTATTTCTACACAGTCTTGCCAGCATCTATTGTTTCCAGACTTCTTAATAATTGCCATTCTGACTGGTATGAGATGGTATCACATTGTGGTTTTGATTTACATTTCTCTAATGATCAGTGATGATGAGCATTTTTTCATGTCTGTTGGCTGCATAAATGTCTTCTTTTGAGAAGTGTGTGTTCATATCCTTTGCCCACTTTTTGATGGGGTTTTTATTTTCTTGTAAATTTAAGTTGCTTGTAGATTCTGGATATTAGCCCTTTTTCAGATGAGTAGATTACAAAAATTTTCTCCCATTCTGTAGGTTGCCTGTTCACTTTGATGATAGTTTCTTTTGCTGTGCAGAAGCTCTTTAGTTTAATTAGATCCCAATTGTCAATTTTGGCTTTTTTTGCCATTGCTTTTGGTGTTTTCATCATGAAGTCTTTGCCCATGCCTATGTCCTGAATGGTATTGCCTAGGTTTTCTTCTCGGGTTTTTATGGTTTTGGGTTTTATATTTAAGTCTTAATCCATCTTGAGTTAATTTTTGTATAAGGTGTAAGGAAGGGGTCCAGTTTCAGTTTTCTATGTATGGCTAGCCAGTTTTCCCAGCACCTTTTATTAAGTAGGAAATCCTTTCCTCATTGCTTGTTTTTTGTCAGGTTTCTCAAAGATCAGATAGTTGTAGATGTGTGGTGTTATTTCTAAAGTCTCTGTTCTGTTCCATTGGTATATATGTCTCTTTTGGTACCAGTACCATGCCATTTTGGTTTCTGTAGCCTTGTAGTATAGTTTGAAGTCAGGTAGCAGGATGGTTCCAGCTTTGTCCTTTTTGCTTAGGATTGTCCTGGTTATATGGGCTCTTTTTTTTTTTGTTCGATATGAAACTTAAAGTATTTTTTTCTAATTCTGTGAAGAATGTCAATGGTAGTTTGCTGGGAATAGCATTGAATCTATAAATTACTTTGGGCAGTATGGCCATTTTCACGATATTGATTCTTCCTATCTATGAGGATGGAATGTTTTTCCATTTGTTTGTGTCCTCTCTGATTTCCTTGAGCAGTGGTTTGTAGCTCTCCTTCACCTCCCTGTTAGCTGTTCTCCTAGGTATTTTATTCTCTTTGTAGCAGTTGTGAATGGGAGTTCATTCATAATTTGGCTCTCTGCTTGTCTATTGTTGGTGTACAGGAATGCTTGTGATTTTTGCATATTGATTTTGTATCCTGAGATTTTGCTGAAGTTGATTATCAGCTTAAGGAGTTGTGGGGCTGAGACGATGGGGTTTTCTAAATATAAAATCATGTCATCTGCAAACAGACAACTTGACCTCCTCTCTTCCTATTTGAATATGCTTTATGTATTTCTCTTGCCTTATTGTCCCAGCCAAAACTTCCAATTCTTTGTTGAATAGAAATGGTGATAAAGGGCATCTTTGTCTCATGCTGCTTTCCAAAGGGAATGCTTCCAGCTTTTGCCCATTCAGTATAATGCTGGCTAAGGGTTTGTCCTAAGTAGCTCTTATTATTTTCAGATATGTTCCATCAAAACCTAATGTATTGAGAGTTTTTAACATGAAGGGATGTTGAATTTTATCAAAGGCCTTTTCTGCATCTATTCAGATGATCATATGGTTTTTGTCATTGGTTTTTTTTATGTGATGCATTATGTTTATTGATTTGTGTATGTTGGACCACCCTTGCATCCCAGGGATGAAGCCAATTTGATCTTAGTGGATAAGCTTTTTGATGGGCTGCTGGATTCAGTTTGCCAGTATTTTATTGAGGATTTTCACATTGATTTTCATCAGGGATATTGGCCTAAAGTTTTTTGTTGTTGTGTCTCTGCCAGGTTTTGTTATCAGGATGATGTTGGCTTCATAAAATGAGTTATAGAGGAGTCCCTCCTTTTCAATTGTTTGGAATAGTTTCAGAAGGAATGGTACCAGCTTCTCTATGTACCTCTGGTAGAATTTGACTGTGAATCTTTCTGGTCCTGGCCTTTTTTAAGTTGGCATACTATTATTACCTCAGTTTCAGAACTTGTTATTGGTCTATTCAGGGATTCGACTTCTTCCTGGTTTAGTCTTGGAAGGGCATATGTGTCCAGCAGTTTATCCATGTCTTTTAGATTTTCTAGTTCATTTGTGTAGAGGTGTTTATAGTATGCTATGATGGTAGTTTGTATTTCTGTGGGGTCAGTGGTGATATCCCCTTTATCATTTTTTATTGTGTCTATTTGATTCTTCTCTCTTTTCTTCATTAATCTAGCTAGCAGTCTATTTTGTTAGTTTTTTTTTTTTTTTTCAAAAAACTGTCTCCTGGATTCATTGATTTTTTTTATTTGAAGGATTTTTTATTGTCTATCTTCTTCAGTTCTGCTCTGATCTTAGTTATTTCTTGTCTTCTGCTTCTTTTGGATTTGTTTGTTCTTGCTTCTCTAACTCTTTTAATTATGATGTTAGGGGGTCAATTTGAGCTCTTTCTAGCTTTCTGATGTGAGCATTTAGTGGGCATAAATTTCCCTCTTACCACTGCTTTAGCAGAATCTCTGTGTCCCAGAGATTCTGGTACATTGTCTCTTTGTTCTCATTGGTTTCAAAGAACTTCTTGATATCTGCCTTAATTTCATTATTTGCCCAGGAATCTTTCAGGAGCAGGTTGTTCAATTTCCATGTAGCTGTGTGGTTTTGCATGAGTTTCTTAATCCTGAGTTCTAATTTGATTGCACTGTGGTCTGAGAGACTGTTATGATTTCAGTTCTTTCACATTTGCTGAGGAGTGTTTTACTTCAAATTATGTGGATGATGTTAGAATAAGTGCTATGTGGCACTGAGAAGAATGTATATTCTCTTGATTTGGGGTGGAGAGTTCTGTAGATGTCTATTAGGCCCACTTGGTGCAGAGCTGAGTTCAAGTCCTGAATATCCTTATTAATTTTCTGTCTTGTCTACTATTGACAGTGGGGTGTTTGTTTAAGTCTCTTTGCAGGTCTCTAAGAACTTGTTTTATGAATCTGGGTCCTCCTGTATTGGGTGTGTATATATTTAGGATAGTTAGCTCTTCTGTTGAATTGATCCCTTTATGATTATGTAATGCCCTTGTCTTTTTTTTTTTTTTTAATCTTTGTTGGTTTAAAGTCTGTTTTATCAGAGACTAGGATTGCAACCTCTGCTTTTCTTTTTTTTTGCTTTCCACTTGCCTGATAATTTTTTCTCCATCCCTTTATTTTGAGCCTATGTATGTCTTTGCACATGAGGTGAGTCTCCTGAATATAGCACATCAATGGGTCTTGACTCTTTATCCAGTTTGCCAGTCTGTGTCTTTTAATTGGGGCATTTAGCCCATTTACATTTAAGGTTAATATTGTTATGTGTGACTCTGATCCTGTCATTGTGATGCTAGCTGGTTACTTTGCACATTAATTGATAGTTTCTTCATAATGTCATTGGCCTTTATAGATGTATATTAGGTCCACTTGATCCAGAGCTGAGTTCAAGTCCTGAATACCTTTGTTAATTTTCTGATAAGAAGCATTTACAATCTATTCTCTTTGAAGCCAGCCACCTGGAGGCTTTATGTGCATGACAAAACTTTGGTCTCCACAGCCTCTTATCACAACCCAAACATTTCCTTTCTATGACCCCAGGTCTTTAGATAAACTCAGCCAGTTATCAACCTGAAAATTTTAAATCTACCAATAACCTGAAAGCCCTGCTTCAAGTTGTCCCACCTTTCTGGACCAAACCAATGTACATCTTAAATGAATTTGATTGAAGTCTTGTATCTCTCTAAATGTGTAAAACAAAGCTGTACCCCGACCATCTTGGGCACATGTTCTCAGGACCTCCTGAGAGGCTGTGTCATGGTTACTTACTTTAGCTCAAAATAAATCTCTTCAAATATTTTACAGTTTGACTCTTCATCAATACAGACATACATAAACACATAGAAACTGATCTTATAGCTTTTATTTTAAAATTTTGGTGATGTGCCTGGTACAGTAATACAAAGCTCACTAATTTATTAAATAAGATCTGAAGCCAAATTGTATTTCTGGATAATCAAACAAGATTTCCTGATGGCTAAAACTGTTTACTAATATTTGTGGAAAATCAATCATTTTTATTTGTCCAGTTTCTAAATACCTATTTTTAGTTCTTCTAATGAGTCATCTCCCCTAAACTTAAATTTTAAAGGGACAGCTGTCAGGTCTTAGAGAAGACAGGTAGAACATTTACATCTCAAAGGCATAGAGCTTAGACTTCAGGCTTAAATACTGCCATTTGCCTAAACCATGAAACAGGAGTGTAGGTAAAGGTCTAGTTAAAACAAGATGGGCCGGGCACAGTGGCTCATACCTGTAATCTCAGCACTTTGGGAGGCTGAGGTAGGCAGATCACTTGAGGTCAGGAATTCTACAACAGCCTGGCCAACATGGTGAAACTGTCTCTACTAAAAATACAAAAATTAGCTGGGAATGGTGGTGGACGCCTGTAGGGTCCCAGCTACTCAGGAGGCTGAGGCAGGAAAATCACTTGAACCCAGGAGACAGAGGCTGCAGTGAGCCGAGATTGCACTTCTGCACTCCAGCCTGGGCAACAGAGTGAGACTCCACCTCAAAACAAAAACAAACAAAAAAAGACAGCCAGAAAAGCATCTTTAAACCAAGGGTAAGGCTTCTTATATAAATTTAAGCCAATGCCTTCTCCATTGTAAGAGTTTCTAGTGACTTAGTCTCTCTTTCTGCACTGGGAAGAAGCTTTGACAAATGGAGATTTCCTTTATAGATGTAAATTTCTCTTGCAAAAGGGTTTTAAAATAAGCTAAAAATAGTTCTAATGCCAGAAAGACAAATTTTAGAGACTAATTCAGCTGGATCAGTGGTTTCCCTGCCCAGCTTGTGTTTTAACTGTATAACTGAGTTCAGGGTTGAGTCCAGAAAAGAATAAGACAAGCATTTTCTATGCCTGCACTCAGCATGGATACTTCTAATCTTGCCTTATTGTCAGAGATGGGTTAACTTTTGTTTGTTTTGCAAGAAAGAGTTTTGGGGCATAGCAAAGGCAATGATAACAAGAAAGACAATGTTGGCAGAACATATCATTTGTCAGAGAGGGTCCCAGGGGAGAACAGGATTCGAGAAAACAGAGGACTAATTTTTACAAGTGCTTTTCTGAAAATGAACTTTATTTCTGCAATTGGGGTTTCAAATATTCTTCTGGTTTTTTTTTTTTTTTTTTTTTTCTTGGAGGGATTGGTTAATTATTGTCCTGGGAATCAAGCCCTTGGCTTGATTTCCTCTAGTGAGGAAATGGTCCAGGCCAAAGGAAAAATGTCTATCAGATGGCCGGTGTAAGCATGGACAATTTATTTTCCAGTGGCCTGGCTATTTACAATAAAGGAAGACATCTCAGGGCATAGGGCATAGTTTGGGACCTCTTGGTTTGGTTTAGAATGGTGGTCCCCAACCTTTATGGCACCAGGGACAGGTGTCATGAAAGATAATTTTTCCACAGACAGGGTGGGGGGATAGTTTTAGGATGAAACTGTTCCACCTCAGATCATCAGGCATTAGTCTCATAAGGAGTGCACAACCCAGATCCTTTACATGTGCAGTTCACAATAGGGTTCACACTCCTACGAGAATTTAATGCCACAGTCATTGACCAGAGATGGAGCTCAGGTGGTAATGCTCACTTGCCCACCACTTACCTCCTGAGTGGCCCAGTTCCTAATAGGCCACAGACTGATATAAGTACATGGCCCGGGGGGCTGGGGAATCCTGGTTTAGAATGTATACATGGAGGTCCTCTTGGTCCCTGTAGCTGTTGTAGCTATAAAAATACATGTCCTTTTGCAAGGAGTTTCTCCACTGCAATTCTAAGTTATCTTTGATAAGGTCCACCCATCTCACTAGAAAAGCATGTTTTGCATCCATAGTTCTTGTACATGAAATTAGCCAGAATTCCAGATTGAGGAGTTATAGATTCCTTGGATCCAAATGATCCCATGATTCCCTGTCTTCTAGTAACCTTCTCTGCTGAAGGTCTCTTAGTGGTCCCAGTCCATTTTCCTTATTGGATGTCATCCAATCCTGAACCCAGTCTGGTCAAAGAATTGCCCAATAAAGTCAGAACAAAAAACAGAAATTTGCAGAGCTTGAATCCAAGAAGAAACTTACCCATGACCTCCAGTTACTGTGAAAGAATGATGGGTCTAGTGGAAACCTTCTCTGGGTCACTGGAAGTCTCCTTCATATCCCACTTCTGATGCCAAACTATTATTAAGAAGCAACTTTAGAGAAATTAATTTTAGCAATATTTATTTGAACAAAGAATGATTCATGAATCGGGCAGGACTCAGGACCAGAAAAGGTTCAAAGAGCTCTGCCCAGCAGAGTGAGCAACAAGCTTTTACAGGCCAGATGGAGAAGCAAAGTAGAGAAATCACCTGATTCTTTACAGTTAGACATTGCCTTATTTGGGCACAGTGCAGTAAGTTGTCAGCATGTAATTGGCCAAAACTTGGCTCTTTGTTATATTCCTAAGTTAGGTTGTGGTTTGCTACTTAGGAACTCAAACTATGTAGATAGCCTCAGACTAATGATCTACTTATTTAACATCTTCTTCACAAAGACATTGTGAATCCTTTCACATCCTCCACTTCACCCCAAAATGAGCACAGAAGTGGTCATACCAATATTAATTTTATCTAGTGTGGTCACACCATTAGCTCCTGGTGAATTTGTAGTGACATAAAATGTCGAAATCATGCACTATTTTTCACATTAGCTTCTTTTAAGGTAGTTCTTTTTCGTTCCATTCTATGCTTTTCTCACAAACACAACTTAATCTCAATTGAGGTCCTATCCTCTTAAGTTTAAAAATAAAAGTCATTCCAGTGAGACGCTAAGGCTTTGAAAGAAAACAGTAATGTTAGCTTTGAAAGAAAACGTTTGGTATATATTTAAAGCATCACCAAAGAATTTCCATTAAAAATTTTATTCACCATGTTATTTTCTGCTAAAATTTTCAGAATTTGCAGCTAAGAAGGATCCCATCTTCCATGGCATCCTCTCAAGCACCTCTCTCTCTGTCTACCACAAAGTTCCAAGATGTTAAGAAAACTTTGAGCTGAAAAAAGTCTCCTAATGTAAAATAAAAAATATTAAGTAGAAACTTTAATTTGGTAAACAGCATCCTTATTCTATGATTTTTTTGTAACCTCATTGCTCAATCCCTTTATTAGTAAAAGTATGACCATAGCACAGTATCTAACAATATCAACAGTAGAATCAGATAGCCTTAATTGGATGCATTTGTAATGTATTTGAACTCCTTACAAGACATATTATAAGTAAGTATTTGAGTTAAAGCATAAATGCAAGCAATTAAGAATTGTTTAATAGCAGAGCAAACAGCTTATTTCCTGTAACAAAATATATTAGAATCCTCCTGAAACCAAGCCTCAACATGGCTAATGGAAAACAGGCTTTATTCTAACCTCAAAACAAATTAGTAGCCAGGAAGATGGCAATAGATGTGGTGCTGCTTCTGGGTGTGTAGTATTTGCGATCAAAACAAATTTGTTGAACAGTTATCTACTTTGGACATGAAAGACATATACATATACATACATTAAACCCTGCAGATAATGAAATGTTCATCAGAATGTCTTCCAGTGGCATGTACAGGGCTTTGGCTAAGATACAGTTGCCAGGTTTAGCAAATAAAATACAGAATGCACAAACTTGAATTTCAGATAAATATGAATAATTTTTAGCATATGCATTTTTGAATGGTTCATGGGACATGTACTAAAAATAGTTCATTGTTTATCTTAAATTTAAATGGATGTCCTGTATTTTATTTGGAAATCTTAGTCCAAGATCAAAGTAACATGACTGTCATTGGCGTTCACATCAGTGTAACAGTGCGTTCACTGAAAGTTTTGACCCAGGCAACTAAAAGAAAGGAAAAATATTTTTCCTCCTAACCATCTTAGGTTCATGCCTGAGGCCCCTGTAACAAAAGACAGATTAACAAGAAAAATGCAAACTCATTTATTTAATATAAGTTTTATGTGACACAGGAGTTTTCATAAGGAAATGAAGACCCAAAGTAACTATTAAACGTGAGTGTTTTTTTACAGAAGGTTTGATGAAGAATGGAGAGTTCTGGAACAATATGATAGAGCAAAAAGATTATGATCTAATTTAGCAAGGCCTGTTCAGATTCTCCTTAGCAACTCTGTATTTGGAGGTCAAGATGCTTCTTTCCTATGGGTAGAGGGAGCGTACCTCTCACATGAGTGTTTTGTCTGCCTCAGGGGAAGGTCAAAAAATCCCTGGTAGGTTTCATAAACTGCCCCCAAGGGGCAAAGAGACCTTCCTTATTTTGTCGTTTTCTCAAATCTCTTTAGTTTGAAATACTCAAAATGCCAAGGTGCCATATGTTGGGGTACCACATCCTGAACTTCATCACAAAGATGCCAAAGCTAAGGCCCAAACAAAATGCAGAATTCACAAACAAAATGTGCAAAAACTGGTTTCACACTTGAGCTTCTGAGACAGATTAAGGATATATTAAAAAGTGACAGTGTGCACAGAATGAAACAGAATGTTGTGGGGAAGGTTCCCATGGGAAAAGCTGGGCTTGAGCCTTACCTCTACTACCCAAGGAAAAGAAGAGTTTGTTGCCCACACATCTCAATGTAAGTAAGGGCTTCACTTGGAGGGCCCGATATTCTCTGCAGGGGGAATAACATGGACTGAGAAAGTTAAATGGCTTGTGCAGGGACAATAGAGAGAAGAGAGGCCTGTGTTTGTGATGTAACTATATTTCCACTGGTAAAAATCAAAGAATGTGTGTTTCCCATGGACCAGATGTGGGCACGTTAGGGAGAGAGCTTGCCTGGAGCACAAAAGGATTTGGATCAGCCCTGAGATGGACAGAGTCTCAGTACCAGGGCTGAGGCAGGAAGAGAAACATTACCTGTGCTGTGGGAGCTGCTGCTGGACAGGGCCAGTCATAGGTCTTCAAATACTCACAAGAAAAAGCATTAGTTGCAAACACCTGCGGAGTAAGAAGTCAGGTTTTGACAGTACCTATCACCAGTTAGGAAACAACTTGCCTCTTTGTCTCCCTAAATTTCTCCCTTCTTCCCTGGCAGAATCTAGAATTACAGCTAGAGAATCCAGGCCCAGGAAAAGGGTGCTAATAAGCTTTTCTTCCTCCTCTGCAAATCCCCCAGACTGCCATCTATAGAACTCAACCTTTCACTCTTGATTAAAGTGCTAATATATTTCTCTGGATTATTTTTTAAATTATGCATTAAGACTATATCTTATCTCTTACAGTAACTACATACCTTAAGTGTGAGCATAAACATTTAGAATCTGCTAAATTTTCATCTAATAGAGGAAAGGTTTCCCCAACTAAATAAAGTTAAAAGGAGTGATAAGAGATAAAGATAAAACTGTTTAGATTATATCCAGTCACTCACATGTATTAATGCATTGCTTATATTGAGACAGGGATTAAAATTGAATGCTTTTTTTGAAAACTTGGTTGGCTGGAACAGCTTGCAAGATAAACCCATCTGTTTATCATATTGATTAGCCAAAACAAAATGAAAACTACTGTACTGGCCACTTTTGCCATGCTACATTTATTTTAATGGCCAAATATAGAGCTAGTTTCAACTTTAGACGTCTGTACACCAAGATGCTTTTCATGCACTTGAATGCCTACCATTGAACACTTTTTTTCAACTTGTGATTCTCAGCAAGAATGGAAAAGGACTATATATAAAAATACTTCTAAATTTGTCTGCAATTTTTCATACCTAGCAAGGTTTCCCTTTGAGTCAGTTTATAGTTTTCTCTCCAAAAACTTCATTCAGCTCTTTAAAAAAAATAATGTGGCAGTTTTATTCAGCTCTCAAGGATTCCTAGATTCCTTTCTGCAAGAAAAGGAAAGATGCTAGGCAGATTAACCTCCAGAAACTGAGAACAAGAAAGACATATAAACGTATCTGGAACCAATAACAAAATCTATTGCAATAATGTATACCAAGAAACTCTTGACACAGCCAAAATGTGATATTAGCCAAACATTGCACAATGCTGAAGGCAGCAGTCAAATTTGAAAGTAAAAATAGTAGTGTCAGCATAGACAGAATGTACAAATTCCCATAATATAATTATCTCACTAGGTATGCAGAAAAAGAAGAGCAAATATGAAATGACCTGATGGTCTATTACATGTGTCTATCTTCAAAAATTTTCAGAAGTCCAAAATGCAGACAAAACTATCCTGTCATACTTTCTTTGATATTATCTTTTATAATAAATAACTAATTTCACACTTGGAAAAGGGCAGGAGATACTTTTAAACAAAAGTGAAATTACATACAGCATCTTGTGAGTCCATGGAATTTATATGTATATATCCAAGTATTTATTTTTCCTAAACTTTTGAAAATATATATAATACATTATATATAACATATTTTAAATATATAGAAAAAATAGTGTGTATACATATATATGTGTATATGTGTATATATATGTGTGTGTATATATATACACACATTAAAAGCCTAGTTTTAGGGCAACAACCGAAAAATGCTATTTATGGGGTTTTTAAACATTTCTGAAGAGCTAGGCATTAATAACAACCAGTCCTTCAGAAGAAATTTTTAAAAGTATGTTAGTGGGTCACAAATGAGAAGCCCTGGCTGTCATCTCCCGAGAGAACCTGAAGAAACCTGGCGCAGGTGCACCCACACGCCATTGCTTTTGCACCATAAACAGTTTTGCAAAGGAGTAGTTGTGCCAACAAATAATTCTACCTTGGAGCCACGGCCTAGAAGAGTCTCTAATATAAAACACACTTGTCTGTAATTTCTCCTCACTTCCCACCCTCACCTGTTCCCTATAAAATATTAATTTTTCTTCAGTGGAATAAGCAAGATGGATGCAATCTAACCAAATATTCAGGTTAAATTTCTGCCTGCCCATGCAGGTTAATCACAACAAAGTTTGTCAGCCAACTGATTCAAAATAAACCAAGCTCTGCTACACATTCAGAACATTTATTTATTTTAGGTTCTATTATGGGCTTTACTTTGAAAGCTATTCCTGTAACAGCTACAATAGGGGAACATTAAATTACATTTTGGAAGTCTGGGGACTTCACTTTGGCTTTAATTATGTTGGGTTGAAGGGGCTTAGGTTTGTTCATTTGTTTCCCTTTCTTTCTGAAAATTAAATTTACACTACTGTCATTGCATATAACTTCCTTAATTTTTTCATTTGAGACATTAACAGACATTTGAAAATTCACACAAGTAGAAACAAAGCAAGGAAAACTATCCATTTTCCTACCAGCTACCTTCAACTACTTTTTTCTAACAACTGTGGTCTTTGTATTCTAATCCTTTGACAAAAAAAAAGGTGTACTTCAAAAAATATATATTTGTGTCTTTATAATATGTATCTTACATATGGCATAAATGATTTCATGTTCGGTTCTTTTCACTTACTCTTCCATTAGTGGTAGCCATGTTATTGCATAATCTTTGTAAATACTTTTAGTGGCATTTACTATTTTATTGAGTGGGTATACCATGGTTCATTTATTTATGATTGGATATTCTGTTTCCAGTTTTTCACAATAATTAATGGTGAACCTCTGAACTTCTTTGGGTATAAAGCTCTTTTCTAGATTTGGAATTATTTTATTACAGTAGATTTTCCAGGGTGAAATTACTGTTCAGATGATATCAGGTTTCTTAGGACTCTTGATAAATACTGATAAATTGCTTTCCAGAAAGGTCATACCGATTAACACTGCCAGCAGCAATAACTAGTGCATTCCATCACACACTTACTTACTAGTGTTTTCATCCCAGGCTCACTAATATCTTTGCTAATTTGAAAGGCAAAGAATTGGATTCTATTATAACTTTTAGTGCGTACTCTTTCATCAGAGACATATATGAAGACGATTGTAGGCTTAAAAATCTTACAAGGACTTTTATGAAAAATGATAATCCCTTAAATCCCTGCCCAACTACTTCCCTACTGCACAAAGGCAATGTGTTCCAGCCACTGATGCTGCCTTATCTTTTAACAGTAAGACCACCTGTGTACAGGCCTGGAGCAGCATGACATCCTTCCCTCCCTATTCTGATTGCTGATCTGTCCATCCACCTTGGCATGATAAGGAGTGTCCTTATGTTGGTGTGCACTGAAATGCCTCACACATAAGGATGTAAAACAACTTTTGTCTTGGTTTTTGCTCCTTAACATGTTTCACTCAATAGTCTGTCCCTGGGTCATTCTGCCAGCCTTATGCCAATAGCCCAGCAACACATAAGATTAATGACAGGGTCAATTGTTTTTACCTGTTTTTCCTGGCTCTGCTCATGGAGTTGATTTTCTCCATCTTCAGTGGTCCAAGTTCATTCACTTAGTTACAAGATTAATTGTTACTACCTTCCTCTAAAGCAGTGGTCCCCAACCTTTTTGGCACCAGGGACTGGTTTGGTGGAAGACAATTTTTCCATGGATTGTGCAAAAGTACTAGATTGTATGTGCAGGGATCTAGTACTTACATCCGTCAATCTAAGAATAGTATTTAGAGTGCATGCTCTTATGAGAATCTAATGCCACCACTGGTGTGACAGGAGGTAGAGCTCAGGTGGTTGGAGACCCCTGCTCTAAAGGGTATCTTGGGGGTATTGAGCTGCTCCATTTCCTGCCTGTACCAGGGTAATTTCTCAAATAGCAGAGCTGAAGTCAAAACGAAGAAAAATAGGAGAAAGTAGGGTAGGAGCTCTAACCTCCATCACTCTCTGGCGTGACCTTATTGCTACTTACTGGTGGGACCTGGGGCAAGTTCTTCAATCTCTCTGATTCCATTTTTGATGTGTAAAATAGAAACAATAATACTTACCTCATAGGGTTACTGTAATGATAAAATGAGCTAGTATGTGTGTGTAGCACTTAGAAAATGAGTGTCTCACACATAGATATACCATATGTGCTAGCTATAACTACTGTTTTATTCCACTTAATTCTTGCCATCTGAAATGAACATCTTGCATTCTGGTTTATGTTTGCTTGCTCCAGACCTTTCACACAACTTAACTATGTCATGCTTCAAAGCATGGTACAGAACCTGGCCACTTCTATTAATTTGTTCCAGCCTTATGCTCCCACCAGGGAGCCTCAGAGATTCAGTGCAGAGACTTTCTGTGTTCTGTGGCATACTTACTGTTAAACTATTCTTACTGACATTTTAAGTTCTCGGAGGTGTCCAACTGGATTTGTATCAGGACTATTAAATTCATAACTGCTTTCAGGGAGAATTGACACCTGCCCAATAGTTAATCATCTCAGTTTACAACATGACATGTGCTATAAATCTCTGGCATCAGAAATAATTCTATCAGAGAAGCAGAACCACTGCATGTAAAATAAGGGACATGTTATCAGGATTGAATCTTACACAATCATGGGAGCTGGCTCAGTAGTATTTGTAAGGCTGTTGTCTTCCATTTGATGTTGGAGCTTGAAGTCTGCAGGGCAGAAAGTTGGGGACACAAGATGGATGTAATACAGGGGAGATCAAGGACCAACTAGAACCCATGAGGAAAGAATAAAACCCATGCCAGTTCTCACTGCCTGCAATCTTGATGACACAGTGTTCTGCACAGAAAGATGGCACCTGTCATGTAGCTAGACACATACCTGCCAAGAGGAGGAGGAGGATCCAGGGGAAGGAATTAAAGCTGCAGACCCAGTTGCTGTCCAAACCAAGATCCAAAACAGCCCCACTGGGTATGAACCACAAATTAAATTTCTGTTTAATTTCCATTCCCCAAACATCCTATGAACATTCTCTAGTGGCCCACTCTAACTGGCAATATACAAGAAAGGGAATTTTGGGAAATATTGTTGAGCCTAGCCAAGTTGACAGATGACAAACCCACCCTATCTGTTAGAATTTTTAATAGATCATACATGTTTCACACTCATAATTGTTTATTAGCATATTGCCACCATTGACGTGATCTTTATACACCATACTTACCATATGATTGTAAACACCCTAATTCCTTTTCCTTCTTTCCCTCCATCATATTATATCCCAATAACTCAAACTTCCTTGTCCAACACTGTTCTCTGTGCACTAAAGTAGCTGAATAATGCTAGAATAAAACCTGAAACTATGCTGAACAGTCCAACTTTAAATTTATGAATAAAAATCTTAGGTAAGCCCTCAGAACTGCCTGCCAAACTTACTATTACATTTCCCTGCTCAATTCACTTATTGTTCTCCTATATTACTTTTACATATTTTCTCCTCAAATCTCTAACATATCTTCTTCTGTTTTAGTTTGCTTTAGGTAACAAAATGTCACAAACTGGGTGGCTTAAACAACAGAAATTTATTTTCTCACATTTCTGCAGGCTTGAATTCCAAGATCTAGTTGCTGACTAATGTGGTTCCTTGGTGAGGACCCTCTTTCTGGTTTGTAGACAGCCACATTCTCCCTGTGTCCTCACATGGCAGAGAGAGGGCAAGCTCTCTGGTGTTTCTTCTCATAAGAGCAAGTCATCCAATCATGAAGGCCCCAGCCTCATGACCTCCCCTAAACCTAATTATGTCCCAAAGTCCCCATTCCAAATACTATCACATTGGAGGTTAGGATTTCAACATACAAAATCTCTGGGAGGGGTGGGGTTCCACAACTTAGTTCATAGAATCTCCCTCTTGCTGAAAAAACTCTTCTACTTTTTATGTAGAAAATGGAAACAAAAGAGAATGTGTACATCATCACACCTACAAATCTATCAACTCACACACGCCTGAATTCATATACTCTCTTCCTCTCCTGTTACAATAGCTAAAATATACACACTTCGTTGTGGGACCAAATGTTCCACTTAGGCACCAGACTTTCTTGTTCACTGAAGAACCTCACTCCAGGAAATTATCTTCTTTCTCCTACAGTATTGATTTTTCAATATTTTCTCTGCTGAATAATTCTCATGTGTATAGCAAGTTGTTGTAATATCACTAATATTGATAAAGCCTTTCCCTTCACCTTATGTCCTCCTACAAACAACTGTCTTTAGAACAAAATTCAGGAGTTGATTATACCCACTTTCTCTATTCCTTCTCCTGTTCTCTCGGGCCCATTCCAAACAGGCTTTCATGGATGCCAGTGACTTCCTCAGCAATAAACCCAATCATTAGTCTCCATCATATGTGGTCCACTGGCAGCATTTAATAATATTAACTCCTTCTACAAAAACTCTTCTTCACTTTTGAGACACAAGGTACTACAAGTCTTTTACCTTCCTGGCCACTTTTTCCCAAGATCCTTTAGCTAGTCCCTCTTCATTAGTCCACCTTCTGAAGGTCAGAATGCCTTGATAACTCAAACCTCAGTGCTCTGCTCTTCTCTAACCAACTCATTCTGAAGTGATATCATCAAAGCCTCAGTTTAAAAATCTTTCATGATCTGGTGATGCCTAAATGTGCAGCTCTAGCCCCAGTCTCCAGACTCATACATGCAACTATCTACTCAACGTCTGCACTTAGATGCCTAAAAAGCACCTAACACTTGCATGTTCAAAACTTTCCGATTCTCCTTACCTTCAACGTGGTTTTTTCCCCAATATTCTTCTCAGTAAATGTCAATTTTATTCATCCTGTTAGGCCCAAATTTATAGCATTATCCTACCTCTTTTTCTCCTGTGCCACAATCTATCAATGAAACTCGTTGGTTCTTTCTTCAAAATACACCCAAAATGTACTCACTTCTACCCAGGTGGTAGCCTGTTCCAAGTCCTCTTCATCCTGGAAAATTGTACAACCCACCTAAATAACCTCTCTGCGTTCTACCTTGCAAGTCTACAGTCTGGTTTCTAAAAACTCTTAGAATGGGCCTTTAAGTGTTGGGATTATGCCAGACCTATTCTCAAATCTAATAGCTTCCCATACAACATACTGCTGTTTTGCATGTTATACATCTAGCCACTTAAGTTAATTCACCCAAATTTTAATCATTTTTGTGTTCTGATGCTTCTAGGTATCCAAGCATACAAATTTCAAATATTTCCTTATTTTCATATATTTACTATCAAAAGGTATGCTTTGTATCCTTTTTAATTGATTGGAACTTTTATAATAACAACCCTTACTGTTCTTCCATCTCAATTTTAAGAAGGATACATAATAGTGGCTACTGGAAAAAAAAGAAAATATCAATTTTGAAATTTACTAGAATTCCTTTTTAGTGTAAACAGTAGTCAAATAAGTTCTTTCTTATTTAACCTGGTAAAGTGGTAAGAGTTTGTGTGTGGCAGCCAACTGTTGCAATCTAAGCACACAAACCCTGGGATCATACAGACATAAGTTCAACTCCCAGCCCTGACTTCCCAGTCCAATGACTTAGAATCAAAGATTCAGTGACTTGTTCAATTATGTTCCTACTTCCTCAAATGATTACTGTAATAATTGAATAAAACAAAGAAGATAATATGCTTGAATTGATTAACAAATAATCTAACAAACTATATACTACATGCTAAAAATGTTGTGTCTCTCTTCCCTTCGTTTTAAAAAATCATTTCTGAATACTTACATTCATTTATTTGTCACATGTGTATACAAAGTTTACTAAATATTAGCCATTAATCCAGCCACTGGAATAGAAGTTTCTCACAGTCTGGTAAGAGACAGATCATTAAACACATAAATATAATGCAATGTAAACTGAGCAGGTGTTCAAGTAACGTTTAGTAAATAAATGAACAAATAGTTAAGTAAAAAGCTTAATCTATAGTACCTATCTTTTTCTAGAGATTCCATTTTAAAGTTATATATCCTTTATTGGTGAAGGCTAAAACTTTCAGTTTATGCATATATTAGCACAGTATTCTTCATGTATGTCTGTGGCTAAAACAGGGAAGATGATCTAGGTGATATAGAGTATGTGGCAACAGTAGAATGACACTATGGTTTTGGTGCCTCAAAAAAGGTTTCAAAATAGACTAATCTTCAGTGTTTATTTTCATAAATATCCAGCTCCATCATTACCAGTATATTCAAACAACAATCACATTAAAAAGTGCCATTAGCGCAAAATGAAGAAATTCATATGACTTCTAAATACCCTTCAACTGTTTTCTTTTCTGAGTTTCCAATAAGCACTTAATTGTGAGATAAGGCAAAAGTCCAAAATACCACCCTGGTATTTTTCTAATTCCAGAAAAAAAAACAGACATCATTAAAGTTAAACCTAAAATATTACATTCACCTATCATCATCCATCTTTACTCAGAAAACAATAGTTGACTATCCAAACAGAGAGTTTGATTGATCCTAGGTTCTCAAAACACAGATGAATGATTTTGGACAGATGCTTCATCAATGACAAATTGGCCTTGAGGGAAATCTGACCACCTTGGAAAAACGCCACATATCCAACTACTTTTAGTTCCAGCAGTACTCATTTGAAACTATTTTCCAATCTTAAATTTCTAAGTAAACTTTTGTTAAAATAAATATTAAGGAACTCCATTTAAATTAGATTTAAATAAATCCACTAAAGGCTAAGATTACAGCTTTAAGTAACCCACTGATCAACTCTCCAATTTTTATGGCAATAAAACTATTGGCAAGATTTTGCAAAGCGGTTGATGGCATAAACCACAAAGCTCTGTTTGTAAGTACATATTATCACATTAGGGGCACCCTGTTTTGATTTTTAGAAAATTCCATTGAAGTTTTGACCTTGAACTGATCTCATTAATACTTTTTCTTGTAGTGGTTGTATTTCATTTTTGACAACAGAACAGACGAAAATTTCCACTTAAAATTAAATTCTCTAAGTATCTATGATTTAGCACTGTTAGCACCAGAAACTGTGAAATTATCTCCTAGATATTCTTCAGAATCTAGGATGGAAGAAATATCTGTAGTAGACTTACACGGTGCTTTCAAGAGGAATCCAAGAATTTCATAGCTAGGTAATCACTGATGAGATCAGCAGATGTTTCTGCTGAATTTATATTAAATGTTCTCTAATCATAGAATTAGATGCCCACAAAAAAATACTACCACCAAATACGATGAGGGCTCTTTATGCTATGAGATTGTTCTCAATCTACCCATTTTTTTGTTGTTTTATTATTTCATTTTATGATATGTTTTGTAGTCTTCATTATCTTGAAACCTGTTTTAATGCCATATTCAGGAAATCAATTGATCAAAGCTTAAATGCAAAGAGCAAATGCAAAAACAATCAAGTGTGTCTAAGATTCTCTTGACCTCATAAAAATGGGTTTGTGGGTATGTTTTCACAAATAAACACTTGTACACAGGCATGTACACATGATGCTTCTTGGGTCAAATATTTGATCATTTAAATGCTAATGAAGATACAACAATTTCTAGAGAGCTTACCGCTCCTCTTAACTTAAAAACTTTTATGTTTAATAGCACTTACAGGATATTCTCACAAGTGACACAGGATGGATTGTGATAACTGGGTTCTCGCCCTCCCTACGCACTGGTTTAGACACACTATAGCCTAGTAGAAATGACTCTCCTCACTACACCCTGAGCCAGGGCAGGAAAGACTCTCTTTCCCCCTGCTAAAGGAGATTAATATTCCTAAGATTCTCTCTCCCCCTGCTAAAGGAGATTAATATTCCTAAGATCTTACATTCAAGAAGAGCACCATTAAAAAGTCACGGACTCAAAGCTAGCAAGACCCTTGACACAATCAAGTCCAACATTTTTCACCATTGTCCCAATCAATGACCTGAGCTCTCCTCCTCTTCACCAAACCAACCCCTGGCCATCCTGTGAGTCTCTCTCTGGTTTTTGCTTCTGTAGAAATTAGATTGGCAAGCACCTTTCCTGTGATTTCACTTGGAATTCTTGCACACCTCTATACCTCTCTCAGGGCATTTACCAAACAATATTGTGTAATCCAAATGTCAACCGTTCCCTCCGCCCCATGGTCAAATTACACTTCTGCAAATAAAAAAATAAAATCACTATTAAATAGGTTTACATCACACAATCTACTACTTATAACTTTAAAATTCTGCTTTTGAATCTGTCTTTTTCAAAGTTCCCTTCTTTACCATTCTCCTTTTGGAAGAAGCATCCTGGCCTCCAGGATTCCCTGGTTATCATCAACACAAAACAATTCCACTTTAAGGCATACCAGATGCATTTTAGTGATTGAAAAAACTACGTCATGCAAATAACCGTATCTACCCTCCCCAGAGAACAATCACACATCAATCCAGTCTAGTGTTTCTTGAGCATGCTCTTTGACATCTTCCCTCCTACTTGAAAAAACAAAAGTATTTCACCATCAGGACTTTGTAGTTCTTTGGTCCAATGCTCTACTAATGTAATTCAACTCCCCTTCAGGTTTCTGCTTTGTTTCCCATTCTCCGTTTCTCCAACAATTGGCCTTTTCGCTCTGTGCTGTCTGCTTGCCATTTTTCCACCTCGAGGTTGCTGCTAACTCATAGTATCTGCCTCCCTCAGAACTCCAGCCTGTACATTAGGTCATCATGGCTTCTCAGCTTCTGCTTCCAATATAGCCTACTTCAAATATCCAAATTAAGAAATCTGATTGTCCTAGCTCATCTTTGAAACCTAGTCTTATCATAACTCATTGCTCAACATAGGTACCAATTGATCTTTTTCTGAGGCCTACCCTATCAAGCCATATATGGTTTTGATAATCCCATGGTAGAAAAATAAGCATCCAGACCTACCCACTCTGCAGCCATTGCTGACAATTTAGTTCATGTTAGACTGAGCCAGAAGGAAGCAACTATCATGGCTGTTGTCTGCTATGCCAATTGAAGGTCTTTTTTGTCTATTGCAATAGCATGTAATCCATAACCCCTGTCTGCATTGTGAGGCAGTGCACCCTCTCCCAGCTCCTATGAGTATGATTCCCTCCCTTCTCCAGGAACTGTCCTCAGCTGATGGGAGCTGCCTCAACCCACAGGGCATTGCCCTTTCCCCTCTAATTCACCTTCCCTCTCCTGCTTCACTTCCTCTCTTACAGAGTTTTTTTCCTGAAGAACACTCCCTCAACAAATCTGCATCTAAATCCTTGTCTCAGGCTCTGCTTTTAGGGAACATAACCTAAGAATCCTGTTAAGTAAACCAGGCTTCTCTTGTAACTCTATTGGAAATAAGCAATTCTGCCAGCTACTTTTGATAGTAATAACTTTGCATTTATTTTTAAATGTCTAGAATGCAGATTGTTTTGATTTCAGACATAGTATCATTCAAATGGGGACATATAATTGCATAATTAATCTATTGAAACACTTTCACGAGTTTGTGAAGGTAAATGAAATCAACTACAACAAGCTTAGCATTTGTATTCATATACATCATATATTTTTAAAAATCAAATTTCCAGGATCAAATTTAATGAAATAGGCTTATGGGAAATAAAATTAAATCATTTATGTCTAAAAAGAAATTAAAATAAAAACATTTTTTAAAGTGCTTTTAAAAAATGGATCAGAATAGTTAGCCTTAGGAAGTAGACAAGAAAAAGGAACCAAAATAGAATCTCACCTTATACAGATAACAAAAGTTGGTATTATATTTAGATTTCAGTTCTCAAAAGCTAACTTCTTCAAAGATTAATGTTTTGTCTCTTGCACTCTGCTTTATACATTTATTTTTTAACAAAACTGTTTGAGATGGCTAGTTTAGAGTCCAATTAAAAATAATTCCAAGAAAAAAAATCTCCCTTATGAGGTATATGTCCTTGTTATTCCAATAACTTGTTTCTGGCAAAAATTGATTAAGGAGCACTTAGCTTCGGGCCTAATTTAAAGACCTTTACATATTAGCTTTCATGTTGCCAATTTTAATTAGGTCATTAATGTTACCATTTCTGAAATCTTTAGAAAAGTTTTTCACTTTTACATAAGTAACCTCAGCCTTTTGTTGTTGTTACTTGGTATTTCCAATATTAATTTGTCTTCTGTATTCTTGATTAGCTTGCTTTGAGTTACTTTTATATTCCCTGAACTACTGATGGTTTCTTGGTTTAATCCGAGATATAACACAAGTCTAGCAGTTTTCAACAAGATATACTTCCATTCTTTTCAGTTTCTCCATACTATAAAGATGGTAGACCTTACTTTCTACACTTTGAGTCACTCTACATGGAGTCAAGGTGATTAAGACAAATTCCCTCCACTTAAGAGATCATTTATGAATTTAAGAAAACTTTTTGTCAAATACTATAACAAAAAAACACAAATATTAACACCCATCCAGTAGGATACGACACCAATTATCCAGTTGGTGTGTTTTAGTGTTGTTTTATTCACATTATTATAACTATTTACCTAAAATTCTCCTCATTTTAATACAAAACACGTCTAATGTTTACTGAATACCCCTCTGGCAAATAAGAATTGGCTTACCGGTGTTCTGTTCCCTCTACTTTCTAAAGTATGTTTTTGAGTTGCAAATACTGAAAAACTAAAAAATTATATTTCAAACTCCCTTGCAGCTAGGATTCTAGATGCCAAGCAGGTTCCACGCATGAGATCCACTCATGCAAGATGCAGAAAACAGAAGTGGGTTGGAGGGCAATGATCTACTTCATTGCTGTCTTCTGTGGACAGCCATAGCCAGAGACATTGGGTCTTTCTGAAATGGTGCTCCAGTGCCCAATCACTGCCACAGGGATGCCCAGCAGCAGTTGTGGAGTCCACTGTTGTAGCCTTGTGATTCCTACCCTTTACTGTGGTGGAGGGAGCCACTTTTGTTTCTTGCAACTGTATTCTTACTGATACTTCCTGTGGAAGAACAGCTTAGAAAAGAGCAACTGAGGTATATTTAAGGTAAATCATTTCCAAGAAATTCAGCCACTGAAGCACTTTATTGTAGTCTTTGGTGCCAAGAAATTCAGCCACTGAAGCACTTTATTGTAGTCTTTGGTGCTTGGTGGGCAGGGGCAGGTAATAACTGACTGATCATGCTGATAGGAAGTATAACTGGGTGCAAAAAGCAGAGTCTTTGAAGATAGACAAGAGTGTTAAGTCTAGTAGGTTCACAGTTAGAGTTCTGGTTCCCAGACAGGCTAGCAAAAGAAAAGGGAGCAAAATCAAGGAAATCTATCCTATGGTAAAAGTTTCATGGTTGTCACTGGAAAATGAGTGTCCCATGCCTGGGAAGGTGACCCCACCATAAGCTAGACCTGGTAGACAGACCATAGCATAATAAAGAAGAGGAAAGACTTTGGTAGGCAACAGTCCTGATGTCTTCCATGAGCTTTGCTACATACTGGCAGCATGATCTTAGGCATTTTGCTTAATCCCTGTGCTTCAGTATCTGCAACTTTAAATGTGGATTTAATACCATGTGCATATAGTTATTTTATTGTAAATAAAGTATGCAAAGCCCTATACTGCTGGGCACATAACAGGTGTTCAGAAATAATTAACTATCCTTCCCTCAGCTTTTGATTTAATAGCAAATCCAGCCTTGTTTATACAGAAGCAGAAAGAATATGAGAATTTAAACAGAAAAAGTAATAAGATAAATAGCAAGAAATAGAGCCAAAAGGACTCATAGAGTCTCATGCGCTCTGAGACATAGGGAAAAAGGAAACATTCTCTGATGGTGAGAAGAAAGGAAATAAAGTAGTTTGGAGACACAAAGAATCCAGGATAGGGCTCTCCTGCTGCATTAACAATGGGTGACTACAAAAACATGAGGTCTGATCTCAGCAGCAGAGGCATGCATAATGGTTTCTATTATAACTCTGTTTTCACTCAAAACTTGCTAAAAATTTGCAGTATTTTCTACAGCACAAATTGCGTATTTGAAAGTAGCATTGAAAGAAAGTGGAAGAAGAGGCACAAAGTTGTATGCTATCCCTTGTAAAACGTTAGCTGTTAGATTGCCCATCTGGATCATTAAAAAGCACTTGCATTTTTTTTTTTCATTGAAATTCAGCATGTGAAAAGGCTTTACAGTGAAGGGTTCTGCACATTTAAATGTTCTAAGTATGAACAATATTGACTAAAACACAAAACAATGTGAACTCCATGAGTCTAGCAACCACATTCTTTGCTTATTTGGACCAACATGGCTTAATGTACACTGTGTCCACAGCCTATATGAAACAACTTCTACAGCCAAAACAGCACAAAAATGACACATTCATTCAGTAAAATCAACCAAACTATTGGATAGTTCAGTGAAACAAAACATGACACTTGTTTTACCAGGCAAATCAAATTTGTTTGTATATAGACATATCTATAATCTTCTGGTTAATTTAAATTCCATTTAAAAAACCATGTCCAAATAGCATAGTATACATATATTATTATGAACTCTTTAAATATGGATTCAACTATATTTTTGGAATGACTAACCATATTCAATGAAGTTCAATCTTTGTCTGGTGTCAGTTTTCTTTAAGAAAGTTTACTTTTGTCAGGCAGAGGAAAGTTTACTTTTGTCAGGCAGAGATAGGTCTGAAAAGTACCACTGTCTTGAGCATGACCCAGAAGAATGATGCTTCCTGGGAAAGCCAAGTGCTCTGGACATTTCAGGATGGATCAGCAAGTGATACAGGTAAAACAGATACAACTTGGAGGTCTGGCTTAATTTAGAATGTGGTTCGATGCAGATATTTGAACATAGTAGAAATTAGAGAATAAGGCACAGATACTGAACCTCGATGGCATTAAGTACCTGGTCATTGGCACTCTTCAGATTAGCAATCCCTTTGAGGCAAGAGGAAGGTGCTATAAAATCTCCTGCACTCATGGATGCCACCCCCACATAGTACCCTGTGCTGACTGACATCAAGTTTAAGCCCTCGGAAGAACTTCCAGCCAAGGATTTCATCCTGCCTCTGGTGGAAGCCATAGCCTTCTCCTTTTCACAAGCCAAGGTTTCTCTCCAGCCTGGCAGCTTCAGTCCATTGTTTCTATCGAGCCACTCCACAGACCCTTGTGGTATATAGCCCTTTAGCAAGAATGCTGCAGCATTCCGTGTTGCCCTTTTAAGCAAGAATGTCTGCTGTTCTGTCTCCAGGGGTCCTGTCCTGGCTGCCTCACACAGTTCTGGTAGCTATTGGCATATATGAATTTTATATGCAATTCATGCTGTCCCCTCAGTCAGTCTGCAGGGTAGATGGCTGGCTTACAGGCCATCCTGGCAGTGGTGAGATCATTGTTCTCTGTCGTATAGGCTCCATGGCAGCCACTGCTTTTTCATTCATTGGGAAAAGTGACAAAAATACTAACACAAATAATGTACTTTTTCTGGTCCTCCCTTCCCTTCCTCCTTCTTTTCAGGTCTCCTTATCAGCTTTCTCTCTTAACCTTCTAATCCATTCTAAAGTCCATTTTGTATCTTAATACTAAAACTTCAAACACTTGGTTTCACCCTGATTCTGCTCTGTCAATATTTACTTAAATCTTACGTCCATAACATTAAATTACATTTAGACTGGTGTAGACTGGAGAGGAGCCTTAGGTCCAAAAACATTAAATAGTTCATAGAATACATCTATTGTGCCACTGAAGTTGTAATTTGACTTGAGAATAATAGTAGTAGTAGTAGTAAAATACATTTGATATTTACTGAATTCCAGACACCATGTTAAGTACTTTCCATACACAAAGATGGTATAGAATAATGGTTAAAATCTTCAATCTAGTATCAGAAAACAGATTTAAATCTCAGTTTTGCCATGTACTAACTTTGTAATCTAGACAAATTAATATTCCAAAGGCCTCTAATTTTCTTCTCTATAAAATGATACGATTATCTGTTCCAGGGCTATTTTTGTTACAGGTAGTTAGGCATGAGCAGGGCAAGAGAAGGCTCTCTCGGTGTTAGGAATGCCAAGTGATGGTTTGACAATTGTCACACTGCCTCTCTAAAAATGACAATTTGCCAGCCCACCCAGGGATCCAGGGAGAGGCCATTCCCTGATGATCCACAGCTATTAACATTAAAGCATTGATTGAATGTAGATGCCAAGGAGAAGAAACTTCTGGGCGTGCGCATACGAGACAAAATAGTGAAATACGATCTTCCCGGTACACTCCGCAGGAAAAAGGAAAAAAGCCTCAGATAGGCATGCATACAACTTCCTAAACACACTGTGCCTGCTCAATTCCCAAGGGTAAGGAAGGCATCACGCATGCGGGAAGCCCATCCTAAGGGAAGAATCATGGTCTGGCCTGAACAGACCCAGTATCAAGGTTAAATGCCTCTTTTATTCTCTTTAACCTTCACATGCTTGCCTGTGTCTCTTCCAAGTGCACCTCCCTATCTTTCCTTTTCTAAAGCCTTTTTTTTTTTTTTTTTTTTTTTTTTGAGACGGAGTCTTGCTCTTGTGCCCAGTCTGGAGTGCAGTGATGCGATCTCAACTCACTGCAAGCTCCGCCTCCCGGGTTCACACCATTCTCCCGCCTCAGACTCCCGAGTAGCTGGGACTACAGGCGCCCGCCACCACGCCTGGTTAATTTTTTTTTCTTTTTAAGTAGAGACGGGTTTCACCGTGTTAGCCAGGATGGTCTTGAACTCCTGACCTCGTGACCTGCCCGCCCCTGCCTCCCAAAGTGCTGGGATTACAGGTGTGAGTCACCGCGCCCGGCCTCTAAAACCTTTTTAAATAAATTTCCACTCCTGCTCTGAGACTTGCCTCAGTCTCTTTGTCGGCTTTACGCTCCTCATAGTCTTTCTTCTGAGAAAGCAAGGACTGAAGTTGCTGCGGAGCCACACAGATACGCCACCTGTAACTCGGGGTAACTTGGAGCTCCTCTAAGGTACCATATCAAGGATTACCTGAGATATTGCATGCAAAACTTAGAGAATGTTGAATGCCTGGCACTTACCAAATCAGAAATGCAGTGTGTGAGCTGTTGCTGACACGAGTATTTTTTTCATCGAATGATGATGTCATGTAACCCCACTATGTAGATGAGGAAACTAAAGCTCAGAAAAGCTAAGTAACTTGCCCAAGGTTATGCTGCTGCTAACTGGTTGCAAAGGAGTTTATTTCTAGTCTGCCCATAGAACCTGGGCTGTGAAACAACGTATTTATGGTTCTTGCCTCATGTTCTTTAAAACTACAGCTGCCCACGTGTACCCATGGGGATTCACATTCATGAGTTTGCTGCAGCTACTCACAGGTGGCATTTTGTTACTACTTTTTAGTTTAACCAATAATATCGATGACAACTACACAATGTACACTGCCTCTCACTTATAAAAGGGCACCAAAGCCTTCCTCATGGCATGCTTTGATTAGGATAAAATGAGAACAAGTATATGAAAACTACTTAAAGTCTCTAAAGACCAGCTTCATGTCAAGAGTTATTATTTTCCTAATTATGGAAATGGACAAACATAATTCATAAGGATAAATGCATCAAAGGAAATTCTTGTTTGTTGGGCAAAAGACATTGCACCTGGCAGAAGGAAAGCTCATGGGCTCTGAGTAAATTATACTCTGACTCTGAAAATTCAGGAACTTTTCAGGAGATGTTAAACAGTTGTTCCCTGGGACAGAACAGGAATCTGAATCCCTGGGGTGAGTCCACTGTGCCCCCAGCTGATCTTTCCATGAGGAGCCACCTGCTGTTTTGACTCTGCCCTCCTTACGTCCATTGCTGTGCCTCCTTCACTCCCGTCCATCTTTTTCCTCTCCTTTCCCACTGCTTCTACTTTAAATCAAGCTCTCATTAACTTCCCTCCGGGAATATTTTAAGTTTCCAACTATGCTCCTCAATCCATCATTTCTACACACATACCATAGCTCTGCTTAAAATTCTTTTTCCTAACTAAAGCCAAATCTCCTTAGTTGACTAGTCAACGATATCTATGAGCTGGTTCTAGCACTAACTTTCCATTTCTTTCACCACAATCATGCCCCATGCTTTCTCTCCACTCTCTGCCATATTGCTGCATGGCCAAGCCCTGTCCTGATCTCTGAGTGAAGTTCCAAAGCCAATTTTTCCACAACTTTTCTGGTTCCTACAAGCAAATGTGATATCTCCCACCTGTGAACTCATGCCAAGTGTTATTATTCTATTTCTACTAATTTTATGGCACTATAAGAAAGGAAAAAATTATCTGCCTCCACTCATCTTAGGTTCTTCAGCTTAGGGGACTATAAAATGAACTAGGCAAAGACAGATTAATAAGAGAAAAAAAAGTTCATTAATATTTGTATCACACAGGTACACAGGGGAGCACCCAGCAAAGAGTAACCCAAAGAGGTGATTAGAACTGTGATTGCACCACTGCACTCCAGCCTGGGCAACAGAGCAAGATCCTATCTCAAAACAAACCCAAAAAGAGTATAACAACAAAATAATTACAACAACATATTGTAATAAAAGTTATATGAATGGGATCCCACTTTCAAAATATCTTACCGTATTATACTCACCCCTCCTGAGAGGATGTGAAATAATGCCTACATGATAAACTGTGGGGACGTGACTGATGTAGGCTTTGTGCCATAGCGTTAGGTTGCTATTGAAGTTCTGATACTACATCAGAAGGACATCATCTGCTTCAGATGATCCTGGGTCACTGAGCCTCAGTGATATTGATGACCAATGGGCATGTCCCATCTACCGTGTGGATACGCTGGAGAAAGAGACAATTCATGTCTTGGGTGGGACAAAGCAGGACAGCATGAGATTTCTTCAGGGTACTCAGAATGACGTGCAATTTAAAACTTATGAACTGTTTATTTCTGGAGCTTCCCATTTTATATTTTCTGATCACAGTTGACCATGGGTAACTAAAACCACAGATGAAGGGGAGACTGCTATATCTGCAAACATCTCATCTTGCCTAATATTACTATATGTGGATCATCCTGACACAGATTAAACTTGAAATCTTTCTCCCCTCTCTGCCTCTGCAAGAAAGATACTTTTAAAAAGGGTAAAAGAATAAGGAAACAATGAGTCCTACCTTCTTTGGAAGAGGCTGGGTGGGTGACTGGGGTGGGAATCCTGCAGTCACTCTGGAAACGCCAACTCATCACTCATATTTTCCAGAGAGAAAACTACTTGGAATCACTAAAAAATCATTTTACTTAACAAAGATTGGTGTGACTAGGTGGCCCCACTGTCCTTGGTGGGGGGAAAAAAAAGCAGAACTAAGCCTTTCCTATTTTTTAGTTTAAAATCAGAGCAGCCTCAGGACTGGGACTGTTGGCTCTGAGCCTGGGAGTTGGCAGAGTAGATGTGCACCTCAATCCTGACCCACACTCTGATACTGTCCTGTAGCCAGGGAAGTGACAGAACTTCTTTAAAGAGGCATCACCCCCACCCCCACCATGCACCTGACCATGTCTTCAACAGAAGACCCAGTTCAGCCCCTAAGCTCCCAAGCTCCCGAGTACCTGATGACTCTGCCCAGGAGCTTCAGAATAGGATGGGCCTTAGCACTCCTGGGGACCGCAGGCTCTGCACATCAGAATTTCCTCTCTGAGGCACTTTCCCATTCCCCAAGGGCAGCACTGGGAGTCTGGCTCTGAGTATGTAGCCCTAGGGGACCTCTGGAAAAAGGATGATTTTGGATTTGCTACTATTCTTAATAGATGAGGAAACGAGTGTCAATCATCTTATCCTATGTTCATAGTAACACTCCTGAAATATAGAGAGAAGACCCACCCCAGTTACAATAATAAAACCACTGTAGTAGATGATCTGTCTTATTCACAGAGGTTCAATAGCACCTTGCACACCAGGTGTTAATACTCACTGAATAAAAGTTATATAGATACATTTTGGTAATTGGTGTTTTCTTTTCTTAGATTTGCAACTCATCTCACTTGGATTTGTTGCTAATAAGTATAAATGGCAAGTTTTATATAAGATATTGCAAAAGTCCTATGATT
This sequence comes from Homo sapiens, assembly GCF_000001405.40. Classification (NCBI taxonomy): domain Eukaryota; kingdom Metazoa; phylum Chordata; class Mammalia; order Primates; family Hominidae; genus Homo; species Homo sapiens. The sequence goes on along the minus strand of NC_000008.11, from coordinate 106,976,279 downwards.
TAGATAATTCTAAGACATTGTTTATGCATTCCTTCATTTAATAAAAATTTCAGCTCCTAATATGTGTAAAGAACCACGCTTGATACTAGAATAATCATGATGCAAAACCACAGCCCATAAGCCTGAAACTGACAATATATTTAGATAGGCATTCACCAAACATTTACACATGCAACTTCTATTTATTTGGGGAAAACTAAAAAAACAAAAAGCATCTTCCTGGCTGGGCCCTAGTGACACAGCCCTTCCCTCAGCGTAGCCACTAAATAAGTAAAGAAAAATTTAATATATAACTATAAATCTTGATGAGCTCTATGAAGAAAACAAATAAGGTAAAGTAACTGAAAATTACCCACCTAAGTGACAGAAGATCTCCATGAAGAGATGAGGTTTCAGCTGAAACCTGAAGGTCAGGAAGTAATCATTTGTGGGAACATCACCCCAGACAGAGAATAGTATGCAGAAGGCTTTAAAGAAATACCTTTTAGACTGATCCAGCAAGACATTATGAGGGATTAAACTGGTACAGTATTAAGAATATTTGTATTCTTTTCAACAAGTGTTTAGTGAGTGAACACAATGATCTAGAAATACAGCGGTGAATACAGACACAAAAAGGTCTGGCTGTCCTGGAACTTACAATCAGGTGAGGAAGATGAACACTGAGCATGTACTGGGGCTCAGAAAATGATACTCCAAAGCGGCAGCCTCGAAAGCAAAGTTTCTATCTTTGTCCTCCTGTCTCTCACCCCCCATTCTCCACAGAGGCTAGCCATAGAAACTATAATTCCTCTTCCCCATGGTGAGCCATAAAAACCAGAACCCGTTTTCCCCAAAGCCAGACATAAAACCTAAAAATGTGACTCCAACTTTCCCCCACCTTTCTGTGTGAGAATTGGCCATAAAGAAATTCTCTGGCCTCCCTTGTTTGATTGTAGGTCATAAGACCCCCATTCCAAAGAGGGCCCTGCCCCATACTCAGAAGGAAGGAATGCTGCAGGGAGAAGAATCCAAACAGGCAGGGCTTGCTGGGTTTCCCGCCCCTCAGTCTATTACTATTAGATCACACCCTTTTTGTTTAATCATCTTTCTACATGGCTGGCCATGCTTCATCTACCTAAGCATAAAAATGGATAGTTCACCCTGGGTCTTTGGGGTCGTCAGTCTGAAGCCTCCCATGTCATGTAAAACTATGATCAAATAAATTTGTGATGCCTTTTCTCCTGTGAATCTGTCTATTGCCAGTTTATTTCAACAAACTGAAATCTCAGATCTTCAGAGGAAATGTTTGAACTTCCCTACACATGTAATTACAGGTGTGATGAGGGTCATGTGACAGAATCATAGGGATGTAGGTAGCACGTGGATCTTAATGAGCCTGGAAGGACTGGGGGAGTTCTTTCAGAGGAAATATCTAAACCCCAAATTTTGAAAGACAAGTAGGCATTGATTGGATAAGAAGGGCTGGAATCTCAGGAAATTGTCCCAGACAATAGCCCTTATCTGCTGGTTAAAGAATCTCTGAACGTGGGGACAAGCATATCTGTTATTTCAGGTAAAGGATTGATAGGAGTTTAGGGGCAGTTTAGCACTGGATGATAGAGAAGGAGGCAGTAAACCTCCTTTGTTGAAAACAAAAGGGATAAAGTGCTGCTCATGGCTGGATAAAGAAAGGAGATAAGCACATTTGAGCCTGATGGCCCATTAGTTTTCACTGAAAACCGTTTGTGTAATAATCAGCCTTATATTTTCTGTTATCCATGCTATTAATAATAAATTTAATTCTTTTCAAAATTGCTGTCAATAGGGCATTTGGGCTCCTCTCCTTAGGGTATAGGTTTTGTTTCTTTTCACTCAGAGTAGATTTCCTTGGGGGAAAAATGGAGCAGATTTTATGAAAACTAAAGTAGGTCACAAAACATAAACACAAACAAACAAACACAAAACAAAAAAGGTATGTGTTTTCCCCCAAAGGCTTCTAAAGTAATTTTGAACTCAGAACATTTCTGATTTTTTTCCTGTCCACAGCATCAGGCATTCATGAGAGCAAGAAAAAGGTTGCAAAAGGTGAATGCATTCCTTTAGTGGAAAGCACAATTTGTGGGAAATACTAAAATATTTATTGTTTTTCTAGGAGCTTTACCAAAGGATGGCAAGGCCATAAGGTTACTAATCAAGATTTCACCATTGTGACACTGGATTGTCAAAATACTTTAGTTTTTCATTTCAGAAGTTGCTGTTCTAAATATAGTTTTGTGGCATGACAAATTGTCCAGTGATCTATGGAACTTACCATACTGTGGAAGTTGCTGTATTATAAGAGCACAGCTGAATGCCACTTCAGATGGAGATCTTGAGCCCTGTGTCTCCTACTCCATGAAACCTTCCCATCTTCTTTTGAAGACCTGATACTTTCTGTGCTCAGCCTTTCATTCCAGCAGTTATAATTGATTGTAGTTATTGTTCACATGACTATCTCCCTTGCTAAACTGAATCATCAAAGGCAGGGACTATTATTTGTCTTTCCAACTGCATGAACTTGCATATAAGTAGATGTTCAAAAATCTGTTTGGCAACTATAAATGTAAGTGAAGTTTCAAGATATATTATTGAGGAAATCAAAAATCAGATTTTTGTCTTAACATAGATAAAACCTGAAAGGAGATGTTCATTTAAAGAGACCACCTCTCCCCAACAAGTGAACCAATATTCAAATATCCCCTCAGCCATTTTGACACCTAGTTCTTTTAAATGTTTCCCTTCCTTGAATGTACTCACTTTCACGATCCAGTGAGCCTAGGAAACACAGCCTTGCTGAAACATCTGGGATTCATCATGCTGGTTCTGTTAATCAAAGTTTTCTAGATCAGTTCCAGATGTTGACTAACTAAAGTTACACAAGCATTGTTCACATTTTTAACTACAATCAGATCTAACTTTCCATATCTTGAAGGTGACTTAATTTGTATAGGTAGGAGTTACACTCTGTCCTATTTTTAAAAATTAACTCTTAGTACAGAAATAAAGCTGATAGGTTATCCTAGAAGTAAATAAAGATCATTAAAAAATTCAAGATATATTTTCAGAAATAATACATCTAGTCACATAAACTCATGGATGTCATGAGAAGGAAAGAAAAATTAATCCTGTGCAAGTATCTACTATGTGCTGGACACCGTAATGGGTAATTCCACATGTATGATCTTGTTTAATTGATTTAAATCTCATAGTGACTGTACAAAATAGAAATTATCTCCATTATACAGATGAGAAAACAGGCTCATTATATTGTTGAAAATAATATGCTTAATGTCTAAGCTGAGATTACAGACTATTTTCTGACCCCAAATTCAGTATTTTTTTCCACATTTCCTTTCCCTGTGATCTTAAATAATATGAATTTGGAAAAGAGAAAATATACATACAAGTATGTTGTAAAACATTTTCTCAAGGAAGACTATAAATGTAAAAGCTATATCTACTTTTCACATAATTTAGTATTTTTGTGCATATTTTATTAAAATAATTAGTTTAATGATATATCTGATAACATAATTGGATTTTCATGAAGCCTGAACAAATCTGGCAGGCAAGGAAAATAAAGTGAATCAATGTAATTCCAGAGCTGGAGACTCCATAATAAACACCTTACACCAATCCAGAGATGCTTCAGGGCACTAGAAGAAGGCTGTCAGTTATAATGACGGGCTGACTTCTGCTGTTAGAATTATGAGATAGATGTTTCTAATGGCCCATGGATGGCAATGCAATTTGATCCCGCATAACTACAACAAACTTATTTCTTAAAGCAGTGTTGGGGTTAAAAAAAACCTGTAGAAATCACCAAAGATGAAGACAAAGAAAATATATGGGAAGGAGAAAGTGGAGAAAGAAGAAAAGAAACAGGGAGCTATACCCTGAATTATGCCAGTAAGCAAACACAAAAGCCAAGGTTCCCTGATTCTAAGAACAGTCCCTGGCTCAGGAGATGGCTCGGCCATTCTTTAAGGTCAGGATGCCTAGCATGAAGGCAGGATCCTCCACAAAAGTTAAGATGTACATTTACTTTTACTGGAGCCAAAGGAACACAGATCTATAGTCACTTTATATGGCAGAAAGCTACTCTACACATTAGGGCTTCTGTTCTCAAAGATTATGTGTAGTTAAAAAATAAGCTCACAATTTTTTTTAATTTACCCAACCATAAATAAAATAGGCCACCATGAGTGAGAATCAGCAGAAACCACACAAAAAAACTATCAAATATTGGAGACATTGGAATTAGCTGATGGTAAATAGAAAATGATCACATTATAAAATATCTAGGAAATTTTTTAAATAGTAAAAGTCAGTGAGGAACAAGAAATTATTAAAAATGACTAAGCAAACTGATTATAGAAAGATGAAGTAGAAATTTTAGAAAAAATAGATTTATTGAAATTAAAAGCTCAGTTTTAATTTAATTTAATTCCGTTATTTAAATTAAATAACATATTAACGGTGAAAAGACAATGAACTAGAAGTAAGAGCTGTAGAACTTGCAGCATTGAGAGACAAGGACATGAAAATATAAAAAGAGCTATTGAAAACAGAATAAAAATGAGAAGGTCAAACATATATGTAATTGTACTCTAAAAAATAAGAGAATGGAAAAGAGGCAATATTGGGAAGACAGAGACTTAAGCTGAGAATTCCTTGACTTTTTGGATAGGCACACATCTACAATAGAAAATGCACAATATATACCAAGAGGATCAAGCAAAGAAAAATCCACAAGTAAAACATAGTAAAATTTCAGAGCACCAAAGATAAAGTATCTGAAAGAGAGCCACAGAAAAAACCAGAGTGCCTAAAAGGAGGATGATCTACTCTAACAGCAGATTTCTCAATAGCTTCAATGGAAACCAGAGTTCATAGAGTAATATATTCAAAATACTGAGAGAAATACTATCAACCTAGAATTGTGTTATAAAAATTATTTTTCTAGGACATTGTCAAACACATGTCCAAAATTAAAAACTGAGTTTACCACCAGCAAATCTTTACTAACGTACATTCTAAAAGATATATTTAAAGAAGGAAAGATTGTAACAAGTTCTAAAATGCAAGAACTGTTGATCCAAGAAATTGTGAAATATGTAAATTAATCTGAAAAGAAATAATGTAAAATAATACATAATAAAATGAGTAAATTCTGAGTTCATAGGGACAACAAAAATACTACACTGACACTGTCCAATACAGAATCTACTAGCCACAAGTTGCTATTTAAATTTAAATACAATTAAGTTAAAAATTTAGTTCCTGAGTCACACTGGCCACATTTCTTGTAATCAATAGCCATATACCAATAGAGGCTAATGTTTTGGATAAAACAGATATAGGACACTTCTATTATCACAAGAGTTTATATTATACAATGCTGCACTAAATATACACTTGTAATTTGGAATGTGTTAGTCAGAAGTAGATGGTTCTAGGGTCCCTGTGTTCTTTAGTTAAGATACTGGCTCTCTTTAAGACTTTTAAATCACTAAATATGCCTGGTAAAATGTTTATAATAATCACTAAGGAATAAAAATAGAGAAGTAAGGTGTGGAAAAATCAAATAAGGAAAAAATAAACCCAAAGTAGAAAAAAAAATAAATGAAAGTGAAACAAATAGAAAGCACAAAGGTGGTGAAAACAATTTCGAATATATTTGCACACAATAAAATGTAAATAGACTGAAATTGCTAGTGATGAATAAAAATATCTGTCATGATTTTAATAATTTGTTTTTTGGTTCACTATAAGAGGTTTAATTAATCTAAGTATGTAATACTATGAACAATTTTATAATACAAATTTGAAAACTGGGACAAAATGGGAAAGTTTTTGTAGCAATGAAACCAAATGAATGTGACTAAAACCCAAATTTTAACAAATAAAATTTGCCAAACTATATGCTATCTAGTGCTGAGTGGCAAACCACTCCAAAACTTACTGAATTAACATTTATGTTGTTCATGGTCCTTTAGTGTGAGCAGGGATTAATGGAACTCATTCTTCTCTGTTCCACTCACATCAACTGGAGCAGCTCAAAGGCTGGAGGCTGGAATCCAATCAAAGTTCAATCGTTCACACATCTGGGGTTGGTGCAGGCAACTGTCTGAAACCTTGACTGGGTCTGTCAGCCAGAACACCTACATGCAACCACCCCATGTGACTTGGACCTCTCAACATGGTGGCTTTTTCCCAAGTGAGCATCCCAAGAGCATTCCTAGGGCAGGGCACTTGACGTTTCATCACTTAGCCCTAGAAGTCATGACACATCACATCTGCCTCACTCTGCTTGTTGACTCAGTCACAAAGTTCCCTCACCTTTTAAGGGAAAGGAAAATAGACCTCACCTCCTAAAAGGAGTGGAAAGGTTCTGGTAGATGTTGTGGGACTGAAAAATTGCTGTGGCCATTTTCGGAAAGCACAATCTGCCACGTTTCAATAATTTACAAAATTCATCAGAAATTAGGAAAAAAAAACCGTTTCTTTGAGTCTAGTTTTACCTCAAATACAAAAATCATGCAAATCTAGTAAAAGAAAAGCCAATCGCATTCACATGTATGAGAAAATATTAGTAATTCAGCAGCCATCCCACTACTGAATATGCATATAACAAAAAAATGAAATAAAATATTTGTCAAAGAGATATCCACACTGCCATGTTTATTGTGGCATAATTTGCAATAGCCAGGATATGGAATTGACTTCAGTGTCTTTCAGTGGATGAATGAATAAAGAAAATGTGGTTTATATACACAATGGAATATGCAATGGGATATTCAGCCTTAAAAACAAAATCCTACCATTTTTGACAACATGGACATTATGTTCAGTGAAATAAGCCAGACACAGACCGACAAATACCCCCATGATCTCACTTATCTGTAGACTCTAAAAATGTTGAATTCATAGAAGTAGAGTGTAAGAATGGTAGTTAGCAGAGACTGGGGGTGGGAAGGAGGTTGGGAAAATATTGATCAAAATACAAAATATCAGCGTGGATGACCAAGGTTCAGAGATCTATTGTACAATATGGTGACTATAATTAACAACAATGTATTATAATCTTGAAAATTGCTAAGAGAATAGGTTTTCAGTGTTCTCACCATGAAAAATAAGTATGTGAGGTAATGTATTTGTAAATTAGCTCAATTTTGCTATTCCACAGTGTCTAAATTTTGAAGCCATCATGTACATGAGAAATGTATAAAATTTTGTCAACCTTTTAAAAGATAAGAAATTATTAGGTATCCAAATGTAGTCAAGTGTTAGAGAATATATCATGAAGAGGTTGTGTTTACTCCAATAATCAAAGGTGGCTTAACATTAAAATGTTGTAAGTGTAAACCACTATATTTCCAGGTTAAATGAGAAAAAATATAGTCGTCTCAACAGATGCAGAAAAAACATTTTCTATAATCCAACACCCTTTTCCAACAAAACTAAACTAAATGCTTAATAAAACAGGAATAGAAGACAGTTTTCCTTATCTGCTAAGAAGCATTTACAAGGAGAAAAAGAACCCATAGCAAATACTAATGATGTAATGGGGGCATTCAATTTATTATCATGAAAAAGAAAAAGATGGATACCCCAAATCACTACCTCTATTCAACATTATGCTGAAGATCCCATCCAGTTTGTAAGAGAAGAAAATACTATAAATATGGAAAGAAACCAGGCTGTCACTATTAAAAGGTGATTTGATTGCTTATATAGAAACCCCATCTACCAACAAAATATGAGAATTAATGAGTATTTAGCAAGGTGTCTGACTATAACAATATGCAAATTTTATTGTGTTACTATACAACAACTATAAAACTAGAAAACATTTTAGAATTCTTTGTAATAGCAAAAATATGTAAGTAAAATGAAATAGATATTTTAAGAGGATCTGTAAGAAACTAAGGAAGAAAGACAAAATTTTTTGAAAGCTGTTTTTAAAAGACATAAATATGAAAAGGGAAATATGCCATGTTCATGGGATGGGATAACTCAATATCATAAAAATGTCACCTTAAATTGAACTACAGATTTAATTTGTTTCCAATATCATAAACTCAATATCATAAAAATGTCTCCTTAAATTTCTCCTCAAAATGAACTATAGATTTAATTTTTTTCTAATAAGGTTTTTGAGAAACTTGAGAAGCTAATTCTAAAATTTATTTGAAAAGGCAAAGGCTCAGTAATGGGTAAAGTATTGAAGAAGGATAGGAAAACAAAATTGTGCTACCAGATACCAAGTTTTATTATAAAGCTATGTCAATGAATACAGTGTCAATTAATAAGCAAAAACCTATCAGACACTAGGACAGAATTCCCAGTAAAATAGAGAACCCAGAAACAGATCTATACATAACAGAACCTGATATATGGCAAAGATGATATTACGATATCTGGAGAAAGGAAGTAAGCTAATAATATTAAAAAATGCAGGTATTATTTGTTTATATAATAAACAATATTATATATAGGCATATACAGGCATCAATTCCAGGTAGATCAAAAATTTAAGGCAAAAGGGAATATTTTAAAACTTTGAGAGCAAAATATAGAAAATAATCTTTGTGAACTCAGAATAGAGAAAATATTAACTATAAATTTTTAAACAATGCTAAGCTCACCTAGATTAATAGGAAGAACTTCTGCTTATCTAAAGACACCATAATATAAAGTTACAAACTATTTGTAACTTTTATAGTCAACAAATAATTAGTATTCATTAAGTATAATGAACTCTTCCACATTGAGAATAAAATAACAACTTCCTCTCTCCCCTCAAAAAACTAGTAAGTGGCCAAACCGGCATTTCAGATCAGAGAAAGTACTAATGACCCAGCCTCTTCAGTAATCAAAGAAGTACAAAGTAGGATCACAATAAGATATCTTTTTTTTGCATTATACTAAAATTAAAAATTGATATATATTGTTGGTAAGAAGTAGATTGATGAAAAAGATATACAGCTCTATAGTATAAGCATAATTGGAAACATCTTATTTGAAAAACGTTCATCTTATACATCTAAACACTAACTTATCTATAACCCAGCAATTTTACTCCTAGAAACAAAACCTAGAGAAATTTGCATGTGAGACCCAAAAGATATATACCAGAATTTTATAATTGTCAATAATAACTGTTGTCAATAATAGCAATAGAAATAGAAAAAAATCAGGTAACAAAAGTCAATTTACAGAAAAAACGTATTGATTATAGCATAGTCACATAATATTACAGAATTGTGAAAATGAATATATTATAGCTACTGGTGACACAATAAACAATGTTGAGTGAAAAAAGTTGAATAAAATTGCATAATATATGAAATGACCTATAGTATGTACCTAATTATTACATGTTATCAATTTTGAACTGTTACTTGTTTTAGAAACTGCCTTTATGTAGGGATTGCTACGTATTTGGTAAATTTATTGTAGAAAGAAAGAATAATAAATACATCAGTTACTTCTGGAAAGGTGGTAAAGGAATGGAATTTTGAAAGAATATGCACATAACTCAATGATGTTGATAACGTTCCTGTTTTTAACCTCAACAGTGGGTTCACCAGTGTTGTTATTATGCTTTCTAAAATCTCATAAATTATGTATATGTATTGGTTATTACATAATAATGCTTAATCAGAGCTTTTGTTTATTGCTTGATATACTTCATAAATTGTTTTGCTAAAAATAGTAAAGAAGGATTCATTCAATAAATTATATTATAGATGAGTAAACATAATAGAAGAATGAATTTGAAGCCATATAGATCTGGACTGGAGTTTTTGTTTTGAAGCTTACTAGCTTGAGCTATATACTTATGAACCAGATACTTAAGACCTCTGAATATCACTTTCCTTCAACAGTATTTATTGTAAGTCTGCTATGTACTAAGTACCATTCAGAACACTGGAGATACAGTGGTGAACAAAATAGACACCATCTCCAGGCACTGCATAAGTGTATGTAGAAGAGGTTCTATGGGAGCCTGTAAAGGGCTAACCATGAAAGAGCAGCAGTAGTACTTGGTGTGAGGTGTACGTCAGTACCTTCTTACAAAAATTTCTGTGGAAAGCATGTCATGAGCCTTTTCTAACTTGCCATATGCTATTCTTGCAACTTGTGCAACATTTTGCACAATATTGGGGAAATTTCCTGCAACTGTGAGCAAAGCAACACAATAAGACTTGACTATGTATTCACAATATATATCCTGGGAATATATGAAACACAGCTGAGGACATCATGCATCAAACTAATATGAACATAAAATACTATCAAGTAGTTTGCATAAAAGCTGACAATCTGCCCTTTTGCCAATCAAATTATGGTGTGAGGATGGTACAGTGTACAAGGATGTCTCTGTAGAAAACTCTTTATTATAACTTCATCAGATGCTAATAATCCCAGACTGCTTTAGTTGTATGTTTTTCCTATTTACACTATCACTACCTTGAATCTTCCCTAGTGTTACCAGAAAGAGAAGAATTCACTTCCTCCCAAATTACTTTTGCAGGCGTCAGGAGTCTAGTTCTCCCCACTCCTATCTCACTTTCTGTCTGCTCTCACTGAGCTCCTAGACACTCAATCTGTTCTAGGGTTACTGTAAGTGACTCTATGTGGGTTTATCAATAACTGTCTATCCTCAAGGAACATTTGCTCCAAAGAGGCACATGGCCAATTTGAAAGCAGAAAATGTTTCTATCATCTGCAAAGAACCCAAGGAAAAAATACAGTGATAATCTGATACCAATATCATTACTATGAAAATGAAATTTGAAGAAAAGAGAGAAGAATCAAGTAGATGCAATAAAAAATGATAAAGCGGAGATCACCACCAATCCTACAGAAATACAAACTACCATCAGAGAATACTATAAACACCTCTATGGAAATAAACTAGAAAATCTAGAAGAAATGGATAAATTCCTTGACACATACCCCCTCCCAAGACTAAATCAGGAAGAAGTTGAATCTCTGAATAGAGCAACAACAGGCTCTGAAATTGAGGCAATAATTAATAGCTAACCAACTAAAAAAAGTCCAGGACCAGATGGATTCACAGCTGAATTCTACCAGAGGTACAAGGAGGAGCTGGTACCATTCCTTCTGAAACTATTCCAATCAGTAGAAAAAGAGGGAATCCTCCCTAACTCATTTTATGAGGCCAGCATCATCCTGATACCAAAGCCTGGCAGAGACACAACAAAACAAGAGAATTTTAGACCAATATCCCTGATGAACATCGATGCAAAAATACTCAATAAAATACTGGCAAAACCGAATCTAGCAGCACATCAAAAAGCTTATCCACCATGATCAAGTGGGCTTCATCCTGGGATGCAAGCCTTGTTCAACATACGCAACTCAATAAATGTAATCCAGCATATAAACAGAACCAATGACAAAAACCACATGATTATGTCAATAGATGCAGAAAAGGCCTTTGACAAAATTCAACAGCGCTTCATGCTAAAACCTCTCAATAAATTAGGTATTGATGGGACGTATCTCAAAATAATAAGAGCTATTTATGACAAACCCACAGCCAATATCATACTGAATGGGCAAAAACTGGAAGCATGCCCTTTGAAAACTGGCACAAGACAGGGATGCCCTCTCTCACCACTCCAATTCAACATAGTGTTGGAAGTTCTGGCCAGGGCAATCAGGCAGGAGAAAGAAATAAAGGTTATTCAGTTAGGAAAAGAGGAAGTCAAAGTGTCCCTGTTTGCAGATGACATGATTGTATATCTAGAAAACCCCTTGTCTCAGCCCAAAATCTCCTTAAGCTGATAAGCAACTTCAGCAAAGTCTCAGGATACAAAATCAGTGTGCAAAAATCACAAGCATTCTTATACACCAATAGCAGACAAACAAAGAGCCAAATCATGAGTGACCTCCCATTCACAATTGCTTCAAAGAGAATAAAATACCTAGGAATCCAGCTTACAAGGGATGTGAAGGACCTCTTCAAGGAGAACTACAAACCACTGCTCAATGAAATAA